>NC_000021.9:16715808-17965808 GCF_000001405.40 Homo sapiens
CAAATAATTATGAAATGAGTTCTCTTTTCTAAGCTCATCCTCTAGTTCCAAGTGCTATTCTACTCATTGTCAGGTATGTTAATAACAGCTTAACTCTGGCCCTGAGATGGGGCTTCCAGATATTCCTGATTAATTCCATCATTCAAAAGTCACATTGAAGCCTATTTGCATAGTTGTATGATTATTTCCTCACAAAAGAATATAGTAATTAATAGATAATGAGATATTTAAAACATATTATGATGGTCATTGAAACGATATATGTCAGTGTTCATAAGTTGATAATTTTATTTAAAAAGTTTTAAAGAAAGTGAGCAAATGAAGTGATAAAAAACTAAAATCTTCCACTGGTTTGTATTAGAAAGAAAAAACAAATGGTAAAAGAGTTGGTGAGAACCCAGAGAAGAGTTAAACAGATAGCTAAACCTACTTATTAAATTAAGCAGGAAGATATCAGTTGACTAAAGTGACAAGATGGTTATTTTATAAAAACTTTAAAGTGCTTCAAATTATGCCTTGTTAATTCTTTTTATTTCTTCAACTAATATATTTTGAGTGTTAGTATATGTGAGTTATTACAGAACTACTGAATGTGAGCCAGAGAAATTGGATTAAAAATTACGGTATTGCATTTGAGCTGTCTAAGGGATGATTAGGGTAGGCCTCCACAGGTAAACGAAGCACCTATATAGGTAGTTATTTAAAGAAATATAGTCTATGTGTCTGTTTTTGTGCCAGGCCCATTCTATTTTGGTTACTGTATCTTTGTAGTATAGTTTGAAGTGCCAGCTTTGTTTATTTTGCTTATAATTGCATTGGCTATTTGGGCTCTGTTTTGGTTTTATATGAGTTTTAGGATAGTTTTTTCTAATCCTGTGAAAAATGACATTGGTGTGATAGTAATAACATAGAATTTGTAGATTACTTTCAATACTATGGCTATTTTAATGATATTGACTCTTTCAATCCATGAGTAGAGAATGTTTTTCCATTTGTTTGTGTCATCTGTGATTTCTTTCAGCAATGTTTCATTGTTTTCCTTGTAGAGATCTTTCACCTCCTTGGTTAAAAGTATTCCTAGGTATTTTATCTTTTTTTGTGACTATTGTAAATGGGATTGTGTTCTTCATTTGGCTGTCAACATGAACATTATTGATATATAGAAATGCTACTGATTTTTGCACATTGATTTTGTATGCTGAAACTTTACTGAAGTCATTTTTAAGTTCCAGGAGCCTTTTGGTGGAGTCCTTGGAGTTTTCTAGGAATAGAGTCATATGGTCAGCAAAGAGAGGCAGTGTAACTTCTTTTCCCATTTGGATGCCTTTTATTTCTTTTTCTTGTCTGATTGCTCTGGCTAGGACTTCCAGGACTATGTTGAATAGGAGTGGTGAGAGTGGGCATTCTTGTGTTGTTCCAGTTCTTCGAGAGAATGCTTACAGCTTTTCCCATTTGTTATGATGTTGGCTGTGGGTTTTTCATAGATGGGTCTTATTATTTTGAGGTGTTTCCTTTGAAGCCTAGTTTCTTGAGGGTTTTATCATGAAAAGATGTTAGATTTTATAGAAGGCTTCTTTTGCATCTATTGAGATAATTATATGGTATATGTTTTTAGTTCTGTTTAGGTGGTGAATCATAGTTATTGATTACTCTATGTTGAACAAACTTTGCATCCCAGTAATGAAGACTAGATACAAACAGCTCACAAACATGAGAAATGCTCAACATCACTGATCATCAGAGAAGCATAAATCAAAACCATAAAGAGATACCATCTCATACCAGTCAGAATGGCTATTATTAAAAAGTCAAAAACAACAGATGCTTGTGAGGTCATGGGTAAAAGGCAACACTTATGCACTGTTGTTGGGAATATAAATTAGTTCAGTCACTGTGTAAAGCAATTTGGAGGTTTCTCAAAGAACTTAAAATGAAACTACCATTTGACACAGCAATTTCATTACTGGGTATATATCCAGAAGAAAATAAATCATCCTACCCAAAAGACACATACACTCATATGTTTATTACAGCACTATTCACAATAGCAAAGACATGGAATCAACCTAGGTGCCCATCAAAGGTGGACTGGATAAAGAAAATGTCATAAATATACACTGTGGAATACTATGCAGCCATAAAAAAGAACAAAATCATTTCCTTTGCAACAACATGAATGTAACTGGAGGCCATTATCCTAAGTAAATTAATGCAAGAACAGAAAAACAAATACCACATGTTCTCACTTATCAGTGGGAGCTAAACATTGGTTATCATGGACATAAAGATGGCAATAACAGACACTGGGGACTACTAGACATGGGGGAGAAGGGAATAGTATCCAACTGACAGTTGGATACTATTTTCATTACCTGGGTGATGGGATCATTCATATAAAAAACCCTCAGCATCACACGATTCACCCATGTAACAAACCTGCACACGTACCCCTGATCTAAAATAAAACATAAATTATTTAAAAAATAATTTAAAGTTTTTTTAAAAATTAGAAATAAAGATAAATTATTTGAAGAGAAACATGGTAATTAGGAAATGGGTATTCTGTTTAATTAAAATTTACCAGTGTGTATTATGTATCAAAATACTTGATTTAAATTTTGTTCACGGCTTTCATCTCAACAGTTCTACTTCTAGCAATCAGTCTAATGGAAATAACTTATAATATCCACGAAGAATTACAGAAAGGACACTATTTGAACTGCTTAGATCTTCCCACCACTCCAGGCAGAGCCTGAAACAAGGACTTGTAATAGTGTAGTGATATCAGGCTGCTGGAATGAAGGATAGGAGAGATTAAGGGAAGGAGAAAAAGCTATAATAATGTCTATTGTCAAGGTCACTAAAGAGGGCAACTGGGGCTTGGCTTCACCTGACATCTCAAAAGCCTATAGAATGCCTCTAAGTTTTTCTCTGGAGGATCAACTGAGAGATGCATTCCTCCGTGAAGGCTTATATCTCATTGGCTGAGGGCTACTCTGCAGGGGTTACCTATGTTATCCACCCCCACTCCACTCCTGCTACAATATGCATTAATTAGTGCCAATTCTTGGGCATTCTTGGCCACAGAGTGAGGGAAAGAAATCTGTTTTAGGAGAGATACTGTCAGCTTACAGTGAGTTGAAACCCACACAAAAATATCTACTGCACTTGTTGCCGAATTCAATGGGGAGACTTGGCAGGGGAGATAGCATGATCACGAAGGTGGTTTTCCCAAGGCAAGATTTATTCACTGCACTCTGGATGTGCTGACCCCTACGATTTCCGCCCAATGGGGAAGCTTGACTGCTTAGTTTGTTGTGGCAGGGGACTGTGTTCACACTTTTCCCGGGTCTAAAATATTAAACGACAACAACAACAAAAAAATCAATGGGGAGAGCTAGGACATGGAGGCAGGACATTAGAGCCATTTGATTTAAAAAATCATGGTGGTTATTTTAAAATATGTTCAAAAATTGGGGTTGGCCAAATAAACCAAATATACACAAAAATGGAGTTTGGTTATTATAGTATACAGCTAACCTGTATGACAAAATATTTTGTAGCTACCTAAATATTTTTAGAAGAATATTTAATGCTTTAGGAAATTGTTCGTAATATTAAGTGAACAAAATAAATAATAAAGTTATACATGTATTATTTATATGTGCATAAAATTATTTGAAAATATATATTAACATATTAACAGTGGTGACTTGGGTGTAGTACAATTATGAATTATGGTTTATCTTCATTTACTCTTTTGTACTTCTTCATATTTCCTAAATGGTTTACAAAGATCATGTATTATTTTAGTAACTAAAAAATCAATGGAAACAAATTTTCATTGCATTGACTTCATTCTATAGTTCCACTTTCTAGGAATTCCTCCAGGCTTTGTGAACTATGGACTCACTATAAAATCTTTTCTCAACCAAATGTTCAACGTGCACCCTAAAGCCTCATTACAAATTTGACTAACTATGATTTGGTGATGTAGCCTCAGCTCAAGCCTCCTGTCTCTCATTGACTGACCCTAAAAAGCAATACTGTGTACTTGGAGATCTTCAGAATCTTCAGTGTAGATAAGAGCACATTCACTTAATTGAATTATTTATCCTTGATTCAGCCAGCAGAGACAGAAGAGCCAAAAAGAAAGAAAGAATGTTGAGAAAAACTAAGCAGTCACCAAACACATTTTGTGTGGAAAAATGCTTACAGAATTATTTATTTGTTGAGAAAGAAACTGTATCTGGAAAACTATAAGGGAAACATTGTGGTTAGTTTTGTGGACACTTGATGCTCATTTAATGCGGAGCAGAATCTAATGTCACATGACACAGCACTCATGCTACCCTCTCTGGCTCATTTTCTGCTGCTTTTTTCTAAACATTCTCACATAATAAATTGTGAATTGAGAAGATACACAGTTCATCTGAAGATTTTATACATAAGACATAAATGATGCTGAAAAACCAAGCAGATAGCCTATGATTAAGCAAGTGAGAACAACTAGTTTGGGTATGAAAAAGCTACATTACAGCTGAAAGCAACAAAATGCCAGCTGTAACCTGCTGAGAAAAGAACAATGGCTGGTTTGTAGTAGTTGGAAACAGAGTGGCTTTTCCTGAGCAGAATTAAGACTGATGGTGAACTTAAGAGGGGGAAAAAAATTAAAAATCTGTGGCCAACAAGCATGAAAAAAAACTCATCATCACTGGTCATTAGAGAAATGCAAATCAAAACCATAACGAGATACCATCTCACGGCAGTTAGAATGGCGATCATTCAAAACTCAGGAAACAACACATGCTGGAGAGGATATGGAGAAATAGGAACACTTTTACACTGTTGGTGGGAGTCTAAATTAGCTCAACCATTGTGGAAGACAGTGTGGCTATTCCTCAAGGATCTAGAATCAGAAATACCATTTGACCCAGCAATCCCATTACTGGGTATATACCCAAAGGATTATAAAACATTCTACTATAAAGACACATCCACAAGTATGTTTATTGCAGCACTGTTCACAATAGCAAAGTCATGGAACCAACCCAAATGCCCATCAATGATAGACTGGATAAAGTAAATGTGGCACATATACACCATGGAATACTATGCAGCCATAAAAAAGGATGAGTTCATGTCCTTTGCAAGGACATGGATGAAGCTGGAAACCATCACTCTCAGCAAACTAACACAGGAACAAAAAACCAAACACTGCATGTTCTCACTCATAAGTGGAAGTTGAACGATAAAAACACATGGACACAGGGAGGGGAACATCATACAGCAGGACCTGTCAGGGGTTGCAGGGGCTAGGAGAGGGATAGCATTAGGAGAAATACCTAATGTAGGTTACGGGTTGATGGGTGCAACAAACCACCATGGTACGCGTATACCTATGTAACAAACCTGCACATTCTGCGCATGTATCCCAGAACTTAAAATATAATTAAAAAAAAAAAGTTAGAGTTGGTGCCAGATTAAAAATATAACCCAAAAAATTATTATCAAATTTTTGAAAGAACAGAAAAAAATGCTTATCTGAGAAATGGACTTTTTTCTTCTGCTACATTTTATTATTTTTACAGAAAGTTGACCATCAGTAAATCACCACTGCATATGATAGAAATTTTGAAAATTTCAAGAGCAATAATTTGTCTTGTAGTATTATCATATTGGTAAATTTCACTTCTCTATGGAAATCTTAAAATCTATGTTCTTTTGACAAGGAAGTGCCTTCCAGTCTAAATTATAAATTCATATATTCAACACATATTTCTGCATATCTACAAGGTACCAGATAGCATAATTGGTTCTGAAGACACAAGGATAAAAAAAGTAAAATTTTTGGTTATGAAGTTTGTTATGAACTCCCAGTGTAAAAGAGGAGATAAAGATGTAAAGACAATATTGCTGTACAATATACCAAATACAAAGGTCAGAAGGAAACATTAGAGTGGAGTAGTAATTAACAACATAGACTCAGGAGCCATTTGTCTTGGTTCAAACTCCTCTTTCACCACTCACTGTAATGGGTACTTTTGGAGCATTTACCTAAACTACTTTTGTCTCAGTTTCCCCATCTATAAAATGAGGATAATAATAAT
Source organism: Homo sapiens (assembly GCF_000001405.40). Lineage (NCBI taxonomy): Eukaryota > Metazoa > Chordata > Mammalia > Primates > Hominidae > Homo > Homo sapiens. Next base: position 16,721,919 of record NC_000021.9, read on the forward strand.
GCATCTGCCTTTTACGATCTAAATGAAAACAAAATGAATCAATATATGATTTATGTATATGTAAATCAATATATGTAAAGAACAGGGTCTGATACGTATTAGGCTTTAAGCAAGTGCTAGCTAAAGCCATAAATGTAAGTAGTTGTGAATGACGAAAGGAGAAAAGGCTGCTGGGAAATTGTCAGGGAAAGGCTTGACAGAGGAGTACTCTGAAGATGATAGAGAATTTGTGAGATTGAATGACAAAAATCTGATCTAACACTATTCTAGGTCATGAAAGTCATTTTTAAGCAAAAAATGTAATAAAATACATTTTAAAAATCTAAAACTAGTCTTGATAGGTGGGGTTGATACTTGTGTGTGTGTGGAGGTCAAGCTATTTCTATAATACAAATAATCATATATATTGCAGCTCATCTTTCACTGGGAGAGACTAAGGCACAGATTAATGTTTACCTCTCCTGTTTTTACAATGACTTTCCACCCTGCTTTTCTCTAAACTTCAGATTTCTTAATAATTTAATCTGATATTTTTAATGTTTCAGCCACCTGGCCAGTATCTGTAAATTTACTGAATTTGTTTCTTAAAATGTCTGTGATCACTAATGAGCTATTTTATTCTGGAAGAGACTTTACCAGCTTTTGTTACATTTATAAGAATTGGCTCCAGAAACTTAAAATAAAGCTTACTGAAGAGAAAACTCCTTAAGGGCTACAATTGTGTGTTTTTCATCTTAATATTCCATTTAACAAACACCCACAATGTGCAGGTACTGTATTATGAACATTTTAATGTAACAGCTACCAGTTGAAACTATAACTAGATGTGGAGTAGGTGTTAAAAGCATGTATGTTATACTGCACTACTGTTTGGAGTATGTTGATATATACGAGTGTTTTACTACTGTTATCTTCCTTCAATTTTTCCAGTTATTTTGATGATTATGGGATTGGGGTGTAGAAAACTAAAAGAAAATAGACTTTAATTTGGACCAACAGCTGGTGGTTACACATGTAATTAATGGGGAAGGCTGTTTACTGGTATTTATTTTAAAACTGATCCCATCCCTGCCAAAGAAAATGTCAGTACTGAAACTTCACATATTCAAACAGCCAAATTTGTCTGCCATGAACTTGTGGCTTGATAGATTTATTTAATTTTTTTATACTGCTCATGTACGAGTCAGAATTTATATAGGTCATAGCATGTTATTTTCATTTGATAATAATCCTCTGTTTTTAATGCAGACTAAGTGAACTTCATGACATATACTTTGGGATATGAAAATGAATGTCTTAAAATATATTTCATTTGTGTTTTCCCATACTATTGAGACATTTCAGTAGCTAATGGAAACCATAAGTTAGTCTAATGAAGTCCATGTATAATTTTATACCATAGTCTGTGCAACTTTGACATTTTCATAATTAACCAAAGTCTGGGAATTTAGTTCTAGATTGGTCTTTTGCCCAAGCATTCAATTCTTGAATGTGATTAAGAAGCTGAATTTTATATTTGAGTACTTGGCTTCAGTTCCTAGAAGCCATGCTACTGAAATCATTTGGTTTCTAAGCATTTCCTTTTGGAGGGAATAATTTCCATAAAATAGTGTGTTTCTTAGATATGTTTTGGTTCTCTAGTCTACATAACACTATTCTGTGTATGCAACATTCCCTTGCCTTTGTGTGGTTGGTTCTTCATCATTTTCCAGATTTTGGCTTAAATATCACTTCCTAAGTGACCTTTCCTAAAGAATCTATGTACTTTCTACTAGAACATTCTCTATCTCAGATTATTTTAACTAGTCATATATTTATCATTTGTGATATCTAGTATTAACTTGTATCTTTAATATGCCCCAGATATATGGAAACTGTCAACTGCTCTTATTGTTTCTGCTCTTGGTGGGTGATTCAGATAATTGTTTATTGACATTTTGAAGTTGTACCCTTTCCTGACCCTGTGGAATACTAGAAAAGATTAATACAAACAAAGTAACTTTTTCTTATTTTCTTAGCTGAATATGCAAGGTCGAAGAATTTAAACAACTAGAATTATTTATATTTGGTTATATATTAGTGTATATAAGATTTTCAAAAGAACAAATCTTCAAAGCCTCTGATACTATTCTTCTTTTCAAATACTCTCTTCTTTTCTCCTCTCTCCCTCCAGAGACAGTGAAACTGCTTCCCTGCTCTGCTTCGGGACTCTGCATATTTGCTCTTTGTTGTCACACAGACTTCTCAAATTCAACATATTTAAAGCTGAAATCATCATATGCCACCCAAACTACATTCCTAATGACTCCTCTTCTGATGTGCCTTACCTTGATTATTGCTACCACCCTTCCACCACCTTTTCTGAGCCAAGATCTGAGAATGGTGTATAATTCTCTCTCAACCTACCAGCCCATAAGTCACCATACATAGCTATATGTCTATGTGTACATACATACATATAGATTTGTAATGTCTATCTCTATCAATCGTCTATTTACCTGTTTATGTTTATATTGCTCTTTCATAAAATTCAATTGAGTTCCATCCTCTCATCTCTACCACTTCTGCCACTTGCTGAGCTCTGGCCATTTTTTTGATCTGACTACTCAATCAACCTCCTGTATCGCTCCCTCCAGTTCATTCTACCATCCCTTACTGATTTTTTTCTGAAAGTCTTCCCTTACTACTTTTTATATGCATCTATCCTTCTCCCCACTTTGAGCTTTCCACATATAAAGGAGCTTCTTGTAATACTTGAATGTACTCTTCCCTTCCATGTCACCCATATGTTGTATATTCATTGTTTTTTTTCTCTGAAATTGTCCCAATACTTTACTTATTCCAGTTAACTACTGTGTGCCCTTCAAATTTTACCTAAGCTACAGTTTCATCTCAAATGAGTTTTTAAGCCTCTCATTTCAGGTGACTGTTTTCTATCTCCATAGTGTCGTGAATGCCGTGTCAGTATTATTACTCTGTATCTATTGTTTTTATTTTCTGCCTCTTTCACAAGGCTATAACTGTATTTAAAAGAAGGATTATGCTCTTTATCTAAATCTCTGGTATACAGCATGGTGTCTGGCTCATGATCTGTGCTCAACATATGTAGATAAAGGAGAAATAGCCATGCAACCAAGAACATTGGCTTCTATTTGAAGAAATGTTGTGGCTGGAAAAAGGCGACGTAAAAATAATTGGCACATAAACCTTTGCTTCAGGTTCTGCTTCCTGTATGTCAGGAAATGTTCTCGGTGTTTTTTCATGTATAAATGCATTTGATCAGTGCAGCCATCCCAAGAGATAAGTTCTATTATTACCCATTTCCATATTAGGAAGCTGAAGTGCAAAGAAGTTAACTTACCTAAGATCATGCATTTTCTTAGCCTGGGTTCCTCTGAAAGCTGAGTCTGTGGCAAAGGTTTATGTGCTAAAATAGTGTTAGAATAAGGAAAGCCAGGGAAGCAGGGGTTAAGGAAAAAAAAATTGGAACTGGAAAGAAGAGATTCAATATGAGGCAGCATTACTGAGCTGATCAGCACCTGGTGTCTAGTGCAAATGATGGGGATCTTTCTGGAACACCTTTTGACAGGCCTTGTAATGAATACATCTCAAGACTACCCATCGAAGGAGAGGAAAGGGGAAGAATGATCCATAGATTCATGTGTCCCATAGGTCAAATGTTTTTCTCATATTTATTTTTGGATCATGCAAGCACAGTTGTGTTTAGGATCTCCTGGCACTTTGTTTTATCATCAACAGGGATGCACCAAAGAAAGGGGCACAGGGTGTAATGCAGGAGAATGATACAAGGTAGAGTTGATTTGCCTCGTTCTGAAGTCATTTGAAGCCCGTGCATAGCACATTGTGGCAGCAATGGTTTAGATGAAATGGCAGCCAAAAGCCCTGCAGAAGTTCTGGCTGAAAGGATCTGCAGAGATGCATTAGGAAAGTCTGATATGTCCATCTAATAAATGGTGAAACCCTAATTCAAATGCTAGAAGTCTGACTCCAGATCCCGTAGTCAGCGACACTCTTTAGCCAGGACAGAAGAGGCCGTTGCCCAGTGCTTTGGCTGGCCATGTATCACAAAGACACACAAAAAATAAAATTATTGAAGAATACGTGGATACCTCTGTTTCTAGCAAAACAACACTTTCAAGCCAATATAGTCTTTCTCTTGACTGTATACTGCTTAGGCCTCAGAGAAATGCTTCTCCACATCTCTTTTTCTGTCCCATACATCCAATGCCAGCACTGAGATTCATGGGGTTGCTGACATGAAGATGGACACGACTCAGATTATGAAGAGGATGTGAACAGCTGAAGCACTTAAGTAAAAGACAAAGGAACTTGTCAAACTCTTCTTTCGGATAGAATGACTACAAGAAATTATTACCTAACAAAATGTCATTTCTCAGCGTTCCAATTCGTAGTTTAGAGGTATTCATGGAGAAGCATGATATTCTCAATAGTTGTATATAAAGTGTAAGGGATATTTTGATGATTCTAGTTCTCTACATGGCCATCTGGATTACTACTGAATGTTCTGAATATGAGTAGTTTTATTTTTATAAAATTATTAGGATTCAATTAAAATTTTTACATAAACACTCAGCTGTATTATATAACCTAATTTAAAATTTTCCTATACATCTATTATAATTTGTATTCTGTTCCTCAATTTTAGTAGATAATACTGAATCTGTTAGAGGAAAAATTACTTCTGAAGCACATATAAGATAAAATTTTATTTTATTTTTACATTTAACTTAATGCATATTTCTTGATAAAAATGAACTCTTGTGACCTCTGAATGTAATTCAATGCTATTATTTTAGTTCTTTACATCTTTAGATGGCATTAGAACACAAATTATGCAAAAAGCTTGATAATAGTACAATTCATGATTTTGCAGAAACAAAGGCACAAATAAGTTCGTGGAATCCACATATAATAATTTGTTAATTGTATGTGCTTATGGAATATCTCTGCAGACCTCATAGCCATCAACAAAGTACCAGCCACGTGCAATAACAATAGAATTTAGTAACCTCTGGCATTTGGCTGACTCAGTCATTCAAAAAACATAAAGATATTTTCTAGTTTGTTATTACTCGGGTGTATATAACACATTTTATTTTAACAGTTGGTTAGCTAGAAATATAACTTTTCCATATTTAGATATAATGTATGTGTGTCTCTATTTGTACACTTGCCCCACAAATATTAGGAGTAGCTTTGCCCACGTTTACAATAAATGGCTGTGCTCTGCTCCACCGTACTTCACTTTACCCTCTTCCACTCTGCAGAGTACACGCTTCTCTCTGTTCTGCTCCACATCTCTACCACCCTGCCTCCTGATCGTCTCATGGATTGATTCCATGGAGCAACTTATTCCAGTTAAGCAATGGATACTAAACTGACAATACTAAGGTATTGTCGTAGCTCACTTAAACTGTACTATGTTTAAGTGTCTATATACAAATATGAAAACAGTTACAGGTGACAAAAACTAAATTTTCCAAGCTACAGTACAGTACACCATAATGCTTTGAGTTCTTGAGGAAAGCACTATTCAAATATCAGCTCCCTCCTCCAGCCTTTCGCAGGATTTCATTTAAGTCATCTTATTTCATTGTTCTTCCTTGTTTTGTTCTTCCCTTACTGACGTAGTAACTCAGGTAAGTTCCTTGATACTATAAATTTCATAACGCATTTGCTTATTATTTCATTTTTGTTTATGACCAAATGCATTCTAGACTTTTAAAAATTTTATTGAGTAGTGCTGAAAATATTTCTAAAGGATTGTAGTTTTCTCATTTTATATATTCTCTTTAAAACGAATTTCCAATAAGGAGCTTCTGGGGAGGGAAAAGGTAATAAAGTGTTGGATCATTTTTTACCTTAACTGCTATTTCATCTCTACTTTCTCTGTTGACGTCACAGACATTGGGCAGTACTTTTAAAAGAGAAACTGTTGGCTTGACACTTAGATATTGTTTTTATTTTTTTAACCTCATAATCACAATTTTGGCATGTTATACTCCATAAAAATCAGATTATTATAAAATGTTCCATTCTTCATCTCCCTGGGTGGGCCACAGAGGAAGATATGGCTGCTATAGAGCTACCTTGAAGGAGTACCCTTACAGTAATATGCTCATTTAAAACCACAGAGTAATTTAAACATGGTTTTGTTTTTCCTTACAACCATATTCTCCAACTTCTTCATAGAAATCTCCCATGATGGCCGGGCGTGGTGGCTCACGCCTGTAATCCCAGCACTTTGGGAGGCCGAGGCCGGCGGATCACGAGGTCAGGAGATCGAGACCATCCCGGCTAAAACGGTGAAACCCCGTCTCTACTAAAAATACAAAAAATTAGCCGGGCGTAGTGGCGGGCGCCTGTAGTCCCAGCTACTCGGGAGGCTGAGGCAGGAGAATGGCGTGAACCCGGGAGGCGGAGCTTGCAGTGAGCCGAGATCCCGCCACTGCACTCCAGCCTGGGCGACAGAGCGAGACTCCGTCTCAAAAAAAAAAAAAAAAAAAAAAAAAAGAAATCTCCCATGATGTAAATTTTGATATTTTGTGTTTTCGTATGATGGATATTTTGTATTTTTAATTTCTTATATATGACAACTAAAATAAAACCTCCCATTTCTTCTTCTTTAGTTCTTATACAATATTTGGTTATTCAAAAGCTCTATTTCCACTTATATGTTATCTAGTTCTCTTAATATGTTCTCCATTAAATTCAGAAATATAGAATGAAATCCTCAATATATTTCCTGAAGTTTAGTAGAGTTTAGGTCCATCATACGAGATAGCAAAGCTATCCATCAGATAAGCATTTTTAAAATAATTCAAGTAGTCACTCAAGTATCCATGCCAATCAAACAAAAAATTGGCATAAATAATTAAATATTTATAAATAACCTGCTTTGCTTTTTGTGGCAACACAGATGTGTTATTGATGCTAAATCCTCACATGGGAGGAAAATCAGATGTCCAGGCATGACAGACTTCTCAGTATCAAGCAGCTCTATGTCTCAGAAATATGTTCTTAACCTTACTTGACCCAGCTGGAAGCAGGACAGCAGCTGAGAGGAAAAGCACAGTGGTGAGGGCAGAAAAATCTCCTACCCTTCTGGCTGAGTTAGTTCTACAATGTATATTTTCTACTACAATTATCTGAAAGTTGAGTAAGAAGTCATGACATCCAGAAAACATATCTCTTATAAAATCCTCTTTGGTCCAGAGACCTATACAGATTTCTTGCTCCAAGACTGCTTGATGTTCATGATCATGACAATTGGTGATACTCACTTGACCTCCTCAAACTACAAATATCCAGGATATCTGGCCCTAAAGTAGGAACTTTTCAAAGCAAATTAATAATTTCTGTGGAAAATGTTAGGGTATTAAAAATGTAATGTGTGTATGTGTTGTTGCTTCTGATGCTCTATACATCTCATTTATTTAGAGGTGGTAAAGTGCCTTAACCTCTAATGTTAATAATATGTACCTTAAATAGCTATTATTGCAGTTATCTAAAATGACCCTTTTATCTGTAGGAAAAATGACTGCAGACAAATGGGTTATGGTTATATATTTTAGCAACAGGTTGCTCTTTACAGAAACATGTTTTCGAGAGCTGGCAATCTCCTACTAAGATCAAATAGCTTTTAAAGTCAAGTGGTGAAATTAAATGACTGTGAAATATTTGGAATGCAAGTTGCTGCTTAGAAATGTACAAATGAGAATAGTTTAGAAGATACTAGCTAAAATCAAAATGTTTTACTGAACACAGAAGTAAAAGGGTAGGCAACGTAAAGTGCAAAGCACTTGAAGCAATATGCCTCTACAGCCAAAGAGTAGATTTATTTATGAGAAATTTGTGGAACGATATGACAATTTACTCAACTGTGGGGAGATTACTTGTGCTGTAGTTTTCAATATATGATAAATTCAAAATATTTTCTAATCCAGAATATATGGAACATCTCAGAATCCGTAGCTATTCCATTAAATGTCATGAGTTTTGGCTATATTGAAATGTTTTTACTGTCCTCTTCTCTACCTCTATGATTTCCACACAGAAACTCCTCTGCTTTTACGCCTTTCCCCTCCATTTTTTTTTTTTTTTTTTTTTTTTTTTAGAGGGAGTCTCGCTCTTTCGCCCAGGCTGGAGTGCCGTGGTGCAATCTCAGCTCACTGCAAGCTCACCTCCCGGATTCACGCCATTCTCCTGCCTCAGCCTCCCGAGTAGCTGCGACTACAGGCGCCAGCCATCACGCCCAGCTAATTTTTTGCATTTTTTTTAGTAGAGACGGGGTTTCACCGTGTTAGCCAGGACGGTCTCGATCTCCTGACCTCGTGATCCGCCCGCCTCAGCCTCCCAAAGTGCTGGGGTTACCTGCGTGAGCCACCGCACCCGGCCCCCTCCTTTATTATTATTATTATTATTATTATTATTATTATACTTTAAGTTCTAGGGTACATGTGCACAATGTGCAGGTTTGTTACATATGTATACATGTGCCATGTTGGTGTGCTGCACCCATTAACTCATCATTTAGCATTAGGTATATCTCCCAATGCTATCCCTCCCCCGTCCCCTCACCCCACAACAGTCCCCGGTGTGTGATGTTCCCCTTCCTGTGTCCATGTGTTCTCATTGTTCAATTCCCACCTATGAGTGAGAACATGCAGTGTTTGGTTTTTTGTCCTTGCAATAGTTTGCTGAGAATGATGGTTTCCACCTTCATCCATGTCCCTACAAAGGACATGAACTCATCATTTTTTATGGCTGCATAGTATTCCATGGTGTATATGTGCCACATTTTCTTAATCCAGTCTATCATTGTTGGACATTTGGGTTGGTTCCAAGTCTTTGCTATTGTGAATACTGCCGCAATAAACATACATGTGCATGTGTCTTTATAGCAGCATGTTTTATAATCCTTTGGGTATATACCCAGTAATGGGATGGCTGGGTCAAACGGTATTTCTAGTTCTAGATCCCTGAGGAATCACCACACTGACTTCCACAATGGTGAAACTAGTTTACAGTCCCACCAACAGTGTAAAAGTGTTCCTATTTCTCCACATCCTCTCCAGCACCTGTTGTTTCCTTTTTTTTTTTTTGCTTTCATTTTTATTTTTTTATTATACTTTAAGTTTTAGGGTACATGTGCACAACGTGCAGGTTTGTTACATATGTATACATGTGCCATGTTGGTGTGCTGAACCCATTAACTTGTCATTTAACATTAGGTATACCTCCTAATGCTATCCCTCCCCCCTCCCCCAACCCCATAATAGGCCCCAGAGTGTGATGTTCCCCTTCCTGTGTCCATGTGTTCTCATTGTTCAATACCCACCTATGAGTGAGAATATGCGGTGTTTGGTTTTTTGTCCTTGCGATAGTTTGCTGAGAATGATGGTTTCCAGCTTCATCCATGTCCCTACAAAGGACATGAACTCATCATCTTTTATGGCTACATAGTATTCCATGGTGTATATGTGCCACATTTTCTTGATACAGTCTATCACTGTTGGACATTTGGGTTGGTTCCAAGTCTGTGCTATTGTGAATAGTGCTACAATAAACATACATGTGCATGTGTCTTTATAGCAGCATGTTTTGTAATCCTTTGGGCATATACCCAGTAATGGGATGGCTGGGTCAAAAGGTATTTCTAGTTCTAGATCCCTGAGGAATCGCCACACTGACTTCCTCAATGGTTGAACTCGTTTACAGTCCCACCAACAGTGTAAAAGTGTTCCTATTTCTCCACATCCTCTCCAGCACCTGTTGTCTCCTGACTTTTTAATGATCGCCGTTCTAACTGGTGTGAGATGGTATCTCATTGTGGTTTTGATTTGCATTTCTCTGATGGCCAGTGATGATGAACATTTTTTCATGTGTCTTTTGGCTGCATAAATGTCTTCTTTTGAGAAGTGTCTGTTCATATCCTTTGCCCACTTTTTGATGGGGTTGTTTGTTTTTTTCTTGTAAATTTGTTTGAGTTCATTGTAGATTCTGGATATTAGCCCTTTGTCAGATGAGTAGATTGCAAAAATTTTCTCCCATTCTGTAGGTTGCCTGTTCACTCTGATGGTAGTTTCTTTTGCTGTGCAGAAGCTCTTTAGTTCAATTAGATCCCATTTGTCAATTTTGGCTTTTGTTGCCATTGCTTTTGGTGTTTTAGACATGAAGTCCTTGCCCATGCCTATGTCCTGAATGGTATTACCTAGGTTATCTTCTAGGGTTTTTATGGTTTTAGGTCTAAAGTTTAAGTCTTTAATCCATCTTGAATTAATTTTTGTATAAGGTGTAAGGAAGGGATCCAGTTTCAGCTTTCTACATATGGCTAGGCAGTTTTCCCAGAACCATTTATTAAATAGGGAATCCTTTCCCCATTTCTTGTTTCTGTCAGGTTTGTCAAAGATCAGATAGTTGTAGATATGTGGCATTATTTCTGAGGGCTCTGTTCTGTTCCATTGGTCTATATCTCTGTTTTGGTACCAGTACCATGCTGTTTTGGTTACTGTAGCCTTGTAGTATAGTTTGAACTCAGGTAGTGTGCCTCCAGCTTTGTTCTTTTGGCTTAGGATTGACTTGGCAATGTGGGTTCTTTTTTGGTTCCATATGAACTTTAAAGTAGTTTTTTCCAATTCTGTGAAGAAAGTCATTGGTAGCTTGATGGGGATGGCATTGAATCTACAAATTACCTTGGGCAGTATGGCCATTTTCATGATATTGATTCTTCCTACGCATGAGCATGGAATGTTCTTCCATTTTGTTTGTATCTTCTTTTATTTCATTGAGCAGTAGTTTGTAGTTCTCCTTGAAGAGGTCCTTCACATCTCTTGTAAGTTGGATTTCTAGGTATTTTATTCTCTTTGAAGCAATTGTGAATGGGAGTTCACTCATGATTTGGCTCTCTGTTTGTCTGTTATTGGTGTATAAGAATGCTTGTGATTTTTGCACATTGATTTTGTATCCTGAGACTTTGCTGAAGTTGCCTATCAGCTTAAGGAAATGAGAACACATGGACACAGGAAGGGGAACATCACACACCAGGGCCTGTTGTGGGGTGGGGGGAGGGGGGAGGGATAGCATTAGGAGATATACCTAATGTTAAATAACAAGTTAATGGGTGCAGCACACCAACATGGCACATGTATACATATGTAACTAACCTGCACGTTGTGCACATGTACCCTAAAACTTAAAGTATAATAATAAAAAAAAAGAAAAAAGAAAAGAAAATAAAAGACACAGACTGGCTAATTGGATAAAGAGTCAAGACCCATCAGTGTGTTGTATTCAGGAGACCTATCTCATGTGCAAAGACACACATAGGCTCAAAATAAAGGGATGGAGGAATATTTACCAAGCAAATGGAAAAAAAGCAGGGGTTGCAATCCTAGTCTCTGATAAAACAGACTGTAAACCAACAAAGATAAAAAAAGACAAAGAATGGCATTACATAGTGGTAAAGGGATCAATGCAACAAGAAGAGCTAACTATTCTAAATATATATGCACCCCATACAAGAGCACCCAGATTCACAAAGCAAGTTCTTAGAGACCTACAAAGAGACTTAGACTCCCACACAGTAATAGTGGGAGAATTTAACACCCTGCTGTCAATATTAGACAGATTGATGAGACAGAAAATTAACAAGGATATTCAAGACTAGAACTCAGCTCTGGACCAAGCAGACTTAATAGATATCTACAGAACTCTCTACCCCAATTCAACAGAATATACATTCTTCTCAGCATCACATTGCACTTATTCTAAAATTGATCACATATATGTTAGTAAAACACTCCTAAGCAAATCCAAAAGAATGGAAATCATAAAAAAACAGTCCCTCAGACCACAGTGCAATCCAATTAGAACTCAGGATTAAGAAACTCACTCAAACCTGCACAACTACATGGAAACTGAACAACCTCCTCCTGAATGACTACTGGGTAAATAATGAAATTAAGGTAGAAATAAATAAGTTCTTTGAAACCAACAAGAACAAAGACACAATGTACCAGAATCTCTGGAACACAGCTAATGCAGTGTTTAGAGGGAAATTTATAGCACTAAACACCCACAGGAGAAAGCTGGGAAGACCTAAAATTGACACCATAACATCACAATTAAAAACACTGGAGAAACAAGAGCAAACAAATTCAGAGGCTATCAGAAGACAAGAAATAACTAAGATCAGAGCAGAACTGAAGGAGATAGAGACATGAAAAACCAAAGAATCCAGGAGTTGGTTTTTTGAAAAGACTAACAAAATATATAGACCACCAGCTAGATGAATAAAGAAGAAAAGAGAGAAGAATCAAATAGCCACAATAAAAAATGATGAAGGGGATATCACCACTGATCTCACAGAAATACAAACTACCATCAGACAATACTATAAACACAGAATACAAATAATCCAGAAAATCTAGAAGAAATGGATAAATTCCTGGTCACATACACCCTCCCAAGACTAAATCAGGAAGAAGTCAAATCCCTCAATAGACCAATAACAAGTTCTGAAATTGAGGCAATAATTAATAGCCTACCAACCAAAAAAAGCCCAGGACCAGACAGATTCACAGCCAAATTCTAACAGAAGTACAAAGAGGAGCTGGTACCATTCCTTCTGAAACTATTACAAACAACAGAAAAAGAGGGACTCTTGCCTAACTCATTTTATGATACCAAAACCTGGCAGAGACACAACAAAAAATGAAAATTTAAGGCCAATATCCCTGATGAACATTGATGAGAAAATCCTCAATAAAATACTGGCAAACCAAATCCAGCAGCACATCAGAAAGCTTATCGACCACAATCAAGTCAATTTCATCCCTGGAATGCAAGGCTGTTTAAACATATACAAATCAATAAATGTAATCCATCACATAAACAGAACCAATGACAAAAACTACATGATTACCTCAACAGAGGCAGAAAAGGCCTTTGATAAAATTCAACACCCTTCATGCTAAAAACTCTCAATATACTAAGTATTGATGGAATGTATCTCAAAATAGTAAGATCTATTTATGACAAACCCACAGCCAATATTATACTGAATGTGCAAAAGCTGGAAGCATTCCCTTTGAAAACCAGCACAAGACAAGGATGCCATCTCTCATCACTCCTATTCAACATAGTATTGGAAGTTCTGGCCAGGGCAATCAGGCAGGAGAAAGAAATAAAGGGTATTCAAATAGGAAGAGAGGAAGTCAAATTGTTTCTGTTTGCAGATGATGTGATTGTATATTTAGAAAATGCCATCATCTCAGCTCAAAATCTCCTTAAGCTGATAAGCAACTTCAGCAAAGTCTCAGTGCACACATGATACAAAATCAATGTGTGAAAATCACAAGCATTCCTATACACCAATAATAGACAGAGAGCCAAATCATGAGTGAACTCCCACTCACAATTGCTACAAAGAGAATTAAATACCTAGGAATACGACTTAAAGGGATGTGAAGGGCCTCTTCAAGGAGAACTATAAACCACTGCTGAAGGAAATAAGAGAGGACACAAACAAATGGAAAAACATTCCATGCTCATGGATAGGAAGAATAAATATTATAAAAATGGCCATACTGCCCAAAGTAATTTATATGTTCAATGCTATTCCCATCAAGCTACCATTGACTTTCTTCACAGAATTACTTTAAATTTCATATGGAACCAAAAAAAGAGCCTGTATAGCCAAGACAATTCTAAGCAAAAAGAACAAAGCTGGAGGCATCATGCTACTTGATTTCAAACTATACTACAAGGCTACAGCAATCAAAACAGCATGGTACTGGTACCAAAATAGATATATAGACCAATGGAACATAACAGAGGCCTCAGAAATAAAGCCACACATCTACAACCATCTGATCTTTGATAAACCTGACAAAAACAAGCAATGGGGAAAGGATTCCTTTTTTAATAAGTGGTATTGAGAAAACTAGCTAGCTATATGCAGAAAACTGAAACTTGACCACTTCCTCACACCTCATACAAAAGTTAATTCAAGATGAATTAAAGGTTTAAACATAAGACCTAAAGCCATAAAAACCCTAGAAGAAAACCTAGGCATATCATTCAGGACATAGGCATGAGCAAAGACTTCATGACTAAAACACCAAAAGCAATGGTAAGAAAAGCCATAATTGACTAATGGAATCTAATTGAACTAAAGAGCTTCTGAACAGCAAAAGAAACTATCATCAGAGTGAACAGGTAACCTAGAGAATGGGAGAAATTTTTTGCAATTTATCCATCTGACAAAGGGCTAATATTCAGAATCTACACAGAACTTAAACAAATTTACAATTAAAAAAACCATCAAAAAGTGGACAAAGGACATGAACAGTCACTTCTCAAAAGAAGACATCTATGCAGCCAACAAACATATGAAAAAAAGCTCATCATCACTGGTCATTAGAGAAATGCATATCAAAACCACGGTGAGATACCATCTCATGTCAGTTAGAATGGTGATCATTCAAAAGTCAGGAAACCACGGATGCTGGAGAGGATGTGGCAAAATAGGAACAATTTTACACCGTTGGTGGGAGTGTAAATTAGTTCAAACTTTGTGGAAGACAATGTGGCGTTTCCTCAAGGATCTACAACCAGAAATACCATTTGACCCAGCAATCCCATTACTGGGTATATACCCAAAGGATTATAAATCATTCTACTATAAAGACACACGCACATGTATGTTTATTGTAGCACTGTTCATAATAGCAAAGACTTGGAACCAACCCAAATGCCCATCAATGACTGGATAAAGAAAATGTGGCATATATACACCACAGAATATTATGCAGCCATAAAAAATGATGAGTTCATGTCCTTTGCAGGGACATGGATGAAGCTGGAAACCATTATTCTCAACAAACTAACACAGGAGTAGAAAGTCAAACACGCATGTTCTCACTCATAAGTGGGAGTTGAACAATGAAAATACATGGACACAGGGAGGGGAACCTCACACACTGAGGCCTGTCGAAGGAGTGGGGGTAAAGGAGAGGGAGAGCATTAGGACAAATACCTAATGTAGATGACGGGTTGATGGGTGCAGCAAACCACCATGGTATGTGTATACCTATGTAACAAACCTGCACATTCTGTGCACGTATCCCAGAAATTAAACTATATATATAGAAAAAGAATACATCAGAGCTTGTTATCAAGATAATGTAAAAGAAAGTATGGGCAAATGAAGAGTCTGCTACATACCTCAGTGTTACCTTATTCAATGGCATCCTGACACTTTTCAACAAAGCCTTCGATGATAGGTTTTAATTGAGCATTCCAACTCCAGGAATAATGTTAGGGAATTTTAATACAAGTCATCTACCCATAAGTGTTCAGCATGTTCACAGGATTTTTCTTGAATATTCCAATGTCTACAAGCACAGTAAGTAGCAAACTGGAAATGTGTGCTGATTTACTTTGAGC
Organism: Homo sapiens; assembly: GCF_000001405.40. Classification (NCBI taxonomy): domain Eukaryota; kingdom Metazoa; phylum Chordata; class Mammalia; order Primates; family Hominidae; genus Homo; species Homo sapiens. The sequence continues at coordinate 16,737,411 of NC_000021.9, forward strand.
AAAAAGAAAAGACAAAGTTTTCTCCATATAGCGATATCATGCTTCAAAAGAAAACACATTATTCTGATTCTTAAATCACTGCTATTTCTACCAGCACATCATGCTTTCCAGTATTACAACAATGATTTTCCTTACACGGTTATAAATATTAGAAATTTATCATATACTTTGCATTGTTGAATAAACAATGATAAAAACTCTTCACATTATTTCAGCTCTTCTCTTACAGTTTACAGATGTTTTTAAACAAATACAGAGTTGTAGAAATAGATGATAGATAGATAGATAGACAGAAAGATAGATATATAATTCTATATATAACTACTCCTACCCTTATTTATTTCTACTTTCATTCAGGAAAGAAAACTGAGAAAACTCAATAATCCATTTTGTAATGAGATGGTATTTTATACCAGGACAACTATATCAGTCACTCACTGGCTCTATGCTCTTTTGCATTCTGGTCTAGCCAGCATACCATTCCCAGACAAATATTTCCAAAACTCGGCTTTCATTGCTTAACCACCTGATGAAGAACCTGTAATGAACTCTTAATTCCTATCACATCCTGTGCACATACAATCAGCCTGAGTTCAGGTCTCTGTATACATATTACAGCCACAAGCATCTCACTATTCTAGAACGAACAGCACTCTTCCTAAAAGGATGACTCCTTCTTGGCCTTCTCCCTTTACTTGTTATATTTATTTCCAGTTCTGTTATTTTGCTTTTACTGCCACCCCAAACCGGGGTGCTCTGTTTTTGATTTTGAGCTATTTAAATAAAACTATTATTAATGACTCATCTTTTCCATGAAGACTTCTCTGAGTTTTCCTGGAAACAGGTGAGAGTAGCCATCTCTCTAGAGTGTAGCCTTCTCTTACAGTTGATCATTTCATCATTGGCTAAGTTTCTCATGATGATCAGTTTTTTCTTTCCCAATTTATAATCACCTATTGGTAAGAACATGTCCAGCTAATGATTATGTGTTTTTTTGGGTGCCTGCTACTGGCTCTAGCAATTAGGAGGACCTCTATATGCATTTTGTTTTAATAAAGATCTGACTTATTTAAGAAAGAAATTAATAAGAATCTCTCTCTCTTTTTCACTTTTTCTGTCTCTTAATGAATTGCATACATTTTGGGGTCAGGCCGACAAAAGCTACTCATGTAGTTTCAGATTAGTTACTGACTAATTACTGAAACCCTTTAAGCTTGTTTCCCCTTATAGACAATAGAATAGAATCTACTCATGGTTTATCTAAGGAGTATTAATATAGTATATGTGAGGTCATTAGCATTATTCCTGGCATATAGTAAGTACTTAATGGTATTTTTTCCAATTAAGGAGAGAGAATCAGTCTAGTGATTAAGAGAACAAAACCTAAGAAACACACAAACCTGGCTTCAAATTCTAGCTCTATTATTTATTAATTTGCTAAGTTCTCTTAAACTTAGATTACTTATTTTTCTCATTTCCAAAATTGGTGATACTTATTTTTCTCATTTCCAAAAGCTGAATAATATTTTCTGTAAAACTTTGGGAAGATTAAATAGGTAATAAAGATGTGATCCATATGTCAACAAACATGATGTGTGTGCACTGTGATCACTAAAAAAAAATCTAATGGAATAGTGGGAGAGGATATAACCATCTCCTGTCCCTGGAGGGAAACTCAGGCAGCTTCCCTGGCTTTTCCTCTTATTATTAGTTAAAAAGGAAAGGAAACCTAACTATTATTTTACACTGAAAACACACACTTGATTCAGTCATCAGAATGTTCAGTTAAATTTAATAGTGAAAACCCTAAATCTGACTGAACATGCATGTCACCCCTCAACCAGATGGTATCTGTTTCAGGCTGGGACTTACAATGGTGCAAGGGCTCTGCTCTTTCTCTTTACCTGCTCACAGTGTCTCCCAGTCCTCATCTGCACTTCTGGAGTAAAGTCGGGGAGAGCATGAAGAGAAATTGCCTGCGTGGCTTCATGCCTTCTGGTTTTAGCACATAGCTAAAGCTGGCAGTTCTTGGTGGAAGAGCCTTGCAGATGATTACAGATGATCTCAGGATTGCTGCTACAGACTGTTTGTACATTACCAAAATTCTATGCAGAATCCTAATCCCCCATGTGTTTGTATTTGAGATGGGGCCTTTGGGAGGTAATTAGGTTAAGATGAGGTCATGAGGGTAGAGGTCCCATGATGGGATTAGGATCCTTATAAAGGGACGAAGAGCTCAGAGCTTTCTCTCCACCCTGTGAGGAGGTAGTGTGAAGACAATTATCTGCAAACCAGAGAACGAGCCCTCACCAAAAGCCTGAAGATGCTGGCACCCTGATCTTTAACTTACAGCCCCCAGAACTGTGAGAAATAATCCTTTGTTGTTTAAGCTCCCCAGTCTATGACAGCTTGTTATAGTAGCCTGAACTGACTAGGACAGTTGCTTCAGGAAACTCTTTGAATGTTCTCTTTAGCCAATGTCTCTGGATCCCAGACAGATCCATCTCTATTCCAGGATCTCAAGATTCTTGCCTCAACTCCTACCCACAGGCTGAACATTTTTCCCCTGGGGTCTCCTTATGTCTTCAGCAGCCCCAAGATAGACCTTGGAAGACCTGAGATAATTCTATACCAATGCTCTCTTCCAGATGGCCCATAGCTGACTTATGCATTATCCCTCGTTCCATTAAACTAGATCACCTCCTTTTGATTTCCCTATTTTAGCCCTACTCTTAGCTCTAGACTTTCCAAGTATAAGTTAGATCTAAGCCATAGTCCATGATAGCTTTCTCAGTCATGACTATCAGTAATTTACACCCCCCTTAAGTTCTTATCTTTCATATAAAAGGGAGGAGGAATTGGGAGATACCTTCACACTTTTTTTCTCTCTAAACCTTTTCTTAAACCCTTGATCTGACTGAAGATTCTAACATCCTGACATCTGTCCTGATATCGATCCTGTCCTACCTCAGTCAAAATTGAGGAGGAAGTTATCCTTCTAATATCTTATTAGTATTTACAACACATAGAGAAAGGCTCAACATGAGGACTGGCTACATAATTTGCTGGGTCCAGTGCAGAATGAATATTCAGGTCCTCTTGCTCACAAATTACTAAGAATTCCAATGACAGTAGCCGAGCGTTAAGCTGCTCGTTGCAGCATGGAATCCTGATGGCCCAGGTTACATGCCCATGGAGTAGGCTCTAGAAAACAGATGGTAGAAGTACTCATTGTTGTTAGTCCATCGTTGTTAGTCCCTTGGCCCACCTCCCACATGATACCACTTCTCTCCGATGTGCCTGAGTGACCTCAGCAGCACTGAGATTCTTACTAATAATCCATTACCAAAGACTCCACTGTGGCTCATTTGTGCATGGTTCATAACTGATTTCACGCTGAAACAAAAACCGGTCAATTTAGATCTGAGCAGATTTTCCCCAAATTAACTGGCCACTTCCCCGATAATGAAATAGGGCCTCATTAATATCCTTTGTAATTTTTTTTTCCAATTTCATTCAGTTGAAGAAAGCAAAAATATCTAGAAAAATGTGTAAAGACTACTACGTGTACCAGTAGCCTCTTTATTTTAGCTTTGAAAAAAAAAATACTCAAGTAATAAGACAAAAACAGAGTCTTATAGTCAGGAAGTTTGAGGATGAAAGTACAATGTGCAATTCATCAAATATCTAATGCGTGTCATTATTTCCATTAAGGTATTTTGTGTTGGGAGAAAATAAGACAGTTCTCGGAAAAGGGAGGTTTGTTTTTCTAATTCAATGGCACAGAATCTAACATCCCTGAGCTAAGGTTCAGCAGGAGCTCATAGAGTCAGCGTTGAGATGCAGACACTGCAGATATCATCCATCTCTCTGACACACGCAGGGCCTCATTGTGTGGCTGCCAGACACAGTCCGCTGAGATGAGAACGTCACAGAATACAGAAAAGGAAGCAACGCTATTGGGCTCATTATTGCTCTTATCTATGAATAGCTCCATAAAAAGCAGCTCTGGAGAACATTGTTCTGAGATGAAGAAATGGAGGTTTGGTCCATGGCCATCACGATTAACATAGACAGTCAAGGAGTTAAGTGGACAGTGCATGGGGAATGTGGGAACTCTACATGTTAGCCAGGGAGTGAGGGGACTATATCTTTTTCAGAGCAATATTTTTGGTGCAGGAGCTGACTCATCAGATTAGCAGCCTCTCAAGATTGATGATGTTTCTGCCTTGCCTATTCCTCTAATTCTAAACCAAAAGTGATAAAGAGTACCCAATACAGAAGACATCACTCAGTCATCACTGAGAAAAGCCATTAAAATGGCAGTGTGTGCATAGAGTTGGGCAGAGTACAGGTAGAGAAACACCCAGTTACAGTTCATGCCTGAGCCTTCCTCAGTGTTTAAAAAAGAAAACAGCAAAGAGAAGATTGTCACAAGTAATCTGGAACAGGCAGACCCTATAAGGACGAAGGGCTTTGTCTAGATAAACATAACAAAACAGGGTAGCATACGGTCATTTATGTTCTATGACAAAGAAGAGGTTTGGGTCAGTTCCAAATGAGAAACTTTTGGGGTGAGGTCAAATGCACACCTTATTGTCTTTTACTGCCATATATGAGAATTACCTGGTTTAGTGTAACACTTTGGGATGCATAATTTGACCCATGACCTTGAAATCTGCATAAAATAGATTATTCTTGAAAGGATCTCATGCCATAAAAGATCCACACCTCTCATCCACCGCCCCACCCCCACTGCCTTTTGTTTTAAACAGAACTTCTTTTAGGAAAGTAGACAATTAGTGCAAAATCTATCAGAAGGCGTCTCAACCTGTCCTGCAGTCTCCAGCCAGGAACTCCCTGGAAGGAGGCCATGTAACTCATTATTTGTTAGGCCATGGCCTATTTTTTCCAGGCTGTTGTATAAGGCAAATCCATTGCCTCATTTCTCATAGCCTCTCTACAAAAGAAAAAAGCAGACAGATCTTCCCAAACTCAGACAGAATATTGTGCACAGCCAAGTGGGCTGAAAAAACATGCTGCCAAATTGGCTAGCATAGCTCCATGTATTGCTCTCTTTCCAGAGTTTCAGCAACAACAACAGAGATGCTGACCCCAAATAAATGCAAGAGAAGACTCATATGCTTCTATTTGGACAGAACCAGGACTCTAAAAAGCATGCAAGAGATATTTCCACCAAGCCTCGGTGCTCCTCAGAAGTATCACAGGGAAGTCTGGTAACTAACATTTAAAAAATAAATAAATCTGAGCCAGAAAAAGTTCGTGTAAGATAGATAAATACTAAAATGGGCCAAACCATCACCACATATGGGACAAGTCAATTACACACACAGATGGGTCCTAGGTCAAGTCCTGCTGTTAAAGCATTATCAACATTCCCTACAAGCATGTTATAATCTTCGTAATCCTAATAAATAATTAATAATAGCTATCATTTATTGAGTGTTTGCTAAGTTTCCGGCTCTGTGATAAGGACTTTACATGACCTAATTCTGACCACAACTCTGATATCATTCCAACTTACAGATGAGAATATGGAAGTTCAGAGGAGTTCAGACACTTGTTCCAGCTGATCTCAGAACAGGCTGATTCTAATGTCTTTTGCTACTACCTTGCTTCCAACATCATTCAGTTGCCTTTAAAATAAACAACTTCTGGCTTTTCACTCGCGTTGTTTTCACCAGCACTTACCACGTGTAGAGCAATGAACATCTATGACAAATAATATTGATATCACTTTTGCCCTTAGAGAATTAAAAAAAAAAATCTCTGAGATTATTGACAGTAAGGAAAGAATAGAAACAGAATGTCTACAGGTCAGATATTTCTCTCGTCCTAGTGGTACTCCTTTCCTATCCCAGCAGTTGATTCTCTCTCTCTCTCTCTCTCTCACTCCCCTTTCTCTCTCTCATTTGTTTGATCACAGCAGTCCTTATGGCCATGCAACACAATGTGAAGGCCGACTCCCATCTGCCCTCTTTTCTCATAGACCAATAGAGAGGCATTCAGATTGTAAGGACCACATTCCCAGAAGCTGCAGGGCCTCTGGTGGTGGTCAGGAGATTGGAAACTCTATGGCCTCAAAACACTTCATCAAGCCATTCAGCCAGTGGCATTTCACATAATGCTACATGATTAAAGACCATGAAGGTTAAACATTCTAACCAGACACATATGTCTAGCAAGGGTCTTTTGAAAACCCCCATTCTGAGGAACCATCTGGACATTCCAGGTGATCTCCATGCCTACTGATGGGAGTTTACTCCATCATACATAATTGTTTGGGCAATCCAGCAGAGAGTGTATTTGATGGCCCCTTTTGTTTTAGCTTCTTTAAGAAGAGAGCCAAAGATTGACTTCACTTTCATCAAAAGAATATTAAGTTACACATAAAGAATGTCCTGGCTCTTAAAGGGTGTTAGAATTTAGAACTTGTTCCTGAGCAGTGTAAAGATTCAGATTCCAACTGAGATTCTGAAGACTGAGAAAGAGAACTCAGAGAGTGGATGCTGAAATTACAGAGGAGTAAGTTTTAGCTGCACTCATGGAAGAATTTTCCAACAGCAAGTACAATGCATGATTTGAATAGATTCTCTGGCTTTCAGGAACCAAGATATTCATAAAATCAGAGAGCCAGGTGAGATGTTAGTAGTTATCTCTCTAGCACACTCCTTTATCTGAAGAGGAAAAGGGTCCGAAGGCTGGCAACGTGAAGATTGGGCCCCAGACTCTCAGACTTCTGACACAGGATAGAGCATTTTCCTCAAAACGGGCTGGATATGTTAAAACAGTGACTTGATAAATAACCGTTTGGAAGGGTGCGGTTATGATTCAATGTTTAGATGGGAGAAAGGGGGTCAAGTGTTATTTTTAATTCTAATAGCTTAAGATATTATGGCTAACTACTCAGGATAATTAGTATAAGCCTGCTAAGTGACAATATACTAGATAACCTGAAGATCCCTTCCTCATCCTGAATATATATGGAAAGAGGCATCATCTTTGATAAAGAAAAATCATTCAGGATACATTCGATAAAAAACATCATTTCACATGAGCAAACTTTTGGTAGTGATGAATATGTTCAATATCTTGATTGTGCTGATGGTGTCAGAGAGAAATCCATAGGTCAAAACATCACATTATATGCTTTAAATACATACAGTGTTTAAATGTCAGTTATCCCTCAATAGAGTAGTTAAAAATGTTTTAAAAAATCACTTCCGTAGAATGCCACATATAAAACACAGTTTATATGCTTATATGTAGACGTGTGTGTTACTGCACAAAATTGTGAAATACAGAAGCAAAAAACAATGCCATCCAGATCATTTTATTAGATTATCTAAATAAACATTGTACTAATATCAGTACTCTTTTCACCTCCCTTTTAGGAAGTAATTTTTTAACATATTTTTTGTCTTTTGCCCTGTGGTATAAGGTCTTCCAAAGGATATTTAATTTGATTGGAAACTGACTGATTTATGAAACGCAAAATGGTCTTTTATAAAAAGTCTCTGGAACGTGAATGCTTTACAGCAGACCACAGCTCTCATTTATTTCATATTTGAAGTTTGGGACCTTCAGAATATATTTGACTCTGGAGATCCACACTATTTTGTGATGTACAATTTTGCTCAATCATAAAGACAAGGGTCACTTTGCAAAAAAGAGTCACTTAAGAGGATAAATGAGATTGTGTAATAAACACATTGCCATGATTCAGTTGAATTCATCCAAGAGTTTTTGAAATTCTATTCTTTGGCATTATCAGCTAATCAGTATTTCTCATTAAGCCTCTGAAGGACCACTTACAATTCAGTATTGCTTGATTTCATTTTATATGAACATTTATATGTCACATTGGCAGTCATGAATTTGAGATTTCTTGAACAAATACAAACTTAGCCCTTGTGGAAATCCGAGGTCTGATATTAATTTTGTGATAATAAAAGAAGGAAGAATTTAGGATTAAAGAGCATAATCTTGTCAAGGTTTTTGGCACTTCATTCAAACATACATACCACATTTTTACTACCCTTTCCTTGAAAAGTTATGTGTATGACTCTGTATACAGATTGTGAATGGATGACAAAATATTGCCAGTGATTCCAGTATTTACTAGAGTTAAACTCTCCCTGACATAGAATAATACTGAATAAACCTAACATGTGATTTGTCAATTTCTACTTAAATTTCTTTCTCTTCATATGCTGTATCTACTTGATTTTGCCTACCTTTTTGTTTGCATAAACTGAATATAACACTCTCCACAAATTAGTTATCATTGGATATTACATTCACTATATTTTTTAAAAATCTTGATTTTCCTAGCCCTGGTCAGATTTAACCATAATCGAAAGAGGATCTAACCTAACCCTGATAAGAAACACTGAATCAGACGGAGAGAGAAGGCCCAGAGTCATAGATTTGGATCCTGAAACACTGGATCTAAACTGTTTTGCACTCTACTCCTGATTTGGTTTTTTTGTTTGTTTGTTTCTTCGTTTGTTTTTTCCTAACCACTGTTGGTTGTCAATATCATCAACATCTCCATTTATAGTGTCCTTTGTCCTGCCAGTTCGGCCAAGGAGCCCATTCTCTTGATTCTTAGTTCCCTTCCCTGCCTCCATTTTACTACACAATGTCCAGAGAGGTGCGGGTTACCTCAAGTTTAAAACAAATAAAAGTCAGATCATACCCTCCTATGTCTTCCCTACTGAGAAGTAGGACCTAGACCAAGACTATTTGATATTTTAGGGTCCATTCAAAACACAGTCTAAAGCTCCAGGATTTCTGTAGCCACCGAAGAGGTTTACTCTGTGACAAATATAGAAGCTACGGCAGTTAATTCTACGGTTTTATGATTTTAAGGAGAAAATAGTCATCATTATTTAATTTCTATAAGGACATAATTTGTGTTAGCAACGTGTTTTAATGCATTTGATTGTGCTTGTTTCTTCTGTTATTGCTTTCTTCCTTTTGTTATGTATTAGCTTGAGGAGAGTAAGGATTAAATGATTTAGAGAGTTTCTTGTCATATGTTTAATATCAGATGGCATTATACCTGACTAGAGCTATACCCTGGTTGTTAGTTAACTAGTGATCCAAAGGATGTTGACAACAGACTTTTTCCCAATTGGCTTTTTGCTTTTAAAGTAAAAGAACAATTTAAAATAAAACAAATTAACTTTGTTCCAGTTTTTGATATTTCAAATAATAATTATATAGACGAGGACTCAGAATGGTTAATTTAATTGAAATGTCTAAGCCCAAGGCTACTAGACCTTAAAAAAGTGGATAGCTTATGCAGATACACAGATAATGGTTTAATAATATGCATTATCTCCTTCGAAGTTGGTACACTTGCATAAACAATGGCTCAAAAGCTATCAGCCAAACCGAAAGTGTACTGGTGTAGAAAGTGCTGAATGCTTCCATTATGCATTATTTTAGCCGAGGTAATGAATATTGTATGATCCTTTAATGTTGAGGTAGTTTGTACTATTTTGGTGTCTGTTATTCTTAGAGGAACCTTAAGTAATGTAATGGAGCTAAGCTTAAATGCTATTTTGCTGTTTAGGTCATTATTGTTCCTTTTTTGTCTGCACTTTGGATTATATAAAATCCTGAAAAGGCAAGAAGACACTTTAAAGATGCGACAGAATCAATGCTAATTTTAAAGTAAATCTTTCCCAGGAGAAACACAAAGCATTTTCACTTATGATTTCTAAATAGAGTATAGGTGCCTGAAAAATGGCCAAATATTTAATTCCTGGAAAAGGCATCATAAATAAACATCATTATAATCATGAATTAGATGAGGGAATTTAGGGGATTATAAGATTAGGTGACTGCCTAGAACTAAATATATGTATATGTGTGTATATATTTATATGTATATGTGTATATATATGTATATGTGTATATATATACACCCATATATACATATACACTGTATATGTATATATATACATATACATATGTATGTGTATATATGTATATATATACATATACAGTATATGTATACATATACAGTATATATGTGTATATATACATATACAGTGTATATATGTATATATATACATATATACAGTGTATATGTATATATATACATATATACAGTGTATATGTATATATACATATATATACTGTATATGTATATATACACATATATACACATACATATATACATATATACGTATATATATACATATATACTTATATATGTATATATATACGTATATATGTATATATGTATATATATATATGAAATATAAAAAGGGAAGGGAATTAGACATTGAGTACCCAATATGTACTAGGAAGTGACGTAAATGTTTCATAAATGAGACTTCATTTCGACCCTCCTCCACGTGTTATGTTTTCCAAGCATTAAAACTTTACAGTATTCAAAGCTACTGTTATCACGTCAGTTCAACCAAAAGGACAGTTTCCCAGTCATACCTGAATATAGTCAGCTACCTTCCCTATTGATATAGTTTGAATATTTGTCCCCTCTCAAATCTCATGTTGAAATACAGTTCCCAATGTTGGAGGTGGGGCCTGGTAGGAAGTGTTTGGGTTATGGGGACAGATCCCTCGTGGCTTGGTACCGTCCTTGCGATTATGAGTGAGCTATTTAAAAGTGTGAAGCAGGTGGCTCCTTCGCACAATGGATAGTGCAGTGGACTTCTAAAAGTGTTATGCGCCTCCTCGTCTCCTTGTTCCTGTGCCCACCGTGTGATGTCCCTGCTTCCGCTTTGCCTTCCGCCATCATTGTAAGCTTTCTGAAGCCCTCAACCAGAAGCAAATGCCAGCATCATACTTCTTATACAGCCTGCAGAACCGTAAGCCAATGAAACCTCTTTCCTTTATAAGTTACCCAGTCTCAGGTGATTCTGTATAGCAATGCAAGAACAGCCCAATACACCTACTAATCAGACAAAAGCACTCAAGTAGCAATTATTTGTACTTGTTTCTGTGACTCTCTAGGGAGCCTAAAGTCCTCTGAGGCTTACTAAGCTTGGAAATGAGTCCACTGACATATGTTCCAGATATTCAGAAGTCTCCTTCTTTCTCTCTCCATCTCCAATCCACAGTGGTTCTTTCCCCCACTGTCTTATTTTGTCACTGCCACATCTATCAATAGCTGTGCACACAATATTCACTTCGGTTAATTATTTCCTTCATTAATTGGTTCCTTTTATTATCGAATTGTAATAACAATGTTTATTCAGGAGTTTCATCTTTGAAGATAGTGGATTAGAGTCTATACAGTCACCTTCTTCCTAACACAGCTAATTGGTCTTGCTACACATGATTAAACTCTTTCTCCACATGATTGTTTTATGTAGTGATCATTCTTTCCTAATCTGATTTTCTACATTTTCTAGAACTGGTTTGCTTATTCACTTTTACCAAGTGAATAAAGAAGAAGCAGATGAATTGATATCTACATTTTAAATTCCTTATTTACACAGAAGCAGATGAATTTATATCTACATTTTATAGACAGCTATAAATATTTGGGGTTTTTTTTGTTTTTGTTTTTGTTTTTGTTTTTTTGAGACGGAGTCTCGCTCACTCACCCAGGCTGGAGTGCAGTGGCACCAACTTGGCTCACTGCAAGCTCCGCCTGCCGGGTTCACGCCATTCTCCTACCTCACCTTCTGAGTAGCTGGGACTACAGGAGCCCGCCACCACGCCCGGCCAATTTTTGTATTTTTAATAGAGACGGGGTTTCACCGTGTTAGCCAGGATGGTCTCGATCTCCTGATCTCGTGATCCGCCCGCCTCGGCCTCCCAAGACAGCTATAAATACAATCTTATAAAAGAATACCTTTATAGTTCAACAGTCCTACTAATTTTGAAATTAATAAAATGAATACACATTTCATTTTGTTAATGTTTTCTTTGTATTACAACTACATTTCATATGCTTTATGTTAAGCCAATTACTATTTGGTTCTAACTATTGAGTCAAAACTTTGAAAAAATTATTCATTTTCTTTTGGCTGAAATCAAACTTTTGGTACCCAACTTGTCACCATTAGATCTCTACTATGTTTAGAAATTTACTTTAGACTCATTTCTTTTTCTGATCTCTAAAAAATGTCTCTATTGCTTTCAGGGGACTGTTATACAATGGCCCAATATCTTGGGGCTAAATTGACAGGAAGATAAATCTAGAAGCAATGTTCATTTGGTGACAGTTTTTAAAGTAATGAACTGTACTTTCTCTAGTCACTTGCTTTCTTTTTCTTAATGAGATTTTAAAATTCATTCTCATGTTCTTTTTGATCTCAGTGATTTTCTCTTTCCACCCCCCCATGCTGCATATTGTCACTCTAAGCCATGTGTTTTAATGACAGTTTTCCCTAAAGATCTAGAAATTTTTTATTTTTTTATTGTAAGATTATATTTTATTTAACTAAATCATAAAGGAACTTGTATGGTTCATTAGTCATCCTCCTCCCCTTTCCCTGTTTCTTATCCCACTCTGGCTTTGGGGAAAAGTAATATGCTAATAAGGATTATAATTACATAAGAATGCATACGTAGAGTATGCTACTGTTGAGTAATGCCTACATATTATTTCTTTTAGGCTGGTGGCTAAAGCCACATAGAGTGATTCCTAGGTTTAAACGTCCAGATATATCTACTAGTTAGTTATTTTAGTAGTGACTAGCTCCCTGAAAAAAATACTTCCAGCCACTTCCCATTGCAAAGTAGCAGACTGAATACAAATAAACTTATTTCTGTAAATCAGATTCTCTATTTCTTTCATATTTTGCTTTTCCTGTTATTGTTATTATTATTTTATCATAGGCATCTCCAGTGTTGAATTTTACTTCTTCAGAGGAGCTTCTATGTATGCACACAGATATTTAATACCTGTTTTGAATAATCTTATCAAGCTAAAGTGCAATAAATTTAGTCCTAAGAATAATCAGAAAGAAACATGTCAGACAATTGGATAGCATCCACCTTGAGATCATATAGCAGAATGTTTTATACACTCTGTAAAAAGTTTACAACATTGCTTGCAATTTTAAATACCAATATACAAAAGATCCAAGCACATGAGCTATAACTTATTCAAATTTTAACACCATGGTTACATTGCACTTTGCTATTCCTTCATATCATTCCAAACAATCTTCACACATTTAACAAGGTCTTGAATTTTTTTGATTCAACTAAAGCAAATCCAGGAAATTTAGAAAGTTACAGTTAGTTTGGTTTGATTACAAACATCTGCCATGGCATGAATTAGATACAGCTTACCTATGCCTTCACGTTAGCACCCCATGGTAGCTGCATTGCCCCATTAACAATCAGATGAAACTCAATCATCTTGAAATATTTTTAAAGTTTTGGTTTTATATTTTAGTATGAGTAAGCCAACTGCATATTTTTTATATAACTTGACACTTTAAGCTTAGCAAAAGTTCTGTTTGGGGAAATGTTGCCATGTAAGGAAACTCCCGTTTTTACTTTACCTATTAAATTTTTATTAAGGTGTTGTCAGTTCCAGTTCAGTTAAATAACTTTATTTTTAATAAAAGCTTACATTATTGAAATTCAGAGTTAGTCATGTAAAATATATTGCTCTGTATTAGTTTTACTCCAGTCATAAAATATTCACAGTCACCCTGAGAAATGTGTTCTTTGATCCCCTAGAGAGAGATAAAGAAAGTGAGGCTTAGAGAAGTTCAGTAACGAGCCAGGCAACAACAACTGCCATGGGGCATACTAGGATTTGATTCTAGGCCATTCTGACTCCAAAGACATACGTCCAGGTTAAATGCAATTAATATCTCTGTTCTCGTCTACTTTTTCACCTCTGAGTGAATTAGTCACCATATGAAAACTTCTCCAATGTACTGTCATCTGTAGAGATTTCTCTGTTGTAAAATGTATTGAGGGGATGGATTCTTCTAGTTTCTTTTGCTGCTCCCATAACTTCAAAGCCTAGGTATGCTTTGCTACTTAATCAAAATGCCTAGTGATGCCACTAATACTAAATTTCCCTAGTATATATAGAATAAGTTAAATGCTATCTAACCACTATGTCAATTTCAATAGGACAATTCCAGGCCTATCTACTGTTACTCTCTACTCTTTTTTTTTTTTTTTTTTTTAAGCGAAGACAGCTAAAGTTGAATTAAATAAAGGGCACTGTTTTCTTTTCTCCTAGTTCATGAATGTGTCCTTGATTTGTAAAAGGAGGTAAAATATCACCAGAAACCTAAAAGAAGAAAGTCAGCTGCCTGCCTATTGAAGATGGATATAGCTGACTCATTTGGAAGCTTACTAGGAGGATTTTTTTAAAAAACAATTCTATAAATTAGATTGGTGACAATCTTGGCTGCAGGTGTTATCTTGGTACTTTCCAGATGCTTTTGTTAGAAGGCAAGCAGGGATTTACAGTGACGGAGTGCCCTATATCTGTCTTTCATGGGGGACATTTGGAGAAAAAACCTGTTAGCACTTGTTGGTTAGGAGTCACCACAGAGCTTTCAGCTGTGGTTTCTAACTAAGGATACATCAGCAAGATGCCAGCTATTTGGTTCCTGGAAAATGTTTCAATGTTTTCATTCTGCCATTGACATATAGATTTGAAATTTATTATTTGTGAGCCATAGGAAAGAATTGCATTTTCTAACTGCCCAGATATAATTAAAACCCAAACCTTATCCAGAAAAAGTAACTGAGACTTTCTTAGCCAATGAATTATTTCAACAGTTGGCCATTGAGGGAACAGGACAATGTTTAACCCATAATCATGCTTTGAAATTTGCCAACTGCCCTGTCCCTTTGATCACTCTAAAAAGAAATATGTTCTTGTCTTTTTGAAAGAGAACCAGATACAATGTGCTTTGGCTGCAGTCCCTGTGCTTGGTCACCAGATTTATAAATGAAGTTGTTTAAAACGCAAATAAATAAAGGAAAGGGGAAAAAGATGTTGGAAATTTAGAAAAGAGTACCTGAAAAAGAAAAAAAAAAGTTTCTTATGAATAAGTACTATAAGAAAAAGACTCACGATATACTATATTTGTGACTCAAAGAAGTTATTTCACAGAAATATTACATGTGATGTTCTTTTGTGCCAACAAGAAAGAAATTGACCACAGTTGTTCAAGGAAACACTTTATTTTTTTTTTTGGTTCAAAAAATTAAACTAATAAGAGATAATTGGAAGGAAATTTTGACATTTGCTCATATTTCCAGAGATACTAAACTGAAAATGCTGTTTGGAAGAGCATCAGAGGATGCTTAAGAGCAACAGAGTGTTTTCTCAGTGGAATACAATACACAGACATAGACATTGTGAAGAATCTCTTTGATTTGAAATCTCACTTTCTGGATGAAATGTCCTAAAAAATCTCTAGTTTAACCCCTTGGTACTAGCTCTTCATGGAAAAAATATTTAAAACATTTGAAAGCATTATTTTAGAATAATTTATTTTTTCCTCACACATTTAAAAAGCTTACAAGGTGAAATTAGTTAAACTTTAAAAGTGGGAACAACATTGAAGCATATATAAGGGCTTAAAGTAGCATGAAGCAGCCTGGAAGCTAACCATTAAACATTTAATGTCTCTGTAGCTTTCATTTATTTTCTTCCATTTTTCTCTGACCCTTGTCTGGATGCGTTTCTGTGCCGTTCTTCCAATGCATATTTAAAATATAGCTCTATTGACCTTGGAAGCTGAGAGGAAAATCTATAGTATTACTGGCAAAAGATGTGATTAACTAAACTAGTTATCAATGCACTCCCCCCACACTAAGGATTTGGGAGAGATTGTTCCAGATGTAAAAAAAATGGCAGGGCTAAATGATTACATTCTTGGGTTATATCAGTGGGTTCCATTAAACATGTTTAGTTTGAGCGTAGGGGAATGATAACCTACTGTTACTAAAGAACAGTCAGAAGTTTCAAGGCAGTTCTAAGAAAAGCATATTTTCTGTTAGGTAGCTATTTCTTGGTAGCTATTGCTACTTAACAAATGACCCCAAAACTTTGCATCTTAAAACAACAAGCATGTATAATACCTCACAGTCTGGAAGTCAAGAATATAGTGACTCAGTTGGGCAATTCTTCTGATACCTATGGTGTTGACTAAGACCACCAGGTGCTATTCACCTGGCATATGGGCTTGTTTGGAGGGCCCAAGACAGCTTCACTCGCATATCTGATGTCTTGATTGGGATGACTGCAGCACTGGGTATTGCTGGGACTCTTAACTAGAGCACCTATCTGTGGCCTCTCCATAATTGTGCTTTCAGCATACTCAGATTTCTTGCATGGTAACTTAGAGTTTGCAAAGAGAATCTTCTAAGAAACAAAGCTGGAAGCTTCTGGTTTCTTAAGTCCTGAGCCCCCAAATTGGCACACTATCATTTCTACCATATTCAGTTTTCCAAAGCGTATTCAAGAAGAGAGGACACTGCTTCCACTTCTTAACTGGAGGCATTTCAAAAAATTTGTAGTTGTCTTTACTTTGTCATGCTTGTGATTACTAAAATGAAGTGAAAATATCTATATATTCTTAGCTATCTGGTATAGAGACATAAGTTATGAGATCTGTTATTGAACAGATATACTTTTTTAAACACATTACTATTTCCATAATAACCAAGTACAATGAGTGGACTTTATTTGGATCCTGAGTTGAATAAACCAACTGTAAAAATAAATTTAGATAAGAGAGGAAATCTGAATATGGAGTAGGTATTGTATATTGCCTGGATGTTCAATTTTCTTAAGTGAGATAATGTCAATGTGGTTGTGTAAGAAAATATTCCTATTGATATTTCAAAGAAATATACTGAAATATTTAGAAATTAAATGACTATTTTGGGAATTTGTTTTAAAAAACTTCACCAGGGAAAGTGGGTAGATAGACAAAATGAGTATGCCATAGCATTGATTATTGATGTCAATGATGGGTGTATAGGGTTTATTGTACTCTCTACCCTTGATTGTGTTTATACATTTTCCAATAAAGAATAACGAAATGTTCTGTTGTTTTATTAGTGTATATGTTTTATAATTTCTACTGATTCAGAATCAGTTGCTTATTGGGGAGATATTTTAAAAGTCATAGCACATTTCTGAATATAAAGTTATTGTTGAGTCATTTTTAAATTATTATGCATAGGTTGTCTCAGGGTATAATTCCAATTCTACCTACTAACGGATACCCCTGAATCCGTTCTTAGCAGCATATTTGTATTAGCTTTCATCAATAACATAGCGTAATTTTCTTCATAGGTATTCATGTCTTCCATCACATGTATTTCTTGAATGCCTGCTATGTGTCAGACACGTGCTATGAGGTAGAAATAGAGTTTTGAACAATATCAATGAAACAGACCTACTTATTACCTTTAATGAGTTCACAATATAGAAAAATAGACAAAATTTAAAAAACCCTCAACAATAAATTAGCATTATCACAAACTTTGATATGTGCTTTCTAGGAAAAATCACATTCTTTTGAGAGTAAGGGGACCTGACCTTACCTAGGTAGTTACTAAGACTTGACATAAAACGTAATAATTAATTCAAATCCAAAAAAAGGAATAGGCGTCAATTAAAGGAGGAAAGGAAGGGTGGGTATATTTCAGGCAGAGAGAAGACTGTGTGTAAGGAAATTGTGAATGAAGGAAGCACAGTATGTCTACAAAATAAACTTAAACAAGGGATTTGGGGCTAGAGTGCTGAAAGCCTGGGGATTGAGAAGCCCAAAGTGTAGTCTGGAGCTAGGTATATAGAGTTTTGTAGTTCATAGTGGAGTTTTCTTTCTTTCCTTCCTTCCTTCTTTCCTTCCTTCCTTCCTTCCTTCCTTCCTTCCTTCCTTTTCCTTCCTCCAGGGTGGATTCAGGGTGAGACATGGAGACAGTTTAAGAGGTAAACTCAACAAAATTTGGTGATGGGTTAAATATGAAAAATGAAAGGGCCTGAAAATTAAGTGCTTCCTGTTCACAAATAACCATTATCTCTTGCTTTAATAACATTCACTTTAACCTAAAAACATTTAAGTATACCAAGCACGGTTCTAAATGCTTTATAAATACTTTCCTGGCCAGGCACAGTGGCTCACATCTATAATCTCAGCACTTTGGGAGGCCGAGGCAGGTGGATCACCTGAGGTCAGGAGTTCGACACCAGCCTGGGCAACATGGTGAAACCCTTCTCTACTAAAAATACAAAATTAGGCAGGCATGATGGCGCATACCTGTAATCCCAGCTACTCGAGAGGCTGAGGCAGGAGAATCGCTTGAACCTGAGAGGCGGAGGTTGCAGTGAGCCGAGATCACGCTGTTACACTCCAGCCAGGGCAACAAGAGTGAAACTCTGCCAAAAACAAAACAAAACAAAACCAAAACAAACAAACTTTTCCTACAAATATATGGGGTTATGCACATTTTCCATATGAAGGATTTAGGACCTAGTACACAGAGAAGCAAAAATAACTTGCTCGCGATCACACAGTTGTTAAGTGGTAGAACGGGGACTTGAACCCAAGAAGTCTGTCCCAAGGGTCTATAATTTTAGCCCCAAACCATGCTAGACCATTCAGGTTCATGGCCAACCACCTAGATATTACATTTCTCAGATTACAACTTCTTTGCAGTTGATGTGTTCTTGTGACTAATTCTGGCCAGTGGTATGTGAGCAGTAATATGTGCCACTGCTTGGATCATATGTTTTATTCCCTGCCTTTTCCCCTTTTCCACTAAGAGATGATGAGCAGTGGAGCAGCTGCCTTAAACCCAGAAGTGGACGTTGTGTGCTGAAGGTAGCAGGGCTGGCTGCTCCAACAACCTGAAACCACTTATTTAGAAACAATGTAAAAAAGATATGTGCTTTTGTGTTATTTATTTAACCTATACCAAATTAGGGACTATTTGTTACAGCATATTAAACTCTTCCCTACTTAAAGTATGAAACTGTCATAGAATACTTCTCTTTTTTTGGAGTACAGAAATGGAGGCATGAGGGGGCCATTCACTAGGAAGAGGAAATGCAGAAGAGGGAGAGTTTGGGAAACAATCGTGGAGTTAGTTATAAACGAGATAAGTTGAGATGACTTTAAAGCACTCAGGTAGCGATGTATATATGGGTATGCAGCTGAATAAAAAGAGATACAGCTGAAGCCATAAGTAAACTCTTTCATTATTACAGTTTTAATACCAGCTTCACAGCAAATGAAAAAATATACGTTGTTCTGAAATAGCTTGTAATAATATCAAGTGCTAAAGGATAGGTTCTCCCCTGAATTTTATTAACTTCCAACATTTATCTAAAAATACATTTTAAGATTATGAATGTTTGAAATAGATTATCCCATTTTATTTTATATTTGTGAATAAACACTTGTTTCTAAAAAGCTAGCCTTTGAAAAGCTAGTTTAGAAATTTATGTCAGAAGAAATTATAACAAACTATCTCTCAGACCACGGTGCAATCAAACTAGAACTCAGGATTAAGAAACTCACTCAAATCCGCTCAACTACATGGAAACTGAACAACCTGCTCCTGAATGACTACTGGGTACATAACGAAATGAAGGCAGAAATAAAGATGTTCTTTGAAATCAACGAGAACAAAGACACAACATACCAGAATCTCTGGGACACGTTCAAAGCAGTGTGTTGGGGGAAATTTATAGCACTAAATGCCCACAAGAGAAAGCAGGAAAGATCCAGAATTGTCACCCTAACATCACAATTAAAAGAACTAGAAAAGCAAGAGCAAACACATTCAAAAGCTAGCAGAAGGCAAGAGATAACTAAAATCAGAGCAGAACTGAAGGAAATAGAGACCAAAAAACCCTTCAAAAAATTAATCCAGGAGCTGGTTTTTTGAAAGGATCAATAAAATTGATAGACCGCTAGCAAGACTAATAAAGAAAAAAAGAGAGAAGAATCAAATAGACGCAATAAAAAATGATAAAGGGGATATCACCACTGATCCCACAGAAATACAAACTACCATCAGAGAATAGTACAAACACCTCTGCGCAAATAAACTAGAAAATCTAGAAGAAATGGATAAATTCCTCAACACATACACTCTCCCAAGACTAAACCAGGAAGAAGTTGAATCTCTGAATAGACCAATAACAGGATCTGAAATTGTGGCAATAATCAATAGTTTACCAACCAAAAAGAGTCCAGGACCAGATGGACTCACAGCCGAATTCTACCAGAGGTACAAGGAGGAACTGGTACCATTCCTTCTGAAACTATTCCAATCCATAGAAAAAGAGGGAATCCTCCCTAACTCATTTTATGAGGCCAGCATCATCCTGATACCAAAGCTGGGCAGAGACACAACCAAAAAAGAGAATTTTAGACCAATATCCTTGATGAACATTGATGCAAAAATCCTCAACAAAATACTGGCAAACCAAATCCAGCAGCACATCAAAAAGTTTATGCACCATGATCAAGTGGGCTTCATCCCTGGGATGCAAGGCTGGTTCAATATACGCAAATCAATAAATGTAATCCAGCATAGAAACAGAACCAAAGACAAAAACCACATGATTATCTCAATAGATGCAGAAAAGGCCTTTGACAAAATTCAACAACCCTTCAGGCTAAAAACTCTCAATAAATTAGGTATTGATGGGATGTATCTCAAAATAATAAGAGCTATCTATGACAAACCCACAGCCAATATCATACTGAATGGGCAAAAACTAGAAGCATTCCCTTTGAAAACTGGCACAACACAGGGATGCCCTCTCTTACCACTCTTATTCAACATAGTGTTGGAAGTTCTGGCCAGGGCAATTAGGCAGGAGAAGGAAATAAAGGGTATTCAATTAGGAAAAGAGGAAGTCAAATTGTCCCTGTTTGCAGACAACATGATTGTATATCTAGAAAACCCCATTGTCTCAGGCCAAAATCTCCTTAAGCTGATAAGCAACTTCAGCAGTCTCAGGATACAAAATCAATGTACAAAAATCACAAGCATTCTTATACACCAATAACAGACAAACAGAGAGCCAAATCATGAGTGAACTCCCATTCACAATTGCTTCAAAGAGAATAAAATACTTAGGAATCCAACTTACAAGGGATGTGAAGGACCTCTTCAAGGAGAACTACAAACCACTGCTCAATGAAATAAAAGAGGATACAAACAAATGGAAGAACATTCCATGCTCATGGGTAGGAAGAATCAATATCGTGAAAATGGCCATACTGCCCAAGATGATTTATAGATTCAATGCCATCCCCATCAAGCTACCAATCACTTTCTTCACAGAATTGGAAAAAACTACTTTAAAGTTCATATGGAGCCAAAAAAGAGCCTGCATCGCCAAGTCAATCCTAAGCCAAAAGAACAAAGGTGGAGGCATCACGCTACCTGAGTTCAAACTATACTACAAGGCTACAGTAACCAAAACAGCATGGTACTGGTACCAAAACAGAGATATAGATCAATGGAACAGAACAGAGCTCTCAGAAATAACACCGCATATCTACAACTATCTGATCTTTGACAAACCTGAGAAAAACAGGAAATGGGGAAAGGATTCCCTATTTAATAAATGGTGCTGGGAAAACTGCCTAGCCATATGTAGAAAGCTGAAACTGGATCCCTTCCTTACACCTTATACAAAAATTAATTCAAGATGGATTAAAGACTTAAACATTAGACCTAAAACCATAAAAACCCTCGAAGAAAACCTAGGCATTACCATGCAGGACATAGGCATGGGCAAGGACTTCATGTCTAAAACACCAAAAGCAATGGAAACAAAAGACAAAATTGACAAATGGGATCTAATTGAACTCAAGAGCTTCTGCACAGCAAAAGAAACTACCATCAGAGTGAACAGGCAACCTACAAAATGGGAGAAAATTTTCACAACCTACTCATCTGACAAAGGGCTAATATCCAGAATCTACAATGAACTCAAACAAATTTACAAGAAAAAAACAAACAACCCCATCAAAAAGTGGGCAAAGGATATGAACAGACACTTCTCAAAAGAAGACATTTATGCAGCCAAAAGACACATGAAAAAATGCTCATCATCACTGGCCATCAGAGAAATGCAAATCAAAACCACAATGAAATACCATCTCACACCAGTTAGAATGGTGATCATTAAAAAGTCAGGAAACAACAGGTGCTGGAGAGGATGTGGAGAAATAGGAACACTTTTGCACTGTTGGTGGGACTGTAAACTAGTTCAACCATTGTGGAAGTCAGTATGGGGATTCCTCTGGGATCTAGAACTAGAAATACCATTTGAGCCAGCCATCCCATTACTGGGTATATACCCAAAGGACTATAAATCATGCTGCTATAAAGACACATGCACACGTATGTTTATTGCGGCACTATTCACAATAGCAAAGACTTGGAACCAACCCAAATGTCCAACAATGATAGACTGGATTAAGAAAATGTGGCACATATACACCATGGAATACTATGCAGCCATAAAAAATGATGAGTTCATGTCCTTTGTAGGGACATGGATGAAATTGGAAACCATCATTCTCAATAAACTATCGCAAGGACAAAAAACCAAACACTGCATGTTCTCACTCATAGATGGGAATTGAACAATGAGAACACATGGACACAGGAAGGGGACCATCACACAGCAGGGCCTGTTGTGGGGTGGGGGGAGGGGGGAGGGATAGCATTAGGAGATATACCTAATGCTAAATGACGAGTTAATGGGTGCAGCACACCAGCATGGCACATGTATACATATGTAACTAACCTGCACATTGTGCACATGTACCCTAAAACTTAAAGTATAATAATAAAAAAAAGAATGGCAAATATGCACATAAAAAAAAGAAATTTATGTCAGAAGAATTCCCTGATTTAGTGAGATTAGGTTATTGGTAATTATATTAGTTATCTACTGATGCATAACAAATTACTCCCAAAATGTAGTGAGTTTAAACAAGGAACATTTGTTATCTCATAGTTTGCATGGCCCAGGAATCTGGGCACAACTTAAATGGGAGCCTGAGGCTCAAAGTCTATCAGGAGGTTGTCAGCAAGCTGCAGGTCACATCTCAAAACTCAACTGGGGCTCAAAGATCTGTTTCCAAGCTCTTTGAGTGGTAATCAGACAGCTTTAGTTCCTTGAAGCCTGTTGAATTGAGGCACTTATTATTCACTATGCTACAGGGGGCTTTCCACAGGGCTGCTAACGACATGGCAGCTTGCTTCCCCCAGCATGAGTAATGAGAGAAAGAGACACTGCAGAAGGAAGGTACAGCCTCCTTAAAATCGTATCATGGACGTGCCATCCCATCACCTCTGCAGTATTCTAGTCATTAAAAATGAATCTGTAAGCTCAGCCCACTCAAGGGGAGATTATATAAGGATCAGAATATCTGCGGCAGAAATTATTGGAGGCCATTTTAGAGGCTGACTACCACAGTAATCAATAATGATCCTAATGAACCAAGAAGAAATTCAGACCTGGCATGGTGGCTTATTCCTATAATCCTAACACCTCAGAAGGTCAAGGCAGGAGAAATTGCTTGAGCACAAGAGCATGAGATCAGTCTGGGCCACATGGAAAGACCCTGTCTCTATAAAAAATAAAAATAAAAAAATTAGCTGGGCCTGGTGGCATGCACCTATGGTGGTCTCAGCTACTCAAAAGGTTGAGGTGGGAGGATCACTTTAGCATGAGAGGTTGAGGCTGCAGTGAGCCATGATCATACCACTGCACTCCAGCCTGGGTGATGGAGTAAGATCCTGTCTCAAAAAAAAAAATAAAGAAAAAAAATTCAAAACCTCAATGTATGAATAACAAGTAACGAGATCAAAGCCGTAATAAAAAGTCTCCCAGCAAAGAAAAGCCAAAGACCTTATGGCTTCACTGTTGAATTTTGCCAAACATTTAAAGAAGAACTAATACCCATCCTACTCAAAAGTATTCCAAACAAGAGAGGAGGAGGGCATACTTCCAAACTCATTCTGTAAGACCAGTGTTAACCTGATACCAAAACCAGACAAAGATACATCGAAAAAATAAAACCACAGGCCAGTATCCCTGATGAACATGGATACATAAATCCTCAACAAAATAAATAGCAAACCAAATTCAATAACACATTAAAAAGATCATTTGTCCTGACCTAGTGAGATTTATCCCTGGGATGCAAGGAAGTTTCAACATTCACAAATCAATCGATACGATGCATCATATTAACAGAATGAAGGACAAAAACCATATGATCATTTTCATTGTTGCCAAAAAAAGCATTTGATAAAATTCAACATCCTTTCATGATAAAAACCCTCAAAACACTGGATACAGAAGGAACATACCTCAACACAATAAAAGCCACATGTGACAGACCCACAGCTAGTATTGTACTGAATGGAGAAAAACAAAGCCTTTCCTCTAAGATCTGGAACATGACAAGATTCTCCACTCTCACCACTGTTATTCAGCATAATACTACTGGAAGTCCTAGCTAGAGAAATCAAACAAGAGAAATAAATAAAGGACATCCAAATTGGAAAGGAAGAAGTCAAATTATCTCTGTTTGCAGATGATATAATCTTATATTTAAAAAAACGAAAAGACTCCACCAAAAAATATTAGAATTGATAAACAAATTCATAAAGTTGCAGTATACAAAATCGACATACAAAATTCAGTAGCATTTTTATATGCCAACAGCAAACATTTTAAAAAAGAAATCAAGAAGGTATTCCTATTTACAACAACTACAAAAAAATTAAATACCTAGGAATTAACTAAAAAGGTGAAAGATCTCTATAATGAAAACTATAAAACACTGATAAAAGAACTTGAAGAGGACACCAAAAAAATGGAAAGATATTCCATGTTCATGTTGATGGATTGGAAGAATCAATGTTGTTAAAATCTCCACATTACCTAAAGTAATCTACTGATTCACTGCAATACCTATCAAAATACTAATAGTTTTTCAAGGAAATAGAAAAAGAATATCCTAAAATTTATATGGAACCACAAAAGACCCAAAATAGCCTAAGCTATCCTAAGCAAAAAAAAAAAAAAAAAAAAAAAAAATGGAGGAATCCCTTTACCTTACCTCAAATAATACTGTGGAGCTATAGTAACCCAAACAGCATGGCACTGGTATAAAAACAAACACATACTTCAATGGATCACAATAAATTGCCGAGAAACAGATCCTTACTTCTACAGTAAACTCATTTTCAACAAAGGTGCCAAAAACATACATTGGAAAAAGGACAATATCTTCAATAAAAGGTGCCGGGAAAACAATATTTTTATGCAAAAAAAAATTTTACCATTTACAAAAAATCAAATCAAACTGAATTAAAAACTTAACTATAAAATCTCAAACTGTGAAACTCCTACAAAAAATTATTGGGGAAACTCTCTGGGACACTGGACTGAGCAATGATTTCTTGAGTTATATTCCATAAGCACAGGCGACCAAAGCAAAAATGGACAAATGGGATCACATCAAGTTAAAAAGCTTCTGCACAGCAAAGAAACCAGTCTACAAAATGGACAGACTGCCCACAGAATGGGAGAAAATATTTACAAATTATCCATTTAACAAGGGATTAATTATTAGAATATATAAGTGGCTTAAACAACTCTATAGGGAAAAATATTTGATTTTAGAATGGGCAAAAGATGTAAATAGACATTTCTCAAAAAAGACATGCAAATGGAAAACATATATAAAAAGGTGCTCAACATCATTGCTTATCAGAGAAATTCAAATTAAAACTACAATGAGATATCATCTCACAGCAGTTAAAATGGCTAATATCCAAAAGACAGGCAATAACGAATGCCGGCAAGGATGTAGAGAAAGGGAACCCATATACACTGTTGGGTTGGTGGGAATGTAAATTAGTATAGCCACTATGGAAAACAGTTTGGAGGTTCCTCAAAAAACTAAAAATAGAATTACCATATGACCCAGCAATCCCGCCGGTGGGTGGGGATTTTATACCCAAAAGAATGGAAATCAGTACATTGAAGCGATTGCAGTCCCACATTTATCGCAGCACTACTCACAATAGCCAAGATTTGGAAGCAACATAAGTGCCCATCAACATATGAATGAAGAAAGAAAATACACGTATGCACAATGGAGTACTATTCAGCCAAAAAAAAGAATGAGATCCTATCATTTGCAGCAACATGGGTAGAACTGAAGGTTATTATATGATGTGAAATAAGACAGGCACAGAAAGAAAAACTTAGCATGTTCTAACTTATTGTGGGAGCTAAAAATTAAAACAATTGAACTCACAGAGATAAGACAGCGATGGTTACCAGAGGCTGGGAGGGTAGCAGCAGGGAGGGGCAAGGGGGAATGGTTAATGGGTACGAAACATAGTTCGATGGAGTGAATAAGATCTAGTATTTGATAGCACTACAGGGTGACTACAGTCAGCAATAATTTAACAGACATTTAAAAAATAACGGAAAATATAATTGAATTGTTTGTAACACAAAGAAAGGATAAATGCTTGAGGGAATGAACACTCCATTTACCCTGATGTGATGGTTATGCACTGTATGCCTGTATCAAAATATCTTATGTACCCCATAAATATATATACCTACTACATATCCACAAAAATTAAAAAAGCATGTTCCTAATAATATTAATATAGATTTATAGCCTTACTTCAATTCTCCCAGTTTTCAATTTTGAACAGTTTCAATCAATACTAAATTTAAATATACATACACACATATTATGGTAAGCATTTTGTAGAACACAAATATAAAATAAGTCATGGGACATGTCCTCTAATAGTTTCTGTTAAAACATGTGGGCTACTTACTTCCCAATTTGAAACTTTATATTACTTTTTGAGCTCATGTAAGGTATAGATAGGTACAGCTACAGAGATATATAAGATAAGATATAGATATAGGTATACATGATATAGGTAAGTGTGTGTGTGTGTGTGTGTATATATATATATAATATATATATATGCACATATATATATTTTCCACATGACAAAATGGGGTATGAGAGAGAAAATACTACATTTTTTCTTACATGAAGATAAATCAAATAATGTCTTTTGTTTTGTTTTGTTTTGTTTTGTTTTGGTTTTGAGACGAAATCTCACTCCGTCACCCAGGCTGGAGGGCAGTGGTGCGATCTCTGCTCACTGCAAGTTCCACCTCTGGGGTTCACGCCATTCTGCTACCTCAGCCTCCCGAGTAGCTGGGAATACAGGCGCCTGCCACCACGCCGGCCTAATTTTTTGTATATTTAGTAGAGATGGGGTTTCACCGTGTTTGCCTGGATGGTCTTGATCCCCTGACCTCGTGATCTACCCGCCTCGGCCCCCCAAAGTGCTGAGATTACAGGCGTGAGCCACCACTCCCGGCCCAAATAATGTCTTAATATTTATTGTTATTAGAACATTTACAGTGTCAAATATAAACAGTTACATCATATTTAAGAATTGATGTTTTTAATGTTCACCAATAAACATTTTTATTCTTAAAAAATGGGAATTAAATTTTTTTTAATATGAAGATGAAGAATGTAACACACTTTTGTGTTTCATATATTTACAGTGAAATTCAGGCGGTGAGTAATGATAAGCCTCTGCAAAGCTTCTTAAAAAATTCATTGCAGATATGATCCCATTTGTTAAGTATTAAGATTAATAAAAAAGCAATTAAATTAGGATAATTAACACAAAATTCAGTATTCATGCTCAGTAGGGTTACTCTATACTGGATTGTAATTGAAAACTGACATCTTCTTAGCCAGCGTACTAACTAAGGGCTTTTATTTTATCTTGAGAAGATTACCTATCAGTATAAATCCAGAGATTAGAAAACTCTTCGTAATTACACAAATTGCCTCTGTAATATCATGTCAGTTTGAATGTTACACAAAGATAGAGCAACAAGGCTAAAAAATTAAAATAAACAGCCATTCTACTGCTGGAGAAAAGTCTATTAAAAGGTCATACTCTGTCCTCTACTAAGAAAATATCAAAGAGTTTCAATTCTTTATTGATCAACTCATTTCCATGATGTGAATTGCTATAAACTATTGACATAGGTAAAAGGGAAAAGATAAATTTAAATGTTCAAATAAATGATTATGCTACTCCCATCCAAATATAAAACATTTCCTATACCATTGTTTTGTTTATCCTACATATCAAACTACTGTATATGATGAGAGAGTCCATAGGAGCATCTTATATATCAGCACTACTGTCAAAATGTATACTCTATCAACAGTCATATTTAAAATCATTGTCCTACAATTTAAACAATAATCATGTAGAAATAACTGAGTAAAGTGTTAACTCATTAGGTAGAGTTAATGGAATAGGCAAAAGATTCTTGGGCAGGTAGAGAATTTCTCACAGCTTGTCTAAGATGAGCAAAAAATAATTGCACCATTGTTTGGATATATAATATCCAATATTCATTCATCAAGATTCCAGCAAACGTTGGTTAAGCTTTTCTTATGCAACAGATACTGTTCTAAGCACTCTGTGGGATACAAGGATAAATAAAAAGATGATAATATAAGAAGTGATGCATGAAGCACACTGCTTATAATGTCATAGAACCTAACCTCAAATAGTGTATAATACAACATGAGCATTATTTATTTCCCACTTCGAAACTATATTACTTTTTGGAGCTCAGATAAGAAACTATTAAGGGAATTTCCCTTCATAAGTCAGCATCTTTCTTTTTCCTCTGCTAGAAATCATGCAAAAGTTGCAATGATAATAAAGACCTCTCTAACTGCATTTTCAGGAAAACTAGAACGCAGAATTGAAGAGTTAAATATAAGAAATTGCAGGAAATAATATGAGAGTTATAAAATTGATCAGTGGCAGCATATTTCAGAAAGCATCAGCAAAAGTATATTTCCTGAAGGTGAGTGTGGCTCACTGTGAATTGTGAAATTATATCTCTTTTTTTTTGCATTAATGGAAGTGGGAACTGGTCTGAGCAGTGCTGATGACAAGTCTGCCCCCATCCCTATCCAAAGTCATTTGGATGAAGAGAACACAGGTGAGAGGGTTACACAAAACTCTCCCAGAAGAGACATTTTAGCAACAAAGCAACAAACAATCGAGAGATATATTTGTCAGCAGAGGAAAGAAAATTTGGACTTTGAAATCTAGAAGATCCTCTGGAATATCTAACCCTAAAGAAACCTCCTGCAAATAGCTTGCCCAGGAAAATTTCAACTCATTCAGTGATGAGTAATATGAAAGGGACTGGAACTGCATCCATACACTGATAGTACACAAAATGAAGCACAATGCGCACCACAGAGTCAAAACATTGTCATGGTGCCTGTGATAGTTAGGGACAAATATCTCAGCATATATTGAGAAAAACAACCTCATTAAACAACAGCCTTCATGGCGTTAGACTGGAAACACAAATAGAGAACTCAGGCAAGAGATGTCGAGGAAGATGTGAGCTGAGTTTTGATCTGTCTTATCTCAGAAAAAAAAAGTAGATAATATGAATTTTTGCAAAAATATAGGGAAAGAAGACCACAAAGAAAAATTGTTGCTATAAAAAATATAGTGAGATGGAGAATAGAAAACTAAAATATGAAAGAAAAAGACAAAAATAACTTAAAATGTTAGCTATTTAAATTAGGTAGTATAGGCATAATTGGAGTCCCTGTTGAAGGAAGCGAAATAAGAAAACCAAATAATGGAAAACTATATAGAAAGGTATAATTTTTAAAAAATTCATGGACAATCACAAATGAACAAATATGGTACGATTACACTTATGTGGAATAAAAGAATCAAATTCATAGAAAGTAAAATGGTGGATGGTGGTTGCCAGGCGCTGTGGGGAAGAGGAAATGAAGAGTTATTGTTTAGTGGGTATGGAGTTTCAGTTTGGGAAGATGACAAATTCTTCAGACAGATGCTACTGATGATTGCACAACAATGTGAAGGTACTTAATGTCACTGAACTGTATACTGAAAAAAGATTAAAGTGGTAAACTTTATGTTATGTGTATTTTGCCACCAAAAAAAAAATTCATGAAAGAAGAACAGACTTGACTTTTCATAAGAAAAAGGATCACCTTCTGGTATAGAAAACTGACCTAGAGCAGGCCAAGACATAGTCTATCAAAAATGTTGGACATTAAAGATAGACAGGCAAAATATTAAGACAGTTGTAGGGGGGAAGCAAATAAGTCTAGCCTCAGATTTCTCTATGGAAATTGTCAACACCAGAAGTCAGTGGAACAACATCTAAAAGATACTTAAGGATAGGAAGCATGAACCCAGGATTTTGTATGCAGACGAGCGATACTCAAGTATAAAGTTACAGATCATTGTTTTAAATATGCAAGAAACTGGGAATTTTATTCCCAAGAGACCATCTTAAGACAAACACTAGAGGAAGAGACTTCAGCTCATTAGGAAAGATTGATAAAAACATGACAAAAGAACTGGCAGAAAACTTTGAATATGTTTGACTGTAAAATAAATGTGACAATTATGGTTAAGTGAGAGAAGGCAAAGGTATATTCTCTGACAATGAAGAAATAATAAGAGAAAAAGTAGGAAAGAGAAGGTAGGAAAAGACTGAAAGAAGAATAATTTTCTGATTGTCTCATCTTGGAGTCAAAGAAGGTCATTTACAGTTGACCAATAAAATACAAATACAGAGAATATATATTTGCAATGTTACACATTTATATTTTACCTAATTGTTAGAATAATGCACAAAATCAGGAGTTAAAACCATAACTAATTTTCAAGAATCTGCGGTTTGGCTGAGGCAGCTCTGCCTCAGGAGGCAAGTCTGTGGCTCCAAGTCTTCTTTATGTGGCTGTAACTCTTTTGGAGATAGAAACTAGCTAACCAGGCGTGATTTTATGCTGATGATAGAGGCTCAAGAGACCAAGTGGAAACACATAATGCTTCTTCCCTCTTAACATTGAAATGACCGTCACTTTTCTGAGCTCACTTTTTTTTTTTTGTAATACCTTCTCATACATAACCAAAAGCAACCAAAACATGCTTCTGACATTCTAGAACCATCTTGTTCAACCTTCCATTCTGCCTGAAATCACAAGATGATTGGCTGCATTTTATAATTTTTGATCTAAAGTAAGTAAACCTTTTGCTGTCTACCTTTTATAAACTTTTAACCGTGTGAGTATAGTGGCTTTACAAAAAATTAAAAAATACTATTTAGAGGGAGAGCATGATTTTGGGAAATAAATTAAACCATTAAACAGAATATTCGGGTTTTGGTTCAGATTCAGTTACTAACTTGCTTGTGACTGTAGATGAGCCACTTAATCCCCTGAGCTTAGTTCCCTCATCTGTAAAAATGATGGGGTTGGATTAGGCAATCTTCAAGTTTCTTCCTCCTTTAATATTCGGTGGGTCTATGATTTAATACAGTGTTCACCAAACTGTGGCCCAGGAAAATAGCTCTGGAGTCCAGCCATTATTCCATCTTTTTATCGGCACTTCCGTCCTCTGCTTTCCTGAAACACAGGAATAATGAATAACTGTTTTCCCAATCCTAAAATTATATAATTCAAGTCATGTAAAGGATAAATATTAGGAAACTCAAGAAACAGCATGCTTTCAAAGGCATTCAAAACAAATGATGACAGGAAAATTCCCTAAAAGACTTACATTGAACCATTGTTTTATCTGTTTTTTGTTTTGTTTTGTTTTGTTTGAGACAGAATCTCGCTCTGCCGCCCAGACTGAAGTGCCGTGGTGTGAACTTGGCTCACTGCAACCTCCACTTCTGGGTTCAAGAGATTCTCCTGCCTCAGCCTCCCAAATAGCTAGGATTACATGCATGTGCCACCACTACTGGCATACATATATATATATAGTAGTTTTAGTAGAGACGGGGTTTCACCATTTTGGCCAGGCTGGTCTTGAACTCCTGACCTCCAGTGATCTGCCTGCCTCAGCCTCCCAAAGTGCTGGATTACAGGGGTGAGTCACTGCACCTGGCCTGAACTGTGATTTTAGACATCATAGAAATAGTAATAAAATCATGAACATATTTTAACATATGCATTTAATATAAATCTACAAAAATTACCTTTTCTTCATGTATAGATTACAATATGGAATTTGGGTAAACCCCAGGAAATTTTCTGTTCATTGTAAGATTAAGCTCAATTAAAGCTGAGAGTGAAATATTTCTTCCCCCTGTTGTCTAGCAATTCATGATTAACATGACTTATGTTAATCTTACAGTTATGTGCCTACATTCTGTGTCCTATCTCTGCATCTTATAGAAAGTAAGATACCACTTACTTCCTCAGTAACTTCCACACACACTACAGCACTGTGTACACGTATGTGCTCTAATATGGTTCTATTTTGACTGGCCCATGACATGAGGAAACAGATGAGGCGGCAGGGCAGATGTAGCCCTCTTAGATGACGAAGAATTCTAAATTCCCCCTCATTAATATAAATGAACAAATGAAGAAAATAGGCAAAGTAGGCAAAGTTTTTCTGTCCATTATGTTAGCAGCCTTTTCCAAAGTGAATCAATGTCCCAGGTCTGAGAACCTACATTTATACAGTGAAAATATTTGCACAATCAAAAATATAACAGTGGTATTTTTTGCTCTCCTATCCAAGGAGGATTTGATACCCAGATATTTCCCTTAACAAGAAGGGAAGGATGACTGTGCCTCTTTGTCTCAAAACGCAGGTTGAATGAAGCTGTGGAGAGTAAGATTGCAACATTCAGTGCAATCTCCATACATCCTCTGGACACATGGAATATGCCTAGCTGGTGTGCCATTTTAGTAGTGTCTTACTACATTTCTTCTTTCATTAATCTAAGTGTACTTTTTGTTTTCCACAGGAACTTTCTGGAAACCACAATTTTTCTCATCTAAGAAATGATAGATTTCTTTCATATCTTGCACTGCAGTCAGAATCAGCATTCCTTAAATAAATGGTCTCACATAGTCCCAATTCTATATGATGACATCATCCTTGTTCCCTACACATGAAAGTATGTGTTTTGTGATTTTTTTAAAGTCAGTATCTCCTATGAAGCTGTATAAACCACTAAAATCAGACTGGCAGAACTGAACTTTTTTTTTTTTCAGTCAGAGAAGGATCATGTAAATACAAACAAGATTCAGTTAGGGCAATAAAACTCCATCTCATTTTTTTGTAGGTCTGAAACAGCTGCTTTATTATGTGAGCCAAGAGAAGTTTGGGTGGCTCTACTCAGAGGAATTCTGTCCTAATTATCCTCAATCATCATGGATATCACCTGTTTTGACATCCTTGATTCAAAACTGGTCTTACTTCTTGATTAATTTTCTATTACAGAATTTGTGTTTGCATGAAGCACATCAATGATACATAAAGTGTATCTGAATGTTATTTTATATGTATCTTCTCTACTCTTTTTATTGTGTTAAATGACCACATTATTCCTTTGTAAAACCTATTACAATTATATCCAACTATAATAATGTAGTATAATATTATTAAAAGCAATCCCCCAAATGCAATACTACAGTAATGCTTTAACAAATTATTGTTTCTTCTCTCAAATTATATAAGATTTTCACTGACTAAAAAAAAGTGCCTCCATTTCCTTAATTACATATATATTTTCTCTTGCTTTCGTCTTTCAAAAGTCATAAAATTGAACTGAAAATATCATTATTTGGATTAGTAGCCTTGTAGAAAAATGCTTTACAATATTACAATTTGGATTAGTTGTTTTTGGGAAACTGAAATCCCACCAGTTCCAAAACTATTGCTTTCACTCCTGAGAAATAACTGAAAATAAAATGCTATTTTACAGTGCTATTAAAATTGGGTAGGAGTTGATATGAGAAGTGAAATCAGTCGTTTTTCAAAGAAGACCAGAAACAAACACAAGAAAATCTAAGAGTTTAAAAATATTAAATATATTAGATTCATAAATTAATCATGACATTGGTCCAAGAGGACCTCAAACTAAAAATACATATTGTGCTTGTTCTACTCCTACTGACTCCCTGTTTTCCATTTCTAAGATGCTGTAGTATTATCTCAATAAAAAATTTTCTGGTTTTGTCAATTTTCTTTAATGTGGGAAATCATTATGATGTATATTTTCAAAGCATTTTGAATTTAAACTTAGGTACCCTGGTGTTTTCAGAGGTGATATAACCTTTGAGATATTGCTACATTACTATTTGTTATCACTTAAAACCACTCGATATTTCCTGGGATCTTGGATTCCAAAATTAATGAACCAGCTTAGCAAAATCATTGCAGATCACCAACAGCTGTTTTTATTTCACAGGACACCTAAGTTAGCAAAAGCCTTCTGGGGATTTCATATTGTCAGAAAGAGAACACAGCTTGTCTGGAATATCATCATGCCAGCCACCAAGTTCATAAAAAAACTCTAAGGCAGAAGAGAATACATCCTTTAACTCTTTTTGCCTCTGAAGTTGGAGAGGTGATTTGTTTTGGACTTGAGGTCCCGTAAAACAAGCAGACAAGATTGGGTGCGGTGGCTCATGCCTGTAATCTCAGCACTTTGGGAGGCCGAGGCAGGTGGATTATGAGGTCAGGAGATTGAGAGCATCCTGGCTAATATGGTGAAACCCCATCTCTCCTTAAAAAAAAAAAAAAAAAAAAAAAAAAAAAAAAATTTTCCCGGGTGTGGTGGCGGGTGCCTTTATTCCCAGCTCCTCCAGAGGCAACAGAGCAAGATTCCTTTTCAAAAAAAAAAAAAAACCAACCACCAAAAAAAAAAACCCAAGAAAAAAAAAAAAGCCGACAAGAATAGTTTTTGAGACCTACATAACTTTTTTACCAAGTCTACTCATTCGTCATTCAACTTCAGGTGCAAGACTCTGGATTTTGTGCAGTGTAAATATATAGAAAAAAAAACTACAAATTTTGTCCTGAAGGACCTATTAGCTTATGAATGGAAGTAATGAATTTACACAAACACCTGGATAAATGGTGAAAACTAAACTCACCCAATTCCACTGGTACCAAACCTATGCCTTCTCATACATGCCCTGTTTTAGTAATGTTACCCACTCCCCTCAGAGACAGACACCTAGCAACCTTGCTAACTCCTTCTTCTGCCATTACCTTTCTATCCCTGCTACCCAAGTTTTAGATGAGAAATCAATCTCATTCCCTTTCCCCTCAATAATTGTCTGACTGGTTCCCCTCATTCCACAGCTTCTTCGAGATGACATTTCTAATATAAACATCTGATCACAT
The DNA here is from genome assembly GCF_000001405.40 of Homo sapiens. NCBI lineage: Eukaryota > Metazoa > Chordata > Mammalia > Primates > Hominidae > Homo > Homo sapiens. Next base: position 16,772,718 of record NC_000021.9, read on the forward strand.
TCCGTACTGATAACCTACAAGCTAAGCTCCAAACTCTCATTTGGAAAGTAAGGTCTTTGCCATCTGACTCCTGACTGTCTCTCCCATCTTAGTCCTCATCACTTCCCTCCATGCCATGCAAGTTCCAGCTACTCTGAGCTACTTAGTTATCCTCAAACATGTATTTAAGCACATGCCATCGCCTGTGTCCGTTCGTCTGGAATGTCTTGTGCCATCCCACTGTATACCCTGTGTGGTTCACTGTGAACTCATTCACCCTTCATTCTCAGTCCAAGCATCTTTTTCCTGTAATATATTTCATAATGCCTCAATAATTATATAGCATTTTATCTACATAATAGTATCAGTTGTCCTATGCTTTCACTACCTTTCAACATGACATTGTATTTATTATCATGTCTGTCTCACCACGAATTTGTGAACTTCTTGATGGTAGAGACAATATGAATTTTTTTTCGTGTTCATATCCCCAGTTCTTAGTGCAATACTGAACACACAGTAAATACTCAATAACTATTCAATTAAAAATACAATTATAAAGTAATAAGACAAGTCAGAACGTGGAAAATGCCATATCCCTAATAATAGTTAGATATGAGTTAAGAGAGAGTATATAAAGATGAGAAAAACAGGAAAAGCTTTATGGTGTATGTTGCACTTGAGCCAATCATAGAAGAATGCAAAGAATTTGCAAACACAAAAATGGAAGGGAGAAAAATTTAGCTTGGGGAATTGCATGACTGGTAACAGAAAGTTGAAAAAAATATTTGCTGTGTATGAGGAACTGGTTTGAATAGAGAATAAGGGCAAGAAAAAAATTATAATAAATAAGGTAGAAAAGTTACCTTAGAGAATAGATTCTTGGAGGTCATGAATATCCAGTTAAAAAGTATAAAATTCATATTTTATCTCTAAGAAATAAAGTATAAATATATTGAAAAATTGTCTTCACACACACATTGTATCAGGCAAGGGAACTATAATAAATTAAGTAGAAAAGTTAGCTTGGGAAAATATGGAAGTCCACATACAATTATTTTTCTCTAGGAAATATGGATATATTAAAAGATAAATAGAGGATTCTGCTATAGTTTTTATATAAATACAGTTATAGACATTGACATTGATATCCTGGCAAATTAAGGCCAAACAATTAAATAGAATACAGACAGTGTAGAAGAATGATTTTGACAATCTGAATTTGGATAATTGAAATTCAGAGTATATAAAATTTTAGGAGACATAATCTACATAATTTGGTACCTGGATAGAGGAAATAGGTAAGGAAAAGGGGAAAGACAAGGGAGAGAGATATCAGTCAAATAACCCATTGATTGAGCACCTCCTCTCTATTACCTTGTACCATTAATTTGCTTCCCTTGTATAAGCCAGATAAGTTTACTGAAAATGGGGCCCTTCATTATCTGTTCTGAAACTCTACCACTCAGTTGAGGGTGTGGTTTATTTGAGTTAATCAACAAATTTTGAATGGATCTAACTACAGTTGAATAGTTAATAAGACTATGGCTTATGTTAAGTTTACCAGTCTTTGGTTTATCTTATGAAGGGTAGTCAACAATCAAATCTGTACACTGTGCCTTTTGAAGACCTGGGACTACATAACATATAGCTCAATGGGTTCTTATAGTTCAGTGGCCCCTGCTGTTTAATCTTAATGCACATGGAAAAAAAAAATGTCAGCTTGAGGAAGAACTCTCTTATTGTAACAGTACATACACCGTTTTATGCTAAACATAGTGAGCCATACCATGTTTGCCAACAAATTATTCTTGGCAAAAATAGCAACAATTGTGTATTTAAAGTTCCCCCCAAAATACTGTTTGTCGTTCAAATGATGAAATGTAAATTTAGAAAACCAAGGGAATTAAGACACTGAATCTTTTATGCCCTCTTTATTACGTTTTCTCTGTGGAAAATAAACTGTGCTGTATAAAGTATCACCTTGAGAAAAAGGAATACAAAAATACTTTGGCTGCCACTTTACAAAAATTCTGTTAGCTACTTTTATTTGCACATTTTTTTCTTTTTTCTTTCCTAATGGTTTTCATTATAATTTAAATATATAGAGAAATTACCTCCCGGGATATACTAATCTTGAATACTTCCTTGTTATGTCTAGAATAGGTTATTACAAAGCTTCTAAAAATCCTTGATATTTCTAAGGAAATATAGGAACTACCAACAATTATGGTTTCCTCCCCGTTTTCTCTGTAAATTCTAAAGTAATTGGATAGCATTAGGCCAATAATTATCTAATTTGAATTTTTAAAATATCAAAGTTGTCAAGGAATTGTCTTTCTGCGATGTGGGGCATTGAAAGGAAACTTGTGAATTACTACCCTTCTTTTCTGTGTCTATACATGACAGGATCTACTGTTCCTACAGTTAATTCAGTCAAAGAAACCATTTGATCTGAATGTGTGACCGAATGACCAGTGGTTTGACTGAATTCACAGCCACCGTGGCTGCTCTGCCCATGCGAGTCCACAAGGGCTTTGTTTGCTTGCTGGCAGTCTCTGCACAGAGAACACACAGCATATGCCAGGTGGCCATGTGTCTGAGGCAGAGGGAAGGGAGAACAAAGCAAAAAAAGATTCCATTTGGACAGAGATGCTTTAAGCCATCCGACTGCCAGTAACATATTAAAGAGAGAAGAAAATGCAATGATGCTTGAATATACTCAACAGTAAACAACTTTAAGCCTGAGCTTCAGATCACAAATCTCCCTCTGCCGCTGCTGACATGCTCAGCTTGAACGTGGTTGCAGGAGACAAAGGAACCTGCTCCAGGAAGAAAACAGAAGAGAGAATTCTCACCCTGATTTTAATCTATCTCAGATGAATGTTGAAGAACCAGTGATACCATAACAATTGTATTCTTATGTCAAAAACCTGTTCTGTTGAAGGTGAGAATAGAGGAAGAAGGTTCTAGAATGGCAAAAACGAGAACTCACTTTCCTGTCCACCTCTTTTTTCTTTATGTCAACCCTCCATTTGGCACTTATCACACTGCTCACCACTGGCTTCCCAACAAACCGTGAAATGAAAAAGACAGATGTTAATGCCATCTCAGAAGAGTTGGGAGCTGCAAACTATTATTTTAGAAAGTCAGCAGGGCAATGTGGATTCCTTTAAAAGTGGAATATCATTTCTCAAATAAGTGTAATATTGCCCCCATTCCCTGCCTCATGATTTAGGATAAATAAATTTTCTTTTCTGTATTATTTTCTCATTACTCATTAATTGAGTAGCTGATATGGGCTAGATAGTGTGCTAGCAGCCTGATCTTCATTCAGTATTTTCAGTCTTCCCAACAGTGCTACTGAGCCCCACTGTGTTCATCTTACAGATGGAAATACTGACATTCAGAGGAGTTAGTTAACTTGCCTAGGTGATTCAGCTAATAAGTGCAAGAAAGATTTCAATCCAAGGTGATTTGATTCTGAAGCCTGTGCTAATCACATTACACCAAGCTACAACTTCATTTATAAATAATAAGTCAGCTTTCAAGGGCCTTTCAGGTGTCCTGCACTTCTACAAGCTGTGCCATTTAGTGAACACAAAATGAGCCTTCTGATGAAGTAGTCTTTTCATTATTTCAGATATTAGAACACTAAAATTCTTAGCTGCCAGCTGATTGAAGGCTGGGACAAAATTCAAACATGCATCTACAACAATATATATCTCAATGTTAGTCTCCAAATTCTATTGACTTCAACTCAAGAGAATATAAAGAGCTAGTCTTTATACACTCTTTAAGGTATGATATCATCTGGAAAGTAACAAAATTGATGCAAATTTGAATGAACTTTATCATGGTGTATTTACACAATGTGTTTCTTCTCCCTGCAATGTATTTCTTTCTCTAATTCCTTCCATTTGATCTTTCATACACAATCTGGTTCTGATGTATGTTTTTTGGATGCACTTTTCAACTCCAAAAGACAGAGCTAGTTACTTTCTTCCTGGTGCTCCAAGCACTGTATTTGTATCTGTATTCAAGCCCTTTGCAATATTGTACTGGATCATTATTTCACCTCTAGGATGGCTTCCCCAGGCAACTTGTGTTCACCCAGAGACTACATTTTGTATCTTGTTGACCTTTGAACTTCCACCAGTGTCTAAAAATAATATGTATGCAAAATTACTTGCTATGAGAATGTATAATTAAACAATATAAAAAGGAGAAGCAAGGAGAGAAACACAGGTGTGTATTTGTGTTTGTGTGCTTAAAAGGCAGTGTGGAAAAGGAAGAAATGCCATTTATAGTGAGGAGACAAAGTTATATTACCTCTTATCTGGCTTTTAAGGAGATTTTGCTGAGCTAAAAATCCTATATTCATAGAAAAGCCTTACCTGAGTTGCCAATACCATCTAAGATTATTCTTTAAAAAGGATTTTAAAGATCTAATTTACTTTTTGTCATGCACTGCTTGCTATTTGCATTCCACTCTGGCTGAACATTGAAATGAGACGAGCCTTTATCACCTTTGTGTCTGGTCACGTCTGCTTCCTCATCTCCCTGTGCTAGCACAGTGCTGCAGTACCAGGCTATAAACACAGCAGCAAAATCGTTCAGGAAAAGAAAAAGAAAAAGAATCAGAAAACAGAAAGCTGCTTTTGGTCATAATTGGATGAAAATATATGTAATAAAAACATTTCTATCGGTAGCAGGTTTTTTTAATAAGTTCTTCTTTTCTTTATAACTAAATTTTTGAAAATGCAGACATTTGGCCTTAGATATCTCATGGATGTAAAATTGGCATCAGATCAGTACAGTTTGCTAGCCAAGCTTAAAAAGGAAAATATAATGGGAAAACACTGTGATTTTATAGTTCTTATAAAAATGAGAAAATCACAACCTGCACAAAAACCCCAAGTTGAACATCCCTTAAATCTGCCACGAAAAGACCAAGATCCATGTTTTCAGTTTTGAGGATGACCTTAGAAACCTACGTGGGGTTTACTTTAGTTTACCCTAACGTAACTGTAGATCCATCTCAGCAAACAGATGTGCAGAACATGAGCTGTACATTCATTGGCTCAGGAAACGGAATTGAGAATTTAAGCTGATTTCCATTTTTATTATGTAGTATGACTTTTGCTTCTTTGTTCTCTCATAATAAACTTCAGTCCCCTTGAAAATACCCTAACTGATAACCTCTAACAGGGTTAGATTGTATGAGCTGACTGTAGACTTGTTTATGACTGCCTTACTCAAATATGCACCTGACATCCTTTCTCTCAGTGGAATAACAAATCAGATCTTTCCAGAGCAGAAGAGAGGTACAAGCTCTTCCTAATAAAATAAATATAGTACCACTTGTGTATGGTAGAATCTTTTGAACCAAATTAAAACTGTATTTTTGAGACAGACCTTTAGCATGGAAAACTCAGCATCTACAACCTTGCTAAAAAAGAGATTGCACTGAAAGATTCGCCACCTCCGCGGTGGGCATTTGTACCAACTCTTTATTTTTTACCCACCAAACCCTTTTACCTCCCTTGTCTTGTCTCTCTGTGCTCCCAGAGATGATTGTTGTGAATTCATGTCCTCAGCTCTCCTGCAGGCTGGACTTCAGTTAGGTTTGGCCCACAACCCCACCAACAAAAGAGGGTGGGAACACTTACTCTACTTTTCCTTGCTGCTTTGGTGCCACAACTGTGGCAGTGACTGTGTCCCTCTCCAGTTATGCTTTTATCAGAGAGTCCTTTTCCATGGTCCTCATTCCAGTGACCCACCATCACTCCAGGTCGTTCCTGTGTCCCTTTCGCCCTTGGAGCGGCCACATCTTCCTAATATTGCTGGTATTTGGATGTCTGACCAACTCTTGTTTGCTTTCTTATCCCTGTTCACACTCTAACTGTTGTTTCTTTTTTAAAAACTTTTCATATGAACCACCTGTGATGAATCCAGTGTCCTGCTTGGACCTTAATGCTAAAGAATGCAAACATTTCTTTCTTTAAAACAAAAATCAATGCTTACTTGAACAAAATAATCTACTAGACAGTCACAGATGGATTCTAATTGGCTTGCAGTAGTAGGAAGGCCACTGTGATCAAGGTTATCTAACTTCCTTCACCCTTACTCTCTGTGGCAGAGACTGATAGAACATGAAGCAACTAAAGTCTGTGTCTTCTAAGAACTTCAAGGAAGCTGTCAAAAGTCTTCCAGAGTCTTTAAGGAATCTGCTAGATTGAGTGGAAATATTTCATATTGATGGAGGCAGAGAGGGCACATGTATATTCTCCTGGCTGAGACACAGCATAAAGTCAAGGAGGAAGGGGACAGAGAAGATCTACCAAAGTCTAGTCCCCTTTAACTTGAAGTGGCAAGGATGGCTGAATTCTAGGACATCTCAGTAAAAGAAAAAGGTTTCTAAGACATCTTTTTGCCCAGAAAATAAGGACATCCTCACAAAATGAGCTGAACATATCAGGACAACCCAGGATTTAAAGATATAAAGGGGATCCCACTGACCAAATCTGGACATTTGAGCTAAAAAAAAAAAGTAGTGATAATCATTTATAACTCACTGAGTTACATGAGCATCCCTGAGTTCATATGGAAAGAAAAATAGAAAGAAAGCTCTTTCTTACAGTAAAATGCCAACTAATACATGTAACATCATAATGGAGTTAATAATCTAGCACTAATAATCAATGGATTTCAAATTAGTGGGTGAAAATTTGATAAAGAAGAGGCTATTTCAGAGTGTCAAAGAATGTCCCCACCAATTGCTTATTAATTACTAAGAGAAAAATAACAGTTTTACCATGGAGAAACCTAACAGATACCATGGAAGGGTGGCAGAATATGCCACCCAAAATATGCCGCTTTGGTATAAGGATTCCTTTGAGTTAAAGAGACTTTAAAAATAAGTAGCAGGTGCAGGAAGGACACTCTGATCCTCCTTTTATTCTTCCTGAAAATAGGAGATAAAAGCCCCATATGGAAGATGTCTTGCCTATACCAGAAGGAAAGTAACATTCTTATCATCAAGGACATGAAGTTGAGACTGAGAGAGTTCTGTACAAACAGACCTTGTTAAAATAATTCTTATCTTCCTTCAGCAACATTCCCCCACCCCGTGTAGTCTAGTTACTTTTCCACAATTGCCTCTTTTTCAATCTAATATAAAAACATTTAGGTTTTGCTACTTCTTTGGGTCATCATTTTCTTATGAGGACTCCTGTGTTATGTAAAACTTTTATGAGATAAATCTGTATGTTTTTCTCTGTGAATCTGTCTTATGTAAGTTTAATTCTTTGGCCCACTGAAAAACTAAGAGGCAAGAGGTAAAATTTTGCCTCCCCTGAACCATCTTAATCAAGGGTTCCATCAAAGTTACTATCACCAATATAGCAAAAAGTCCTATTACGTGCCTCCTGAGATGATATGCGAGAATAAACAACTCACTTTTTTTGTAATATTCTTGCTGAAACTGAGTGATGGACTCCTCTGTTAACTCAGGGTTCTTGATACAGAGAAATCGCTCTTGCTTTCATGTTGCTCACCTGACAGAAACTGCAATCTCATGTGTTGGAAAATATGTACCTGCTGAGATGGTACAAGGGGAAGCAGAGAGAGAGAAATCTTCAAAGACTGTTGGCATTCCAAAAGGCTGTGCCTGAGGCCACTAATGTAAAACTGAAGACTGTGAGAAGGATGTAACTAGAAGAGAGGGTCTGAGAGATGATGAAGAAAGAGAACAGAGCTGGGTGTGGTGGCTCATGCCTGTAATCCCAGTACTTTAGGGGGTTGAGGCTGGAGGATTTCTTGAGGCCAGGGGTTCAAGACCAGCCTGGGCAACACAGTGAGACCTCATCTCCATAAAATATTTAAAAATTAGTCAGGTGAGGTGGCATACACCTGTAGTCCCAGCTGCTGGGGAGGTTGAGGCAGGACAGGAGGATCTCTTGAGCCCAGGAGTTGGAAGCTGCAGTGAGCTCTGATTGCACCATTGCACTATAGCCTGGGTGACAGAGGGAGATCCTGTCTCAAAACAGAAAAAATAAATAAAATAAAAGGCAAAGTGGACTAATGGAAGACCATAGATCTACTCTTTTTTTTTCATGGATCTACTCTTAAGTCATTTTTTCTTCTTGCCTTGACTATGAATATTCCAGAACTTCTGCTTAAATAGAATATTTTATTTCACTTAGAATCTGTGGCATGTCTACTAAACATTTTCTTTCTCCGATTTTTCATCTCTCAAGCCTTCTGTGAGACAGGACCCCATTTATTATATCAGATATTTAAGCTGCCAACATTTTCAACTTGCTCATGATTTCTCTATTATTATTCAAATGTTAACATCTCATTCAATTCTAGAGCCCAGTGTTTGGTGAAATTCCTTCTTATATCAGTATCAGTATTGGCTGTCAAAGAGGTTTCCTTTATTTGTGTTTCTGTTTTTCTCCTGGCAATTGTTTCAATGTAATATATAATATTCATCTAGTTTGGATATCTATTTTGACATCCAACTCAATTGTATACCAACTGTGCTACTACGAATTCCATTACACTTCAATCTTTGACTCATACTCAATATAAATATATTTTAAATGAAGGTTAGAGCATGTAAGAACTTTAAGATGTCTTTTTTTTAAAAAAAATAATGAAACCACATATGCCCTTGTCCTTTTCTTCCTTTGGATTTAGAATGAGAGGTACAATCATTTATCAGAGAACTTTAGTTAGCAAGTAGTGAAGCATCTATAAAAATATATTGCCACATATACTCTTAAAGTTGCTACTCTTAGCATCTCTATTTAAAATAAGGCTATGGGAGGTGGTTGGCAGGATGGCCGAAAAGGAACAGTTCTGATCTGCAGCTCCCAGTGAGATCAACACAGAAGGTGGATGGTTTCTGCATTTCCTACTGAGGTATCCAGCTTATCTCACTGGGACTGGTTAGACAGTGGGTGCAGCCCATGGAAGGTGAGCTGAAGCAGGATGGGGCTTTCAGAGGAAGGAACAGGCAGCAATCTTTGCTGTTCTGCTGCCTCTGCTGGTGATACCCAGGCAAACAGGGTCTGGAGTGGACCTCCAGCAGCCTCCGGTAGACCTGCAGCAGAGAGGCCTGACTGTCAAAAGGAAAACTAACAAATAGAAAGGAATAGCATAAACATCAACAAAAAAGACCTCCACACAGAAACCCCATCCAAAGGTCACCAACTTCAAAGACCAAAAGTAGATAAATCTATGAACATGAGGAAAAACCAGCTCAAAAAGTTTGAAAATTCCCAAAACCAGAACACCTCTTCTCCTCCAAAGGATCACAACTCCTCACCAGCTAGGGAACAAAACTGGATGGGGAATGAGTTTGACGAATTTAAAGAAGTTGGCTTCAGAAGGTGGGTAATAACAAACTCCTTCAAGCTAAAGGAGCATGTTCTAACCCAAAGGAAGGAAGCTAAGAACCTTGAAAAAAGGATAGACGAGTTGCTAACTAGAATAACCAGTTTAGAGAAGAACATAAATGACCTGATGGATCTGAAAAACACAGCACGAGAACTTCATGAAGCATACACAAATATCAATAGCCGAATTAATCAAGTGGAAATAAGGATATCAGAGATTGAAGATCAATTTAATGAAATAAAGTGTGAAGACAAGATTAGAGAAAACAGAATGAAAAGGATGAAGAAAGCCTCCAAGAAATATGGGACTATGTGACGAGACCAAACCTACATTTGATTGGTGTACCTGAAAGTGATGGGGAGAATGGAAGCAAGTTGGAAAACACTTCTCAGGATATTATTCAGGAGAACTTCCCCAACTTAGCAAGACAGGGCAACATTCAAATTCAGAAAATACAGACAACGCCACAAAGATACTCCTTGAGAAGAGCAACCCCAAGACACATAATCGTCAGATTCACCAAGGTGGAAATGAAAGAAAAAATGTTAAGGGCAGCCAGAGAGAAAGGTCTGCTCTTGAATGACTACTGGATAAATAATGACATTAAGGGAGAAATAAAGAAGTTCTTTGAAACCAATGAGAATGAAGACACAATGTACCAGAATCTCTGGGACACAGCTAAAGCAGTGATTAGAGGGAAATTTATGGCACTAAATGCCCACAGGGTAAAGCGGGAAAGATCTAAAATCAACACCCTAACATCACAATTAAAACTAGAGAAGCAAGAGCAAACAAATTCAAAAGGCAGCAGAAGACAAGAAATAACTAAGATCAGAGCTGAACTGAAGGAGATGGAGACATGAAAAACCTTTCAAAAAATCAATGAATCCAGGAGCTGATTTTTAGAAAAGATCAACAAAATAGACTACCGGCCAAACTAATAAAGAAAAAAAGAGAGGATAATCAAATAGAGACTATAAAAATGATAAAGGGGTTATCACCACTGATCCCACAGAAATACAAACTACCATCAGAGAATACTATAAACACCTCTACACAAATAAACTAGAAAATCTAGAAGAAATGGATATATTCCTGGACACATACACCCTCCCAAGACTAAACCAGGAATAAGTTGAATCCCTGAATAGACAAATAACAAGTTCTGAAATTGAGGCAGTAATTAATAGCCTACCAAACAAAAAAGCCCAGGACCAGACGGATTCACAGCTGAATTCTACTAGAAGTACAAAAGGGAGCTGGTACCGTCTCTTCTGAAACCATTCCAAACCACAGAAAAAAAGAGACTCCTCCCTAACTCATTTTATGAAGCCAGCATCATCCTGATACCAAAACCTGGCAGAGACACAACAACAACAAAAATTTTAGGCCAATATCCCTGATGAACATCGATGTGAAAATCCTCAATAAAATACTGGTAAATTTAATCCAGCAGCACATCAAAAAGCTTATCCACCACAACCAAGTCAGCTTCATCCCTGGGATGCAAGGCTCTTTAAACATACACAAATCAATAAACATAATCCATCACATAAACAGAACCAATGACAAAAATCACATGATTATCTCAATAACGCAAAAAAGGTCTTCAATAAAATTCAACACCACTTCATGCTAAAAACATTCAATAAACTAGGTATTGATGAAACATATCTCGAAATCTTAAAAGCTATTTACGACAAGCCCACAGCAAATATCATACTGAATGTGCAAAAGCTGGAAGTATTCCCTTTGAAAACCGGCACAAGACAAGGATGCCCTCTCTCACCACTCCTATTCAGCATAGTATTGGAAGTTCTGGCCAGGGCAATCATGCAAGAGAAAGAAATAAGGAGTATTCAGATAGGAAGAAAGGAAGTCAAATTGCCCCTGTTTGCAGATGACATGATTGTATATTTAGAAAACCCCATCATCTCAGCCCAAAATCTCCTTAAGCTGATAAGAAATTTCAGCAAAGTCTTGGGATACAAAATCAATGTGCAAAAATCACAAGCATTCCTATACACCAATAATAGACAAACAAAGAGCCAAATCATGAGTGAACTCCCATTAACAATTGCTACAAAGAGAAAAAAATACCTAGTAATACAACTTACAAGGGATGTGAAGGACCTCTTCAAGGAGAAATACAAACCATTGCTCAAGGAAATAAGAGACGACACAAACTAATGGGAAAACATTCCATGCTCATGAATAGGAAGAATCAAGATCGTGAAAATGGCCATACTGCCCAAGGTAATTTATAAATTCAATGTTATCCCCAGCAAGCTATCATTGACTTTCTTCACAGAATTAAGAAAAAAACAACACTTTAAATTTCATATGGGACCAAAAAAGACCCTGTATAGTCAAGACAATCCTAAGCAAAAAGAACAAAGCTGGAGGCTTCATGCTACTTGACTTCAAACTATACTACAAGGCTACAGTAACCAAAACAGCATGGTACTCTTACCAAAACAGATATATAGAGCAATGGAACAGAACAGAGGCCTCAGATATAATGCCACACATCTACAACCATTTGATCTTTGACAAACCTGACAAAAACAAGAAATGGGGAAAGGATTCCCTATTTAATAAATGGTGTTGGGAAAAACTGTCCAGCCATGTGCAGAAAATTGAAACTGAACCCTTCCTTACACCTTATACAAAAATTAACTCATGGTAGATTAAAGACTTAAATATAAGACCTAAAACCTTAAAAACCCTAGAAGAAAACCTGACAATACCCTTCAGGACTTAGGCATGGGCAAAGACTTCATGACTAAAACACCAAAAGCAATGGCAACAAAAGCCAAAATTGACCAATGGGATCTAATTGAACTAAAGAGCTTCTGCACAGAAAAAAAACAAAACAAACAAACAAAAAAAAACTATCATCAGAGTGAACAGGCAGCCTACAGAATGGGACAAAATTTTTGCACTCTATCCATCTGACAAAGGGCTAATATCCAGAATATACAAGAAACTTAAACAAATTTACAAGAAAAAAACAACCCCATCAAAAAGTGGGTGAAGGATATGAACAGACACTTCCCAAAGAAGACATTTATGCGGCCAACAAACATATGAAAAAAAGCTCATCATCACTGGTCATTAGAGAAATGCAAATCAAAACCACAATGAGATACCATCTCATGGCAGTTAGAACGGCAATCATTAAAAAGTCAGGAAAAAACAGATGCTGGAGAGAATGTGGAGAAATAGGAATGCTTTTACACTGTTGGTGGGAGTGTAAATTAGCTCAACCATTGTAGAAGACAGTGTGGCGATTCCTCAAGGATCTAGAACCAGAAATACCATTTGACCCAGCAATCCCATTACTGGGTATATACCCAAAGGATTATAAATCATTCTACTATAAAGACACATGCACACGTACGGTTATTGCAGCACTGTTTACAATAGCAAAGGCTTGGAACGAACTCAAATGCCCATCAATGATAGACTGGATACAGAAAATGTGGCACATATACACCATGGAATACTATGCAGCCATAAAAAAGGATGAATTCATGTCCTTTGCAGGGACATGGATGAAGCTGGAAACCATCATTCTCAGCAAACTAACACAGGAGCAGAAAACCAACACTGCATGTTCTCACTCATAATTGGGAGGTGAACAACGAGAACACATGGACACAGGGAGGGGAACATTACACACCAGGGCCTGTTGGGGGATGGGAGGCTAGGGGAGGGATAGCATTAGGAGAAATACCTAATGTAGATGATAGGTTGATGGGTGCAGCAAACCACCATGGCATGTGTATACCTGTGTAACAAACCTGCACATTCTGCACATGTATCCCAGAAATGAAGGTATAAAAAAAAGAGTTGATCAGTCCAACTTTATTCAACTAGAGGTGTGTTCAAGGTGTTTTTGTCATATGGTAATGACAATCTTACAGTGCATTTCAAAAAGTTACTTCTACAAGAGCTATTTGTATTTAAAACTATAATAAAAAGTATAATAAAAATGAAATAAAATAAGGACATGGAAATGTTTTCTAAACATGGTTCTTTGATGTAAAAGAGATCTATTTAAGCAATTTATATATATTCCTGTAAATACAAATATACCCTTGTTATTAAGGGCTATAATCCAAATTTTATATCAAATAGTCTTGAAATAAAATCTAATAAAAAGAGGTAAAAGATTGGACCTTTCTAACTGTATTTTAGTGTAGAAGTTATTCAGAATTCCTTTATTTTTGTTATACTTTTCTTTTCCCTTTGGAATCTGTGAAAGACTTTGAAGAACTGAGGAACTTTTCCAAGGTGGTCTCAAATGTTTTGTTTCCCTTAGATGTTCTTGCCTACCCCGTCTTGCAGACAAACTTGACCCTTAGCTCTTCCTCCTCAAGAACAATTCTTACCCCTTCTGAGACCATCCTTGACCAACTATTCTCTGAAACTAGCAAGGCTTGACATGCTTTTCCTGCTAAAACCCTATAAAGCATTCTGTCATTTTTCTCAAGTTAGAATTTTCCTTGACAGCTTTCTGATGCTCAGTATTTTTGAAATTTGCTTAGGCTAATGGTATTCTTGCTGCTTTTCTTCCATGGAATATACTATGTATGTATGTATGTTGGTATATGTATAGTTGTGTGTGCGTTTGTATATATATATGTGTGTGTGTGTGTGTGTGTGTGTGTGTATACACATATAATGAGTTTAACTGTCATAATGGTTTAAAGTCAATGAAGTGTTTAACCTTAATTCTCCATTTAATCGTTATGGCAAAGAATAATATTCCCCCCTGTGTTACAGAAGGGAATGTAGGTTCAGGCAGGATATAGTAGGAAATGTGGTGTGGGAGACAAGATAGGGAATGTATAAGTAGGATAAGGTTAAAATAAAATGTGAGTTCAGTTCTGACATCATGAGTTTAAAGTCACTCCTCTGAGGTATCTAAGGGCAGATGCAAGTAGTTTGATGTATGGTCTGAGGCTCAGTAGTTAGATCACAGCAAGACTGGGAATCATGAAAAGATAGAAATTGAAAATTTTGCTTAGGGGCAATTCCACTATGTAAATTAGTTTAAAAACTAATCATAAACTTAGCCCAAGGAATTTTACATCATGGAATACCCTACAAATAGACGTAATATTTCAAGCCTAGTATCAATGTTCTACTGAATCCTCTTGCAATGGACACAGTAAATCGTCCATTACAAAGAACTTGGAATTATTCATATCTGAGTAGGCCTATAACACGCTCAATCATCATAATTAACTTTCCTTCTTCATGTTATAAAAATTCTCTTAATTGGTATAAAAATTCTCTCATTTCCTCAATTGAGTTATGATGTTTCACTTTAGGGTTTGTGAAGTGATCACAGCTATACCTTTTCTAAGTTATGAACCTAAAACTAATAAAACCATATGGGATTCTGTCAGTTATTTTTCATTTTCTGTTCCAACATCTTAGCCTACTTGAAGGACTTTGCTAAATATTAGATTTCTTAATCTTATCTTAAAATACTATGCTTTTATTTTGGAGAAGCTTCAATCTCTAACAAATAATCTGATAAACTCTTTAATATATTTCATAATTTTACCAATTACTAAGCCAGAATTTAGATGGCCCATTTGAAAGAGAATGTTTCCTTACTAAGCAAATCTTTACACTTACACCTCTATCTACTCACCATATCCTTCATTTAACCCCCCAATTGCTTCCTGTTTGTTCCCTTTGTTTTATTTCCGTTTTTCACCAAATATAGTTTGAGGAAAATTTTCTCAGACTCTATGGTGAATTTTTACCTCTACAGAAAGCTGAACTAAAAAGACTGCAAATACTTCCTCATAAAGAACCAGTCACACTACTTGCAGGGTGTGCCTCAACCAGCAATGAATGACCCCACCTTCTGAGACAGCCTGACAGCCCTAAGGTTGTAGGCTAAATCCTAATGGG
This sequence comes from Homo sapiens, assembly GCF_000001405.40. Classification (NCBI taxonomy): domain Eukaryota; kingdom Metazoa; phylum Chordata; class Mammalia; order Primates; family Hominidae; genus Homo; species Homo sapiens. Next base: position 16,788,042 of record NC_000021.9, read on the forward strand.
GTACAGTGTTTATATAGCAGACCTATCAAAGACTAAGATTCCTCTTCCAGAATGCCACAAAATGGGTTTTCTATGAGAACTTCACTTTCAGGTTATTACATTATCTAATTAATTGTTTTAAAAAATTGTAGTCACTTGCAATATTTTAAAGTTATTTCTTTTCAGATTATAAAGGCAAAATAAATTTAACAGAATTACATATTTTTTCTACAGAATCTTTTTATGTTTTCATTTCACTTTACTAAGTCTCATGAAGCCTGTGTGCTAATTTTGACAACAGTTTCTATCCAGATCTTATCAGACAAGATAACTCAGACAGTGGTCAAGGGATTCCCTAACTCTTATTACAGTGGAGTTTCTAGTGCTTCTCTAATATGTGTATGTACTTCCTCCAAAATTCTGCTTCCCTAACAGGTTCGTTTTTATTCTGTATGGCCAACCTAAGGATGTAGAAAAGCCAGAATTATATTTAAGACTTTCCCAACTGTCAGTTTTGTACCCAAACAAACTAGTCATTGCTGTCCCTCAGAAGGAAAGCTGCCTCTCACATATAAAGAACCTTCCTCTTGGAAGATTCTGTATCTTAAAAGGTTGTTTTGAAATGTTGATGTACCATATAAGTAAAAAAATTCTCCAGGCAGATTAAATGCATATATAAATTTATAATAGCCCACTGACTCCAGTTGGCAGAATTATAGCTTTAGGATAAGTGGCAAAACACTTTCCAAAGAAGTTCGGAGACTCTTTTTTGTCTGTCTGCCAAGTCCTCCCCACCGAATCTCACACACTGACTAATGCATATGCTTGGTGGTGTAAGATTCCAGGGAATGGTCTTTACTGAGGCTGGTAGGTGAGAATACTTTCAGTCAAGACCTATGTGAATTCTTGACTTGGGCAGGTTTTGGCTTCCACTATATTTGTAAAGGCTTTCCTGTTGTATACATACCAACATCAGCAAAATGGGTGTTCTTCCGCTTCTAATTCCCATTCAGTCATCTCAAATATGAAGTATGTTTTACAATTTTAAAATGTTAATTGTGAAACATTTTGCAAAATACATATTGTTTAAAGATAAGAAAAATAGAAGTAAATTTCCCGCTTAGTTGTTTTTAATCATTTCTACTCATTACTCTAAAGAGTATTTTTACGCCTTGTCCTTTTTTATTTATCCATTAATGTTGGAAAGTATCTACTTGCTCCCTACTCTATAAATGAAAAATTAAAATTCTAAAATTTCCTTTAACTATTCTTACTGACCTCTCACTTCTATCAGACAAAAACTTGCGCTTTTATGTTATCAGTGTTCACTGTAAGTAATTGTTATTATTCACTGTTGCTAAATATTCCATTATAAAAATATATTATAATGTATTGATTTATTCTCCTGCATATGATGAATAATTGGGTTGCTTCCGGTTTGAAGATATTATAAAGTTACTATAAAAATTTTATGTACTTTTTTTTGTTGCCATAAGCACTCATTCCTATTACATATCTAACTCAGAGCAGAATTGGTTGTGTATATATTCAGCTTTTGTCAATACTGCAAAACACTTTTCCAGCAAAGTGATTATTGAGTTATGGAGTGTTAATTTGTATAATTTTTGAGAAATCTGTTTAATTCATATTCTCACTAACACTTGGCATTTTTAACCTTTAAAATTGTAGTCATTCTTCTTTATAGTGTCCTTTTTTAAAAAAAATTAATTTTGGGCTGATGACTAATGATTCCAACCACATTTTCTTATGGCTACTGGCCCTTTGGCTATCCTATTCGGTTAAGTGACTGTTAAAGCATCTGGTTTATTTTTATTTTTTAGATACTATCTTGCTCTGTCACTCAGGCTGTAGTGCAGTAGCACTATCATGGTTCACTGCAGCCTCAAGCTCTAGGCTTAAGCAATCCTCCCACCTCAGCCTCCCACATAGTTGGGACGATAGGCGTGCACCACCACACCCAGCTGATTTTTAAATTTTTTAAAGAGATGGGAGTCTCACTATGCTGCTCCAGCTTGTCTCAAACTCCTGGGCTCCAGCAGTCCTTCCACCGTGACCTCCCAAGGTGCTGGGATTATAGGCATGAGCCTCTACACCCAGCCCATTTTTAAAATTATTCCTTTTCTCATTGATTCATTGGAATTTTTTATACAACTAGTCTGACTATTCACACTATTAAAGCTATCTTTTAGTAAACAGAAGTAGCTAATTTAAATTATCTTGTTTATTAATCTTTTCTTTTATACTTAACAATTTAGAAATCCTCCTACCCTAATATTGTGAAGGCACTTTCCTAAGATTTCTTCTAGAGAAGTATTGTTCTTTGGACTTCTACATGTATGTCTAAGATCCACTGCAAATTCAGTTTTGTAAGCGGTGTAAGTTAAGGTACAGATTAATTTATTTTTCAAACAGATATCCAATTGATGCAACCATTTAGCAAAGCCACCATTTTTTCCACACTGCGGTGCTGTGACATCCTTGTGATAAATCAGGTGATTATATGTGTAGGTTAGCTTCTGAATATCTTATTCCGTTCTATTGGCCTATTTCTTTACTTTTACATGAACACGGCACTGTTTTAATTACTGCACGTTTATAATAAGACTTGATCTTTGTACAGTTCAGCCAGATTTGTTCTTTTTCAAGATCGCCTTGCTATTCTAGATCCTTGGCATTTCCACACGTTTTATTTATTTATTTAGAGTTATTTATTTATTTTGAGACCGAGTTTCACTCTGGTGCCCAGGCTGGAGTGCAGTGGCATGATCTTGGCTCACTGCAATTTCTGTCTACTGGGTTCAAGCGATTCTCCTGCCTCAGCCTCCTGAGTAGCTGGGACTACAAGCGCCTGCCACCATGCCTAGCTAATTTTTGTATCTTTAGTAGAGATGGGATTTCACCCTGTTGGCCAGGCTGGTCTCAAACTTCTGACCTCAAGTGATCTGCCCACCTCGGCCTCCCAAAGCGCTGGGATTACAGGCTCCATACATGTTTTAGAATTAGCATGCCAATCACCTCTCCCCAATTTAAAAAAGGAAAAAGAAAAATAGCTTTCTGTTATATTGATTGAGAGAACATTGAATCTATGGATCAATTTGAGGAGAATTTTCATTTTTATGATATTAAGACTTCCAATGCAAGAAAGTATATCCCTTCATTTATTTAGATTTAAAAAATTTTTCTCAGAAGTTTACTTGTGCACAACGTAGAGGAGTTGGGTGTCTCTCATAATTATTATTTTGGTATTTGAGGTTTTGATGTGTGCTCTTGTAAATAGTATTTATTGATTTCTTTCTTAACATGTGCTGCTAATTTATAGAAATGTAAATTTTTATATGTTGATTTATTATTTTGCATGTACATATGCCTTTTTTTTCAGTGAAAAGTTCTAATTAACTTTAAGCAATTCATTTCCTTTTAGAGTGTTTGCTTGTTTGTTTGTTTTGTTTAAGAAATTTAGTTAGGTGTGTTAGTTCTGTGATTCAGTAGACTTTTGCCTAATGAGATTATTCCTTTACCTTTCTACCAATAGAAGCAAGAAATAGCAAAAGAAACGCAGATGAGGAGGCACTACAAGATCCCTACCATAGATACCACTAGTTGCCAGCCAGTAACTTTTTCCTAAGTATCGGGTAGACATGTAGCTTACAACTCTCGAATAAAATTGAAATTATAGAGTTTTTAATTCATGGACGGTATTACAGAATACATACGCTGCTTTAACGCAATTAAGTTCCTGAGATTTGAAAAGGACAAGTACAACTGCAAGGTCTAACTCACATCCCAAGTAGCTAATTTATTCATCTAGTTGAATCTGGCTCTTCGAGTTTCATAGTAAGCAGAACTTTGCCACTGAACTCACTTCTAAGCTTTAGCAGATTTGTTTTATTGGGAAAATGAGCTATTTATATTTTAATAGTATTTTATGTCTTTTAATTTTTTTTCTGCCTAACCAACTGGAATAAATGTCTCTCAAGATAACCAATGAAATTTCAAAGCAAAACCATTTATCTTAGTTCCGTGGAAATTTAACTTGACAAAAATTATCCCTAAAATGTTATTGAACTCCTTCCAGGGCCAATAGAAGCAGAGACTCCTTCTTTTGCCTCGGCTTCCAGGATTCCGGTATGAAACCGCTGCCATTTGCACTGCACACTAATGACAAGCTGGATGTTTGCATGAAAGCCAATATGTTCCTACACTGCTTTTTGAGACAAGTAATAATCAGTCTGTCATCAATGTCATGCTGCAATCAGGCTTTGACAAGGTTTGCAAATAACTTGAAAGGAATTGCTCATCCCTGAACACTACAGATCAAAACCAGACCTGAACAAAAACTAGAAGTCTGCTGAGTGTCAGCTGCAGAGTCTTAGGAAACGTGCTGTGAATAAGCAGAAGCAACAGCAGAGGGAACAACCAAGCCTTAGCCACCCGCAACCCATGTTTATAATTAAAAAAAAATTTTTTTTTTGAATATAGCTTTTTTCAGTGACTAACCCTGAGAACTCGCTAGTCAAAATGACAATGTAGCCACCAGAAACACCCAGCCTGGTTAGAAGTACCACCTGTATTATTCTTGAAGATGACTGGAAAAGCAAATAGCATGCCCATCTTCGTGTGGTTTGTTCTCTCATCTCATAGACTGCAGCAGGCAGGATTTTGGGTCAAACCCAGCACTCCCATCAGTGAAGAGATTGTGTGCACAAAGATTGAATCACCAATTGCTTTCTTTTTCTCTCCTCCCTTCCTAAATTCTTCCCATTTCATTGAGGGAATGAAGTATGTATTGTTTGTTCACTGCTGTTCCTGATGTATGTTAATCTGCAGGCCTATCCAGTACTAAGAAACAAGTTAAATTTATATATAAAAGTTTTGAGAGCAAGATCCTTTGGAAGAAAATATTAAAGATTTTTTTTTAAGTATCAGCTGGTCACAGTTCTGCTCAGAGCTTCAAATCTTGTTTGTACTTCATGTTTGTATATATAGCGGGACAATCATGGTACGTATGTACTTAAGCATTCATGAATTATGCCTAATACATGAGTACAGACTTGAGATGTGAGTTCTTGTTGATTTTATTGTAGCCCACAATAAGAAGTTATTTCAGAGTTATCTTGGTGATCTTTAAAAGGAACTCTGAAAATCAGGTGCTATTGACACTCAAAGTAAAGATAGCAGTGAAAGAAAAGAAAATCAGAATGAAGTTAAGTGAAAGTCCACATTCCAAAAAGAAAAAAACTATAGACACATTTAAAATCCCATATCATGTGATTACAATCTTTTGAGATTGTAGGCCATATAGTCCTAAAATAAATGTCCAATAAAGTATCCATTTTATAAATATATGCTGAGCACCATAATATTGGCTCAGCACTATGTTAGCTATTATGAGAGATAAGAATGTTGTGTAAAAATTCCTGTTTTTCAAGGAGTTTGTGATCTGGTTAGGGAGAAGATATTAATGCACATGAACAAGTATCAGTAGCTTTTGGAAAGTTCATAATGTAAGCACTGAAATATGAGACAAGAAACACTCTTGAACTATACTGAGGACTTGTAACAAATGTCTATAAGTATATCGTTAAGCCACATTTGATTATCCTCTAACTTTTCCTGTCTTCTGAGCTTACTTATCCTGTACCATTTCACAAATACCTAAGTCTCACCCCCATAAGAACAGAAATCCAGACCCCATTTCTGCTGTTTCTGAGGTCCCACAGTGAGTGTGTATTGTAGGGGTGGCAGTCATTTGTCATTTCTCAATTTTGTCTCTAGAGCTAGGATTCTTCAGCATTGTCTCAGTCCATTCCATCATTGGTTCTCTTTGCTGAGCCTGTTCTGTCTAGTCAATTGCCCCTCCAAGACATGGATATGTATCCACACATTGGCTTCCTTACAGCAGCTTACTTGATACCACATTGGTTTAACAAACTAACTTGAAGTTCTAAGGATTGCATTAAAAAATTACAATGCAGGGGGAAAGAACCTTAAAATTGATTATAAAGTAGCATGTCTCCTGGAGTGTATCAGCTATGCCTGTCCTTTTTTTATTCTAAGGCCCTTTTCTCTTCCCCTGAAATCTGAGACCCTTCTGTCCCAAACTACCTAACTTTCCAGCCTCTTTTCTCTGGTTTCCTTAGTGCAAATCCCGAAATCAGTTACAACGTGACAACGTTTCAAGTTTGTGGTTCTGCTCAGAATAAAACCAGACTTTTACATAATTGGCAGAGCTCTCTATACTCTCAACTCAAATACATGCTATAGGGTAAGCTCTGGGCCTTATTTAAATTAAATATGTTAAAATGAGGGGGAAAAAAACCCTAAACAAGATTTGTTGAATTCTGCTTAAAAATGTAGTAATATTTATGCATTTTGTGAAATTAGTCACTCAAATACACCACAAATCTACTTAGCAATTTTAACAATTACTATGTATCTTTAATTGCTGAAAGAATTTACACAGGGGATGATACTCTCTGTAGAAAGAAGAAGTTTTAAATTACTATTCATTTTATGATTGAAGCCCAATGTCTTAATTGATAGATAACAAGTTTTTTCAATAATTTACCTTCCTGAAAACCATACATTCTCATTCAGTGACAAAGCTCAGTGTAGCAAATTTGTGTACCATTTAACAGAAAAGTTTTGTAGTGCTCTAGGTATAATATGGAAGCCCATAAATAAATGTATTTATTCTTTCCCTGCTTCCTAGACACATTTTTGCTTCTCTTTCCATGACAGTACTGAAAAACTTTCAGTTAACCAATAATTTCCATTAGAAAATCATCTTCCTCATGGAAAACTAAAATATGGTTATAATTTAGATATCTTAGAGAAGTCACAAGGATATCATATTCTAAAATATTAGGTATGAGTCTCTTTAATATTGTGCTTCTCAATTCCATTTCAAATAGCTTACCAAGCTTTCAAAAAAATCTTGAAGAATAGCCAAATGTTTTAGGAGACTCAGAAGTAATTGAGCTCAGAATCAAGGACAGAGTTCTGTGGCATACACTGGAGATCTCCTGGTGGACTCACTGCCTAAGTCATTTGTTCAAAAAATATTTGCTGAATGCCTACTACGGACACTGCTGTGCTGGGAGCTGGTGAATCAGCGATGAACTATGGGAGCTGGTGAGTCAGTGATGAACCGGACAGCCAAGTACTGACCTTTAAGAATCCTATGCAGTAACAGAAGAGAAAAATGATGACCAAGGACACAAGAAAAAAATAATAATTGAACATTGTATTGAATGCAAGGAAGGAGATATCCACAAAGTTATGCTGCAGCAGAAATAAATGTAAATGTCCTTAAACATATTTTTTAAAGTTTCAACTTCAAAAATAGAAAAAAATTAATTGAAACTACAGTGACAAAATTTTTCGCCTATCTGATAAAAATTGAAAAGTTTGATAGCACATTCTGTAAGTAAGAATGAAGGAAAAGGGCATTCTGATTGTAAATATAAATGAGTTTATCCTGTGTGGAAGGCAATTTAATAGTATCTATCAATATATAAAAATATACAACTTTTGTCCCTTAATTAGAAATAGGAATATGACCTATTAAATTTGTTCTTATTTGTACAAAAGAGTGTCATGTACAGGATTATTCACTGCAATTGTGTTTTTAGTGAGAGAATATTGGAAAAATATCTAAACATGCATCAATAAATGGTCACTTTCTTACATTATACGACAAAGATAAAATAAAATGCAATGTAGCCACAACGCAGAATGTGAACATAGCTTTTTGCTCATTTGTTTGTTTGCTGATATGGGCCCATCTACAAGATAGTGTTGAGGAAAAAAATTAAGCTTCCGTATTTGTATAAGATGTTAAAAAGAATGTGAGCACTTATATGTGTATATGCTTAAAATATCTCTGAAAGTGGAGTGAGTTTTTTCAATGTACATATTTCCTTTTGTTCCTTTTAAATTTTGAATTATGTGAATATATTCTCTTTAAATCATTTAAATATTTTGGTAAAGATAAAAATTTCCAGTAGTATCTATTATGGGATTCTCATTACCATCTCTATAAGCTGTAGGGTTTGAGAGCAAAGTTTTTGAAAAATTTATTATGTCAGATTCAACTGAAGTAATATGTATCAGAAGCTACTGGGTTCAAGCCACTGTGCTTTTGAGAAATAAAATTAAAATAAAGACCTTGTACCCAGAAAATGCAGTTTAATGGATGTATCTATTTTTATAGAAAACATAAATTGTGATAAAATAATTAGTAGGAGAACAAAGACTTAAGTTTTCCTATACCTTTCAAAACTTTTCCAGAGTAAGCACCAAGTACTGGATTTAAATAATTACTAAAAGTTTCTAGCATCTTATTTGTAAAACTCAATTTATTTTATGTAAATCCCCAAAGGATTGTTTGGCATATCCTTTGAATATTATTGACATATATGTGATGAACACTACTTATTAAAAGATTATGGAAAAGGTGTTCTAAAAGAATCTGCATTAGACATCTATTTAATTAAATTTATTGTTAAGATTATCCAAAAAAGTCAGAAATCTGATGTGTTCTTTGGAAATCACATAGACTAGACTCTAAAAAACCATGCTAGCAAAAAAATGCACTATGTTAAAATGTCTGGATCTGTCCTGTTTATTTTCTATTATCTGCCATTTCATTTCCTACCTATAATTTTATTAAATGGCTTTGAAACTACAATGATGCATGCAAACTGCACATTTTTTGTTATTGCTGTTTAAATATGCACAAGCCTGGAATTGATGGAGAATTTATTATATCCCCCAAAATGAGAGGAAATAAAACAGACATGAATATTCAAAACAGAACTACAAGGTTAGAAGTCTGAATGTCATAATATAATAGCAACAATAAGTGATCACACAAGTCATTCATGTTCCTTTTCTTTTTAGGAGTGGATCCAGAATTTGTGGAATTTAAAGCTTACATAATGGTGAGAGGGGGGAGTAAGGATTAAAAAAAAAATTTACAAATGCAAATTTAGTTACAGGGCCTTAGAAAGAGCCCTTACAAGAGAGGATCCTTGAAGATGAAACTTATTTGCTTCACAGAAATTTACTTTGCTTCTCTTAGCAAACAAATTTCCTTAAACTTCATTCTCTGGTTTAGTATGAATATTTATTTGGGATGGTGGCAGATGTGCATATCAATAAGTCATAAGTAATCAAAATAAGTTTTCCATATCACTATCTAGATGACATTCCCATTTATTAGGTTTTCCTCATTTGAGAAAGAAAAATTAAATCTGCCATATCAGATTCAATAGAACAGACCAAAAATTTCCTCTCACAGAACATAGCATCTTGCAATGCAATTTACATACTGTTCTTTTAGCTTACTTGTGGAAAATTCAACAATGATTTTTTTTATTTCTCAAAAGCTGTCTGCAATTGCAGCTCTGACATTTAATTCTCTCACCATTGAGTATTTATTAGTATGATAGCATGCAGCTCTTTCCCTTCTGCGGGATCCCTCTCTATTCAGTCTTGACTGCAGATATATGCAGAATTTCCCTTGAGGTAAGAAAAAGGCAGACATGTCTAAGTTTTCTCCTTTTCATTATGCCAGGGGGAAACCAGTTTCTGTTAATTCTGGTAACCATGTTATCTAACTCTCAAAACAGGAAAAATGATGGGGAAGAGCGGAGGCAGAAGTTCTGAGAAGCATCCCCTGGTTATTGTTGCCAGGGCAACTGAAACTTGGCATCCTCCAAATAGTCATCGTCTGTCACACTAGGGGTATAATTCACAGGCATGCAACACTTTTCAGTGGATCTTTAAAAAAATAGTGGGGGAGGGGTGAGGAATAAATGAGAATTTTAAATAGGCAAGTAGACAAAATGCATGCCTAATATTTAGAGAGATAATAGGCATAAGAGAAATACACTTTTGAAAAATGTAAGTGTCACTGTTATATATTACTCTGTTTCTTATTGCACAAATTAGCCACTATGCAATCTCAATAATTGTCTACCCATCTGGCTTCTTTTACGAGAACCCCTTCTTCCTCCAAATAATAGTCTTCTGTAGTATGACTTCAGACTAAACATATGCAGAGATTTAGATGTCATTTTCTTTTTCACAGTCCTTAAGAAAGCCAAGAATATTTTCATACTTTTCATTGTTTACCAGAATGTCTGACGTAGAGGCCAGCCTGGTCTTGCTATAAGAGAAGACAAAGTATTTATTACTCCACTATTCATTGAGAAAAACAGCCTTGAGCCTTGAAATGCCCTTGGCTAAATCTAAATTGTACAATTCATTTTTCTTATGTTTGCATTTCTTAGAGCCAAGGTGTCTGCTTAATCTTTCTAATCACCAACTGGCTTTCTTGACATTATAGAAAATGTATTTTCTACATTTAAAAAAAAAAAAAAAAAAAAAAAAGAAGAGGTACCACTCCTCAAATCATATAACAGAAAGGAAGCCTTAAAAATACCTGTCATCAAAGTCACATAAAACCCTGACAGCTTCAACCTCCTTTTAGTATTTGCCAGTGTCAGCCTCATAAAAATGTGAAGGAAACCCATATTAATGTATCACGTTTACAAAATGGGCTTAATGGCCAATGCATTTTTGGAAGTAAATGGAAGAAGGAGAAAGAATATTAACCAAATTGCACTGGATGAGCACGAAAAAATCATAATGGATTAAAGAAGGAATAAAAATCAGAAATGTAACTTCTGGCAATGACTTTACTAAAAGGTTTCCTTTCCTCTTAGTATTGCTAAAGTCCTCTCATGAAAGCCAAATATATACTTTCATATAACCAAGATAATGAAACTAGGCACCAAAGCAAATAAAAAATACTTCCTTAATTACTGGGCTTAACATTTCACATTGGCTCAGCCAAATCACCCCTGGCTTTGGTACTATTTTACATACTGTTTTTAATGTAATCACCCACATTTCGTGAACCAATACACCCACTACTTGGAACTCCAAAGAAGGAATAATCACATAATGGCATCCATAATAAAAATAATGGCTCATTTTTGCTAAGCATTTATTATAAGCCAGCCACTATCATATATACTTTACAGAGATTACCTCATTTAATGCTCACATTATGAGACTCTGAATTAAATTATTCTCATTGTACAGATTAAGGAATTAAGGCACAAAGAAGCTATGTAGGCTCAAGTTTGCATAGCAAGAAGATGGCGGTACCAGGATAGAAGATCCGTTTTTTACATTAGTGTCCCTTGCTGTGGCAATTTGGTTGGATGCCCGCTCTCCACTTGGGCCTGTGTTCTCCTCTTACCCAGAGTATTTCTGTGAGTTTGGGCTGCAACTTTTCTACCTAATCCTTACTTTTTATGTGGCAGATGCTTCTGGTTACCTTCTTTCTGGATCTCTTGTTCTCATCCAGATCCCTTTTTATATTTATGTTTGCATTAAACTCTAATATTGTAGCTTGAAGCAACCAAGAGACTCATCTGTGTATCCTAAGTTTTATTTCTTCTCTTGACATTCTCTGATGGTATCATCGTGCCTAGGTAGATATCTAATCCTGAGCAATATCTTCTACTACTTCCCACCTTGCTTTTTTGGTTTATGTACCTTGGATATGGGACCATTTGAATTTGCATGTACTATGGTTTGCACCTAGGGAATTGGTACCTAAAAAAAATCTCACTGCCCCCCATCCCACATACAGACTCACAAATGGATACTCTGCCTCTCAATGATTTTTATCCATGCAGAATAAAATTGTGCAGAATAACCTGACATGTACCATGCTAGTAAACATAAACTTCCTGAGAGAATAAATTCTGAGCATCTTGACAGCAAAGACGGAATGTTGCTCATTTTTATACTTGCATCTCAAGTAAATAACTAGTGCTGTTCATTATATACAGATCTCAATAACCAATTAGAAATTAAATGAGATCATATGCCGAGAAACTAGCATTATAATTTGCATTAATGAGTATACTAGTCAGGCTATGCTAGGCTGTACTGCACTAACAAGCACACCCAAATCTCAGCAGCTTTTCAAAACACAAGTTTATTTTTCATTCTCCTTGTCTGTGCCTTGAAGGTTAGCATGCAGACTCTGCTTATCATAGTCATTCATGCTCCAGGTGATTAAATCTCCATCTCAACACATGTTCTCATGTGGCTGAGACCAAAACAAAACAAAAAAAAGAAATAAAACAAATATCTTGTTTAACTTTCTGTCCAGAAATGACCGATATTATCTTCATTCACCTATTATTGGGCAAAGTAAAACAATATGGCCATTCCTAACTACTAAAAGGGCAGGTACATGCAATCTTTCTGTTGACTGGGAAGAAGAAATGAACAAGAATATCTGGGAACAGCCCAAATGACTATGGTAAGGAACATGCCGTTTATGCCTTTTCTCCAGAGTAATTCCTTATATTAGTGCATATGTGCTCAGTTTATCATCTTAGCCCAGAAATTGTGTGGCAAGCAGTAAGGAGAGAAAAGGCAGTAATAGGGGGGCAGATATCAAGGATATATCAAGTTCAAGCAGAGTGGCACCGTCATAGAGGAGGAGAGGAGAGAGAGGACCACAAAAAGCAGTCAACCCCAGTCAGTTTTATTCAGGGGGAAAGAACCTAGACTCTGTGGCAATAATTTTAAGGAAAGTAGGATATTGGTCACACTTCATTGCATAAAATGTGGAAAGATGTTATCAGTGTATCCAGGAAGTAATGTGCCCTACCCAATACATCCCAGAGAGAAACAAGAATACATTGTCTAATTTCCATTTCCTTTTTGACACATCTGTGAACTTTATGAGGTCAAGTGCCCTGTTTGTGTCTAACCTAAAACCTCTTGATGTGTGTATGTCAAAAAAGGCCAACAGTGTACCTGCAAAAATAATAATCTTGTGTATGAATTATATGTTCTGGATGAATCCAAACAAAAAATTTCACTCATAAAACCTCCCAGTAATGAATACAAGCTGTACTGACTTAAACAAAGTGTGGATAGGATGCAGTATGTTCAAATTTAACAGTAGGAAAATCACTTAACTGAAGATCACATTCCTACCTAGTGCCATGATTCATTCACACATGGTGTGGAGAGTCACTGGTTCCAAGATGATCTTCCCGAACAGTGAGCGTATTACAAGAATTACAAAGGGTAGGAGATAGGTCCTTCTTTCCTCTATTAGTACTATCTTTAAAAAGTAATTACAAAGCATTGCAGATATTCTAGAATGGGGAAAAAAGTAAGTCTATGCTTACTTTTATACAGTCATTCTTAGTTACTTGATTTTTCTATAGAATGAAATCTTTTCTGTTTTCCTTGTAGCTTCATATATAATTTCTGAGATAGATAATGGGAAATTTAAATACTCTAGTAATTATCTCCACATATCACAACTTCTGCCAAAAGGATTACCACATCCTTTATCCTGCCTTACAGGGTGTATCTCTATTGTGATTACACCTGGACATTCAGGCATAACTGATCATTGTGGGGATTATTAATGAGACAAAACTGAAAAACATCTATTTGCATGGAGAGTGAGAATCCTCTGAGGAGAGACCTACTCTTGAGGTAACAGGAACTTTGGAATCCTGAGTCTGAGCTAGTTATAAGAACTTAGTTGTCAGAAGGGAATAGAGATTCTTAGTACCATACAATGGCTCGTGTATAAGTCTGATGCTGGGATACACACTTGCATGCATATCTATATACCAGAGAGAGAAGCCTTGAAGTATAGCTTAAGGCTTCCTCACAGTGTAATGTTAAAGTATATTTTTAGGCTTCTCTCTTCCTAGCATAAGGGGCAGGTTTACGGAACTCTGTCACACACCAGTGCCCAAGAAACTATGCTCAGATCTCACAAAGAAGAGAGGAATTTTCTCTAACTCCTTCATGATCTCCACAGGCTTTGAGATCCCATGGGCTCAAGAAACAAATGAAAGAGAACATCTCTGCCCAGCCATAGAAGAAACTACCAGACTCTGAAGTGGAACCACTTATACCAGTGCATCTACACCAAAAGGTGGAATGAGAGTGGCTGCTTTTCTGGCAGCGTGGAGACGAACATTAGAAAGAAGATGCTGGATTTGGGTAGCATGAAGCAGTGACCGTGTGCCCCACACCCAGTGAGCAGCAAGAACCCCCTCTAGGACTGGTGGAGCTGGAACCATCATTAAAGGATAAACTGCTCATCTCAAACCAGAGGCAATTAAGTGACAGAGGGTTCTCGATCCGACGACTCTCAGCTTTTGACAGTGGCCATAGCAATAAAAACAGCTATGCCATGCAGAATTGTCTTTGGCATTGTCAGTCATGTGTCTACACTTGTACCTACTGCTGAACATTTGACAGACCCTCGGAGACTAACATATATGAGTCTAGAGTCTTTGCAGGAAACTAAAGTACATGTGTTATCAGTAGATGATAGTAATGATCTTTCTTATTTACTGAAGCCTGTATATGACCTCATATATATTCATAAATTGCTGAGATTATGAAAGTTCAGATTTCATAGTGTCACTATTTTCAAGCTTATAAGAAATTTTATATTACATTATGCTTCATATTTGTTAATGGCAGTTCAAGGAGCAATTCGGTGCAATCATAGTTGTTTGTAGAGAATCCCGGAGGATGGAAAACTTTAAGAAAGGTCATATTTTGAAACTAATCTCAAACATGTTATATGGATCCTTCTCATTTTAAGTCACAAAGAGCAATCTTTCCTTAAATAATAAATTTTGTGATTTCTGTGATCTGTTTCAGTGATCATTTGTCCTAATAATTTATCTTATTAAATCTTGAGAATCTTTTGAAAATATAATTACTTTAATTTTCTAAGAATCTGCCAGATAGTGGTTCTTGAACTTTCTTTGTTCTTTTTCTTTAAGAGTCTGTGTGTGTACTTCACTCTCAGCAGTAAAATTTCTTTAAAAAAGCTACAAATCCAAATATGGTGGGAAAATAATCTCTGAATTTCTTGTGAAGTGACAGTTTTTGGAAATAAACCCTCCCTACAGCATAAAATTATTTCCTCATGATGTTGCGCATACTAGGAGCTCAATAAACATTTGTTGAATGGTGGAATCATATTTTTATGAATGTAGTTTGGGACTAAATTTATATATCACCTGATATGCATCACTAAGTGATACATAAATTGCCTTCATGTTCCTCAATTGATAAATTTAGTCCCTAAAACCAAGAAAAGGTATGAACGCCACTGTATCCTTAAGGCTTTTAATTCTAATGTGTATTCTTTTATCTGAAAAAGAATTCCTGCTTATACAGAGCTGGAAATTTGCCTCTCTGAAACATTACATTATTAGGTTTAGTGAGTTTCTATAAAGCATTACAGAGAAAGCCTGCCACACAACCTATATAAGATAACTTCAAATATTTCAACACAGCCATTGTGTGCCCTCTTAGGAGTCTCTTTTCAGTGTAACATTGGTTTCTTTTTCAATCATTCTTTCCACACATTTGACCATTTATTTAAGCCATTCTTTCCTCCATTGTATCTAATTTGTCATGACCTTCTTGAATTATGATTCTCAGAATTGAATACAGAGTTATAAATATAAACTCATCAGCATTCATTGTTCAAACCTTCAATAATATTTAATGTACGCCCACTATAATCCAGCTAGTGTAGTGAGCACTAGTGGTTAAACAAGAAAGACATAGTCTTTACTTGCCTTAGGAAGCTTGGAGTCAAAGATGATGCCAAGATTGTAGTGGAGATAACCATATTAATACTAAATTATAAGTTTAGTAAGATTACAATTACAATAGATGGATCAAATGTTTATCTATGGGCATCACAATTATATTATGAAAATCAAATATCATGTTTGCATTTTTAACATCACATTAAAATTTTTATTAAAATAAATGTAGCGATCATCTCTGTTTTCATATATTTGGCTAATAAAGCCATTCAGAAAATTAGGCACACTTGACATTGATTTTCTCAGAATGAAGAAAAGAAGAAAATACAGAAAAGCAAAAGTCTGAGTTAAAAAATGATATAAAAGCTCTGGAGTGCTGATAAATTGTAGCTTGCAAAAAGAAAGGATATGCTTAAACAAAGATCCAAAAGTCCAGAAAACATATACTTAAAAAACAAAAAAAATTATTTTTCTTTAAAACAATATTTTTACAGTAGACAGAATACTAAAATAAAAATTAGAAGACCGAATATGAATTCAGGTTGTTTAAAGCAAATCAGTTATTCTCCTTTAGGCTTAATATCTTTATCAGAAATATGGAGTTTAAAATTTTCCTTCTTCCCTACCTATCATAAGTTATAATTTATTTGATGGTATTTTGAGAATACTGTGATAAAATAATAATGCTTTGTAAAGAATAAACCACAATGTAAAGATACCTACTTATTTTTACAGAAGAAGGAGCAAAATTATGGTTACAGTTAAGATAAAATAACAGTTGTTGGACTTACTCTCTTACCATATAAAGCTGTAAAATGATGCTATCATACACAGATAGTTCAGAGCTCTGATCCTTTAAAAAGGAAAATATGAGTTCCACATTTGCCTCAGTTTCTTCTCTGGTGACACTCTCCAAACTGAGCCATAGAGAAGTGGAGACAGATACAAAGCAATAGAATTACTGGGTAGACAAACAGAGATCTGTAGGATTTGGGGCTGCTGAGGTGGCTAAAATTTACGGGACAGAATTTTGGAGAGGAGAGACATATAACATACTGAGAAGGAAGCCCATAAATCTGCATGTGGTCTATCTTGATTCTTTTATGAAATATTAAGCTTCATTTGCACAGGCTGAGACATCATAATGGTTTCTGAAAGAGATCTGAATGGAAGTTAAATGAAAATTCTAGAGACTCCTTAGGGCTAAGAAGACTGAACCTCCCTAAAAACCATCAACTTCTATTTCAGACTTCAGAAAGACCAAGTTTTAGGATGAGCAGTATTTTAGACATACTCAAGTCTTGACACCAGCAAGCTGATCTGTGTGTAATCACTTATCAGAACAATGAATAATATTCTTTAAAGAAGTTTACAAATTCAGATTTCAGCAATGTAGCATCCACAGTGTTGAGCATACAATCAAAAGTACAATGTTTGTAAATAAATAGAGAAAAATGTAGAATAAACAGTCAATAGACATAGACACAGAGATGACACATAGAAGACGTGAATATCAGCATTATGACACAAGGTTCTTCATATAGTTATGATAAATATACTCAAGAAATTCAAGGACAAACTGGATATAATAAATAAACAGATGAAAAAAGGATGTTCTAAAACTGAAAAATACAATATCTGAAATGAAAAGGGAATCAGAGATTGGGCACCACTGAAGAAAAGTTCAGGAAACTGAAGACAGACCATAAAACTATCCAAACACAAGCACTAACTGTAAAAGAATGCAAACCCAAAAAGCATCATTCATGTGTAAAGTACTTTAAAATACTTTAATACTCATCCCATAGATCCAGTAATCTCAAAGAATTAGGATAAACACAGAAAAGAACATGTGGGGCATGTCACTGTCAAATGGCAACAACCCAAAAATAAAGAGAAAAGTCCTAAAAGCACTTAGATTAAAAAGATACATTATATACAGGAAAAATGTAACAAATGGCTTCACTTGCAGAAGGTGATAAAACAACATTTTAAATAGCTGAGATAAAATGTCAATGTAGAATTCAATGCATTGCAAAAATAATCCTTCAAAAATAAAGAGAAGATAAAAATATTTTTGTTAAACAAAGCTTGACAGAATTTGTCACCCACAGACTTAAAGCTCAATCAATAATAAAGTTCTTTAGGAGAAATAGGTGCCACTTAGGAATTCGAATGTATTTGAAGAAATAATGAATAGGAATGGTTAACATGTAATTAAATATAAAATATGCTTTTATCCTTCTTAATTTAAAAAAATGACTTTAACGCAAATAGTAATAACAATGCCTGTTGAGGTTTATAACATATTTAGAAGTAACTAATATGATAAAGTAACACAAAATAGAAAAGAAGTGATGAGAAATATATTGTCATTAGATTCTTATATTATATAAGAAGTGACAGAATATAGTTTTGAAGTAGATAGTGATAAGGTAAAGATGTATACTATGACCCTTAGAACAACAATTAAAATTAAAATAATAAATAAAGGATATGTATTTAATTAGATAATATATGAGATAAAGTGGATTTCTAAAGCCACATGAATAATACAACAGAATGCAATTTATTTAATGAGTCAGTACACCCTTGATACCAAATGGTGGGAAAAAAGAAGAAATAAATAGCAAATGGTATTACTACTATAGAAAACAAATAACAGGATTAAAGACTTAAACCCAATGATAATTAATAATTATATTAACGCAAATGCAAATACTATATACTATGTATATACTATATACATTTCAATTAACAGATCGATAACATGCAACCTGCCAAAAATAGAGAACAAACCCTCAGCCCCCAATATGGCACCATTTCACTAGGAGACTGAACAGACGCTCAACAGCAATTTGACCACATTAGACCCCTTCACTCTGAAAGGGACGGTGATTAATCTTGACTCAAACTGACATATATTCTGTAGATAGTGTTGCCTTTTCTGCTTCACAAGACCTCAGCCAGCACCAACATCTAAGAGTTTAGTGTTAGATTTATAAGCACAAAAATTGCATGAAACCAAGGGATTTATTTTATAGCAACACGTATGGCAATTAGCACACAACAATGGGATCCACTGGTCCTAATAATGCAGGCACCACCACTCAGAATCTGTCAGACTGACCTTCCAGTAAGGTGGCGTGCTGAAGTTGCAGCTGAGGTACCAGCTCAGATATGATACTATGTGAGGATGAGTATCATGCTCAAGGATGAAATATATACTCTTAGTTTGCAACTAATATATGGTGTTATGTCTTCAACTGAGAGAAATCATGGATCCAGAAACCAAAATGTGAATGTAAAAGTGGTCTTGGTTACTATCATTTTTTTAAATCCATATTCATGGTGCCTTCAACACTGCACTCTGAAAAGGTCTTTGTAAATCCTAGTTATCCAAATGGTTAACATTTCCAATTAATGACCCAAAAAGAGTCTCAACAGATTTTATTCTTTGGCTATTGCCTGTGCACTCTGAACTTCAGCAAAGAAACTAGCAGAAACACAGAAGATTCAATGACCTGAAGTGGGTAATTGTCCCTGATTATCACAGAGATAGTGCTGCTGTTACAAAATTGAGGAATAAGTTTGGCACTCAGATGACACACTTGAACATTTTTTCTGCCTCCTTTGCACATTACCTGTTAGTGGAGTGTAGCAGCCACATCTTAAGAAGGTCATGATGATCAGGTCTTCAGCTATCTGAGATATGAGGTTCTTGGTCTTACCCTAGGTAAACCTCCTAAATGAGCAGAGTTGCTATCCAATTGTGAATGGACTCTTGAATGGCTAATAGACAGTAGAGATAATGAGTATCCTTTGTGGCCAAGAGAACAGCTTCAGTGGTAGAGGCTATAGTTCATCCCACTAAAATTCATTTTACAAATTTCCCCTGGGAAATAAGGCCCACCAGAGTCCTGATGGATTTTTTCAAGAAATCCTATGAAGTAAGTGGACCCAAGAGGCACAAATAATGAAATATAGTGGATGGAGTCCTGTGCATCCTAGTACTCCAGCACCCTAGCCCTCTAGTTCTGAAAGAATTATTCTCCTAACTGCTGGAAGGGGTGTTGGCAGATAGGTTTCATATATGAGCTCTCTCTGCCAATTACTCTCAGCTAAAGAGAGTCATTTCACGTAAGGCTATATCTTCTCTCAGTACAGTCTGAAACCAACCACTACTTAATACAGAGTCATAACAGTCCAGTTTCTTTGCTTCGATTCAGCATCTTAAAGGGTAATTCTGGATTTTGATATTCTTATCAGATAAACTGACACATTTGTTGTGACTGCATTTTATCACAACTTCTCCTAACTAAACCCACTACCAACACTTTCATGGTAGGTAGATAGTTATCCCAAGAGAGAACTCTGCAATAAATTTTCTGAAAGCCAATGTGTCTCAGAATCTAACCTGTAATGCCAACACATGAAAACCACAAAATCTTTGCTGAAAATAAATTAAAGAATACCTAAATAAGTTGGAAAATATATTCCTAAAGCACAAGGCACAAAATTGCTAAGATGTCAAATATACCCCAAAGTGTCCTTTGTATTCAATACAAGCCCATTAAAATTTTATAGTTGTTTTTGTGGAATTTGACAAAGATGTTAAATTGTATATGGAAATAATAAGTATGTAGATGATTCTCAAAAGCAATCTTTATGAAGACAAATTTGGAGTATTTACAATACTTGCCTTTAAGACATAGAACAAGGTACATTAAGACAATTTAGACTGCTGGAAAGAAAAATGAATATATTTAATAAACCCAAAGAGTTTTCTTAGAAATATACCCAAAATGTACAATTAATTAATCTTTTAAAAGAACTCCAAAAAATAATATTTTAATTAATCTTTTAAAAGAACACCAAAGAATTAATCTTTTAATTAATTGATCTTTTAAAAGAACACCAAATTACATTTAGTTAGAAATGAAAATCTTTCCACCAAATGGTGCCAAAATAGGCAAACACAAACATTCATATGGACAAAAGTTGAACACTGACCCCTCCACCAGTACTTTTTCACACAAAAACGTTAATTCAAAGTAGGTCCTATATCTAAATGTACACACCAAAATCATAAGGCTTATACAAGAAATCATTAGATAATATCTCCAAGCTCTTTAAGTCTATTAGATAGAACAGAAAATCTGTGGACCATGAAAACAACTAATAAATATGATCCCATCAAAAATTTAAGAAGCTCCTTCTCCAAAAACATCTGCTCTTTAAACAGTGAAAAGGCAAAGCCACAGCCTGCAGAAAATATTCAGAACATTTCTATCTGGCAAAGGACTTGTACCCAGGATATATAAAGACCTCTTACAACTCAGTGAGAACAACACAAGAACCAAAATTACTTAGATGGGCATAAGACTTGAATAGAAACCTCACAATGAAGATAAGGAAGATATACGAAGGCAAACAAGCATAAGAAAAGGTATTATGTGTCATTAATCATCAAAGAAATGCAAATCAAACCACAGTGAAATGTTTGACAACCTGAAATATAGGCTATTTGGAGTGCTATGGCTTGAATGTTTGTGTCTCCCCAAAATTTGTATTTTGAAACGTAATTATCAATGTGATTGTGTGAGGAGGTAGTGCCTTTAAGAGGTGATTTGGTCATGATGGCAGAACCCCCGTGAATGGGATTAATTCCCTGATTAAGAAGACTCCAGGAATCTCCTTTGCCCCTTCCACCATGGGAGGACACAGCTAGATGATGCCGTCTATGAACCAGAAAGCAAGCTCTCATCAAACACTGAATCTGCTGAACCCTTGATCTTGGACCTGCCAGCCTCTAGAACTTTGAGAAATAAATTTCTGTTTTTTAATAAGCCACCTGATCTAAGGTATTTTGTTATAGCAGCCTAAATTGACTAAGACATGGAACAACCATAATTTTTATACATGGCAGGTAGAACACTGGCAATTTCTTATAAAATTAAACCTCCACTGGCCCTATAATTTGTGGTTCCATTCTTTGGTATTTAATGAAGTAAATAAAAACATATATCAACTAAAAGTTTCTAGAAGAATATTTGTAGGACCCTTATTCTTTGTAGCTCAAAGCTCAAAACAACACAGATGTTCCTCAACAGAAAAATGAATAAACAAATATTTGTGTAATGGAATATTACTCAGTAACAAAAAGAATGAACTATGATACATGCAAGAACTTAGATAATTCCAAAAATATTTTATTTATATTAATTTCTAGAACAGAACAAATTCATCATTATAAGAATCAGGTAACAATCGCCTCTGAGGAATTAATTGACTGGGAAGTGAAGGGAAGAACATTTCTGGGTTGATAGAAATGTTCTATCTTGATAGGAATGTGGATAACACAGTTGTATGTATTTGTAATACACTCTAGAAATATATACATTTGTCTTATCATACACAATGCACTATAGATTAGTGGATTACTGTATTCCACTGTATAAAATTTTTACCTCAAAAAATAAGTAGAATTATATATCAGGAAGCTACTAACAGGCAGCACATGGCAGAATTTCTGGGAGGTCAGAAGCAAATTACAAATTGGTTGTTTGTAGTGACTACACAACTCAGTTTTGTCTTCTCTTCCTCCTTATAGAATGTTTCTCTTTTTCTTGTCAGTTAGCAGATAAATATTTAATGAGCGTCCATTATATTCTAGGCACCATAATCTCAGTTTCTCTACATCTGACATGTCATGGCAGCTAGCTAGCTAGTTAGTTAAGTTATAAATTTGAAATTAATGTTCCCTTTTCTTTATAATTTTTAAGAATGTGGGAAAAATTGATATAAAAAAACAGCTGTTGGAAAATTTTCTGTCAGTGATGAACTGGTGGTGGGGAAAGTTTTTGTTTGGGAAATTCTTAGTCCTCATGAAAAAATTGAAGGTTTGTATTCTTCAAGTTGAATCTTTTCCAACTCTCAAAGAGTTTCATGGAAATACACACACACTAAAAGGACAAATTCAGGGTAGAGTTTTACTTTACTGTATCTTGTAGATCATGCCTTGCTGGCTGTTTAAGCATCATCTGAAGAGTTTGATAAATATGCAGATTTTTGAGTCCTAATTTTGGAAATTCTATTTTAGCAAAGCTATACAGCCAGGTTCTTAAAATATCATTATAGACAACCGGGTTCTAGAAATACATACACAAAAACTCTATGAGGAAGAGACAGTATATACGAGGGATCATCATAGGCAAAATGAAAAAAAAAAAAGATGGCTGTATGAGTGATTCCCCTTACACCTCCCTCTTGGTTCTAATTTTGTCTTCACCACAGCCTCCAGGGGCACAGAGTTGGCTCTGTGTTACAAGACCCAGAAATAAGCAAAACCCCTTTCCCACCTTGCAAGCGGCAAGTTATTTTCAAATTTTAGCTTTTTCTTTGCTAAGAACCCAGGAGAAAGTAAAAGAAAATGCAAAATTAGAAAAGGCTTAGCCTAATAAAATACAGATTTCTGAGCCAAACATAGTCAAATTGAAACCATAAGTTAGCTGGTCCAATTTACTGACATTCAGGTCAGTTTGCTCAACTTCCTCCAACACATTCTACTGATTAGAGATTCATCTGGGTTTAGGGGTAAAAAACCAAAAACCTCCATTTAAACTTATAAATTACTTCTCAGGAAGGTTAAGTTGATCATAAATTTTAGTCAGATAATCTTATGTTTTTTTGTTTTGGTTTGGTTTTTGTTTCTATCTAATACAAAGCTACAAAAATGATGGACATTTAAGGGATGGGAGAAGAACTGAAATTACAATTTTTGAGCAAGAAACATAGGGAAACAAGTCAGCATCTGAACTTTTAGCAGCTCCTTGCATGCGCATGCTGCAGGCCCCAAGTGCCCTTCACAAATCAATCAATCCTTCTTTTATCACTCAGAGTTTCTCTCTAGGTCCCCACCTTCAGAAACTATCCCTCTATTCTCCTGGCTTTTTTCTTCTCTTTGCGTGGTCCCCTCTGAACCTTGACTCAATTGGCCAATCCTTGACTTGGCCATACCTTACTCTTCTGTAGGTTCCCTCCCATTTGATTGTCTTCAATCCCTACACTCTGGCTTCTTCCCTCATCTTGATCTAGACTCAAAAACACTGCCCCTATGCTCCGGGGCTCCTTCTTCTCTGAAAGTTGACATCAAATGCATGAGGGGATAAATGTAGAATTCAATGCCCTGATATGGTCAGAAGCCCTATCAGGGCATTGAGAATAGATAAATATTATTTATCTGTTTACACATTTTCACACAATTTTGGCCCTATGCTATGGACTTCTCACTCTACAGTCTAGGTTCAGCACTATCTCTTTCATTCTCTTATTTTTTCTTGAAAATGAATATCATGACCTATGACTCCCAATAGCTATCTTCCTATTGCTGATAGAATTATTTGCTGACAAATTATTTGGATGACTTTACATCCAAAGCATATGTTTTCTTTTTCCAGCCTCTTACACATTGCCATCTGGTGTCTGTTCCTGCCTTATCTCCATCTACATGATCTCTTAGACCTCTTTGATGCATTAAAAAATATAAAGCCTGCTTTATTAAAGACCATGAAACCCTTTCAGTAAACTTACCTCCTTCCTAGTTTGCTTAAACCAAGTGGAGCAGGATTATATTATGAAGAAAAGTAGTACCAGTAAGACTAGGTACAAATTGGAAAGCAGCTGCCCTCCCAATTCAAGGTAACATACTTTTATTGTGGCCTTTCTGTGTCCCAGAGATTTTGTTTAAATGCTAGATAAACAAGTTAGGGGAAAAAGATAAATTGTTGAATTCTTGAATGATTGAGAAATTCTTGAATGATTGAGAATTTCTTGAAAAGAACATGAAATTCTAAGGAAAGCTTTATCTGGGTGAACCTGAGTTCTAAAACTCCATTTGCAAAGACCTAACAGAAATATCTTGCCATAATCTTAATATCAACAAAACTAAACTCACTAGTCTATTTTTAATTGTCCCTGAAAAACGACATTTTATGTTTCAGTCATCCAGCTCCCTTATTAATACTTTTATTCCTTTTTTACATTGCTTCATGTACAATCAACAAGCTTTTCCTTTTTTGAGGTCTACATACTGGACTGTTAATACCTGTCATAGAATTTATTTATTGAGCTGAATTTTGCTTCATAAGCCTACATAACAATGCTATGGCATCATTAATGTTGGAAAACTAAAATTTAAGATAAAATCAATAGAAAATACTAATTGGGATAGTTCATGTTGAAAAAGGAAAAATTCTGCCTATGAAAAAAATTAAAGAATTGTAAAACTTTTTGAACCTAACAAAGGGGAAATTAACATTTTTACAATTATAATAAAAAATTTAAGCATACTTTTCCCCAAAACTAACATAAAATAAACCAAAACCCAGCAAGACAAAGAAAAATTTGCATAACATAAATAATACAGTATTTAAAAGGTAACGTATATTCAGTTGTAACCCACTTGCAATATTTACCAAAAAAATAAAAATACAGAGGTTACAAAGCAATGCTCTCAAAGTGAAAATGAATAAAACCATTTCATGCATACTGACTATATTTACTACTAAAGCAAAGAAATCATAAAATTCAATAACCTTTCAAGTGAAACAAACCAAATCAAAACAAAAAAATATTTTAGCAAACTGGAAGGATAATAAAACTCTTTTATTCTGATACTGCATGTTAATTGGAAGCCCATCATGAATATCATCCTTCAAACTGCTAATAAATAACATTACACACTTTCCTGCTAAAGTCAGAAAGTTATAATTTATGTTATTACTACTACTATCTATCACTATACTATAGGTCTTAGCCAATGCAATAAGAGGTTTTTTTAGAAAATTAGATTGGAAAGACAGAATTTTAAGCTATTATGAATAGTTGTAAGAGGGAAAACTAGAGTATTTATAATAGTACCAATAAGGGAATTTAGCAATATACCCAGATTGAAATACAATGTATAAACATTAATAGCTTTTCTAAATCCTGCCAATGTAAGACAGGAACAATTATTTTCAAAATAATAACAGCAAATATAAAATACTTAAGATTATACCTTATAACAAAGATTTCAAAATAATGAGTAAAGTGTTCACCTCATAGCAGATAAAACTCAGGAGGGTAAATTATCAGCAAATGACTTTAAAAGATACACTAAAATCTATGAAATTAAAAAATCAAAGATAACCAAAAAGTTAAGCTGAGTTCTTTGAAAAGTTTAAATTAATAATGCAAAAATGAGGTAACACTGATATAGAAAAAATAAGAGAATGCTTAAATAAAATACTAAGAATGAGAAAGAGATATAGCTAGAGATGGAATAGACATTTTAAAATCACAAGAGACTATTTTGACTTCTAAAGAGAAAATTGTAGAAGTTTACTCAATAGCATAATCACTCCTGAATAAATGAAGAGAGATCGTTGCGGATGAGAAGTCTCGACATGTTTTTTTTTCTTATTTAATATAAAAATTCTTTGCAATGTAAATCAATATCCAATAGGATTTTATAGCATTTTGTAGGCTGATTATAAATTTCATGTAAAAGATACATTTTCAGGAATAGATAATAGCTGTCTGAAGATGAACAGAAAGGAAAACATGTCCTACCAGATGTAAAATCTTAAAAAGCATATGTCTTAAAGAACTGCAATGTTGACATAGGATAGGCAACAAAATCTGTAAAACTAAATGTAACATTCAGAAGGGGACCTGTAGGAATAATTGAATATTTAGAAAAAAATGACATTTCAAATCAGCGAAGAAAAGAAAAACAACTCAATAAATGGTCTTAGAGTTTTGGGATAAATATTTAGAAAGATAAGTTAAATTTCATTTTACAGTCATCACAAAAAATAAATTCTAGATTAATCCAATAAACATAAAAGAAAGTTCTACAGGGTTATAAGAAAATATAGCACAATGCTTTCTTTGGTGCAATGTGGGGCAGTTAGGTAAATAAGACAACAAAGCCAAATTTATAAATAAAAATATTGATGCATTAACTAAATCAAAATTAATAGCAGGAGTTCCATTGCTAAATGATATTTAAATGTCACTAGTAAAGCTAAATGGTAAGCAAACACAGAGAAAATATTTGTAATTTTTATGATGCTAAAGCATCGAAAGCAGTACTTTTCAAACTCTCCATGGTGGAGGGCCAACTTTTTTTTCTATTTTTAATCTTTTATGGGCCAATACATTTATATAATACAATAAAAATGAATTACCAGAAAAATAAAATTAAAAGAACATATAACATGTAAGTCCTTTTCTTACATGAGATTGAATAGTAATAAAATTACTCAGTCCACCTACTTTCAATTTCTCTGCCTACCTTGTAGTGGACCAGCAATAACCCATCGGTGGAGCAACACAGATCCACTGAAGACACCATGAGCTAAGCGGATCATAAGATGTCCCACAAATCAGTATGAAAATGGCAAAAAATCAAACACAAAAACACGTAATTTTTACTTCATCTTATGCTCTGGGGAGAAAATTGCACACATGCAGCAAGAGATACTCATAAGGATATCCATATCATGATTGTTTATAAAAGCAAGAAATTGAAGGAAAAAGTCCATCTCCTAATCCTTGCTCTAAAAAACACTTCAGTATTTAACTCTGCTGTCACTTTCCTGGTCTAAGTGAGCTCCTGAAATAACCTAACTCTAACGCTAACCCTTACATAAATGTCTGCTGCTCTTCCACCATCCAGTCTTTCCCTACGCATTAGCTAGAGTCTTCTCTCAGCATGTAAACAGGATGCCTCACACTCTCCTGAAAACCTTCAGTGGTTTCATTTTACACTGACATTAAAATTCAAATTATTTACAACTCCTTGTGTCTTCTGGCCTCTGCCTGCCTCTTACATTTGATCTTTAAGCCATGCTTTCCTTTACTAACTATTCCCCATATACACTGACCTTTCAGTTTCTGCTCTGAAATTCTGTTCCTCGCATTTTATCCTGGCTAGTTCCTTCACATGCTTTTGTCCTCAAACTCAAATGTCATTGCTTTATATTGCTTTCCATTGACCCAACCAATCCAAATTAGGCATATCTCTACAGCCTGCTTTTCTTTATAAAACTCAGTTCTTTTCTACATTCGGTTTTGTGCTTCTTCTGCCTCCCATACTAACTACACTGGGGGCTACAAAAAAGTAGAGAGTGACTTCTCTATTCCCATAACCTGGCTCAGTGGTCAGCAGCTAGCAGGTGCTCAATATGTATTAATTAATTAAATAATTGAGTAAATGAGAAACGGAGGTTAAGAGAGGAGCTCAAAGCTAAGAAAAGAAGAAAGGGATTGTGAGAGGAGAGAATAAAGACAAAATAATGAAGAAAAGAAAAGAAAAGAAAAATTGTGTTGAATTTGAAAAATAAAAACAATAAAGATAAATTTGGAAAAATTATAGTACTCGACTTAGTTAACAGCAATGAAAATATTTTGTAGATAAATATGTCATGTCATAATTCCATAACTGCCCTTCTTTCAGAATTATAAAGACAAGATAGCATCCTAAAATCTTTTTTCTAAATATATAACTATTCCTACTATATCATACATCAATACATTATTTAAATACAAAAAAATTGATTTATTTGCATCGTACTTTCTCACAGTAGAATAAATGGAATTTTACATTCTCTAGGAACTTTTTTGAACCACTCAAAGAATTTCACTTTCTTGGATGTGAGGTGAGACCAGGTGGTTCCTGAGTAGATTTAAAAAAATGCTAGAAAAGAATAAAAAGAGAGAAGAAACCAGAAACTTGAGTTTGTAATTTACTTGTGAAATGATATAAATAATGGTAATGTGCCCTGTTGTTCCCGCAGGCACCATTTGGAGCCTGAGAATGGAGACCCAAATAATTGTTCTTTGTGGGCACATAAAGTGAGTTTTTCTTCCTTACCCGTCTTTTTGTTGTGTATCTATCAGTCAGTGTTCAGTTGCAGGTAAAGAAAAGAATCTACTCTAGCTAGTTTAAACAGAAAGGGTTTATTTAAGGGCATTAAATATCACACAGGATCATTAGGAGAACTAAAGATCCTAATTCTTGTTTGAGTTTTCAGGAATCATTCATGAGGCTACATTGCAAAATTGGGCTATCAAGGGAGCTACAGTTCCTGCCACAGTCCTGTAAAAGGAGAAAACTGCATGTGAAATCAGAAAAATGTTGCTACAACCTTTTATCAATTCCAGAACCACATTGCATTTATCATGGATACCATGGATTTGATACCCTGACTCCCTAGTCACATGACTGTGTGAAATAAAAATTTTGTGCTGGTTCATCTTATCAAAAGACTATAAATCATATCTAGAACACTAGCCACAATAATGTCGAGGAAATGTTGTTTGTTGTTTATTTTTGTTTGTTTCATACGCTAAAAGGGTGTTGGAATGCCTGTTGAGCAAGTCATTTATAGTACCTGTCATATACAGGATGTGCACCTGTTCCTTTCTACCAGTTAAGTGAGAATAGATATGTGAATTAAGATAGTAACAGTGAGGATATGGAAATTCTAAGAGATATTTAATATGTTTCTGTTTGGGCTAATAAGAAAATGTAGGTATTATTTTAGAGATTCAGGTGGATCCTATATATCGTTATTGAACTACGTTATTGATTAAAATACCAATAATTTCTTGGATTTTTACAGAAAATATGAAGCTTCTAACAAGTTAGTTTAAAATAATTAAGCCTTGACTCTATTGATGCTTTGAGTCAGATAATTCTTTCTTGTAGGAGGCTACCCTGAGTATTGTGTGTAGGTATTTAGCAGCACAAATGGCCTCTACCTACTAAATGTCTATACCACGTCTTTTCTTCAGATGTGACAATAAAAAATGTCCCAGATGTTGCCAAGTGCATGATTGTGTCCAGGTTTGAGTCACTAGTTTAGATGATCACATAAGGGGAAGAGTCCAAATCTTGCTTTTAAAAAATAGAAACGAAAAATAACAACTTCCAGAATACATAACTATTTCTTTTATTATAATTTTCTGTTTTTCAATTTTAGAAGTATATTTTCTGTTTTTTTTGTTTGTTTGTTTTGTTTTTTGAGACGGAGTTTTGCTCTTATTGCCCAGGCTGGTGTGCAATGGTGCGACCTTGGCTCACTGCAACCTCTGCCTCCAGATACAAGCTATTCTCTTGCTTCAGCCCTCCCGAGTAACTGGGATTACAAATGTCCGCAACCTCACTTGGCTAATTTTTTGTATGTTTAGTAGAGACAGGGTTTCACCATGTTGGCCAGGTTGGTCTTGAACTCCTGAATTCAGGCGGTCCACCCACCTCGGCCTGTCAAAGGCTGGGATTACAGGTGTAGCCACCACGTCCGGCCTAGAAGTATAAGTATATATATACATTTTTTTTTTTTTTTTTGAGACGGAGTCTCGCTCTGTCTCCCAGGCTGGAGTGCAGTGGCGCGATCTCGGCTCACTGCAAGCTCCGCCTTCCAGGTTCACGCCATTCTCCTGCCTCAGCTTCCCGAGTAGCTGGGACTACAGGCGCCCGCCAACAGGCCCAGCTAATTTTTTTGTATTTTTAGTAGAGATGGGGTTTCACCGTGTTAGCCAGGATGCTCTCAATCTCCTGACCTCGTGATCTGCCCCCTCGGCCTCCCAAAGTGCTGGGATTACAGGCGTGAGCCACCATGGCCGGCTGGATATCCTATTTTCTATACGTTTAAAAATTATATAATTTTTATATTTCGTTAATATTTTTAATTTATTGCATTTTCCCATTTTTATTGCTTAATTTCATTTTTAATATTCATTACTTAATTTCAGCAGGTTTTATAATTTCAAGAAACTAAAATTATCACTTACTTGTAAATATACCCCACTTTCTCACAAAAATAAATCTAGAAATCTAGACATTAGAAAAACATGGTGAAACACTTATTCTATTTCTCACAAATGTGGGAAAAATATTTATTCATTAATATCACCTTTGCTGTAGTAGTGACAATGAGGTAAATTGTATTTCTAATTCCATCTTCTGTTGTTAGTTCCAAGTCAGGATCTTTCTCTATCCTTAAAAAACTGAGATTGAGGCTCTCAAAGTTTTCTGCCTCAAATTCCTTTAATTAGTGATAATGGCCCCAGATGGCTGGGTATTTTTCGTGGAATGAGGGGGTTTCGAAACAAGTTTCAGTCAGGTGCAGTGGCTCACGTCTGTACTCCCAGCACTTTAGGATGCTGAGGTGGGCAGATCACTTGAGCTCAGGAGTTGAAGACTAGCCAGGGCAACATAGGGAGATCCCGTTTCTGCAAAAACTAATAATAATAAAAAGCCCGGAGTAGTGGTTCCTGCCTGTACTGCCAGCTACTCAGGAGGCTAAGGTCGGAGAATTGCTTGCCCAGGGAGGTCTAGGCTGCAGTGAGCCGTGATCACGCCACTGCCCTTCAGCCAGAGCAACAGAGTGAGACTCTGTCTCAAGAAAAAAAGGAAGAGAAAGAATGAACGAAACAAGCTCCTCCATGAAAGGGTTTTCAGTTTCTCGACTGTGGTTGCATGTGACAGTGTCTTCAATATCACATACTAATGTCTAGAACTCATCCATAGAGAATTTGATTTAATATGCCTGAGTGGGGCTGGCCATAGGTATTATTTTAGACCTCTCTGGATGAGTCTAATAATTGAGAAACATTGCTGGAAGGAAATACTGTTCAACTATGATCAAGCTATATATAGTTTTTGAAAAACTCTCAGATAATTTTCATATATCATTTTTAAATGGACATGTTCTTAACAGTTACAAAGCACATCCTGAAAATTAATTATTCATGATCCAAGAGTCAGTTTCTCTCTCTCTCTCTCTCTTTTGCTCATTCTTTCTCTCTCTCTCCCTGCTTCCTCTGCTTCACCTCAGAAACGCTTAACAGGTACCTCCCAATGCAGAGTTGGGAAGATTTTGTGTGGAATAGGATGCTTTCTTTAACATTAGAACTAAATCTGGAAAAACGATGTCCAGTGTCATTTTCAACTGGAAATTTTCTGAAAGAATATGGAGCCAACAGACAAACCTGTGGTGAGGAAGATAGCTTTACGTGAGTCTTCCCATTCACAAATCCATCCAAGACACTGCATTCTTTCTGCCTTACTAGCTTATGTAGCCTAGACAGTAAAGGTCACTCTGAGAGCCCAACTTTACTAGCTGCTATGCCAGCTCCCAATCCCATTTTATGTTTGCTCCAGATTACAAAACTACTTCCTTGCAGCGTTGTATGACTACAAAAATTTGGTTAATATTTCTGCATCTTTTATCTCATCCATAAGATGAAGTAAATAGACTTGAGAGGCTTTAAAATCTACTCTTGCTCCAATAATTTATTTCCTTCTTTGCAAGACATTTGGCAAAGTGTTTAATTACTGTTAGGAGCTTTAAAACTCCAACGGTATATTTTAAATTAAATAAAAATGTTTTGGATATTTCTTTGTTTTCAGTCAATCATGAACCCTCCTCTTCTCTTTCTCTTCTGTTTTTTCTTGGCATTTCCTCTTCTGAGATCGATAAGGTGATAGATTATTATCTTTCTATAGACAGAAATTGATGGGCTAAGTGTGAAGCACAGAAGATAGGGAATAACAAATTAAGTAATAGAGAAAAGAGAGAGGAGGAAGTGAGATCATAGATCCAAATGCTCATGACTTTTAAAGATGGGAACCTGTGATAATGAGGTGTCAGCAAGGTAAACTAGGTAAGTACTAAACTTAGAGGATTCTGGTTACATCGATCGGCCTTGTAGTTTGTAAGTATATTGCATACTTTCTACCAGTCCCCAACCACAGAAGGCTGCCACATACTCTCCTTCTCCTTTGACAACTCCCCTTAGGCCTTCTCCTCCTACAGAGAGTCATGAGTTATAACCCCAAAGCCCCTGCACAGACGTCTCTCACCCCCACTGTGGGCAGGTGCCATCATTCAAAATATACACAGATTCCATGGAGAAAACATATTATGACAGCATCACAATCGATCTCCTTACTCCTCAAGAAGTTATATCCAAGTGACCTATATTCATGTACAAATTAGGTCAGATGGGAAAATGAAAAGTAGTTACAATAAATCACACAGTAAACACAGGAGTTCATAAATAAATAAAACCCGTGATAGGAAACTCAGAGTTGAAATAAGAATGCCTAATAAATGAAAAAGAAAAGAATAAAAGTTACAATCATAATATAATATAAAACTTTGGGAAAACTGGTGTGAAAAATTTTTTAATATCTGTAAATATACCTTTGCCCTGGATAAACTAAATGAGGGAGGTTGCAAAGGGTAACTAAGTGACAGATATTACCTAAATTTAGGGATTGAATAATTCTGTATTGACTGAATCTTTAAAAAGTAAAGTAATAGCAATAGTAAAAAAAAAAAAGAAAGAAAGAAAGTAATAGTAGTATAGCAAAAAAAGTTCCAATGTGTACAAGCAAAAAAAAAAAATCCCTTATTTTAGCCTTTCTTAGTTTCCAGTAGTAACCACTGTTACAAACTGTTGTGATTATATATAAACACACAGACACACATATGTATATACACACATATATATTTCAAATATGTTTATATTTCACATATAGTTATAAATATAGAGCTATATTTGCATGTATAAATGCTCATATACTTTTGACACAAATGGGTTCAAATTTTACATCTTTATGCACATTCCCCTATTTATTTTTCCACTAGTTACAGTCCTACTTCCTGGTGCTAGGCTTGGCTCCAACACTTAATACTTGCATGATCTTAAAATGTGCTTGTTGCTCAAATTCTCTGTGCCTCAGTTTCTCAATAAACAATGGAGATAATAGTAATACTTGACACTTAAAGTTGCTATTAAGATTAAATGTACTACATTACAAGTCTTAGAATAGTGTTCAAACATCAGAAGTGCTGTGGAACTGTTAGCTTTTATTTTTATTGTCATCATCAATATCATCTTCATCATTATACATAGTGGATGGTGTGGTACTTTGCCCAGATCCCCTCTTCATGTTACTTCTGATGACTTACCACCATGCCCCTTACTGGTAATCACCCTTCACCACAGGGAACAGCCATGCACAAAGTTATGTTCACATTCCAGGGTACATTCCATAGCCAAAGACTGGCTGATGTGGGAATACAAATGCTCAGCTGCCCTAGCCACAGTGTGGGTAATTCTGAGGGCCATCCCAGATTCAGAACTCTTTTGTAGGATTATGAGACAACTTTCTTTGCTCAATCCTATTTTCTACATTCACTTTATACGTATACATGTAAATTCTGAAACTACCAACAATAAATGTGCTTCATGAAATTTACTATCTCAGAGTTTATTTCCAAGGAACCCCCAAATCTAAAACAATTGGTTCCAGAGGTAACCCTAGGGGACCTGTTCTTTTGTGTTGTTTTTGTTTTGAGACAGGGTCTTGCTTTGTCACTCAGGATGGAGTGCAGCGGTGTGAAGCCAGTTCACTGTATCCTCCATCTCCCAGGTTCAAGAAATCCTCCCATCTCAGCCTCCTGTGTAGCTGGGACTACAGATGTGCAGCACCAAGCCTGGCTAATTGTTTCTTATTTTTTGTAGAGACAAGGTCTCACTATGTTGGTCAGTGTGGTCTCAAACTCCTAGGCTCACGGGATCCTCCTGCCTTGGCCTCCCAAAATGCTGGGATTATGAGCATGCGCTACCATGCCTGGCCAAGGGGGCATACTCTAATATAAAACTTTTTATTTGTATTACCACTGATCAAGCAGTACTGAAGACACTGCAACTTGTGGATGGTGGTGTATGGATAGCCTGTACTGTGTTGTACCGTTTGGTGTTAAAACTTTCACTGGTGATGAACGGGATGTGATACCTGTGAAAGGTGATGCACCACCTAGTGCAATTTCTCTTGGTTGTGTGATATATGAGAAAAATGGTAATTACAAGGTTAATGAAACTGGGTGACTACTGTTGATTTCCACTGAGTAGTTTAGAGAGATGAATATAGCTTAGCATGATTAATCAACCATTCAAGGCAGAGTGTGAATGACTACGAGTAGCTTGTAAGTGGCTACATTTAAGAAAACCCTAATCTCCTGTAGCTGGAAGGCAGGGAGAATAAAAGACCACTCTCAGGGCTTAAGTAAAAGTGGAACTTCAGAGAAAGTTGATGTCTTAGTCCCAGAAGATCTCCTACACCAAGGAATTTATCTTCTAGTTCTGGAAGGAATGGGACTTGAGAATTGTAATGGTGACATCTAAATGGGTACATTTGAGAATCTTAAACACCCAAATTCCCTTAACCTTTCTGGGTTTGCCAAAGCAGCCTCCTCCTCCCTGTTAGTTGACAACAGTGCTCCCTTTTCTTCCTCTCACCTGCCGCACTGACTTGAGATCATGCAGAAGTCTCATATAAATCAGAGACATTATAAGACAATGCTTACTCCTTCAGAATATCCTAACATCCATACCTCTAATAAGGACCAAATTCCAGCACAGTCTAGTTAGGGAGTCATCATGCATTCTCTTCTTTCTTCTTTCTTCTTTCTTCTTCCTTCTTCCTTCTTCCTTCTTCCTTCTTCCTTCTTCCTTCTTCCTTCTTCTTCTTCTTCTTCTTCTTCTTCTTCTCCTCCTCCTCCTCCTCCTTCTCCTTCTCCTCCTCCTCCTCCTTCTTCTTCTTATTTTCTTTTCTTTTTCTTTTTTGACAGAATCTCACTTTTTTCACCCAGGCTAAAGTGGAGTGGCACGATTTTGGCTCACTTCAGTCTTGACCGCCTGGACTCAAGTGATCCTCCCGCCTCAACCCCTAAGTAACTGGGACTACAGATGTGTGCCACCACTCCTGGCTAATTTTTGTATTTTTTTGTAGAAAGGGGGTTTCGCCATGTTGCCCAGGCTGGTCTCAAACTCCTGATCTCAATTGATCCACCAACCTCGGCCTCCCAAAGTACTAGGATGTCAGGCATGAGCCACTGCACCCGGCCACATTCTAAGGAAGATAAGAACACTGTACTGAAGTTGCTGAAAGATCTGGCTAATATGTTTTGGTAGGAGTAGGTATGTAACTGGGTCCTGAGGGTTCTGGATCAAAGGGGCAAAAAATAAAGTTGAAGATGAAAGAAACACGTATGAATATAGGTCCAGTCTATAGATCTTAATACCATGTCAAGCACCACTGGAGATGGTCTTTGCTAGGAAGGTCTTTGAAAGCTAGGAGAAAGTAATGATTCATAAAAATGGGGGAAAATGCTAGAAAATATTATGACAAATAGAGAAGGAGGGGGTCAAAAGACAAAAACAGAGCATGCTATTATAGAACGGATACTATCTAAGGTCAGAAAACTCTACAGACCACAATGTTCATTGGAATGGTCCAGAGGATACTTCATTTATTACAGCAATAGGGATTGTGCTGATGAGAGGGATAGTGGCATTGCTGAGAAGCTGAGTGGTGGGGATCACCTGTAGGTCAGGGTAAAAGGAGGAGAAGCTGTCACAGAACTAAACTTCCTGATAATAATGAAGATAACAGGATTGTGAAAAACCAGTGTTAGGGCAGTGCCATGAACTGTCAGAAGCATGGCGCATGCAATCATTGCATTAAGTGAGAAGATTGAAATAGTAGCCAGGGGGGCTGATCAGCAAAGCTATGAATATGGCAAATGAAACATAGTATCCCTAGAAATACTGACAAGAAATACATGCTTAGGTTTTGTTTAAGGAATCAAAACTATATGTATGTTCAGGAGCTGGTGGGTGGAAGCCCCAACAAAAATCATGATCTCTTATCAAAGCCACAGTGCATAGAACACGACAGCAAACATATTCAGTAGTAATTTCTTCCATCTTTCCCAAAAGGGACCTATGGCCATTTGCTCAGGCAATCATGTAAATTAAGTCTGAATTGACATTGGTATTCAGGGACCCAAGCACCACTATTGCACCCTGTAAAGAGTAGGGGTGTGGGAGGTGCCAGATGATAACTAAAATATTGGCCCATATGAGGATTAAGTGATCCACTGGGTCCACAGACTTGTCCAGTGATAATTTGCCCAGTCCCTGAATGCATAATTGGAATAGACATACTGATTATTAGCAAAACCTGCACACTGGTTACTTGATCTGTGAAATAACTCTCTTAAGAAAGACAACTGGAAACTTCTAAAAGTGTGACACTTCTTTTCAAAACAATACAACATTACAGAGGAAATTCAGAAATTAGTGCTACCCTCAAAAACTTAAAGAATGCAACTTGTGGCTCCTTTCATACCACAATTTAATTCACCAGATTGACTCTTTAAAAAAAAAAACAACAACAACAAAAGATGAACCGTAACAGATGACCATGGATTATTGAAAACTGACCCAAGGAGTACTCCAATTTTCAGCCTCTGCCATATTGTTGATAGAGCAGATTAACATAGACTCTAGCTACAGAATGTGGCCATTGACTGCACCTGCATTCTTTTCTATCCCAATAAAGAAGGAGATCAAGAAGAAGATCATTTTCATGTAGGATGAACAACAGTACACATTTTCTGTCTTGGCCAAGAGCAATATTAATTTTCCCTCCCTCTGACATAATATAGTCTGAAAGAACTAGACCATCAAGGGCATCTAGCAGAATATCACACAGGTCCACTAAATAGATGACATCATGCTAGTCAAACCAAGTGAGACAAAACTGGCAAGTACATTGGAAACATTAAGACATACGTGCCAGAGAGGACAGGAGATAAACCCTCCTAAGATGCAGGGGCCCTCCACACCAGTAAAGAAGTTTTTAGGATTCCAGAGGACTGGAAAATGCCAAGACATTCTCTCTAAAGTAAAAAATAAATGATTTTCTCTTAAAACTTCTACCACTCAGAAGCAACACGATAATTGACAGGCCTCTTTGGAGTCTTTGGAATATAAAAGAAGTAAATTTAACAATTTAGAATACTGTTTCAATACTAAAAAAAGAAATAAAAATAAAACAAAAGAATACTGTTTCAATCCATTTACTGGATGACATAGAAGCCTGCTGGTATTGCGTGGACTCATCCTAATACAGATACAGAAAGGAGTCTGTATCTGTATTAGGTGTTCTTGCTTTGCTAATGTGAGATATATATACATATATCTGATATATATATCTGGCTCATATATATCAGATATTATAGATATAGATAGATAGAGATATAGATATAGATACAGATATATAGATATAGATATATATCAGAGGCCAGTCACAATGGCTCATGCCTGTAATCCCAGCACTTTGGGAGGCCAAGGCGGGGGAATCACTTGAAGTCAGGAGTTTGAGACCAGCCTGGCCAACATGGTGAAACCTCATCTCTACTAAAAATACAAAAATTAGCTGCACGTGGTGGTGCACACCTGTAATCCCAGCTGCTCTGGAGGCTGAGGCATGATAATTGCTTGAACCCAGGAGGCGGAGGTTGCAGTGAGCCGAGATCAGGCCACTGTACTCCAATCTGAGCAACAGAGTGAAATTGTCTCAAACAACAACAACAAAACCTGACTGGGTAATTAATAAAGAAAGGAGGTTTAATTGGCTCACAGTTCTTCTGGCTGTACAGGAAACAAGATGCTGACATCTACTTGGCTTCTGGGGAGGTCTTAGGAAACTTACAATCATGGCAGAAGGCGAAGGGAAAGCAAGCACATCACATGGTGAAAGCAGAATCAAAAGTGAGGGAGGAAGGTGCCATGCAATTTCAGCAACTAGATCTCAAAAGAACTCATTCACTGTCATGAGAATAGCACCATGAGGATGGAGTTAAACTATTTATGAGAAATCTGTCCTCATAATCCAATCACCTCCCACCAGGCCCCACCTCCAACATTGGGGATTACAATTCAACATGAGATTTGGGCGAGACACACATCCAAACTGTATCAGCATCAGACCAAGACTGCAGTTCAAACAGCCCTTCCACTTGGAACACATTAACTAGAAGACCATGGTACTAGAGGTTATCTGTGGTGGAAAAAAAAATCTGTCATATGAAGTTTACATCCAGCTTTTATAGAAAATCACAATCATATGCTCTGTAAAACCCACCGCTATGGTCTGAATATGTTGCCCCAAAATTCATGTTGAAATCCTAACCCCAAGATGATGGTATTAGGAGTTGGAGCCTTTTAGAAGGTGATTAGGTCACAAGAGTGGGGTTGTCATGAATGAAATTAGTACCGTTATGAAACAGGCCCAGGAGGCTTATTCATCCTTTCCATCATGTGAGGGCACAGTGAGAAGTCACTATCTATAAAGTAGGAAATGGGCTGTCTCCAGACACTGAATCTGGACATTCCAGAACAGGGAGAAATAATTTTCTGTTGTTTATAAACCATTCAGTTAATGGTATTTTGTTATAGTAGCTCAAATGGACTAAGACATACACCAAGTAATAAGACAGATAAGACTTTGTAACATTGATAAATCAGAGATTGGGCAAAAAGAAAGCCAAAGGGCATGAATAAAGTGTGAAAAGAGGAATAAACAATGTAAGAATACACATTCATGGGCAGTGGTTCATCTGATTTTTTCAGGGTCTTGAAAAGAGACAAATTGTAAGACTGGGGACAAGAAGTTCTGATGAAGTGGTAAGAGACTGCGTAAAAGAGGAAATTACGTGTGAATACTTTTATGCCATTTGTCAATTCTTTCCAGAGAGCATCTACTATTAAAGACTCTAAAGAATCAAGTGGACAATATATGTCATTACCAGTTTACATCAGCCAATCCCTGTTATCAGCCACTGTGTTTAAACAATAGGTGTATGAACAAGTGGCCAAGACAGCATAGAGGGTATGCATAGACCCCATGCGATGGGCTCCCCTAAACAATTCTATCTTATCTAGCTACTGTCCCTGCTGAATACCCAATGTGCCAGCAACAGAGACCAAAGCTGAGTCTCCGTATTATTGGATGGCTGAGACCACCCAATCATCTACTTTATGGCAAGTTGACTACCCTGGAAGCAACAGAAAATCACCGTGCCTTGTATTGACAAACATTTTTTATTACATGTTTATTTTTTCTCCTCAGAGGGCTACATTTAATATGAGTTTTGAGGACTTCCAGAGTATTTAGCCACCAAAATGGGACCCCATATAGCATTGCCCAGAGTTTAAAAAATAAAAAATACTGCATTAGAATAAAAGTGGTGTATAAATAGACACACAGCTGTGGGGTCTACTTATTTTGTCACACATTGCACAACCCAGAATTTGTCAATCTGATAGTTTGGCATGTTTGCTTCTTTAAAACACAGCTAAGATTCCATCTGTAAGTTGATACTCTCTACCTGAAAAACCCTCATCCTGGATCAACCTTATTACTTTCATATTTAGCATTTGCAATTAAGCTGTGGAAAGACAGTGCAGAATAGGACAATTTTGTTTCATTATAAATTCACAATCACCATAGAAAAGGAACTCTTAAGATAGCACAAAAACTTCTGGTCAATTTTATCTCCTAAAAATATCTCTTTGTCCATTCTTTTCTTATGCCCTTTAATCCATACTCAAAGTTTTCATTACCACCTGTACATAGAAGACTCTCAACTTTTATTCCTAGCTCAAGATCCACATATACGATGGTGTCTTCAACATCTCCACTTAGGTAGCTCAATGTAGCAAGATTTTATATCCATGCTTTTCCTTCCTGCTGGCCCTCAGTCTGGTCTTCTGTGTTTTCTTTTACTCCAAACAACATCACCACGTATATGCCGATGAAAAACCCATATATGCTTGAAATTTGCCTTTTTATCACCTATCATATCTAATCTATTACAATTCTTTTAAAATTATACATTTTTGTCTCCCTGGAACACCTACTATCTTTTTCCACTGCAGCAATTTATGTGAAGTCACAAAACATTAGCGTGCTGGTACTCAGTGCAGTATTAATGAGTTATTACCTCATAAAATTAAAGATGAGCACGTTTCACTCTTCTTAGGAAATGTCTCGCAGAATAATTTGGGGGTAAACACTCATTTGGGGTGGAAAGGAGTCATATTACATAAACAAAATAACCATTTGAAATACATGTGATTTCCAGTTGAAAATGTGTATTTAAATTATGGCTTCAAAGAAGATGGAACTTTGATCACTTTATCTTTTAAAGATGTTTATGTTTCTATATATAGTTATATAAATATAAATCTAGTTTTATAGAAGTGATCGCTACAGCAAGTACTTTTCAGGAACGATAGGCTATAAAATAAATACCTCATCAAAAGGATTTGCTCAAAGCTACAAATAAAATCACGGCACAATTATCTCTAAAGAACCCAAATCGAAGGTGGATGGGTGAGTGACATAAGTGGCAATAATTCTGGTGTGTGGAATAGTGTAATGGCAGTAAGGCTATAAAAATATACCCAAGTGTCTGACTTTATCAAAATGTACTTTATAGAAGCTTTTCATTTTTATATTTTAAAATCTAAATAACT
Organism: Homo sapiens; assembly: GCF_000001405.40. Lineage (NCBI taxonomy): Eukaryota > Metazoa > Chordata > Mammalia > Primates > Hominidae > Homo > Homo sapiens. The sequence goes on from NC_000021.9 coordinate 16,829,144, forward strand.
CGTTTAAAGTTGTTGATTTATATGATGCCTTTTTTTTTTTTTTTTTTTTTTGAGACAGAGACTCGCTCGTCGCCCAGGCTGGAGTGCAGTGGCACGATCTAGGCTCACTGCAAGCTCTGCCTCCTGGGTTCACACTATTCTCTTGCCTCAGCCTCCCAAGTAGCTAGGACTACAGGTGCCCGCCACCACACCCTGCTAAATTTTTTTTTTTTTTTTTTTTTTTGTATTTTTAGTAAAGACGGGGTTTCACCCTGTTAGCCAGGATGGTCTCGATCTCCTGACCTTGTGATCCGCCCGTCTCGGCCTCCCAAAGTGCTGGGATTACAGGGGTGAACCATATATGATGCTTTTATAAACATATTATTTATTTTAGACTTTCAGCAGCCTTGGTGACATACATGCTTTCCACTTTAACGTGTTGCCTAGTACTTTTTTTCTTAAAATTTGAGAAAAGAATAAGAGCTTGATGTAATCCCTGCTTCAACATTTTTTTGCTGCATAACTTTGGGTAATGTTGATAACGCATCGCACTTCTCTGAGCCTTGGTTTCCAGCTGTATAGTTGGAACAATGGGAATGCTAATGCTTACCTCAAGCTGGTTATTGTGAGGGTAAAAAATGTAAAAGATTCCTAACAGTCATTACTTAGGCACTCAATAAGTAGTAGCTCTCAATGACATTAATATTGATCTTTTGTTTTTGAGCCTTTGCTTATGATCATGGGTAAAATTATACTGTTTAATTTTGCAAAGCCAAAAAATATAATTTATAGGAATAAAATGAGATCAAAGCTTAAGTAGTTTTATTATTATCTATAGAAGGCAGTGGTTTCTAAGGTTATTTTATTAGACAGAGATAATTTGGGACATGAATTTGAATCTATTGAATGAAGCAGTGAGAGTTCAAGTGCAACATTTTATGGCAGATAACTGATAAATGAAAATTTAAATTCGGGAATGTTGAAATTGAATAGAACCATTGGGACAACATAAACCATGATTTTTCAGAATGTAACACTTGAGCCTAAAGAAGTTAATTAATTTCACATAATCACATAACAGATTAGCAAAAGAGAAAGTAAAAAATATATTTTTAAACTCCAGTCTTAGGCTGTTTTTAATGCTGCATAATGAAATGAAGAGAAAATTAATTTCCAGGTTATTTCCTTATTTTATAGGCAGAGTGCTTTGGATAGAAAATGTCTAAATTCTTTTTATATCATCACAGAGATATAAATCATTGGCTGTGCTTGCAAACATCATTCTACGTATCTGTAAGTATTCCTGGAGAAACTTAGGTGTTGGCTAAGCTTCTGGGTAAAACTTTTTAACTGCACTCACTTATTAGTTATGACCTGGAGGAAATGCATAAGCTTCATTCAGCATGCTGTTCCAGTGAGAATAGTCACTTCACAATATAGATCCTGTTTGTGTGCTTGGTGTAGAAACATATGTGGCCATGACCCTTGCCCTCTAAGAGTACATGGTCTAATGAAGAGGAAACCCATAAATGGATCAATGCAATTCAATAAAGAAGGTGCAGAAATATGGGTATAAAGGAGGTATTATGACAGTACCTAGCAGCAATATTTACCTGTGGTCAAATTACTACTGACTAACAGATTTTCTGGTCAAGAAATTGCAGAAACAATAGCCAGATGTCTATGCAGATGGTAATAAGACTACCATCACCTTAACTTGCTTTCATTAGCAAAAAGGGCTGTTGGGAAATAGTACTCTGTTTTCAGAAAAACAAAAATATGTAATAACATTACCATAACCGTGTATCATTTCTGTATACTCCTTTGAGAAAACAGAGTGAGAATCTGTTTTCTAAACTTCCAGCTAGCAAGATTTATACTTCCACCTTCAGAAAACACACCCAACTTCAATCAAAAAAAGGTTATTTTCCATACTTCCTTTCTTTCACAATATGAAAAGAAATTCTAAGCAAGAACAAGAAAGAAAGTCAGGCAGCTGTTTGGACCATTACTGAATAATCATGGTGCTCAGCACTATTGTTTCCTTTTAATGTTAATTTAAAATATGCCAGGCTCTGTCAAACACACTGGTAAATGCAGCATTTTAAGGAAACTTTGGGCTGAAACACATAATATTTTATTTCAAAGAAATAAAAGGAAAGCAACCAGATGCCACATTATAATTTCCTGTCGGTTTGCAGGGAAGTAGCAGTCCATTATTCTGGAGTAGAAAAAAATAGTGAATGGGATGTTCTAGAACCTCCCTGAATCAGTTATATCTCATGAAATCACCACAGTAAACAAATGTAATTATTTTTCCTAGAGCCAACATTGTAGCCTTCTTGCAGAGATTTGTGCTCTTTGTGAGGTTCTTTTATTATGACAAAATAACAATAAATGACACCATGTAATAGCTAATAACATTGTTATGTCCCTTTATTATTTTTTCAGCATGACGAAATGTAACAAAGTATTAACATTCATCTAAATCAAAAGATAATTCATTTGAAAGTTTTCAAAATTTTGTTGTTTGATATTTTATCTTAATTGAAGCCTTTTAGAATCCATCAAAATCAGTGTATGTCTAAGCTCTTCAGTCAATATTTTTGTCAAAAACATTCATTTATATGTTATACTTAACAATCATTACATTCTTTATAAAAGGTATCGGTAAAGGAATTAAGTACAAAGAAAAAAACTGGTTAAGGAAGATTTGAACCAGAAAGTAAATAGGAAATGTTTTCCCCAAATGATCTTCCCTTGTATAGTCAGGATGAACGGAAGATTGGGCAAAAGACATAAATCTTAAATTTGAAAGGAATGAAAAAATACGAGGGTAGAAAGCAACACACAGCCTGAGTTGAAAATCGGGTTTGCTTTTGAAATTAAGATTTGAGTAAAAAGAAAAATAATGCCTTTTCTTGGATAACTCAGTTGTTAATTTAACAATATGCATAAACCATCTACATATGCTACACGGTGTTCTAATCTATGTAGGTTCAGGAAAAAATAAAACCCCAATTCCTGCTTTATGGACTTTATAGTATAGTGGGTGGACAGAGACAATAAAGAAATTGAATACATTCCACTATGTCCGGGAATTATAAAAACAGCAAAAAAAGTGAACTCCGGGAATTGAGGGTCTGGGTAGGAGTGTGTAGATACTGTGGTCTAGGAAGACCTCTCTAACGAGATACTCAAATAAAGTGAGGGAGTGAGGTTTGCTGATTTATGAAGTGAATGGAGATTAAGAGCTTCCTCTTATGGGAACCAAAGAAATATGGAAGTTTATATGTAACAATTTTCAAAATAGGAATCAAATACAAACAAGGAACAGGTAAGAGGACATTTCAGCATTTGTCAAAAAATGGATATATCCATATGACTAAATAAAGATTTAAAAATTAGGCTGTGAATAAAAATTAGGTTGTGGAAAAACAAAGTTTTATAGATGTAATAATGGAATTAAATTATACATACATTAAAGTAATATCAAAATTAAAATATTTCTATATATGTACATAAACTTATATATAAATAAAAATAAAGGACTATATAATATATATAAATGGAAATGAGGCATATTTTTGTGCCTTCGGAGCCAATGATCATCTTCCTAATAAGGATATCAAAATTAATTCTTGAAGAATGTGTGTGCTGATTTGTTTTCAGACTATTGTTTTCCTACCCTCTTGAGAAACTTTAAAATATGTTATTTTTTTCATCTTTAAAAAACATGCAGTGTGAGGTTGAGAGACAGAGTAGCTTGTTCTCAGCAGCTGTGCAATGCTAACATGTTGTGAATATTCAACAAATATTAAGTGACATTGAAATATGAATTGATGGATAATGAATCACTTTAGGGAATTATTCTGCCAAAATGTTTTGGAAGATCTATGAAATGTTTGACAAATCCAAAAGATCTTAAGCTTTGCCTTTGCTGAGATTTATTTATTTATTTATTTGGAGGGATGGGGAGACAGGTTCTTATTTTTCATCTGGCTCATTATGTCCTTCTGTTAGAGAGTAATTCATGTTCAAATCATATTACTTTAACTTTTGTTAAGCAATTGATTTCTCAGTGGTTATATAATTGGAAAAACAGAACATCTAGAAAAATTGCCTCTTTTTATTAAGTAGAGAAATAAAATTGATTAAGCAGAAACTTAATTATAGTAATGGACTGACCCAGACGTGGTGAATGAGCACCAGGACAAGACACAAATGTTGCATTTAGAGAGTTTATACCTAACGGCATTATCTTTAGCATTACTTAAGTAAGGGGAAAAAATCCATAGCTTATAAAATAATTTTTCCTCTATTTTCTTCTGTTACATGCAAGTTAACAGGATCTTTGTCTAAGATCTATATGGCTATTTTAACATAATAATTATTTAAAAATTATCTCTCTTTAAATACCAAGTAATTTTAGCCTACTCTCGGCTCCTTTAACATCCCAGCCACATTTGTTCTGTGTATACTAATCACTGTAGTTACATAAAGCTTCTTATAATGCCTGTAATATGAAAAATTGTATGGATTAGTCAGGATTCTTAAAGTTGAAAATTAGAAAAGCCAGCTTAAGGAAAAAGAGGTGACTGCTCATTAGAATATGGGGATTTATAATAGTAAAGAAAATAATGCAGCCGAACGTCAGATAGGGCAGGACGCAGCAGTAAAAGACTGTTGGCAACTGGATCATTCTTTCACAATTTCTTGATCCTGTTTCTCTCTGTGCATTGGCTTTATCCTTCTCTTTTGTCAGACTGCTTTTTTTTTCTTTTTTCTTCTACTCAATCCACATGATGGCAGAAAAATAAAACAGATACCGTCATATATGGTAGAATTCAAGCCATATGAAGATATGAACTCTTTTGATCTTAATTCCTAATTCTCAAGGAAGTGACTTGAGCCCAGACAGGGTAGAATGTACAATTATTTTAAGAGGCCATTGCATAAATATGGCAGCTAAGTGCTAACTGTATGGCTATCAGTAGGTCTGAAGTGGATGTGTGTAATTAAGTGGATCGTTGTGAGTTGGAAGATATTCAACAGAGTCCACTATGTCACATAAGTGAAGTTCTGTCTAAAAGTGTCCTTCTCAAGTACTTTACTTTTCATACTAACTATAATTTTTAGGACAACATCTTCATGGTTCAAAATCAATTTTTCAATCTATCTCTTAAATCATGTTAAAAGAGAAATGATCAACAAAGCAATTCTCCTAGATATAGCTATAAAATGGAAAAAATTATTAACATAATTACCTGCAGGTTCAGGAAACTGAAGTATGACAAGCAGATTTGGGAGTAGAGACAAGACTTGGGGAAAACAATCACGAGAACAGGGTGACTGCCTCATTTTTTGTGTGTTTTGTTTTGCAGCTTTGCCCTGAATGGAGCCACAGTCACAGTGGCATGGTGTAGGGATAGCTCAAACTCTGGTAGAAAGTCCACTGGCTTACTGGCTACCAGAAATAGGGCAAGAAACAGGGCAACCAGAGTCTCCAGAGAGTGATAGGAGAACATCAGAAATGAGAGAGTTAGAGGAAGAGAACCCCAATGTTTGCATTTAAACTCCACACAGAGACTGGGGCACAAACTGTGACTAACCATTCAACCACATATTGAATGGGAAAAAATGGAAACCAGCTCACAGCTATAATTCAAGGAATTGAATTGAGATCAAAACTGCAGCCCACCGCAGACATACCTGTTTGCACTTTGAGTCTAACCAAGTTAATCTCTTGCTAAAACAAAAGCATCAACACTTTTTGGAACAATATACAGAATCCAGATTCTCCACAACCTAATATTCAGAATGTCCAGGATACAGTCCAATATTATTCACATACAAACAGCCAGGAAAATGTGATACAGTTTCAGGGGAAAAGACTATAAACAGATGACAACAGATGAGGTTAGCAGATGTTGAAATTATTAGACAAGTATTTAAAGAAGCAGTTATAATTTTTCACAGTGACATAAAGAATATAGACTTGCATTGAGTGAAATAATATATCTGCAAATATTTAAAAAATTGAAAATTTTAGAGCTAAAGATCTTAGTATTTAAAATAAAAAATCCACTGGGTAGGCTTAAGAGGCTACTGGAAATGGAGATAAAAGGGTCAGTAAATCTGAAAACATATTAAAAGGAAGCAACCAATATAAAGAATGGTAATCCCCCCCAACATACTTATTAATTTCAAAGGGAAAAGGGTAGCTTTATAGTGGGGAGACAGTAAGCCACAACTTAACAAAGTGATTGAGTTGATATCACCAGTAATGAGACATAGTGATACCTTCTGCCTTCTAATATGATACACTGGAAAGGGTACAGTGTTACTTCTATGGTTTCCTTTATAAAAATGAATAACTGAATTTAACACGGGGAAACATCAGACAAACCAAAGTTGAGAAATATTCTACATAACAACTGGCCAGTACTTTTCAAACGTGTCAAGGGCATGAATAATAAAGACTGAAGACCTCTTCCAGAATGAGAGATTAACTGCAGTGTATGGCCCTGTATTGAATGGTGAGTCAGAAAGAGAACACTATAGGGCAAAAGATGAAACTTGAATAAAGCCTACACATTAGTTGGTAGTGTGTTATCAATGTTACTAGTGAGATTTTGCAAATTGTATGTGCTTATGAATGTATTGTTAAGAAATTCATTTTCTTTAAATAAATTTGTAATTCTAATGCAATCTAACTCAAAACCCCAGCATGTTTTTTTTTGCAGAAATTGACAAGTTGATTCAAAAATTTATGTAAAAACCAAATGAACAAGAATAGACTCTTTTAAAAAAGAGAAAAAATGGCGGAACTTAAATGATCTCATTTTATGACTTACTACAAATAAATAGTAATAAAAGAGGGTGGTATTGGAGAAAAAAATAGACAGATAAATAAATGGAAGACAATAGATAGCCCAGAAATAGTTCCAAATATAACTGGCTGATTGATTTTTGAAAAAAGTATTAAAGAATTTCAATGGGGGAAAGAAATGCTGTTTCCAAAATGATGTTGCAACAACTTGATATTTATATGGAATAAAATAGACATTGAATTTTACCTAACACTGTATACAACTTTTAGCTAAAAGAATTTCATAATTACTATCAAAACTAGGAAACTCCTAAAAGAAATAAAGGAAAAAGTTATTTGTCTTCTTGAGATGAGCCAATATGTCTTCCATGGAATACAAAATGCTTGAATAATTTTTTTCAGAAAGGATCAATTAGACTTGATCAAAGTTAAGACATGAAGCTTCATAATGGGGATCAAGTATATATTTATATAACCAGGGAGTCCTCATCCTCCACCCCGACTTTCTTCATAATGTTTTTCATCTTTAAGGCCTAATTATACAAAAATCCAATTTGGTAGGTACTGCCAAAGCAATTTTTGCTTGTAATTGACAAGAAGTAATGTTTCATGAGCTACATTTACCTGTATGTTGGGTTGCTTTATATTCACTTCTGTCTAAGCTGAATGTTTAGGAAGGTTACTTTCTACTCAATACACATAACATTCTCACTAAAGTTAAACCATATGGGAGTCATTTCCACTGAACATATAAAGACTGGAAGGAGACAAAAAGCAATAAATTTCCTATTTTCTTTCATTTGAGGGCTTAGCATGACCAAGGCACCTGTTTTGTGGTAAGACAAAGGCTCAAAAGTGAAGTGTGGAAAAAGTTTTCAAAAAATGGGAGAGGTGGCTCTCTGAACTGGAAAACCTGGAAATGTGATAGCTAATAATCTCAGGATGGTCTAAGCTAATATTAGTAGCATGTAAACCTAAATTAGGCCTTTCTACAGCGGACTTATGCTCCTGAGAAAACATTTCTAGCAAATGGCAACATGTTGAACAAAAAAATCCCCCATTACATCTCTGACACTCTCACAGTATTTGTCAATTATTCAGCTCGACAGCAACTCACAAAGCTTTTGCACAAGCAGTTTTTCAAAGTTTTGAAATTCTTGTGGATGTGGATGTAATTCTCATTTTTGACTCTTTATGTTAAAACACCAGAACACAGGAACTTCTATTTTTAAATAAACACAATTTAGATGTCACAGATCCTGCTGTGTATTTCTTAAAGTTGTCTTTTCCTTTTTGGTTAAAAGCTTTATGCTGTTTTCCTAAGAGCAAACCTATCCCAATATTAAAAGGTTCCAATTAGAAATGAAACTCCAAAGCCATGAATTTTGAGAGGGCTCTGAACTTGCCAAAACAATTTCTTGTAAGACTTGATAACTTGGATTACACACTCCCACTGCATATTTAAAAGCCTTTACTATAAAGGTTCCTATAACAAAAGGGAGACAAAAAGATACTATAATTATTCATGGAACATATTCAAGCCATCATTGCTGATGAAATATGATATCTACAACATTCCTCTACTGTAAATAAGGCAGTGATTCAGAGTAGTGCCATTAGCTACAGAAAACCCATTCTTATCCTTATTAACACATAAAACAATAGCTTTTATCTCAGACTATGCTGCCTCTCAGTCTCAAACATACTAAATCTAGCTCTTTGGGAATAACATTTAAATTACAGGTTGGTTTCAGCTTTTTATACTTTTAATTCCAGTGGAAACTTTGGGTGCCTCTCCTCTAATGAGATGGTCAAGGGATTAGTGTTCACTCCCTGGAAAACAAAAGCCAATAGTCTAAGCAGCCAGGTCCATTCTTTAGGTGGACCTGGGTTGGGAAAGTAGGTTGGAGACGAGCTGACCTCACCAGTGTGCAAACTGTCCTGACAGTTCCTTGTGAGTACTCCGAGGCATAGATAGCTCTCATTACATGCAGTGTTGTAGAAAGCCACATCAATCCTGAATTGGATACTGAACACAGAAATTAGAGTGAAGTCCACAGAATATATAAATGCAGTCTGCAACCTGCAGAGTGATTGCTACCCTTGCATTCATTCTGAAAGCCATCCTTGAGACTGCATATAAACATATTCTGATAACAACAGAAATGCTGGTAAATGGACAAACAGTTGATTAGAGGAGTTTCACAGCTCCCTGTATGATGCTGTCAGAGCATCTGCCTTTGCCACCGGCAATCCTTTGAGGAAAGGACTCCTGCACATTGCATCTCTTGATTTAATAAGGTGTCTAAGCTGCCATTGAAATTATTAAGGCTTTAAAAATTGCCATGAGTAGCTTCAGTGCCCAGAGATCTTCTCCCTGATTTTGTCACAACAAACTAGTGTATAAAAAAAGTGAGGCAAAGGTGGCAAATTGACCCACATGCCATTTCTCCTATGTCATCAGAACCTGCTGCTGCGTAAGTTTTCCTGAAACTGATGGTGTTATTAGGCATGACCTCGTCAGACTTAGAAAACCTGCATCTATTTTAGCCACTTACTGAAAGCACACAGAACTGCTGAAGATAAAATTTCCAAGAATATATTAAAACAAAACTGCTAACCCAGCCAAATTTCCTACACACTTGGAAAGCCTGTAGAACAGCAGGCCAACATTAATACACAGAAAGACGATAGTGTAACTAAGTAGAAGCTGCTGTTTAAATGTCAAGGTTTTGAAAATTAGAGGAATGGAATGTTTACATGAGTGCCAGCTATCTTTTAGTGGCCACATGAGTTGTTTCAGCTTACCTTCAGGTTATTTTTAACATGAAAATTTGAGTTGCAATTTGCTGAATATTTCAATTTTTTTTTCCTAAATTAAAGAAGTAATTTTGTTAATAAGGTTTAGATTTCTGAGAAACCATCATGTGCTCCAATTGTAGAAAAAGATCCATTCCAAATACTCTCCCGAACTGAGAAATACTGTAGGTACATAGACAGCAATCACATGAAACTCACTATTATTGATATCAACAAGTATCTTGGGAATTGTTCAATATCATTCTGTCTTGTTCTAGGCACTGAATTTATAGTAAATCATTTCTACCTACTATTTACTCATCCTCCAAATATCTTCATAGCTCAAAAAGACTTTACTCATTTATCCCCGTATGAAATGAGTGACCCAGCTCTTCCCTAGCATGGCTATAACTGTTAGGTTCTAAGTTTCTTGCATAAACCCACTGGTTTATTCACCTCCACATTCCCTGTGTCTAATACTGTTCTTAGCAAGTAGTGGTCACAGAAAAAATGTTTAACAGAACTAGAAATTACATTTCTCATGTGATTTATTTTTATATTAGTCTGAAAAACACAAAGTGTAAAGCATGTTCAATTATTCCACAAATAAAATATGATGAGTTTAACAACTGTTTTTACTAGTAGAACATGTTTAAACCCCTTTGACTTCTATCTTGTACTTTTCTTAAATGTGTTGTGGCAGATTTTGTGTATGTATATGATTTGCCCAACTGTCTGAAATGAGTAACTCTATCATATGTGTTTTTCCCCCTAAAAACCCAGACCAGGGCTACATATTAATTCTGTTGAACTAAGCTGAAATCAAATTAAGGAATTTAGAGTTTTCTTCATGAAAGATGATCTTTGCCATTTAAATAAACATTAACAGAATATGTCGATCACTTGACTTGATAATCCATTTTTTAAAATTACCTATTAGCCAGCCATTATTTGTGAGTTAAGAATTTTTTATCTTTATCTACATAAATAGTACTTACATGAGATTAATAAGCTTTTTAAAAATGTCTTCGGTATTGAGGAGAAAATACAACAGAAAAAGATAAAAAGCTCTCTGTGAATTAATTACACACAACATTAATTTTAAAAAGGAATATTGGTGAATTCAAAATTAAAAGAATATTATCAGCAACGTATTAGATTTCTTTATGTTTAAGAATAAAATGAGGATATTTTAGGAAGTAAGAACTTAGATTTGTGAAATTTGACCTTTCAGCAAAAAACAAAAACAAAACAATAGAAATTGTCCTAATTATAAATAGATTTGCTAGTCTAGATGTCAGATTGTGTCACATTGATGACATTTTAGCCAGGGATATTGAAATTACAAATTATGCCATAAAGAATAAGCATCCATCTTGGAGTTCAAATATCTGTATTATAATCTAGCTCCTGTCACTAACTAGCTGTTGAGTTTGCATAGTTTTAATCACTGGCTCTTAGTTTCTTTCGATGTGATTGAGTTATCAAATCAGATGACCTATCAGTTCCTTTCTAGCTGTAAAATTTTCCAATCTTTTAGAAGACCTCAATTCTACTTGGTAATGAAGAACTGATTAAGTATGGTAAAAAGTTATGTTTAGCATTGGAGTTTTCCTCTATTATTACTATTACATTAGATGATTTATCAAAAGTGGTTTTGGAAAATTATGTCTGAAAGTAGACAGTGGAAAAAAGGTTATGAGAAATCCATTTGGTTTTGCGTTACCCGTTTATGTATATGAGTGTGTGTGTTATGTATGTGCATTTTGTACGTTCTTCTGTTTGTTTATTTTTTTGACTTTTTTATGCTCTTTAGCATTTCTTACATTCAGAGTCTTTCAAGTGCCAAAAGAACCACATTTATGTGAAAAGATTTTTTTGGAGCATTTTTGCCAACCTTCATTTGAAGCTGGAGTTTACAAAATCTTCACAGAGCCTATTTTAATGAGGTTTCCAGCATTAATAAGAAGAGTGTGGTTGCTTAACTGAAATGACCTGCCAAAACTTTCTTAGGTTCATCCATGGTTACACTGAATATTAAAACTACTGAATAATAGATTGAAACAAGAGCATAAACATTCATCTAGAAAACAGTGCATTTTCTTCAACCTTTTACATTAAGAACAAGTCTTCTCAGAGCATATGTAGCAACAACTAATAATTCTTATTAAGCAACATTTACCACAGGTATAATATGTGGTAGTTAATATTGTGTAAAATTGAATTTGCTTCAGAGTTTTGATTAAAAGTATTCATTTCAGGCTCTGTGAATAAAAGAATGCTAGTAAAAGTGAAGATTTCGCAAGTTGCTAAAACAAACTAGCTTTTGTTCTTGAAGTCTGAAAAAATACGACAGCATATTTGTTTCCAGATGGAAGATAATTAACACAAAAAAATCTGCTTTATCCATAAATATGGTTCCTTTTTAAATTTCAGTAAGTTCACCAAAATATATAAATTCCCTTGGAACAAGTTAAAGTAAAGCTGGTATTGGAGAAAAATTAAATAAGTTAGAACTAGGTTTCTTTTTTTCATTTTATTCAAAGCATGGGAAAGATGTGTATTACAAGTTGAGAAATCATGTCTTTGTTAGTCTCGTTATTTCTTTGTTCAAGGTGTTTGTTAGAATGAGAATCAGGCTGTCTATTGACAAAATTATGTGACAATCTGCATAATTATGTTGCATATGTGTGAAGCTAGTTATGAATGATTAGATTTTTGTTCAAAGTTAGAATGTCTTTATTTTATAAAAGCCAGTGACTGTGAAATGAATAGGATTTTTCATGGCAGCAAAAATATTTCCAAATTTCAGAATTAGACTGCCAGTATCAAAAGGACTTAGACTGAGTAACATTATTTACCTCTATCCATTAATGATAGAAGCTAAATGAAAGAATTTGCATAAACACAACAGTATAAGTCACCACTAAGTATGGTGTAACTTAAATTATTTCTGTTCAAGTGCATTTAAAGTGTCAATTAATTGCCTCCATTTCAAATGCACACCTTTTCCCCAATTATCAAATTAAAATTTGAGCTGAATCAATGAGCACAATGATAGTTTAATTATATTAAACCACATGAAATAAACAGTGAGGAAGTGTTTGTGCAGATGGCCACCTGAGTCTGTCACCTCCAGGCATAGCCAATGACAAGTATCACTTCCTTGGTAAATAAAATTGCTTTATTTTACTGTCACTGCAGCATCTTTACTTTTAAAAGAGAGGAGAATGGGTTGAGAGAGAAAGATTTAAGGGAATTATAGAAGGAGAAATTGCAGACACAGATGTATTTTTTTTCTAAGGGCACCAGGTGTTTTAAATGCCACCAGAAGGGTGCTCCAGGCGATTCTGTGCTGTCCAAGATAGCTTGGCATAGATTATCTGAAAGCTTTTGTGTCTTTTCAGCTTTTGATTAAAGGCCAGTGTCAGGACTCCTCTGGGCTTTTGCTTGGTACAGTAAAGCCGAGGGATTTTTTTTTAAGCTGTTGCCAAAAAGATGCCAGTTAGGATAATTACATTTCAATTTAAATTGGTAATTTTATGAAAATTTAAACCAGAATATGTGTCACCCAAATCTCCTTACTTTCATTCCTCCCAAACATGCACACACACACCCCTCTTGTTTTGGGGGAGACAATGACAGCAGCCCACCAGAACCTTCCCATGACCCAGAGATATGTGCCAGGAATTAAACAGATGAGAGAAAATTGAACAGAGCCTGTTTTCTCCGTCCAAATGTATTTTCTAGCTTGGATTTAACACTAGTGTACATTGGAACCATCCCAGGGCATCCTAGCTTCTAGTATCTTTTTCCCGTGGACTCCAGCAAAAGAAGCTTTGGACCATAACTATAGTATTTAAGACATTGTTTTCCATTCACAGTCAAGCTTTGTATTTGTTAACAGGATGTAGAAAAGGAATCAAACCTACTTACAGTCTCTCACCCTCTTGGTGAAAGGACTAGGGACACAAGTGGCCAGATGAACCCTGATTTTTCTGTCTGCCACTTTCTTTTTCCAGGACACATACGCAAGCTTGGCAGCACCAACAAAGTGGAAGTAATGTTCCTTTGTTTAGAATGCAGTGTGTACGAACATTTACATAATAAAATACACACACAAATAACAGATGGTGAAGAGCCACTCATTTCGCCACATGTTGTAAGCACGATATCGTTCCTTGATGATCTCATTTCTTACTTCTGCCTACAGATGTCTACCAGCTATTTAACCTCAGGGGTTATTCAAATGGTGAAAGGTTTGAAGACAGGCACAAATCTGTCTACAGAATTTTCCTCTTCCATCAGGTGCAAATGCCCTTTCTGGGTGGAGTTGTCAATCCACAAAAATGCTGTCTTCTGTCTGAAGCACTAAATAATAAACTTCATTTCTCATGACACTTGTTGGGCAGACAGTGTCTACGAAAGAGCACAATAAATACTGCCAATATGCTGACTTTGAAAGAGGTCTTTTCCCTTTAACCTTTTGTTCTGAACAGAAAGTGTATTAATAATTTTGGTTATTAAGTGAATAGCCTTCTTTTATAGATGTGAGGAGGGGCCTTCGGAAATGAGTGGAAGTCTCCCAGATGCTGTTTGCTCACATGTCCAATCTGTAATTAGAGTTAAGCCTCAAATGTGTGGTAATAGATACGTTGTATAGATTTAACTGCCACTTGCCACTTAGATAACACTTAGATAACACTTCTCCTCCCAAAAGCACAAATTACATTCCTTTTAATTAGCTCCCAATGTACTTTGTTAAAGTACATTGAGAAAGCGAATTACTAACCTATTAATTTATAAGCATACATTATTCAAAAGCACATAATCATTAATTAAATATCACAACACATAAGGAGGCAGCATTATCATACCCATTTTACAGAAATGAATGCCTGTTAAATTATTTGGACTATGACTGATCCAGAATAAGAATCTGTGTTGATCTGTCTAGGATTCATTATTTTGTCCAAGAGGACGTATCTTTGACTCAATTCTATTTCTTCTTATATAAAATGAATCATAATTTTCAAGCAAAAATCATTAAAAAAAAGTGATGAATTTAAATCAGTTAGCACTTTAGGGAAATCTCATGTTTTAGCAAGTACATGTATCTTACATTTTACGTAGGAGAGTGTGTAAGAAGGACTTAATATCAACACTAGAATAAGACAATAAATGTGGCTATTAAAAACAATCTACCAAACAAGAACTATCTCAAGAAAAGAACAATGAACTTCACTCAAAATGGCTGAAAACAAGCAAACAATCTTATCTTTCAGAGAATATCTAGACAGTAATATTCAGAAATAGGGTTAGTGACTGGCTGGAATGTAAATGAAAAGATTTTAAGAGATCAGAATGATTTTTGGAAAAGGAAAATAAATAAACAAAAAAGAGAGTTCATTTAGCTGTATACCTGAAGGCTAATTAAGGCACACTAAGTGATCAACTGAACATAAACATATTCCAGAATTATCAGATCATTCATCCACAAGCAGAAGAAGAAACAGTGGCCACCATAAGGAAGAAAGGGCTAGAGGATAGACGGGCAGGAAAGAGCAGATAGTAAGGTGGTTGGACTAGGTGGCAAAAGAGCCTTTGGCACAAAAAACTGTAGGACAAAGGAAGAAAAATGTAAGAGAGGTCAATTAAACGCTTGTAAAAACAGAAAAGGAAAAAAATGTTGATAATCTGACAAAATTTACCGGCAAGCACCAGATTTGAGAGCATTGCAATCTCCAAGAATATGATGTGCACTTATAAAATTATGACCTTACAGAAAAAAATAATAATAAAAAACAATATATTTCTGAGGACAGGTGCGTATTCAAGTGACCTCACTTGCTTATTTTAATCACATTTTAATCACATCATGGTGTTTTTCCAGTTGGTAAGTAGCAGAAGACCCTTGCCCTAACTAAGGTTTTTCCTATCCTCCATACTCTCCTTGCTCTATCAAGTTCCACATGTATAGATCACCCATGTCTCTATGTTCTCATCATTCTTGCTCTTTACTGGTACAGCCAACAATTGGGATAAAACAGTCATAGTAGACTGTTCCATTTGGCATACACCTAAGTCAAACCACCACCAGCCGCTATATTCTGTCACTATATTCTGTCATAATAGATGACAGAAACTCTGAGCTGTGACACTGATATACCAAATACTAGATAAAATTATAGTTCTCAGCCTCTGGACTCATTTATGGCACCGGAAATGAGCAAGGAAAGCTGGACTGGTAAGTGACGCCTATGGAAGGAGCCTAGCAGGAGCTAGGTAAATTCCCAACCATAGGCTGGTCCTCCAGTGACTTGGGGCCTTAACAAGTTGAAAATAAAGCAAGTAACAATTTTTCTCTCTGTGGAGTTTACAGGGAATCCTAGCAGGGCAAAAAATTGCCCATTGGTATCTTCACAAAAATTTTACTGCCAGTATACTTTTCCTTAACCTGGAACGTCTTTTTTACCACTCTTTTAACCTTTTTCTCCCCCGTCCTGATCTCAGTCTCAAAGAAAGAAAGTTCCATAACAAAAATATTTGTGGGTTGAATATCTACCTAGATGCTAAATGCTAGGCTAATTGTTTACATGTGTGTTAATTTATTTACTCCTCTCAACAATGTCCTAGAAGAGGCTTCCTTAGAGTCAATAATGAGGAAAGTGTATTAATCTGCAAAAACCTGAGTTCAAGGCAGGGCCTGGATCAAATCTATAACTCTCTTCCTAATGCAGCTACTCTTACTAAAGTGTTAACAGTCTTCTTCTGTTTGAAAATCCTCAGTCACTCTTTAGTTTCCTTAAGATTGATATGTTTGGAGCATCATTTTGGAATGCATTGAACTCCCAGACACCCACCCCCAGCACACTCCAAACTCTAACACAACTTAACCTGTAGGTCATAATTTGCCACCTCACAAAGCTCCTTCCTTAGGCTCTTTTCTTCCCCTTATCCTTCCTGCTGTTCTGAATTCCAAAAGTATTTCTTACATTTTCTGGACCATCCACTTTAAGTCTTTTTTTCATAATTGCCTCCACAGCTTCAAGACAGAGATGGGCCTTTTTTTAAAAAAAAAAAAAAAAAAAAAAAAAAAAAAAAAAAAGCTTTCCCTGCCCTTAAAACTGAAAAGAAAAACAAAAACCAAAAAACAAAAAACATCGGTTTATCACAGCCGTTATTTTTCTTCTTCCTTTTTTTAAGACATGGGGTCTTGCTATGCTGACCAGGCTAGACTCAAATTCCTGGTCTCAAGTGATCCTCCTGCTTCAGCCTCCTGAGTAGCACAGTTTTATTTCTTATCAATAAGATATATAATATCTGAATGGCAAATTGAGGATGTAGAATATTCATCGTTGTTGAATTGTATTAAATAGTTTCATATTGCATTTGTTTGTATGAAAAAGAAAAGTTTTACTTAACAAAAGACACAAACTAATGACTAGTTATTGCCAGTTGACAGAGTCTTAGTCTACTTGTTGCTGCTATAGTAGAATATCACAGACTGGGTAATTTATAAATAATAGATGCTTATTTGGCATATGGTTCTGAAGGTTGAGAAGTCCAAGATTGAGGGACTGAATCTAGTCAGGGTCGTCTTACTGTGTCATAACATGGCAGAAGGCATCACATGATAAACATGTGAGACAGGAAACAAGAAACCAAATTCATCCTTAATAGAAACTCATTATATAGAAACTCACAATAACTAAACCACTCCTGTGATAACAGTGTCAATCTATTCATGAGGGCTATACCTCTTAAAGGTCTCACCTCTTAATAGTATCAACAATGGTAATTAAATTTTAACCTGAGTTTTGCAGGGGATATTCAAACTATAGCAGACAGGTGCTATACTATGTTCTCGATAATAGTTACATACATATATGTGTGCAGACAACTATACACACACACACACACACAGACATATGGCTTGACAAATCAAGGATTTCTTGAACAAACATACAACTAATGAAAATCAGAAATGAGTTGATGCTTTATACTGACACTTAATTTGTACTTGATTCTCATTAAGGATTACCCTTTCTTTGTTTTCAGTCTCTGCTTAGATTTTACTTAAAAATATTTTCCTAATTTATTTCCCAACATCTTTTCCTGCTGGTATTTCTTTTTTTCCATCATTTATTTATAATGAAGGCTCCTCCAAATACTACTTGGTCTGAGTTTCTGGAATCCTTTTGGCAATTTCTTTGCAAAAGTAATGTTTGGGATTATTGTGTAGCTCTGTTGCCCAGTTGGAACTGAACATAGCATCAAGCTATATTGACTACTACATTTTATTTCTTTTTATGCTTTTTTAAAAATAAAATAACCACTACCTAAGGAAAACTATAGCTATCTTCAATGTAGGGCTCAAGTCAAAACTCTGCAACTCAGGCTGAACTGAA
Source organism: Homo sapiens (assembly GCF_000001405.40). Classification (NCBI taxonomy): domain Eukaryota; kingdom Metazoa; phylum Chordata; class Mammalia; order Primates; family Hominidae; genus Homo; species Homo sapiens. Next base: position 16,847,165 of record NC_000021.9, read on the forward strand.
TTCAAAAATTAATTTAGCACTTACTTCTTTGCCTTGCAATAAATATTGATAGCGACCTCCACTTTGAGAGAGATTCTCAGGCAGAAACTTTAACTCTAGAGATACTATTAGGAAATACTATAAGTTCTTTTGCTTCCAAGCTTCCATCTTATGATTTGCATTTTATATTTGTCCCTAGAGATCATTTTCCTACACTTTTCCAGCTTTTTCTACACTATTCTGTGGCCAAGAGACTGGCCTCTATCCGTCACACCATGCTGACTCTCTTACTCTGCATTTCTTGTTGGTTCAGCTATGGGAGAAAAGAGAGGTTAAAGGAAAGAGAAACAGGAGTATTTACTCCCTCAGCTCCCTCCTTGTTTGACTGAGGGTTAGCTGAGGTTGTTTTCCACTCACCAAAAGACACTTGTTTGCAGATGTTCCTGTCTTATAGTTACAAGTCTCACTGACATTCAATAACTGCTCCCTCTCCTCATCCCTTTGGTCTCAGGAGTAATAAAAGCTTCCTAAAATATTGGTAGCCGTTAAGATCTATACCGTAAGTCATCACTTACCCAGTATTGTTTCCTAATAATTGTAAATAGTCTATTAAACTCATTTCTAGTACCCTAATTTGAGTGTGCTACCTCCTTCTTTCTGAGACACTAGCTGATACTTGTGCCTTTTTCTTAACCTGCTCAATTACTTGTCTCACAGACCTAATTCAGTATTAAACATTTATGAAACTAACTAGTAATCACAATTTTTAAAATATAAAAATAAAACAATCACAATTTTAAAAAATCATTCTGTTTAAGCCACAAAACCCACAACTATCATTTCCTTACTTCCTCCTCTTGAAACTCTAATAGGCATCTTTCTATGTTGTGTTCTTATTTTAGTTAGTCTAATAAACTTAGCTTTGCTTTACGAAGAAAAAGTGAGCATAGTCTTGAATGCTTGAAAATGTAAGTTGAAATTTTAAAGACTATAGTTTTATATTTATTTAAATAATTGTTACAATTTTTCCCACTATAACTTGTATTAAGAATGACCCCCTCCACATAGCTAAAAGTATGTGAAAGCAATATAACATTTCATAGTTGCTATAAAGTGGCCAAAGTACTTTTTAAATTAATGGCTTGAAAACTAAGAGTGACATGACATTTGATATCTAAAATTTATTTTTTTCAAAAATAGCTCATCTGTATACCCACCTGCTTGTTTGGAAAACTAAAACTCAAAACATTCATCCTCAAGAGAGATGGGTGACTCCCTCCCTTTATCATTAATATTATATTAGTGACTATGCAATTGCTTTTGAACTTTAAAGGCAGATTATCCAAAGAGAATCAAGTTTCCAAGAAAATCTCTGCATGCTTCAGTCGTAAAGCAGGTAGAATCTTTAAATATTTTGTGTGGCTATTTTGTTGAGGACATACCTTTATGAAAGTAGTCTTAAAAACTTTCAATCCTTGAAAACTTTCTTAGAGATTGAATACAGATAACATCACTGATTTAATGTTTTTCAAGGGATTCATCTACATTTTTTTCTTTTCATCTGAGAATAATGAAGAGCCTTGAAAATGCTTCATGACTACGAGGGCTTCTTTAAAAGAGTTACATTAACTAAAACTGAAATGTAGTTACCACACAAAGGCAAGGATAGAATAGGAAAAGACAATGAAGAAAACTCCTTGTAGGCATAGGCTCCTTATGAGGTTTGGGCTTCTTTCTACCCACTATATCATAACAGTGTAAGAAATGTTCTTTGATACACTTCTCATTCTTTTCTCATTCTCTTCCCTGTACTGATTTTTCTCCACGTGTCCCTTCCAGATTCATTATCTGCCCTGCACCACCCTATGCTTTGCTCTAGAGGCTAACAGCACAAATTACAAACCCTGGGCATCGTTGCCCTCTGATTCCAGGATAGGCCATAAGGTGGGAGTGGACTGGGTACCAGCAGAGAGCACCCAGGGTATTTCTGCCCCCACTCCCTCTGTGGTTCAGTTCTACGTCTGGGGATTTGCTGTGTCCCTCTGTAACTGTAAACTTGCCAGGCAGCATTTCTCCAGGTCTTTGGCTCTGACTGCCCTTCAATAACAGTTTCCTTTGCTTGCCTGTTTAGGACTAAAGGCAGTGATGGCCTCCCACTGTTGTTAGTCCCTGAGTACCTCTTGGTTCCCTTAACACTGCCCTGTAAAAGGCCTCCAGAGTTTGATCCGAGTGAGCCCTATTTCAATTCAGAATTCTGACTGATATATCCCCTTTTATGCCTTCTCCTGACTCCTTCCAGGTACCAATATGTTCATAGTCCATGACCACTATCCACAGGATGCTGTAATGGACTTAATGTGTTTCTCCTGCATAGATGTATTTTCAGATACAGTTGTATATATGGTGGGTGCTCAACTATTCTGGTAGAAGTAAGAAGGTGATCATTGTTTACCAAACTGGACCTCCTAGAGTTCTAAGATTTTCCCTCTGTGGTATCACCTATTCATTTGCCCATCAGTTTCCCTAGCTCTTATTCCCTTGATTCAAACTGCTGTGGTTAAGGATTCAAAAGGATGAATGACTTTTATATAGCCAGAAAAATATCTAACAGCTGCCAAAATGAACAGGTCAGCACTGTAACAGAACCACGAAAGTTCTAGTCTCTGAAGAGTAGGTGTCCAGAGGAAAATTTCAAAGTAGATAATTGGTCTCCTACCTTTTTCTGTTTTTCCCCTTGCCTTCTCTATTTTCTAGTGACCCGTATGTGACATTTAAGAAGGTAAACACTTGCTTGTGAAAAAATAAATGCCTTGGTGAGAAAGTATGGCAAAGTCACGTCTTGGGAGGAGGAGGAGTTAGAGCGCAGTGGACATAGACATTGCATTCTGAGTTCATCCGAACCATTTGTTTTTTGTCTCCATTATGCCTCATCCTTTTGTAAAAATGTGTCTGGTGACAAAATGGAAACATAGAGACATACAAATCCTTCTGGTCTTCTTTTTCTTTCTTGCACTAAACACAGTGAGATCAAGAGACCCCACAGGGCTTAAAGTTATAGCTGCCAGTCCACTATGAACTTGTCACGTACGCCATTAGACCTGTGCTGGAGAGTAAATTCTACTTCTCTGTAGTGGGACCAGACTCCTAGACAGGTAACAAAGACAAGACTCAAACTGAAGACACTTTGTATTCAGTAGACTGATGAGCCAAAACTCTGTTCAGCCGACAGCACATTACAAGAAAAAAGGGAAAGACAGATTTCTAATATGACTTTTCTAGAAAATATGATTTTATATTTTTATTTATATATTTCATATAAGTATACATAATATATAAATATTTAGATATATTTTATATATTATATAATATATAAATATTTAGATATATTTTTATATACTATATAATGTATACTTATATATTATCAACATACAGTATCTTCCTCTTTCTTGTTCTTTGCCTGTATAATGTGTCAAAGGCCTCAAATTCTTTTCTTTAATACTACCCCATTCATTGATACTTGCATTATCAATTACAATTTGTCTTGTTTAAAGCATCTACATTACTGATTTATCAACTTTGAAAATTGTATAGCTTTAATTCCACAGATTTGCATAAAGTTAGTTATGACCGCCAAAAGTATAAGAAGTTCGTACACTGAGAACAGAATACATCAATATATATTATTAGAGGAGGTAAAATGCAATGTTTAAGAGTCCAAGTTCTGCAATCATGCTTCCTGCATTTGTAGTCAAATGCTCTACCACTGGGCTATACCCTGCTTGCTGCTTGTATTTGAATCCTGGCTCCACTACTTCTAGGTCTGTGGCCTTAAGCAAATTACTTTTCTGTGTATTAATTCTACCTGTACAATGAAGATAATGAGAATATCTGCCTTAGTATGTTAAGTATTAAATTTGTTAGAACAGTGCCTGAAAATAGTACCGAAGGAAATAAATTTATCTAAAAGGCCTTAGGCCAACCTTCAAACCAATATTATGATTGACTCCCACACAATAAGTAATGAAGGCTTAACCTAACATTGCCTGATGTCATCCCCACTTTCACCTGTAGGGTGAATGTTAGAATAAAAGTCTTTAGTACGTTTGCTCCATTTGCAAAGAGCTGCCAATGTAACCCTACATCAGGGAGGGTAAGAAGACAGAAGCTGGGAGCTTGTGGCCATAAAGAATATCCTGGCCCCTTTCCTGATTTTCTATACTTATTATTGAGACTGTCTTATATAATATTTATAAATATTTATGATTTATAAAATATGTTGTATATTAACATACCATATGTGATGTACTTCAAAATATATTTACTATTTATAAAATATCTATGCCCTAAAGGGACTTGTCCATTAAATGATCAGGTTTTAATCTTTTCTACTTTAGCATGCTCATTCTTTTGAGAATTGAGGAATGGCTGGCCCGAGGTAAGAACTCAATATACAAGCTGACATGATGCTTCTCATTTTTCTCTCTCTTCTAATGCAGGTCCAAGTTATGAAAGAAATAATTGAGGCCATTGTGCATTACTCTTATTCTAACACTGCCTGATCTTGGGAAGGGATCAATTGCAAAGTTTATATGAATTGAGCTTGGAATAGTGGAGTAAGCTTGAAGAACCTATCTTGGGAAGGATTCCATTTCATAGGCCTTGTTTATTAGCTCAGGAGATATGAGACATGGCAAACCTATGAGTGATTGGAAAATACAGAGTAGCATATCCAATTTTGGAGAAGTAGTTTTCCCAAGGGTTAATGTCTTAAAAATTAAGAAGCTAAAGATTATTTCAAAAGATTATAGGTGAGCAATACAAAGAACAATCCATAGAATAGTCTGGATATATTAGGTCAGAGAGTAATTTAATTGTATTGTGTATTTCTGGAACAGACTATAGAGAGAAGATTTAATATTATATTTGTAGACTGTCCTGAAGCACAGAAGAAAAAATAAAGAGAAGGATCCGTGTTGGATGGAATTGGGATTCATAGATGACACTCAAATTCAGATTGGACTATAAACTGGAGGGGTGTGTGAGTGTCTTGATTTTTTACGTTAGCATATATTGCCTATATGATAATTTATTTAAAATGTATAATGAAAGATAAGATCATTATCTAATCGATTGAGAATTATAGCAGAAGAAAAATATATAAGGAAAATTTATGAATCTTGGAGTAGACTCGATTTTACTGAGTACTTAGTAAACATTCAAATTTCCAGAGTAATGATAAGGGCTCAGGTTCATTGACCCTTGCAAAGACAATACCGGGATACTACACAGTTTAAGTTGAGAACAATTGATCTATTAAAACAATACCCTGGTTAAATCACTATAGAGTATTCTGGAGCAACTAGCTGGAAAATGCCTGAAATAGATCTGATTAAGACTCATATACACTGGGATTTAATGTTAAGCCAAGATAGTATGTGAGGAAGATGCAGTCATTTTTCTAAAATGTGAGGAAGTATATTGAATCTTGAAAATTGTAAAAGGTGCTGTGTGGAGGACTGCTACACGTCCCTCTGACCCATGTAAAATAACAAAGCAAACATCTGATCAAAATACGACTTTTGAAGCTCTCTTATGCAAAGAGACAGCCTAACTTCTCTGGTCTGCATGTTCTCTTTCTCTTTGTAGATGATAGCTACATAAGTTGCTAGTGTCTCTGGACATCACTTTTTGAAATTCCAAGTTCAAATTCCCTTATTGTGCTCTCGTGTTGTATTGCTAACCAGCCTAAGCATAAGAATAAAGGTGGGTTAGGTGTTCTTCCAATTGTTACCCATATCTGAATTCTGTTATTGCTCCAGTCTTAAACAACGTGAGGGTCTAGGCATAGAAATTTTGTCAAAAGTAGCATGGCAGCCTGAGGCAGATGAAGAATAAAGCCATAGTAGAAACAATATAAATTTTGAAAAACAGCTACAAATTAGGCAATAAAAATATTTAGCTGGTTCCTCTGGAGGCCAAAATAAAGAAGAAACAAAGGAAGGAAGGGAAGGAGGGAAGTAGGGAGGGAGGAAGGAAGGGAAGGTAAGAAAAGGAAAAGGAAGGGAAGGGAAGAGGTTTCAGCTATTATTATTGGGATGTAAAAATTCTACACTTGGATTGCCAGGTAAGATAATGATTTTCTTGGAATTCAAAAACAGTCAGAAAAACCTTGACTCTAAGGATATGTCTGGCCACTATTAGATATGTACCCTCTTTGATTGACATTTTCTTTTGGGGGATGATAAACCTCATAGAGATTTTCTGTGATTTAAGTAAGTAACATTTGAATAAGAAGTCTTTCATGTAGCAGACATTCAGTGAACTCCAGTTCTCTTGCCTATAACCAATTATAAGATACTGGTTGGATGTGTATTTTTTTTTCACATTCACTTCTTTAGGCCATTAGATAATGAAGGAAAATTTATAATGTCTAGCTGGGAAATCACATAAATTTTAAATCACAGAAAATGGATTCAGGCAGCGTGATAAAGATCTTATATTTAAAAATGAATAGACTACTAATGCACATGTATTAAATTATGCCATTAAAACCTAAAATTCTCTCTTATTTTCTAACAATAACATTTGTATCTGGCATTATAAATCTTCATCATATATACCCAGAAACTGGGGAGTGTTCACGTAAGTGGGAGTTGAAATTTATTTTCTATGTAATGTAAAAATGTACATTTTAAAGGATGGGAGGGAAAAGGTAGGATTTTTCTGAAAGATACATGCCAGTATAAGAAAAAATTATGATCAGGGTAATTCCTAGAACATACAGAAAGAAGAGATTGCTGCAGAATTCATTTTTCAGGAATCTTTTGCTAATGCTTGACAGTAACTCAGAAGATGAAAATGGAGAACAGAAGAATACATGATTTCACCAACTGATAGAAAAGGAATTAAGAAGCTTTTATATACATCCAAATAGGCCATAATCCTTAATTCCTGTGCCAGAAAAAATACCAAGATGAAAAAGTAAACATTTCCACCTCTTCCTTGGCTACACAAGTATTGCTTATGTTATTCTCTTCTGTAATATTTTTCAAGTATCTCTAATGTTTACATATGTAAAAATAAGTTTTAAAATACTGAGCTCCCAGACCCAGTCAGTTATTCTTGGCACTAAGGTATAACTAACGAAAAAGAGAAAATAAGATACTCACTTTGTAGCCAATTACTCATACATGCCCAGAAACAGAGGAGCTAGTCCACACCTGTCTACATGCATATCATGTCCTGGAGAATTATCTTATTAGATGTAATCATATGAAGATATATGGCCAAATTAAAAGTATATGTACTTCCTTAATTATTTCAAATTACCCCATATTTTATTTGTTATAAAATATAATTTGAGTCTACTATTTTTAGATAGCTGAATGAAATAACTTTTCTATAATGAAAATAATACAGTTAAAAGTTTGCATGTAGAAAACAAGGAAGTTTAGTATTTTTGTTTTGTTTTTAGTTTATTTTTTAAATTATATTTTAAAAACATAAAATTTAACATCTTAACTTTTTTTTTTTTTTTTTTTTTTTTTTTTTTCTGAGACAGGGTCTCATTCTGTCGCCAGGTTGGACAAATGTGTTGAGCATATTTACATTTTTGTTACACAGATTTTCAGAGCTTTTTATCTTGCACATTTGAAAGTCCATACCCACAATTACATAAAATATCTTAAAGTTATAGCATTCTACTTTAAACCAAAAACATCCTACCTTTAATCACGTAAAATAACTCTACTCCTTTATGGTCTAACCCTCCACACTTTATGTTATTGATGTCACAAGTTATGTCTTTATATGCTGTATACACATTAACATAGAGGTAAATTTTTTTTAATGTTTTTTACATTCAAATCCATATACCAAATTTACAATAGTACAGGTTAGTTAATATATTTGTCCATGTATTTACCTTTACCAGGCAACCTTATATTTTCATATGTTTCATGTTGCTATCTACTATCCTTTTATTTTTCACTTGAAGGACTGACTCCCTTTGGCATTTCTTGTAGAACAGATCTAATAATAATAAACTTTCTCAACTTTTGTTTAAAATCTTAATTTCTTCTTTACTGTGGAAGAACATTTTTCTAGATACATAGTCTTGGTTGACTTTTTTTTCTTCATCAGCATTTTAAATATATCTTTATCTTCTTTCTGGCTTGCAAAGTTTCTGCTGAAAAATCTGCCATTAATCTTATGGAAGATCCCTTGTATGTGATTAATCATTTTCTCTTGCTGCTTCTAAGATTCTCTTTGTTGTTGACTTTAGGTAGTTTGATTTATGTGTCTTGTTGTGGTTCTCTTTGAATTTATCTTTGAACTTCTTAAATCTGTATGTTCATTTCTTTCCTGATATTTGTAGAGTTTTCATGTTGTTCCTTCAAATAAGCCCTCTGCCTTTTTCTCTTTCTCTTTTCCTTCTGGGATTTTCATAATGCATATGTTGATCTGCTTGATGGTGTCCATAACCATGAGTCCCTTGAGTTCTCTTCATTTTTCTTCACTGTTCTTTCTTTTTGCTTCTCTGACTCAATGATTTCAAATGACCTGTCTTGAAAGGCACTTATTTTTTTTCTGCTGTTGAAAACTCTGATTAATTTTTTCATTTAGTTACTGTATTTTTAGCTCCAGAATTTTGGATTCTTTTTGTAGTTTCTATTTCTTTGTTGATATTCACATTTTGCTCATGCTTTGTTTTCCTGAAACAAGATATTTTCATTTTGTTTTCATTTCAATTAAATAAAATTAGCGTCTATGTTCTTTTTAATTTAAGCATCTTCATGAGAGTTATTTTAAACTCTTTGTCAGGAAGCTCATAGATACCTGTTTTCTTAGGGTCCATTTCTGGAGTTTTATTTTGTTCCTTTGATTTGGCTATGTTTGTTTCCTTGAAAGATTTATAATTTTTTGATGAGATTTGAGCATCTGTAAAAATGATCAACTCACCCAGTCTTTGCATCCTGGCTTCCTGCAGTGGAAGACCTACTCCAATCAGCCCAACTAGAGGAGCTAGGACCTCTTAAACTTTTTCCAATCTATTGCTCTTCCTGGCATCTGTCTGCAGAACTGCAACTGTAATATGCTGCACATCTCTGTCTTCAGCAGCTTCCAAACTCTGACACTGGTCCTGTCAGTGCTCCAAGTCATATAAGATAGAAATCAGTCTCTTTACCATCCTCCAGAAAAGCCAGAACATTGAGTGCAAGGTCTAGTCATTTGTTTCTAACCTGAGGGTCCAGCGCTAGTATGGGAGGTCTCCTCAGGGTTGCTTCCTACTGTGCCACATAAGAGAAAGGGCACAGGCACAAATTGTGCACCAAATGTGGTAGATCTTTCTTGTCCTTTTGCTGGGACCCGTTCTTGGTTTTATAATGGTCTGGGTATTGCAGATTTTCAACTGCTCTCTAGACTTCTCACTAAAGTATTCTGGTCCATATATTATGACTAACATAGTGTCTCTGTGAGGGAAGGAGTGTCTGCTACTTTCTAGTCATCATTTTACTGATTATCACCTCAAGCTTTTTTTTTTTTATACCAAATACTTGGTCAATAGGTTAACTCAATAGAAAATATATTTTAAAATGTTTTATATTCTTGTAACATGATATCACAAGTATCAAGTTTGGGAGAGGCTATAGTCAAAAACAGATCTCCAGTAAACATATGATGATTGAACACTAGTTAATGTTGATATTAGCCACCTGAGCTCTTTGCAATATTCTTACAGTGAGTAAAATGATCTCTTCAGTAAAGTTATGTAAATGTCTTTTCAGTAAGGAAATAGAAAAGTTAGAATATTTTTTTAAATCCTTCAGGAAAGTACCAATAAGAAACAACTGAGAGGCAAAAAGTGACAGAGTATGGGAACAGAAACTTGATAAAGAAAACATGTTATAATAGAATTTTCTAAATTGTATAAGGAAGCATGGAATAATAGAGAGCCTTATCAGTGAGTAATATTCAATAAATCATTAAGCCATTCTGAGACTTACCTCATCTGTAGAGGAAAATATAGATATCTATTGGTTGACTATATGACAGTTCTATGAGGTTCAAAGGAAAAATGTGTGAAAATATTTGATAAATTATCATACTCATTTTAATCACATGATCTCTGCACTTTCACTCTCTTCGTCTGTTAAATACAAAGTAGGCATTGAAATTCTCTGGTCTTCTCCCTGTCTTATCTTCCTCAAACTCGATTTGACAAAACCTTAAATCTGTAAAGAAGCCAGTGCTCCCTACTCACCTATTCTGTGGAAGAATTTTTCTGCTACTTACATGAAGCATTTAGTTTCAGATGTTCTAAAGGTCTTCAGGGAGCTTGTAGAGCTCAACATTTTTGCAATGCTAAGTCTGGGACTATTCACAAATGTCAATTTGAGTTTCGGAGGCATTTTAGACAGATTAGCTATAAGCACAGTTTGACATTATTTGATACAATGGAATCAATTACAATTAGCTCTTACAAGACTGACTCTACTCAGTGCTACATGCTACCACTGAGGAACATTGAGGAGCACAAAATATTTATATCAGGTGACATAACATGGAATAAGCATAAGTAAAGGAAGTGGAGTAAAAAGCTAATCATTGCTGAAACTATTCTTTATGACGGTCCCTAAGAGAAGTTCTTAAGCTAGGTATTTTTGCAACTACTTTATAATGTAGGCATTCTAATATCCATATCACTGTACATGAAACCAATACTAGAAAAGATAAAATAATTCATACAAAGTTTGTAAAAGTAGTTAATAGAAAACCAAAGACTTGAACCCGTGTATGTGTATCTTAATTATATTTATCTATATTTTAAAATGTAGATATGAATAGTTAAATTTTATAAATTGAATATTTCCCATTAAAAATAATTAGAAAGTTAGAGATAAAACAGATTTCAGACATGATAAAATTTATTCAAAAAAATAGTATCTTTGAAAATCACATTTAAAAGAGTTCTAATAACCATTTAACAACATTCAGTTGAATCGAATGTTAAGAAGAAAATACTTACTATTAAATATGAGAAACTGTGGTGTTTATCGGTAAGATCCACGAAGGAAGAAGTTTTAAAGAAAAATACTTTAACCGTGGAAAAAAAAAACTTTAATGTCTATTATCGAATAGGGGCCGTAATTACTTTTGCAAAATAAAAAAACAAACAAGACTAGCTATAGTGTAAATGTAATCTGTATGCTTTTTAATGAAACAATTAAGTAGGTTGCCCATTTACAATTAGCCTGATTTTCTCCTGTGTGGTATTATGTGTACTTAACAACAGGACCCAGTGGAAATTCACTCATTTAACAAAGTCTGCCTACATGGTTTCAAATATGGGCCTAACTTGAAAATTCAGTCATAATTAAATCTAAGGACTAAAACAAATCTGTATAAAAAGATTCTGCTAAATAAGGGAAAATTCAAGTCTAGGGCTACATTCTGAAAGATATTGAAGTAGAACCTCTGCAGCAAGACTAGGCTTGGAAAGTGCGGGGAGGAGGGAAAAGAAACAGATTAAACTTGATATGCAGTAAACATAAAGGAGCAATTTTGTTCAAAACACATAAATTTAGCAAGATCACCAGACTGCAAATAATTGTAATGGTTACAAACAAAAATATGTTTTTCATAGTTTTAGTGCAGAAAAATTAAATCCGTCTTTTTAGCTTGGATCATGAAATCCTAGCAACTTCATAAATGGTAGAATGATTTTAAAGGAAAGCTGTGTAGCTATGTATCACACACAGAACTAAATATGGATAAGCATCCCTTTTGTGTAGTTTTTGTTCATCCTGTGTAATTGTTTATTGTTTCTCTATCCCTCTCACATCCCTGGCTTTTGTTGTCCTTTTTATTCTTAATGAAATTTTAAGTACAAGTTCACAATAGAGGGCTATTTTGAAAATAATTGTTCTGTTAGCAAATGATCTCTTGTAAAAATATTTATTTTTGGCCGAGTGCGGTGGCTCACGCCCGTAATCCCAGCACTTTGGGAGGCTGAGGCGGGTGGATCATGAGGTTGGGAGATCGAGACCATCCTGATTAACACGGTGAAACCCCGTCTCTACTGAAAATACAAAAAATTAGCCGGGCGTCGTGGCGGGCACCTGTAACCCCAGCTACTTGGGAGGCTGAGGCAGGAGAATGGCGTGAACCCGAGAGGCGGAGCTTGCAGTGAGCCGAGATCGCACCACTGCACTCCAGCCTGGGGGACAGAGCACAAGACTCCCACTCAAAAAAAAAAAAAAAAAAAAATTATTTTTTAACCTTATGGTTGTGTAAAAAATGACTTTTTTTCAAACAACAAATCCTGATACCACTAGAGCATAAAAAGCAAACTTTTCAAATATAGAAGTATTCTCATTATTTGTTTTTCAATATAAAGAGGATAAGAAAATGTATAAAGTGATCTACTCCCATATGGCCTATAATGAAAACTTAGAATAAATAAAAATTAAATTGGGTAATAAAGGGCAGAAATGCACCATAAGTCAAGAAAAGGAAAAAATGTAAATAGGCTTTGTGAAATAAACCATATACAAATATCACTGAAAATTAATGATCCTTAGAAAGACTTAAGGGCTAGGTGCTGTGGCTCATGCCTGTAATCCCAGCACTTTGGGAGGCTGAGGCAGGCTGAATGTTTGAGCCTAGGAGTTTGAGACCAGCCTGGACAATATGGCGAACCCCGTCTCTACTAAAAATACAAAAAACTAGCTGGGAGTGGTGGCACACACCTGTAATCCTAGCTACTTGGGAAGTTGAGGTGAGAGGATAGCCTGAACCCGGGAAGTTGAGGTTGCAGTGAACCGGGATCATGCCACTGCACTCCCATCTAGGTGACAAGAGTGAGACCTTGGTCTTGTACCATATTTTTGCAATTGCAAATTGTGCTGCTATAAACATGTACGTCCAAGTATCTTTTTTGTTTAATGACGTATTTTCCTTTGGGAAGATACCTAGTAGTGGGATTGCTGGAGCAAATGGTGGATCTACTTTTAGTTCTTTAAGGAATCTCCATTCTGTTTTCCATAGTGGTTGTATTATACTAGTTTACATTCCCACCAACAGTGTAAAAGTGTTCCCTTTTCACCATATCCATGCTAACATCTACTTTTTTTTTTTAATTTTTCAGTTATGGCCATTCTTGTAGGAGTACGGTGTCGCATTGTGGTTTTGATTTGCATTTTCTTGATCATTAGTGATGTTGAGCACTTTTTCATATGTTTGTTGGCCATTTTTATATCTTCTTTTGAGAATTATCTATTCATGTTCTTAGCCCACTTTTTGATGGGACTGTTTTTTCTTGCTAATTTGTTTGAGTTCTTTGTAGATTCTGGATATATTAGTCCTTGGTCAGATGTATAGATTGTGAAGATTTTCTCCCACTCTGTGGGTTGTCTGTTAAATCTGCGGATTATTTCTTTTGCTGTGAAGAAACTTTTTAGTTTAATTAAGTCCCACCTATTTATCTTTGTTTTTGTTGCGTTTGCTTTTGGGTTCTTGGTCATGAAGTCCTTGCCTAAGCCAATGTCTGGAAGGGTTTTTTCCAATGTTATCTTCTAGAATTTTTAAAAAGATGACTAGACTGATGTCTCATACAACTAATTTTATTTTGATATTTTCTCATCAGCCAAGTTCAAAGTTCCATAGCTTTTTACATTTTCTACCCATTAATGAAGTTGCCATTTAGTTTCCTGGATTACCTGCTTTCCTTTTCTTTTTTTTTTTTTTTTTTAATGTCCACCCTTCTTCAAAACGTGGTTCAAAAGTTAACACCTCACAGAAAAATTTTCTTCTTATTGTCTTCTGACATTTATCACTCTTTTACTGCATCTCAGTCTGCAACTTACTCTGTTCGTGGATGTTGGTCAATAAGTTTCTATAAGTGTGTGTGTGTCTGTATAAGTATACATATGAATATGCATGTGAGTGTTTTTACGAGCTTTTCAGGGGACTATTTCTACCGTTTTACCCCTACCTCCTAGAATAGGGCTCTAACACAAAGGAAAAGCTAAATAAATGTTACTAAACCACTGACTGCAGTAACAATGATTTTAGTTATTAGGATAAAAACATAATTAGCACTTGTAGATCACATTAGGGCTTAACAAAAGCTTTCAGATATATCAGCTAATATGTTCATTATTTTATAATATATAGTTTAGTTTATCTGCTGACAATTAAAGTGTATAATAACAATGATTTGTATTTAGCTTTGAAGTGTGGGGATTTCTTTTGTATTTATGTATGAAGATATCCTGGGAATTAATAACATTGCAAACTAATAATGGATTCTTTAACTAACCAGCTGAGCAATCCCATTATGCTTCTCTGCTTCAGACAGTTCTACTATGTACACCATCTACCTCCATTCTGTTTTCTTATTTGAGTCAGATTTCTTTCCATCCTTGAGTAACAATAAAGATTTCAGTTTTAAAAAACTTGAACGAAAGCTATGCTGTAAATATCCACACTCCCTTCTCTTCTACTCCTCCTAGGCTTTAGGCAGTAGGCAGAAGCATCAATGGAGAAGATAAGAAAATCAACACATTTACCCAAGTCTCAATGGTGGCTATTGAAAGGCAATACTAATGTAGGCTTACCTGATAACAAAAGCTGGCATTTGATGAAGAAAAGATTAACAGATTGGGGTGCAGTTGGAGAAAATACTTTCTAAACTCAGCCTAAAGGCATTTCATGATTACTAATACATGTCATAGTATCCAGATCTTAAAGTAGTGTAACAATACCATTTTTAATGGTCCTTTGTTAAATGGGATAGAAAATTGTTTTTTAACAAATCTCTTTGTTTAACCCTAATTAAGAATAACAATAAATGTTTAAACCTTTCTCAAAAAGTATTGCTTAGAGAGAAAAAAGGAGCAGTGTTTATGTGTAGTTTAACAAATCACCTTAATAAATGTTATGTTGATGTACACAGACCCAGAGGCCAATCAGTAATGTTAGTTTAAAGTTGAATTCTTTATCATAAGAAAGTGAAAGAAATGTTGAGTCATGTCTCATCTCTTAACCCCACTCACTCTCAGAGAGTAGAGACAGTGGTTTTGAAAGAGGAAGACAGAACAGTGAATTTGGGTTCTCAGACGAAGAAAAGCTAACATATTTTAAAGAATGATAATATTTCACATTCACATTTTTCTTGAAGTTTTATTTTATTCTTGAATAGTTAATACATTCAAATGTTTTAAAATTCAGAATAATCTTACTATTTTATTTTCCAGTTTTTACACAAATGATAGAATACTATCTATATTTACACTGAACTATATTATTATTTAATAGCAAATCTGGGAGTTCTTCATATATCAGTATATAAAAATTTACCTTATTCTTTTATATGACTGAATATGTATACTCTATTGTCTGTGAAGGGGCTTTACATTATTTTCAGTTTTCTGACCCTTGCAAAACAGTTACTCACTGAATAGCTGGATATACTTATTATCTTGCCTATTAACACACTTAGGCATAACATAAAGTCTTAGAAGTGGAATTGTTGGGTCAAAAGCTATGCACCTTTTTAATTTTGGTAGATATTGACAAATTCCTCTTTTAAAGAATTATGCCAATTTAAACCTTCACAAATAATATGTGAACTGCTTGGAGTTTTGTTGTTGTTGTTATTACATCTTCGCCGACACAATGAATAATTAAGACGAGATCTTTGACAAACTTCTAGATGCAAGCAGTAAAATAGTATAATTTGTATTTATTAAATGACAAATGGTATTGAGAATGTTTTCATATTTACCAAGTTTCAAAGTTTGTAGAGTTGATTTCCTGCTTGCTCAGACCTGTAAAATGGAAAAGTTCTTCCTTAACACCTTATTGCCTTTCTGGACTTTAACTACTTGCTAACCTCCATCCTACTTTCATATAACTTCACTCTTACCACAACCCTCTTCCACCACACCAATCACTTCTGTCCTGATGAATTCCAGAGAGAGGGAAAACCGTTGACACAGAAGTTTCTAGACACAAAGTGCCTACTGAGTAGGGTGAGGAGGGGAACTTATAAAGACTAAAATATGGAACTCTGTGCAGCTACTCTGGACATATTGATGTTGGTATACACATATAATATAGCCTTCTGAAATATAATCTGTGTTTTATTGTGTTAAAGGTTTGGCATTCCTATATTCAGAGATGTCTTTTCCTGGTTTGTTGACTTTAAGTATTTTTTGGTTGTTGCTGTTTTTACCATGTAGAATTTCCTCATGTTTCTGATGTGGAAAGTATAAGAATATCAGCCAGAGAATCTTCTGTTATATAATAATCACTCTGATGATTTGTAGCAGAGTTTACTAAAGAACAAATGTTCACAGTATCAGGTTATGAGTAATAAAAGGCCTAGGTTTAGAATGGGCCTGCTTTCATTGTATTGCCGTAAATTATACTGTTTATGTGTAATATATCTGGTCAAGGTTATATTTATTTCTGAGCAATCTCTAATAGATATTCCAAATTACTGAAGAGTTGGCTCATTCTCCATTAATAAGATGTTATTGAGCAACCTGTCTTTAGAGAAACTTATTTATTTGCTTGATGTATGGATGATGCAACCAGTTCAAGTGGCAGAAAGAGTATATTAATACAAAATCATTACAACATATCACCTACTGATTTGTTAAGAGGTCCAAGTTTTCTTAAACTAAAAGGAAGTAATTCCTTGTGGTTTATCTTGCTTTTAGAGTCTGTTGTTGTCTGAGTTTAAGTCATCTATCACCATGTCCGTTTTAAAAGCAGAGGCTTTTAAAAGGTCTGATGATAAATGTCTAATATTGATATTTAGAATATAAAGCTAAGAATATAATATCCTTTGCCTAGCTCATTTTTTAATAATTGCACAATGCATGCATCCAAGTAAAACCTAATTATAGCTTCTACCCTCATTTTCCAAGGTTTTTCTAGCATGAAATATAACCTGACTATTTATCCAAGCTAAGTGATCAAACACATTATTAGACCAGAGTCCTCTTCAGGTGCAGGGCGCCTTGTTTTCACACCGGTCTCAAATGTCTAATGCTGTGTTAACAAAGACTGAACATTTGAAGATTGAAATAATTATGGTGTCTCAGATTGAGAAATACGAAATATAAACAAACTCTCTGACTATGCATTATACTGATAATACAACAACTCTACAGAGATTTTCACTAAATACTCATTACATTTTACATATTATTATTCATTCCAGAATATTTCTACCTTGTAATAAAAAGCATTTAAATAATATTCTGTGTGAACAAGACTGATTTATCAGTAATTTCCTAGTTACAGTGGTAAAATTTTAAAAGGGGGCTTTAAAAAAAACCAGGGGTGCTTTAGATGGTGATCCTTTAAATAAAGACTATAATTCACAGACAATGACAAAGACACAAGTTAGCTTTAAATCCTCCATGCTTTTTAAGACCAAGTAGTGAAGAAATTTATTACAGCTCAAGAAAAGAGTTAAGGGCAACAATAATATCTTGCTACTCCAGGTAAGAAAATACAAATTTTAATGACAGAGAAGACTGGTGACCATTGTCACCAAATGTGTACTTTCCAGAAAGCACAATTATTTCATGTATAGATCTTGGAGACACAGAACTTCATTATAACCTAAGAGGATCCCTCCTAAGAACAGGTATATAAGAACAGGTATATAGAAATAAGTACCTAAATTACACCCAATATTGAACTACGATTTTTGTCTTTATTTATGTATAAAATAAGTAAAATGATACTTTTTAGTACCAACACTAATATGGATAATTTGATTTAACTTATGAGAAAATACCTCACTGGCTGTTCAACTTTAAAATTCAGAAGAAAAACAAAACTCACTGGCCAGATAAGACACTTAATAATATTTGGGGACTAATTATGGCATAGAAATTGTCAGTGGAGTTAAGAGTGAAAAATAGAAAACTTATATGCAGTTTAAACATTATTCCTTGAGTTGACTTATCCTTTAGCTTGTCTTTTGTTATAGTTTGCTGCAAATTTCGGATCTATATCTTAAATTCCTAGTTTTTTAAATAATGAAATAAGCTTATCAAGATCTCTTAAAATTCACACTAGTATATAGTGTGTAAATTTGAATTTAGTTGTCTTTTTTAACCCAAGGATGACCATGTTATGTGCAGAGGGTCATGTGATTGTCCCAAACTAACTATCAAGTTATTCTGGAGTGTCCCATAAATATTTTTTAATAAATACATTTTTCATGCTTTCATGCTTAATTGTACGCACTAAATAACTCATAGTAGTTTTCCTAAACTGACCTGGAAACATATAGCATCTTGATCCATGCTTTCCTTATTAAACATTTATTTATACTAGGGACATGTCAAGGACACAAAATTCCTTTCTCACAGAAACAAAAACCACATCCAGGTGGCCAAAGTCTCTTCCAGGTGAATAGGGTTAGCAGAAACACAGATGAACCATAAGAACAAAATAGTGTCAATAATTTGTCAAAAGAAATCCTCTATAAAATAATTAAAAGAGGCCTGGGAAATCAGCAGAACCTACCTGATGTGTCTTTCCCTTGTTCCTGATGTTTGGCCAGCTTTTTGGCTGTTGGAAGTACCAGGTCTCTTGTTTCCAAAGAGCTGCCTGTGTTGGCCTGTCTTTCAGACTATCATGTTACAAAATCTGAAGTTCTGTTGCAATAAACACCAGATTTCAAAGGAAAAGCAATGGAAATTGTGCAGATTAAACTTCATTTTTATAGCAACAGTCAGTAGTACATAACTATGTGTCTAAACAATGCTTCCTCTTCCAATATAATATTAGATTGAGAAAGACACTGATTTTGAGGGTGCATTCAGAAAAATATATATATGTTTAGGTTTGGGGGGAAAAGGGTTGTCTTTCTTAGAAACACAATAAATTTATCCTTTGAATCCCTCCTGAATCAACCATATGCAAACAGATAACTTTAGAACTGTGTTATTCTAGAGTAAGCCTCAGCCAAGTGTAGTTGAAAAGTGGTTGGGCATAATGAGGGCAACCCTGACACAAACATAGACAATATGCTTCCCGAGAAAAAGAATTTTAAAAAAGAAAAAACAAAAAAAAAAACAAAGTCAAATGAGAGCACAATATTTCAGGAGTAACTCTTTTCTCTTGATGCTCATTTAATTTGAAATTAGTTACAGGGACCTCAAATAACAGTACCTCAAGAATTACTTTTTTTGATCTTTCAAGGACATTGCCATTAGCACTATAGTGTCTGTAACCTTCAAGGTTCAGGGGATAATGTTTAAAGAAGACTATGAAGTTAAAATATCAAAAAGTCAAGAATATGCTCATAAGCTACTGAGAAAACCCATAAGAACATGGCCAGGGTACCAAGGAAACTGTATCTTCTTTTTGGGGGGTAGAAGGTATCCTTTACATTTTAACTCACTATTTTTTGTCTTAGCCTCTTTTCATTCCTTCTTGGCTTTATAGGGCCAGTGCTCTCACGATGTAATTGCTATAGAAGTGAAATCTCTCAGATACCTATCATAACAGAATGGTAGAGTTATAATTTCAGTGCACATATTTTACAGATGAGAAAGCTGAAGCTCGATAAAGTTGTGATTTGTCCCAAAGTGATAGCTAGCTGTGTCAAAATGGAGGGAAAAGTCCAGTTCTCCTCATTATCAGGAAAGAGCATCTTTTCTAGTGTACTGTGATTAAACTTTCCTGGGTAAATATCTCTTAAATAGTCTAACATTAGATACATTGGAATGGAAGACATGGCAAAATTAAAACTAAGGTTATAACAAATGATACAGATAAATTGGAGACTTGGCTGAGTCAATGCCGAATAGTATATATGGTGGTTGATGGGGTGTTGACATTCTTTCTAACAGCAAATGTTTATCTGGTGTTGCTGGCTGAAACTGCATTTAGCATGGCTGAATTTACTTGGAATATGATTCCTGTAGAAATGATCTTAAGCCTTCGCACAACAGTTGCGCTAGAGAAAATTCATTCACAAACACTGGTCAATATAGATATCATGTGGGTAAGATGTATTTTCCTTCAGAATTCACTCTCTCGATTTTTCTTTTTGCACTACTGGCCATGACTAATTTTTCATAACCTTTGGGACTGATGATGTTACTTTGATATTTTGTCTATTTTTCTACTCCTCATGAGACTAGCAAAACTATTTGATATATTTATTCCTGCTAGAATGTCATCCCAGGGATCCCCTATTGAACTTCTGTGCCTTCCCCTTTCCCCAGTATAAGGCCAACCACATGGAAGTGGGTTGTGTTGGAGAGTTGGGGTGTTTGAGTGTGCATGGAGATCAACCACAAGGATACCTGCAGGATAATGCAAAAGTAGACCAAAACATCAGCCAACTGTTACAATAGGATGGCAATCACTATGGCTAGTTTAAAAAAATAGAAAAAAAATGGTTTTGGTTCTTTTCCTCTAGACCAAAAATAAAATGTTAGGATAATTGGACAGTTAAAAGCTATAAAATGTTAAGACTCATTCAGGGAAAAGAAAATGCAAATTTTAGTAGTTTGCAGTGGATCATAACCTGCTGAGTCAAAACTGGGACAAAAAGTAAATCAAGCCAGGCATAGTGGCTCAGGCCTGTAATCCCAGCACTTTGGGAGGCCAAGGTGGGTGAATCACCTGAGGTCAGGAGTTCGAGACCAGCCTGGTTAAAATGGTGAAATCCCGTCTCTACTAAAAACACAAAAAAACTGGGCATGGTGATGTGCACCTGTAATTCCAGCTACTTGGGAGGCTGAGGCATGAGAATCACTTGAACCCAGGAGGAGGAGGTTGCAGTGAGCCAAGATCATGTCATTGCACTCCAGCCTGGGTGACAGGGTAAGACTCCATCTTAAAAAAAAAGGAAGAAAGAAAAGAAAAGCAGATCATAGACATATAAGCCTTTAATCTTGTGTTTACCATTAGAGTGAATAAAGAAACCATGGTTTATTTTTGCATAATTTATAAATACCAATTTTGTGACATTTATTAATTTAGTTATTAATTTAAAATAAGAACATATTTGTATATTGCCAAACTGTTAATAAAATGAGTCCCTGTTATAAAAAGATCACAAAACATGAGTTGATATTCCAGTTAAGAGAAAATTCAATTAAATGATCAAAATATTTCTCTGGCAAAGGTAGTGTCCACCCTGAGGTGAGTCCCTCTTAATGGAACCATGGTAAATGACTTCCTTTTCAACTCAAACGTAGTCCCTCTTACCTATCAAATGGATAATGTCATATTTTATAGTCATGAATTTGTGTTTGCATTGTCATTTAGAAAGGATTATCAAATCATACATAGCTCCAAATTAAAATTGGCCACAACCCAGGGACACTGCAAGACAGAGGCAAACACGTTAGCTCACCACAATGTAATATAACTCCTATAGTTCTGAAATATTCAAGGGATTGTGTACTTCCCCAATAAATAGAATAATAAATCAGTAAGTAGAATAACACTTTGAGATCAGTGCCAAAATAATATGTATTAGTTTAACTTAAGAAAAGTTCAAATTCAGAAAGACAAATTTGTATGTCCTCACTTCTATGTGGAAGCTAAAAATACGGAACTCGCAGAAGCAGAAAGTAGAATGATGGTTACCAGAGGCTGAGGGTGGGGAAAGGGAAGACGATGATCAAAGAATATAATGTTTCAACTAGATGGGAGGAATCAATGATAGTGTTTGAGGTGATGGATATTAATTAGCTTGAGCCAATCATTCCACATTGTATACATATATCACAGCATCATTTTTTACCTTATGTTTTTACCTTACAGTTATAACTTGCCAATATCCAATTAAAAAGTTTAAAAAATATATATCAAGAGGCAAATTTTTCTTTTGAATTATTTTGTACAAAGGAAAATCCTTTAAAAAAATAGTTTCTTGCCATTTTTTCTGTTAGTCTCATTAACAAAAAAACTTTCATGAATGACAGTAGCTGAAAGGGCATGTTCCAATGGGTCACCAAGACTGCTTATGGGAGAATGTGCAGCCAGGAGTCCACAGAGAGGCAACGTAATCTGCGGGTCATGAAGGAAATATGAGTAAGTCAGATATGGCCTTGACCCTGGCTTTCATATGCAATCGCTGCATGTCTATTTTCATCTCTGAGCCTTGACTTTCCTATTACTAAAGTGGATATTATAATGGTATCTGCTGTATTAATCCTGTTGAAAGAATTACATGGTGTAATACATGCAAACAATTAGCAAAGGGTCCAGGTTTTCGTAAATTCTAAATAAATCTTAGATTTTATTTTGTTTTTAATATTTTTACTATTACAAAAGTGGCCCAGGTCAGAGCTTCATTATAACTTGGAAATTTTTTTTATCACTGAGCTGACATGTTTGAGTCTTTCATTAAGGAAGAATCGTTTTCACAGGTAGGTGACTACACAGAAAATTTGATGACAACTGAAGTCACAAAAAGAGAAGAATTTTTTAAATGTTCTCATGATATTGAAGCAAAAGGAGCACCAGACAGGGAGATGGGGTATAGCAGCGCTAGTCCTGAATCTCTTACTAAATTGCTGAGTGATGTACAAGTCATTTGGGGGCCTTAGTTTCCTTAATCAATAAACAGATTTTTATTGTCACTTCCAGTTCAAACATCATATGGCTGGGTTGTATAGGACTGTGAAGTTAGAAAACTCTTCCTTTTGTTTGGTACATGGAGAACTTGGCCAATTTCTCTGTCATCTGTCATAGAGAGGGTGCCCTGGAAGCACTTCTTATCATGGAAATTCTTGTGCAAGGGATTTTTCTTTTTATGGGAATGCTCCTAGGAAAAATGTGTAAGAGAGTAAGGAAAGAAGGAGAAGGAAAGAGAAAGAAGCTAAGTAGCGATATGGTTTAGGTGAAGTCTAGCTCCAGACTGACCTTGTGTGGAACTCTGGAACATAAACTATACCACATCTACCCCACTTTTTAGATAAGAAAGGACTTTATCCCCACAGAAGTCACCTGGATGCCCAAGGTTGGGAGCAAGGCGGCTCCAGTTACCCAAGATCTAAGCAGTGGAACCTTTATCAACCAGTAAAAGAAATTGCTAAGTATTCAGAAGAGGCACCACCAGCCACTTCTATTGCATTGCTTGATGTACTGCATACTGAAAGCACTTGAACTTACACAACAGCTTCCATAAATCAGCCTCATCATTATAGGATATCATTGTGCAACACTTCCTGTCTTACTGGACAGATGCTATAAACTTTTTAAATTGTTTGCTTGATCTTTCCTAACTTATGATTACAAAGTTCACCATCTCCTCTATTTTCTGAGGGTCACAAGGCCCTTCAGCTGATTGCAAGGCAATTTAGGGAGATGATCTCTGGATGTACTTGTGTGTTAGAAAAATCTAGACATTAAAACCAAAGTAGGGTGTGGAAACCCTTAGGAACTGACCATCAGTCACGTCCCTCTTTTCTTGCTGAAAAGCAATTCTTATATTTTAATTCTAAGACATTATCTTCCTTTTCAACAGCAAGTGTCAGCTTCATCAGAAGTATACATTATGCTAAGAAAGTACCTTTTGAAAGAAAAATATGAAACCCAGACATCAACTTCAAGTTTTTCTTTTAAAATAGGTAAAGAGGTAGATGCTCATCTTTGAAACTAACAAGTAAAAAATCATTTTTGATTCCAAGATCGCCACTCATTTTACTGTAACACACGATCTAGTAAGAATTGCATGGTATCTCAGTGGCTATTAACTTCCAGCTTCTCTGGCCTAGCATAAATCCTGAGAGAGTGTGACACACTTTTCTCTTAGGCTTCTAGAATAGAATATCCCTGGTGTTCATTTTCTTTGAGATAAATTATGTTACTTTGGACTCTCTTACATTATTTCAGTCAAAATGTCTTCCTTCAAGTACTGATTTATTTCCATCATTGTGGCAAGAAATAATAGATGACAAAAGTTAAGAAGCTTTTACCTGTAAAACAAATTACTGGAAGTTTTTCTAACAAGAAGGGGAAATTAGATCCAAAGTTACATCATCTTTTAGACCTAATATGCCCTATTAATAAAATTTACATAAAATTTTTAAAGAATTTAAATTATATCTAAATGTATATAATTTAGTCCTGATTTGGTTTGAGGGGTAGAGTTTTTATTTATTTATTTAACTTGTGGCAATTATTTTCTCTTCTTCTTTCTGTTTTCTTTCTTTCTCTTCTTCTTCCTTTCTTAGGAGACACAAATTTACATAAAGAATATCACTACTATTCAGTTTTTAAATGTATTAACTGTAAAAGCTTTGAAATATTAAGCAATGAATTTCATTTCATAGTTTATGAACAAATGTGAGTTTCACAGTTACTTTGATGTGTAGGGTTTGTTTTCTGGCTAAGAAATTTATGGTAAGTTGAATGCTCACTGTGCAGAGTTAATTCTTTTTAACTACATTAAATTTTCATTATAACTGCTCATATAAAACTAATGCCACTTTGCTATAGCAGAAAGTGCTAATATCACAGTATGGCCCACAAAACTGTTTCTCTGTTAATATCTTACCTTATTTTCAGGCACCTATAAAATAGTCATGGACATTTATTCAATATTGAAATATAACAAATATCAATCCAAAAACAAGTTTTATTTTTCTTAACCTTCAGTCTTGAAATCAGAAAGGGAAAAAAAGAGATGTCTTCTCCCCCAGCAGAGCATACTCCAGAAACAAATATGCTACATCTGTTTTAGCTGGCATGGATCGGGCCCTGCAGGGTAATACACTACTTCAGATTTCAAAACTGACAGTCTTCAGGCTAGTGGTTCTCCATGCTGCAAATAAAGATTTTATTTTCCAATGATATTTATTTAGGATTTTTTTTGCTGGGTGAATCGAGCTTGTGAGTTTATGAATTCTACTAAAGCAATTATCTCCCCAACTCAGAAGGAGCTGCTGGAATCTCTCATGTGAGTACCACACAGCCAGCAGGTTCCCTCATCACAGATCATCACAATAGGCATTTTGGTGGTTTATTTGGAAGGCAGTTTTATGCTAAATCCCATTTTTCAATACTTTGCTACTTCTTCAAAAGCTTTTCTTTAGCCTTAATGTGGAGTTAAGAGCAATTTACCCATTTTTTGAGAGATTGATGCATGAGTAAAGTATTTCTCAGGGTATTTGAAGACTGGATAGTATCAAATCAGGTCATGATAAAATATAGTTGAAGGCAGCATTTTAAATTGAAGAACCACATGAAAGCACTGAGTTCAGATATTTTGATTCTGAAGAATACACAGGGAATATTTCGCATTCACAAAGGATTTTCTTCCTAACCCCTCTTTCCCTATATCCACCATTCCCCAAACACAAACATGCACACATTCTTTTGAAGTATGTGAAGGTGAAATCATAGCAGGCATACCCCTCAGTCTATGCCTGTGGGCATGATTTTAAACAGAAACCTTGAGGGGGTTTATTTCTGTTAAAATGCATAGACAGGACCATGGTTTTTTCAAATTTGCACACAAAAATTCAATACAAGGGGAGTCAATACATGTTTATATGTATGTACTAACATATACAGGAACTTATTAATATATAATATATTTATGCTACTGGCAGAGACAGGCAATTAAACAATGTGCAATTGAGCATGTAAAACTGAGGTCCGGTCACCAGATGGAAGTGTATTTGGGAATAAGCCTGCCAACTTGTGCTATATGCAATATGCTTATACTCAGAAAATACATCATCCATGAAAGGAATAAAATGAAAGTTTGCTTTCTTCATTCAGTTTCAAAAGGAGTAGTATTTTGGTGGATTTTCTTTTTTTGTATTTCTTTCATTACAGGAGAAAAAGAATAATGACCTAATTGCCAGAAAACGTGCATACAACATGAGACTTGGGGATCTGAGCTCTTGAAAGCCATACCAGAGATTTTCTCTAATACCTTTATTTTCAAAGTGTCTTTCCCCAAGGGGACAACATATCTCTGCAGACTTCATCTCATTGATCCTCACATGATCATTGTTAAGGAGTCAGGAAGGCTAAGACTTCTGTAGATTCCACCAGTGAAACAGACAGACAATAGCCATTAGAATGACTTGATTGAAATTATAGAGTAAGTTGGGAGCACAGCTGGTGCAAGAATCTGGGTCTGCTGTTTGCCAGAGCTTTCTTCTATCTGACAGAACATATTGCCTAAAGCTGAGAATCCCACAGTGTCCTTGATTACGTATTCTCAAATTATAGCTCACTTTAGAGATTCCTATTAAAAATGGAGTATGGCAGCAGGCCTGGAAATCATTTAGGAAACCCCAGGTTTCAAGCGGGTGGGAGATTTAAGAAGCAGGGCTGGAAGGATGAAATATCTAAAACATGGGTGGGGATGGATGTCTAAATGGCTGTCTACTGGATCTTTCTGTGGAGAGGGCATCATGCTAGGTGTTCTGCTGGTTAATCAGAAAGATGCAGAAGGTATTCCCTAGGAGTTTATTTACTTACTTGACAAGGGTCTTCTTGTGAAAGCCTCATTTCTTGCGAAAGCCTTCTTGTAAGTTGCTGGAGAAGGCAGATGAAGAATAGGAAGATGTATAGCTGTTTTAGAAGCCCAAGGGCAGCTTGAAATGAACTCCCTCATAAAGTAGAGGGGAGAGCTCTCTTGGGAAGAATTCAGTAGGCTCCCTCTTGTCTCACTTGGATTTTTTAAAGATGTAGTCTAGTAGGAATAGACATTTCCCTCATGAATTATTGATACCCTAAAGCAGTTTTAATTGTTTTTCCTTTCAGTGCTATATAGAGAAACTCCATAATGATTCTCACTGCAATATTAGAATATATTTTAAGCATGCCATAATACCGAGGGAAAGCATCTAATTTTCCTGAAACAATATGCTTCTTTAACTTCGAGAAATATGATTTAAATTAGCAATAAAGACGAGAAGTAATCCAACTTAGATTATAAAATTGCTTTCTGTACTGAAATATTCTGTAGGAAAATAAGAAAAGAATACATTTATGTACAATTTAATCATGTGAAAGCATGGTTAAACATTGAAATATGGGATTTGTAGATATAAGATAAATTTCACTACTGCATGAGGGTCTTTTCTTGGTCACAGATTTTAACTCTTTATATAACATTTTTTTCAAGCATGAGTTGCACAATATAGTGAACCTTTGCCACAAAACAACAAAAAAATGAAAAAACACTGAAATATCTGTAAGTAGCTATAGTCCCACTGTCAAAAATAACAACTCTAAATATTTTGACGTATACTTCTAGTCCTTTCCATTTTACATACGTTTATTTTTAAATAATATTCTATTATACTTTAATATTTTATAGTCTGCTTCTCCCTCTTATTAACAGACTGTCAATGGCTTTCCATTAAAAAATTATTCTTCAATGGGATTTTTACACTGTGAATTGCAACGTATCATAAGGATGTTTATAATTTACAAATTATTCTTCAACTTAGGTAAATTATTCCAGTTTTTTTTACTATTGTGATAAACATTATTAACTGATCCTAGTACATATTTCTTATCTCTTCTAGAATTCCTTAAAGTAAGTCAGTGTTATAAATACCAATATAGAAGCACGTAAATACGTGGCCTTCTGTGAGTTTATGTCAAATTATTGATTAGGGAGAGACTTCTGCTTCCAAAATGGCAGCATAGAAGCAACCTGGCTTCACTTTCTACAACAGAAAACCAAAAACAAATATATAGTGCTGAAATTATCACCAGCAGTATCCCACAACTCAAATATGATAAGGCAACAGTGCCTGGACCAACAGAGACATGAAAAAACTTTGAGTAGATGGTAAGAGAATTAGACTTTCATCTCCACAACACCTTTCTTCCCAATCTGCCCAGCACTAAGTGCACAGAAAGCTTCTTCCTGACTCATGGTTTTTACATTTGAAAAAGGGAGATTAAGGTGGACAACTAGCTTCCCCACCAACTTGGGTTCCTTGGCAGGAGACCTGTCCCTGCTTCAAACCAAAGAAAGCATGGCAAGTGCCTGAAGGGTGAAATATGCCTGAGGACAGACAGAGACAAAGGTGGAAGGTGGGACTATCATTCCCAGCTCTGAAAGCTCTGCTCTATAACTCAGCCAATGGAGAGACATTAAAAAAAATTCATTAACCAGGAACAAGTGGGCTTTATCCCAGGGATGCCAAGGATGGCTCAACAAACACAGAACCAAAAATAAAACCACATGATCATTTCAACAGGTTCTGAAAAAGCATTTGATAAAATTCAACATCTTATGGCAAAAATCCTAACAAAACTGAGTATAGAAGGAACATACTACAAAATGATAAAGGTCATATATGACAGACCCACAGCTAACAACATACTTAACTGAAAAAAATTGAAAGGCTTTACTCTAAAATCTGGAGCAAGATAAAGATGCCCACTTTCACCACTTTTATTCAAAATAATACTGGAAGTCCTAGCCAGAACAATTAGGCAGGAGGAAGAAATAAAGGGCATTTGAATTGGAAAGAAAAAGTCATATTAGCCTTGTTTGTAGATGACATGATCTTACATTTAGGAAAACCTAAAGACTCTACCAAATAGTTGTTAGAACTGATAAATGAATTCAGTAAAATTGCAAGATACAAAATTAACATAAAAAATCAGCAGCATTTATACATGCCAATAGTGAGTAATCTAAAGAAAAATCAAGAAAGAAATCCAACTTTAAACAGCTACAAGGAATATAGAATGTTAGGAATCAACTTAACCAAAGAAATGAAGGATAACAAGCAAAACTGTAAAACACTGATGAAATAAATTTAAGAAGACATACAAAAATGAAAAGATATTCTGTACTTATGAATTAGAAATATTAATATTATTAAAATGATAACACTACCCAAGAAAATTTACAGATTCAATGCAATGCCTATCAAAATACCAATGACATTCTTCACAGACGTAGAAAAAGCAATCCTAAAATTTATATGGAACCACAAAGACTATGAATAGGCAAAGCAATCCTGAGCAATAACAACAAAAAAGCAAAACTGAAGACATTACACCACTGGACACCAAAAAATACTACAAATCTGTAGTAACTAAATCAGCATGGTATTGGCATAAAAGCAGACACACAGAACAATGAAACAGAAGAGAGAATCCAGATATTAATCCATGCATTTCCAGCCACCTCATCTTCAACAAAGACACCAAAAACATGCAATGAGGAAAGGACAGTCTCTTTAATGAATGGTGTTGGGAAAACTGGATAACCATACGTAGAAAAACAAAGGTAGACCTCTATCTCTCACTATATACAAAAATCAACTCAAAAATTAACTAAAGATTTAACTCTAGGCCTTGAAACTTTGAAATTACTAGAAGAAAACATTGCGGAAACACTCCAAGACATTGGTCTAGGCAAAATTTTTTGTGTAAGCATAGGCAACCAAAGCAAAAAAAGACAAACTTTTTATCTATTTATGTAAAACTGAAAAGCTTCTGCACAGCTAAGGAAGCAATCAACAAAGGGACAACCTGCAGTATCAGAGATATTATTTGCAAACTATCCATCTGACAAGGGATTAATAACCAGAATATATGTGGAGTTCAAACAACTCAGTAGCAAAAATAATGATAATAATAATTACCCACTTGAAAAATGGGGGAAATATCTGAATAGATATTTCTCAAAAGATGACACACAAGTGGTCAACAGATATATGGAAATATGCTCAACATCACTAACTATATCAGAGAAATGCAAATCAAAACCAAAATGAGATATCACCTTACCCTAGTTAAAATGCTTTTATTAAAAAGAAGGAATAACAGATGCTGGCAAGGATGTGGAGGAAGGAGAACTCTAATACACTATTGGTAGGAATGTAAATTAGTACAGCCGCTATGAAAATTCCTGTGGCGGTTTCTTAAAAAGCTTAAAATAGAGCTCCATATGATCTAGCAATTCCACTCATGAGCATAAAAGAAAGGAAGTCAATATATTGAAGAGATATCTGCACTTTCATGTTAATTACAGCACTATTCACAATAGTCAAAATATGAAATCAACTTGTGTCCATCAGTGAATAAATGGATAAAGAACTGTAGTATATATAAGCAATGGAATATTTTTCAGCCACAAAAAATAAAATCCTGTCATTTGCAGCAACATGGATGGAACCAGAGGTCATTATGTTAAGTGAAAAAAGCCAGGCACAGAAAGAAAAATATCATGTTTTCACTCATGTGTGGGAGCTAAAAAGTGAAGCTAGATATTAGATTGGTGGTTATCAGAAGCTGTGAAGGGTAGCGAAAAGGGGCTAATAAAAATAAGTTGATTAATGAGTACAAATATACAGCTTGATACAAGAAATATAACCTAGTGTTAGATCAGTAGACTGACTACAGTTTACAATAATGTTGTATATTTCAAAACTGCTAAAAAAGAATAATTTGGATGTTTCTAGCATAGAAAAAAGACAAATATTTAACGTTATAGATATCTCAATTACACTGATTTGATCTTCACAAAGTATATGAATGTATTCAATTATCACATGTATCCTGAAAAATATGTGGATCAACCGAAAAATATTTTATATATTTTTTAGGGCTCAGTCTTAAGCCTTATTATGGTCTCCGCCTACACTCTCTCCCTGAATGATCTCATCTACCCCCTTAGCATTATTACATCTACCAAATGTGTATATCCAGCCCTGAACTTTCTTCTGGATACAGACTCATGTATCCATCTCCCTATTTGATGTCTCCACCTTGAGGTACCACAAGCACGTAAAATGTGACATGTCCAAAACTGACTCTTGATGTTTCTCTTTTCCTAAGTCTTTTCCTTTTTAATGTTTTTCTTACCATTAATAACAGCTACGATTTCCTCTAAGTTGCTTAAGTCAAGAAAATGGAAAACATTTTTGATTACTACCTTTCTCTCTTTTCCGGGAGTCAATCCATCTTAAGCCGTCTAATGCTATCATTGTTTTCTGTATGCCATTGCTTGTTACTAAGAAAGTCTCTCTGTCACCTTTACAAAATGAAGGAATTTAGATTCGTATAATCCAAGGGCTGTAATTGTATTGTCTTTGTGTATTTCCTGATGCCATTTTCTTTTGGAAGTATTATTAAAATGTTATAAATCATAGGAATTTCATTTCCATATACTCTAAGGATATTTAATTAAAACAGGCAGATTTATTATCAAAAAGTAGAAAGATTTGTCAATAGTCAAAGGAAGAGAACTGGGTTAGGTATGGCTTATAGAAAAATGAGCCTTTCTTTGATGTTAGCATTTGTTTAAAGGAACCTGAAAGCATAATGGCGTAAGAAGGTAAAAGGAAAGGGAATGATCTGCTTAATTGTACAAAGCTTCATGAGCTTCTTTTATTACTATTATTATTATACTACTCAAGAAACCTATAAAGTGTATAGATCTTTCCCTCTTGTAACTAAAAAAAAAAGAAAAAAAGTACGTTTTAGTGATAAACTCCTTACCCCATTTTTTTTTTAGCTTAATGCATTCTAAGTGTCCACAGCTTAATGCTAGGAAAAATAAAATATTTTGGAGGGAAAGGATGACATATAAGTCTCCTAGCTTGACCAAAAGTCTGATAAGATTATTTCATTGTACAAATGTTAAATATTTATTGAAAAAAACCTAATTGTTATACTTTTGTCTTTCTCAGAAGGAGACTAATATACTATGTTGTCTAGTTTATTTCATTTAAAAAAGATAAGTTAATTTTTTTTTTGCTTTGAATGTGTTGTTACTTAAAGAAAAAAAGTTCTTCTCTGCACTTTAAGAAAAATCGAACTATGATGATAAAGTTTGATTGCTAAGCATGAAATAATGTTTTGAGGCCAGGTGCCGTGGCTCACGCCTATATCCTAGCACTTTGGGAGGCCAAGGCGGGCAGATCACAAGGCCAGGAGATCAAGACCATCCTGGCTAATACGGTGAAACCCTGTCTCTACCAAAAATACAAAAAATTAGCCAAGCGTGGTAGCGGGTGCCTGTAGTCCCGGCTACTCGGGAGGCTGAGGCAGGAGAATCATGTGAACTTGGGAGGCGGAGCTTGCAGTGAGCAGAGGTCGCACCACTCCACTCCAGCTTGGGCGACAAAGAGAGACTCCGTCTCAAAAAAAAAAAAAAAAAAAAAAAAAAAAAGAAAGAAATAATTTTTTGAAATAGTCATTTGGCTATAACTCTTTTAATAGTCATTAAATGAGCTAATGGAAGCTTCTTTGAGGAACCCAGGCAGCCCAGACAAGTGGGCTTCACACAGCAGCACACCCTCTTCACCAAGGGACAGCCAAAGTGCTTTGTTAAATGGGTTCTGGTTCCCATGACCCCCAACTGAGTGAGATCCCCCAACAGGGGTAACCAGATACCCTATACAGGAGCCTTCTTACTGGTATCAGGTTGGTGCCTCTCGAGGTCGGAGATCCCAGAGGAAGGAGCAGGGTGTTTTGCTGTTCTCCAGCATGCTTGGGTGACATATCCAGGTGCAGAAGCAACCCAGATGAATAGGGCCTAAAGTGAACCCCCAGCAAACCACAGAAGCCCTACAGAAGAGGAACCTGACAAGTGAAAGAAAAATAAGCAAACAGAAAGCAACAACAGCATCAATAAAAAAAGTCCCCATAAAAACCTCATCCAAAGGTCAGCGGCTTCAGAAATCAAAACTAGACAAACTCATGAAGAAGAGAAAGAATTGATGAATAAATGCTGAAAACCCAAATGGCCAGAGTGCCTTTTCTCCTCCAAATGACAGAAACACGTCTCCAGCAAGGGCACAGAGCTGGATGGAGGATAAGATGGATGAATTGACAGAAGTAGACTTCAGAAGGTGGGTAGTAACAAACTTCGCTGAGGTAAAGGTGCATGTTCTAACCCAATGCAAAGAAACTAAGAACCATGATACAAGGTTAAAGGAGCTGCTAACTAGAATAACCAGTTTAGAGAAGAACATAAATGACCTGATGGAGCTGAAAAACACACTACGAGAACTTTGTGAAACATATACAAGTATCAGTAGCTGAATCGATCAAACGAAAGAAAGAATATCAGAGCTTCAAGACTATCTTGCTGAGATAAGGCTGGCAGACAAGATTAGAGAAAAGGGAATGAAAAGGAACCAACAAAACCTCTGAGAATTATGGGACTATGTAAAAAGACTGAACCTATGACTGATTAGAGTACCTGAAAGAGACAGGGAGAATGGAACCAAGTTGGAAAACACACTTCAGGATATCTTCCAGGAGAACTTCCCCAACCTAGAAAGACAGGACAACATTCAAATTCAGGAAATACAGAGAACTCCAGTAAAATACTCCATGAGAGGATCAGTCCCAACACACATAATCATCTGATTGTCCAAGGTCGAAATGAAAAAAAAAAAAAAAATGTTAAGGGCAGCCAGAGAGAAAGGCCAGGTCACTTACAAAGGGAAGCCCATCAAACTAACAGTGGATCTCTCGGCAGGAACCCTACAAGCCAGAAGAGAGTGGGGGCCAATATGAAACATTCTTAAAGAAAAGAGTTTTCAACCCAGAATTTCATATCTGGCCAAACTAAGCTTCATAAGCAAAGGAGAAATAAAATCCTTTTCAGACAAGCAAATGCCGAGGGAATTCATCACCACCAGGCCTGCCTTGCAAGAGCCCCTGAAGGAAGCACTCAATGTGAAAAGGAAAAACCAGTTCCAGCAACTGCAAAAACAAATCAAAATACAAAGATACTATGAAGAAACTGCATCAACTAGTGCGCAAAATAACCAGCTAGCATCATGATGACAGGATCAAATTCACACATAACCTAAATGTAAATGGGCTAGATGTCCCAATTAAAAGATGCAGACTGGAAAATTTGATAAAGAGTCAAGACCCATCAGTGTGCTATATTCAGAAGACCCATCTCACTTGTAAAGACACACACAGGCTCAAAATAAAGAGATGGAGGAATATTTACCAAGCGAATGGAAAGTTAAAAAAAAAAAAAAGGCAGGGGTTACAATCCTAGTCTCTGATAAAATAGACCTTAAACCAACAAAGATCAAAAAAGACAAAGAAGTGCATTACATAAGGTAAAGGGATCAATTCAACGAGAAGAGCTAACTATTGTAAATATATATGGACCCAATACAGGAACATCCAGATTCATTTAAAAAACAAAAAGTTATTTGAGACCTGCAAAGAGACTTAGACACGCACACATTAATAGTGGGAGACTTCAACACCCCACTGTCAATATGAAACAGATCAATGAGACAGAAAATTAACAAGGATATTCAGGACTTGAGCTCAGCTCTGGATCAAGTGTACCTGATAGATATCTACAGAACACTCTACTCCAAAACAGCACAATACACATTCTTCTCAGTGCCACATAGCACTTATTCTAAAATTGATCACATAATTGGAAGTAAAACACTCCTCAGCAAATGCAAAAGAACTGAAATCATAACAAACAATCTCTCAGACCACAGTGCAATCAAATCAGAGCTCAAAATTAATAAATTGACTCCAAACCACACAACTACATCAAAACTGAACAATCTGCTCCTGAATGAATACTGGGTAAATAATGAAATTCAGGAAGAAATCAAGAAGTTCTTTGAAACCAATGAGAACAAAGACACAATGTACCAGAATCTCTGGGATACAGCTAAAGCAGTGTTAAGAGAGAAATTTAAGGCACTAAATGCTCACATCAGAAAGCTATAAAGATCTCAAATTGACACTTTAACATCACAACTAAAAATACTAGAGAACCAAGAGCAAACAAATCCAAAAGCTAGCGGAAGAGAAGAAATAACTGAGATTGGAGTGGAACTGAAGGAGATAGAGACACAAAAAACCCTTAAAAAATCAGTGAATCTAGGAGCTGTTTTTTTGAAAAAATTAATAAAATTGATAGACTGCTAGCTAGACTAATAAAGAAGAAAAGAGAGAAGAGTCAAATAGACACAATAAAAATGAGGAAGGGGATATCAGCACTGATCCCACTGAAATACAAACAAACATTAAAGAATAAACACCTCTATGCAAATAAACTAGAAAATCTAGAAGAAATGGATACATTCCTGAACACACACACCCTCCCAAGACTAAACCAGGAATAAGTCAAATCCCTGAATAGAAAAATAACAAGTTCTGAAATTGAGGCAGAAATTAATAGCCTACCAACCAAAAAAAAATCCCAGGACCAGACGGATTCACAGCCAAATTCTACCAGAGGTAAAAAGAGGAGCTGGTACCATTCCTTCTGAAACTATTCAAAACAGTTGAAAAGAAGGGACTACTCCCTAACTCATTTTATGAGGTGAGCATTATCCTGATACCAAAACGTGGCAGAGACACAACATAAAAGAAAACTTCAAGCCAATATCGCTGATGAACATCAATGTGAAAATCCTCCATAAAATACTGGCAAACCAAATTCAGCAGCACATCAAAAAGCTTATCCACCACGATCAAGTCGGTTTCATTCCTGGGATGCAAGGCTGGTTCAACATATGCAAATCAATAAACATAATTCATCACAGAAACAGAACCAATAACAGAAACCACATGATTATGTCAATAGATGCAGAAAAGGCCTTCCATAAAATTCAACATTGCTTCATGTTAAAAACTCTCAATAAACTAGGTATTGATGGAACATATCTCAAAATAATAAGAGCCAATATTATACTGAATAAGCAAAAGCTGGAAGCATTCCCTTTAAAAACCAGCACAAGACAAGGATGCCCTCTCTCACCACTCCTATTCAACATAGTGTTGGAAGTTCTGGCTAGAACAATCGGTCAAGAGAAATAAATAATGGGTATTCAAATAGGAGAGGAAATCAAAATGTCTCTGCAGACACATGATCCTATATCTAGAAAACCTCATCATCGTCTCAGTCCAAAAGCTCCTTAATCTGACAGGCAACTTCAGCAAAGTCTGAGGATACAAAATCAATGTGCAAAAATCACAAGCATTCGTATACATCAATAATAGAGAGCCAAATCATGAGTGAACTCCCATTCACAATTGCTACAAAGAGAATAAAATACATAGGAATACAGCTAACAAGGCACATGAAGGACCTCTTCAAGAAGAACTACAAACCACTGCTCAAGGAAATAAAATGGGATGCAAACAAATGGAAAAAAATTCCATCCTTATGGATAGGAGGAATCAATATTGTGAAAATGGCCATACTGCCCAAAGTAATTTATAGATTCATTGCTATTCCCATCAAACTACCATTGACATTCTTCACAGAATTAGAAAAAAAATACTTTGAAATTCATGTGGAATCAAAAAAGAGCCTGTATAGCCAAGACAATCCCAAGCAAAAAGAACAAAGCAGGAGGCATCACACTACCTGACTTCAAACTATGCTTAAGCTGACAGGCAACAGTAACCAAAACAGAATGGAACCGATACCCAAACAGACATATAGACCAGTGAAACAGAATAGAGACCTCAGAAATAAGACCACACATCTACAACCCTTGGATCTTTGACAAACCTGGGAAAAACATGCAATGGGGAGAGGATTCCCTATTTAATAAATGGTGCTGGGAGAAATGGCTAGCCATATGCAGAAAACTTAAACTGGACCCCTTCCTTACACCTTATACAAAAATTAACTCAAGATGGATTAAAAACTTAAATGTAAAACCAAAACCATAAAAACCCTAGAACAAAATCTAGGCAAAACCATTCAGGACAAAGGCATGGGCAAAGATTTTATGATGAAATCACCAGAAGCAATTGCAACGAAAGCTAAAATTGACAAATGGGATCTAATTAAACCAAAGAGCTTCTGCACAGCAAAAGAAACTATCATCAGAGCAAACAGGAAACCTAGAGAATGGGAGAAAAATTTTGCAATCTACCCATCTGAGAAAGGTCTAATATCCAGAATTTACAAGGAACCTAAATAAATTTACAAGAAAAAAACAACAACCCTATCAAAAAGTGGGCAAAGGGCATGAACAGAAACTTCTCAAAAGAAGATATTTATATGTCCAAAAAACATATGAAAAAAAGCTCAACATCACTGAACCTTGGAGAAATGCAAATCAAAACCACAATGAGATACCATCTCACGCCAGTCAGAATGAGTAAAAAGTCAAAAAATGACAGATGCTGGCAAGAGATAGGAGAAATAGGAACACTTTTACACTGTTGGTGGGAATGTAAATTAGTTCAACCATTGTGGAAGACAGTATGGTGATTCCTTAAGGATCTAGAACCAGAAATACAATTTGACCCAGCAATACCATTACTGGGAATATGCCCAAAGGAATATAAATCATTCTATTATAAATAAACATCTATGTTTATTGTGGCACTATTCACAATAGCAAAGACAAGGATCCAACCCAAATGCACATCAATGATAGACCGGATAAAGAAAATGTGTTACATATATGCCATTGAATACCATGCAGCCATAAGTAGGAATGAGATCATATCCTTTGCAGGGGCATGGATTACGTTTGAATCCATCATCCTCAGCAAACTAACACAGGAACAGAAAACCAAACACTGCATATTCTCACTCATAAGTGGGAGCTGAACAATGAGAACACATGGACACAGGGAGGGGAACATCACACACAGGGGCCTGTCAGAGGGGAAAAGGGAGAGAGAGCATCAGGACAAATAGCTAATGCATGCAGGGCTTAATACCTAGGTGACGGATTGATAGGTGCAGCAAACTACCATGGCACATGTTTACCTGTGTAACAAACCTGCACATTCTGCACATGTATCCTGGAACTTAAAATAAAATAAAATAAAATCTTCTTTAAAATATTTAATATTTGATAAATGAATACAGAAGAATTATAAGTATCTCATTTGTGTAACATTTACTTTAATCAAAGTAAATCTTTCTTTTTTTTTAACGTTCTTTTCCATGGAATACTATGCAGCCATAAAAAATGATGAGTTCATGTCCTTTGTAGGGACATGGATGAAATTGGAAATCATCATTCTCAGTAAACTATCGCAAGAACAAAAAACCAAACACCGCATATTCTCACTCATAGGTGGGAATTGAACAATGAGAACACATGGACACAGGAAGGGGAACAAAGTAAATCTTTCAATGAATTAAGTTGCTTTCGAATTTTGGCTTAAAGAAATTATGCATCTTTTCTTTCACCTTATTGCCATGAAGAACATAATATATGTTAGTTTCTGATGAGTCAGAAACCACTCTAACGGTTAGTAGTTTTCAAACAACAATAATTTATTATTTCATATGATTCTTCTTCTGGGCTGTTTCAGCTGAAGCTGGATGGTCTAGGATGGCTTCAGGCAGTTGACTCAGTGTCACCTTGAGTGATGGAGGTGATTTGGCTATAATCATCCAGGAGGCTAGCCAGGGCTTGTTCACATGATGGCAATTGCAGAATTCCAAGTGCAGAAAATGAGGGCAAGCTCCAATATGCAAGTCTTTTAAAGCCTCTGCTTGTATCATATTTGTTCATGTCTCATTGACCAAAGTAATTCACATGACCAAGCCTAGAAAGAACAGGTAGATTCACGAAATAGACCAACCGTTGATGGAAGGAACTACAAAATCAGGTTGTAAAATGATATGTATAAAGAGATGGAACATTTGTAGCAATTTTTAAAATCTACTGCAGACTGTTTTCAGCCACAAATTATATTCTCCTAAATGAAAAATATGCTTACTTCCAGAATTTCAGTAGTCTCATTCAATTATGTCATCTGGTTCAAAGTCCAGGTTCTTATAATTTGTTTCTAATATAGGTATAAATATGACCCATTGGATGCAGCTGCTCTTCATCCAGAGACTTATAAACTAAAAATGTAAGTTACCAGTGGTCAACCAACCTAATATACAAGGGTGAGATGGGAGCAGAGTAATTGTAATAGATACTTCTGATCAGAAAAATGAGGAATGGGAGGCATAGAGCAGCCATTGGTCTAACAAATTCTGAAATCCATCCAGGTACATGTTAAAAGGATCCCCTGCTCTAAGTCTGTGTAAGCTCCTTGATTGAGTTCTATTTCGGCTCCTTGAGAGTGATTTGTCTGTCTGTTTTTCTCTGGATCTCTTGCCTCCACCTCTAGGATTTTCATCCTTCGAACTAGAAACGGCCATGATTCTCAGTCTGATTTCTGCCCCCAAAATGTTGGAAGCCTAGAAAACTTTCTTTTTGTAATTGATTTTAGTCCAAGCTGGCAGTGATTTGTTAGTATAATGGTCTTTAAAAACTCATGGATTGCCTATGGATCTGATTTACATCTATTGTATGTAATTTCTAAAATTCTCCACTTCCAAAATTCACATCTAAATCATTTCAAAACAGGCCTTCCTCCACTTTAGATGTGGTAGGCTGCTATGAAAAAAAAAATGCCCTTAGAATTATTAGGAGACAATTTATCTTGCTGAGGACTCTTCTGTCCACCTTAGAACTTTTAGAGGTTTTTTAAAAATGAATCTTATAACCAGCCACATCTTTGTCTGTCTTTATACTAGGCCATTTCCTACTTTGTGAATTTTAACCAACGTGGGAGACAATTTATTTTTTGACCCAGCAATTCCTGGCTTCTTTTTATTTCTTCTAAAATCTGCTTGTAAACAAAACTGTTCATTTTTAAACTTATTCTGTCTGTTTCCATATTATTATATGCAGCTAACAGGGGCCAGTTGACACACTCAGCATCTATCATCAAATCTTTTTAGAGGCACAAGTTCATTAGGTACATTTTCTATCTTCCAAGTTTCTGCAGATGAAAGCTTTGCCAAATATTCCACTATAGCACAACTTTGTCTGCCACTGTCTCAACCTTCACTAACAGTTTCTTCACTGTTTTTTCAGCCTCCATCCAAAGCCAATACTATGTATTTTAGTATTTTATTAGATGTTTTAGGTTTTGTTATAGCAACACCCCACACCGGGTACTAGTTTTTATATCAGTTAACTTCTGTTGTGTTAAACAACAATTTGCTTTAGACAGTAAATATTTATTTTTATGCTTCAGCGGTTCACCTGGCTGGTTCTTGGTTCTTCTCTGAGCCAGATTCATTGGTGCTGGGTTTTCAGATAGCCTCATTCATGTATCGGGCAGTAGGCTTGCTGTAAGTTG
Organism: Homo sapiens; assembly: GCF_000001405.40. NCBI lineage: Eukaryota > Metazoa > Chordata > Mammalia > Primates > Hominidae > Homo > Homo sapiens. The sequence continues at coordinate 16,887,272 of NC_000021.9, forward strand.
GATAGTGGCAATGACTTTGCCAACTGTTTCTTCATCCAGCAGGTTTATTTGGACTCATTCAGTGATTACAACGTTCTCAAGATCAGAGAGAGAAGTCTCATTTTGGTTTTTAGCCACTGCTTATGTCACTTTTGATATGTCCCTTTGCCCAAAGCAAGTCACATGGCCAAGCCCAGATTCAAGAAACAGTGAAAAGGTTTCCACCTTCTGACGAATGGAGCTGCAAAGTAACATTACAAAGGGAAGGATGCATAAAAAGGCAGAAGAATGTCCAGCCATTTTTGCAGTCTATCACAGCAAGCATATTTTATGTAAGACCTGAGTATAATTTTTTATTGCTAATCTAATCATTAGAGTTTGCTAAATTTCCTATGCTATGTTTATGGGAAAGATTATTATTGTTTCCATAAATTATGTAAGGCTATGAGAATATAAACGTATGTGTTTAACTGAATGGAATTATAAATATTAATACCCTTTAAAAGAACTTGTGAAGTGGAACCTATGTTGCAAATCCTGTGAACTTAATCACTAATACTCCGCCTACTCTATCTTAGTGAAATTATAAAAGGTTATCTCTCTGAGAAACAGTTTATATCCATTTTGATTGTGTTGTTCTGTAGGGGCAATTTAAATGCAATTTCCAAGATTATTAATTGACTTTAAGACTTTGGGCTAGTATTAAATTAAGTTAATGAACAAGTAATCCCTCTAATTAAAGTAAAAATTTCAGCAAGTTATGTGCATCATCTTATGCTGTTAAGTTAATATTTTCAAGCTAAAGTTGAAAGCTTTAATTTAGTATCTGATCATACATTTTTATAAGGTTATGTAAACATATCCAAATTACTAGACAAATAAAGCTTGGTATGATAAAGAGTAGAGGATTAATAATTTAAAATTGGTCTGGAAGTATTTAGCCATTTCGTAAAAAAGGCTAATGGATTATTCTGTGTAATCAGCCCAGATTGCAGAGTTTTCTTAACCCATCAGAATTCTCTCTCCTGCAATCCTGTTGTTTTCATCCTACTTATAAATTATTTGATAATAAACAATAAAATGTTTCACTTCTGAAATAAGTAGTTTTATGTTACCTTCTTCTATTATTTAATATACCATCACTCTAATAGAACTCAAGACTACAATAATTTACCCATGACTTATTCTCATATTTTGATATAGTGATCAGTGTCCTCTCACCAATCTTTTTGATATTGCGTTTCCCAAACTCAAGCATGAAATTTAAAATAATAAAACTGTTTAGATATATTTGACATCCTTACTCTTTTGTGCAATATTTGCTCATTTTCCTTCTAACGAGGAGTGACTAGAAATAATTAGATAGGTTTGGTATTTTCTATTGTTTATTAGATCACCACAATTGTGAAAGAGAGCCATTCTATTTGTCAAACCAACAGTATAGGAAGAGCTGTCAAATCAAAAAGAGAAGCTCAACTTCCATAGGTCAATTATGTACAAGTAAGATACTGTTAATAAGAACTTATTTCCAGTCATTCGGTTTCAGGATAGACTGAAGTGTTCTCACGTTCATGTGCAAAGCCTGGCATGATATTGCTAGAACAAATCGATTCTTTAAAATGTTGTCTTTAGGTTTTTAATACCCTTCTCAGCTGGCTGCACATGTAACACATATTCTACTGAATGGCTCGAAAGCTCTGGAGGTTTTTCAGTGTTCCTAGTGTTCACATTATGTTCTTATATACAGGGTAAACTTTAACTGGATCCTTTCTAAAAAATGATAGATTATGCCTCAACAGGAAATTTTAATCTCCTCTGTTCTTATATTTTTGGTGACTATTATAAAATTTACAGTGAGCATTCAGTCATGTCATATAAAACATGTTCCCCTCAACCACAACATTGCCCTTAAAGCTCATGCTATATAAGCTATAGGAAAGAAATTACATCTTTTGGAGGAAACTTCTAAGGAATGATAATCTCAGTAAGGACTATATCAGCTACTGTAGGCTCTTGGTAGTTAAAGGAGTAGATTAATGCTTACAAGAGTCCCGGTGTAAGCTGCCATTACCACCTGCCAGACTATGCCAGAGGACTAAATCAGAATTTCCAAAACACCATGGTCCAGGAGTGGATGGCTTCCTGCATGCTTATTGATGCCTTTGGTTCTGAAGGGATAAAAATTAATTATGCGAGACTAAATGAAACTGATAACAAGATTTCAGTTGTTTTTTGTTTTTGGTTTTGAGACGGGGTCTCAGTCTATCACCCAAGCTGGAGTACAGTGACATAATCGTAGCTCACTGCAGCTTCAACTTCCCAGACTCAAGGGATCCTCCCAGTTTAGCCTCCCAAGTAGCTGGGACCACAGATGGATACCACAATGCCCAGCTAATTTTGACTTTTCTGGAGAGACGGGGTCTCCCTCTGTTGCCCAGGCTAGTCTCAACCTCCTGAACTCAAGCATTCCTCCTGCCTCTGCCTCCCAATGTGCTGAGATTACAGGAATGAGATAGCACATGTGGCTTAATTGGTATTTTTAATTGAAATATTGATGGTATTGTTTATAATGTTCAAAATTCTGATGGTCATCTGGAGGAAGTCTTTTTCCTTTTTATCATATATGTAAAACCCTTGTTTCAGCAAAATAAATTTGTACAAACTGGAATAAAACACTTTTATAATTTCCTCTAACTCACCATTCAGAATTCAAGAAAGGTGTTCTATGAGAAATATTAAAAAATTATAACCCTATGAAGCAAAGATGGATAATTACGTAGAATATTAATGCTTATTGATGGTTTTGTCTGGAAAACTGTTCAAAATGTATTCAAAAATGCTCAAACTGGCATTAAAACCTATATTAACAGATGTACTCTATATTTATGAAATTTTTTCTCATACTTCCTACCAGGATAAAATCAGATAAAATATGTAAGAAATATTACATTTAAAGGCAAATCTTATTTAATTAACTAAGACAAGTCCACAGTTAAATAAAAAGGACAGTGTGTAAATAATGCCTACAAAATCATTTCAAGACATTTCTCTCCACCTACTCTGTAGCTCATTGAGCTTATCCTTACATGTAATCAAGACATCACTTTCTAGAAAATCAGAAACATTGGTAAACTTAGGGATCTCAAATTTGGATTTGAGGGGAATTTTCCTATAGTTAAAAGCACTGAGGGTAAAACACAAAAGAGGCAAATTGAATGGTTCTTGGTTCTACTCTTTGGAATACAGGAACTGGTGAAAACAATAAAGGTATTTATGATATAATAAATGTGACTTGAAAAATGTCACCAGGGGATCTGCAAAGCTAATAAATAAAAGTAAATTCCCTAATCTTAATATTGTATGATTCTAGCTATGTTAAATATTGTAACAAGAATGTCTTTGAATATTTATCAAACTGCAAAGCAAGAAAACAGTTCTGAAGGAGAAATACATAAATTAATACTACTGAATCAAAATATTGGAAAGCAAATTTGTGGTCAAATTTGTGCCTTAGGGAGGACTAGGACTACAACTAGGGTCTGACTTCACTCTTTCTGACTTACTTTTTTTTTTTTATTAAATCTTTTCTAAGACATGGCTTATGATTTAGAGATGGGCCCTGAAAAGCAGAAGCTTTCTCTTATCAGGCATTTCTACAAAGGTAATGAAAAGCAACAGAGTCCTTATGAAATCCCTGTTTCCTGAAACAAGCTCTAAATGAGAGAGGGTGTTTTGCTACACAAACCCCGGGAAATTCTGGTTTTGTTTTATTGAAGAAACCAACCCAAATATTATGATATCAAAATGTTTCATGGTCAAATAATAATTTGAACTATAAATGCTCTGATTTTTCTCTGATTATTCTGTTAGCCTACTTGAAAGCTAAATGCCCTTGCATAATATCCTTATGAAAACCTTTACTCAGCAACCAAAATTACCTATTTGGATTTCTTATTTTTAATATGTAAAAATGATTTGTTGTTTGTCATTAGAGTTATTTGTATGCATACATAAAAATATGGGTACAATTTCTGACTATATGGAAATCAACATATTCCTACACTCATGCCATGTCTTCTATGAGGGCTCCTACTGTGCTGATTTTACCACCTATTGTAGGCAGACTAATGCCCTTTCCACCCAAAGATGCCCATGTCCTAATCTCCAACTGGTGAATACGTTAGGTTATATGGCAAAGGGAAATTCAGGTTGTCAATGAAATTGAGGTTGCTAATCAACTGACCTTAAAATGAGGAAATTTTCTTACTGGGTGGGGCCAATCTAATAACAGGTGGGGGATAAGTCAAATTCAGAGAGCTATTTGAACATGCTATGCTGCTGGCATTGAAGGTGGTGGAAGAAGCCATAAGCCAGGGAATGTAGGTGGTCACTAGAAGCTGGGAAAAGCAAGGAAATAGATTATCTCCAAGAGACTTCAGAAAGGAATACAACCCTGATGATGCCTTGATTTAGCCCAAGGGGACCAGTTTCAGACTTCTGAAGTCAAGAACTGCATGATAATAAAACATGTGTTGTTTTAAGCCACTAAAGTTGTGGTTATTTATTATAACAGGTATAGCAAATTAATACACTTCAGTATTTCTGATACTCATTAGGATAATAGTCCAAATCCCTCCCATGTCCTAAGAGGCATTGCATAAACAAGTCCCTTCTTCCCCTCTCATGGCATCTTGCCACATTCCTCTCTTTGTTACTGTGCTCAAGCAATGCTAACATTCTCTCATTTCCTTGAATGTGCCAAATTCTTCTACCAGAGGATGTTTGCCCTTGCCATTCCTTTGTCTAGATTGTTTCTCCTCCTACTCTTTGCTAGACTGGCTCTTTCTCATTCTTCAAGTGGTGGGTGTATGTTATCTTTACAGTAAGGCATCTGTGACCACTCTTAAAATATCTCACACACACACACGCACACATACAGAGCTTTTCTAGTATTCTTATTGTCAGGCCTCTGAGCCCAAGCTAAGCCATCATATCCCCTGTGACCTGCATGTACACATCCAGGTGGCTGGTTCCTGCCTTAACTGAGGACATTCCACCACCAAAGAAGTGAAAATGGCCTGTTCCTGCCTTAACTGATGACATTGTCTTGTGAAATTCCTTCTCCTGGCTCATCCTGGCTCAAAAACTCCCCCACTGAGTACCTTGTGACACCCAGTCCTGCCCACCAGAGAACAACTCCCCTTTTTCCTTTACCTACCCAAATCCTATAAAAGGGCCCCACCCCTATCTTCCTTTGCTGACTCTCTTTTCAGACTCAGCCCACCTGCACCCAGGTGAAATAAACAGCTTTATTGCTCACACAAAGCCTGTTTGGTGGTCTCTTCACATGGATGGGCATGAAATTTGTTGCCGTGACTCAGATTGGGGGACCTCCCTTCGGAGATCGATCCCCTGTCCTCCTGCTCTTTGCTCCGTGAGAAAGGTCCACCTACAACCTCAGGTCCTCAGACTGATGAGCCCAAGAAACATCTCACCAATTTCAAATCCAGTAAGCGGCCTCTTTTAACTCTCTTCTCCAACCTCTCTCACTGTCCCTCAACCTCTTTCTCCTTTCAATCTTGGCGCCACACTTCAATTTCTCCCTTCTCTTAATTTTAATTCCTTTCATTTTCTGGCAGAGACAAAGGAGACACGTTTTATCCGTGGACCCAAAACTCCGGTGCTGGTCACAGACTAGGGATGGCAGCCTTCCCTTTGTGTTTAATCATTGCAGGGATGCCTCTCTGATTATTCACCCAGGTTTCAGAGGTGTCAGACCACGCAGGGATGCCTGCCTTGGTCCTTCACCCTTAGTGGCAAGTCCTGTTTTTCTGGGGGAGGGGCAAGTACCCCAACCCCTTCTCTCCGTGTCTCTACCCCTTCTCCACTTTTCTGGGGGAGGGGCAAGAACCCCTCAACCCCTTCTCCTTCACCCTTAGCAGCAAGTTCCATTTATCTAGGGGGCAAGAAACCCCAATCCCTTATTTCCATGCCCCGACCTCTTATCTCTGCACCCCAATCCTTATTTCTGTGCCCCAAAGTCTTATCTCTGCACCCCAACCCCTTATTTCCACACCCCAACCCCTTTCCCACTTTTCTGGAGGGTAAGAACCCCTGAACCCCTTCCCTCCATGTCTCTACTCTCTCTTTTCTCTGGGCTTGCTTCCGTCACTATAGGCAACCTTCCACCCTCCATTCCTGCTTCTTCTCTCTTAGCCAGTGTTCTCAAGAACTTAAAACCTCTTCAACTCACACCTGACCTAAAACCTAAATGCCTTATTTTCTTCTACAATGCCACTTGACCCCAATACAAACTTGACAGTGGTTCCAAATAGCCAGAAAATGGCATTTCCATTTTTTCCATCCTACAAGATCTAAATAATTCTTGTTGTAAAATAGCCAAATAGTCTGAGGTGCCTGACGTCCAGGCATTCTTTTACACATCAGTCCCTCCCTAGTCTCTGTTCCCAATGCAACTCATCCCAAATCTTCCTTCTTTCCCTTCCACCTGTCCCCTCAGTCCCAACCCCAAGTGTCGCTGAGTCTTTCTAATCTTCCTTTTCTACAGACCCATCTGATCTCTCCCCTTCTAGCCAGGCCAAGCTAGGTCCTAATTCTTCCTCAGCCTCCACTCCTCCACCCTATAATCCTTTTATCACCTCCCCTCCTCACACTCTGTCCAGGTTACAGTTTCCTTCCGTGACTAGCCCTCCCCCACCTGCCCAGCAGTTTACTCTTAAAAAGGTGGCTGGAGCTAAAGGCATAGTCAAGGTTAATGCTCCTGTTTCTTTATCCCAAATCAGATAGCGTTTAGGCTCTTTTTCATCAAATATAAAAACCCAGCCCAGTTCATGGCTCATTTGGCAGCAACCCTGAGATGCTTTACAGCCCTAGACCCTAAAAAGTCAAGAGGCCGTCTTATTCTTAATACACATTTTATTACCCAATCTGCTCCTGACATTAAATAAAACTCCAAAAATTAAATTCCGGCCCTCAAACCCCACAACAGGACTTAATTAACCTTGCCCTCAAGGTGTGCAATAATAGAGGCAGCCAAGTAGCAACATATTTCTGAGTTGCAATTCCTTGCCTCCACTGTGAGACAAACCCCAGCCACATCTCCAGCACACAAGAACTTCCAAATGCCTAAACCACAGTGGCCAGGCATTCCTCCAGAACTGCCTCCCCCAGGAGCTTGCTACAAGTGCCAGAAATCTGGCCACCAGGCCAAGGAATGCCCGCAGCCTGGGATTCCTCCTAAGCCATGTCCCATCTGTGTGGGATCCCAGTGGAAATCAGACTGTTCAACTCACCTGGTAGCCACTCCCAGGGCCCCTGGAACTCTGGCCCAAGGCTCTCTGACTCCTTCCCAGATCTTCTCGGCTTAGCGGCTGAAGACTAACACTGCCTGATTACCTCGGAAGCCCTGTAGACCATCACGGACACCGAGCTTTAAGTAACTCTCACAGTGGAGGGTAAGTCCGTCCCCTTCTTAATCAATACAGAGGCTACCCACTCCACATTACCTTCTTTTCAAGGGCCTGTTTCCCTTGCCTCCATAACTGACAGCCAGGCTTCTAAACCTCTTAAAACTCCCCAAACTGGTGCCAACTTAGACAATACTCTTTTAAGCACTCCTTTTAGTTATCCCCACCTGCCCAGTTCCTTTATTAGGCCGAGACACTTTAACTAAATTATCTGCTTCCCTAACTATTCCTGGACTACAGCTATATCTCATTGCTGCCCTTCTTCCCAATCCAAAGCCTCCTTTGCATCCTCCTCTTGTATTACCCCACCTTAACCCACAAGTATAAGATACCTCTACTCCCTCCTTGGCGACCAATCATGCACCCCTTACCATCTCTTTAAAACCTAATCACTCTTACCCTGCTCAATGCCAATATCCCATCCCACAGCATGCTTAGAAAGGATTAAAGCCTGTTATCACTCACCTGCCACACCATGGCCTTTTAAAGCCTGTAAACTCTCCTTACAATTCCCCCATTTTTCCTGTCCTAAAACCAGAAAAGCCTTACAGGTTAGTTTAAGACCTGCACCTTATCAACCAAATAGTTTTGCCTATCCGCCCCATGGTGCCAAACCCATATACTCTCCTATCCTCAATACCTCCCTCCACAATCCATTATTCTGTTCTGGATCTCAAACATGCTTTCTTTACTATTCCTTTGCACCCTTCATCCCAGCCTCTCTTTGCTTTCACCTGGACTCACCCTGACACCCATCAGTCCCAGCAGCTTACCTGGGCTGTGCTGCCACAAGGTTTCAAGGACGGCCCTCATTACTTCAGCCAAGCTCTTTCTCATGATTTACTTTCTTTCTACCCCTCCGCTTCTCACTTTATTCAATATATTGATGACCTTCTTCTTTGTAGCCCCTCCTTTGAATCTTCTCCACAAGACACACTTCTGCCCCTTCAGCATTTATTCTCCAAAGGATATCAGGTATCCCCCTCCAGAGCTCAAATTTCTTCTCCAACTGTTACCTACCTCAGCATAATTCTTCATAAAAATACACGTGCTCTCCCTGCCGATAGTGTCCGGCTAATCTCCCAAAGCCCAATCCCTTCTACAAAACAACAACTCCTTTCCTTCCTAGGCATGGTTGGATACTTTCGCCTGTGGATACCTGGTTTTGCCATCCTGACAAAATCATTATATAAATTCACAAAAGGAAACCTAGCTGACCCCATAGATCCTAAATCCTTTCCCCAGTTCTCTTTCCATTCCTTGAAGACAGCTTTAGAGACTGCCCCCACTCTAGCTCTCCCTAACTCATGCCAATCGTTTTCATTACACACAGCCGAAGTGCAGGGCTGTGCAGTCAGAATTCTTACACAAGGACCGGGATCGCATCCTGTAGCCTTTTTGTCCAAACAACTTGACCTTACTGTTTTAGGTTGGTCATCATGTCTCCGTGCAGCAGCTGCTGCCGCCCTAATACTTTTAGAGGCCCTTAAAATCACAAACTGTGCTCAACTCACTCTCTACAGCTCTCATAATTTCCAAAATCCATTTTCTTCCAAACACCTGACACATATACTTTCTGCTCCCTGGCTCCTTTAGCTGTACTCACTCTTTGTTGAGTCTCCCACAATTACCATTGTTCCTGGCCCAACTTCAATCCGGCCTCCCACATTATTCCTGATACCACACCTGACCCTCATGACTGCATCTCTCTGATCCACCTGACATTCACCCCATTTCCCCACATTTCCTTCTTCCCTGTTTCTCACCCTGATCACACTTGGTTTATTGATGGTAGTTCCACCAGGCCTAATCACCACACACCAGCAAAGGCAGGCTATGCTATAGTACAAGCCACTAGCCCGCGTCTTAAAACCTCTCATTTCCTTTCCATCATAGAAATCTGTCCTCAAGTAAATAACTTCTCAGTGTTCCATCTGCTATTCTACTACCCCTCAGGGATTATTCAGGCCCCCTCCCTTCCCTACACATCAAGCTCAGGGATTTGACCCCACCCAGGACTGGCAAATTAGCTTTACTCAACATGCCCCGAGTCACAAAAACTAAAACACCTCTTAGTCTAAGCAGACACTTTCACTAGATAGGTAGAAGCCTTTCCTACAGGGTCTGAGAAGGCCACTGCAGTCATTTCTTCCCTTCTGTCAGACATAATTCCTCAGTTTAGCCTTCCCACCGCTATACAGTCTGATAACTGACCAGCCTTTATTAGTCAATCAGCCAAGCAGTTTTTCAGGCTCTTAGTATTCAGTGAAATCTTTATATTCCTTACAGTCCTCAGTCCTCAGGAAAAGTAGAACAGACTAAAGGTCTTTTAAAAACACACCTCACCAAGCTCAGCCACCAACTTAAAAAAGAACAGACAATACTTTTACCACTTTCCCTTCTCAGAATTCAGGTGTGTCCTCAGAATGCTACAAAGTACAGCCCATTTAAGCTCCTGTATAGATGCACCTTTTTATTAGGCCCCCGTCTCATTCCAGACACCAGACCAACTTGGATTGTGCCCCAAAAAACTTGTCATCACTACTGTCTTCTGTCTAGTCATACTCCTATTCACCGTTCTCAACTACTCATACATGCCCTGCTCTTGTTTACACTGCCAGTTTACACTGTTTCTCCAAGCCATCACAGCTGATATCTCCTGGTGCTATCCCCAAACCGCCACTCTAACTCTTAAAGTAAATAAATAATCTTTGCTGGCAGGGCTATGCTGAACCTCCTTAGGCACTCTCTAATTAGATGTCCTGGATCCTCCCAATTCTTATTCCTTTAGTACCTGTTTTTCTCCTTATCTTATTCCGTTTAGTTTTTCAATTCATACAAAACCATATCCAGGCCATCACCAATAATTCTAAATGACAAATGTTTCTTCTAACAACCCCACAATATCACCCCTTACCACAAATCTTCCTTCAGTTTAATCTCTCCCACTCTAGGTTCCCACGCTGCCCCAATCCCGCTCGAAGCAGCCCTGAGAAACATCGCCCATTATCTCTCCATACCATTCCCCAAAATTTTCGCCGTCCCAACATTTTACCACTATTTCATTTTATTTTTCTTATTAACATAAGAAGACAGGAATGTCAGGCCTCTGAGCCCAAGCTAAGCCCTCATATCCCTTGTGACCTGCACGTACACATCCAGGTGGCCGGTTCCTGCCTTAACTGCTGACATTCGACCACAAAAGAAGTGAAAATGGCCTGTTCCTGCCTTAACTGATGGCATTATCTTGTGAAATTCCTTTTCCTCGCTCATCCTGGCTCAAAAGCTCCCCCACTGAGTACCTTGTGACCCCCCCACTCCTGCCCGCCAGAGAAGAACCCCCCTTTTTCCTTTACCTATCCAAATCTTATAAAACAGCCCCACCCCTATCTCCCTTCACTGACTCTCTTTTCGGACTCAGCCCACCTGCACCCAGGTGAAATAAACAGCTTTATTGCTCACACAAAGCCGGTTTGGTAGTCTCTTCACACGGATGCGCATGAAACTTATTCGTTTTTTCTGCTTCTATTACTATTTGATACTCTCTTATTCAGCTGTTTACCTTTGTTTCTCACCCCTGCTTGAATGTAAGCTCCACAAAATTGGAAACAAACTTGTTTTCTGTTGAGTGCCCAGAATATAAACTGGACTCTTATACACATGAAAAGCTCCATAGTTATTGAAGGAAATAAGCAGAGTGCTTCAACAATACCAAATGACTTGTGGCTATCAAAATGTTGTATTAGTCCACTCTCACATTGCTATAAAGAACTGCCCGAGACTGGGTAATTTATAAAGACAAGAAGTTTAATTGACTTACAGTTCCACATGGCTGGGGAGGCCTCAGGAAACTTACAATCATGGCAGAAGGGGAAGAAGGTACACCTTACATGGTGGCGGGTGAGACAGAGCAAGCAAAGGGGGAAGACCCCTGTATAAAACCATCAGATCTTGTGAGAACTCACTCATTATCATGAGAACAGCATGGGGGAAACTGTCCGCATGTTCCAATCACCTCCGACCAGGGCAAAGGGGGAAGACCCCTGTATAAAACCATCAGATCTTGTGAGAACTCATTCATTATCATGAGAACAGCATGGGGGAAACTGTATGCATGTTCCAATCACCTCTGACAAGGGCCCTTCCTAGACACCTGGTGATCACAATTTGAGAAGAGATTTGGGTGAGGACATAAAGCCAAACCATATCAGTGTTCATTCTTGCCTATATGCCTTGTGAACATAGTATTCACTCTGTTTTGTTCCCCTTGCCTGCTGAGACAATGCCAATGTGTTCTTTAATATTTAATTTTAATGTATCATCTCTCTGAAGATTTTGGTGACTGTCTTCATTTCTATTTCAGTATTCATTGCTATGTAAAAAACCATCCCCAATCATAGTGGCTTAAAACACTCATAGTTTATTATTTCTGAAATATCTCATCTTTATTAGGCTTAGCTTGGTAGTTCTCTGCTCTGTGTATGGTCATTCACTTAGCAGCATTGAGCTTGGAAGCTGGACTGGCTGATCTGAGGCTAAAAGGACAAATAAGACTTTACTAAATGGTTTAGTGTCACTCCATTTGGCTAGTGTGGGCTTCCTCCAAGCATCATGGTTTCAGACTAGTGTCCCTTCTTATATGGCAGCTAATTTCAAGAGAGAACATGAAATATACCAGGTTCTTAAAATCAAAACCCAGAATGGAACTGGCACAATGACATATCTGCCACATTCTATCGGCCAAAGAAAGCAACAAATACGCCTAGTTTCAAAAACAGGTGTGATCATTCATTTTGATTCAGCCACAGAGTGCCCAGATATTTTTTCAAACATTATTCTGGGTGTATCTGTGGTGTGTCTGGATGAGATTAACATTTGAATTGGAGTAAAGGAGATTACACTTTCTAATGTGGGTGGCCCTTATCCAATCAGTTCAAGGTCTGAATGCAATAAAAAGGCTGACCCTTCCTTGAATAAGAGAAAATTCCTCCTATCTGCCTATCTTTGAGCTGGCACTTCAACTGTTTTTCCTGCTTTTGGACTCAGATTGAAACATTAGCTCTTCTAGGACCTCAAACCTTCCAACCTTTGTACAAGAAGTATAGGAACTATACCATTGGCTTCCCTGAGTCTCTATCTTGCTATTCATCACACATATCTTGGGACTTTACAGAGTATGTCATTGGAGAATACATAATTGCATGAGAATTGCACACACACGTACATATAACATATACATATATTTATAAAACATATACATGTAATAAGTCTACATAAAATGGTTTGCTCTTCCTTTGAAGAGCAACAGCATCCTGAGCTCTCCTGTTATGCCATTCACTACATACCTCTACAATTTGATGATTTATCTATCTTTTCTACTGGATTTTTAATACTTTAAGAGGGGAGATAACATTTCTCTCTACATGTCTAGCATTTGATCTCAATATAGTATTTAATGATACTTGGTGAATGAATGAATAATAAATGTACTCTATATTTATAAATTTTTAATTCTTACTTTTATAAACTTTATAATTCCTTTTTAACTTCCATTTAGTTACTATATACTCCAAGAAATACACTGCACTATTTCTCTAAGACACCATTTCTACCTTTAAGATCTTTAAATAATTCAGAACAATATAGAACCAATAATACACAATTGTTACTGTGCAGTATCTCTTCTCCATTTGAGCCAAAAGAAGATAACCTGGTTCTAACTAATAACATTATCCTATAAAACATTTTTTGAGATAAATTTTAAATTATAAAATTATTTTTATACTTAGAAAATTTTAAAAATCACACTAAAATAGCTATATTTTTTAAATCTATGAAAGAAGATCATACACTTTTCTAAAGATTTTGTGCTGAATTGATCCTTCTTTGTCTGAAAATATTAGATATCCCAGTGTCAGAATTATCATGGGGTGTAAAGACTTCAGCACATATCTCTTATAAAGATTATGTCTGGGCTAATATCCCTCCTACCTCATTCTTTCCCCTCACACTGTGACCTCTGCATCTTTAACAAAGAAAAGACAATAAAAGACAATTTTAGAGCTTTGGAACGGCCTGAAGTTTGCTTTATCAAGGACAATACTGGCAACTTTCCAGAAACCTGGAGGCCATGGCTCATCTGCAAATCATGTACATATATTTGCATGAATTTTATTTTGATTAGTAGCCTCAACCCATGATGGTACTTAGGAAGAATGAAGCATTTTACATATATGAATAAATGAAGACAATTTAGTAGTCTTAATGCTCATGGCTGTATTTTCCCTATTTCTTAAGTCTAATTCTCCTCATCCATCCCCTTCTTGTTATTCCTTCTCTTTAAATTCATATGGGTGTTGCTTTTCTTTTTTGTTGTTGTTATTTTCTTTTTTTAGCATACTGATTCTGTGTAGATGGTGGGAAGGAAGTTGCCCTGCTATTGTGTTTTATTGATCCATTTAACCTAGATCTATTATAAAATCATTATTACTTAGTGATTTTTGCAAAGTTTTTTTTTTTCATCTCAACTGAAATGAATTGGCATCTTTTTGGGCTGAGTCAGTGGAATACGTGAAGCTTGAAATCTGTGCAATTTTGTTTTGAAGAGGTTGTCTTTAAGGTGCTCCATAAACTAAAATATAATTTTAGGGACAAATATGTAAAAGCTGCATATAAATGTGCTAAAATAGGCAAAAAAGAATTACTATTCTATTAACAGCTTTTAATTTTTATGAAACTTTGTATTGAAATAATAGAAAATTCTTGAGAGCATATGAGAAGTGATTAAATGGTGGTTAATAACTAGTTTAATGACCAGTGATGTAAGTCTGTAAACTTTACCAAAAAATCCTTATGCACTTAATGTAGTCAATGACTGATAAAGAAAATGATTTTTCTCTGTGTATTCAATGTAGATTTTTCCCAGAGAATGAAAGGCAATCAATTCTAGATTTGGGGAAACAAAATTTTTTCTTCCTTACCTTGCTAATTCATTTTGTGTTCTTTCCTCTTTTCTATTCTTTTCTCTCTTATTTTATTCTTTTACAGTCTGACACACTTAATTTCTTTCTAAGCCGGGCACAGTGGCTCATGCTAGTAATCCCAGCACTTTGGGAGGCCAAGGCAGGTAGACTACCTGAGGTCAGGAGATGAAGACCAGCCTGACCAACATGGTGAAACCCCATCTCTACTAAAATGCAAAAAATTAGCCAGGTGTGGTGGCGCATGCCTGTAATCTCAGCTACTCAAGAGGCTGAGGCAGGATAATCGCTTGAACCCAGGAGGCGGAGGTTGCAGTGAGCCGAGATTGTGCCATTGCACACTAGCCTGGGCAACAAAAGTGAAATTCTGTCTCAAAAAGAAAAAAAAATTCTAGTATTTTAGTATAGTCAGATTTTCTACAAGCAATAATATATTTATGTTTGTATTAGTTATTTCTCAGTAGGGCCTAGTTTATTTATAAGGAATAATATTTATTTATTCCTCTTGTATTTGGAGCAATGGAAAAACATATGAAATTATTTCAGAATATGATTAATGTCTCCCATTTATAAGCTGTAAAGATGGTAATACAGTTATAAATATTTAAAGATAAAAATCCACAAATATTATAGAGAACTCAATGTTACAAAGTAATAGAAATATTACTGTGAATAGTAATTTAGGAATTTAGGTTAAAATGAATTTGGAATTTGGATCCATTGGTGTTTGATCACAGAAGCAGATGACAAGGAGAGATATAGAATAAAGAATTTATTATGAGGTAATCCTTTACACAACTATGGGATCTGATGAGGAAGATCATGGAGAGGCTGTTGTACCTGAAGTCTTGTTGGTTGTCAGAGTCAGCAGTTGTGAAGGAGGGCTGCACTGGATAGAGTAGAATTGAGTGGAAATAAACTAGGACTCATCAGGATAAACTGGAACTCATGAGGATAAATTAGAACTCAAATCTGATTTTCACAACCTCTAACCTGGCCTAAGGGACCTACAGGAGAATGTAGTGCCCTTTGTCACAGAGTTGCTAATGCCCTTGTTCCAGAACGTGAAAATTCCAAAACGGAAGATCCAGTAGGATCTGGAGGGCTTCTCAGCCTGGCTGCTGCCACATAACAACAAGGTGAGCTAGTAGATGCACAAAAACATGAGAAAGCAGAAGCAATATCTAGTGCCCTACACTGAATTTCAGAAGGTCCACCTTCTGCTTTACTTCTGCCGTCTGAATTTTTTGCAAATTTCTCTTGCAGCCTGCCCTAACCAGGAACCATACCAGAAGAGCATTTGGAGAAAAGTACTTTCAGCTTAACCTAAGCTGATACAGAAAAATACATCACCATCAACCTTTTGTCTACTTTTCAAACATATGAACTTCTCTCGATTATATACCCATCATTCAAATAAAGACAATATTTGAGTCACCAAAAGTGCCGTGCAACCTCCTTTGTCCAACTAATTGCATTATAAACTTTTCTGCAGAAGAAAACACAAGTCCTTTATTGATCTTAGGATGGTTTTACTCTTCTTCTAGCTGACATCTTCTTCCCTTTCAATATTCCATCACTTAAATATTGATTTTTTCTTGGGGAAAATTTTCATAAGTATTGTATATTTCTGCATGTCACCAAAGACATTAACAGCTATTTTACTTTGTACTGTCTTTCCAAGGACATTTGGAAGACAGAAATTGTTACCTCTTAGGATAGTAAAAATAGAAGTTATTATTCTAGAGTAAGAAAGAAAATGTTTTTATCCAGAGGGGAGTATAATCCAAGATTTTCCTCTATACAATCTAGGACTCCTAATATCAGTATTACCTTCCTGCAATGTCTTCAATGCAATGGGCAGGCAACACATAGCTCTCATCACATCACATCATTCTGTAAGAATTGGGGCTTGAATAACATTGGGGCACAATACTGTTACTTAGGCTAGTGCTATTGTTGTGAGTAATAAACTGTCTTTTGTCCCTGACCCAGGCATGTCATGTCTTCTGCTAGTATCTATGGAACTGGCTAATCTGTTAACTTGCAAGTAGGGTAAAAACTCAGACCCTGAACACTTTCTAGTGACACTGAGATATCAAATTGAAATTAAATCATCTATATACATGTAACATGCCATATAGTATGAAAATAAGGAAAATGGTTAATGTATCCAGAAAAATATCCATGTGAAAATAATAAAGTAACATTCATAGCTATTATGATGCTCTTTTCTACAACTGGTCACATGGTTGTAGCTGATATTTATGACTTTCTTCTGCCATTGCTGATCCATATTTCCTTAGTTCTCACAAAGCTCTAGTTGGTTGTGGTCTCTTGTCTGTCAGAGTGAGCCAAATCTTCACTGTTGTTCTTAAATTGATACAAAACATTTGTTTGGATTTATGGGGTACATGGGATATTTTATTACATGCATAGAATTTGTAATGATCAAGTCAGGGTATTTAGGGTATCATCACTTTAAATGTTTATTATTTCTTTGTGTTGGGAACATTTCAAGTCCTCTTTTCCAGGTCACTAAAAGGGCCTAATAGACAGAGTACATTTCATCCAACAGCTTCATAATATACATCTTTCTATTTAGTACATAAAATAGTGTCCAGGATAGGTGACATGTTAAGCCACAAATAGAGTCTTAATAAATTAAAAAAATAGAAACTATGTCAAGTATTTTCTCAAATAACATTGTAATAAAACTATAAATCAGTAAGAAGAAAAAATTTGGAAAGTATACAAATACATGAATATTTTATCAATTAATAATGTAATAAAATTATAAATCAGTAACAAGAATAATTTGGAAAGTATACAATACATAAAAATTAAACAACATGCCCCTGAATGACCATTGAGTCAATGAAGAAATTAAGAGGAAATCAAAATGTTTCTTGAAAAAAATAAAAATTGAAACAAAAAATACCAAAACCTGAGATACAGCAAAAGCAGTACTAAAAAGGTTTATAATAATAAATGCATACATCAAAAAAGTAGAAATATTCAAATAAACAATCTAATGATTCACTTCAAGGAACCAGAAAAGCAAGAATGAACCAAATCCACATTAGTATAAGGAAAGAAATAATAAATATCAGAGCAGAACTAAACAAAACAGAGACTAAAAACATTTACAAGAAATCAATGAAACAAAAGTTGTTTTTTGTAAAGATAAATTAAACTGATAAACCTCTAGCTAGAATAACTAAGACAAAAAGATAAAAGACCCAAATAAATAAAATCAGATACAAAGACATTACAATTGAAACAACAGAAATACAAAAGATCATCAGAGACTGCTATGAACAACTATACTACCTAACTGGAAAGCCTACAGGAAGTGGATAAATTTCTGAACATATACAACCTAGCAAGATTGAATCAGAAAAAAATAGAAAACATGAACAGACCAATAATGAGTAATGAGGTTAAATCAGTGATAAAAAGTCTCACAACAAAGAAAAGCCAATGACCAGATGGCTTCACTGCTGAATTCTATCAAACTATTAAAGAAAAACTGACACCAATACTCTTCAATCTGTTTCAAAAAATTGGAGAGGGAAAGGAACACTCCCTAATTCATTCTAAAAGGCCAACATTACCCTGATACTAAAACCAGACAAGGATGGAACAAAAAAAGAAAACTACAGGCCAATATCTCTTATGACCATAGACATAAAAATCTTCAATACAATATTAGCAAACTTAATACAACAGTATATCAAAAAGATGATACACTATGATGAGGAAAGATTTATATCAGGGATGCAAGGATGGCTCAACATATGCAAATCAATAAAGATAATATATCACATCAACAGAATGAAGAACAAAAACTATATGATTACCTCATTAGTTGCAGAAACAGCATTTGAAGAATTTCAGCATCCTTTTGTGATGAAAACTCTCAGCAAATTAGGCATAGAAGGAACATATTTCAACATAATAAAGGCCATATTTGAAAACCCACGGCTAATATCATACTGAATGAGGAGGAACGGAAAGCCTTTCCTGTAAGAACTGGAGCAAGACAATGTCCACTTTCACCACACTTTTTTAATGTAGCACTAGAAGTTCTAGCTGGAGAAATCAGACAAGAGAAAGAAATAAAAAACCTCCAAACCACAAAGAAGGAAGTAAAGTTGTTTTATGCAGATGACATAATCTTATAAATTAGAAAAATCTGAGGACTCCACCAAAAAATTCTTAGATCTAATGAATACATTGAGTAAACTTGCAGGATTCAAAATCAATATACAAAATAAGTAGCATTTCTACACATAAACGATAAACTAGTTGAAAAAAATCAAGAAGGCAATTCTATTTGTAATAGCTACAAAAAAGGAAAACCTAAGAATAAATTTAACCAAGGAGGTAAAAGATCACTACAAAGAAAGCTACAAAACACCGATGAAAGAAATTGAAGAAGACACACAGATGGAAGGCCTTCCTATGTTTATGGATTGGAAAAACTAATATTGTTAAAATGACCATACTACCCAAGTAAATATACAGATTCAAAGCAATCTCTATCAAAATACCATTGTCATTTTTCAGAGAAATAAATAAAACCATCCTAAAGATTGTGTGGGACTAAGAAAGATCTGAAATGGCCAAAGCCGTCCTGAGCAAAAAGAACAAAACTGGAAGCACCACACTACCCGACTTCAAAATATATTACAAGGATATAGTAACTGAAGAACCTGGTATTGGTATGAAAACAGAACATAGAACAATGAAATGGAATAGAGAACCTAGAAATAAATCCACGTATTTACAGCCAACTAGTCTTCAACAAAAGTACCAAGAACATGAATCGAAGAAAGGACACCCTGTTAAATATATCATGCAGGGAAAACTGGATCCATATACAGAAGAATGAAACTAGACTCCTATTTCTCAGTGTATATGTAAATAAACTCAAAATGGATTAAAGACTTAAATATAAAACTGAAAGCTCTAAACCTACAAGAAAAAAATGTAGGGAAAGTACTTCAGGGCATTGTTCTAGGCAAAGATTTTATGGCCAAGGACTTAAAAGCACATGTAAAAAGAAGCATCCAAATAAGACCATATTGAAATAAAAAGCTTCTGCACAGTAAACAAAACAATCAACAAAATGAAGAGATAACACACAGAATCAGAGAAAATATTTGCAAACTGTTTGTCTAACAAGGAACTGATAATCCAGAATATACAAGGAACTCAAACAACTCAATAGTAGAAAACAAACAATCCCATTTAAAGGTGGGCAAAGGACATTTCACAAAAGAAGACACACAAATGGCCAATAGTTATGAAAATTGCTCAACATCACAAATTATCAAAGAAATGCAAATCAAAACCAAAATGAGATATCATCTTACCCCAGTTAAAATGGTCATTATTGGCTGGGAGCAGTGGCTCATTCCTGTAATCCCAGCACTTTGGAAGGCCAAAGCGTGTGGATCACTTGAGGTCAGGAGTTCAAGACAAGCCTGACCAACATGGTGAAACCCCATCTTTACTAAAAAAATTAAAAATAAAAAAAAATAAAAATAAAAAATTAGCCAGGTGAGGTGGCGAGCGCCTGAAATCCCAGCTACTCAGGAGGCTGAGGCGGGAGAATCACTTGAACCCAGGAGGCAGTGCTCTCCAGCCTGGGTGGCAGAGCAACATCTCAAAAAAAGAATGGTCATTATTAAAAAGACAAAAAAAAAACATGCTCGCAAGGTTATGGAGAAAATGGGACTCACGCACTTTTCATGGGAATGTAAATTTGTACAGCCACTCTTGCAAACAGTACGGAGATTTCTCAAAAAAAAAAAAAAGTAAAAATGCAACTACCACATGATCTGGCAATTCCACTACTGGATATTATTCAAATAAAATAAAACCAGTTCATCAAAGGGATACCTGCACCCCCATGTTTATTGCAATACTATTTACAATAACAGATATGGAATCAACCTAAGTGTCCATCAGTGGATGAATGGATTGTTTTAAATGTGCTATATATTCACAATGGCATAGTATTTAGCCATTAAAAAGAATGAAATTGTATCATTTGCAGGAACAGTGATGAAATTGGAGGTCACTATGTTAAGTGAAATAAGTCAGATACAGAAAGACAAATATGTTCTCATGCATATGTGAGACCTAAAAAAGCTAATCTCATGTAGGTAGAGAGTAGAATGATAGAACAGATACCAGAGCTGGAAAGGAGGAGTGGTGGGGGGAACAAATATACAGGTATTGGGTTCAAACATAAAGTTAGAGAGAAGAAATAAATTCTAACGTTTAATAGCAAAGTAAGGTGACTATAGTTAACAACAATGCATTATATATTTTAAACTTTCATTTCTGAGAAGATTGGATTAGTAGCCAACTTGCCTGATTCAGTTGTAGTATTCTGTTGAATTTAATCACAGGACATAAAAATGGTAATAGGATCTCCAGGAAATCTCCAGCATTTCAGACTTAGTCCTCCTTGCCTCTATTATGTAATAGTGACCCAAGTTTCCCTTGACAGTCATAATTAATCACTCACCCATAAAGTAAACCTCTTGATTCACTGGCATGAGGAAGGCAGGTGGCCAATTTGGCAATGTTAACTCCCTGTTTAATGAAACCATTGCTATGTCCCCTATTAGAAGTATTTCTTCCTTGGGAACAAGACTAATATAACCCACAGTTACGCAGATAGAAAACAAATGTTTCCACTAGAGGAACACTAGACATAGCAGTAAAAAAAAAAATTACTCAATTTTTAGTTCTTGATCCCTGGAACCATTACACCTGGCTTTGAGAGAAAAAACAAAGACATCCCAGTAAAAGCATTCTAGAAAAAACAAAGACACCCTGAAAAACATTACCTTAGCCTCATGAACTATTGCCACCAAACTGGTGCCATAACTCAATTATCAAAAATTTAGTTCAATATTCAATGGGGTAACATGGTGAAGTTAATTGGTTGGATAAGCATAAGCCCATTGCCACATTGCTGTAAAATGAATGTCTGTTTCAGTGTAAACAAAGAATTGCCTCTTCTTTGACGGAAGAGGGCCTATGTAATCAACCTAATGTCAGATGGCTCACTGATCTTCCAAGATTAGTGCCATATTAGAGATTCAGTTTTGCTCTTTGCTGCTGGAAGGACAGAGACTCAGAATGGCTGCCACCATATTGACTGTGGTAAGTGAAAGTCCATGTTGCAGTTTCCATGTATCAACACCATTGTTATTCTGTTTATGGCCTTGGAAAATCACATGGGACAGATATGCATAGAATGAGTCATTGAGTCCCCTGAGTGTCCCCAGTAAGCAATCATATGGAATACAATATTTTCATACCTCATATTCCACACCCAAAACTTTTCCTCAGACCTCCTTGTCACCAGTTTTCCAATCACATTTCTTAGAAGTCTCTAACCATCTTTCCTCCTAGAAAAAATGAATGATGTTGTACTACTTAATGTTCTGCCTCAGAAAGTTTACTTACACTGCTGTTCCCCAAGGCAACACCAGAATGGGGCTGTAATAGTTAGTAAAACTATATACTTTATGAACACCCAACTTCAGTATATAAGGGCTCCTTCAGTAATTGATTTATCCTCTTTGTGCTTAAGTTTCCTCATCTGAAAAAAAATAGAATTAAAACAGTATTTACATCTGTAACATTTTTGTGAGAGATCAATAATATCATGTGTGTAAATAAGACTGCCTGGCACTTGATAAAGGCTCAATAAGTGCTAACTGTCATCATTAAATGGTCATCATCATAATTTTGTTATTTTATTAAAATTTAGTTTTAACCTATGATTATTTAACTTTTTATTCATGTATTTCTGTTTTTTTATGATTGTAAACTCTTAATTATAAAGATCATATTTTATACTTTTAGAATATTAAGAATACCAAGCACAAAATCCTATGATTACTGACTGATATGTGTTGTATTTAATACACTTGGCTCAATGTACTAGAAATATTAGAAGAATATTTAGAGAGAGAGAAATAAAATGATATTTGTATTAATATATATTACACTAAACATATTATCCCATAGGTACTACTGTTTTATTCATGGCAATATCCTTAGAGTCCAGGGCAAGGATTGGTCCAAACTAAGGACTAAATAAATATCAGTGGAATAAATGATGATATGTAGCGTTTTGCAAGATTTGAGGCAAAATTGGAAAGTAACACCATGAATAGTTGAATCTTTCATTTTGGGCTACAGATCCTTGCCTTGTTCCTTCCAGGATACCAGGTAGCAATGTTAGGGAGTTGGGGAAATAGGTAGAAATCCCTCTGCCAACTTACAGCCTTTTCAGAGACACAGATACATAAACACATACATATTCATTCATACATGTAAGAGCATACATGTGTAATCACACACAAATGTGTAAGTAACATAGATGAAAGATTGTAATGTAACATTTCATTATGGCAATTTATAACAAATGAGTGGTGTGTAATGTAGTATTTTATTGAGAGAGGAAAGATTCCTGAGCCTGAAGATTTAAGAGTAAGAATTAAGGAAGTACTATTTGAACCAGTACTTGAAGGAATGTGAAGCCAAGAAGAGGCAGAGAGTTCTTAGAGGCAAGAAGACAGATAAGCAAAATAATTGGAAGTGGAAATTGTCATAGCTTCAAAGAATGTGTTAGTTAAAGAAGAGCTTTTGCACTGAAGGATAGTCAAGATTCATGGTTAGATCTATCATTGCCTTTCACATTTAAATACACTCACTGCAACATTAGTGAGAAGCACCCAAAGGCCATCCAGCACCTGTCTGCTGCACTCAGTGTGGTCTTCTCACTGCTTCTCAGCTATATGTCTGTATTCAGATGTCATACGCATCCAAAGAGTCAAATATACACAGTCATATACACCATCAGCACAACACATTGGGATGACACATATTGTGTCTACTCAGGCAGCCAAATCAATTTGGATCCCAGACTGTAGACAATATACAGAGCCAGCAAACATCCCTCCCAGAATAAAACAGTAAATTTTCAAGACTGGAATGCAATAAAGGACTATGTTATTAATCCATAGGATTTTCATGAAAAATAAATGTTATTTATTATAGTAACTCTAAGCTCTATCTTTTATATTTTACTAATTCTTCAATTTGAACTCATTTCAAAACAATGGGGGGAAGAGATAAAAAATTTGTTTATCCTGTCTTATCTTCTTTCTAAATATGTGCTGCCAATTTAATTCCCATTTTGAGTTCTTTTGTGAGTACCACGAAGAGTGAGGAGAATTTCTCTCTAATACAGTGTTCTGTACACTGTGTCCTGCCTTTGACGTAGAACGTTTCATAATGGTGATCTATTATGACATCAATAATTGTCTGAAATTTCAGTCTACAAAGCCTGAAACTATGAAAGTATAATTAGATTGCCTAGGGACATCACAAAATCAAATGAAAGCTGGTTTGAACCTAGCTGTCTATTTAACGTTTGGCCAGCAAACAACCAACATGGAAATGAAATACAGAGATATACATAAAATAGATGAGACTGCACTATCAAATCTCCTGAACTAGCTCTGGGTTCTCAAGTAGTGGGTATCTGCTGTGTAATTTGCCCAAATTCTACTGCTTTCCCTCAGAAACAGCTTTATAAGTGTGTCATTTATTTCAGATGTTGGCTGATTTCCAAATGAAAATGGTCAATATTTAGCTAATGAGTTTAAACTGAAGTGAAAGTGAGTTGGGGTAATCTTATTTGGTTTGGTTATGATTGAGAACACATGCAGAACACAAATTCTTGAATTAAAAAAATACTTTGAAACTGATAGCTTTAAATATCACTAGGATATATATTTCAGTACAGCTAGGCCCTGTTTATACAGTAGATATAATTATCAGATCCTGCTTTTAGAATGTTGGCCACTGCCACCATCCCTGAAGACTTGTATCCTTTTAAAAGTACTTAGGATGGTTGAACCAAAGAATATCAGATCTGGAAAAATGAAGTTAGTGTTTATTTAGGCCTCATTTTAGAGAGGGGCAAATTGTCACCCTAAGAAGTTTAGCATTGCACTATGTAACAAAAGTCCTAAGAAGAGAAGGTGGAACAAAATTCCTTGGGAATTCTAGGATAGTGATTATTTTGGCAGAACACAGGTTCCTAAAATAAGGAGGCAGCTGCTTTGAGATGAGGCTTCTTGGTGGGAGTCATTGGGATTTGGGTGGTTTGCCAATGCCAGACCAATGACAAAAGTGAGGGTTTAATTTTTATAGAAAATTGCTTTTCTTATTCTAGTGACCTTCCTTTTTTCCCTAAATATTGTGACCAATATGACTGCAAGGTATCCAGTGGAAGTACTTTCCAGTTTTCTGGATGGGAATAAAGTCAAGGGCACATACCCCCATGCAAGTGAAGTTGATATATGTTTGACAGCTCATGATAGATTTCAAGGAAATAAATTTCTCCTGCATTCTAATCTAAATTGTATCTTTTGCATTGTCAACGTTTTTCCCTGCCAAGCCCTCTTTTCAGAAATGCTTTTACAGAGTAGAAGTGACTAACTAGAATGTCATCTTGTTTTCTTCACCCTCTCTTTTCCTTGCTTTGTTATTTGGTCCACAAATCTAGCCTTAAAACCACTGAAATGGTTTCAGTCATTTGTCTTGTAAACTGTGCTACTCTGAGGAATCGTTTACAAAATTCCTTGCACATATTTGTAAGTTTATTTCTAAGTTACTCTTAAAAATAGATCAAAAGTTAAGATTGTTTAAAATCTTAACTACAGTCAAAACTTCTGTAAATGTTTTACCTGTTTATATTTCACTAACAATACATAAGAGTTAGTACCTGTTAACCTCCCCACATTTGCATATCCATACAAACACAGTATATTTTCTCTCATTATCAGTGTTTGACTTATTTTCCTATATTTAATGGTACTGGATGCCTTTTCACATTCTCTGTTCATTTTTCTAAACGTCCTTCATCAAATACTAGTTAAATACATTCTGTGTAAACGTTCAATAAAATAATGGGCAGTCATTAATAAAAGGTGGGAAATTCTGTATGACCTAATATGGGAAACCCCCAATATATAGCTAACATTAGTTTTCTCAGCAATGTGTATACATCCATGCTTGTATGAGCGGAAAGTATCTCTGAAATGATCTACATGAAACTGGAAAGCATGCACGCTTCTGGGATGACACACGGTGGATTCAGAGGCAGGGCTAGGAGGAAAACTTGCTTTTCACAATATCATGTGTTAACTTTTGATTTCTTTTGATTTTACCATATATATTATTACCAATTTAAATAAAAAACAGTAATATCCACAAAATTGAAAAAATGGCTTATAAAATGGAAATAGTGAGGAGCAAAGTAGGGTGAAATCAAAGAGCTGTTAGTGACTCTTTCTCCAAGCACCTAGTGATGGCTGAAAACAGATTGTCGGTTGTGACTGTCAGTGAACAGCCAGAGGGCGATGTGATCAGGGCCTGCTGTGTTGGCATCCTTATCCTATGGTGACTGGTAATTCCAGTCACCCTTGGTCAACTCCCATCCTCCCTTGCAGAAACCCTGAGGCACACAAGTAGCACAAAGTTTTCCAAAGGCCTACCTAGTCGTGAATCTTTCTCAGAGAAGCAAAACAAAACAACAAGTAAGTCAAATCCAAATCATGTGCAATAAATTTTGTTTCTGTACTTGTCTAAAAATCATGTAACACTCTGTGATATATTTTCTTATAAGATGAACACCATAATTAAAGTATGAATTATTTGTTTATGTTTCTAATAATAACAGAAATAAATTAAAAGTACAAGGAATTTCAAGCAAACATAAAAGGTGAAATCACCTATAATCCCAGCTTACACAGATATCAAATATTAATATTTTCATATCTCATACATATGCATATGTACATTATATGCTTTATATGCTCCATGTGTTTTAAATGTTTACATGTATAAGTACTTTAATGTTTGTATACTTATTTATTTTTTTCTTTTTTCTTTTTATTTATTTATTTATTTTTGGAGACAGAGTCTTCCTCTATCCCCCAGGCTGGAGTGCAGTGACACAATCTCGGCTCACTGCAACCTCCACCTCAGGGGTTCAAGCAATTCTCATGCCTCAGCCTCCCAAGCAGCTGGGATTACAGGCGCCTGCCACCATGCCCGGCTAATTTGTGTATTTTTAGTAGGGAGAGGGTTTCACCATGTTGGCCAGGCTGGTCTCGAACTCCTTACTTCAGGTGATACACCCTCCACGGCCTCCCAAAGTGCTGGGATTACAGGCATGAGCCACTGCGCCCGGCCTCATTTATTTTTACATACTTGAGATAATGCTTTTTAAAAAACATATTTACAAATAGATACAGCCAGTTATCACAGGAAATGCTTTTAAAAGTAAAATTTATGTTGAGTGTCAGGCCTCTGAGCCCAAGCTAAGCCATCATATCCCCTGTGACCTGCACGTACACATCCAGATGGCTGGTTCCTGCCTTAACTGATGACATTCCACCACCAAAGAAATGAAAATGGCCTGTTCCTGCCTTAACTGATGGCATTATCTTGTGAAATTCCTTCTCCTGGCTCATCCTGGCTCAAAATCTCCCCTACTGAGCACCTTGTGACCCCCACTCCAGCCTGCCAGAGAACAATCCCCCTTTTTCCTTTACCTACCCAAATCCTATAAAAGGGCCCCACCCCATCTCCCTTCCTTGACTCTCTTTTCGGACTCAGCCCACCTGCACCCAGGTGAAATAAACAGCTTTATTGCTCACACAAAGCCTGCTTGGAGGTCTCTTCACACGGACGCGCATGAAATTTGGTGCCGTGACTCGGATCAGGTGAACTCCCCTGGGAGATCAATCCCCTGTCCTCCTGCTCTTTGCTCCATGAGAAAGATCCACCTACGACCTCTGGTCCTCAGACCAGCCAGCCCAAGGAACATCTCACCAATTTTAAATCCGGTAAGCGGCCTGTTTTTACCCTCTTCTCCAATCTCTCTCACTATCCCTCAACCTCTTTCTCCTTTCAATCTTGGTGCCACACTTCAATCTCTCCCTTCTCTTAATGTCAACTCCTTTCATTTTCTGGTAGAGACAAATGAGACACATTTTATCCATGGACCCAAAACTCTGGCACCGGTCACAGACTCAGGAAGGCAGACTTCCCTTGGTGTTTAATCATTGCAGGGACACCTCTCTGATTATTCACCCACATTTCAGAGGTGTCAGACCACGCAGGGACGCCTGCCTTGGTCCTTCACCCTTAGCGGCAAGTCCCGCTTTTCTGGGAGAGGGGCAGGAACCCCAACCTCTTATCTCTGCACCCCGATCCCATATTTCCATGCCCCGACCTCTTATCTCTGCACCCTGATCCCTTATTTCTGAGCCCTGACCTCTTATCTCTGTGCCCCAACCCCTTATTTCTGCACCCTGACCCCTTCTCTGCTTTTCTGGAGGGCAAGAACCCCCCACCCCTTCTCCGTGTCTCTACTCCCTTTTCTCTGGACTTGCCTCCTTCACTATGGGCAAGCTTCCACCTCCCATTCCTCCTTCTTCTCCCTTAGCCTGTGTTTTTAAGAACTTAAAACCTCTTCAAATCTCACCTGACCTAAAATCTAAGCATCTTATTTTCTTCTGCAATGCCACTTGATCCCAATACAAACTCGACAGTAGTTCCAAATATCTGGAAAATGGCATTTTCAATTTTTCCATCCTACAAGATCTAAATAATACTTGAATCGGCAAAGGCTCTGAGATGCCTGATGTCCAGGCATTCTTTTACACATCAGTCCCTCCCTAGTCTCTGTTCCCAATGCAACTCATCCCAAATCTTCCTTCTTTCCCTCCCACCTGTCCCCTCAGTCCCAACCCCAAGTTTCGCTGAGTCTTTCTAATCATCCTTTTCTACAGACCCATCTGACCTCTCCCCTCCTCACCAGGCTGAGCTAGGTCCCAATTCTTCCTCAGCCTCTGCTCCTCCACCCTATAATCCTTTTATCACCTCCCCTCCTCACACCCTTGTCTGGCTTACAGTTTTGTTCAGTGACTAGCCCTTTCCCACCTGCCCAGCAATTTACTCTTAAAAAGGTGGCTGGAGCTAAAGGCATAGTCAAGGTTAATGCTCCTTTTTTTTTATCCCAAATCAGATAGCGTTTAGTCTCTTTTTCATCAAATATAAAAATCCAGCCCAGTTCATGGCTCATTTGGCAGCAACCCTGAGATGCTTTACAGCCCTAGACTCTAAAAGGTCAAGAGGCCGTCTTATTCTCAATACACATTTTATTAACCAATCTGCTACTGACATTAAATAAAACTCCAAAAATTGAATTCCAGACCTCAAACCCCACAAGAGGACTTAACTAACCCCACCTTCAAGGTGTACAATAATAGAGTAGAGGCAACCAAGTAGCAACATATTTCTGAGTTGCAATTCCTTGCCTCCACTGTGAGACAAACCCCAGCCACATCTCCAGCACACAAGAACTTCCAAACGCCTAAACCGCAGTGGCCAGGCATTGCTCCAGAACCTCCTCCCCCAGGAGCTTGCTACAAGTGCCAGAAATCTGGCCACCAGGCCAAGGAATGCCCGCAGCCTGGGATTCCTCCTAAGCCATGTCCCATCTGTGCGGGACCCCACTGGAAATTGGACTGTTCAACTCACCTGGTAGCCACTCCCAGGGCCCCTGGAACTCTGGCCCAAGGCTCTCTGACTGACTCCTTCCCAGATCTTCTCAGCTTAGCGGCTGAACACTGACACTGCCCGATCGCCTCAGAAGCCCTGTAGACCATCACGGACGCCGAGCTTTAGGTAACTCTCACAGTGGAGGGTAAGTCCGTCCCTTCTTAACCAATACAGAGGCTACCCACTCCACATTACCTTCTTTTCTAGGGCCTGTTTCCCTTGCCTCCATAACTGTTGTGGGTATTGACAGCCAGGTTTCTCAACCTCTTAAAACTCCCCAACTCTGGTGCCAACTTAGACAATACTCTTTTAAGCACTCCTTTTAATTATCCCCACCTGCCCAGTTCCTTTATTAGGCCGAGACACTTCAACTAAATTATCTGCTTCCCTGACTATTTCTGGACTACAGCTACACCTCATTGCTGCCCTTCTTCCCAATCCAAAGCCTCCTTTTCGTCCTCCTCTTGTATCCCCCGACCTTAACCCACAAGTAAAAGATATCTCTACTCCCTCCTGGGCAACCGATCATGTACACCTCACCGTCTCATTAAAACCTTATCACCCTTACCCTGCTCAATGCCAATATCCCATCCCACAGCACGCTTTGAAAGGATTAAAGCCTGTTATCACTCGCCTGCTACAGCATGGCCTTTTAAAGCCTATAAACTCTCCTTACAATTCCCACATTTTACCTGTCCTAAAACCAGACAAGCCTTACAAGTTAGTTCAGGATCTATGCCTTATCAACCCAATTGTTTTGCCTATCCACCCCATGGTGCCAAACCCATATACTCTCCTATCCTCAATACCTCCCTCCACAATCCATTATTCTGTTCTGGATCTCAAACATGCTTTCTTTACTATTCCTTTGCACCCTTCATCCCAGCCTCTCTTTGCTTTCACCTGGACTGACCCTGACATTCATCAAGCTCAGCAAATTACCTAGGCTGTACTGCAGCAAAGCTTCACAGACAGCCCCCATTACTTCAGTCAAGCCCAAATTTCTTCCTCATATATTACCTATCTCAGCATAATTCTCATGAAAACACATGTCCTCTCTCTCCTGATCGTGTCTGGCTAATCTCCCAAACCCCAATCCCTTGTACAAAACAACAACTCCTTTCCTTCCTAGGCATGGTTGGATACTTTTGCCTTTGGATACCTGGTTTTGCCATCCTAACAAAACCATTATATAAACTCACAAAAGGAAACCTAGCTGACCCCACAGTTCCTAAATCCTTTCCCCACTCCTCTTTCCATTCCTTGAAGACAGCTTTAGAGACTGCCCCCACCCTAGCTCTCCCTGACTCATCCCAACCCTTTTCATTACACACAGCCGAAGTGCAGGGCTGTGTAGTCAGAATTCTTACACAAGGACCGGGATCGCATCCTGTAGTCTTTTTGTCCAAACAACTTGACCTTACTGTTTTAGGCTGGCCATCATGTCTCCGTGCGGCGGCTGCTGCCACCCCAATGCTTTTAGAGGCTCTTAAAATCACAAACTATGCTCAACTCTCTACAGCTCTCATAATTTCCAAAATCCATTTTCTTCCTCACACCTGACACATATACTTTCTGCTCCCCGGCTCCTTCAGCTGTACTCACTCTTTGTTGAGTCTCCCACAATTACCATTGTTCCTGGTGCGGACTTCAATCCGGCCTCCCACATTATTCCTGATACCACACCTGACCCTCATGACTGCATCTCTCTGATCCACCTGACATTCACCCCATTTCCCCACATTTCCTTCTTCCCTGTTTCTCACCCTGATCACACTTGGTTTATTGATGGCAGTTCCACCAGGCCTAATCACCACACACCAGCAAAGGCAGGCTATGCTATAGTAGAAGCCACTAGCCTGCTTCTTATAACCTCTCATTTCCTTTCCATCATGGAACTCTATCCTCAAGGAAATAACTTCTCAGTGTTCCATCTGCTATTCTACTACTCCTCAGGGATTATTCAGGCCCCCTCCCTTCCCTACACATCAAGCTCAGGGATTTGCCCCCACCCAGGACTGGCAAATTAGCTTTACTCAACATGCCCCGAGTCAGGAAACTAAAATACCTCTTGGTCTAGGTAGACACTTTCACTGGACGGCTAGAGGCCTTTCCCACAGGGTCTGAGAAGGGCACCACAGTCATTTCTTCCCTTCTGTCAGACACAATTACTCAGTTTGGCCTTCCCACCTCTATACAATCCGATAGCACACCGGCCTTTATTAGTCAATCCAGCCAAGCAGTTTTTCAGGCTCTTGGTATACAGTGAAACCTTTATATCCCTTACAGTCCTCAGTCTTCAGGAAAGGTAGAACGGACTAATGGTCTTTTAAAAACACACCTCACCAAGCTCAGCCACCAACTTAAAAAGGACTGGACAATATTTTTACCTCTTTCTTTTCTCAGAATTTAGGCCTGTCCTCAGAATGCTACAGGGTACAGCCTATTTGAGCTCCTGTATGGACGCTTCCTTTTTATTAAGACCCAGTCTCATTCCAGACACCAGACCAACTTGGACTCTGCCCCAAAAAACTTGTCATCCCTACTATCTTCTGTCTAGTCATGCTCCTATTCACAGTTCTCAACTACTCATACATGCCCTGCTCTTGTTTACACTGCCGGTTTACACTGTTTCTCCAAGCCATCACAGCTGATATTGGTGCTATCGCCAAACTGCCACTTTTAACTCTTGAAGTCAATAAATAATCTTTGCTGGCAGGACTATGCTGAATCCCCTTAGGCACTCTCTAATTAGATGTCCTGGGTCTTCCCAATTCTTAGGCCTTTAATACCTGTTTTTCTCCTTCTCTTATTCCGTTTAGTTTTTCAATTCATACAAAACCGTATCCAGACCATCACCAATAATTCTACATGACAAATGTTTCTTCTAACAACCCCACAATATCACCCCTTACCACAAAATCTTCCTTCAGCTTCATCTCTCCCACTCTAGGTTCCCACACCTCCCCTAATCCCGCTCGAAGCAACCCTGAGAAACATCGCCCATTATCTCTCCATACCATCACCCAAAATTTTCACTATCCCAACACTTTACCATTATTTTGTTTTATTTTTCTTATTAACATAAGAAGACAGGAATGTTAGGCCTCTGAGCCCAAGCTAAGCCATCATATCCCCTGTGACCTGCACGTACACATCCAGATGGCTGGTTCCTGCCTTAACTGATGACATTCCACCACAAAAGAAGTGAAAATGGCCTGTTCCTGCCTTAACTGATGGCATTATCTTGTGAAATTCCTTTTCCTCGCTCATCCTGGCTCAAAAGCTCCTCTACTGAGCACCTTGTGACCCCCCACTCCTGCCTGCCAGAGAACAACCTCCCTTTTTCCTTTACCTAACCAAATCCTATAAAAGGGCCCCACCCCTATCTCCCTTCGCTGACTCTCTTTTTGGTCTCAGCCCACCTGCACCCAGGTGAAATAAACAGCTTTATTGCTCACACAAAGCCTGTTTGATGGTCTCTTCATACAGACGCGAGTGAAATTGAGGTCGAAAGAATTTAGGGTTATTCTATTATGTGTAAGTATGACTGTTGAGGCTGTTTTCTCATTTGTATGGCGTTTGGCAAGGTTTGATATTAGGTTTAATGCTAGTTTTAGAAAAGCAATTTGGAAACCTGTGTGTGTGTACACACAAACAGCATATACATATATTCTTCCATAGTTATTGTTCTATTTAGTTTTTATTCTTTTCTGGCTTCATTTTAATAATGTGTATTTTTCCATAACACATCCCCTTCAAAAAATTTTCTAATGTATACATTTATCTTCTCTAGTTTTTAATACATGTCCTCTCGTTTTCCAAAATTTGGAAGTGGGGGTGGTGGAACTGCTTTTGTCCTTTTTTTATTGACTACAACTGTGTATTTAACTGACTTAAAACAAAATCAACTCTTGAATTTGCTTATTTACAAATAACTATTTAGTTCTATAATTCTACTCTTTGACATTTTGTGGATATTTTTATTATCTTTATTACTCACTTTCTCCTAAATATTAATAGTTTAAATTCATGAGTTGAATGTTTATTTATTTTCTTTCTTTTATGTCTAAGTAATAAAGGCTTTTAGGGCTAGATTGCATTATTGATCAATATTGAACATTATTTCATAAAGCAAGATAAGTTGTATAGATGTCTAAAACCTATAAAATATTTTGCAATTTGAATATTATGCTCAAAGACACGTAAAATGTATTAGACATGTAATTACAGAAAAATCTCTAAAGTACTAAAAACATATAGAGAATATTAAAAATGACATTAATTTATAAGAAATTTGACCCATATAAAATTAATATATGAATGATAAATAAAAAGCTAATAAATTTTCAAAAAAAATTACCTTCTAAGACTTTAGAAAAACATTTGAAAATAAACTTTACTGTGTCTTTTAAAATATCCATGAATAATGGATTTGAGCTTGAAGTTCAGATCACTTCTCCAACAAAAAAAACCTTCAATGAATCTGAATATTAAAATAGCTCATTAAGAAACTTTTCCCCTAACAATTTAGAGAGTTCTCAAAATAATCTCTTATTCTCATTTTCCTATTATTTAACTTATGTTTATTGCCTCTCCTCTACATTTAATGATTTGAGAACTGTGATTAAATAGATACATTATTAAAGCTTTCCTTTGTTGAAATATAGCTCTGTATATTTTCAAATGCTATTGGCTATCAACTATATATTTATCATGTAAACCTGATATCAACAGCAGCATGCTCCTTATTTATTTGGAGATTTCAACAAAGTCCACTTAGATTTTTTAATGACCAAATAAATAAAAGTGTCTAGAGAGTCATCGGATTTTATTTGGTAATAACAAATAATCAGATTAATATCAACAATATCAAATGTCAATCCCCGCATTTGAGTCCTTGAAGAAACTTAGTTTTTTCTTTATGTCCAGCCATTGTCAACATTTCGAAGGAATAATTTTCTCTTCCGAATAGAAAATAGACAGTAAGCAAAATTTAAATAAAATGAGAGAACTTCTGATAAAAATACATAGATTATGTTTTAAAGGAAGAATTTATCTTTTCTACCTTTTTTCTTTTCCCTCTTTTAAACAAGAATTATGTCCAACTATGATAGACTGGATTAAGAAAATGTGGCATATATACAGCATGGAATACTATGCAGCCATAAAAATGATGAGTTCATGTCCTTTGTAGGGACATGGATGAAACTGGAAATCATCATTCTCAGTGAACTATCACAAAGACAAAAAACCAAACACCGCATGTTCTCACTCATAGGTGGGAATTGAACAATGAGAACACATGGACACAGGAAGGGGAACATCACACTCTGGGGACTGTTGTGGGGTGGGGGGAGGGGGGATAGCATTAGGAGATATACCTAATGCTAAATGACGAGTTAATGGGTGCAGCACACCAGCATAGCACATGTATACATATGTAACTAACCTGCACATTGTGCACATGTACCCTAAAACTTAAAGTATAATAATAATAAAATAAAAAAACACAAGAATTGATTCTTTTTAATTGACAGCAAAAATTTAAAAAAACAACTTATTGTCATCAAGGATTCACTATTACATTTTATAATATGGCTGGAATTATGAAATGTGTGCTGGTATAATTAATATCAGATAGATAAAAATAATATTCTTTATCTTTGTTCTGTTACTAATCCTCAGAAATTAACAATAAGATCTCTTTGAAAAGTGTGTACATTAATTCTCTTGACCTGGGCACCATTGCAAGAATGCATATAATAGACAAGCAATAATTAAATGTCAAAGAAGTTGCTGCAATTTTTATTCAGAAGAATTTAAAAAGCACATATAAATTTTAAATGTGAAACAAGAATGTTATTTAAATCAGGAGGGAGTGTCGTTTCTTCCTAATGCCCTTGTCAAACAACTACTCTAAAATAGCATTACATGTAATTCTGAAATGCCATGGATTAATAAGAGACATTCAAATTCTATAATGCAATTCAGTTTTTACCTCCGGTCATGATTTTCTTTTCCATGGCCTTCAGTTTTGTCCTTAGACTCATATATGTGTAAATTGACAAATTTTCTTTTGTAATATAAATTTAAAAGAAGAGATAAAAATGCACCATACAATTAAGAAGAGGGGAAGAATTATTTAT
The DNA here is from genome assembly GCF_000001405.40 of Homo sapiens. Taxonomy (NCBI): domain Eukaryota; kingdom Metazoa; phylum Chordata; class Mammalia; order Primates; family Hominidae; genus Homo; species Homo sapiens. The sequence continues at coordinate 16,922,546 of NC_000021.9, forward strand.
TCACATACAGTTATCTGTGTGCACTTAGTCAATTCACAATCAATTTGAATTGTTATTTTTTAACCGAACTTGGAAAGTTTGGGATCTACAAAGTAGAAATTGAATTCTAGCCAAGAATTTACTACATAGCAGGTATAAAATATGGTGAGTATCAACAGTTGAATGCTTGTACCCTTCCCCCAAATTCATGGGTTGAAGCCCTAAGCCCCAGTGTGGCTGTATTTGAAAACGGAGCCTTTGAGAAGGTGGTTAAGAGTAAATGAGGCTGTACAGGTGGAGCCCTAATCCAATAGGATTAATATTATCAGAAGAGACACCAGAGAGTTTGCGTTTCCCTTTCCCGTAACACATGGAGTGAAGAAGGCCAAAGTCAAGAGCAACCATCTACAAGCCAGGAAGAAAGTCCTCACCAGAAACTGAATTGTTCATAACCTTGATCTTGGACTTTTAGCCTCCAGAATTGTGAGAAAAACTACTGTTATTTAAGCCACCCAGTCTACAGTATTGTGTTATGGCAGCCTGAGCAGACTAAAACAGTCAGATAGAAACTAAGTGATTGTTCAGTGTAGCACTGATTACATTATAACATTGGCATAAATATCCTAACTGCAGCTATGAGAGGTTTGATAGATAGTGAAACAAATTCAAGAAGTTTTTCTAGTTTTTCAGCAAAATTTTAAAACTACAAAAAGGAATTAATATTTTAAACTCTAGATCAATTAACAGTCTTCATTTTGTTTAAAAACAATGTTTTGAATAGATTTTAAAGGACCAATTTTACAGCAACATCTAAACTCAATTTTCATAATTTCCAGTATTGCCTGAATAAGATTAGATTCTTTATTAATCACAGCCATAAAGGAAATTCAACTTTAAATGGGATCTTTGACATCTTTCTTTCCCTAATCTTCTTTAGTGAATTTCCTTGCAGAAAAAAATAAAAGCTAAATGGTTAACCAGATTTTAAGGTTCTCATCTCAAAGTTTTCAAACTTGTAACTCCCCAAATATGTATGCCCAACACTAACTCCTGCCCTCAACCGAGGCCATCTTGCATCCCTAGCCTCCATCAGCTTATTATTTCCTTCATCAAAAACACAGCCTCCCTCCCTGATTCCAGGCTGTCACTGTCCATCATGGTTTACCCACTCTTGAGACTCACCTTAAGCAACATCATCAGGACACATTTCTATTTCCTCTCGATCGGAATCAACCACTGCCTTGGAGCTCTATAGATTTTTTAAAAATTTCTATAATAGTAGCATTTATCCCACGCTATTTTGTTTTATACTGTTTTACATCATTGCCTTTCCCCTCTAATAGAGTGTGATCTCTAAAACAGGAAAGACAGCAGCTAGTATCTTTTTGCATTTTCCAAAAAAACTAACCCAGTACCTATTGGCATAATCAGTGCTAAATTTTTGTTCTGAATCAATAAATCTGTAATGACTTGGGAAAGTAAAGTTATGTTATTGATGTTCAGTTGTTGGTATTCTTCAAGAATCACAAAAATAATGAGTCTTGAATTTTAGTAATTTATTTTTTATAGCAGGCATTGGCAAACTATGGCCCATGGGTCAAATCTGGGCATATTTCTATTTTTGTATAGCCTTCAAGCTAAAGAATAATTTTTACACTTTCCAGTGTTTATAAAAATCAAAAGCAGAATAATATTCTGTGACTCATGGCAATTACATAAAATTAAAATTTTATGTTTGTAAATAAAGTTTTACTGGAATGTAACTGTGCCATTAACTTGGGTATTATCTATGGGTGCTTTTGTGCTACAACAGCAGGATTCAGTAGTTATGACAGATTGTATAGCTCACAAAGCCTGAAATCTTTACTATTTGACCTCTTACAGTAAAAGAACTTAATAACACCTTTTAAGAATATTTGATTTGCAGTGTTTATTGTATCGATTTTGCACTTTTGTTTTGCCTTAATAAAACATTTCATTATTTGACAATATATTGTGATGTTATATTTGAAAGAATTTTAAAAAGCAATGGTGGTAATATAAAAAAGTTTGGTGATCCAACAAGTACCAGAAGAATTATTTTCAAAAAGTTATGCCATGAAAGACTGAATTATCCAGGCATGTCAATGTTATAACATTTTATCATGTTATTATATAAAATAAGTTCTGGTTAGGTAGAAAGCCAATATCAGTAAATGATCACTAAGTGCCTATATGTACAAGATGAAGAAAAGAGGACAATGGAAGAAAGGGGACAGAAACAAGAGAAATCAAGAAAGCAAGATAACAACATCAGGAAATTAAGTGAAGAACAATGAGAGTAAGTTGTTTGGCCAGGGTGAGAAGACTATTTGTGGTGTCTTTAACAGATATAGAGTTCACAGCAATTAAAAATATGTGGAGGAGCTTGATATAGTAAATTCTGAAAGTACCATGTTTGGGAGACTTGTGTGATGTCCAGGAAGAGATGTTCAACAGACAACTAGAAATACAATACTCAAGCTCAGGATACACCTTTGAGTGTGATCTTCTTACAAATAATAGTTGAAGATATGAGCATATAAAAACAGCAAAGAGCCAAGGACAGAAGTTAGGCAGAACATGTATAACATTGGCTTGGAGTAAGAGTCAAGGACAGAAGTTAGGTAGAACATGTATAACATTGGCTTGGAGTAAGAGTCAAGGACAGAAGTTAGGTAGAACATGTATAACACTGGCTTGGAGTAAGATCCTAGGACAGAAGTTAGGCATAACATTGTATAACATGTATAACATTGGCTTGGAGTAAGAGTTTATAGAAAAAAAAATTAAGTAGGTAGTAGGATCAGTAGAAAAGAGCATGATAAAATGAGATTTTCAAGAATACAGAGGTAATCGATGTAATATTGCTGACAACAGAAAGGCTAAGAAAATAAAATACATAGAAATGTCACTGGATTTAGAAAGGAGCATATCATTGGGAGTACCACCTTTAGATACAGAGAAGGGGGCATCTTATACCACTAAAGAGCCCTTGAAACCACAAACATACTCACACACTACATTGTTATAAAAGAAGATATGGGCATATCCTTCTCTCAGGATTCGGCCCTCAGCTCTAAAAAGCCCCCAAATATTGTCTTTAATAAGCCCAGGAAACATTTCTCATTAAGGCACTATGTGCTAAATATGTCCCCCAAAATTCATATGTTAAAAATGTATTCCCCAATGCAACAGTGTCAGGAGATGAGGCCTAAAAGGAAGTGTTTAGGTCATAAGGGTTCTGGCCTCATGAATAGTTTAATGCCACTATAAATAAGATTTGCATAAATTAGTTAGGTGTGGTGGTGCATACCTGTAGTCCCAGCTACTTAGGAGGGTGCGGTGGGAGGATCACTTGAGCTAGGTAGATTGAGGCTGCAGTGAGCCATGATCATGCCTTTGCAATCCAGCCTGGTGACAGAGTGAGACCCTGTCTCAAAAAAAAAAAAAAAAAAAAAAAAGAAAGAAAAAAGAAAAAAAAGAACTTTCAGGAGTGGGGCATGGGTTCTCTCTCTTCTGTTTTTCTCCATGTGAGGACATGGTATTTAACCACCCTTGCCCTTCCACTTTACACCATGGGAGGATGGAGCAAGAAGACCCACACCAGATGCCAGCCCCTTGCTCTTGAATTTCCCCACCTCCATCACTGTGAGAAATAAATTTCTGTTTTTTATAAATTACCCAGTCTCAGATGCAGCAGCAGAAAACAGACTGAGACAGTGCTCTAAACATAGGCAATTGAATTTCAGTGTTGTCAAGATCTCTGGTTTGTGCTACTAGCAAAGACAGGGATGGGATGCTAGGAGGATTTGAATAATGGCATTGCATAGAAAAAAATTGACAATTTAATTAATTTTTCAATTTTTTTTCCTCAGATAATGCATATTCAGTAAACTCTTGCATTACAAAATGTGTTTTCCCAGCAATGCCAAATAACCATTTTCTTCTTTTTCTTTGTCTTCCATATTGGTGTGAGGTACTTAGAAATTAATGCTGTATTTGCAGCAATTGTAATACTTACTGGGGAAAATATTTGACTATACTTTGCAATTTATATTGCTCTAAAATTTGTATATAACTAACTAGGTATAGAATTAATATGCTTGGACAGTAGCACTTTTTTTTTTAAACATTTTCACCTAAATTCTATTTGAATGCTAGAATATCTAATACTAGAATGGCTAATAATAATACACCTTTCCAAATTCTTTTAGTAAAAATTTATATATAATTTAATTTGCCAAAAGATGAAAACAAAATTATTTAGCTTTATTTAAACATTTTATCATTAAAATGTTCATACTTATTAACTATAAATTTTCCTTTACATTTTAATAGATATACTATTTTAGAAGAAAAATATATTTTAACATATATAAAAATAATTTTTTTTATATTTACATGTGTTTATAATATTTTTAATAAAAATATGTTAAGTTTCATCCAGGTGTAGTGGCACAGGCCTATAGTCCCAGTTACTTGGATGCTTGAAGTGGGAGCACCACTTGAGCCCAGGGGTTCAAGGTTCAAGTTAGCAAGACCCTGTCTCTATGTTTAAAAAAAAGTTAAATTTAATAAATTTTGTATATGATTACATTTAATTTTTAAACTCTTTAATAATGATAATGAATACAAGTTGCTTTCTTAATATAAATATAAAAAATAAGCAGAGCTTTCAAACATTTTAAAAATCTGAAAAGATAAAATAGAAAATCTTCAAAGAGGATGATTGCCTAAATGTTTAAAAAGAAAAGATAATTAAAGGAAGAAGACTTCTGTAGAGCATGATTTATACAAAAAAAGAACATTATATATATATACATATAAACAGAACATTATGAAGCTTTTTTATATTTAAAAGTTATAATTTCTGATCAAAGCAATGAGATGAATCATACAATTTTTCTTATCAGGTCCAAAACTGAAACAGGTTAAATGAATTCCTATTATTTCTAACACTTCAACAAAGATAGATTACTGATCAAAACAATAAAATTGAGAAAAAAAATTATATCAGATTTGCAACAAATGCAACTCTGGCCTGCTGTTTAGAAGATAAGTTAAATTCATGAAAACAAGAAATTGAGAAAAGAAAAACAACACCTCAATTTTTCTATGTTTACGAGATCACAATTCTGGAAAATGGCTATGGCATTCCTCTCACGGTATGAAATGATTGTAGCTACACACAACCTGACTCAAAAGTTTGAAATTTTCTATTGAAATGAACATGGTTGAAAATTTAGTATTTAACTATACACCAAAATTAATTCCCATAAAGAAAAAAAAGTACAGAGGTTACAGTTTGGGTTATTGTTACATATTTCACAATCAATTTTTGAAATCACCTCTGTAAAAAGCTGTTACTGGAAACATTTTGATTTCGAATTAAAACAATATAAAACTTCCCTTACACAGGAAAAAAAAACACATTTAATTACTGCTCTGAAAGAAAGGAACTGAATAGATAGCAAATGAACAATAGTATTAAATAAATATAAATAAATCCTAATACAAAATGTGATGTTCTTAAAGAATACATTATGTGGCAAATAATTAGCCAATCATAATAGTGCTTTACAAGATACAAACAACACAGTAATTACAGAAAATAACACAAATTTTCTGGTTTAGTAGAAATCATTTTGAAATTGAGACCAAAATAGCCAAAATATAAGATATATTAAAAATAACAAAATATTATCACTACTCAGAATGGATAAATCAAAATCAAATTATTAATAGATAGTAAAGTGAGAGAAGAAATGTTATACAAAAATTATAAGTAAATACTATTTATTAGTTCAACTAGATTGTACAGGAGAAGAAATCCGAGCAGAAAATGACATTAACTGTGGATAATTCAATTATCAGAGGAAGAAAACAAGGATGTTAAAATTAATATTTCACTGTTTTTATACCTGGTGTTTTTAAAAAATGCATGGTTTTGACGTCAGTGAAGGACTGAAAAAAACAAATATTGTTTTTAAGCCTTTTCCAAGGCTTAAAATCTTAAAATCTTTCTGTCCAGAAAGATTATGAAGGACAACACTATGATAATGTTATTAGAATGATTGATTAAGAAGGAAGATTACAAAGTAGAATTTTGGCTGATCTTTCTGAGACATTCTTCATGTCATGTGCAGCCCATAATTTGAATTTGTTATCAAGAGGCCTCAACTGGACCCAAAGAAGTGATAAAATAATTTGTAAGAATTCAAATACTATATATGATGGTTTTTTGGATCTGTCTAAAGATGTAATATCTTGAAAAAAGATACTAAGTTTAAAAATTTTTTGAGGCATGATGAAAATGCTAAGTGATGTTAAGATATACAAAATTTTAAAAATGCACTTTAAAAGATAAGCAAAACACTTTGGAAGGCCGAGTCAGGCGGATCACTTGAGATCAGGAGTTCAAGACCAGCCTGGGTAACATGATGACATTCCGTCTCTACTAAAAATACAAAAATCAGCTGGGTGCGGTGGTGCACGCCTGTAATCCCAGCTACTCAGGAAGCTGAGGCAGGAGGATCGCTTGAACTCGGGTGGGGGCAGGTTGCAGTGAGCCAAGATTGTGATATTGCACTCCAGACTGGCTAACAGAGTGACACTGTCTCAAAAAAAAAAAAAAAAAAAAGCAAGAGTAGAAGCTCTAGCCAGGTATGGTGGTGCATGTCTGTAGTCCCAGCTACTTGGGAAGCTGAGGTGGAAGGCCAGCCTGGGCAACAGGGCAAGACTCCATCTCTGAATGAATGAATGAATGAATGAACAAATAACCAGAGACTCAGACTGAAGTAAATTTTGGTTTTGGGTAGGAAATATAATAACTTTCAATTTGTATCATTCAAAATTATTTGATTTGAACTGTTGAAAGCTAGTATTTTAACCAGTTACAAAAACAAATAAATGCAAGTTTGTGAATTTTACTTTTTACAAAAGATTGAAGTTTACAGTTTTAAAATTTTAGAGAGAATGTTCTTTAATATCAAAAGAAAATGCCTTTGAAATATGTAACAAAATGGCATTCCAATATAATATGAGACAGAATAGGAAAATGAGAATTTTTGCATGACTGTGAAGGAGACAATACACACATAAATAATCTCAAAACCAAGATTAATAGAAATTACGTTCTGGCCATTACAGATCTAGGTATAGTCTCGATTTTACTATTTTCTGTGTTCTTTATAATATCCCAGAATTAAAATTTTTAAAGAAAGAATTTAATAAACATTTTATGAATCTAGATATTACTTTTAGATAATGAGGAGCATTACATACATGACATAAATTTATGCGATTAAAATATGTTTAGTATTTTCTGAAATGACATTACCAGTTGTGACCTCATTACAATATTTGATCATAGTATGCAAAATTTATGGCTTATTTTAAAATCTGAGCTTGAAAAACTTAACAATCCTATTTTCCACTGACTTGCAGAATAAAGTATAAGTCAAATTCAAATAAGAACAATGAGAAAAAATTGAATATTTTGGCATTATTGTTAATAGTGCACAAATTATTTGAAAATTTTAATTATAAAAGTATAACTAGTTAATTTTCTTTAAAAAGATAAGAAAAATAAATGTGATGAAATAAGTATGTAGTTTATGATTTATGAATATCATCATTTCATTCTTACCCAAACATCACTGCCCATCACCAGAAAACCAGACATGTACAATAAAGAAGTTTGCACATCTTTGGTATTTTGCCAAGTTGCAGATATGAAACATCACAGGTGTACATGCTGCTATGAAAGTATTTTGTCAAAAGAATAAAATATATTTGTTACCTCAATGCACATTCTTTTTAATAATTAGACATATAGCATGTGGGCCTCCATTTATTATAATATCCAGGGCTCTAAAAATATTAGTGGCAGGACTGATATTGTTTTCTATTAAAAAAAGATACTTATATTCCAAATTGAAGACCAAGTCAGATTGCAAAATTTTACATTTGTGTTGTAGAGTTAAGATCAGAAGATGAATAGATGAATCTTGCCTATTAAGGCCAGATGATCAGATGACTTACGTAAAAGCAATGCAATGCTTTTTTTTTCTTTCCTTCTTTTTTTTTTTTTTGTTTTTTGTTCTTTAAGTATGTTAGGATCCCAATAGAAAATACATTCAAATTAGGGTAATTCAACAAGAGTTTAACAAAAAAAAAAAACCCAACAACACTTATAAAAGTACGGGTATAAAAACATGACAAGAACACACTAAGTATTGGCAGAGATCTTAACACCTCTGGGCCCTAAGAGCTGCCTTGAGTGAAAGAAGTTTTTTTAGAGACAGTCAGCCCAAAGGAACCCCACAGGGATGAAGCCAGGGGAAAAAAACAATCAATCAAACTCCTACACTTCTTCCTTATATTTTCTGTGTGGATCTCATTGGATGAAACCAACCATAAGCCAGAGAACAAGAGAACAAATTGATGAAATCCATACAACTCATTGATGAAACCTACATAGATCAGCCTCTCAAGACACAGATCATGGTGGAGAGGAATGATGAACAGATCTGATGGGAAAGCAGAAATTACCTGGAACAGCATATTTTTCTCCTTTTAGAATCCACTCATCCTTCATTCACTTAGAAAGGTTTTATTCTCCACACATGGGGCATACAAATACCGTAAGGTACTGTATCATTGTAGTGATGTTAATTTGCTTGTACTTTCCACTGGATACTGAAATATTTTCTGTCACTAATGTTCTTCATAAAAAATTGAAGGAGGGGCATAGAAATGTAATCAGTGTTTTTTTTTTTTTTAAAAAAAATTGAGTAATACCATTTACTTCTCCAGTAAATAGCTACAAGCTCAGGCCTGTAATCCCAGCACTTTTGGGGGCCAAGGAGGGTGGATCACAAGGTCAGGAGTTCGAGACCAGCCTGGCCAACATGGTAAAACCCCGTCTCTACTAAAAATACAAAAATTAGCCAGGCCTGGTGGCAGTCACCTGTAATCCCAGCTATTTGGGAGGCTGAGGCAGGAGAATCGCTTCAACCCAGGAGGTGGAGGTTACAGTGAGCGAAGATTGTGCCATTGCCCTCCAGCCTGGGCAACAAGAACAAAACTCCATCTCAAAAAAAAAAAAAGCTACAAAAGTTTGCTTCCACAGCTGGTTAAAAACCTAACTTAGTAAGCATAGTTGTTTCGTTTACAATGTATTCAACTTACACTCCACCAGCACCCCAGCTCTCACAACACCTGACACCTACTGTCACAGATCCTGTACCCTTAGAAATGTGGTATTTGTGTGCAAAAAGTTTATTTGGACATGCTCAAGATAAACAGCTATGAAGTATGGACACACAACTGGATAGTAAGATAATTTGAGTAGTGATGCAGCCACGACCAAGAAATCAGTTGATTCTATGGATGAATTTGGAGCTGGAATGGTTCAGAGACACTCTACACTGTGGCACAGGGACAGGCCCATATACCTCTCTGTTGACCAATTATTGGACTTGGCTGCCCCCAGGAAGAGGGCATGACCTTAGGTGGGTAGACTATTCAACCTAAAGAAAGTCCTGGACAGGAAGGCAGCTGAGAACCATTGGCTGCCAAGACTCTCAGCAGTCCAAGAAATGAATATTTCAGACCTGGAGGACTGAATCTTGGCAGTGAACCATGCCACACACTATAGATAGCCACTGTTTTCAGAGACCCTCTTGGGAGCTGCCGTCCAATTCTAGCTAGTGCTGGTATAACAATCACACCCAGTAGCAAACCAGGTTCGTTCTTTTTCCTTCTCCATAATGGCAAAGCAATGAAGCAGATACCATGTTAAACTGAGCCATCCATTTGTGCTTTTTACTTATGTCTCCCAGAGCAGCTTCAGCTCAGTCTAATATATACCACTTCCATTTTATAAAGTAATGCTGTCATGCATATCCAATTTTATGGTTGGGTTAAGCAGGTAACATACAATTCATCTTAAACAGTATGATTCACATAGCCATGGGGTTTTACAAGGCCATGCATTCACTTTCTATCAGAGCCCATTTGCAAGACAGAAGAAACTTTTCAAATGGAAATAGTTGATAGAATAGAAGGGAATTACATTACTCCTTAAGTGTAGATATCTGAGCTGTAATTGCTCTTATCTGGGTTTGGAAGGGTTTCATACAAAAATCATGTCTGTCACAAATGCTTCAAAAATGAGTGGATGTGCTAGGTTATTAGACCCAAAAGGCAATATGGCATGAACCAAAACCAGTCTGGTTGCAGAGCTTTTTCTTATTCAAGACTCAAATCAATGCTGGCACCTGTCCAAATAAGTAAATGAGTTGGAGAAGGTTGACCAAATACAGTATATATTGGTTCCAAAATCCAAAGAGGCCTACTAAGTTATGTGTTTCTTTCACTGTGTTGGGTAACATAACTTGACTCATATTTCAGAAGGACTATCTTACCAAAAATTTCACTGATGTGGCATACCACAGAACTTTTTAGTCATTTATCTCCCATTTTCTGCAATGCACCTATATTACTAGGATATTTATGTTTTTACTTTCTGTTTGCCATTTTCAGTGAGTATAATGTCTTCAGTACAAAGCAAGCTTGTCCAACCCATGACCCACAGGCCACATGTGGCCCAGAACAGCTTTGAATACGGATCAACACAAATTCATAAACTTTCTTAAAACATCATGATTTTTTTTGTGATTTTCTTTTTTTTTTTTAGCTCAGCAGCTTTTGTTAGTGTTAGTGTATTTTATGTATGACCCAAGACAATTCTTCTTCCAGTGTGTCCCAGGGAAGCCAAAAGATTAGACAACCCTGGTATAAAGGATTAAGATGATAGTCAGGCCACAGCTCTGCTCACTCCCCAGCACCACTGAATCTGAATCTTCAGTTTAATAGGAGTCACAGATAATTCATATGCACGTCAAAATTTGAGAAGCACTGACCAAGACTATATCAGATAGGTGAGCAAATACAACACAGCCTTGAGGCAAAACAAGATAAGTACCTTTTTGTCCCTACTATATAAATATTCTCATTCCATAGATAAAAGTCCCATTCCTTCCCCAGCAATGTCCTTATCTTAGTGTGAAATACTTAGCAAGGTTAAGTATTTCATTGATGTTTACAGTAAACCCTTGTTTGTCTTTAGTATTATATCCTCTGTGAATCTGTGAGATGAAGGATTCCTTCAAAACTGCCAATGGGCCTTCTCCACAGAAATTTGTAGTTGTTCATAGCTCATACTTTTGCTTTTCCTATGTGCACATCTCTAGGACTATAAACCAAATCCAGGGACCCTCCCCCCAACCAAAACATTGTATAATTACTATTGTTTTCATAGCTACCAAGTGCCACAGCCACTTGCTCTCCCTCCGTGTGCCATCTAGTAATTTGATTTGGCTAATTATAATGCCACACTATGCCATGGATTACCCATGCACCATCCCCTTTAGCAATGCGTTATTATCCCTGTGTTCTTTGCATGTATGAGTGATTTCTCTCTAGAATTCCATTTTGAGGATCAGTTTCCTAGGGCCATTTACCAATTACTATATTAGTCAAGACCAAGCATAGCAAACTTAAACCTCAGTACAGTCGCAGGAAGAAACACACAAACAAGACTCAGATTATTTTGAGGATTGAATAAAGGGAAAGCACAATGGGATACCACCTTACTCCAGGCCTAATTACAACAGGCCGGTTACCACCTCTGGATAAAACTTGGGGGAAGGAAGTAGAATTGTTATCAGACTCCGGAAGTGGAGAGGGTTATAAACAAGACCACCTTGAAAAGATGGGTAATTTTTAGTTAAAGGTCATAGTGAGCCAGAGGCACTAGAGAGGGAGCTGGAGAAAAAATATCCTGAATCTTCAATCCTCTCTCCCTCTTATCCACTTCAGAAACTTCCCATTGGCTCAACACAAGAAGCTAGTAGATAAGAAAACCCATTGAAGTAAGTCACTTGGAGCAGAGAATAGAATGCAAAAAAAAAAAAAAAAAAAAATGGAGACTAGAGCTAGAGGGACAAATGTAACCACCCAGTGCATCGCAATTCAATATTCACATTATAATAAGAAATATGAATGCCAAAGGTAGAAGAGCCTTAAATATTCTGCAGACTATTTTCTACCAGAAGGCAAATTATCACAGGAAAGGGAATTATAATCAGAAATTTGCTTGGTGAAAAGAGCAAAAGCACAAGAACGTTAATTAGATTAATTTAATGGTTATTAATAAGTTATAATAACCTAATGTACTCATCTTTACTATAGTGACATTCTTCACTCATTTTTTCACGATCAATTTGAATTTCTATATACCAAGCCATATACTTGGCATTGGAAACACAAAGAAGATTAAAACATTGTCTATGTCTCCAAGAAGCTCACAGCTCTAGTGGGAAAGCAGACACAGAGAATATAATTCACTATAACACATATTACGTCAGAGATAAGCACAAAGTTCATAAAATCTCAAAATGAGGGTACTTAGGCAGACTAATGGATCAAGGACATTTCTCAGCAGGGATTATTTGTGCAGTGTTAAGGATTAGTAGGTGTTAACTAAGAAAGAAGCATGAGAAACATATTCAGGAGAAACATTATCTACAGAAATAGTAGGGAATGCATAGAAAATTGCATGTATCAGCCCAGTATGTCTGGGATGTATCTAAAATACACAGTAGGATCAAAATAACTATAGCCATGTACTCAGGGACAAAATTATGCCAAGGTTTTTACATATTAACAAATTTATACTTTACCCAGGAGTGAATAAGAAGCTATAGAAAAATGTAAAACTTTGGAATAGACTGAATCCTGAAAAAACAGTCATCTACTAATTAGCTACTCTCCTTCCTAGATCGTGTTAAAGACATCCTAGCAAATCCTGGTGCTTCAGGCTCCACTTTTTTAGGCATTAAGCTAATGACTACCCTTCTACCTATAGGTTTGTGCTTCTGACAGTGGTCAACTAACTTAGGTCCAATTTTCTATGTTAAAATCAGATTCCAAATTTTCCTAAGTCGCATTAACTAAAAATGGATATCCAAGAACTCTTCAGTCACATATTTATGTATGATTTCCATACATAAATATTTATGTATGTCAGTTATTTATATAGTAGCTCATCCCAAGAAGATTTTTCATGAATTTTATTCTTAGGTAATGGTAATATCTTTTGGGTTTAGAATTTAATTGCCGTTATTCTTAGACCTTCGTGAATTGTTTTAATTGAAATATAATAGACATACATATCTTGAAGGCACATGTAATAATTTATACATTCATATATGTGTAAAGATCAAATCAACATAATTGGGATATCCATTATGTTAAATATTTATCTTTTCTTTATGTTAGAAAGATTCAAATTATTCACTGCTAGCTATTTTGAAATGTGCTATTTTGATTATTGTTAACTATAGTCACCCTATTGATTAATCTACAGAACAGTAGCTCTCATTTCTTTCATTTAACTGTATATTTGTACCCGTTAATCAACCTCTATTCACCACCCCCACTCCTTTACTCACCCTAGAGTCAGGTAATCACCAGTCTACTCTCTGTCTTTGTGAGATTCACTTTTTTAGCTCCCATATGTGAGTCAGAATATGTGATATTTGTCTTTCTATGTGTGGCTTATTTCATTTAACATAATGACATTTAGTTCCATGCATGTTGCCGTAAATGTCAGGAATTTATTCATTTTATGGCTGAATAATATTTCTCTGTGAATGTATATCACACTTTATTCATGCATTCTCTGTTGGGTAGTAAAGTTAATTCCATGTCTTGGTGATTGTGAGTAGTGCTGCAATAAACATGGGAGTGCAGACATTTCTTTGATACATTGATCTTCCTTTTTTATTTTTATTTTTTTTTTCCATGACAGAGTCTCACTCTGTCGCCCAAACTGGAGTGCAGTGTTGTCATCTGGGGTTGCTGCAACCTCCACTTCCTGGGTTCAAGTGATTCTTGTGCCTCAGCCTCCAGAGTGGTGGGGATTACAGGCACGCACCACCATGCCCAGCTAATTTTTGTATTTTTAGTAGAGAAAGGGTTTTTGCCATGTTGCCCAGGGTGGTCTCGAACTCCTGGCCTCAAGTGATCTGCCCCCTCAGCCTCTCAAAGTGCTGGGATTACAGGCGTGAACCTCTGCGTCTGGCCAGATTTTCTTTCTTTTGGATGTACACTCAGCAGTGGGATTGCTGGATCGTATGATAAACGTATTTTTAGTTTTTTGAGGAATTTGTGTAAAGTTTTTTATACTAGTGGCACTAATTTACATTCCCATCAACAGTGTCCAAGAGATTTTCTTTCTCAACATCCTCATCACCATCTATTATTTTCTCTTTTTGATAAAAGCCATTTTAACTGAGGTAAGATGATATCTCATTGTGGTTTTGATTTGCATTTCTCTAATGATTAGTGATATTGAGGATTTTTTCATATACCAGTTGGCCATTTGTATGTCTTTTTTGGAGAAATGTCCTTTCAAATCCTTTGGCCATTTCTATTTCTATTTTTATTTATTTATTATACTTCAAGTTCTGGGATACATCTGCAGAACGTGCAGGTTTGTTACATAGGTATACATGTGCCATGGTGGTTTGCTGCACCCATCAACCCATCATCTACATTAGGTATTTCACTTAATGCTATCCCTCCCCTTGCCCCCACCCCTCGACAGGCCCTCTGTGTGACTTTCCCCTCCCTGTTTCCATGTGTTCTCATTGTTCAACTCCCACTTATGAGTGAGAACATGCGGTGTTTGGTTTTCTACTCCTGTGTTAGTTTGCTGAGAATGGTTTCCAGCTTCATCCATGTCCCTGCAAAGGACATGAACTCATCCTTTTTTATGGCTGCATAGTATTCCATGGTGTATATATAGCACATTTTCTTTATCCAGTCTATCATTGATGGGCATTTGGGTTGGTTCAAAGTCTTTGCTGTTGTGAATAGTGCTGCAATAAACATGCCTGTGCATGTGTCTTTATAGTAGAATGATTTATAATCCTTTGGATATATACCCAGTAATGAGATTGCTGGGTCAAATGGTATTTCTAGTTCTAGATCCTTGAGGAATCTAATTCCACTGTCTTCCACAATGGTTAAACTAATTTACACTCCCAATAACAGTGTAAAAGTGTTCCTATTTCTCCACATCCTCTCCAGTATCTGTTGTTTCCTGGCTTTATTTTTTTTTGAAATTTTTTGAGATGCCAACTCACTCTGTCACCAAGGCTGAGTTCAATGGCACGATTTCAACTCACTACAATATCTGCTCCAGACTCAAGTGATCCTCATGCCTCAGCCTCTCAAATAGCTGGGACTACAGGTGTAATACCACGACCAGCTAATTTTTGTTATTTTTAGTAGAGAGGGTGGTTTTGCCGTGTTTGGCTAGTCTGGAACTCCTGGGCTCAAATGATCCACCCACCTTGGCCTCCCAAAGTGCTGGGATTACAGACATGAGCCACTGTGCCCAGCCCCTTTGCCCATTTTTAACTGGATTGTTTGGTTTTTGTTTGTTTGTTTTGCTATTGAGTTTGAGTCCTCATATATTCTGGTTAATTTCTTGTCACATGGATAGTTTGCAGATATTTTCTCCCATCCTGTTTGTTGTCTCTTCACTCTGTTGCTTGTTTCTTTTGCTAGGCAGAAGCTTTTTAGCTTGATATAATCCCATTTGTCTATTTTCTTGGTTGCCTGTGCTTTTGAGGTCTTATACACACAAAAAATTTGCCCATACCTATGTCCTGGAGCATTTCTCCTATGTTTTCTTCTAGTAGTTTCGTAGCTTCAGGTTTTAGATTTAAGTCTTTAATTTATTTTGAGTTGATTTTCATATATGGTGAGAGGTAGGGGTCTAGTTTCATTCTTCTGCATATGGATATACAGTTTTCTTCATAACCATTTATTGATGAGACTGTCCTTTCCCCATTTTATATTCTTGGTGACTTTGTTGTGGATGACTTGACTATAAATGCCTGGATTTACATCTAGGATCTCTATTATTTTCCATTAGTCTATGTGTTTGTTTTTAATGCAAATATCAGGCTGATATCATCACTACAGCTTTGTAGTATGTTTTGAAGTCAAGTATTGTGATGCTTCCAGCTTTGTTCTCTTTGCTCAGAATTACTTTGGCTATCATGGGTCTTTGTGGTTCCATATAAATATTATTTTTTTCTAGTTCTAAGAAGAATGCTGTTGGTATTTTGACAGAGATTGCACCAGGTAGTATTATAATTTTAACAATATTAGTTCTTCCAATTCATGAGCATGGAATATCTTTCCATTTTTCATGTGTCTTCTTCAATTTTTGTATTAGTGTTTTATTATTTTTCTTGTATATATTTTTTACTTCTTTAGTTAAATTGATTCTTAGGTATTTTACATACTTTTTAGCTATATTAAGTGAGATTGCTTTCTTGATTTCCTTATCAGATTGTTTGCTATTGCTGTATATAAATGCTACTGATTTTTATATGTTGATTTTGAGTGCTGCAACTTTATAAATTAACTTATTAGTTCTAACTTTTTTTTGACAGAGTATTTAAGTTTTTCTAAGTATAAGATCATGTTGCCTGTGAACAAGGCTAATTTGATTTCTTCCTTTCCAATCTGGATGCCCTGTACGTCTTTTAGTTGTCTGATTGCTCTGGCCAGGACTTCCAGTCTTATATTGGATAATACATTGAAAAGTGGTGAAAGGGCACAACCTGGTCTTGTTCCTGCTTTTACAGAAAAGGCTTTCAATTTTTCCTTACTCAGTATGATGTTAGTAGTGGGTTTGTCATGCATGGCCTTTATTATTTTGAGATATATTCGTTCTACACCCAGTTTGTTGAGGGTATTTATTATGAATTTGAGTTTTACTGAACACTTTTTAAACATCTATTGAAATATCATGTGGTTTTGGGGTTTTGTTCTGTTAATGTGGTGTTTCATACTTATTGATTTTTGTTTGTTGAATTATCCTCGCATCCCTGGGATGAATCACACATGATAATGGTGAATGATCTTTTTAATGTGATGTTGAATTTAATTTGCCAGTATTTTGTTGAGGATTTTTGCATCTTGTTTCTAAGTGATATTGGCCTGTAGTTTTCTCTATTGTTGTGTCCTTGTCTGATTTTGTTATCACAGTAATCCTGTCCTTGTAGAATGAATTTGGAAGTATTCCATTCTCTTCAATATTTTTGAAGACTTTGAGGATAAATGGCATTAATTATTTTTTAAATATTTGGTAGAATTTGGCAGTGAATCTATCAGGTCCAGGGATTCTCTTTGATAGAATAATTTTTATTACAGCTTTGATATTGTTACTCATTATTGGATTGTTGCAATTTCATGCTTCTTTGTGGTTCAATCTTGGGTGCTTGTATGTGTCCAGGAATTTATCCATTTTCTCTAGGTTTTCCCATTTTTTGGCATATAATTATTTGTAATAATTTTTAATGATTCTTTGTATTTCTGTTGTCTCAGTTGGTATGTGTCGTTTTTTATTTCTGATTTATTTCAGTCTTCTCATTTTTTATTAGTCTACCTCAGGGTTTGTTAATTTTGTTAATCTTTTCAAAAAATCCAACTTCTTTTTATTTTGATCTTGTGTATTATTTTAGTCTCAATCTCATTTATTTCTTCTCTAATCCTTATTATTTCATTTCTCCTACTAATTAGGTGTTTGGTTTGTTCTTGCTTGTCTACTTCCTTAGCGTGCATCATTTGGTTGTTCATTCTAAGTATTTTTACTTTTTTCTATATAGGCATTTATTGCTATAAACTCTCCTCTCTGAACTGCTTTTGCTGTATCCCATAGATTTTGGTACGTTATATTTCCATTTTCATTTGTTTCAAAATTTTTTAGAACTTCCTTCTTAGTATTTTTTTTTGACCAATAGTCATCTAGGAGCGTGTTTTTAAATTTCCACGTTTGTGTAATTTCCAAGGTTCTGCTTCTCCACTGATCTCTGGTTTTATCACTGTGGTCAGAAAAGACACTAATATGATTTCTACTTGTTGAGACTCATTTTGTGGTCTAAGAGATTATTTATTCTTGAGAATGTTTCATGTGCTGATGAAAAGAATGTGTATTCTGTAGCTGTTGGGTGAAATATTCTGTAAATGTCGGTTAGACTTCTTTGGTCATATGTGAAGTTTTTAACTCATATTTCTTTGTTGATTTTCTGTCTGAGTGATATGTCTGTAACTGAGAATGGGGTGTTGAAGTCTCTTACTGTTATTGTATAGCACTCTATCTCTCCCTTTAGATCTATTAATGCTTGCTTTATATACTTGGGTGCTCTGGTGTTAGGTGCATATATATTTACAATTGTTATATTCTCTCACTGAATTGACCCCTTTATCATTATTGAGTAGGATTCTTTATATCTTTGTATCTTTTTACAGTCTTTGACTTGTAGTTTATTTTATTTGATCTACAAATAGTTATTCCTGCTCTTTTTTGGTTTCCGGTTGCATGGAAACCAATCTTTCTCCACCTCTTCACTCTCAGTCTGTGCGTGTCTTTATAGGTAAAGTGGGCTTCTTATAGGCAGCATATAGGTGGGTCTTGTTTTTTTTTTTTTTTTGCTTTTGTTTTTGTTTTTTACCCATTCTGCCACTCAATGCCATTTAACTGGAGAATTTAGTCCATTTGAATTCAGTATTATTATTGATAAGTAAGAACTTACTATTGACATTTTGTTGCTTATTTTCCTGTTGTTTTGTTACTCTTCTGTTTCTTTTTTCCTTTCCTACTACCTTCTTATGTGATAAGTAATATTCTCTGGTAGTAAGATTTTATTTGTTGCCTTTTTATTTCTAGTGTGTCTTTTATAGTTTTGTATGTGTGTGTGTGTGTGGTTTCCATAAGGCCTACAAAGAATATCTTAAAGATTAACAAATTAGTTTAAATCTATGACAAATTATCTTAGACCACAAATAATAGAAACAAAGAACAAGTGAAAAAAAACTGTATGCATTAACTTCATCTCTGTCCCTCAACATTTTGACTTCATGTTGTCTCAATTTACATGTTTCTATATCAGATATCTCTTAATAGGTTGTTATAGCTATAATTGTTTTTTCATAGATATGTCTTTTGGGCTTCATACTAGTTATGAGTGGGTTGTACACCATAATTATAATTAGTAGAGTATTCTGGGTTTGTCAATGTACTTAAGTTTACCAGGGGTTTTATACCTTCAAATTTTTTTTTTTTTTTGCACATTACTGTTTTGTTTTGTTTTTTCTTCAGATTGAAGAACTCCCTCTAGCATTTCTCATAAGACATGTTGGTAGTGGTAAAGTCTCTCGGCTTTTGTTTATCTGAGTAAAACTTTATTTCTCCATATTTGATATAAAAATTTGCTGCATATAATATTCTTGCATGGCAGGTTTTTTTCTTTAAGCACTATGATAATGTCATCCCACTTCCTACTGGCTCATATGGTTTCTGTTGAGAAGTCTGTTGCCAGATAAATTGGAACTCCTTCATATGTTATTTGCTTATTTTTTTCTTGCTGCTTTTAGGATAATTTCTTTGCCTTGACATTTGAGAGTTCAATTATTATATACCTTGGGGTAGTCTTTTTTGTCCATGTCTGTTTGGTGTTCTCTGAGCTTCCTGTACTTGGATATTTAGGTCTTTCTCAAGTATTGGAAACTTTTCTATTATTTCTTTGAATATGCTTTCTATCCATTATTCTGGCTTAATTTCCTTTTGAACACCAATAATTCTTAGAGTTGGTATCTTAAGGTAATGTTCTATGTCTTTAGGTGATCTTCATTTCTTTTCATTCATATTTCTTTTTTCTTCTTCATGTATTTTCAATTAGCCTGTTTTTCAGCTCACTGATTCTTTCCTCTGCTTGTTCCATTGTGCTGTTGAGGGCCTCTAGTGAGATTTTCAGTTTAGCAAATGTATTTCTCACTTCTAAGATGTATGTTTGATTTTTAAAAATTACAATCTATATTAAATTTCTCTGATAAATTTCTAAGTTGCTTTTCTGTGCTATCTTGGAGATCACTGTGTTTCCTTAAATCTGCTTTTTTGAATGCTTGTTCAGAGAGTTCACGCATCACAGCCACTAGGGTCAGTCACTGGTTTCTTGCTTTGTCCATTGGGAAGATCATGATTCCCTCTTTGCTGATGTGTGTGTGTGTGTGTGTGTACATCACCGTTTTTGCACTAAAGGATTAGTTGTTGAATCCAGTCTTCTCTGTCGGCTTATTTTGGTTTTTATTGGACATGTTTCCTTAGATGTTTTTATAATTAGCTGCTGGTTTGCTTTCTCATCTTTTTTTTTCCTGCTGGGTTGCTGCCTCCTTTTTAGCACTAGGTGGCACCTTAAGCCCAGGTTGGCCTCAACTCTAGTAAACAGTCGGAGGGCTGCTCATCTTAAGTGGGAGGGGTTCCAAAGGGAATGTCCCAATAGTGTGGGAATGCTGGTTAGGAGTTTGTGCCCTAAGAACCTGCAGAACATACCTCCTATAGTATAGTGCCGCTGAACAGCCATTCTGATTTGGTGTCAACTTTGGCCAAGTTACCTATCAGAGTTTCCAGGGTTGAGGATGATAGTCTTATCACCCCACCTTGTCTCTGGCTGTCTTCAGAGATATTTCTCCCTTTAGGCACTTGCAATGCTTCCTGTAGATTGATACTGGAATAGACTTCCTTTCAGGGATCCCAAGGTGATGGGGAAGCTGGCTGTTAGCCTTGATTTCACCTTTTTCTGTGTATAAATTGTGAACAAGGGGAAATTTCTATGCACTTGGTTACAGTCAGATTGAAGGGAGAGGCATCAAGGATATAGAATTCCAATTCTCTTTCCATCTGCTCAGAGTTTTTTCACTTCTCTTTGGCTCTGGGAACTGTGTCTTCCTCATATTTTAGTTCCAAGACATTGGCAGTGATAATCTCAGTGCTGCATATTTGTTTTTGGTTTTCTATGGTGGGTAGGTTAAGTCAGCTTTCTTCTACACTGCTATTTTGGAACCAGAAATCCTATACATTGGTAAAAATAAAGTAGGAAAGAATAGAAAGCACTAGACCAACTCTTCATGAAATTTATGTGTGAATTAAAGGAAATATGTTTATACTTATTAGAATGTACCCAAAAATTGTTGCGATCATAAATATACACATTATAGATTGATGTTAGATAGATGGATAGATATACAACATATAGAAGAATTAAGTCTGATTGCTTCCAAATGGAAGGAAACCTCTAGGAGAGTAAGATTGAAGAGCAGAAGCAAGAAAGTGAATTTATGAAAGAACAAGTTCCCCAAATAAGCAAAAAATAAAAACAAACCAAATTATGTATATAATTGGGAGAAAAACCAGGAAAGGAAAAAATAGAATATCTTCCTTGAAGAAATATTTTTAAGAAAAGGAAAAGGCCGGGCGCAGTGGCTCACGCCTGTAATCCCAGCACTTTGGGAGGTCGGGGCGGGTGGATCACGAGGTCAGGAAATCGAGACCATCCTGGCTAACACAGTGAAACCCCATCCCTACTAAAAATACAAAAAAATTAGCCAGGCGTGGTGGCGGGGGCCTGTAGTCCCAGCTACTCGGGAGGCTGAGGCAGGAGAATGGCGTGAACCCAGGAGGCGGAGGTTGCAGTGAGCTGAGACTGCGCCACTGCACTCCAGCCTGGGCGACAGAGCGAGACTGTCTCAAAGAAAAAAAAAGAAAGAAAAGGAAGAAGTGGATGAAAGTAGAAAACTTTTGAGACAATGTAGGACAGAGGAAACTTTCATACAAGAGCCTTATTTTCTAAAAAAAAAAAAAAAAAAAAAAAAAGGAAATAAAGGGTCATCCATGGTAACCAAAAGCAGAAGAATAGAAGTTAAGTATTTACCAAGTCTGGAAATGTGTTTTATAGCGAATATAAAAGTGTAAATTCACAATGACTAGAAGCCTTATTGAGCAAGAATGAAGAGGTTGACTAAAATTAAACAGAAGGACATGCTAGTGAACATATTCCACCCATGGTTAATTGTTACTATCAAGCCTTAGCAGAAAGCAAAATTGGAAAAAAAGAAAAAAATAAATTCACCTACTATGTAAAGTAGATGAATTTATGTTAGGAAGAAAAATCTTAAGGACATTAAGAAAACAAATATTATTATCATCTTACAATTACATAAATTTAAAACCTAGCTTTTACAAAGTTTGAGGTTTTTATTTTACCTTTGGAAAATAAAGTTCAGAAATTGTAGAGTGATATTGAAAAAAATTTAACTGTTTAGAAATGCAAGTACTATCAACATCACTGTCTACTGTGTTCAAAGATAAGTATTAACACTGATATTATCCAAAACAGGAATAAAAATAAAAACTATGCTGAATGAGGCCATAAGATTTTCTCCTTTTTCAACAACAAAAGTGATTAACTGCACACGGTTACTGCTTTTACGTTGTAATGCTATATTCCTCAACAATGGTGTCTTCCAAAATGAGTCTCTTTTTGTTTCTGAATGACAATAACCAAGAGTTATGGGCTGAATTGTGTCACTCCACAGTTCATATATTGAAGCCCTCACTCCCAGTACCTCAGAATGTGTCTCTAACTGGAGATAGAGCCTTTAAACAGGTAATTATGTTAAAATGAGGCCATTAGGGTGAATCCTTATCTAATATGACTTGTGACTTTATAGAAACAATGAATTCCGGAAAGGAGATGGAGCAAGATGGCCTAATAGAAGCCTTCACTGATTGTCTACCCTGCAGGAACACCAAATTAAACAACTATCCACACAAGAAAGCACCCTCAGAACAACCAAAAATCAGGTGAGTGATCACAGTACCTGACTTAAACTTCTTGTTACTGAAAGAAGCATGGAAGAGGGGTAAGACAGTCTTGAATTGCCAACACTACCACTCCCACAGCCTCTAGTGGTGGCCACATGGCACAGAAAGAAAATCTGTTTTCCTGGGGGAGGAAGAGTGCAGAGACCGTGGGACTTTGCATTGGAACTCACTGCTGTCCTCTTACCCCAGAAAGCAATACCAGGCACAACGCAGCCAGTGCCTATGGAGGGAGCATTTAGACCTGCCCTAGCCAGTGGGGAATTGTCCATCCCAGATGTCAGAAGACGAATTCAGGCAAGCCCCACCACCTCACGACAAAGTGTTCTATGGTCCTAAATAAAATTGAATGGTAGTCTAGGCCACAAGAACTGCAAATACTGGGCAAGTCCTGGTGCTATGCTGGGCACAGAGCCAGTGGACTTGAGAAGCACATGACCTAATGGAACACCAGCCAGAGTGGCTGAGAGAATGCTTACATCACTCCACCCCAGCCACAGGTAGTATAACTTGCAGCTCCAGAAGACACTCCTTCCCTCCACTTGAGAAGAAAGAGAATAAGGCGGACTTCATCTTGCAACTTGGATACCATCTCAGCTACAGTAGAATAGGACACTGGGCAGAGTCCTGAGGCCCCTATTCCAGACCCTAGCTCCCAGATGACATTTCTAGGCACCTTGGGCCAAAAGGTAAACCACTGCCTTGAAGGGAAGGACCCAGTTCTGGCAGGATTTACAACCTGCTGACTAAAGAGCCCTTGGGCACTGAATAATCAGCAGTGGAACCCAGGTATTTGCTATGGTCCTTGGTCCTTGGGTGAGACTCAGAGAGCTGCTAACTTCAGGTGTGACCCAGCACATTCCCAGCTGTGGTGGCTCTGGGAAGAGACTCCTTCTGCTTGAGTAAAGGAGAGGGGAGAGTAAAGGGAATTCTGTCTTGAAGCTTAAGTATGGTTTGGCTACAAGGAAGTAGAGCACCAAGCAGGCTCTTGGGATATTTGATTGCAGGCCTTGGCTCTTAGATGGCATTTCTAGACCTGCCTGGGGCCAAAGGGGAGCCTGGTGTCCTGAAGGGAGAGTCCCAGTCCTGGAAGCATTCACCAAAGCTGACAGAAGAGCCCTTGGGCCTTGAGTGAACATTACCAGTAGCCAAGCAGTACTTGTCCATGGCCCTGGGGCAGTGGTGGCCATGGTGAGAGACTCCTCTGCTTGCAGAAAGGAGAGAAAGAGTGGACAGGACATTGACTCATGACCTGGGTGCCAGCTCAGCCACAGAATAGAGCACTAAGTGGATCCCTAAGATTTCCAACTCCCAGATACTGGCTCCCAGATAGCTTCTTTAGACCCACCTGGAACTGGGGGTAACTCGCCACCTTGAAGGGAAGCCCACAAGCCTGATTGGCTTTGCCACCTGCAGATTGCAGAACCCTCGGGCCTTGACTAAACATAACCAGTAGCCAGGGAGTGGTTCCTGTAGGCTGTGAGCAAGACCCATTATTGTGCTAGCTTCAGTTCTCCCACAATGCAGTCCTAGTGGTGGTGGCCACAGGTGTGCTGGTTCCACCTTTCCATCAGCTCCAGGCAGCTCATCACAGAGACAGAGAGACAACATTTGTTTGGGAGAAAGTAAGGGAAGATAACACGGTTCTGTGCCTGGTAATCCACAGAATTCCTCTAGATATTATCATAGACCATCAATGTTATACTTCACAGATGTGGCTGCAGTGACCAAAAATCTAGACAACACCCAAGTCACTTCAAATACCTGGAAACCTTCCCAGGAAAAATGGATACAAACAAGCCCAGACTGTCAAGACTAAAATAAATATTTAACTCCTACTGCGTAGACAGCAATAACATCCATAAGCAATAAGACCATTTAGGAAAACATGACCTCACAAGATGAACTAAATAAGGCACCAGGGACCAATCCTAGACAGAAAGAGATATGTATGTGACCTTTCAAAAAGAGAATTCAAAATAGCTGCTTTGAGGAAACTCAACAAAATTCAAGCTAACACAGAGGAGAAATTCAGAATCCTATCAGATAATTTTAACAAACAGATTGAAATAATTAAAAGGAATCGAGCAGAAATTTTGAGGTTGAAAATGCGATTGACACACTGAAGAATGCATCAGAGTCTCTTAGCAGCAGAATTGATCAAAACAAAAATGAATTAGTGAGCTAGAGACAGGCTATTTGACAATACACAGTAAGAAGAGACAAAGGGAAAAAATAATAAAAAATAAGGATGCACACCTACAAGATCTAGAAAATAGCCTCAAAAGGACAAATCTAAGAGAAATTGGTCTTAAAGAAAAAGTACAGGGAGATGAGGTAGAAAGTTTATTCAGAGGGATAATAACAGAACCTCCCAAACCTACAAAAAGATGTCAATATTCAGGTACAAGAAAGTTATAGAATACCAAGCAGACTTAACACAAAGAAGACTACCTAATGGAATTTAATAATCAAACTCCCAAACATCAAGAATAAAGAAAGGATCCTAAAAGCAGGAGGAGAAAAGAAAAAAATAACATACAATGAAGCTTCACTATGTCTGGCAGCAGACTTTTCAGTGGAAACCTTACAGGCCAGAACAGAGTGGCATGACATATTTAAAGCACCGAAGAAACAAATTTTTGCCCTAGAGTAATATAACCAGTGAAAGTATCATTCAAACATGAAGAAGAAATAAAGATGTTAACATGAGGAAGAAATATAAAAAAAAAATCCTTCAAACATGAAGGAGAAATAAAGACTTTCTCAAACAAAAGCTGAGAGATTTCATCAACACCAGAGATGATGTACAAGAAATGCTAAAAAAGTTCTTCCACTTGAAAGAAAAGAATGCTGATGAGCAATAAGAAATCATCTGAAGGTACAAAACTCACTGGTAATAGTAAGTACACAGAAAAACATAGAATATTATAACATTGTAATTGTGATGTATAAACTATGTATTAAGTAGAAAGTCTAAAAGACAAACTTATCAAAAATAATAACAGCAACCACATTTCAAGACATAGACAGTAGAATGAGACATAAATAGAAACAATAAAAAGGCAAAAAGCAAGGGAATGAAGTTAAAGTGTAGAGTTATTGTTGGTTTTCTCTGTGTTTGTAAGTTTGTTTATGCAATCAGTGTTGTCATCTGTTTAAAATAATGAATTAAATGATATTATTTCACAAGCCTCATGCTGACCCCAAACAAAAGAACATACAATAGATATACAAAAAATAAAAAGCAAGAAATTAAAACATACCACTAGCAAAAATCATCTTAAATAAAAGGAAGATGGGAAGGGAGTAAAGAAGAAAGAAAAGACAACAAAACAATCAGAAAATAAAACAAAATGGCAAGAGTAACTTCTTACTTATCAATAATAACATTCAATCTAAGTGGACTAAACTCTCTAATCAAAAGACTTAGAGTGGCTGAATGGATGAAATAACAAGACCCAGTGATCTGTTTGCTATGAGAAACATACTTCACCTATAAAGAAACACACAAACTGAAAATAAAGAAATGGAAAAACATATCCCATGCAAACAGATGCCAGAAAAGAACAAGAGTAGCTATACTTACATCAGACAAAATAGACATCAAATGAAAACTATAAAAAGAGAAAAAGAAGTTAATTACATAGTGATAAAGTGATCAGTTCAGCAAGAGGATATAACAATTGTAAATATATATGCACTCAACACTGGAGCACCTAGATGTATAAACCAAATATTATTAGAGCTAAAGAGAGAGATAGACCCCAATACAATAATAGCTGGAGACCTCAACACCTTACTTTCAGCATTGGACAAATCATCCAGACAGAAAATCAGAAAATAAATATGGAACATAATCTGCATGATAGACCAAATGGGCCTAATAGATGTTTACAGAACATTTCATCCAATGACTGTGGAATACACATTCCTCTTCTCAGCACATGGATCATTCTCAAGGATAGACCATATTTTAGGCAACAAATCTTTAAAAATTCAAAAAAGTGAAATTACATGAGTATCTTCTCTGATCACAATTTAGTAAAACTGGAAAGTCAATAACAAGAGGAAACTTAGAAACTATACAAACACATGTAAATTAAACAATATTCTCCTAAATGACTAGTGGCTCTCTGAAGAAATTAACAAGAAAATTGAAAAATTTCTTGAAACAATAATGAAAACATAACATACCAAAATCTAGAGGATACATGCAAGCAGTACTAAGAAGGAAGTTTATAGCTATAAGCACCTATATCAAAAAGGTGCAAACGTTTCAAATAAACTACTTTATGATGTATCTTAAAGAACTAGGAAAGCAAGAGTAAACTGAACCTAAAATTAGAAAAGAAAAAAATAATAAAGATCGGAGCAGAAACAAATGAAATTGAAAAAAAGAAAACAATATAAAAGACCAACAAAGCAAAATTTTTTTAAAAAACTAAAAAAAATTGACAAACCTTTAGCCACACTAAGAAAAAAAAAGAGAAGATCTAAATTTTAAAAATCGGAGATGAAAAAGGAAACATTATAAATTATACCACAGAAATTAAAAGGCTAATAATGAATGGCTGCTATGGCAGCTATATGGCAATAAACTGGAAAACCTAGAAGAAATGGATAAATTCCTAGACACACATGACCTACCAAGATTGAACCATGAAGAAATCCCAAATTTGAACAGACCAAAAACAAGTAATGAGACAGAATCCATAGTAAAAATACTCCCAGCATAAAAAGCTCAGCACCCAGTGGCTTTGTTGTTGAATTTTACCAAACATTTAAATAACTTATACTGCTGGGCGCGGTGGCTCACGCCTGTAATCCCAGTACTTTGGGAGGCTGAGGCGGGTGGATCATGAGGTCAGGAGATGGAGACCATCCTGGCTAACGTGGTGAAATCCCATCTCTACTAAATGTACAAAAAATTAGCCGGGTATGGTGGCAGGCACTTGTAGTCCCAGCTACTTGGGAGGTTGAGGCAGGAGAATGGTGTGAACCCGGGAGACGGAGCTTGCAGTGAGCCGAGATCGCGCCACTGCACTCCAGCCTGGGCCACAGAGCGAGACTCCGTCTCAAAAAAATAAAAATAAAAATAAAAATAAATAAATAAATAAATAAATAACTTATACCAATCTTACTCAAACTATTTAAAAAAATAGAGGAAGGAACACTTCCAAACTTATTCTACTAGGTCAGTGTTACCCTGATACCAAAACCAGACAAAGACACATCAAAAAAACAAACAAAAACCTATAGGCCAATATCACTGATGAAAATTGATGCAAAAATCCTCAACAAGTAAACTAAATTCAGTAATACATTCAAAAGATCATTCATCTTTTAAGGAGACCAAGTAGGATTTATGCCAGGGATGCAAGGATGGTTCAAAATATGTAAATCACTCAATGTGAGACATTATATCAAAAGAATAAAGGACAAAAACCATAGAATCATTCCAATTGATGCTGAAAAAGCATTTGATAAAATTCAACATACCTTCATGATAAAAATCCTTAAAAAATCTGGGGGTAGAAGGAACACAATAAAAGCCATATA
Source organism: Homo sapiens (assembly GCF_000001405.40). NCBI lineage: Eukaryota > Metazoa > Chordata > Mammalia > Primates > Hominidae > Homo > Homo sapiens. The sequence continues at coordinate 16,950,918 of NC_000021.9, forward strand.
TAACAGGCCCATAGGTACAATAATACTGGATGGGAAAAACATGAAAACATTTTCTTTAAGATCTGGACCACGACAAGGATGACCACTTTCACCACTGTTATTCAACATAGTACTGGAAGTCCCAGCTAGAGCAATCAGACAGGAGAAAGAAAGAAAGGGCATGCAACTTGGAAAGGAATGAGTACAATCACCTTTGTCTGCAGATGATATAATTTAATAATTGGAAAAGCCTAAAGACTGCACCAAAAAATGATTAGAACTAAGATATTCTGCAAAGTTGCAGGATACAAAATCAACATACAAAAATAGGTAGCACTTTTATATGTCAAAGGTAAGCAATCTGAAAAATAAATCAAGAAAGTAATCCCATTAACAATAGCTACAGATAAAATTAAATATCTAGGAATTAAGTTAATCAAAAAAGGAAAAGGTCTCTATCATGAAAATGAAAATACTAATGAAAAAAATCGAAGTGGACACAAAAGTGGAAAGATATTTCATCTTCATAGATTGGAAGAATAAATATTGTTAAATTGTCTATATTACCTAAAGCAATCTATAGGTTCAATGCAATTCCCAACAAAACACTAGTAACATTCTTCACAGAAATAGAAAAAAAATCAAAAAATTTATATGGAACCACAAAATACCCAGAATAACCAAAACTATCCTGTACAAAAGGAACAAAACTGGATGAAACACACTGCCTGACTTCACATTATACTACAATACTACAGTAACCAAAGCAAAATGGTACTGACATAAAAACAGACACATAGACAATGGAAACAGAATAGACAACACAGAAACAAATTCATACATCTACAGTAAACTCATTTTTCACAAAGTTGCCAAGAATATACAATGGGGAAAAAATAGCCTCTTCAATAAATGCTGCTGGGATAAATGATTATCTATAATGAGAAGAATCAAATTAGACCTCTATCTCTTGCCACATACAAAAATCAAGTGAAAATGGATTATTAAAGACTTGCCAAAACCTCAAACTATAAAACTACTAAAATAAAACTTTGGGAAAACTCTTCAGAACATTGCACAGGGCAAAAATTACCGTGCTGCGAGTAGTACCCCGCAAGCACAGGCCTCCGAACCAAAAATGGACAAATGAGATGACATCAAGCTAAAAAGCTTCCACAGCAAAGGAAACAATCAACAAAGAGAAGTGTCAACCCACAAAATGGGAAATATATTTGCAAACTATCCATCTGACAAAGGTTAATAACCAGAATACATAAGGAGCTCAAACAGCTCTATAGGAAAAAAATCTAATAATCCAATTAAAATATGGGCAAAGGATTTGAATAGACATTTCTTAAAAGAAGACACACAAAGGGCAAACAGGTATATCAAAAGGTGCTCAACATCATTGGCCATCAGAGTAATGCACATCAAAACTACAATGTGGTATTGTCTCATCCCAGTTAAAATGGCTTTTATCCAATAGTCAAGCAATAACAAATTCTGGCAAGAATGTGGAGACAAGGGAACCCTCATACACTGTTAGTGGGAATGTAAATTATTACAACCACTATAAAGAACAATTTGGAGGTTGCTCAAAAACTAAAAATACAACTATCATATGATCCAGCAGTCCCACTGTTAAGTACACCCAAAAGAAAAGAAATCAGTATATTAGAGAGATATCTGCACACCTATGTTTATTGCAGCACTATTCACAATAGCCAAGATTTGGTAGCAACCTAAGTGTCCATCAACAGATGCATGGATAAAAAAAATGTGGTAAATATAAACAATGCAGTACTATTCAGCCATAAAAACGAATGACATCCAGTCATTTGCAACAACATCGATGGAACTGGAGAGATCATTACATTAAGTGAAATAAGCCAGACACAGAAAGACAACTTCCCATGTTCTCATTTATTTGTGGGAGTTAAAAATTAAAATAATTGAACTCATGGAGACAGAGAGTAGAAGGATGATTACCAGAGGCTGGGAAGGGTAGTTGAAGGATAGGGGGTAATGACAGATAGTCAATGGGTACAAAAATATAGGATAAAAAAAGATCTAGTATTTAACAATAATTTATTGTAAATTTAAAAATAATTAAATATAACTAGATGGTTTGTAACAGAAAGAATAAATGCTTTAGGTGATAGATACCCTATTTACCCTGATGTGACTGTTATGCATTGTATGCTTATTTCAAAGTATCCCATGTACCCCATAAATATATGCACCTACTATGGACCCACAAAACTTAAATATAAAGTAAAAAAATTAATTAATGAGTGAATTGTATGGCATCTAAATTACGTCTCAATAAAGCTGTTACAAAAATCGGAAAAAAACAATAAATTTGAATAAGCAGAAATACCAAGAATGAGGAAGCACAGTGAAAAGGCTACCGTTTGCGAGCAAAAAGGCTGCCATCTCCAAGCCAAGGAGAGTTGCCCCAGAAGAAACTAAACCTGCCAACACCTTGATTTGGACATCTAGCCTCAAGAACTGTGGGAAAATAAATCTATCCTTTTTAAGCCATCCAGTCTGTGGTATTTCATTACAGGAGCCTTAGCAAACTAATATACCCAGTTTTTCTGCTTTGTTTTGTTTTTTACCCTTTAATTGTAATTCACAACGTGGATTTTTTTCTAATGTGCCCTTCAGTATTTTACTACCTGCCCCTGCGAGATTTCCTGTCTTTCAAAATCAAGTCTAGCAAAGCTGACCTAGAGCAGGGTAAGTATCTCCATGCTGAAAGACTGAGCTTTCCTACAACCTCACAATTAAGAATGCTTTCATGCTACTTAAAATTAAAGATGGCTGCTAAAACAAGAACTTGCAGGTAGCCATTTAGCAACGTTTAAAAGGTAGGCTGGAGTTCATTCAATTTTGTCTTTAGTGCAAGGCCCAAGTGTTTGGCACCTTCCTCATCAGCTTCCAAAGGAAATGTTAGGCTTTGCTGATTGCTGATTTATTTTATGTTATTTATTTATTTATTTTTGAGATGAGTCTCGCTCTGTCGCCTAGGCTGGAGTGCAGTGGTATAATCTTGGCTCACTGCAACCTCCACTTCCTGGGTTCAAGTTATTCTTGTGCCTCAGTCCCCCGAGTAGCTGGGATTACAGGGGTATGCCACCATGCCCAGCTAATTTTTGTATTTTTAGTAGAGACGGGGTTTCAGCATGTTGGCCAGGGTGGTCTCAAACTCCTGACCTCAGATGATCCATCCGCCTCAGCCTCCCAAAGTGCTGGGATTACAGGCGTGAGCCACAGCACCCAACCTGGTTGCTGATTTATTGATGACCATTTTAGGTTTCACAAATACTGCTCTTATCATTGCACAAGATTATGAACAAATATCTTGTTTTCTCTAGTCAATTCTCATGTTTAACGTTGGCTTGATGTCTTCATCTCCAAATAATCATATTTTTCCCTCTTAATTATAGAGCAAATGAACAATGAGATGGTATGACTCAATTAGATTGCTGCATTACTGAATGCAGAAAAACTCTCATGTTCTCCTATCACCTTCGTACCCACTCCACTCCAACATTCATTCACAGTTTATTTGTCCGTAGGTAAATACCAAGAAAGCTAGATTAATTAGAGCTCTTCCCTAGGTAGTTTTTGCAAACTAGACCAAGGAAAGAAAATATGTCTTGGTTGAAGGAGTTCGAGTTATGACCCTTAACAACTATGAGCAGCCACGTGCCACCAATTTGGAATAATTACTTTTACAGTGAGAGGGAATAAAGTGGATATGGGAAATAATAGCATCCAGCTCACAGGGTTGTAAGACTTAAATGGGATTATGTATGTAAAGTACTTACCACCATTCAATAGATGCTGGCAAAAACAATTAAAACTAAGAAGGGTCTCAGATTTTAGCCTGCTTGTAAGCCAACAAGCAGCCTGCCACTGTTTCATGAATGCTGGCAGAAGACATAAGACTCCTCAGCTAGAAAAAAAGGGTGTTATTACTTTTGGCACAGTGGGCAGCAAGAGCTTCAATGTAAACACTGGCCTCTAAGTCTCATGGTCATGACAGAGGCAGGCACAGGTGGATGCTGTAAGCACAATGAGTGTGTGTCACAGCTGAGAAATCCAATCTTAGGAATCTCCAATTGTTTATAACGGGCTGCCTGAAAACCTGCTCAACCTTTGCCCTGGAGGAAGGCATTATCTTTATTATACTTGACAACAAACAAACCTGTCATCTGTTCTAGGGGCAAGACCCTGTCTCTGTCTTACAAGGCTATTTGCTATACATACATCCTTGAAAAGACAGTCTGGACAAAACTGTGAATGCCTCTGGTTAAAAGAAGTGCAGGTATGAGAGACCCATGGAGAATTCTCTTTGAACAATAATTAATAGATATTTAGAATTGAGAGCACTGAGATATTTATTGAGCATTAGTAAATAAAGAAACATGGATTTAGAAGCTAAATTGCTGGTAATATTATGTAATCTTTGATTTAATAGATGAGAAGCCTTGTCCTGGGTAAGGAAATTAATTTAGCTTTAGCATAGAGAATATGAGTTATCTATAGCACATACAATGAAAATATTCAATGAGAAACTGGAAATTGATTCAGATGATAGAAAAATATTAAAATCTGGTTATACCAACATTGCAATCATACTTACAAAAAGGTCAACTAGTACTTTCTTTTCCTCATTATGATGACTTTCAAGCTCAGGGGTCAACAAATCAGCCCATAGGTTAAATTCTGTTCACTACCTGTTTTTGTATAAAGTTGCATTGAAACACAGCCACACTCCATCCTGATATTTTTGTTTAAATCTTAGATTCAAAGGATACATGTATAGGTTTGTTACATGGATATGTTGCATAATGCTGAGGTTTGGGCTTCAGTTGAACTCATCACCCAATTAGTGAACACAGTACCCAATAGATAGTTTATCAACCATTGCCCCCTCCCTCCCTTTCCCCTTAGGCATCCCTAGTGTCTCTCTGTTTCCATCCTTATGGGCACTTAGGTAGATGCCATGTCTTTTCTATTGTGAATGGCACAACACACCCTTTCATTTATATATTGTCTGTGGCTGCATTCATACTACAATGGTAAAGTTTGATAGTAGCAACAGAAATGACTCACAAAGCCAAAAATATTTACTATCTAATTCTTTACAGAAAAAGCTGGCTGCCCTCTGTTCTAAACTCTTAAATTTGTGGATCAGCTCATGGAATCAACTTAAGTGTCCATAACGGATGGATTGGATAAAGAAAATGTGGTACATATGCACCATGGAATACTACACAGACATTAAAAAAAATCACGTCCTTGTCAGCAACATGGATGCAGCTGGAGGTCATTATCCTAAGTGAATCAACACAGAAACAGAACATCAAACACTGCATTTTCTCGTAAGTGGAAGCTGAACTGTGGGTACACAGGAACATAAAGATGAAAATAATAGACACTGGGGGCTCTAAAAGTGGGGAGAGAAAGAGGAGGACAAGGGTTGAAAAACTACCTATTGAGTATCTATGTTCACTCTTTGGGTGATGGGTTCACCAGAATCCCAAATGCCAGCATTATGCAATACACCCATGCAATAAACCTGCACATGTACCCCTGAATTTGTAATAAAAATTTGAACATCATCAGTCCTTCTTTCCAAAGTTTTATATTATAAAACCATATCTACTTTTTCTCTGAGGCTACTTTGCATTTACCTAGTTGTATTTTCCCCAAGTAATTATAATCCAGAGAAAGAATGAGTTAAATGCTATATCAGTGGTATACATTGCAATGATAGAACCAAGAAAGAAAAAAAAATTAAAAAATAGAAACTCACATGGGAAAATTTTGGAATGTCCTCCCAGAAGATGTGGTTTAAGGAGGGCCTTTAAGGACGGTTAAAACACTGACACACAAAACTTCATCACTGGTGAGGAAATTACACAAGTAAAGAAAGGAAAGGAGTTTGTGGCAAACAAGGATACATAGATCAGGGAACCAACCAAGGTTAGGTCAAAGCAATAGGATACAAACACACTATTTTTCATATTGTTTTGTGATTCAAGTTCTGTAACTGCTTAAAAGTCTGGGACATGTGTGCATTATGCAGAATGAGAAGGAAAAGTTAGAGTCAGCAAAAAGAAGGCCAAGATAACCTGCTGTGACAAGCAAAGCAAATGAGAAGCTTGTTGGACAAAAATAGATTCTATAATCCAATGCCTTTTCCTGATTGTTGACAGAGGCAGAGTAGATGTGCATAATATGGAGCATTTGTCAAGGTGATGTCAAAAGATGATGCTTCCCACCTGGGAACTTAGTTTAGGATTATGACTTACAAAGCGCAAGTAAAGTCATGAATGCAGAGATCATTGCAAAAAAAAAAAAAAAATCTGTCATTAAAAGTCTTTATATAATCTAATTATATAAATTTGGAATACATATTGAAAAGCTATCTTAAAAAGAGGTTGTTTTGAAGTTTTATATCATGTTTGTAAAAATAATTTGAGGTAAAAAGTGTCTTCTAGTTGCATCAGGCTATGACAAGTCATGATTTCATTAACTCTGTAGTTTACCATAACAGTCTAGTTGTATGGTTGTTAAGGGCATTGAAAATTATGTATTAATATTTAATTCCCTTTTTAAATATTTGTGTGGTTCTCTTATACCACTTCCATATGTGGTGGCTATGAATTTCAGTCCATAAACATGAGGGCTCAGGAAATAGCACTTTATTTGCTGTAACAAGTTTTATATGTATGTATGTAACAAGCTCAGTTTTATTTCTGAGCTGAAGTTGATTTTTCCTCAGTCACTTATTTTTTCTTCCATCCCCAAGACCATTCCATGGTTTCAGTATCTTCAGTTAATGTCAAGGTATTGTGGGAGGGGGCACTGTCTGGACATCAATCATTTTTCTTCACAGACAACTCTTATTCTTTACATGGCTGCTTCAGTTCTGTCAATTCCCTTTAGCTTCCATGCCTTGACTGAGGCCCAGCAACTCTTCTCTTTTTTTGAGATCCTGCAAGAAAAGATGACCCTCTGTTGCCCTGGCTGGAGTGCAGTGGTGTGAACACAACTCACTGGAGCCTCAATCTCCTGGGCTCAAGCTATTCTCCTGCCTCAGGTTCCTGAGTAGCTGGGACCACAGGTACATGCCACCATGCACAACCAATTTTTAAAATGTTTTGTAGAGACAGGGTCTCACTATGTTCCCTAGGCTGGTCTCAAACTCCTGGGCTCAAGTGATACTCCCACCTCAGCCTGCCAAAGTGCTGGGATTATAGGTGTGAGCCACCATGCCCAGGCTCCAGTAACTTTTTTAACGGCTGTCTTCGATTCTTCTTACTAGAATCACCATGCAGCCAGTTCTCTTTACGATTTGTTTATCTTACTCCCTCCACAGAGGCACTTACTAGGAAAGAGAAGATCATCTCTACTCAGGATTTACCATCCACTTTACCTCCTTGCTAAGGTAATTTCTTTTATGAGTCTCTTTGTTAGTCAATTTGTGTTACTATAAAGAAACACCCAAGACTGGGCAATTCATAAAGAAAAGAGGTTTGTTTTAGCTCACGCTTCTGAAGGCTGTTAGGAAGCATGGTGCTGGCATCTGTTTCCAGTGAGTCCTCAGGAAGCTTACAATCATGGTGGAAGGGGAAGTGGGAGCAGGCACATCACATGGCAAGAGAGAGAGCGTGTAGGTGCCAGGCTATTTTAAATGACTAACTCTCACGTGAATATCTGTGAACTGACAATGAGAACTCACTCATTACCAGGGGAAGAGCCCCAAGCCACTAATGAAGGCTATGCCTTCACGATCCATACATCTCCACCAGGCCTCACCTCCAACACTGGGGATCACATTTCAACATGAGATTTGGAGAAAACACACATCGAAACCATATTAGTAGGTAAGAAAAATGCCCCTTCAAAATGCTCTAGCTAGCTCCTTCTCAATCCCTTTCCTGTGGAAAGTCAACTGCTCAGTAGTATGAGTCAGTGACTTTGGAGCTAGGAAGGAACTTGGTCACCATAACCAGCATGTTTTACAAGACTGACACCAACAAACCTCTTCAAATTTTCGAATTAGTTGAAGACAAGAAGATTTAGCAAATAAGTGAGTGAATTCAGAATAATAGAAATTGGGTGTCTACTGTTGAATAAAGAAGGTAAAAATACTTAAGGGAGAATGGCTGGAGTAAATTTGAGGTATCAGTGTGAACTTAATGATTTTCAATATAAATATAGATACATAGATATATGTGTATGTGAGTTTGTATATGCACACACATAATTTTCTAGCTATCCTGTAAGGAGTCCTGAAAGCAATGGCACACTGGCAGTAATTAGCACAAACCAAGTCCCCAGATTTTGGGTTCTATATTCATTCTCCAATAAAAGAAACCTGATTCTTTGAGAAATGGCTGATTTCAGGGCATGGGTTAGAAAACAAATGAGATAAATCTAGAGCATTCTATCATGGCAAAATGTAAGAAAGCTTATTCAAAGATTAATGGGGACATTTTAAAAGAACAAAAAAAGTTGAGTTGAAGGGAACCCACTGATTAAACCTGCAAAAATTTTAGCATCAAAATAATGATAATAACATATTGTAACCTCTTGAATAAAGTAGGAATAGAAAATAAGCTCCTGCCTTATAGTAGAATGCCAACTAACAAATATAGAAGGGAGGATGGAATTAGAAAAGCACCGCTTGGCAATAATCTTAGAAATCATTGATTCAGAAAAGGATTATCAATGGATGCTAAAATTAGTAGATGAGTATTTGATGAGGAACAGGCTATTTACATAGTCTGAAAGTATGTTTCCACAAAATACTTTTATTTACTTGTTATTTAATAAGTTTGAGATACTTATTAATTAACATTAAAATGAAGAAAATCTGACAGATTATTTTAAACAAATGGTAAATGATATCATCAATAGTCCAAATATTTATGCCTTCTATTAGGATGGACTAAGAACAGTGCATTATTTTTGTGGTATTCCTGCCAAAAACATGCATAACTGAAAATAAATTATAAGAAAACACCACAGAAAATCTGTATCTTTTTTAAAAGTCAAGGCCATGATACATGAAGAAAGATTTCAAAAGTCTAAGAGGTATGGCCTTTAAATGCAATGTGTGCTCCTGAATTGGTTCATTGACCAAAAAAGAAATGAAGAAAAGGGGAAACAATTTATTTTACTCTATAATGGGCACTATAAGGAAAACTGGGAAAATCTGAAGTTCTGGGAATTAGACAACAGTATTGCATTAACGTTAATTTTCTTATTTTGTTGGGTGTATTAGGGTTATAAAGAAGAATTCCTTTGCTTTTAGGAAACAGAAAATTTCAGGAATTTGGGCCGTCATGTCTGCAACTTGTAAACAGCTCAAAACAGAAAAAGAGAGAGAAGAAAAATGTACAATGTTAAAAATTGTGGAATCTGGACAAAGTTTGTAGAGTTCTTTGCACTGTTCTTACAACTATTCTGAAAGTTCAAAATTAAAATTTAACCCAAAAATACTATTGATATATCTTAAAATTCAAACTCTATTTTACTTCCTCACTGTTTGTAATTCTGTTAAGGCCATAAGGGTTTGTAAAATAAATGCCAGAAAAGCTTGCAGACAACTTTTACTTTCTACTCTTCCACATATCTCTTTTAAACAAATTTTTGTCAAAATTTTGTGAGTACATAGTAGGTATATGTATTTATGGGTACATGAGATGTTTTGATACAGGCATGCAATGTGAAATAAGCACATCATGGAGAATGGGGTATCCATCCCACATGCGTTTCTTCTTTGAGTTACAAACAATCTAATTACATTCTTTAAGTTATTAAAACATATACAATTAAGTTATTATTGACTATAATCACCCTATTGTGCTATCAAATAGTAGGTCTTATTCATTCTTTCCATTTTTTTGTACCCATTTACCATGCCTCCCCCCAACCTCCAACTACCTTTTTCCTCACCTCTGGTAACCATCCTATTCTCTATGCCCATGAGTTCAATTAATTTGATTTTTAAATCCCACAAATTAGTGATAACATGTGATGTTTGTCTTTCTGTGCCTGGCTTATTTCACTCAACATAATAATCTCCAGTTCCATCCATGCTGTGGCAAATGACTGGATGTCATTTTTTACTGCTGAATAATACTACATTGTTCATATTTACCACAATTTGACACTTAGGTTACTCCCAAATCTTAGTTATTGTAAACAGTGCTGCAGTAAACACAGGTGTGAATTTATCTCTTCAATATACTTATTTCCTTTCTTTTGGGTATATACCCAGCAGTAGGATTGCTGGATCATATGGTAGTTGTATTTTTAGTTTTTGAGGAACCTTCAAACTGTTCTCTACAGTGACTATATTAATTTAGTTTCCCACCAACAGTGTGCAATGCTTCCCTTTTCTCCACATCCTCACTAGCATTTGTTATTGACTGTCTTTTGGATATTAGCATTTCTAAAATGCTTTCGATTTGCGTTTCTCTGATGGTCAATGTTATTAAGCACCTTTTCTTATCTGTTAGCCATTTGTGTGTCTTCTTTTGAGAAATAGCTATTCAAACATTTTGCACATTTTTTCTTATAGAGTTATTTGAGCTTCTTATATATACTGGTTATTAATCCCTTGTCAGATGAATAATTTGCAAATACTTTTTCTCATTCTGTGAGTTGGCTCTTCCCTTTGTTGCTCATTTTTCTAAGCAAAAGCTTTTTAGCTTGATGTGATCTTATTTGTTCATTGCTGCTTTAGTTGCCTGTGCTTGTAGGGTAATACTCAAGGAATTCTTGCCCAGACCAATATCCTGGAGATTTTCCCCAATGTTTCTTTTAGTAGTTTTATAGTTTGAGGTTTTAGATTTTAGTCTTTAATCGATTTTTATTTTATTTTTGTAGATGGTGAGAGATAGGGGTCTAGTTTCATTCTTCTGCATATGGATATCCTGTTTGCCCAGCACTATCTTTGCCCATTTGTAGTGATGTTCTTGTTGTCGTTTTTTGCTTATTGACTTAAGTTTCCTAGAGATTCTTGATATTGATATTAAACCTTTGTCTGATGCATAGTTTGTGAATATCTTCTTCAATTCTGTAGGTTGTCTGTTTATTCTGTTGATACATTTTTTTGTTTGGTTGGTTTTTAACTGTGCAAATGCTGTTTAGTTTTATTAGGTTCCACTTGTCAATTTTTGTTTTTGTTGCAATGGCTTTTGGGCACTTAGCCAAAAATTATTTGCCAAGGCTGATGTTGAGAAGAGTATCTCCTAGGTTGTGTTCCATTATATTTATAGTTTGAGGTATTAAATTCAAACTTTAATCTATTTTGCATTAATTTTTATAAATGATGAAAGGTAGGGGTCTAGCCTTAATATTGGGCATATGGCTAGTCAGTTGTCCCAGAACCATTTATTGAATGGGAAGTCCTATCCCCATTGCTTGTTTTTGTCAGCCTTGTTGAATATCAAATGGTTGTAGGTGTATGGCTTTATTTCTGAGTTCTGTACTCTGTTTCATGGGCCTATGTGTTTGTTTTTTGTACCATTACCATGCTGTTTTGGTTACTGTAGAATAGTATAGTTTGAAGTTAAATAGTATGCTGCATCTGGCTTTGTCCTTTTTGCTTAACATTACTTTGGCTACTTAGACTCTTCATTGCTTCCATATAAATTTTAGAATAGTTTTTTCCTAATTCTGCGATGAATGACATTGGTACTTTGATAGGAAGTGTTGAATCTGTAAATTTCCTTAGAGAGAATGGTCATTTTTACAATATCAATTCTTCCAATCCATGAGCATGGAATGTTTTGCCATTTGTTTATTTCATTTTCTTTGGGACTATTGTAAATGGGATTGTGTCCTTGATTTCATTCTCAGCTTGGATATTGTTCATTAATAGAAATGCTACTGATATTTGTACATTGATTTTGCATCCTGAAAGTTTACTAAAATTGTTTATCAGTTCTAAAAGCCTTTTGGTAGAGTTCTTTGGATATTCTAGGTATAGAATCATATAATCAGTGAAGAGAGATAGTTTGACTTTCTCTTTTCCTAGTTGGACCCCTTTTAATTCTTTCTCTTGCCTGATTGCTCTGAGAAGGACTTCCAGTACTTAGTTGAATAGGAATGGTTGTTCCAGTTCTCAAGGGAAATTATTTGTGCTTTTACCCATTCAGTATAATGTTGACTGTGGGTTTGTCATAAATGGCTCTTATTATTTTGAGATATGTTCCTTTGATTTCTAGCCTATTGAGAGATTTTATTATGGAGGAATGCTGGATTTTATCAAAAGCTCTTTTTTTCATCTGTTGAAGAGGTCATATGGTTTTTGCTTTTAATTCTGTTTATGTGGTGAATCACATTTATTGATATGTGTATGTTGAACCAGCCTTGCATACTAGGAATAAAGCCTACTTGGTCATGGTGTATTATGCTTTGATATGCTGCTGGTTTCAGTCTGCTAATATTTTGTTGATGATATTTGCATGCATGTTCTTAAGAAATATTGGCCTAAAGTTTTCTATTTTTGTTGTGTCTCTGCCAGACTTTTATATCAGGCTGATTTTTTAAAATTAATTTTGTAAAATGCCATGGCAATTATTTAATACTACAACTGCCTGAGGCACCAATACTAGCTGGTCAAACAAAAAGCTGACCAAGAAGAAAACAAACAAAAAAAATCAGGTAATAATGCAATTAAAAGTACTATAAGCCATCTGGGTTTGAAGGAACAAGTAAAACTATGTATACTCACAAGTGACTTAATCTTAAATGAATAAAGTCCTAAGGGTTCCACACACGCCTGAAAAGCTATTCGAACGAATCAGTGACTTTAGCTAAATTGCAGGACCAATATACAAAAACCAACTGTATTTATCCAATAGCAGTGAACACTCCAGACATAAAATTTAAAGAAAAATTTCATTCACAATTGCCTCAAAAAAGAACAAAATACTTAAAAATAACTTTAACAAATGTGTTAAGACTTATACATTGGAAACAACAAACATTGTTGAAATGAAGTAAAGAAGACATAAGTAAATGAAAAGACATTATATTCATAAATTGAAAGACCTGATGTGGTTAAGATAGCAATACTCCTCAAATTTATCCACAGATTCAACACAATACCTATCCAAATCTTAACTACTTTTCTTCTTGCAGAAATTGGCAGGATACTCCTCAAATTTATGTGGCAATGCAAAGGACCTAGAATGGGCAAAGCAATCTTGAAAAAAAGAATAAAGTTGGTGCACTCATTCTTCCTAGTTTGAAATTCACTACAAAGTTGCAATAAGCAAGACAGTGTGGTTCTGGCAAAAGGTTGTAAATAAATTAATGGAGGGTTTTTTTGTTGTTTTTTTGTTTTGTTTTGTTTTGTTTTGTTTTGAGACGGAGTCTTGTTGTGTCACCCAGGCTGGAGTGCAGTGGTGCGATCTCTGCTCGCTGCAACCTCTGCCTTTGAGGTTCAAATGATTCTTCTGCCTCAGCCTCCTGAGTAGCTGGGACTACAGCTGCGTGCCACCACGTCCAGCTAATTTTTGTATTTTTAGTAGAGAGAGGGTTTCACCATATTTGCCAGGCTGGTCTCGAACTCCTGACCTTGTGATCTGCCCACCTCAGCCTCCCAAACTGCTGGAATTACAGGCATGAGCCACCAGGCCCAGCCATTAATGGAGTATTGAAGAGGATGTCCTTTCCCCAGTGCATGTTCTTGGCACCTGTGTCAAAAGACAGTGAGATTAAAATGCATAAACTTATTTCTAAATTCTATGTTCTGTTCCTGTTTTGTAGCCTAATCTGTGGTTTACCCTGGAGAATGTTTTATGCATCAATGAAAAGAATGTCTATACTGCAGCTGTTAAATAAAATGTTCTGTAAAAGTCTGTTAGGTCCGTTTGCTCTACCATGCAGTTTAAATCCAATGCTTCTTTGTTGATTTACTGTATGGATGATTTGTCCAATGCTTAGAGTGGGGTGTTGAAGTTTTCAACTAATATTGCATTAGAGTCTATCTCTCCCTTTAGATTTAATAATATTTGTTTTATATATCTGGGTGCAGTAGTATAGGGAGCATAAATATTTACAATTGTTATATCCTTTTGTGGAATTGATCCCTTTATATTTATATAATGACTTTCTTTGTTTATGGTTTTTTAATCAATGACTGTTTCTTTAAGTATAGCTACTCCTGCTCATTCTCATTTTTGGCTTCCATTTACACAGAATTTTTTTTCCCATTCTTTCTTTTTTTGTCTATATGTGTTTTTACAGTGAAATAAGCTTCTTGAAGGCAGCATACAGTATAGTCAGGTGGAGAGTTAAATCTGTTCACATTCAACATTATTATTACGAGGTGAGGACTTACTCCTGTCATTTTGTTAATTGTTTTCTGGTTGTTTTGTATATCCTTGTTTCCTTTCTTTCTCTTTTATTATTTATCATTGCAGCTGAGTGGTATTCTGTAGTGGTAATATCTGACTCTTTTCTCACTCTCCTTTGTGAATCTGCTATACCAGTGAGTTTTATACTTTTGCATATTTGCATGATGATGATGATGATCTTTTCACTTTCAAACACAGGACTCCCTTGAATGTTTCTTGTATGGCAGATCTAGTGGTGATTAATTTCTTGTTTTTCCTTGTTTGGGAAAGACTTCCTTCCTCCCTCATTTCTGAAGAATAGCTTTGCTGAGTATAGTAGTTTTGGCTGCCAGACTTTTTTCTTTCAGTACTTTGAATATACCATTTCATTCTCTGCTTGTGAGTAAGGTTTCTGCTAAGAAATCTGCTGTTAGTTTAATGGGCATTCCCTTATATGTAACTTGATGCTTTTCTCTTGCAGTTTTTAGAATTCTCAGTCTTTGACTTTTAACAATTTGACTAACACATGATTCAAAGAAGCCCTTTTTGGGTTAAACACATTTGGGGACTTTTGAGCTTGCTTGATCTGAATGTCCATATCTCTTTCCAGACTTAGAAAGTTTTCAGCATTTTTTTTATTAAAGCAGTTTTCTATGCCTTTTTAATCTATTTTCCTTCTGGAAATTCCATAAGACAAGTATTTCTTTGCTTAATGCCATTTCATAAATCTTGTAGACTTCTTGACTCTTCTTCATTCTTATATTGATTTTCTCTAAGTGTATAATTTCAAATGACCTATCTTCAAGTTCAGAAATTCTTTCTCCTGCTTGATCAAATCTGCAGTTAAAGCTCTCTATTGTATTTACAATATTTCATTCATTGGATTCTTCAGCTGCAGTATATCTGTTTGATTCTTCTTTTACGATATCTATATCTTTGATGAATTTCATGTTCATATCATGAAGTGTCTTCCTAGGAACTGTCTGTATTTTCTTGGGTTTCCTTGAGTTTCCCGAATATCACTATTTTGAATTCCTTTTATGGCAATTTGTTGATTTCCTTTTTGTTGGAATCTAATACTATAGAATTATTATGTTCCTTTGGTTGTGTCATATTTCCTTGCTTTTTCATGTTTCTTGTGTTTCTATGTTGATGTCTATGCATCTGATAGGACAATCACCTTTTTCAGATTTTCTAGAGTGACTTTTGTTAAGAAACACTTTTGGGAAAGGTATTGTGGCTCCTGCACATACAGCTATGTGCATGGGTGGTCTTTTAGATTCTGTAGCTGAATTCAACATTAGTAATAACTGTGGGTGTCTCAGTGGCCTATGTGGTAGAAATTTGTGGTAATAGTAGTGGTGGCATAGATTGTAAATATCTTTGGAGGTGTGGGATTTGGGGGTTTTCTGTACCTCCACCTGCATTCCCCATAATGGAGAGATAGATGGGGATATTTCTCTTAGTATTAAATCTAATATGGCCTACAAGCAGCTGCCATGGTCCTAGTTCTGGGTGCAGGTACTCAGAGTGGCTGTGGAGCCAGGGCCCTAGGCTTAGTGTCTTGTGAATCCATTGTGGCACCTAAATCTTAGGGTGCAGGTTGGCTTTCTCTGTCAGAGTTGGATGTAGGGTGCCCACGGCACAAGGATCTGACTCTGATGCACCCTGTAGCAGCTCAGGTCTAGGAGGTGTAGTTGAAGCTCTGATTATACCCCTGGATAGCAGAACACAGACCTGGCCTGACTCTAAGGGAGAAAGAGAGTTCTGTGGGTTTAAGCCTGGAGTGCAGGGTACAGTTGTAATTCAGGAGCCTGAGATAATAGGGTTCAGTGGCAACTTGCGTCCCTGCAGATGAGATATCATGTAGTGGTGAATCTAGACCTTAGGATGATGGGGCTTAGCAGTATCCCAAACTGTTGAGGCCAGGTGCAGCAGCAGCAAGCACCCTAAAATGACTGAGCATGGCTATTGTTTGAGCCCAGGTGGGAAAGGCAAGAAGCAACACAGCAATGATTCCACTCCATCCCGGGGAATAGAGTCATTGCTGTGCTGCTTCTTGCCCCCCAGGGGGTGTCTCAGAAGCTCAGATGCTAGGGGTCTAGTCCAGCTTCAGGGAAGCAAGATTCTACAGTTGTTTGGCCTGTAGCGTGGGGTGTCTCAGCTCAGCTTCTACTCTGCTTCCCTAGAACGGGTGGTGCTATCTCAGTCCAGCTCTGGCAAGTGGAGCTACTTATCTCAGCCAAGGTAATAGTTATCCAGGTGCAATGTGCCACTTCACCTCAGGCCTGGGAAGTGTGACTGTTCTTGGTGTCCCGGGCCTAGAAATGTATTTTCAGCCTGACTCCCTGTAATGTCAACTGTGTAAAACTTAGGAATCTCTAAGCAATGAGTAAGGCAGAAGCATAGAATTCATCATTATTTCATCTTGCTGTCCAACTTTTTAAAATAGTCCCCTCTCTATATTCCATATATAGTATATAAATAGAATACTTTTAGCAATATTACTATTGACATAGTACAGGACAGAATATAATTCTGGAAGACTTTTGTTCTTGTGTTTCCTTACGGAACTTCATAGCTAAAATCCACAGCTTGGCCAAATCTCATAAATTCTTTATCTTCAGTACTGAAAACGCTAGGCAGTTTACAGCAATAATTTTCACAAACTTATTTAAATGTGTAGTCTCCATAGATTCAGAACTGTAAGAAATTAATTTGTATGGCGTGTATTGTTTTCAGGTTTAATTAAATATGCTTTGTTAGGACATTCTGCTTATTAATTCATTTTCACAAGCTGTAAAATATTAACAAGTAAGACTTTTCCTTGAAAGATTCCTGTCCTAATTGCTGTTCTAATTGAAATTAAATAATTAAAAATCAAACATATTGTGAAATGGTTTAATGCTATAAGTGCTGTTCCCTTACTTTAGTTACTTAAAATTCTTAACCACTCTATAAACACACAATTTTACAGTGATCATTATTGAAGTATTTTACCTTTGAAATAACATCTATACATATCAACTTATTGATGAATTTGCAACATAGAAAACATTTCAGGGAATTTTCCGCATCAACTTACATCTAGAATGTTCTATTCATTTATAATGCATATAAAATCAAATAATATAACTTTCTGTGTTTCTGAAATTGGATATATGATAATCTATGGTATCAAAAGCTTATTGATATCATTATTTATTGGAAATTTTAAATAAAGTGACACTGTAGTAGGCATTCACCATTCGGTTATCACAATAGCTGAAGCCAAATCCAAGGCTGAGGAAATATTTATGGCCAAACACCAAGACCAAAGTTGAACTTTGGCACATACAAAAGAAGCAGCATACAAAACAAAAGTACAGCATGTCACCAAACATTCTTTGAAAACTTGCCAGGCATTGGCCAGGCCATCCAGACATTCTAGAGAAGGTGTGAATTTTACACTTTGCTTGAAACAAGTACACATACACACAGAGAGGTATTCTTAATGTTCTTTACTCAAGGTAGCCAGCATCATTACTACTTATTTTCTTGTAAAGCCACAAAAATTTGCAAATAACATCTGCCTTCTTTTGCTAATTCAGTTTCAAGAGACTACAATGTCTTCAAACTGCCATAGAGACTTTTCAATGTAATATTTTTATGTTTTTATTGACAGCGTTTTTGTTTTATTTTTTCGGTTATTAAAATCCACTGGCTCACATAAACTGACCTATCAAAACAGATTCCTGAATAGTGCAACACCAATTTGCACCCATGGACAGATAGGGAAATCCAAAACTATTAGTTATTAGGTTTTCAGAGAGATGGTAGAAAATGTGAATCTATGTGACTTAAAGGGTCTTGAATTTATTTTGGGGAAGATATTTGTATCATGTCATTTGTGTACCTTGATACTTTTAAAGTTAGATACCCATTCTTGGCACTAGCACTCATCTTTCCTAAACTTAACTCCACTTTATGCCCATGTATCTCGCAAAATGCAGCATTTCTATTGATATCAAAGCAAGTTCTAAACCTTGATGCATTCTGAAGTTGAGGACAGTGACTGGGGGCACTGGGGGCAGAGGGGAGGGTTCAAAAGAAATCTATTCTCTTAGGTTTCATCATAAACATATTTTATTTCAAGCACTGTTAATACTTAAAGCAAAGAGAGGAAAATTCCCAGAGTACGCTACATCTTAAACTATCTGAACCACAAAAGTAAACATTCAGGGAATAGATCTATTTAAGTGTTTTGTCAATACCAGCTTTAGTATTGCCACTGGGCTTTATGGATTTTTAAGAGTTAGATTTCTTCCTTTTCTAAAGAAGCTTTGGAGCTAAATTTAAGTTATTATCAATTTGAGGACTAGACTATTTTTTAAGGTCTGACTTATCATTTGAAAAGAGTTTAAGAATTTTAACTTACTCTTTTCCCCCAAGAGTACTCATGTAGATTTTTCTACTCCTCCTTTCAAATCCCACGCAAGATATATCCATTGTGTCTTATTGCCAACCAGAACTCTTCCTGTGTTGCTTTAATCTTATTTCCTTTGGCATAGAGCAGCCCTCAAAAGGATACGAGATGAATAAAAAAATTCATGAGTTTTTACAAAATAAACCCAGGGGTTTGTTTTAAAAACAAATACTAAATGTTATTTCAGGAAAGTCTTGCCATTTTAGTAGAATCTGTAAGGAAAAACATTTTTGACATCATGCTCACATATTGGGTTAATAGCAGCCTATACAAACATAATCTTTCTATTTTCTTTTTAAGAAAAAAAGAGATATATGCTGATATACATCATATATAAATACACATATGCACAAATTATGAGTTCTTGTTTAAAATCACTTAACAAAAAGATGAAACACAAACACTGACCAAATATAAATGGATTAAATCAGAGTTTAGAAAAATAGTTCCCAGGGATTTCAAAGCCCCCAAAAAAGAAGTCATTTTAACCTTATCAAAAACAAAATTAACTTCACACTAGTCAACTGATTTTCTCAGCAAATTGGAGTGAAATAAATGACAGAAAAGTACTTTGAAAGTGGGTCAGATCTGGAAGTCTTATAGGCAGTTTTATCACATAGCTATATATTTTAGAAACTACAAAAGCATTTATTAGAAAATTAAATCTTAAAATGGAGAATTTAATACTCAGTTACTAGTTCTAATTTTTGCAATAGCCATAAGCAGGAGTTTGGCAACTTTCTTCAAACAGACACATTATTCTGGAACTTTGCATCCTGTCTCACACTGAGTCTACATCATAATAGTAAAGTATCTTCTCATCCAAAAATGTTGTCTTATTCTGAATCTCCTCTTCTCTGTTCCCCTAACACTTAGTGTATACCTTTATTATGGTATTTCTCAACCTAAACATTTGATTTAACTCTCTGTTTTTTTCCACTACACTGCTATTATTTTGAAGGCATAGGTTATGTCTTCTCCATTTTTATATAGCCAGTGCATGACCCACAGCAGTGTCTTTTTGTGAGCCAAATAAACCTCTTATGTATATCATTTGTGTTGCCACAGAAGAATAACTGCAGATGGGTAATTTATATATTTTTATGTATATTCTTATTTTATATATATTTTAATATATTGTATATATTACATAAAATATATAGTACATATTACATAATATATTGTACATATTACATAATATAATATATTGTACATATTACATACTATAATATATTGTACATATTACATAACATAATATATTGTACATATTACATAATATAATATATTGTACATATTACAAAATATATATTTCACATTACATAATATATATTTCACATATTACATAATATATTTCATACATTACATAATATAATATATTTCATACATTACATAATACATATTTCATACATTACATAATATATATTTCACATATTACATAATATATATTTCACATATTACATAATATATTTCATACATTACATAATATAATATATTTCATGCATTACATAATACATATTTCATACATTACATAATATAATATATTTCATGCATTACATAATATAATATATTTCATGCATTAAATAATATATATTTCATACATTACATAATATACTATATTTCATACATTACATAATATACTATATTTCATACATTACATAATATATTTCATACATTACATAATATACTATATTTCATATATTACATAATATACTATATTTCATATATTCCATAATATACTATATTTCATATATTCTATAATATACTATATTTCATATATTCTATAATATAATATATTTCATATATTCTATAATATAATATATTTCATATATTCTATAATATACTATATTTTATATAATATAATATACTTTATATTTTATATAATATACTTTATATATTATATACTATAATATACTTTATATATTATATTATATAATATACTTTATATATTATATTATATAATATATAAAATATATTATATAATATAATATATTTTATATTACATAACATAATATATTTTACATATTACATAACATATCTTACATATTACATAACATAATATATCTTACATTTTACATAACATAATATATCTTACATATTACATAACATAATATATCTTACATATTACATAACATAATATATCTTACATATTACATAACATAATATATCTTACATATTACATAATATATCTTACATATTACATAACATAATATATCTTACATATTACATAACATAATATATTTTACATATTACATAACATATTTTACATATTATATAACATATTATTTTACATATTATATAACATAATATATTTTATATATTATATAACATAATATATTTTACATATTATATAACATAATGTATTTTACATATTATATAACATAATGTATTTTACATATTATATAACATAATGTATTTTATATATTATATAACATAATGTATTTTACATATTATATAACATAATGTATTTTATATATTATATAACATAATGTATTTTATATATTATATAACATAATGTATTTTATATATTATATAACATAATGTATTTTATATATTATATAATATAATGTATTTTATATATTATATAAACACTGAGGGTCAAATTTCAACAGGAGATTTGGAGGGTCAAATATCCAAACTACAGCACCATTATATTCCCAAAGTCTATGCCCTTCCCCCTACAACAATTATATATTATATAGTATATATTATATAGTATATATAATATACTATAGTATATATTATATAGTATATATAATATACTATAGTATATATTATATAGTATATATAATATACTATAGTATATATTATATAGTATATATAATATACTATAGTATATATACTATAGTATATATAATACACTATAGTATATATAATACACTATAGTATATATACTATAGTATATATAATACACTATAGTATATATACTATAGTATATATAATACACTATAGTATATATACTATAGTATATATAATACACTATAGTATATATACTATAGTATATATAATACACTATATATAATACACTATATTTTATACTATATTATATATAATATATTTTATATATATATTTTATATATATTTTATGTATATAATATATTTTATATATATTTTATATATATAATATATTTTATACATAACATATATTATATATAATATATTATATATTACTATATATAATATATTATATATTACTATATATAATATATTATATATTACTATATATAATATATTATATATTACTATATATAATATATTATATATTACTATAATATTCATAATTATATAATCATATAATTATAATCATGTAATTATATAATTATATAATTATAATTATATAATTATAATCATAATCTTATATAGTATATAATATGTTATATAATATATAATATATTATATATATCATATAATTATATGATATATATAATATATTATATATATTATAAATATTATATAATTTTATTATATGTTATATATTATATCATAGTATATATTATATAATATATAATATAATATAATATAAATTATATAATATAAATATATGATATATTATATAATATATATTATATATTATTTTACATATCTTTATATATATACGCAAATATATAAATTACACATCTTCAGGTATTCCTCTATGGCAACACAAATGATATGATATATACATGAGGTTTATTTGGCTTTTGGTTCTGTGGGCTGTAGAAGAAGCATGGTGTACTTCTGGTGAAGGCTTCAGGTTGCTTCCAGGCAGAAGCAGAAAGGGAGCCAGTATGTGCAGAGTTCACATACTAAGAGAGGGAGCAAGAGAGAGAGATGAGAGAGAGATGAGAGGAAGGTGCCAGACTCTTTTTAATAACCAGCTCTCATAGGAACTAATGGAATGAGAACTCACTCAGTTCCCCCAGGGAGGGCATTAATCTGTTCATGAGGGATCTGTCCCCATGACTCAAATGCTTCGCAGTTAGGCTCCACTTCAACACTGAGGGTCAAATTTCAACAGGAGATTTGGAGGGTCAAATATCCAAACTACAGCACCATTATATTCCCAAATTCTATGCCCTTCCCCCTACAACAAACAAATATTCTAATGGATTTAACATGATTTTGTTTGTATGTGTCGTTTCAAAATGCATGTTTTGATTGCACATACATTTTTAGTGTGTATAAATTGGGTTTTTAATAAAAATCCTTTTTATTTTTTATGGACACTACGTTTTGAAAATACATGTATGTTGATATTTATATATTTAATACATTGCTCCATAGTATTATCTAATTTTCTACCAGAACCACCTGGAAATATGCACTCTGAAAGCATACGGAAACCGAATAAGTGAGAAGGAAAATCAATTCAGTGTCACCTAATCTTTCACTATAAAGAGTAAAGTGAGTTATATTTAATATACAATATTAACGAAGTACTTACACTACACATGCTTACACTACACATGCTCGAAGCATTCACATGTTTACGTTTAGGGATATTACAGGATTTTGCTTGATGTAATGTGTACGTCATTACGAAGTGCTTACACTACACATGCTCAGAGCATTCACATGTTTACGTTTAGGGATATTACAGGATTTTGCTTGATATACAGCATATAGCCTGCAGTAGAGAAACTATAAAAAATCCGGGAGAATAAATAATAAGAACTAGAGATGGGCTATAGAGCAGTAACAAGGATTAAAATAAAAATTCAGTTCCTTTTTAATCACTGGCAAATAGTAAAACTTTTCTCGGGAAACAAGAAAGTATCATTATTTAAACAAGTTTTGTATAACTTCTTTTATAAACTCTTTAATTTCTTTCTTCTTTCAAAACTAAGTTTATGGAGCTTGAACTACAGTACAGTCATTTTAACTTAATTTTGATAAGGATCCAGCAGGTTGGTGGTTATTATCCCCATTTTATTGATAAAGAAACTGAGGTGGTAAGAATGTGAAAAAGTCAGGGAGCTAACGCAAGGGAGGAATTAATTCAAACCTAGGTTTGGAGGAACACAGGCTTTAGTCAGAAATACTTTGTTCAAATCCTAAAACGCTGCTACTTACCAATTCTCTGACATTTGGCAAGTTACCTACATCCTCTGTGCCTTGGTTCCTAATCTGTCGAATGAAGTTACTGATGCCTATTTAAAGAATTGCTGTGAGTGTTACAGGGAGGACATAACTGGCACTTATTTATTTATTTATTCTTACTAAGCCCACATATTCCATAGCTGAAACAGGAGCTGAACCCATGCTTTAGGGTGTTAATTCACTATTTGTTCCGGGAGACTAGTTACATCTTTAACTAATCAACATACAATATTCTTATATGCAAAGTATCTGATGTCTAAATTACACTTTGTATCTTGGTCTTATTCTCTCTTCTCAATGCCTATTGGCCATAGTAGTCCTCCTCTACCACCAGAGTAATCTTCCTTCTGGCCCTGTGACTTGATCATGTTACTAATTTTAGCAGGAAAATACTATATTTGAAACCCTTCACAACCGGACCTGTGACTGCTTTTGAAATTCATCTGCTTCTATTGCTTGGGCTCCAGCTTGGGGCAGTCTGGTTTTTAATCCCATCTTCACTTTGACTCATGAATTCACTTCCTCCCATATGTATCTGCATCTTTGTTTCACATATACACCTTTCTTTAAGGCCTGTGAAGCCTTTTTCCTTCCCCCTAACATAAACACAGCTTCTTTGAATCTTTGCACTTTTTTTTTTTTTTGATAGAGTCTCACTCTGTTGTCCAGGCTGGAGTGCATAGAGTCTCACTCTGTTGTCCAGGCTGGAGTGCAGTGGTGCAGTCACGGCTCACTGCAGCCTTGACCTCCTGGGCTCAAGCAATCCTCCCACCTCAGCCTCCCATGTAGCTAGGCCTACAGGCATGTGCTGCCACACCTGGCTGGCTGGCTCTTTTCTTTCTTTCTTTTTCTTTCTTTCTTTTTCTTTCTTTTTTCTTTGTTTTCTCTTTCTTTTCTTTTCTCTTTTCTTTTCTTTTCTTTCATAGAGAAGGAGTCCCACTTTGTTGCCCAGGCTGGTCTTGAACTCCTGGGCTCAAGCAATCCTCCTACCTCAGCCTCCCAAAGTGCTGGGATTATAGGCATTAGCTACCACACCCAGTGAATCATTGAACTCAGAACAAAGTTTTCTTCTTCTTCTCCTATGACATGTACATAGAACTTCAAATTACAGACATTTGTATTCTTAACTCATTCTCCCTATTTAACTACAGCTTCTTGAAAACAAATTTTCTTACTCATTTCTTGTCACTTAATGCATGCATGAGACCTTATGTATGGTTGGTACTTAGTAAATATTAAATGAACATAACTAAATTAAAAGCTTGAAGGTTTTCACTTCTGGGTTGCAAGACCTGTGTTTCTTAAACTACTTTGGCCTTCCAGGTAACTTTTATAAAATCAAAATAAATTATCAAGAAGATGACAAAGAACGATTGATAAATAAAAGAGTTAAACTTTCAGAAAGCAGTGACAGCATTCATTTTACTCACAAGCCAAGACAGCTCAACAACACAATTAAAAGCTACCGAAGTAAGTTGGGATTCTTGGTGAAACAACATTGCATAATATCTCACAGTGGCTTTAAGTCACCACAGTGCAGGGGGTGAAAGCATTTTCCACTTGGAATCTAAGGCAACTTAAAAGGATTATTGATTTTTCCCTCTACTTATAAATGAGAGTCACATATTAGGAGTGAAAGCTGCAGACCCAACATAATGACCTTTCTACTTGGCTTCTTTTTCCTAACATAAACAGAATCACTTTCTGTGGTTAAGAGGATATTAAGCAGTCAATCTTGTAATTGTGTGCGTGTGTGTGACTGCCTGCTCCTTGAGAGCAAAAATTAGTAGCAACATTTTTAATTTTAAAAATTTTGGTTCTGTTCACTTAGCATTAGAAATCTCAATATCTAATTGTGTGTTTTCTCTTCCTGCTCTGGTGTTGAAAAGTCTTGTGTTTACTTAACGCCTCATCACTAATACACAAGTTCAGCTGAAAACGGTCACTTTATTGAAGACATAAGACCTGGCTTGACCTTGTTTAAGATGTAAGATTTAAAATAAACTTATCGTTTCCTGATGCGTTATCATAAGAAGAAAGATTCTAAAATATAAAATAGTGGGAAAGCCCATATTAAAACTGCCCTCCAAAACAAAGGCTGCGGGGTTGACAAAGTCATTAAAATCAGATTTTGTTTTGTCTGTCAGATTTCAATTTCGTGATTTAATTAGGGATTTTCTGAAAACAAGTTGAGGCTTGGTGGTTTTCCTGCTCTTTGTTGCTAGTTCCTTTCTCAGGGATTTAAAATGACTGCATTTTCTACAGCTTCTCACTCTTTTGAGTGAACTCTGAATTATTTCTGTGTTTCTTTTAAGATTTTCTTTCTTTCTTCACTATTCAATGACATCTAGCTTCTATTTTAATGATAGAAAAGTAATGATCTTGGGCGATCATCTGCAACTGCTTCACTGTAAGCAAGCAGAAACATTTTTGTGATTTGAAAGGTACCAGGTAGATCCTTTCTCTGTCTGAAACTGTTATCTCTAACACACACACACACACACACACACACACACACACACACACACACACTGCCAGTTGTTATGTCTGAAGTTCTCCCATTGAAGGGCTCCCATCAGTTCATTCTAACAAACACAAGTTTCACATACCATGTGAGAGAGTCATCCCTTTAGATACTGAAATTACAAAAATAATATCTGCAATTTGCCCAGCACTAATTATGCATCAAGCACAGAACTAAGTCTTCTACTTATATTCTCTCATTTCATCCTCACATCATCACAATGAGGTAAATATTAGAACCCTCAATTTCCATATGAAGAAAGTGAGGACCAGAGAAGTGACTTGGCCAAGGTCACAGAGCCTGTAAGTGTTAAATGAGCAGGTTTTTCTGATTTCAGAGATTGAGCTCTACCTGACACTGCTTCTGTGAATAAGGAAGTCCCTGTCAAGAGGTTGATAGCCAGAGACAAAATGGAAATAATTCTTAAGAGTTTGAAAAGAGCCTTCAATTTTGGCAAGAATCCCATTTTTACAGATAAGAAAACAGGTTCAGGGGATTTTCAAAGTTTCTCAGGCTTATAAACCTAATGTGTCAGTTACCAATTTGTAATGTCTCAGCTTCAAATCTACTCTCCATTGCATGGTATTCAGGATAGAAACAGACCCTGGGTATTAGTTTTCTATAGTTTCCATAACAAAGTACCACAAGCAGGGCAACTTAACCAACAGGAATTTATTTTCTGTTCTAGAGGCTAGAAGTCTGAGATCAAGGTGTTGGCAGGCTTGGTTTAATTGAGGCCTGTCTCCTTGGCTTGCAGATGGCTGTCTTCTCCCTGTGTCGTTACATGGTCTTCTCTCTGTACATGTCTGTGTCCTAATTTCTTCCTATAAGGACATTAGTCATATCGGATCAGCTGTCACTCTAACGAACTCAGCTAGCCTCAATTACCTGTTTAAAGATCTTATTTCCAGACACAGTGCCATCCTGAGTACTGGGGGTTGAAACTTCCACATGCAAATTTTGGGAGACACAATTCAGCCCATAACACTCTGTAAATTTTTACTTTTGCAGCTGCACAGTATTAAACTTTGTCAGTAGAAGGTGCAGAAGACACACTGGAAGAGAAAGGGTTTCTCATCCTGGTTCTGGTATGCTGCACTAGACAAGCCCCTGCAGCATATGCAGCACAGCCTCTGCAGAACCAGGCTCCTGTAGTATGTGTGGCTTCTGCAGCACATGGCTCCAGCAACACCTACCAGACAGCAGCACATGGCAATTCCCCACGGACAGCTGCTACCAGCTTCCTCTTATAAGGCTTTTAGGTAAAGGATCACCAGCATGGGACCTACCATGAGCAGCTTCTCCAGGCGCCCTCTTGGGTGGCTACACAACAGAATCCTGCTAGCCAGCCCAGCACCGCCTCATCCATGGCTTCTCTAGGGAACTTCCTTGGGGCAGCTTCACAGTGAGTTCCAAGGTACAGCAGCTCTCCAGAGCAGCTTCCCCCAGCAGCTCAGAGAGTGGCTTCTCAGTAAATGCTGCCAACATGGCACCTCCCGGTGGATGACTTTCCCTGGAACTTTTCTGGAATCCCCTTGGGTGTCCTTGCAGTCTTGTGAACATCTCTGCCATACAGTGAGCTACTGCTGCACTGTCTCCAATGAAATCCAGACTGTCTCAGGATGGGAAGGGGCATCCAGATTTGATTTTTTTTATTCCTTGGATATTGTTTTTCATACCCAGGGGGAAGTGGTTGTTTCCCATACCTACTATTCTTCTACTTATTATTATTTTTTTTAGTGTCTTTACTTCTAGTCAATCTCCTGTTAGTCTAATACCCTGTTAATAATTTCTTATATTAATTGTGTCTTTTTAAAATTATCTTTAAATTAAAAAAAATCTTTGTGTTTTCTATCTACCAATTAGACCCCAACTAATACAACCGGTAAGTGGCAAACCCAGTACCCAGATAATCCTATAAAAAAAGGAAAATGCATAGGTGTTATAAAGATTGAAAAGGAAAATGTAAAACTGTCATTCTTTCCAGAGGATAAGGTCATTTATTTAGAAATGCCAGCAGAATGGAGATGACGACCATAGATGACAGAAATACAATGGAAAAGAAATTAACAATAAAATTTAAACTGCAGTTCCTTACATAAATTAACAATGATAAATAGCTATAAACTTGGGATTGTAATTAATTTGTCTCTCTACCAAAATTCTAAAAAGTGTAGAATTTAAGAAAATAAAAGTCTATAGGAATGAATGACATCAGCTAGGGAAGAGTTTTATAAGCAGAAGCAAGAGGGCTGATATCAACGAGAAATGTAGTAGAGATAGAATAGCCAGCAAAGAGACTGAAAAGGAAGGAACAAGAAAAAATGTGGGCATATAATGTGGAATCCTAGTAAAAAGGAATCAGCAGAACTGTGGACTGTCAGCCAAATCTGACCGTCCTCCCACCCACACACTCCAGCCTTCTACCCCTACCTGTTTTTGGACAGCTCCTGAGCTAAGAATCAGTTTTATGCTAAAACAGAAAAGTTGAATAGTTGCAACAGAGACTGTTTGGCAGCCAAAGTCTAAAATATTATCACCTAGCACTTTACAGGAAAAGTGTAATGACCCTGCTAAAGAAGTGTCTCAAATGCTTTTGTGAGACAGAGTAAAATGCGGACAAAAATATGACCATTTGTTTGCTTGAATTCTGTGTCCTCTGAAAGTGAATTTCACATCCCTAAAACTCAGATCAGATATAATCTAAACTTTTTCTCCTTAAAATTGAACTTTACCAACTCTTGAACTCCCATTCTCTAAAATTCAGGATATACTCAGTCTCATTTCATATACTTATCCTACCTAGGGATAATCTAAATTCCAGGCAGCTTACTTATCCCTCTAAAATTGAGGAGAAGGCCAGCCTGGTCTACAGCAATCCTCCATCATCTACTGACCTCTATCAAGATGCACATTCCTCACCAACCTTTGATGGCTGGCACTGACCTCTGGTGTATTGTCTACCCTTTGATCACCAGGTTGATGCCAGTCATACACTGTCTTCATCATACCAATTATGCCAGGTGAAGTCTTCCAGCTTACTCACCATTCCTTTTTCACCTCTCTCACTTAGACTCTAGGCAACTTTGCTGTGCTTTTTCATGTACCATACTGGATGGGCAGAAATCTGTGAGAGCTTACCCCTCTACTGATATCCTTCTATTCAACAAGCTTCTCTGGGGGCGTGGGTTCACACCAGGCCACCCCAAGAAAGCAAAGCACAGGTGTTGTTCAGCCCAAACTTATCAGAAACAGAGAGAAAGTGGGTCTATGATTTTTGAACTTGCTTAGAGACATTCTCCAAGGTCTGACTCTGCATTTTCTCTCACAATTCTGAAGCCTTTCCCAATTTTAACAATTCTTTCAGTGGAAGAAAAACTAATTCTTACAACATTTTATTTTTTAATTATCTTTAATATAGCAGAGAAAGTAATGAGTGAGGTGATATCATGGCATATTTCATATGTATTAAAAATTAATAAGGGAATTTTATTAAAAACTTAATGCCCATAAATTTTACAACTTAGATAAAATAGACAATTTCCTTAAAAGGCATAAATTACCAAACTCAATAAAGAGAAAATAGATAACTCAGACAGCTGTATGTATTATATAAATTGAAATTGTATTTAACAGTCTTTCCCAAAAGAAAACTAGAGATCCAAATATTTTCACTGGTGAATTCTACCTAACGTTTATGAAGAAAATAATGCCAAGTCCACATTAACTCTTCCAAAAAATTAAAGAGGATGAAATACTCATTGTATGAAGCAAGGATTACTCTGATACCAAAACAAAATATATTACAAGAAAAGAAAACAACAGACCATATCCCTCATAAAAATAGCTACAAATATTCTAAACAAAATTTTAGCAAATCAAATTTTACAATACATTGAGATGATAATACATCATGACCAAGTTGAGTTTTTCTCATAAATGCAAGTTTGGCTTTATATCTTCAAAAAAAATCAATGTATTAAAAGACTTAAAAAATGAAAGCCATGTGACCATCTCAATAAATGCAAAAAAAAAGCCTTTGACAAATTCTAACACCCATTTCTGACAAAAATAAATAAAACTCTCCATATCAGGAATGAAAGTGAACTTTTCTCAAACCGATAAAAAGCATCTACAAAAAAAGTGGAGCTAACATCATATTTAATTGTATAAGTTAAAGTAAGAGCAGAATGTGAATTGTGTTGATGTCAGGTTAAAAACCAATACTTTGTCCTACAGGCCAGAGATGGCCTATTGGTTTTATTTCAAATGCCAAATCTAGTAAACTACATTGACAAGAATTCTGAGACCACATTCAATCTTTGCAAGAAATAGAGTTTTAAGATAAGGGCAATATGAAGTGGTACGTGCCTGTTATCATTGCTACAAACAATAGGAAATTACTGACAATATAGGAACCACATCAATAGAGAACACAATAGAATCTCAAACTTGAAGGGACATAAACATTTAAACTTGTTTTCTATTTTTATTTTTATTTTTTATTTTACTTTAAGTTCTGGGACACATGTGCAGAACCCGCAGGTTTGTTACATAGGTATACATGTGCCATGGTGGTTTGCTGTACCTATCAACCTGTCATCTAGGTTTTAAACCCCATATGCATTAGGTATTTCTCCTAATGCTCTCCCTCCCCTTGTCGCCCACCACCTAACAGGCCCCAGTGTGTGATGTTCCTCTCCCAGTGTCCATGTGTTCTCATTGTTCAACTCCCACTTATGAGTGAGAACATATGGTGTCAAACTTGCATTTTAAAAAGAACATACTGATGAGGGGGTGCAGAATAACTCATATAAGAGATTAAATATGAAGCTAGTATTATACTCGCAGTAATGAGGTGCCTTTCCAAGATTTAATAAAAGGATAGACTACTTATGCCTACAAAGATAAGAGCAAAGACATTATGAACCATATTAAAGAGGCCAAATAATTCTTAGACTAAAACTCTAAAAGAACTCAGTGAGAGCTTGGTCATAGATCAAGAAATAATTTGTTAATCAAAAGGAGGATGACAATTGTTATGATTATTGAAAGTGAATCATCAATAAAGAAATATCAGTTGATCTATAGCACTTTTCAATGGAAAGGATGTGCTGAACTATAAAAGGAATTGTCTAGTACTCACGGCCACTATGACTCTAAGGTGATATGAGTTCATTAGACTTCCATAGCTCCAAAAGACTAGTCATTAAAATCATCTGATCAACACCTCTCACTCTGATTCTATTCCTACCATCAACTTTCTAGTTATCTTTTGGTTTGCATGTGATTTACCTTTAAAGAAAGTATCCTGATTACTGAACTCTGCTCTCTGGTTCAATTTTTTTTGTATTATTAATTTCAAAATTAGCATTATATTTTATATATGCATTTATTATGACTTAGGTAGTTAAGTTTCAGCACCCTGTAAACTCTATAAGTATTAACTCCCATGTTTCTAAGACCCCTCTAATCCTGAATTGTAATGACTAAACAAAGTTACCACTACTATGGAAATATATAGCTCTGTCTCACTGCTTACCTCCAAATTGTAACAAACAGCACAATACATATTTGTTTTGTTGTAGTATAAAGAAGGGTGGAATATATATATAAGTATAATAAAGATCTTAACACTAATTCCCTTGCTATGCACCCCAAACCCAGGTAAAAGTATGTTGTGGAACACTGTAAGAATAATGCAATTATTGTGTTAAAAACAAAAAAAACTATCACATACTTTTGAATTTTAGAACTAAATTGACCATTACAAAAGATAAGAAGACATTGCCTAGAAATCTGATAATCTAATGTGATATATTTCGCTCTTCTCTCTTCTGGTATTGAACAATGAAAAAACAAACTGTTACCAAAAATAGCTACCTTACTCGAATATAATTGTCCATGCTGCATTAATTTTTAATTAATCTTGGATAGGCAAGCATTGCAGTATCCCTCTAAAAAATATTAAACATTTAAATTATATTCTCCCTTAATCAACTTATTATATTAAGAAAAGAAAACAACTATTTTGGCAACTTCAGCCTTCATTGGCTTTCTTTTTTCTTGATTTCCATGAAGATTTTAAGGGCATGTTCTCATTAGGTCTTCCACATATTTGCCCATTTTTCATTTTTTGAAATTAAAAAATATATATATATGAATGATATCAGGCATACTTTTGGCACTTCTCCATTTTAAAGCTGACAAATGGAGTTCAAGATAACAAACTGCCAAAGACTGTGGGGAAAACAGAGAGCAAACATTGAGTGTGCCAAGCAAGTTGTTTGCCATCAGTCATATTGACATAATGTGCCTACACTGAGAGAGACATAACAGCATCCTGCTAGATAATTCTAGGGAAAGGGGGTGAAAGCTTAATAGAACAATCAGTGGGTTACTTTTTTACCTATTTAAAGAATGATTACAAAATGACTTCTTAGATTGGATTGCTGATTGACATGCACTCATTTACAGTCAAGAGTTTTTAGGACAACACGTGGAGAAAGAGATATGGACGTAACCACACCAGGATTGTGTTTTTATGTGACCCAGGAGATAACCTTGAAACAATAGAAAGATAACAAATTGAAAACTGGCATATTTTTATATAAAAAATACAATTTTTACCCTCAAGAAATTTACAATAAGATAAAAAAATTTGAAATTTTTAATTTAAGGAAATCTTTGCACATTCTTTTTCTCTTATTTGTCAATAAATTTACAAATATTAGCTAACTTAAAAGAGTTCTGAGAAATAAGCAAAAGATGAAAACTATACAAAGAACAAAAAAACTTTCTTATTTCCTATTTTGAGGAAAAAAGTATTCATCTCAAAGGCTTAGTTTGGTAGTGGTAGACAGTCCCAATATTATTTTGGAACTTGCCTGATCGGCTGGAGATATTACATAAGGGTATCTACATCATAGGATCAGGAAAACTCACATTCTTTGATTCATTCAGCTAGTTAGCCCCTCTAGTGTGGAGTACAAGTTTAGGGTGAACAAAAATACACATACAGAAATTATGTCATAACATGATAAAATAAAATGTAATAAAAATAATGAATGTTA
This sequence comes from Homo sapiens, assembly GCF_000001405.40. Taxonomy (NCBI): domain Eukaryota; kingdom Metazoa; phylum Chordata; class Mammalia; order Primates; family Hominidae; genus Homo; species Homo sapiens. The sequence goes on from NC_000021.9 coordinate 16,984,416, forward strand.
TATGGCTGAAATGCCCTTCATTTAATTCCGACTGATTATTAAGATATTCAACGGACCAGTTTAAAGCCAGACAGCTAAAACTTCTACCTAGATGTGTGGTGCACTGCAAACCCATCATGCTGAAAATTTGATTCACTATATATTCATCTAAAAATTATTTTTAGAACATACTATGTTCAAGGCAATGTGACTTTTCCTTCTCCTTATTTCTACTCTCATGTTCAGAAAACATAACATATGAAAGTAGACCAAAGACTAAATATTACTGGCTACTATATACACCAAGATCAGTTTTTATCAAGTATTTGTACTTCTTCATATGTATGGACATTATTCAGCAAATACTTGCACGAAATAACCTATTAGCTTGGCCGGTTGCCTTTGGTTCCCTCTATACCTTCTTGTTTCAGAAACTTCCCATCTCAGTATGGTACAATATCCACAGGTCCCTGTTTGTGGAATCTCTACAGTGGCTCTCCATCAGTTTCAGGGTTTTTACTGGCTTTAGTAAAATCAAAGGCATATAACTATCATTCTTGGAAAGTTTAGAATTTTGTTTCTATCATAAAATGTTTTCATATGATTGATGATATGCCAGAAATATCACTGCTTTACAATACATACCTCTAGAAATAGTGAGGGGATTTCAAAATTTTGGTTTATACCCCAAAAAGACAGTAAGAATAAAAGATGTGTTAACTGATGAATTCAGTGAATAATCTCTAAATGGAATTCTCTCATTCTTTTCTTACTACTATACCCCCTTTTATAATTTCCTGTCTCTGAACAAGCATGTGCATGTGTATTCACATGTGCACACACAGAGAAAGTTACATGAATCCCTTTTTTTCTTACTAGAACCTGAAATGGTTTCCTCTACTTAAGGTCTATGATACTTGACACTATTAAACGATGGGCTCTTTTTCTATTTTAGTTTTCTTTTACTTTACTTGCTATGTAACAATAAATATTTGCACCCTACTGACCAAGATTTTAAAAAAAAGAGGGAAAGGAAAATAAAATGTTAGCTCTGTTTGTGGTATTCACTTAATCTTTTTCAAAATGAATTCCATAGTATTGAAAGATAAGAAAAAATTATCTTACTTGGCAAGGCCAAATTTATTATAAAGTATATTTGTTCATTTTGCAAGTCAGTTTTTGCTAAAATAAGAAATTTATAATCCTCAGAAATCTATGAACACAGATCATAATATTGGCAAAAATAATTTTCTAAAAATATTTGGTATGTTTATAACTGATATGCTGTCTTTTGGAAATTACTTAAGCATCAGATAACATAAAAATTGTTTTTATCCCTCTCTAATAACAGTATTTCTAACTTGTAACTACTTATAGAAGACATGATGGCACTAGTAAAAGAGTAAAGTATCAAATAGGAATATTATATTATTTAGGGTAAGGTAAGGTAAAGTAATAAATAAAATCAAAATTTCAGCAGTTTAATACAATTGAAGTTTATTTCTCAGTCATAAGTGTGTGCTCCTGGTTGGTGGAGACTCTTCCTCATGCTATAATTTAGGGACCCAAACTTTTTCTAAACTGTGACTCTGCTCTGTCCTAAAGGCTTCAACATTATTACCTGGCTCTAGGTGTATGAGACAGGTACCATTGCTTCTTAAAAGTCGTACCTAGAACTTGAAAACATCACTTCCTCTCACATTCCAGAATTATTTACAGGGTCATACCTAGCTTCAAGGGAAACTAGGAGATAAAATTCCACCGGGAACAGCCATCACGCTAAACCATGAAAACGTGCATAACTTTTGGTAGACAAACCTTTAACCCCATTATGTTCAGATAAGCCCAAAGTATTCAACCAAGAAATACGATTTTTGAATAAATCACAAAAAATTTAGAAGTCATAAAATCTTTTGGAAAACATGTGTTAATACATCTCTGTGGCATACTTGTTTTATTTCTTATATTTCTTAAATTGCTTAAAATTACTGTTTTGCTCACCAAGGGCATCAATTTATTCATTTTACTACTGACCAAACAAAAATATTGCATAAATGTATAATAATGCAACAATGTAACCCTGATTCATTTAGTTTCCTAATCATAATTTCAAGAACATATCTACAGACAGCAAATACATACCTACATTTGTTTCCTGGCTCTTTTTAATATGAAATTCCAATAGATGTCTATGATCCTGACCATGTGAACACTGACATTAAAAACCAAGATGGAATACCCATAAATTTTTCACATTTGTCTACTACTTATAAACAGGCAATTCTGGTTGCCTGTGTTTGTGGGTTATTGCTCAAGAAATGTTTTCCCAGACCAATATCCTGTAGATTTTCCCCGATGTTTTCTTGTGGCAGTTTCATAGTTTGAGGTCTTAGATTTAAGTCTTTAATCTAGTTTGACTTGACTTTTGTGTACGGTGAGAGATAGGGGTCCAGTTTCATTCTTCGGCATATGGATATCCAGTTTTTCCAGCACAATTTATTTAAGAGACTCTCCTTTCCCTAGTGTATGTTCTTGGCACCATGTCAAAAGTGAGTTCACTATAGGTGTGTGGATTTATTTCTGGGTTCTCTGTTCTGTTCCATTGGTCTACGTGTCTGTTTTTATGCCAATACCATGCTGTTTTGTTTACCACAACTCTGTAGCAAGATCTGAAGTCGAGTAATGTGATTGCTCCAGTTTTGTTCTTTTTGTTTAAAATAGCTTTGGCTATTCTGAGTCTTTCGTGGTGCTATATAAATTATATGATCTTTTTTCTAATTCTTTGAAGAATAATATTAGTATTTTGGGATAGGGATTGCATTGAATCTGTACATTGCTTTGGGTAGTATAGACACTTTAACAATATTGAGTCTTCCAATAAATGAACATGGAATATTTTTCCATTGCTTTCATTAGTCTTTTATAGTTTTCATTATAGCGATCTTTCCATTCTTTGGGTAATTTTTAGGTATTTATTTTATGCATGGCTATTATAGATGTCATTACTTTTTAATTTCTTTTTCACATTATTCACTGTAGGCATATAGAAATGCTACTGAGTTTTGCATGTTGATTTTGTATCCTGCAACTTCACTGACTTTGTTTATCAGTTCTAACAGTTTTCTTATAATCTTTAGGTTTTCCTAATTATAAGATCATATCATGAGCAAACAAGGTTAATTTGACTTCTTTCCTTCCAATTTGGATGCCCTTTATATCCTTCTCTTGTCTGATTGCTCTAGCCAGTAATTCCAGTAGTATGTTGAATAACGGTGGTGAAAGTGGACCTCCTTGTCATTTTCCAGATCTCAGAGGAAAAGCTTTCAGTTTTTTTTCCCATTTAGTATGATAATACCTGTGGGTCTGTTGTATGTGGTTCTTAAATGTATTGAGGTATCTTCCTTCTATTCCCAGTTTTTTGAGGGTTATTATCATGAAGGAATGTTGAATTTTATCAAATGCCTTTTCAGAAACAATGGAAATCATAAGGTTTTTGGCCTTCATTCTGTTGATATGATGTATCATGTTGATTGATTTGCATATGTTGAAGCATCCTTGCATCCCAGGGATAAATCCTAGTTGGTCAGGATAAATGCCCTTTATAATGTCTTGTGGAATGCAGTTTGCTAGTATTTTGTTGAGGATTCTTGCATCAATATTCATCACAGATACTGGCCTGCGGTTTTCTTTTTTTGATGTGTCTTTGGTTTTGGTATCAGGGTAACACTGGCCTCATAGAATAAGTTTGAAAGTATTCTCTCATCCTCTATTTTTTGGAATAGTTTGAGTAGGATTGGTATTAGTTCTTCTTTAAGTGTTTGGTAGAATTTGACAGTGAGGCCATCAGGTTCTTTACTGGGAGACTTTCTATGACAGCTTCGATCTCATTACTTGTTATCCGTATTTTCATGTTTTGGATTTCTTCCTGGTTCAATCTTGGTAGGTTGTATGTACCTAGAAATGTTTTTATTTCTTTTAGATTTTCCAATCTATTGGCATATAGTTGCATGTAGTACCCCTTAATGAGCCTTTGAGTTCTGCATTATCAGCTGTCTCCTTCTTCATTTCTGATTTTATTTATGTGGATCTCCTCTTTTTTTTCTTAGTTATTCTGGCTAAAAGTTTGTAATTTTGTGTAATGTTTTTTAAAAAAAACAACTTTTTGTTTCATTGACCTTTTGTATTTTTTATTTCAATTTCATTTATTTCTGCTCTGATCCTTATTATTTATTTTCTTCTACTAATTTTGGGTTTGGTCTGCTCTTGCTTTTCTAGTTCTTTAGGATGCAATGTTAGATTGTTCATTTGAAGTTTTTCTTATAGCTATAAATTTCCCTCTTAGTACTGATTTTACTGTATCTCATAGGTTTTTGTATGTTGTGTTTACATTATCATTTGTTTCAAGAAATTTTTCAATTTCCTTCTAATTTCTTCATCAACCCACTGGCCACTCAAGAGCCTATTGTTTGATTTCCATGTGTTTCTATAGTTTCCAAAATCCCTCTTTGTATTACTTTCTAATTTTATTTAATTGTGGTTAGAGAAGATGCTTGACATTATTTCAAATGTTTTAATGTTTTAAGATGTGTTTTGTGACCTAACATATGGTCTATTCTGGAGAATGATTCATGTGCTGAGGAAAAAAGTGTGTACTCTGTAGCTCTTGGATAAAATGTTCTTTAAATATCTATTGGATGCATTTGGTCTACAGTGCAGATTAATGTTTCTTTGTTGATTTTCTGTCTAGAAAATCTGTCCAACGCTGGAAGTGAGGTGTTGAAGTCTCCAGCTATTACTTTATTGGGGCCTGCCTATCTCTTTAGCTCTAATAATATTTCCTTTCTATATATTGATGGTCTAGCATTGGGTGCATATATATTTAAAATTGTTATATCCTTTTGCTGAATTCATTTCTTTATTATTATATAGTGACCTTCTTTGACTCTTCTTATAGTTTTTGTCTTGAAGTCTATTTTGTCTGATATAAGTACAGCTACTGCTACTTTTCTCTGGCTTTTGCTGGCATGGAATATCTTTTTTCATCCCTTTATTTTCATTCTATGTGTGTCTTTATAGGTGAAGTATGTTTCTTGTAGGCAACAGACTGATTGATTTTTTTTCATCCATGCAGCCATCTTATGTCTTTTGATTGGAGAGTTTAGTCCATTTACATTTAAAGTCGTTATTGATAAGTAAGAGCTTACTCCTGCCATTTTGTTATTTATTTTTTCTCTTTTTTAGTTGCCTTCTCTTCCTTCTTTCTTTCCTTCTTGTCTTCCTTTAGTGTAGATGGTTTGATTTAGTTTCTTTCTTTTCATTTTTTGTGTCTCTATTCTATGTTTTTTGGTTTAAGGTTGCCATGAGGTTTGCAAATACTGCCTTGTGGCCCATTATTTTAACCCAATAACAACCTAACACTACATAAACAAACAAACAAAAAGAAAATTAATAAAAACTCTACATCTTAACTTTGTCCCCCTACTTTTTAACTTTTTGTTATTTCTACTTATATCTTATTATACTGCCTGTGCCTTGAAAAGTTGTTGTAGTAATTATTTATTATTAGTTCATTGTTTATTCTTTTTACTTAGGATAAGAGTAGCTTACACACCACAGTTACAGCATTATCATATTCTGTGTTGTTCTGTGTACTTACTATTACCAATGAGTTTTCCACCTTTAGATGATTTCTTATTGCTCATTAATGTTAAACAAGTAATTTCAATATCTCTATTTGATCTGCAATAATTCACCCAAACTCCAGATTAATTTCCAGCTGATTAGTTCAATTTTTAGCACAGACACAGTTTACTCAAAATTAACACATCCAAATCAAACTGGATCTTCTCACTCTATACATAAAACCTGATGGTCTTCAAATATTTTGAATGATGCACTCATTCATTAATCAAATAAAATTATGCATGGAGCTCATGTGAGAAGTGTCAACTCTTTGTCAATATACTCTAAAAGAGGGTCATTTTGGTAAAACAGACACACACAATAACCAATAAAAAGCAATGCTGCTACCTATCCTAATGAAAATAGCCCTGCATGCATGATTGTTAAACAGTCAAAAAAAGGGACCAAACATTGAAAGAGATTCAACAGGTAGGAAGAGATGAAAAATGAATAAATCAAACAGATTTTAAATAAAAATGCAATAATTCAAAAAGAGAAGATCATTTTATTTCAAATCCATGATTGTGTCAAGTAAAGAGAATGCTGACTTCATAAAAAGAGATTGCTAGAGACATAACAGAATAAGAAATCAAAGAGTTCATAGAAACTATTAATAAAAAATTAATTTCCATTAAATCACCAAATGAGTATTTCTGAGTCTAAAGTCCTATCTTAGGATTTCCAGATACAATACAGGACACCCATCTAGATTGGAACTTCAGATGCCTAATGATTACTTTTTTTAGTCTAAGTATGACCCAAATATTGCATGAAACATGCCTATGTAAAGGTAATTTATTGACAAGGAAGGGGCAAAGTAATCTGTTGCTTCTCTGAAATTCACATTTGACTGGGTGCCCTGTATTTGTATTTGCTAAATATGACAGCCTTAAGTATTATGCAGTTAGTGAGTGGAGATTAGATAATACACAAAGAAGAGCATAAAGAAACTATAAACTAAGTTTGTATTAGTTTTCTCTTAAAAAATATAATTTCCAGTTAAAATGAAAATCACTAAATACAAAAAAAAATTGCATGACTAAAGACTTAAGTAGGAGTCTAAAAGACAGAGTCTAGAAATTCTCTTATAAATTAGATCAAAAAAGATAAAGAGGAAAAGCATGAGGGAAAATTCATAGGCTATATAAAGATTAGATTCAAAAAGCTAACATCTATCCCTTAAGAGTTCTGGAGGGAAAAACAAGGACAATGGAGAGGAGGAGAGAGTTTTCAGAGTACCATGGTTTAATTTTACGTAATGAAAAGTTAATAGAAATTTTCTAAAATTGGAATTCCTAATAAAAATATTTTAAGGTGAGATAGAAAACCAAAAATGAATTTGTAATAACATAATTGTCGAGGTGGCAGAGAAAACAGAAGAGAAGAAGAAAAAATATGCTAAAATCATTATTTTCAAATGGAGGAGAATAACATTACTCAAGATAGATGTATTTATTATTTAGACCTGTAGTGATATATTTAGTCCAGATTTCTCAAAACAAAGCTTCAGGTTAAGGCTTGAATGCAGGTAGTTTATTTGGGAAGTAAATTCACTAATCAGGAATGAAAAAATTAGTGAGTGAGACAGGGAAGGAAGAAAAGCAAATATAAGAACAGGTTGTTGACTTGGCTACCATAACAGGTGACTAAAACTCAATTCTAATGTATTTTCTGAGGAGCATTAGGAAAATTATTTTGCATTAATCTCCCAGGAAATGAAAGAGGAAAAACTTAGCTATACATTTTATGCCCCGTTGGTTAAAGCCAATAATGTGTTCTATCTGATGTCAACACAATCAAAACTGTGATCAGAAGCAAAGGACTTAACAGAAACCTGAGGCAAGTGAATCTGTATAGTTGTCTTTTCCATGTGAAAGCAAGTTGCATTTAATCATCTGTATTGATTGGCATTAAGAAGATTACATTCACCAAATCAATAGACATATCTGAAGTGCTTAAAGTTGTGTCTATATTTTCTAGTCTGCCAAGGCTAGACATTCATTATTTCTCAGCTACACTTAATAATTAGATGCTGGGCCTCATTTTTATAACAGAAAGTCTGGAAATGTAGCAGATAAGAATCTCCTTAGAAGCTGCCACAGAGCCCCTCTGGTTTTAACAGTATGCCTTAAATTGATCATTAGCTAAAAACAAACTAGTCCTTTTCTTTTTTCAGTGCATCATAACAGTTTACAATAGCCGGACAACTCCACTATTCCTAAAACTGCTATTTTTTTCCTTCCATTCAAGGGCAACAATTTCTGCATAACCCAACATTTTCCCTTCCCCCATTCCTTCATTCAAATTCATCACAAGTGTCTGATGTTTAATTTTATGTGCCAGCTTGGCTGGGCCAAGATGCTCAGATATATGATCAAACATTATTCTGGATGTTTCCATCAGGGTGTTTTTGAATGAGATTAACATTTAAATCAGTGGACTTTGAGTAAAGTAGGTTGCCTTCTCTGATGGCGGGGGTGGGGGCGGGGGGTGGAGTTTCATCCAATCAGTGAACTCCTGTATAGAACAAAAGACTGCCCTTCATTGACAATAAGGAATTCTACCACTAGAGGCCTTCGAACTTGAACTGCAACATTGACTCTTCCTGGGTTGTCTCTAGTCTACCAGCCCATCCTGTAGATTTTGGACTTACCAGCTTCTATAATCATATCAGCCAATTCTTATAATTACAATATATAATAAATTGTATAAATCTATATATGTATATATACATATATATAAAAGAAGGACTATGTGTTTGTGTATGTGTGTACATATATACATTTATTATATACATATACATGTATTACATATCTTATATACATCTATATGTACATATCAATATTTTACTCCACTTATTTAATATGCATTTTTTATCAAAGTCTTCTTTGTAATTCCTATTATCTCAACTTTCAGAATTTCCTTTTCTAGCATTCAGCATGTTGGTAGTAATAGATTAGAACTTTGATCATATTCACATAATCTAAAATTCATTTACTTTAAAATCTTTAGAATCTTATTGTATTTTATAAATATTTTTCAATAGTCAAAAAGCAGCATTGAAATCTCAACAAAGATTCCACCATCCCAGTGGGAATAAATCTCTATTTTACAAGCTATAGCTATCTGAGTCAAAGTAATTTTCTATATTATGTCCCGTTATAAGTAATTACATTATTTTTACACTGTTCATCCAATATTAGAGAAAATACTTGAACTCTGCTGCCTGAACATTACTCTAGGCACGATACAAGAGAAAATGTAATCATAATATCGACAGCTCTGTTTAAACTCCCTTCAAAGAAGTTTGGATCAGTCTCACACTGTGTCTGAAAGCAGATATTTATAAATTGCTTTGAATTATATGACACCTTTCTTCTCCCAAGGAGCTTATTCTTATAGTATTTATTCTGTGGCATTTCAAATAATTGATTTGTTTCAGTGTGCATGTCCAGAGGCCCCAAGGACATGGCCATGTTTTTCACAGATCTAATAACTAAAATTAACTTGGGGCAAAAACCAATGAAGGGAAGCTAATGCAATCAAGTGGGAGGCACGAAGACTCCGCGTGTTGTGTGTTGTTCATCTCATGGAATATTCTTTGTGTGTGCTGAAAGATATTGAAGATATATAAGATACTGAATTTTCTGTTTCTATTTCTGACCCTCTGCTGACTCAGTAACTGACTGTGGACAAGGAGACACTAAATATTTTGCAGCTGCACCACATTTACTTAGCAGAAATTATGTTATTGGTGAGCTGTGTTCTAACAGCATTATCTGCCAGACATTATACTGACTAATGACATCATATTATAAATAAATTAAAATTCCTCAGATGATGAGAACTTCCAAACATAGCTTATATCTTTTTTTACTGAATAAAACAGAACTCCCACTGCAGCTCCACTCAGAGCCCAACCTAGTGTTACTTGACCCATGAAAATTCCTTGAAGTCTCTAATAAACGTTTGCCTCAAGAGAATTTAGCAATATTGCCTGAGTTGCACAGTGATCAAAGATCTTATCTAATATAACAACAGAAATTGAAACAGAAGACGACAAAGATGATGCTAAAAACCCAATATTCAATAGGTAGCATTTTATAAGACATTAACACTGTTCCTTGAACTTACAATATAACTATTTTCTATTATCTGCCCAGAATATAACTATAATGTGTGAAGTTGTATTTAGTTAAATTAGGTTGGTATGAAATGCTGTAATCTAAAAAAAAAGCAAGAATATAAGTCACTGTTGATGTTGTTTCAGTCTGAATCTAGAGTTAATTTCTACTTTCCATAAGGTATTTGTTTTGTCTTGTTTGGTTTGGTTTTAAATAGATGTCAAATGCCTATGAATTTCCTAGGAGTATATTTCTCAACATTATTATATGCTCAAGCTGTCAGTATGTCAGACATAGAGAAGAAAGGAGTAAGGAGTATGATACACATCTGTACATTTATTTTGTATAAATTAATGACAATCCCACTTGAAATCCAATTAATATATTAATAATGAATGCAATCTAGATATCTTGGTAAAATCTCAACAAGAATAAAAACAGATTTAAATTTTAAAAAATTGTTGTTTTTTGTGTGTATGTGTTTTTAACATAGCCCATTTTCCATTTCTTTTTCCATTAGTTAATAGTTCCATGGGGCTTTCCCCTGGGCCAATAGCTGGGCTTTGATCTCACATTTCTAGCAAATCTCTGCCAGTGGAGGCAATAGTGTTGCCTGCCAGTTCAATTCAGTTCTTACCTCTTTTTCTAATTGTTCTGATGTCCTCAGAATCCCATGTGCCAAAATAAACCCTTGTCTGTCTGTTTCACAGCTCTATGTGCCTGAGCTGGTTTCCACAAACACAGAAACATCTCCTGCACTAATGATCTTCTACACAAGTATAGGTATGAAAAGAGCTGTATATGGGATTCTCTTCAGAAAAGTATTCCTCTGTTCAGTTATGAAGGTAAAGATTGGGTTCAACTTTTCAAGTTATTCTATGTTATGAAAACTTTTGTTTTCTTTAATAACCTTGATATTAGCCTTTCATCTTAATACATATAGAGTTAATGATTATGGATTTTAAGGAGGAATAGCTGTCTTACTTCTGTATTTTTCTTCAGTGATGTTCTATTGCACAGATGTAGACACTATGCAGATATTTGGATTTAACTTTGGTTACTGTCTCTTCAAACAGGTAACACACAACAAGACTTAAAGGTATCGTATGCATACACAATAGCATTCAAAATAATGAATCTCTTGACACTTTCTAAATGTTTAGCCCACCTAAGGCACATCTCTCAATATGTCTATAGTAAGAATACAATTAAGAAGTAATCTGTTTTTGCTTCTGCCTCCAGCCATGAAGGAGTAATAGGGCTAAGATTTACCCTCCCATTTTAAACAACAAACAACTAAAAAATAAAGTAAAATATAATCAATGGTTTTCAGATATTAGACAATGGGTAGTACAGAAGAATAACCTCTGAGAAAAGGAAAAAAAATAAAGTGAGCCCTACAATTGTCCCATCTTGCTAACTACAAATGTTTCCAGGCTAGAGCACAGGAAGAAGAAATGCATAGAGAGCCTATGATATTGCTGAATTGAGAAGACAAGTACAGAGTTCAGAGATGCCAAGGCATCTAGAATTCACAGGCAGCATACTGGAAAGAGGCAACTACCTAAGAAAGAACCTCAGAGGTCTGCAAAGGGCTCCCCTTGGGGCTTCGTCATGAGCATGAGCATGATTAGCACATGCAGTGTGAAAAGCTCCCTATTTCATGGGGCATTGAATAGAGTCCTCAGAAGGGCATTGCTTCAAGCACACCTAGAAAGGATTGGCTTCTTTTCAAGCAACTTACTGTTTTACAGAATAAAGTTCAAAACTACTAAAAAGAATGCAAATACTCTAGAATGTCACATATAAAATTTCAATTAAAAAATAGGCATAAGACAAAAACGGGAAAAATCAATCAGTACCAACAGACACAGGAATGACAGACATGACAGAAATAATAGACATGAAAATTAAAGCAGTCATTATAAATAGGCTCATTATGTCCAGGAAAATAAATGAAAACAATCATAATAAGGAGAGACATGGGGGAAAAAAGATCAAAATCAAATTTCCAAATAAGAAAAATAAAACAAAAGACACATTCTTTTAGAATACTCTTCTAACATTCACCAAAACAGAGCATATTATGACTCATGAAGCATATCTCAATAAATGTAAAAGATTTTAAAACATGCAAAATATGTTATCTAGCCAGAATTAAATTAAAAATTAATAACAAAATATATAAATTTCATAAATATATTGAAATGAAACAACCTAACTGTAAATAATTGATGGGTCATAGAAGAAATCACAAAAGAGATTAGAAAATATGTGAAAAAGGAGATTAGAAAATATATGAACTAAACTAAAATGAAAGCATATTATGCCAAAATTTTGGGGATGCAACTAAAGCAGTTCTTAGAGAAATGTTTATAATTTTACAGGTGCATATAAGAAAAGCAGAAGGGTCTACAATCTATGTACTAAGCTTCCACAATGAGTAATTAGAAAAAGAAGAGCAAATTATATTAAAAATAAGCAGAAGAAAATTACACAAATCGATGAAATAGTAAAGTTATATAAATCTGTATCACTTTGTATACATAAAACTATCTACACACACATGCACACACACACACACATATATGTATAGAGAGAGAGATAGAGAGAGAGAGAAACAGACATAGAAAATCAACTAAAAGAAAAGTGGCTTATTTGAGATCAATAAAATGGATAAACTTCTAGACAGAATAAAAGGAGAGAAGATGTATATTACCAGTATCAGAAATGAGAGAAGAAAACTCACTACAGAGGCTACAAACATTAAAGGAATATTATAAATAATTGCATGCCAATCATTTCAACAACTTAGATGAAATGAACTTTAAAAAATAAACTAACAAAACTCATTCCTGAAAAACTAGATAACATAAATAGCCCTTTATCGCTCTAAAAATTGGATTTGTACCACAACTGTCACAGTAATTAAAATCTAGGGTATATAAGACTTCATTGGTGAATTCTAACAACATTTAAGGAAAAATAGTACAAGCTTTTATTTCAGCTCATTCTGATGAGCTATATACAATGACACTCATGAACACAGATCTAAAATTGTCAACCTAATTTTAGAAAATGAAATTTAACAATATTAAAAAGACTAATACATCATGACTAAGTGGGATTTATCTCAGAAATAAGTTTTGTTTAGCACTGGAAAATCAAATAGCATAATTCACCATAACACAGACTCAAACTGAAAGAAAAGATATTCTCAATAGAAGTGGAAAAGCATTTTACAAAATTTAATATCAACTCATGACTTTAAAACTCAGTGAATACAAATTGAAATTGTGGTAGGTTGAATAATTGACTCCTAATCACTGAAAGCTGTGAGTGTTACCTTATATGGTAAGAGGGACTCTGCAGGTATGATTAAATCTTCATATGAGGTAATCATCCTGGATTATCTATGTGGGTCCTAAAACAGCCACAGGCATTCTTATAAAAGGGAGACGGGGGAGATTCTAGTCAGAAGAAAGGGATATGATGACCTCTGCATGAGCGTTTGAGCATGGAAGGACCAATCCAGAGCCAGGGAATACAAGGAATGCAGCTCTAGAAGCTGGAAAAGGCAAGAAAATAGATTCTCTCCCTAGAGCTTCTGGAGGGCACATGACCCTGGTGACACCTTGGTTTTGTCCCAGTATATCTGAGTTCAGATCTCTAGCTTCCAGAAGTGCAAGAAAATAATTTTGAGTTGTGCTAACACACCAACTTTGTGGTAATTTGTTAAAGCTGTTGCAGGAAACTAGTATGGAAGACAACTTTCTCAGCCCAATAAATGGCATCTAAGAACAGTCAATAGCTAACATCATGCTTAATGATAAAAACTGAATGCTTTTTCCTTAAGATTGAAAACCAGAATTGGAAGCAAGTATGTCCACTCTTACTACTATGCAACATTATGCTGTAGATGCTAGTAAATTCAATAAAGAAAAATGTAAATAAAAAGTATAATAATAAAAAAAGCAGATTTAGGTAGAAAATTTTTTATTTTTTTAAAAAGCTAGTAAAACTAATGAATGAGTTTAGCAAAATCACTTGACTCAATTTCAATACTACAAAACTAAATATAGTGGCAAAAAAGCCCAGAAAATGAAATAGAAAAAAAACCCAATACCATTTACAAAAACATAAAAATATTAAATACGTAAGACTGAAATTTGACAAAACTTGTGGAAGGTTTCTACACTGAAATCTACAAAATATTATCCTCAAAATAAAGGAAGCCTTAAATAAATGGAGAAATGTAGCACAGCCAGTAATCAGAAGATCCAATATTGTTAAAATGTTAAATTCTTTCCAGGTTGACCAAGGTCAAAGGTTGGCAAACTTTTTCTGTGAGGAACCAGATAGTAAATATTTTAGGCTTTGCAAGCTATGTATCGTCTCTATTATACATTCTTTGTTTTTTGCTTAGGTTTGTTTTTTGCAACCACTTAAAAGTGTAATTATAGCTATTTTTAGCTTGAAAGCACTACAAGAACAGACTCTGGGGTGAATTTGACACATGGACTGTACATTACTGACTCCTGCTGTAGATTCAATGAATCCCAGTGAAAATCCCAACAGGCCTTTATTATGAAATTATATGGAAATACGAAAGTGCTAAAATAGCTAAAGATTGAAAATCAAAAACAAAGTTGAAAGACTTATACTTTCTGACTTGAAGACTTATTTTTCAACCCCCAATTAATCAAGTTAGTGTTAGATTCATATCAAGTTATATAAACATATACAGATCAGTGGAACTGGAAAGAAAGTTAAAAAAAAATGCACATATGGTAAATTTATTTTGACAAAGAGACCAAGCAATTCCACAAAAAGGATACTCTTTCAACCAATAACTCTGGAACAATTGTATGTCCAGTTAGGGGTAAAAGAGAAAACATCAATCATCCCTTACTTCAGAAACATAATTTACAAGTAAATCTGTGATTAGGCAAAGATTTCTAAAGAGAACATGAAGATTATGACTCTATTAGTCCATTTTCACACTGTGGATAAAAACATACCTGAGGCTGGGCAATTTACAAAAGAAAGAGGTTTAATGTACTTACAGTTTCACATGGCTGGGGGGGCCTAACAATCATGGCGGAAGACAAGGAGGAGCAAGTCACATCTTACGTGGAGGGCGGCAGGCAGAGAAAAAGCTTGTGCAAAGAAACTCTGCCTCATAAAGCCGTCTGATCTCATGAGACTTATTCACTATCATGAGAATAGCAAGGGAAAGACCTGCCCCCTGTGGGTCAATTACCTCTCAATGGGTCCCTCCCACAACATGTGTGACTTCAAGATGAGATTTGGGTGGGGACACAGCCAAACCATATCAATGGCCTATTGAAAATATCAATAGTGTTGGATTTTATAAAAAGGTAAAACCTTTGTTTTTTGTAGGACATTATTAAGGAAATGGAAGGACAAACCACAAACAGGGAAAATATATTTTAAGGAACTTCCAGCTAGAACAGGAATCAGCCAACCAAGGCATGGGGCAAACCTGGTCTGCCATTTTTGAAAGTAAAGTTATGTTCATTTATTTATGTCTTGTATGTAGCTCTTTTCATGACAGAAGGCCAGAGTTGAATAGCTGCAACAGAAATCATATGGCCCATAAAGCCTAAAATATTCACTGTTTGATCCTTTACAGACACGGTATACCAACCCCTGAGCTGGAATAAATATAAAGAACTTGTGTGGCTCAACAATAAATAACCCAATTTTCATAAATGGGCAAAGATTTGAACAGACACTTCACAAATGAAGATATATGAATGGCCAATCAACATATGAAAAGCTTTTCAAAATCATTAGTCATTAGGGAAATGCAAATTAACAACACAATAGACAGCACTTTAAACCCATTAAAATGGCTAAAATTAAAGACTGTTCATACCAACTGAAAAATGGGAGGAGAAGCCACCAGAATTCACAAATATTACTGGTGGGAATGTGAAAAAAAAAATTGTAAATCACTTTTGAAAATTATTTGATAATGTCTTTAAAAGCTAAATGTACACCTTCTATACAACTCAGTCACTCTAAACCTAGGTCAACCTAGGTATTTACCTAGAAAAATACAAGAATATGCCAATACAAAGGCATGTTCACGAATGCTTATCACAGCTTAGTATGTTATAGCCCAAAACTAGTAACTGTACAAACATCTATTTGCAACTGAATGTATACACATACTGTGGTATGTCTAGTCAATATAATAGTACTCAGTAATAAAAAGAGTGATAGAAGCAACTGAATAATAAGGCAAACAACCTGATTTTCAAAGTAATGGGCAAATGAATGAATCTTAAAATAATTATGCTTAATGAAAGAAGTAAAAGGGGCTACATAGTAAAAGAGTACATATTATATGATTCTAGAAAACATGAAATAATCTAAAATAACAGAAAGCAGATTAGTGGATTCATGGAAATGGGGGTAGGTAGAATAAGGGATAAATTACAAAGGGGAATGAAGAAATCTTTGAGATTGATAGAAATGTTTATTATCCTTATTGTCATAATGATTTCATAGTTGTATACATATGTCAAAACTAATCAAATTGTGCGCTTTAAAATGTTACCTTCTTGTGCATCAATTTCACCTCAATAAAGCTATGCAAAAACAGAAACTTTTCTTAGACAAAATTTTTATAACTGCAATTTCCCCAACATAAATATTACTCTTGGAGTGTTACTTGTGAAGGAAAAAATAATTATAGTGACATTCAGCCTAGCTACTCAGATTGTTGTCTGAGAAGAGACAGCTTTGACATTGACTGAGAGCTTTCAGAAATACTGAATCTTTTCACTAACCATACCACCACCCCAGAGCTTTTGATTAGATTATGCATTTTTTTAAAAGGTCTCTAGGTGATTTACATGTACTTTAAAATTTGAGACGTACTGCTCTACAAACAAGAGCTCTGGCTCAAATGAAAGGTAAAAATCAATACAAAAATTTCTCATCAGAGATGTTATTTACAAGATTCAGGTATCATATCCTGGGTGTTACTAGATAATTCTACAATGTTCTTTGATTCTGATTCCACAGTCCCATGTCACTGCCCTTTTCTTACTAGACCTGCCCCCATTTTTCATGTGTCATTTTTCCCCACCTCTTCTGATCTCCCCATACTTAAGCATAAGTGTTCATTTTTTCATAGATAATGTTAGGTGGTTGCAATCACTTTAAAATCATATTGGCCTCCCTTGCCTCCATTTCTATCTATGATTTCTTTATATTGTGGTAAAGTCAACAGGGGGTGGTTTCGGAGAGTTACTCACCTGATCTGAATCAAAGTCTCTAAAATTAATTCCAGAAATTATTAACAAAAATAAATGAAGAGAAAAAACTGAATGATGTAAACCACTATGCATTTAATTCTTCTTTAATAAATTTTCAATGAAATCTAAGTACAATTGAAAAAAATAAGCTAAAAATAAAGAGTCGAAGAGAAGAGCATAACACAAAGCAAGTGCATTGAGTAAAGGGCAAACTCTGAGGAAAATATTATCTATTTTAAACTTTAGGTTTTACTACATAGGTTTTACTATGTTCTCACACGTATTACATTTTTTTAAATAAATTTGTGAGATAAGAAGTCAAATATCATCATTTTCTAGATGGCTATGCAATTTGTCCACTCTCAGCTGGGATTCAAATCCAATTGTTTCAACATTCAGCCTAGTGTTCTCTGCACAGCCCATATTACACGTATGAAATGTCCTTGAAAACAACACTGTGAAGATCTCTTTCAAGTTTCACACGTAAGTGTTTGAGTTAAAAACTAAAACAATGCCTTGAAGCGTTTGTTCTTAGGATGAGTCAAAATTTGAAAGAGTTTGATGCTAAAACCAAAATTGCTTTTGAATTATAAAAGCATGTAAATACAAATTTATCTCCAAGACTTATATTGTCTTTTTACCTAAAAGGAAATTGCAGGCTTACGTTTCATTTGGTAAAATATAAAACTTGAAGATATTTTTATGTGAATAGTTTTTTTTAATTAATCAAGTTGTTAATTCTAGTGTTTCTAGTGTTTTTGCTGAAAAGTAGAGTTCCAGATACCATATATTTTAAAAGGTACTGTTTGCAGATTTCTTTCTAGTAACCAAAGAAATATTTCCCCCTTTAGGCAAATGTACTGTATTTGTCCTACCTTTTATCATGGGGGTCAGCCATCATTTGTATCCTTTTTTCTTTCCTTAAGTGACCATTTCTTTGATTTCTTATTAAAAAGGCTTGGTAGAAATAGACAGAAATGACACCTAGAAAAGAATATTTCTGCACCTGAAAGTCATAAACTTTCCAATTTAAACTTGGAAAAGTATCTGAAGCAAGCCAAAATGAGCACAGAGCAAGTCCAATGACAAATGCTTCATTCTTTTTTTTCTCTCGATTTTTTTTTCTTTTTCGCAGGGGTTGGGGGTTAATTGTTTTGTTTTACTTTACATTTGGTCAGCTGGCACACTGCACAGAAACTTGAGATTTTTTTCCCCTTTCTCATTTCGGTTGCTTTTAGCCATGTCTTAAATTAGCTTTTCTTTAAGTCTTGAAGGGAGTTGGCTTCCACTCCCCAAATGGAACAATAGTTCCTCCTGAGTGAGAGTGCCAGCTACATATATTATCTGTCCTATTCCCAGCAGGAACATTCCAGTGACTGCTTATAAAAATTAGTCACATGGATTTTCAGTTTGGGGAAGGGGTGGCTAGCCTTAGTTGTCATCTTTAGTTTGTGAGAGAATTGAGCTGTTTTTCTCCTTTCAAGTCTTCCATTTACCCATTTTAGACTCTTGTAGATGCTTTAGCTTTTCTTCATGCAGTCAAGAATGAGCCCATCTTCGGAAGGCTCCAAGAACTGGGGACACATTTAGCCTGTTAATGCTGCTTAGTTGGCCCAATTCCACTTTGGTTAATTACATTCTGTTCCACAAACATATCTCTTTGCATTTTCATTTGGTGATGAAAAAAGATTGCTTTTCAATCTCCTCTTCTGAGCTCAATCCTCAAAGGCCCAGCATGGATCCATCCAAAGTTGCCTAAGGAAAAATTCCCCAAGTGTGGGAGAATCCAAAAGAACACAGCCATTCTCAGCCCTCCTCACACCCACACCAAAATCAGTATTGACAGAAAAATGTATGATTATCTGACTGCAGAAGTTTGTCCTTTGCTTTAAAAGAGGTATTTATTTACCAAGGGGCAGTGATGACATACTTGAGGATCCATACCAAATACCATTCAAGAGAGTCAGGAATTCCTTGGAAACACATTGTCTGTTTCTCTTTAGGAAAATGAAAAGCACTGCAAAGAAATTCTAAAAATCAAATTCCTGTAGTTTCTAACCTCTTCTTTGATGCTACGTGTTCTATGCTCCAAATGTAGCTAGTATACAAGAGACAGTAATGAAATAGATGCATCTTACCATGATGTCTTTTTTTTTTATTTTTTTGCTACAATGTTTATAGCAAGGGCTCTTCACTTTTATTTCAATTGCATGAAACAATGTGACACTTGCCTTTCTTATTTTAGCTTCAGAAGTTTCTAAAACACTTGTCTCTGCAAGATTATCTTGATCTTAAGGTGCAGGAAATTTGCTTTAAGGCTCTGCTGACTCAACATTTACACATTTTTCTTCTGATGAAGTATTTTGTTTCCTTTAAAACCAAATGATATCATGTAACTCAAACAATGTAGAACTATACTAATTATGATCTAAAATGACAGATGTAGATGGAGTCATACTTTATGTCTGTTCTTGTAGTATATATAGTCATTATCCATCAAGTATTCACATGTACGCTGGGAATTTTCATACCAACTGCCAAAACTTCAAACTAACCACTTAAAAAAAAGTTCGACTTCAAAAGGTTTACAGTTTTAATTTGGACAGCACTGCCAGGAAGTGATCCGTGAACAAATTCATTTTGCTAGTCTTTGTAACTACAAAGTTCTCATGATTAAGCTTTTTACTTTCTCTTTCTCTTTTTTTTTTTTTCTTTCTTTCTTTTTTTTTGGTGTAGCTTAACTTTATGATTCATGGGCTAAAATACAATTCTGAGAGATTTACTGTTGGTGTCATACTTTCACATTTTCTATTACAAGTTTCATATGAATGTAAAATTGTATTAGTTTCTGTGTTATAAATAGCCTTAAAAGGGGATTAATCATCATAGAACCAAATTGTTTTTCCCAGATATCAGTCATGATAAAGTCAGGAAATATAGTTTTAGGTAAAAAAGAAGAAGAGAAAACACTCTGAAATTTCTAAATTTTTGGTTAACACTAAGCTTTCTCATACAGAAAAATCACAAATTTGCCCCCTCCCCCCAAAAAATCATACTCAGTTCAATGAGATGGCAGAACAGTGATATTTTCACTTGGAAAAAAAGGAAGAGAATTTATTCATTAAAAAATCACTAGGCTGGGCACGGTGGCTCATGCATGTAATCCCAGCACTTTGGGAGGCTGTCAAGAGCGGATCACAAGGTCAGGAGTTTGAGACCAGCCTGGCCAATATGGTGGAACCCTGTCTCTTCTAAAAATACAAAAATTAGCCAGGTGTGGTGGCATGCACCTGTAGTCCCAGCTTCTTGGGAGGCTGAGGCAGAAGAATCTCTTGAACCCAGGAGTCAGAGGGTTGCAGTGAGCCAAGGTCATGCCACTGCACTCCAGCCTGGGCAACAGAGTGAGATTCTGTTCTCAAAAAAAAAAAAAAAGAAAAGATATTAAAAATCACTAATTAAATGTGAATCATATAACTGCTCCTAGAAGAAAATAGCCTAATAAAGAATGGTATTTTAAAAATTACGTGGTTTTGCCTGTTTACTAAAACATGTATCTTGTCTTTGGAAGCTCTGAAATTCACATCTCAGGGAAAAAAGGAACCCCGGAAAGTGTATTCCTAGAAAGGCATCCATAGTGAACAATGAGCTCATTTTCATTTAAGGATAAAAAATGTAGATATTTTTATTTAAAAATGTGAGAATTTTTCAGAAAATATAGCTAAAATAAAAATATACTTGAAGAATATGGATAAAGTCCATGTCATAAAAATTGGATTTAGATGATCCTAATATTTGAAGAAAGTATAAAGTTAAGCAAAGAACTAATTACTCCAAGAAGTTGAAAATACTCTGTGCTCTGGATGGGTGTATATTACTGCGTTAAATATACATTACAAGCAATAGGAAGAATTTCAGAAATACTAATCTTAGTATTTAGTTGTGGTCCTGACCCTTTTACATCTTACAAGTATAAATTATCTTATTGTACTTTGCAGATACTGCATTTTTTTACAAATTGAAAGTGTGTGGCAACCCTGTGTCAAGCAAGTCTATCGGTGTCATTTTTCCAACAGCATGTGCTCATTTTGCATCTCTGTGTCACATTTTCTTAATTCTCATAATATTTGAAAGCTTTTTGTATTTTTTCTCCCTGTTATGGTGATCTGTAATCAGTGATCTTTGATGTTACTATTGTAATTGTTTTGAGGGAGCCACATCCACACCTCTACAAGATGATAAACTTAAACAATAATGTCGTGTGTGTTCTAACTGACTTCCTCTCTGATCAGTCATTCCTCCATCTCTCTCCCTCTCCATGGGCCTCCCTATTTCCTGAGACACAACAATATTGAAATTAAACCAATTAATAACCCCTCAATGGCTTCTAGTTGTTCAAGTGAAAGAAAAGTCACGTCTCCCACTTTACATCGAAAGCTAGAAATGATTAGTCTTAGTGAGAAAGACATGTTGAAAGCCAAGACAGGTAGAAGGCTAGGCCTTCTTAAATTGAAAAGCAACTTCAGCAAAGTCTCAGGATACAAAATTAATATGTGAAAATCACTACCCTTCCTATACACCAACAACAGGCAAGCAGAGAGCCAAATCATGAATGAACTCCCATTCATAATTGCCGCAAAAATAATAAAATATCTAGGAATAAAGCTAACTAGGGAGATGAAAAATCTCTACAGGGAGAACCTCAAACCACTGTTCAAAGAAATCAGAGATGACTCAAACAAATGGAAAAACATTTCATGTTCATGGATAGGGAGAATCAACATCATGAAAATGGCCATACTGCCCAAAGCAATTTATATATTCAATGCTATTCCTGTTAAACTACCAATGACATTCATTACAGAACTAGAGAAAACTCTTTTAAAATTCATATGGAACCAAAAAAGAGCCTGAAAAGCCAAGGTAATCCTAAGCAAAAAGAACAAAGCTGGAGGCATCACACTACCTGACTTCAAACTACACTAAAGGGATACAGTAACCAAAACACCATGCTACTGGTACAAAAACAGACACATAAACCAATAGAAAAGAAGAGAGAACCAGGAAATAAGGCTGCATGCCTACAACTATCTGATCTTTGATAAACCTGACAAAGACAAGCACTGGGGAAAGAATTCCTATTAAATAAATGGTGCTGGGATCACTGGCTAGCCATATGCAGAGGAGGGAAATTGGACCCCTTCCTTACACCATATACAAAAATTACCTCAAGATGGATTAAAGACTTACATGTAAAACTCAAAACTATAAAATATCCTGGAAGACAATCTACCCAATACCATTCAGGACATAGGCACAGGCAAAGATTTAATGACAAAGACACCAAAAGCAATTGCAACAAAAGCAAAAATTGACAAATGGGATCTAATTAAAGTACGGAGCATTTGCACAGCAAAACTATCAACAGAGTAAACAGACAACCTACAGAATATGAGAAAATTTTTGCAAACTATGCATCTGACAATGGTCTAATACTCAGCATCTATAAGGAATTTAAACAGATTTCCAAGAAATAAACAAACAAAACCATTAAAAAGTGGGTGAAAATATATGAACAGACACTTCTCAAAAGAAGACATACCTGCAGACAACAGTCAGATGAAAAAAATCTCAACATCACTGATCATTAGAGAAATGCAAATTAAAACCACAATGAGATACCAGCTCACACCTGTCAGAATGGCTATTACTATTATAAAAAGTCAAAAAATAATAGATGCTGGTAAGGTTGTGGAGAAAAAGGAACACTTATACTCTGCTGGTGGAAGTGTAAATTAGTTCAACCATTGTAGAAGACAGTGTGGTGATTCCTCAAAGACCTAAAGCTGGAAATACCATTCAACCCAACAATCCCATTACTGGATATATATCCAAAGGAATAGAAATCTTTTTATTATAAAGACACATGCATGTGTATGTTCATTGCAGCACTATTCACTATAGCAAAGACATGGAATCAACCTAAATACCCACCAATGATAGGCTGGATAAAGAAAATGTGGTACTTATATACCATGAAATACTATGCAGCCATAAAAAATAATAAGATCGTGTCTTTTACAGGGATGTGGATGGAGCTGGAGGCCACTATCTTTAGCAAACTAACACAGGAATAGAAAACCAAATACAGCATGTTTTCACTTATAAGTGTGGGCTAAATTATGAGAATACATGGACACATAGAGGGAAACAATACACATTGGGGCCTATCAAAGAGCAGAGGTTAGGAGGAGGTAGAGGATCGGGAAAAATAAGTAATGGATACTAGACTTAATACGTGGGTGATGAAATAATCTGTGCGATAAACTCCCGTGACACACATTTGCCTATATAACAAAACTGCACTTCCTGCACATGTACCCATGAAATTAAAATAAAATTTAAAATAAATAAATAAAATGAAAAGAAACAAAAATAAGGAAAAATTATGGAAAAGAAATCCCTAGTTTGACCTGGAATAGCTTAGTATTTTTCTTTATAGAAATCTGATGGTTATCTATAGGACGAAATTCTAATGGTAGATGGAAACACTGAAGAACAGTAAGTGGTGCAACACATAGAAATTTGACACGGGAAAGAACAGAAGTTCCATAACGATTGTAGATTCACCACAATCTGTTATTTCCCTCTCTTCACCATTAGTCCTTAGGTCACCTTTTTGGACTTGGAAGAGTCCCAGATACCTCACAGATATACTTTCATTTATAATCTTGATTTTTATTCAAATTATAAAATATCAAGACTCTTACAGTAGCCCTAGCCTATATTTTCAAGTTTCTAAGAACAAATAAAATGAGAGCCAGATTTCTGTTTCTAATATAAAATGCCAACTTCTCTCCGAGGGACCAGAGTCTATTGGTCCTTAACATTTTCTCTTACTTTCACAAATTTTCTCTTACTTTAAATATTTTACTTTCACTTTACTTTTTTCTCCTACTTCCACTTACTTTCCACACTTCAATGAATCAAACTAAAGGTAATAAAATGAATATCTAGTAAGGCTAAAGCTATATGGGATCCTTAATTTAAAGAATAATTTTCTTAATTATTTTACCAAGAGTTACATGACAAACTTAAAAATGGCATTATTTTGACAGTAGCAACAACTCAAAAGACAAAAGAAAATATTATAATGCCAATACCCTCTGCTACTATGGCAGTGCAGAAATTTAGAATTTAAAAATGCCAAACTACTTTAACAATATGAAAGTCATTTTATTCATAATTTCACTGATTCACTCAATTTTAACTATATTATTTGGCTGATTTAATAAAATAACAAATGAAAATTTTAAAAACAGTGCCATTTGAGAGTTACCTGTCATGAGTGATGAAATTACTCCAAATTCTAACAATACATATAGCAAATGGCATATTTGCATGGGTATTGGCCTGAGTATTTTGGCTTGCATTTCAACATTTGTAATAGCTGCAGCAAAAATTTTCCTGTCTAAAATTTTTTTAAAGGCAGAATATCTTCCTAAATGAGCAGAAGTTTGGGTATTTGGACACTCCCCGAAAGCAGAACACAGACAAGTGTTCAAATGCAAACTTTGTCATTTTTACGTCATTGATTTTTAATATACACGTCTATTCAGCTTTTTCTTAATTAGGGATTTGGGTATAACTATGCTCTTTAGGACTTTCTCTGTCTACCTGCTTGGCATAATATCCTGGGACCAATTGTGAAAAAAATCTGTGATGGAGCATTGATAAAGAAATCCCTGGATGTTCAGAAACAATTTGGTTGTTTCTGGCTTATAAAACTCAAGAACTACTTTAATGAGAAGTAGAGGGTAGAAAGTGTGGAGAGCTTGTATATGTACCAAAATTGTGGATAGACAAACCAAAAAATTGACATTTTAGGCAAAGTGACATTTTGGATGAATATATAAACAAGAGAGTTAAAGTCATATTTAAATGAGAAGCTGAAGCAGAAAAAAAAAATCAAAACAAAAAAATGAATTAAAAGCACAAATAAAGGGAAGATGCTAGGACTGAAAATCCCAAGAGTAAGGTAGCTAAACCTAAGTCAGAACAGTCAGAAGTACACTAGAGGAAAGTAAGTGAGTGATATGGTTTGGCTGTGTCCCCACCCAAATCTCATCTTGAATTGTAGCTCCCACAATTCCCATGTGTTGTAGGAAGGACTCAGTGGGAGGTAATTGAATCATGGGGGCACATCTTTCCTGTGCTGTTCTCCTGATGATGAATAAAGTCTCATGAGATCTGATGGTTTTATAAAGGGGAGTTTCCCTGCACAAGTTCTATTCTCTTGTCTGCCACCATGTGAAATGTGCCTTTCACCTTCTGCCATGATTGTGAGTCCTCTTCAGCCATGTGGAACTGAGAGTCTATTAAACCTCTTTCTTTTGTAAATTGCCCAGTCTCAGGTATGTCTTTATTCACAGCATAAAAATGGACTAATAGAGAGATTAAAAAGAGGTAAGAGAATCAAATTATGATATCAATTAGTTCACAGAATTAGTGACAAATTTTATTTACATGGAATTTGTAACATCCTCTCCTCTCCTTTCTTTCTTGAAATAACTCTTTGAAAAAGAGGAAATAGAAAATTAGCATTTCTTGATGGCATACTATGAGCCAGGCCAGGTGCCTCGTGGTCAACATACTGTCTTCTTCAGTGCTTATACTAAAGAATGGTCAGGGTGTTTTACAGCAGTCTGTTAAGGTTGGAGGTACACTGCATTGAGATTCTCAAGAAAGCCAATTCCTCATTAGATGAAAGAAGTGAGCAATCATTCACCTGGATGCTTATGGTATGATGAGTAAGAACGTCCATTTCATTCCTGGAGTAAAATTAAAGAGAGGAGAGGTGTAATCTGATGAATGCTATCTTTAGAAATAAAAGTTAGTAGCAGAAATCTAATACGGATTTCTAGATAGTGAGAAAACAAAAGAGCTGGCATCTCTCGATGTGGGACAACTATAAAAAATAACATTTCTTAAAATTTCTGTGTTTCCACAGCCCATTTTATTTGTGATTTCCAATCTACTGTCATAAAGTTATTGTCCTTAAAGCAAAAAATGGTCTTAAACTTTGAGTCATAATATAGATTGGCCACTGGAGAAACTGCATCTAATCCAATGCAGGTTGAGAAATGACATCCCCAAAGGATACTTGAGGTTTTGTTTGCTACAACCAAAAGGGAAGAAGGAAGGAAGGAAGGAAGGAAGGAAGGAAGGAAGGAAGGAAGGAAGGAAGGAGGGAAAGAAAGAAAGAAAGAAAGAAAGAAAGAAAGAAAGAAAGAAAGAAAGAAAGAAAGAAAGAAAGAAAGAAAGAAAGGAGGGAAGGGGAGGGGATGGGAGGGGAGGGAAGGGAAGGGAAGAAGGGAGGAAGGGAGGGAGGGAAATGAAGAACAGCTTCAAGAGCAAAAGCAAAAAGAAAACTTTGCCCTAGGTCTGAACAGAGCAAGCTGTGAACATCTTGGTAACTCATGAAGTAAGCAGATGTGACATTATACTTCTGTCAAGAAAATTTTGGCTAACAAGAAGTGCTTTTAGCTGCCCAAGGTCACACACCTAGCAAATGGTGGAGTTAGAATTCAAACATAATTGTGATTCACTCTGGTCTGTAATCACAGTATTCCCTCACAATGGCCAACACATGAGAATTTTAAACCAATAATGAGAAATGGAACCATAAGAAATAGAGAACAATAGAAATATGTAGCAAAACCAAAGTTACTTAACATACATTAGCACAATCAATTTAATTAGAAAAGGAAAATATTATAGCATAAATATTATTCTAATGAAGAAATTTGCATAGGAATGAAATTTTGATGAAGCTCCTTAATTTAACATGAGAGAAAATGATATGAATGAAATAAATAGGCAAATACTCTTGTGTAGCAGGTTGGGAAGAGCTAAGTTCTGTTGCCTGTGAGATAGATCTGTATTATAGGCCATTTTTGTTATATCCAAGCTTTACTGGACATATTCACTGTAGTTTGGGGAATATGAAAGAACACTGGACTCAGGTTCTGACCTCTAACTTGTTATAAGATCTATAACAAATTATTTCAAGAAATGTGTTGACCTGAGGTATCTCACTTATAAAAATGAGGGCGGTAGCTAGATAAGTTAGTATCACATATTGTTTTGTTACCGAATTCCTTTTTTCAAGTGAATTCTTAGGTTGATTTCAAATAAGTAATGCTAATGAAATTTCAGCAGAATAAATATGAAAAACTAAAAACTTCCTTCTCCTCTGAGCTCTTAGATTTATATTTTAGAGCATGTACAGCCTTAAAACATGGGAAAATGATACTGAACTGAAATATATTTTAGCATTTTTCATACTGTATTCCTAATGTCATAACTCTTGAAAGTGATGTTTAAAAAAGAATTCTCTGGTTAATAATATCATTAAATAATGAATACCGCATCTCCCTTTTTGAGCGTTACAATACATACATCAAGTTAAGAAATCAATCAAGTTCTGTAGAAAAGAAATCTGTTAAATTTGTTTATTTTCATGTATCGTAAATGACCTTGAGTCACTTTTTTTCACATAAAGTGAATGTACCAAGAAGAATCATGGTTTTTAATATGAATTACAAGCTTATGAACTCCAAGGACCCTAGTTTAAACATCTCAGCCTTCTTTCAGGTTCTCAAATGGTACTTACTGTAGTAATAGCAACTCAATGAATATTACTTCCATAAAGTTGAATTCCATAAGCACAGATTTAACTGAGAATAAACCATGGAATATCTAAAGTACCTTTTCAAAAAAGATAAAGTGATTATACAAAGCATATATAAAGCTTGTCAAGGAAAATAAATCTGAGATAATGTAAATATACATCCAAAATAGGAAAAAAAACCTAGAAAATTTTTAATCTTCCTTTTACTCATTGACTTCAAACTACCTAAAATTTCCTTTTATTGATCCATTTTCTCTCCACTTGTCAGCTTGTCCATTAGTCAATGACAGAAGAGAAAAAAAAAAGATGAGAAAGAGGAAATGTTAGAATCTTAGAAGCTGTTCCATCTCTATCCAGCTCGTCTGCCAGTCCTGGTCATTCACATAGGCAGTCCTCACTAGCCCTTACCCGGGCTTCCATAAAAAGAGCTTCTCTTCATTGAGAGCTAGTGCCTTTGGTACAGCTCCTCTAATAAGATAAAGAGTGTGGTCTGAGACTGATTTTCCACTGAAATGTGGATTGATGTTCTTTAAGTCCCTTTCGCACTAAGTCCCTTTTGCACTAAGATTATCTTCATCGTCTATATGCACCTCTAAGTAGAAACAAAAGAGTAATGTCAAATAGGAAAGAATAATATTCACTCATCTCTACAAATGGCCAATAAAAGCCAAAATACATAGATAGATATGATTGTGTTTGTTTTAGGAATGGAGAATAAAGGAAAATAGTTAACACTGTATTTTTGTATAATGAACAAACACTTTACTTCTAAGCCATAGATAATGGTTGTGAATAAAAGAAGTGAGTAATGGAAGGAAGGAAGGAAGGGAGACAGGGAAGGAAAGATAAAGAAAGGAAGAAAGAAAGAAAAGCAAAGAAAATAAATTAAGGACAGTAGGAACACCAAAAAGTAAGATTTTTATCACTATCTCCTCAGTGCTCAAATCCCTAAATTGGCCATAGGACCTACAATAATTCATTTAGGAAGATTTTCCATTCCTCTTTCCAAAGGATAGGAGGGTTGAGGAGGATACTTCTGTTATTCCATCACAGTAAAAGAAGATGAATTACTGCCACCCAAAATTGAAAATGCATGATTGATTTTTCATAGAAACTTCTTAGTATGCAGTGTTAGGTTTGTAGCATTATTGACACAGCATGCTACTTTGTATGCAATGTAATTAGTGAGCTGACCTTGGGATGGAAACTCAAGCTGCAACACGATGCTTGTCCTTTTGGAATACAGGCTGATCATGAAATGGAGATTATCTGCACTTATTTTCAGGAAAGAAAGGGACTGTAGTGAGGTTTCTCTAATCCAGAATAGTTTAAACATAGAAAATGTTTCAGAGGAAGGCAATCAAAATGATGAATGAGCGAGAGTATTTTATTTATGTGAAAATATAAATGAGGCATAAATTATACAAAAGAAACTTGCTGAGATAAAAAACAACTTTGGAAAATTGTGTGATGGTCCACAGAATGTAGAAAGCACAAACATCAAGGCTAGAGAAATAATTTACTAGGTTTCAAGGGTTACTAGTACAAATAATGAGAATAATTAAAAAGTAAAACAAGAGCTGCCTCCTCTATTTAAAAAGTAGCTGAAAAACTACACTAACTTGAATGTGGTCTAGGATCCAAAGCAGAAGTCTTAGGAGTAGAGTCTAACATTATATAATACTCATGTTAAAGGAGGCAAAACTGCCTACCTAGGGACCAATAACAATTCATCTACATTTCCTAGATACGTTTTTTTGACTCATCAGCATCATATTCTTTTATGAATAATAAGTTCAACTAATTTGTTATCAATTCTTTCCACTATTGGAAAAGTCTGTTGGATATATTAATGTTGGAATGACAAGCAGCTTGTGCTCTTCTCTGGGCATCTAAAAATATCGCCAGATGCATTGTGAGCAATTTAAAAGCCATAATTAGCTTACTTCCAATGATAAATGAATAACAGCTCCACGTACCCTTAAGAGTCTCCAATGTTGTTCATTAGAAATATGTGAAGAGCCACATACGTAATTTTAAATTTCTTGGTAGCTACATTTTAAAAAGTAAAACAAACAGGTAAGATTTATTTTAATAATACATTTAATTTAACCCAATATATGGAAAATATTATAGTTACAATTTGTGGCACTAGCCATATTTTAAGTCCCCAATAGGTACATGTAGCCAATTACTTTATTGTACAGCAAAGAAACTAAGAGAACAGTAGAGGCATAATTCTGGGGAGAAAAAAAAGCATAGGTCAGTGAAAAGGCATTTTTTTTTTAACTTAAGGTAGTGCACGTAATGATTGGATTGTGCTCTCTGTAAGTGACTTCACTGAGAAGGGAAAGGACTCGGCACTGTGTATGAGCTGAGGTGAGAACATCATCAAAATAAGAATGAACCTCTTTTTGTGATGAGGAAATAGAGCAATTTGGTAATAAAATGATTTTCTTTATATCCCCTCTCAGAATCAATAAAAATATATCAAAACATAATTTTAAAAATCTTCATAGTTGGCAACTGCAATGATATTAAAATGTTGTCACAAGAAAAACATGTTGTGATGAAAGTTATACATAAAATGATCAAGAAAAACACTTAAATTTAGCACTTAAAAACATTTTGAGGACAGTTAAAGATGCCCAGATTCAGAGTACCACTTACAGATCATCATCCAGAAATATGCCAACAATATGTTCCTTTGTTCACCAAAAATATCCTTAGTATTTACTATATACACGGAGCTTTTCTAGCCCGGGGTACAATAGAAACAAAAATAGGTAAAATCCATGCTCGATAAGAGCAAATATTCTAAGGTACCTACGTAAATTCATTTGTCTACCAAAGCTTTGTTAAATGGCTTCTAAAGAACTTTCTTCATTCTTTACCAACTAATATGATCTAGAGTTTGGTATTATAAGGAAACATATTCAATCTGATTGCCAAACTCAAGAAGTCTGGAATCTGTTTTATCTATCTCTGCATCTGCCTCAGTACATATCAGACTGCCTTATACATTATTTAATGATGGTATTGAGTTGAATCAAACTGAATTAAATCAAATTGAATTTAATTGAATAAAATAGAAGCCACTGCATTGTTAAAAGTACCAATTCATAAACTAGAAATACCACCATTAAAAATGAATACCAAAACCAGATAAAGACTATTCTAGGGAAAGAAAAGTACAAACCAATATCTTTCATTAGCAGAGATGCAAAAATAATCAAGAGACTATTAGCAAATTAAATCCAATGATATATAAAATGAATCACACACCATGACTAAGTAAGATTTATCACAGGTATATAAAATGGGCACTACGTGTCATAATCAATTAATGTAAACAATCATATAAACAGGCTACAGAAGAAAATAAATATGATTACATCAGTTGATTCAGAGAAAAGATTGATGCATCCTGGCATCCAAAATCAATTCATGGTAAAAACTCTCAGCAAACTAGGAAGATAGGGGAACTTTCTCAACGTGATAAAGAACATCTATAAAGAACCTACAGCTAACATCATACTCAATGATGAGAAACCAGATGCATTTCCACTTGGAACAGCTTCTCTTTAACATTGTGCTAGAAGTCCTAGCTAACACAAAAAGAAAAAAAGTAAAAGTAAAATGTATACAGACAGTGAAACAAGAAATAAAATTGTCTCTGTTTAGAGATTACATAATTATCTATGTATTAAACTCCAAAGAATCAACAAAAATCCCCAGGAGCAAGCAAATGAATATAGTAAGAATGCAGGATACAAGGTTAATATACAAAGTCATTTGCTTTTCTACATACCAACAATGAACAATAGGAATTTTAAATGAAAAATATGATACCATTTACATTGGCACCAAAGCCAATAAATCACTCAGGCATAAATCTAATAAAATATATACAGGATCTATACAAGAAAAACTACAAACCTTTCATCAAAAACACCAAGGAATATCTGAAAAAATAGAGATATTCCATACTCATGTATACTTAATCACTAGATTAAGGCAATCCCAATCAAAATTTCAAGTTACCTTGCAGATATCAACAAACTAATTCCAAAGTTTATATGAAAAAGATGAAAGACCCAGAATACCCAACACTATGTTGAAGGAGAACAAATTAGCAAACAAACTCTATCTGACATCAAGACTAAGCATAAGCTACTGTAATCCAGACAGTATAATATTGGCAGTAGACACGTAGATTAGAATAAAGAACCCAAAAAACATAGCTAACTGATCTTTGACAAAGGAACAAAATCAGTTACATGAAGAAAAAGATAGTCTTTTCAACAAATGGTCCTGGAACAACTGGACATCCATATGAAAACAAAATCTAGATATGAAACTTAACTGCTTTCACAAAAATTACCTTAAAATAGATTGCAAACTAAATGTAAAATGCAAAACTATAAAATTTTCGAAGATAATATAAGAGAAAATCATGACAATCTTTGATGATGAGTTTCTATATACAATATCAAATGCATAAATTACAGAAAAAATTCAAAGTTGACTTTGTTAAAATTGAAAACTGCTCTGTGAAAGACATTATTAATAGAATAAAATTACAAGCCACATACTGTGAGAAAATTATCACAAAACACATATCTGATAGAGGGCTTGTATTCAAAATATAAAAAGAACTCTTAAAACTCAACAATAAGAACTCAAACAATTCAATAAAAAGTGGTCAAATAACCTGAATATATTGACAAATGGGATGGGATTAAAGAGCTTCTGCACAGCAAAAGAAACTATCATCAGAGCAAACAGGCAACCTAGAGAGTGAGAGAAAAGTTTTGCAATCTACCCATCTGACAAAGGTCTAATATCCAGAATTTACAAGGAACTTAAACAAATTTACAAGAAAAAAAAAACCCTATTGAAAAGTGAGCAAAGGATATGAACAGACACTTTTCAAAAGAAGGCATTTACGTGGCCAAAACACATATGAAAAAAAAGCTCAACGTCACTGTCATTAGAGAAATGCAAATCAAAATCCACAATGAGATACCATCTCATGCCAGTCAGAGTGGCAATTATTAAAAAGTCAAGAAACAATAGATGCTGGAGAGGCTGTGGAGAAATAAGGACACTTTTACACTGTTGGTGGGAATGTAAATTAGTTCAACCATCGTGGAAGATAGCATGGTGATTCCTCAAGAATCTAGAACCAGAAATACCATTTGACCCGCAGTCCCATTACTGGGTATATACCCAAAGGAATATAAATCATTCTACTATAAAGACACATGCACATGTATGTTTATTGCAGCACTATTTACAATAGTAAAGACATGGAACCGACCCAAATGCCCATCAATGATAGAGTGGATAAAGAAAATGTGGTACATATATACCATGGAATACTATGCAGCCAAAAAAGGAATGAGATCATGTCCTTTGCAGGGACATGGATGAAGCTGGAAGCCATCATCCTAAGCAAACTAACACAGGAACAGAAAACCAAACATCGCATATTCTCACTCATAGGTGGAAATTAAACAATGAGAACACATGGTGGGAAAAAACACACACCAGGGCCTATTGGGGGGTTGGGAGCAAGGGGAGAAAACACAGATTATGGGTCAATAGGTGCAGCAAACCACCATGGCACATGTATATCTATACAACAAACCTGCACATTCTGCACATGCATCCTGGAACTTAAAGTAAAATAAAATAAAATAAAAACAATAAGAACTCAAACAATCCAATAAAAAATGGTCAAATGGCCTGAACATACACCTCATCAAAAAAGACATACAAATGGCAAATAACCATATGAAAAGATGTGCAACATCATTTTTCATTAAATAATTGCAAATTAAACAAAGAGATACCACTATACACCTATTAGAGTGACTAAAATCCAAAAATTTGACAATAACAAATACTGGCAATGAAGCACAGCAAAAGAAACTCTCATTCATTTCTGGTGGGAATGCAAGATGGTACAGCCACTTTGGAAGACAGTTTGGCACATTCTTACAAAGCTAAACATAGTCTTACCATATGATCAGGCTCCTAGTTATTTACCCAATTCACTTGAAAACTTATGTGCACAAAAATACCTGTACTCAAATGTTTATAACAGCTTTACTTATAACTACCCAAAGTGGAACCAACCAAGATGTTTTTCAATAAGTGAATGGATAAGCAAACTAGGACATCCAAATAGTGGAACAGGATTCAGTGATAAAAGGAAATGATCTCTCAAGCCACAAAAAGGTAGGTCATGCTTAAATGCAAGCTACATTTAAATGCATGTGAATGCATATTGCAAGTAACAGAAGCTAGCCTGAAAATGCTACATGTTGTGTGATTTCAATTATATCATATTCTGGCAAGGGCAAACTATAGAGACAAAAAATATCACTGGTTGCCAGAGGTTAGGGCATGAAGGCAAGAGAGGGAGGAATGAATAGGTGAAGCACAGTGCTCAAAACATACACACATACACGCACACACACACAAACTCACAATGATTAGGGTATGTCAAAGTGCCACAGGAGCCAACTGAAAGAGCTCCCAATGCCCAAAGATGGGGCAATTGGAGCAACAAAATAAAATAGTATTGGATAAAATAAATATCCACAAGTCCTTATGGATATAAATAATTAAATAAACTAATAAATGGGAGAGAAGAAACAAATCTATCCAGAAGAATTCCAAATAACTTATTTAGACCTTTCACCCTAAAATAGGGGAAGCATAACTCCCAGATCCTTAAGTCTTGGAAGCACATAGTAACTTTCTTCCAAAGAATACAGTATGGAAGAAAGGGGTAAGAAAAACAGTGAAGAAACCTGACAAACACTACATCAGCCATCAAAATCAACATCAATACTCATAAATGCTGTAAATCGTACATACCCTGGATGTAATGTGATTAAAAATTATACTTTGCCTTTGTGATCTTTCTCCACAAAAACCATAACTCTAGTCCAATAGTGAGAAAAACATGAAATTCTAATAGAAAGGCACCCCAACAATGTATCTGACCAGCACTTCCCAAAACTATCAAGGTCATCAAAAAAAGGGAAAGCATGATAAATCATCACAGCCAAAAGGGGACTAAGGACTCAGGACCCTAGAGTAGAAAATAAACATTAGGTAAAAACTAAAAAAAAAATCAGAATAAATTATGGACGTCAGTTAATAATATATCAATATTGGTTCATTAATTTTAACAAACTGTGCTAATGTACGATGTTAGCAATAAGGAAAACTGTGTGTGAGATTGAAGCATAGAGGGAGGATATATGCAAATTCTCCCTACTATCTGCTCCATCTTTCTGTAAATTTAAAACTTTTATAAAAAATAAAATCAATTAGCCAGGCTCAGTGGCTCATGCCTGTAATCCCAGAGCTTTGGGAGGCATAGGCAGGTTGATCACCTGAGGTCAGGAGTTCGAGACCAACCTGATGAACATGGCAAAACCACATCTCTACTAAAAATACAAAAAATTAGCCGGGTGTGGTGGCTCATACCTGTAAACCCAGCTACCTGGGAGGCTGAGGCAGGAGAATCACTTGAATCCGAGAGGTAGAAGTTGCAGTGAGCTGAGATCACGCCATTGCACTCCAGCCTGGGCCACAAGAGTGAAATTCTGTCTCAAAAAATAATAAATAAATAAATAAAATAAAGTCAATTAATAAAATCAATATTCTGACAAGCCCATGATATAGTTTAATATAAGTAAGATCAATTTTTGGACTCCATATAACTGAGAGCCATTCTAGGGATCTTAATGATGTCCACAAAAATGCAGTGCCAAGACGATCCAGCCTAAAAGAACTTGCCATCCTTACTCATTTATTATAAAATCTACAATACTACAGTTTT
This sequence comes from Homo sapiens, assembly GCF_000001405.40. Classification (NCBI taxonomy): domain Eukaryota; kingdom Metazoa; phylum Chordata; class Mammalia; order Primates; family Hominidae; genus Homo; species Homo sapiens. Next base: position 17,020,047 of record NC_000021.9, read on the forward strand.
CTGTGATACCAGTGCTTGTCAGAATATGAAGTACTTACATCTCCATCTTAGTCCTGCAACCTAATCTAGTAATTACCCTAATTCTTTCTTGTCATTCATTCACAGCTAATCTTGAAAGATTTCTCTCTCACAATGGCATTTTCCATTCATTCTTCAATCCATAATAATCTGGGTTCTGCCCCAATTCACTCCCAAGGTCAATAATGGCCTACCTATTGCCAAAATCAATGGTCACTCACCCATTATCTTATTTTACTTTTCAGAAGTGTTAGACACATTATTTATTCCTTCCTTTTTTAACACGTGCTTCTTTTGTATTCATCACATCTTGGGGGGTGTGTGTGTGTTTGTGTGTGTGTGTGTGTGTGTAACTAAGAGGGGGAAGAGAGAGAGAGAGAGAGAGATTCCTGTTCTGTCTTTAAACATTATTGTCCATAAAGTGCAGTTTAGCAAGTTTTTTACTCTGTTAGTCTCTCCATGTGACCACCTTAATTCCTATCACTTTAGTAACTACTATATGTTAATGTATCCCAAATTTTTATCTCCCATCCAGAGCTCTTTCATGAGAGTGAGAAGATGTCTTCCTACTTACAATGGCATTTTCACTTGACAGCCCTACTCACATATCAAAATCAACATGTCCCAGAATATCCTATCATCCCTGTCATTCAAAACTGCTTATACACTTATATTCTATATGTTAGTATATGGTATGCCTATTGTTTACTCAAGACAATAGCATAGTTGTTAAAATCAGTTCATCCTTACTTCAAATATAAAATCATCCCTTAATTATTTTCAATTGTCTGTTAATTTTTAAAAATCCATCAATTTCTATCTGTCCTATAATTTTCATTCTCATTTAAGCCATCATCGCTTGCCTAGTTTCCCACAACAGCCTCACACCAGTCTCCACACCTCCTTGCTTCTTCCTTCAAATCTGTTCTTCAGTCTCTCTCATCATTCCCCAATTCAAAGCACTGTATTAACTCCTCTTCGTTATTTGTTTGAGGTTTAAATGATATCATTTTGCATATAGGGCTTTTCATAATTAGGATCCTGGATAACCCTCCAGTCTACTTTTCTCCTTCCTTCCCTCCTTCTACTTCACATTATGCTAAACTGCTTTTAGTTCCTCCAATGTCTATGCTGCTGCATATTTCTCTACCCAACTCTCATTGTCAATCTAACTTCAGAGTTTTGCCTAAATAGACCTTCCTTCAGGATGCCTTCTCTAAATTCACAAATCTCAAGTAGTTGCCTCTCTATATATTACCACACCCTCTCCTTCTCTCTCTCTTTCTCTCTCTCTCTCTCCCCCCCACCATCTCTCTCTCTCTCTCATTTCTAAATTTCCTGACTGCTTACCCATACTGCTAATTAAACTCCAAGCACTATGAAGTTAGTGAGAATATCTAAATTATTATTATCTCCCCAAGAATATCTAGGACAATGACTGACACAGTAATATTTGATAGATGGATTGATTGATCGATTGAAGGAAAGATGGATGGATGATTAAAACATGAAAGTTGAAAAATCTAAACTCAGACCTCTTTTTAAAAAAATAAATAAATAAAACCTCTCTGGACTGAGTTACTCCTTGCTTGGTGCTTTTGATTTTAATACATTATCTCAGAAATAGCCTTAGTTTCTGTGAGTATAAAAAAAAAGTATAAAGAAGACTCACTGTGTCCCAAGTTTAAAGCAAGGATTTTCCAAGAGATCATTATTGCTCTAGGGTTGCAATCAGCATGTTAATCACCTAATACCATGTTTGGAACTACACATGAATGGACAGGACCAAAATTCCAAGACATCAAAGGACTCAAGTTGAATAATATCAACTTGAAAGTAATCAGAGAATGGTTAAAAAATGAATTGTCAGCAACTGAAGAATAACAGTGGGAATTAACCAGGACATGCTATGGGGCTATGACGGCAAATTGAATATGGGATGTATAAATAGCTACATAAGCCAAAATCAAATACTTGCTTCAGGCAGCCTTTAGACGTGACAGTTGGACAGTCCAGGAAGATTTCAAAGGTTTAAGAGAATAGATCTCGAGCAGATTAGGAAAGTCTGGATATTAATAGCAGCAAAATATATGGAATAATAGGAGGTGAGATCAAAGATATTTTGCTATGCTTAAGCGCAGGAGAAGACTGAAAAACAAAACTATGGAGTGAAAAACTTGGAGGTCAAAGATACATACTCTATTTTCTCCAAATCAGCTTTTTTCATTCAAAACCAGCAATAGCCAAACAGCTTCAAAATGACTTTTTAAACTTTTTCCTTAAGTTATACTTTAAAATTAAATAAAATCTCCACAGGAAAACTACTATTAGATATTTCCCTTTTGAAATGTGTAATTATAATGTCTTATGTTACAAATAAATAGGCACTAAAATGGCATTAATGGTAAACTCAATGTTAATCCAATTAAAAATAATAGGCCAGGCTTGGTGGCTCCCAGCACTTTGGGAGGCCGAGGCAGGAGGATCACTGAGGTCACGAGTTTGAGACCAGCCTGGTCAACATGGTGAAACCCCGTCTATACAGAAAATACAAAAATTAGCCGGGCATGGTGGCATATTCCTGTAATCCCAGCTACTCGGGAGGCTGAGGCAGGAGAATCGCTTGAACCCAGGAGGTGGAGGTTGCAGTGAGCTGAGATCGTGCCACTGCACTCCAGCCTGGGTGACAGAGCATGTCTCTGTCTCAAAATAATAATAATAATAATAATAATAATGATAATAATAATAATAATAATGAGTGACAGCTGAAATCTTTCTTTCGATGTCTACTCTGAAGTCCACTATAACTTATTATTGCTTGTATTGTTTTGTTTTGTAAATGAAGACATCATCAAAGAGGAAATAGCTATTAATTTTTATCAATTTTGAAATCCTGCCTTTACATCTTCCTTCGCTGATGTCACCTCCACTTAGATCATTCAGAAAATAGTTGGCCAAGAAAATGACTATTCTTTATTTTTGTCCCAAATGTTTTAGCTTATCTAATTCTAAAGATCCAAATCACCAGGTTATTGCAAATCTTCCACTTGATTTTTTCAGTATAAATTTGACCTACTAATGTTTAAAATTCCTGAAGTACAGGAATGTGGTTCAGCTTTTCTCTGCTGTCACCTATGTGTCACACAATAACAAGAAGGAAAAAAAAAACCCTAAATGTTCAAAAAGTACCTGTGGGGTAAACGAGTAAACCAAGAGTAAGAGAAATAAGTCCCTTAATCATTTGCTCACCTCGTGCCAGGTATAATGCCTAGGTGAAAAGAATGGTTAGAACATACTTGACCACCTGTCTTTTACCCATAATATCAAGCTACTAAATTGCTAATTTCTGAAAGGTCTGAGATACCTGGCCGTATCTTTTTGCCTATCTTTTTTGTTGATTTATTTTGAGGGGGTTCCACATTTTCTCATTATCTTTCTTTTCCTGCAGCAATTTGTGCATATAACTGCTTTTAATCCATAAAGTTGTTGTTACAAATAGTACTCTCTTTGATGAAGAACACTGTACTTGACAGGTTAATGATATTAAATTTTTTAATAACTTCCTATATTTAAATAAATAATGAGAAGATGCAATTCATTTGTTTATTTTTAGTCCTTCAACCCTCTACAGGCAGTTAATATAGAGGAAGAAATTAAGGCAAACTCATTTCTGCCTCAGGAACTAGAGTTGAGCTCCTCTCCCAGTGTCAAATGTTTATTTGAATTTCCACACAGAATCAAGTGCCAATTATATTAAAATAATCTAGACACCTTCAAAATCTAAAGCCCCATTCATGGGATAAGTTGGAATCCAAAATTTATGGAAATAGTGATTTCATAGGTGTCTGTAGTAACTTGTTCCCTTGGCTAATGTGCCCATTGAACTAAACAACACTGATGCAAAATTTTACGGGAAAATTATATTAGGTAGCCATAGGTGGAAACAACATCTGACTTTTCAGCTAGTTTCTCTTAAATAAAGAGCATTAAGTGTCATGAAGTAAAATCTATAATTAGATTTATGTTCCCCAAAACTAACACTCCAAAGTTTAGAAACAGGCATACCTGGTTATTTCAATTTATAATTTTTTTTTCTTGGAATTCTTTTTTGAATGCAGGGTATTTTTCTACAGTTCTTTGACTTAATATTCTCTGAGGGTAGATTTTTCTGTGTGCATTTACTCATTTGTTTGATTTTGGTTTTGCTCAGTAAAAAGATACTTTATCTAATTTCCTTTCCATATTTCCATTTGCTTTGTAAAATTAACTTAAAGCATGTGTACAGACTTGGATGAAACTCAAAGTAGAAATACATAACTTTCTTAGTGAGAAATGTAATTTGGTTTTTATAAAACAGTGTATCTTTTTTAATTGATGGACAAGTTTTAGAAACCACATATTCTTGGTTTGTGGCTATACTATCTAATTTTCTAAAATAGATTCATCTAGTTGCTCTCTGTATATACTAGTTGTGACATTCCCTTGTCGTTTCACAACTTTTTTAAAAAAAACTTGGCATATAAGAGTTCCCCTCCCTTAGGTATATTTATTCAAACTTGGATGGTGTGACAACAGGTATCAGGATTTTGCTACAGACACAGAAAAAAACTTGAGTCACACTCTTGTTTTCTTGAAGTTACCAGATGGTGGTGGCTGGCTGCTCCTCACTTAGGTATGAATGTTCAAAATTGTAACTTTTGTTTAAGGCAGAACAAAAATTTTAAACCTGTTATTTGGAAAGGTGTTTTTTCTGAGCAACCTTAAGAAAACGAATGCCCTGGAAAATCTTTATTATTGATTCATAACATTCATTTTTAATAGATTTTATATCCTAGCTCATGTTTCACATTTTACACCATCTTCTTCTCAGGCCTGAAGGTAAAATTCTCATGGCTGCCTATCTCTGGCCAGTGATTTTCTTTCTCTCTATTCTCTTTCAGCAACAGTTTAATCAAAGGGAAGGCAGTTTACTTTTTCAGACCCTCTGCTCCCATAATGACTTCCATATCTTTTATTAAATGTAGTAGGAGAAAAATTAAGCACTGTTAAACAGGGATAGATGTTGGTCAAAACATAAAAAATGATTTTAATCAGTTACAATTTTGAACGTTTAAGGGAGAATAAGTTCAAGATATCTGTTGTAAATCATGGTGACTATAGTAAAACAACAATGTATTTTAAAGAATAAAATAAAAGCTCTTATAGCATGACTCTGTTTTACATATCCAGAATCATTGAGATATTTGCATAAAGTGTCATAATTTCCCCTCTCCCTTTGGCTTTCTTATCCAGGCGCACTTGATTTCCACTGATATCAACTCCTTTAGCCTATTATGAGTGCATCTATACCCCTCTTTCTCTGACACTCTATTCCCAGCCTTTTCTCTTTCCGACATGCTCCTTTTCCAGCATTCTCTGCCTTGCTTTGGCATTCTTTCTCCAAGCCCACTCTCTTCTCTTCCTCTCTCTTCAAACTCCCATATACCTCCTCCGTTCTCATTTCTGCTGAATTGCTGATGGGATTTTCAGCTCCCATTCAACAATTTTTGTTTCTTTTCTTTCTGCCAATCTAGATATGAAATTTGGCCTCTTTTTTCTTGAATTTTACTTAAATAATAATAAACAAAAACACCCACAAATACAAAGTATATAGTAGATATTATTGAATGTTTTGGTGTCAGAGTTCTATATCAAAGTCATGCAAATACCTTAAAATTAAATATGACATATCCCCACTCTTAAAATTTTTTCAGCCAGTCTCATGTACCACTATAACCTGAGCTCACTCCCCCTACACACAATTTCAAGCTAATTTTTCATGTAGAGGAATTCAGCGATATTTTTGTAATCCTTATCACTTGCTAACTCATGCCTTGTTTTCAAGCCATGCCTTGAAAATCTCACTTTCAAGCCCCAAGCACTTAACGTTATTTTCCTTACTTATTAAAAAATAGTGTCATTTCTTAAGATCATAATCTTTTACTACTATAAGTGACATTTTAACACTTTATAATGTCTTCAAAATAATGATTAACTCTATTCACATTATGTATCTTAATTATGAAAACTGCATAGTAAGGAATTACATTCAGCTGGAAAAAAATGACAAATTAAGGTGTTTACTTGTCTTACTTGAAGGGAGTTCAGAGCTAGGTTGCTGTGGCAGGTCTGAATGTGTTCAGGAATCTAGGCTTCATCTTCTTTCCACTCAGATGTCATTAACATCATTGTCACCTCATAGTCACAAGACGCATGTCCATCCTGAACATTACATCAATGTCCCAGGCAGGAAGATGGGAAGACAAAAGACAGAAGGTATGTGCCAACTTAACCTGGCTGTCTTGAGCTTTGATGGAAGCACCACCAGTATTTCCACTTATATCTCATTCTGTAGATCTGTTTCACAATGGAGGTACATTGTTACCCTCAACTAAACTGAAGTCCTGTTGTTAGGGAGAAAAGATTTTGACTATAGGGTCATAGTGTCTACCAAAATAAAAGTTCTAATTCTTACAATTTCATTGAAAACCTATCTATTCTTCAGCTCATAACAAGGATCAGATCATATGGTTTTGGCATAGTGTATTGTAACTTTATATACCTTGTACTATTTTAAATCGTTAAACAACATATTACTTGCAATGGTCAGTATGGATGAATAATTTTGATGGTTTGCAGGTGCACGTCTTGGACTAGGTTTATCAACCTTATTGCTATTAATATTTGGGTCAGAAAATTCTTTGTTATGGAGGCTGTTCTCTGCCTTGCAAAATGTTTAACAGCACCCCTGACTTCTACATGCTAGAAGCCAGTAGCCCTCCCCACCTCTAGTTGAGACAACGAAAAATGCCTCCAGATATTGCCCATGCTCTCTGGGAGGAAAAAATGTTGTTGGCTGAGAAACACTCTCTTGGATGGATGAGATTTTTTTTGTAATGGCATTAAAATTACCTGGGATGTCTTTTAAAAAAGACTCTACTCCCAATTTTCTGATTCAGTGGATATTCTTTGAAGCTTCCTAATTTGTTTTCATTAAGTCCCTTGTATAATTCTGACACATACCCAAGTTTGGAAATCATTATATCATACAAAGGCTAAATTACCCAGCAGTCAAGATGGAGCCTGTCACTTAGACAAATGATAAAAGGGAAAAAGCTAGAAGCACTTGGAACCAGGCTTGGAGAGACAACCTCTGTTGAGGTCACCCACAAAGGAGCACAGCAAATTGTCTAAGTCATGGTGTCCAAAGGAAAAAGGTGCTCTCAGGATAGTACTTGTAGCTGAGTAGTACTCTAAAACACTGAGAGTTATTACAATAGCTATTCAATCTTTCTGAACACAATTGGACAAGCATCAATATTATACATTTACAATTTAAAAGAAAGGGCCAGGTACAGTGGCTCACACCTGTAATCCCAACACTTTGGGAGGCAGAGGCGGGAGAAGCACTTGAGCTCACGAGTTCAAGACCAGCCTGGACAACATGGTGAACCCCAGTCTCTACAAAAACTACAAAAAATTAGCTGGGCGTGGTGGCGGGCGCCTGTAGTCCCAGCTACTCGGGAGGCTGAGGCAGGAGAATGGCGTGAACCCAGGAGGTGGAGCTTGCAGTGAGCCAAGATTGCGCCACTGCACTCCAGCCTGGGCGACAGAGCGACACTCCATCTCAAAAAAAAAAAAAAAAAAAAAAAAGAAAGAAAAGAAAAGAAAAAAAACTTAGCCAGGCAGGGTGGTCTGTGCCTGTTCCAGCTACTCAAGAGGGAGTCTGAGGTGGGAGAATTGCTTGAGCCCGGGAGGCAGAGGTTGCAGTGAGCCGAGATCGCGTCACTGCGCTCCAGCCTGAGTGATAGAGCCAGACCTTGCCTCAAAAAAATAAAATAAAATAAGGAAGTAATATTATCATTCATTTATAACGATCACATAAATGATAATTATGGTAATATTACCATTAATAATATTAATGACTTCATTATAATGAAGTAAAATTATCAAATTTTACACTTAAATAGAATCAATAGGAAAACAGAAAGTTTATTAAATGCCTGAGAAAAGAGTATACAGAAAAACAAATATACATATTATATAATATATGTATCTACATACACACGTACAACATTATACTCACAAGCAACAACTAGTTAGAAGATATGATGGAAGATTCCATTTATGATGGCAATAAATATCTAAAAATAAAATTAAGTAAATGTGAAAATTTATATTTAGGAGACTAAAGTGTACTGGAATGAATAAAAGTATAAGTCTGCTTCTTGGATAAAAAGACTCAACATCATAAAGATAAATATTATCCCTAAGCTAATCACTAGCCATACATTTTTCTAATTAGCAAGGTGATTCTAAAGATTACGAACAATAATAAAGTAAGAACAATGTAGCAGATAGCACTACCAGATATTAAAACAGATTTTAAAGGTTAAATGATTTAAAGTATGTTGTTAGTGCATGAGTAGAGAGAATCATGAAAGAAACAGACTAAGATGAGAAATATGCAAAATACAAATGGGAATTTGTAACATGATTAAAGTGCCATTCTAAATCAGTAGAAAAAATAATTATCATTCACTCTATGAGAAGATCAAGGATTTAAATTTCAAAAATAAAACCAAAAAGTAATTTTAAACAATCAGTAAATTTTCTGTTTAAAACAAGGAAAGACCTTTTTAGCATACCATCAAATCTGTAAGCTATTAAATAAAAGACAAATACATTTGACTCTTTAAAAACTAAAATAAAAAAATATGAATTAAAATACCACCATGAACAGAGTCAAAGGCAAATGTCCAATTGAGGGGAAGATGCAGCCTATAGACAAAGGACAAATTTCTACAGTATGTAAACAGCTTTACAAATCAACAAGATACATTGGCCAATCTTACTGAAAAAATGAACACAAGATATGAACTAAAAGTTCATATATAGAGAAATAAAAGTGGTATTTTTAAAATGTGAAAGATGCAAAATTTTACTTATAATAAGATAAATGTGAATTAAAAGACAATTGAGATACCACTTTCTATCTGTGTAACAAACATCCAAAAGCCTGATAACAATGGAAAAATCTGGACTCTCATTCATCACGGGAGGATGACTTGCTCTATCTTTTTTGTGAGCAATTTTGAAAAATCTGCTAAAATTATCATTGTACAAACTCTTTGAACCAATAATTCCACTTTAGAAATTTACCATGTAGGTACACATGTATTCGTTTTCTATTGTTAACATACTTGTATTGGTTTTCTATCACTGCTGTAACAAATTGCCACAAATTTAAACTTCAGCATACACATTTATTATCTCACAGTTCTGTAGGTCAGAAGACAGATGGGTTTGGCTGTTTTTTTTAGTTTAGAATCTCTCAAGGTTTTGACAGGGCTGTACTTTAATCTGAAGCTTCTGCTTATTCAAATTCTGCAGAATTCAGTCTCTTGCAGTTCTAAGGAAAAGAACCCCATTTATTTATATATCCATTCATTCATTCAATTATTCGTTGATTGATTTATTTGTTGTTGACTGTCAGCTAAGAAGAGTCACCAGCTTCTAAAGGCTACCTGCCTGGAGTCCCTGAATTCTGACTCACTTCTTCTATCTTAAAAGCCACAAAGATGGGTCAAGTTCCTCTCATGTTTCAAATCTCTTCTGCCTCTGTGTCCATATTGTGTCACTCTGACTGACCTCTTCCAGTCAACTCAAGTTGCAAAAGTTCCTCTTCCACTTTTAAGAACCTGTGTGATTACGTTAGGCCCACCTAGGTAATCTTCCTATTTGACGATCCATGACCATAATTTCATCTGCACAATTCCTTGTACCATGCAATATAACATGCATACAACATAGCCCTAGAGGTTGAAAATTATAGGGTTAAACTTCTCCCTACCATATTGATATATATTCAAAACTATTTACAGCACCACTGTTGGCAATAGCAAAAATAAATGAAAACAATCTAAAAATCCTCCAAAAAGGACAGATTAAGGATATTATGGGAACTCGTACAATGGAACATTATTCAATTGTGAGTAAAAATTGAGGAAGAGCCCTATTTTCAAATACAAAAAGCTCTTAAGGACTCGTTAAGTGAAAAAAGCAATGAGCAGAACTATGCATACTATGCTACAGAATTTTTTTTCTAGATAAACAAAAGGAAAAGAAAAGTAAATATAAGATTTTTGTTTAAAACTGAGACTGATTCTTTCAAGCAGAATAAAAGATATTTAACAGACTTGTAATTTTCATAACATGTAAACTTATTTCAAACAAAATTTTTAAAAAGAGAGTTAAATAAATTTCTTTGTGCATTTTGGTCTCTGTGGTTTTATTGTTGCTATTGTTGTTCATAGTTAGATACAGGTAAAGAAGGAAAGCTGGTCTAAAATTAAAATGAGCTATGGAATTGCCTGCCACAAAAAGCTATATATCCTTCACAGGTTTTAACCAAGTATTTCATTTTCTCCTTCAGTTCCTTATGCATACTATGTATGAGCTGTTACTGCCGCATCTCTAAAGATATCTTAATAACTAATAAAAACTGCAAAATGTTACTTTAAATTAAATCATCACAGTATTATTGGCCTTCAACCAATATTTTTAATGAAAGCATATTGTATAGCTGAATTACAAATTTGAAGCCTCTAGTTGACAAAATTGCAAAAGGAAAAACTCACATCTCAGAAAGTGGCATTTTATGGAAGCCTTCAAAAAATATGGGGGAAAAGCAATCTATCTTTCTCAAAAAAAGCTGTTTACTTTTACTTTATTTGTTTTTGAGCGAATTTAAAATCACATTTACTTGTTTCTCTTCTCATTGCCTTTTTGCCTATCTCATTGATATTTCAGGCTCAATAGATCCAAAGTCAGAACATGTTCCTTTCTCCCTACCACCTAACCCCAAATGTATCCCTTTTCTTAATGTCTCTGTCTCTGTTAATATTATATATCTGTCTTAGTTTGCTCCAAATACCACAACAAAATACCACATACTGGGTGGTTTAAACAACAAAAAAACCATTTTCTTACATTTCTAGAGGCTAAAAGTCCAAGATCAAGGCACTGGCAAGGTTAGTGTCCTCTGAGGACTCCCTCCTAGGTTTGCAGGTGGCCACCTTCTTGCCACGTTCTCAGGTGGTCATCTCTAGGTACACGTGCACAGGCACCCCGTTCTCTCTCCACTCTCCACTCTCTGTATGTGTCTTGATCTTCTCTTCTTATAAAAATAACAGTTAGATTGAATTAGGACCCTCTCTGAAAGCCTATTTAACCTAATTACCTCTTTAAAGGTCCTGTCTCTCACATTCATAGGATACTGGGGGTCAGAACCTCGACATAGGAATTCTAGGAAACACAATCCAGCCCATAATAACATCCAAATATTCTAATCACTCAAGAAGGGCTGATGCCGTTTGACTCCTTCCTCTCTTTACCTCTTTCCATTCAAATAGGTTTTGTACAGATTCTACTATGTCACCTTTTTGTACTCTCCATTTCTACTCTAATGGAGATTTCTTATTTGGACTAATTCCTACAGCATGTTAACAAACTCTCCAATACTGCCTTACACTTTGCCAATAGATCTGTCTAAAAGTTTGCAGTGATAATTCTATATAAACTCAAAGACCTTCAGTGACTATTACATTATTTTCTAATGATTGCCTAATAATTACTTAAACTGCTTTTTAAAAATGTCTTTTAAGGCCTATTCTCATCTCTTTCCTAAGCCTCTAATGTTATGTCCCATGATTTCCCTGTAGAGACTTTAGTCTTAGAACAGTGTGTTCATACTGTGCAGAAATAATTATTGGCGAATCATGACACTAATTTTGGCCAGCATTTACGAATAGAATAGAATAGAATAGAATAGAATAGAATAGAATAGAATAGAATAGAATAGAATAGAATAGAATAGAATAGAATAGAATGGATCAGAGTAATATTAAAGAGTATCTAGATATTCATCCACATTATAAAGTTTTAGTTCAGGCCTCTTTTTCTTCTCCATCAAGTTATTCCTTGAGGCTTCCCTGAACTTTTTATTTTATGCCTTTCTCTGAATATTTTCCAGACATTATTACCTTATAGGTAATTAGATTGTACAACACATGAATATAAATTACATTTATTTTCCCAAGCAATAACTGAATTCTGTGCACAGAAGTCCTTATTTTCTGAAATCTTTCCTCTGACTCTTGACTCACAGGTGGGTTCAAAACCTGGGAATGTGCCACGTGGTGACTCTGCACAGCAGCATGACAGCAGTTAAGGCATTAAAAACACCACATTCCCCAACATTTATCAGAGTTTGAAACCTCCTAAGCACCCATTTTGAATTTTACACTGGGCAATTTAAATGTAACACTGAATGGACCTGAACTATTAGTCATGTACAAGTGCTGCTGTAAGTACTTAAAAAGATTTGTGTTGGTTAAACATCCACAGAGCTAGGGCGCTGCAAACCAACCAACAAAACAAAAACCTAGGAGCCAAAGTCTTCCTGACTGCTGGGAACAGAAGTGAAGTTTGGCTGTTACAGCAAAAGACTTAGTGGGATGGGAGGACCCTTTTATGGTAAAATAAGGTGAGAATACAACACAATATCTGGTCTAGACAGGGAAGGGATATAAATAACAGCAAATTATTTCTGATGGATTTTATTTTTTAAAGGAAATTTCAAAATAAATCAATGCTATATGTCTTAGTCCATTTGGGCTACTACAACAAAAATACCACAGACTGGATGGCTTAAACAACAAGTTTTATTTCTCATGATTCTGAAGACTGGGAGTCCAAGATCAAGGTACTGGCTGATTCAGTGCCTGGTGAGAACCCCCTTCTTAGTTCATAGATGGCTGTCTTCTTACTGTGTCCTCACATAGAAGACAGAGGGAGGGAGCCCAGGCACAGTGGCTCACGCCTGTAATCCCAGCACTTTGGGAGGCCAAGGCAGGTGGATCACTTGAGGTCAGGAGTTCGAGACCAGCCTGGCCAACATGGTGAAACCCCATCTCTATTAAAAATACAAAAATTAGCTGGGTGTGGTGGTGGGTGCCTGTAATCCCAGCTACTGAGGAGGCTGGGGCAGGAGAATTACTTGAACTCAGGAGGTGGAGGCTGCAGTGAGCTGAGATCATGTCACTGCGATCCAGGCTAGGCAACACAGTGAGACTCTGTCACAAAAAATAAAAATAAAAAAATAAAAAGAGTGAGGTAGTTTTTTGGGGTCTCTTTCATAAGGGCACTAATCCCATTTGTGAAGGCTGCACCCTCATGACCTAATCACCGCCCAAACTCCTGGTACCATCACCTTGGGTGTTAGAATTTCAACATATAAATTTTAGGGGAACACAAACATTCAGTCATTAGCTTCATATCATTGAAATTAATTTTAAACTCTTTTATCCATCCAATGATGTTGCAAAGTCCATTTGATTGGCACCTGCATGTGTCCCAGAAACCAAATGAACTGATTTGGGTTACCTCTATCCTGCCACTCCTTGCTCTATGTATATTTTGAGTAACACTAAAGAAATCACTGAGGCAGAGAGAGGTTTGTCTTCCACTAGTCAAAACATGGGCACATGTGTGAAGACTATTTTTATTTAAAAAAAAAAATACATAGAAACATTGGATGAGGAATTAAAAGTGGTTCAAGTTAACCATAGTGCATGTCATCAGAACTTTGGGGGCATTGAGAGTTTTGGCCACACAAGATTTGTGCTTGAAAGAAAATGTGCAGACCACAAAAAATAAAGAGTACACACTTCAAATTACAAGAAAATTTATATTTTAAATTGTGTTCAATATTATCAACAAATTACAAGACTAATGCTTACACATTTATGATTTAAATGGCACCAAATTTTTCATTATAGCTAAGAATAATTCTTCCACTGGCCATTTATTTCTTATATTATCTAGGCTGATTATTCCTCAGTTAAAATTCCCCATTTCTCATATTATCCAGTCTGATTATCCCCCAGTACTAAAGTGCTATGTCAAAATATTGGGTATTTTCCTTATGAGGCCACTGTTAATATACATGTAGTAATTTGAAACAGCCTCTTGAGACTTATACAATTGGAATAGGAACAGCTCCAGTCTGCAGCTCCCAGCGTGATCAATGCAGAAGACAGCTGATTTCTGCATTTCCAACTGAGGTACCTGGTTCATCTCATTGGGACTGGTTGGACAGTGGGTGCAGCCCACAGAGGGTGAGCTGAAGCAGGGTGGGGCATCGCCTCACCCGGGAAGTGCAACGGGTTGGGGGATTTCCCTTTCCTACCCAAGGGAAGCCGTGACAGACTGTACCTGGAAAAATGGGACACTCTTGCTCAAATACTGGGCTTTTCCAATGGTCTTGGCAAACGGCACACCAGGAGATTATATCCCACACATGGCTCAGTGAGTCCCATGCTCAGGGAGACTTGCTCACTGCTAATGCAGCAGTCTGAGATTGACCTGCAAGGCAGCAACCCAGCAGGAGGAGGGGCAAACACCATTGCTGAAGCTTCAGTACATAAAGTGTCGGGAAGCTCGAACTGGGCAGAGCCCACCGCAGTGCAGCAAGACTGGCTGCCTCTATAGACTCCACCTCTGGGGGCAGGGCATAGCTGAACAAAAGGCAGCAGAAACTTCTGCAGACTTAAACGTCTCTGTCTGACAGCTCTGAAGAGAGCAGTGATTCTCCTAGCATGTTGTTTGAGCTCTGAGAACAGACAGACTGCCTCCTCAAGTGGGTCCTTGACCCCTGTGTAGCCTAACTGGGAGACACCTCCCAGCAGGGACCAACTGACACCTCATACAGGTGGGTGCCCCACTACAAAGCTTCCAGAGGAAGGATCAGGCAGCAATATTTGCTGTTCTGCAATATTTGCTGTTCTACAGCCTCCACTGGTGATACCATGGCAAACAGGGTCTGCAGCAAACTCCAACAGACCTGCAGCTGAAGGACCTGACTGTTAGAAGGAAAACTAAGAAACAGAAAGGAATAGCATCAACATCAGCAAAAAGGACATCCACACCAAAACCCCATCTGTAGGTCACCAACATCAAAGACCAAAGATAAATAAAACCACAAAGATGGGGAGAAACCAGAGCAGAAAAGCTGAAAGTTCTAAAAACCAGAGCACCTCTTCTCCTCCAAAGGATCACAGCTCCTCGCCAGCAATGGAACAAAGCTGGATGGAGAATGACTTTGATGAGTTGACAGAAGTAGGCTTCAGAAGGTCGGTAATAGCAAACTTCTCCAAGATAAAGGAGGAAGTTTCAACACATCGCAAGGTAGCTAAAAACCTTGAAAAAAGATTAGATGAATGGCTAACTAGAATAAACAGTGTAGAGAAGATCTTAAATGACCTGATAGAGCTGAAAACCATGGCACGAGAACTACGTTACACATGCACAAGCTTCAATAGCCGATTCGATCAAGTGGAAGAAAGGGTATCAGTGATTGAAGATCAAATTAACGAAATAAAGCGAGAAGAGAAGTTTAGAGAAAAAAGAGTAAAAAAGAAATATGGGACTATGTGAAAAGACCAAATCTACATTTGATTGGTATACCTGAAAGTGAGGAGGAGAATGAAACCAAGTTGGAAAACACTCTTCAGGATATTATCCAGGACAACTTCCCCAACCTAGCAAGGCAGGCCGACATTCAAATTCAGGAAATACAGAGAACACCACAGATACTCCTCGAGAAGAGCAACCACAAGACACATAATTGTCAGATTCACCAAGGTTGAAATGAAGGAAAAAATGTTAAGGGCAGCCAGAGAGAAAGGTCGGGTTACCCACAAAGGGAAGCCCATCAGACTAACAGCAGATCTCTCTGCAGAAATCCTAGAAGCCGAAGAGAGTGGGGGCCAATATTCAACATTCTTAAAGAAAAGAATTTTCAACCCAGAATTTCATATGAAGCCAAACTAACCTTCACAAGTGAAGGAGAAATAAAATACTTTACAGACAAGCAAATGCTGAGAGATTTTGTCACCACCAGGTCTCTCTTACAAGAGCTCCTGAAGGAAGAACTAAACATGGAAAGGAACAACCAGTACCAGTCACTGAAAAAAAAAAAAAAAAACACAAATTGTAAAAACCATCAATGTTAGGAGGAAACTGCATCAATTAACAGGCAAAATAACCAGGATCATCGTAATGACAGGATCAAATTCACACATAACAATATTAACCTTAAATGTAAATGGGCTAAATGCCCCAATTAAAAGACACAGAATGGCAAATTGGATAAAGAGTCAAGACCCATCAGTGTGCTGTATTCAGGAGACCCATCTCACATGCGAAGACACACATAGGCTCAAAATAAAGGGATAGAGGAAGATCTACCAAGCAAATGGAAAGCAAAAAAAAAGCAGGGGTTGCAATCCTAGTCTCTGATTAAACAGACGTTAAACCAACAAAGATCAAAAGAGAAAAGAAGGCCATTACATAATGGTAAAGGGATCAATTCAACAAGAAGAGCTAACTATCCTAAATATATATGCACCCAATACAGGAGCACCCAGATTCGTAAGGCAAGTTCTTAGAGACCTACAAAGAGACTTAGACTCCCACACAATAATAATCTGAGACTTTAACATCAATATTAGACAGATCAATGAGACAGAAGGTTAACAAGGACATCCAGGACATGAACTCAGCTCTGCACCAAGCAGAACTGATAGACATTTACAGAACTCTCCACCCTAAATCAACAGAATATACATTCTTCTCAGCACCACATCTCACTTATTCCAAAATTGACCACATAGCTTCAACTAAAGCACTCCTCAGCAAATGTAAAAGAACAGAAATCACAACAAACTGTCTCTCAGACCAAAGTGCAATCAAATTAGAACTCAGAATTAAGAAACTCACTCAAAACTGCACAACTACGTGGAAACTAACAACCTGCTCCTGAATGACTATTCGGTAGATAACAAAATGAAGGCACAAGTAAAGATGTTCTTTGAAACCAATGAGAACGAAGACATAACATACCAGAATCTCTGGGACACATTTAAAGCAGTGTGTAGAGGGAAATTTATAGCACTAAATGCCCACAAGAGAAAGCAGGAAAGATCTAAAATCAACACCCTAACATCACAATTAAAAGAACTAGAGAAGCAAGAGCAAACACATTCAAAAGCTAGCAGAAGGCAAGAAATAACTAAAATCAGAGCAGAACTGAAGGAGATAGAGACACAAAAAACCCTTCAAATAATCAATGAATCCAGGAGCTGGTTTTTTGAAAATATCAACAAAATTGATAGGCCGCTAGCAAGACTAATAAAGAAGAAAAGAGAGAAGAATCAAATAGACGCAATAAAAAATGATAGAGGGGATATCACCACCAATCCCACAGAAATACAAATTACCATCAGAGAATACTATAAACACCTCTACACAAATAAACTAGAAAATCTAGAATAAACGGATGAATTCCTAGACACATATACCCTCCCAAGACTAAAACAGGAAGAAGTTGAATCTCTGAATAGACAAATAACAGGCTCTGAAATTGAGGCAATAATTAATAGCCTACCAACCAAAAAACGTCCAGGACCAGATAGATTCACAGGCAAATTCCACCAGAGGTACAAAGAGGAGCTGGTACCATTCCTTCTGAAACTATTCCAATCAATAGAAAAAGAGGGAATCCTCCCTAACTCATTTTATGAGGCCAGCATCATCCTGATACCAAAGCCTGGCAGAGACACAACAAAAAAAGAGAATTTTAGACCAATATCCCTGATGAACATCGATGCAAAAATCCTCAATAAAATACTGGCAAACCGAATCCAGCAGCACATCAAAAAGCTTATCCACCACATTCAAATTGGCTTCATCCCTGGGATGCAAGGCTTGTTCAACATACACAAATCAATAAACGTAATGCATCACATAAACAGAATCAACAACAAAAACCACAAGATTATCTCAATAGATACAGAAAAGGCCTTTTACAAAATTCAACAGCCCTTCATGCTAAACACTCTCAATAAACTAAGTATTGATGGGACAGATCTCAAAATAATAAAGACTATTTATGACAAACCCACAGTCTATATCATACTGAATGGGCAAAAACTGGAAACATTCCCATTGAAAACTGGCACAAGACAGGGATGCCCTTTTTCACCACTCCTATTCAATATAGTGTTGGAAGCTCTGGCCAGGGCAATCAGGCAGGAGAAAGAAATAAAGGGTATTCAATTAGGAAAAGAGTAAGTCAAATTGTCCCTATTTGCAGATGACATGATTGTATATTTAGAAAACCCCATCATCTCAGCCCAAAATCTCCTTAAGCTGATAAGCAACTTCAGCAAAGTCTCAGGATACAAAATCATTGTGCAAAAATCACAACCATTCCTATACACCATAACAGACAAACAGAGAGCCAAATCATGAGTGAACTCCAATTCACAATTGCTACAGAGAGAATAATACCTAGGAATCCAACTTACAAGGGATGTGAAGGATGTCTTCAAGGAGAACTGAAAACCACTGCTCAACCAAATAAAAGAGGACACAAACAAATGGAAAAACATTCCATGCTCATGGATAGGAACAATCAATATCGCGAAAATGGCCATACTGCCCAAGGTAATTTATAGATTCAATGCCATCCTCATCAAGCTACCAATGTCTTTCTTCACAGAATAGGAAAAAACTACTTTAAAGTTCATATGGACCAAAAAAGAGCCTGCATAGCCAAGTCAATCCTAAGCAAAAAGAACAAAGCTGGAGGCATCATGCTACCTGACTTAAACTACACTACAAGGCTACTGTAATCAAAACAGCATGGTACTGGTACCAAAACAGATATGTAGACCAATGAAACAGAACAGAGGACTCAGAAATAACACCACACATCTACAGCCATCTGATCTTTGACAAACCTGACAAAAACAAGAAATGGGGAAAGAATTCCCTATTTAATAAATGGTGCTGGGAAAACTGGCTAGCCATATGTAGAAAGCTGAAACTGGATCCCTTCCTTACACTTTACACAAAAATTAATTCAACATGGATTAAAGACTTAAATGTTAGACCTGAAACTATAAAAGCCCTAGAAGAAAACCTAGGCAATACCATTCAGTACATAGACATGGGCAAGTGCTTCATGACTAAAATACCAAAAGCAATGGCAACAAAAGCCAAAACAGACAAATGGGATCTAATTAAACTAAAGAGCTTCTGCACAGCAAAAGAAACCACCATCAGAGTGAACAGGCAACCTACAGAATAGGAGAAAATTTCTGCAATCTACCCATCTGACAAAGGGCTAATATCCAGAATCTACAAAGAACTTAAACAAATTTTCAAGAAAAAAGCAAACAATCCCATCAAAAAGTGGGCAAAGGATATGAACAGACACTTCTCAAAAGAAGACATTTATGCAGCCAACAGACACATGAAAAAATGCTCATCATCACTGGTCATGAGAGAAATGCAAATCAAAACCACAATGAGATACCATTTCATACCAGTTAGAATGGTGATCATTAAAAAGTCAGGAAACAACAGATGCTGGAGAGGATGTGGAGAAATAGGAATGTTTTTACACTGTCAGTGGGAGTGTAAATTAGTTCAACCATTTTGGAAGACAGTGTAGCGATTCCTCAAGGATCTTGAACTAGAAATACCATTTGACCCAGTGATCCCATTACTGGGTATATACCCAAAGGATTATAGATAATGCTACTATAAAGACACATGTACACGTATGTTTATTGCGGCACTACTCACAATAGCAAAGACTTGGAACCAACCCAAATGCCCATCAATGATAGACTGGATTTAGAAAATGTGGCATGTATACACCATGGAATACTATGCAGCCATAAAAAAGGATGAGTCCATGTCCATTGCAGGGACATGGATGAAGCTGGAAATCATCATTCTGAGCAAACTATCACAAGGATAGAAAACCAAACACTGCATATTCTCACTCGTAGGTGGGAATTGAACAATGAGAACACTTGGACACAGGGAGGGGAATATCACACACCAGGCCTGTCATGGGGTTGGGGGCAGAGGGAGGGATAGCATTAAGAGAAATACCTAATGTAAATGACGAGTTAATGGATGCAGCAAACCAACATGGCACATGTATACTATTTAACAAACCTGCACGTTGTGCACATGTACCCTAGAACTTAAAAGTATAATAAAAAAATAAAAATTAAAAATAAATAAATAAAAAGACTTATACAATCATCACTTTTTTTTTTTTTTTTTTTGAGATAGAGTGTCACTCTGTTGCCCAGGCTGGAGTGCAGTGGCACGATCTCAGTTCACTGCAACCTCTGTCTCCCAGGTTTAAGCAATTCTCATGCCTCAGCATCCCGAGTAACTGGAATTACAGGTGTGCACCACCATGCCTGGCTAATTTTTTTATTATTATTATTATTTTTAGGACAGACAGGGTTTCACCATATTGTCCAGGCCAGTCTTGAACTCCTGACCTTGTGATCTGCCTGCCTCGGCCTCCCAAAGTGCTGGGATTACAGGCATGAGCCACCATGCCTGGCCATGACTTCCTGTAACATTAATTAGATTGTTTCTCACACCACCTCCATGAAAATCAGTGGGGGTAGTTTTTCAAACTGAAGATTTTTGGTACCTCCCTTGGATCTATTTAATATGAAACTCTGGATCATGGCTTACATTTCTGAATTCTTAACAAATCCCTAGACTTTCTCTTGTACCACTGCCAATTGCCCTCTGTCGAGGTTTCATAAGAAAAATATATTTGCAGTTTCTACTTAACTTCATTTTACAACTTTGGAGCAAATATATATCACTCAGGTACTGGGAAGAGGAATAAAGGGAGCAGGAGAATGAGGAAAAGAAGCGAAATCTAATGAGATTATGAAAGGGAAGCCTCAATAGGAGAGAAATGCTGGCAGAAATTGTCTTCTAAGTTCACAATTTTGCCATCATATCCAACCATGTTTTTAGTACTACATTCTTGGGATAAAGGGGAGATATCAGCTTCTGGGAGGACTTTTGTCCCTTGTTATGTTTCAATACTGGTGAGAAATCTTCACTGAGTAGCAGTAGCTGTGGTCACTTGATGTAGAGGGGACAGAGCTTGCTAATCCCTTTAACACATTAACTGTTAATGCTATTATTACTCATGATGTTACTGTTCTTTGGAACCTGTTTGTACTGAAGCAATATCTTTACGTTACTTTTATTTTTTATTATTTGTCTTTAACTTTTATTTTAGGGTTTAGGGGTACATGTGCAGGTTTTTTATATAGGCAAATTGTATGTCACGGAGGTTTGGTGCACAGATTATTTCACTACCTAGCTAATAGACGTAGTGCCTGATAGGTAGTTTTTTGGTCCTCACCCCCCTCCTACACTTTACCCTGAAGTAGGCTCCGTTGTTTGTTGTTCCCTTCTCTGTGTCCATGTGTACTCAATGTTTAGCTCCCACTGATAAGTAAGAACATGCTTAAACTACTTACTTACTGCTGATTATATCATTACTCATGGTGCTATATCATCCATCATGCTGCCGATAAATATCCGCACTCATTGTCTCTCTCAAAAGTTCTACTATGCTTTGTTGATGATGACCATAAGTGCAAGTCTTACCCAGAGGATGCAAGAAACTAAATGGTAATTTGCTTTCTGGTCATGTTATATTTGCCATTTGGAATTCAATATTGCAGTCACATATCAACATATTTTCACCCGCTCACTTCTACATATTGCCAAAAGCAGAAAGGATAGACAAGTCTCTATGTGGGGTGATAAGAATGACCTCATTTTGTACAAAGAATATCTGTCCGTTGTCAACCATGTGTTAAGACCAACCCAGGAGAGTATGACATCAGTGAAGCATTAGTGTTAAGGAGAAAATAGTCTTAAAGTCCTCAGAGGACGTAGAAGGAGACAGGAGCTGAGGCCATTTCTGGAGGATTACCTGACATGCAGCATGGAGGCTCAGAAGGATTGGGGTAACCGCTGTGAATGTCAGTGGTCGGTCTGCACAGAGTAAATGATGCCTGCTTGTTACCTCTGTGTATGAGTGCGAGAGACTGGAGACCGCACTATTGTCGGAACAGATATGTTCGTGAGCCATTGTGTTAGCCCACACTGTTGCTTAAGCCTAAGGGGTGGTAATGAGCATGGGCGGCCCACAGCCTTAAAGTCTTCCTGCAGTCCACAATGTGCATGAGGGTCACTCAAATTCAGTGTGTAAACACTAACACAGCTGTCCAGTCTTATGCAACCATGCAAACAAATAGACCACCACCACCACCAACAAAAAACCCATCACTCTGGCCAGTGAGCATGATCTTCTTGCCAGTCTGGGCTCCTGGAACTAGGACCTGGAATGGGGATCAGGGACAACTCCATAGGAACAGAGCTCAGAGCTCCTTGTGACATCTGGTCAACCTCACCCACTGAGTAGAATATTGAAAAGTGTCCCCCCGGAAGAGAACTGGGGCTCAGTTCAGACTCAGATGCTTCACATAAAATGCACTGAATTCTCAGATATGGGAGAAGGGCTTAGAAAATGTGAAAATGACACACAAAGGCATAAAACTTTGTTAATCTCAGACCAGGGAAGGGGCCTGGTTTGCATGGACTTAAGAAAAGTAGTCTTGATAATAAAGCTCTAATGTTAAAGGGCTGATGAACGGACATAAACCTTGGTCAATGTTAATCTCTTTCAACAGTGCTTAAAATTTCTTTTTGATTAATTCATGACAATAACGGTATGTATTTGAGGTCAGGTTAATTAAGTCTTTAAGTTCTTCAGAACAGACTGATCTCTGTCCTCTCTACATCAGCATTGCTTTCTTTTCCTCATGGAGGAAGAAATGAGGTTATTCAAGAATGATGCATTTGACAATGAAGAACAGGAAGAGATGGATCCTAGACCTGAAGCTAAAGAGTTAGTGCCTCAACCCTGTAACAAAACTTCATGTGCACTGAAGGAACAATATTTTTAAAAAATAAGTACCCTTCCCTACTTCTATTTTAAATCATCATTAACAAATCACTATTCTTCATGTGGAACCATACATTTTTTAATAAATTTGTAATCAAATTGCCCTTAGTTCTCTCTTTCTCCACTATGAGGGCATGAAACTTATGGCCCTCCACAGAGAGGGCCATAAGACATAAGAAAGTTGTCAACCATTCCAAATCATTATCTAGACAGGTGCCTCCCAAAAATATTTACCTGGAGGACTTCAAACCCTAGTGGTGGACTTGATTATCAATTCCCTTCCAGTAAATCTCTCTCTCTCTCTCTCTCTCTCTCTCCTGTTCCCCACTCCTCAACCTCTCCTCTATTCCAACTGGTATCTCATAACTATCAGTGAAGCTGGAATGAGAGACTACATCTATGATCTCATCTGATGATTTTATGTCCTGATTTTGTCCTGATTTTTTTAAGAAACAATTATTGTTGACGTTTGGAATCTTACCACAGGGCAGGAGGATAGACATAGCTAGGGTTTACTGATGAAGAAGTTAAAGTCTTGTCTGTCTCATAAAGCTAACTGAATAACAAATGTATCGCTTAAATATCCAAACGGTGTAGCTGGCTTATTAAAATGGTGTGGGCTGAGAGACTAATTGTGACCTCTTTCCTCGTTATGTTTTTGCTTGAAAAAGTACTCAGCTTGCTTTCGGTTGTCCATATGTTGGTGAAGATGCCTGATTGTATGAAGCTAAAGTCTTCTAAACAACAAAAGTTGAGGGTGACTTAAAACTGTAATCATTTAGCTTTGGAAATAAACTTTGTGGAGAGGAAATTAATATTAACTTAAAATGCTGGAAAAAGCATAAAGAAATCAATCCATACCTACAAAGTGTATTTCTTGAAATCTTGCTTATGATATTTTCCTCTAAGATATATATCTATATAAAACTAATTTGAAAATAATAAATTCCCCACTATATTTTAACAAATATTTTTAGGTATTTTGTTTAAAATCCTTGACTGTTAGGCTGCATTGTCTGTTTTGCTTCTTTACAATAACTTGTGCTTGAGGAATACAGACCTGCTAAGGTTGATTGGGTGAAAGCCATTACATTTGGCAAAGTGCCTTGGATAAATCAACGAATTCCTGAAGGCCTGGCCTTTAGATTCAAACCTCTGTTAGCACGTAAGAAGGAAGCAACGTGTCATTTCTGAGTGACATGTTGTCCCAAGAAGACATAACATCCAGCTCCATTCTACCACCTAAAAATGGCTCTTGCGAGCTCTCTTATCTCCTGCCCCCCCTCAACCCGTATCTTCCTGTCCCCATTAAACTCTAATGCTTTATCTGGTATGAGTGAGAAACAAATGGTACTCAGCAGAAACCTAGATAACTGATAAGTCAAGGTCAGTGGTCCCAAAGAGAGCCCCTTTAGTTTTCTCCTTAAAAGAAAAAGACAGCTGAAAAAAGCAGATTTCACAAAATGGGAAATGGAAAACATATTGTATGCATTTAAAATGGGTGATTTGAATGCAAAGGAAATCCCTTTTGCCCTTAGTTCTCTCTTTCTCCACTATGAGGGCATGAAACTTTAGAAGGTACCGAGAGGGCCATAAGACATGAGAAAGTTTCCAACTATTCCAAATCATTATCCATATGTGGATTTTAAAAACCGTTATTCCTATGAGATTGTTTTTTAATTTCTAAGGCTCCATAGGGCATTCTTTGTCTTATATCCTGTATTCCTCCTTTGTTTGGATGTTATAAAGCAGTACTTAAACTCTATAGTTCATTCTGATGAATAGTTTTATTTACTCAGGAATATGATCTTCATCTCAAAAGAACTAGATGTAGCATTTGATACAAAGGTCACCACTGCTATATTGCTTACAAATTACGAATTTAATAGCACTTCTGTCTTCCTCTTTACCCCTACCATCCATATAGGACTAGTGTGAAAGAAAGACCTGTTCTTCTGGCAGGTTGAATATAAAACACTGGAGTTTTTGTTTAAATGAAAATCGTTTCATTTTTCATTTCTGAAATCAAACCAATGGCCTCTCAGTGGTTCAATTAATGCATATGAAAACTTGATGGAAGCTGTAACTTACTACTGCTGTTACGTTATTCTTTAGGAAATATGATATTTTAAAATACATTTTCAATTTACCACATTCTATGCTAAAATATTTTAAACTAAAATTTTCTATCTATCAAAGATTATAGCCAATCATCAAGTAATTAAGAGAATCTGTAATATAAGTCAACAAGTCAAGAAGATCAAAAAGAAGAAAAACTGTGATCCCTGCTCTGTCCTATGTAGTTGTGGGTTCAGTGAGAGGTATGCTTTCAAAAAACAATCATTAATAAATTATGAAGAAATCACCATTTAGACTGCCCTCTAGTGTTTGTAAATTCAAACCCAGATTGGATGTGAAGCAGTGAAGAGACCAGAGAACACATAACCCATGTCACTGAGTATCCACTGCTGGCTCCAGCCAATATTTTCCAAGTAGGACTGTGGTCCTTGATTTGCCAATTCTTCTGGATTCTCCAAAATGTCAGTTCAGGTTTTGTATTGAAATCTATCCATTTATCAATGTTGGCCCCTAACTCCATTTTTAAATATAACGTTCTGTGAACCAAACTAAAAACATCTGCAGGCCAGATGTGGCCAAAAAGCTATCAGTTTGCAAGCCCTATTCTAGATTAGTGACTTCTAACCTTGTTTACTATCAGCAACTTTCAATTATTCATGGCTTCTGCATTTAACATTCATCCCTATATATCTCCCTCTCCCTTCTACTTATTTGCTGGGGTGTGATGGGCTCTTCAATACAATGTTTCCCAAAAAAACGCCACTTAGTCTGTGGAAATATACTTCTCTAAGCACATAATCACGATTCAAAGTTATAATAAACCCTATGACATATCTGTAGGATACAATTTGGTGAGGATGAGAACAGTCAAATAGATACACAATTGAAAGAACTGTAAGTAAAATATTAATAGTGAATTCCTCTGAGTAGTGAGAGGATGAGTACATTTAAAAAGATAAATATCTGTGTTTTGGCAATAAATTAATATTATATATATATTCATTGCAAGAGTTTTCAATTACTTAGCCTTTTTGGCTATGATCAAGTGAAAGAGTTTTCAGAGTACGTTTCTCTGGGTGGTGAAGGAGAGGGATGTATGGGGAAGAAAGTATTAGAAGAAAATTTATTTTTTCTGAAAGAAATTGACAAGATTGATGATGTTCATGCCTTTTCAAACATGAATATGTATCTTGCCATTTAAAAAAATTATAAATGTTGTAAGCATAAAAACTAATGTCCATCAACAAATAAATACAATTTAATTATTTTTCTTTTTATGCTTACAATCCACTTTGACAAGTTGGAAAAAAAATGTGTTTTGTCTCAGAAAACCCAGAAGAGAATGTCCACAGAGTGAACAGACCTATCCCGTGGAAATTCACATTCACTAATTCAGATTGTGTTTACTCCTCCAAGCTTCACCACCTTCTTCCCAAAATTAAATGACCACATCTTTATAAAACAGTGTTAACTGTTATTTCACAGGCATTTAAAAACATTTGAATAAATTATGGCACACAGATGAATGCAGATGGTTAAGAATAAAAATTGTATTCATTTTCAAGTTGACTATTAAATTTCTTTTTAAATTTACCCTTTATTTTTCTTTCAAGAGAACCTCCTGCTACTTTTCTGTCTCACAGTCATATCTTTTCTATCTTTTCTTTTACTGTTTTGCCTTTTCTTTCCTCATTTTTCGTTATTTTTCCACTTATGGGTGGATTTTGACTACAAGTGACAAAATGCCTAAGAGTGATTTTAACAAACAGAATTAATTTTTCTTTTTCTTTTTTTTTTTTTGTTTTTTTGTTTTTTCTTGAGAAGAGTCTCCCTCTGTCGCCCAGGCTGGAGTGCAGTGGCGAGATCTCGGCTCACTGCAAGCTCCACCTCCTGGGTTCACGCCATTCTCCTGCCTCAGCCTCCCAAGTAGCTGGGACTACAGGCACCCGCCACCATACCCGGCTAATTTTTTGTATTTTTAGTAGAGACAGGGTTTCACCGTGTTAGCCAGGATGGTCTCCATCTCCTGACCTCATGATCCACCCACCTCAGCCTCCCAAAATGCTGGGATTACATTGTAAGCCACTGCACCCGGCCAAACAGAATTATTTTTTCTCAAAAAACGAGAAGTCAAAAGATTGGCATTTTCTAGCATTAGTTTGACTGTTCTGAGATGCCATCAGGACCTCATATCTTTCCATTCTCTCACTCCACCATTATAACAGTGCTGACTTTCATCTTCATGTTTGTTACTGCATGGTTGCAAGCTCCAGTTCATGCTACAACTTCAGATATTGCATCAATATTATAATGTAGAAGAAATGTGAAAAGCAGTACTAGACACTCTGTCCTTTCATCAAGAAAGATAAAGCTTTCCCAGAATCCCTAGGAAACATTCACTTTGATTTTATTGGTTACATATAACCATTCAAACCATTAGAACTATAAATGTCACATGGTCAAACCTAGCTGCAAAGGAAGCTGGAAAAGAGAATATACACCTGAAGATATTGTTGCATCATATAAAATCCAGGATTTGTTCACATAAGAAGAGGAAAGTATATATTGGATAAGCAACTAACAGTACTTGCCACAATGACCTACTCAAAGGGTAGCAAATATTGCCTATTTTTATATATTCACTAATTCAATTGGGCTAACAGAGGACCCAGTAAGACCCTTACATAACTATTTGAAAAATAAATTTAAATAATCTCTAATTAGTATAATGGGTGTTCTTAGTGCAGTGGGTACTTTTAAAGTGCTTTGTGGCTTTTGATGAAAATTGTCTTAGTATTTAAAACTTTTTCTTACCCAATTTTTTGTTCCCATCGAATTAGCAATGCTGTAAAGAAAGGCATCTTATTCCATTTTTTGTTGCTATAAAGGAATACTTGAGGCTGGGTAATTTATAAAGATGAAAAGTTTATTTGGCTCGCAATTCTGGATGGCTGGAAGGTTAAGTACTGGGCCACAGCATCTGGTGGGGGCCTCGAGCTGCTTCTAGTCATAATGGAAGGTGAAGGGTGTAAAGATCATGTGACAAGGGAGGAAAGAAGAGAAGGAAGGAGGTGCTGGTTCTTTCTATCAACCAATTCGCAAGAGAACTAATAGAGAAAGAACTCACTTAGCCCTGTGGGAACACATTAATCTATTCATAAGGGATCTGGCTGTATGATACAAACACCTCCCATTAGGCCCCACCTCCAAATTGTATCCCATTGGGGATCAAATTTCAAAAAGAGATTTGGAAGGAACAAACAAACCATATCTAAGCCATAGTAAAAGGAATGGCTTTTCAAAGGTAAAATTTACTAAGTGTATTAATATTTTACCAATTTCCAGCCAGGAGAGTATGAATGTTGCATTATTACATTGCTTTGAAACAAAGCATTAGTCTTAATTCAGAAGTTTAAATTCAGATGTTAACGTTGCATATTTAATAATGCACAACCAGTACTAAAATCCTCATTGAAATGACAAATAATTTTATTTCGAATCCCTTATAGAGGTTCACAATGTTTTAACAATGTAGTTTTGACTAAATAGAAGTAGTCAAAACCTGTCAGATTGGAAATAGTATTTATAAAACATAAACAACTCGTAGTAGGATCCCACATTGCCAAAAATAATAATAATGATGATTTCAAACAATCCTGATCTTCTGATTTGCAAGATTGGTAAATTCTTTCAGGAAAGAAATTGCTTAACTCAGAAGTTCCCACGGTTGCTTTTCTATTCTAAATCTTCTGGGATGTAGAGATGTCAAGATTGTGAAAGAGTTTAAATCACTTTTTTCTCCCACTTATGCCATACATCTTAACTTTTCTCTCTTCCTTCAGGTCTTCTCTGTGCTATGCAGATTGTTCCTTACCTCTCTCCCTTCATCCTTTCTTTTTCCTTGTCACCTTACCAATCTACCAATTGTTTCCCTTTTGAATTTCCTTGAAGATTGCTCCGGGTCTCTCTCAGAGAGTGGTGCCCCTGCCTGGGCCTTGCTTGGCTCCTGGCTCACTGCTGGGCTTGCTCCACCCACTCAGCCTGGCTGGCTGCACTCAGCTTGTGCCACTGGCTGGGATTCTGCACCTGCCATGGTTCTGTGCTCAGCCTGCGGCTGGCCTGGGCATGCTGTGACCATCTTTCACCTTGGATGCTGGCGTCTGGATGAGGAGGATGCAGCAGTGCCCCAAAACTAGGAGATGCCAGCAACTGCAGAACCCCAAGGGGTGTTATGGCTCTTGCCTGGGGAGTCCTGAGGTCTGAGTCCAAAAGGGGCATTACCGCTGTCTCTCCTTCCTGCTGCCCACAGTGCCACGAGCAGGAGGGACGTTTCAGTTCATTTGTGTTTCAGCTCGTTCAGTGCAACCCAGCTACAGCCCATGGCTCCTGGACTGGCCCAGCCCCACCACTGCTTCCCATCATATATGTGGTGCAGCCACCCAGTATTGGTGGAAGGCATGAGAACTACAGTGTTACAGCACCTTTTGCACCCACTGTTCAGTGGGTCCTGGGTTCTTGTCTCATGTCCAAGGAGAATGAGATTATGTGGACAACCAGAGAGTGAGCAAGGCAGAGGAGGGTTTTCTTGAGCAACAGAACAGCTCTTGATACAAGATGGGACCTGAAGTGCATAGTCCCTACCCAAAGGTGGGTAGTCTCAATGTGTCACTGAGTCTGGGGTTTTTATGGGCTCAGAAGGGGGAAGTGTGTGTTGATTGGTCCATGGCCTGGAAAAAGCACCATTCAGTTGGCTAAAAGGCATTAAGGAAGCTCTCACTCCAGTTGTGGACTCTGGCAGCTCAGTTTTTAGGCTTTAAGCTGTCTTTGGCTAGAAGGTCTGGTTTCACCAGGGACCTGCCCTGTCTGCCTAGAAATTTGTCTGCCTCCTGATGCTATCAATTTCCAGTTCCAGAAAAAAAAAAAAAAACTTTCAAAATCAGCAAATTCTAATTTTCAAGCCATTAGATTCCTTCTCACTTTTTCTGTTAAATTACTTGATATGTTTCAGGAATTGAACTTTAATTAGTCATTAAAGTGATTACTGTTCTTCAGCCCTGGCTGACTCAATTATGGCAACCTATTTCTTAGTGACCTTTTTCTGCCTAAATTAAGCAAAACATAAACAGGATCCATGTATTACATCAGGGAAAGAATATGTGAATAAACTAAACAAAAAAGTATCTAGTTCTCATATTTGAGACATTTTTACTCTCAGAAAGTCAATGTTGTGCCTTTAGTCTCTGCTTTTATGATGCAGGAATGTGGAGAGTGATGGGCAGGGGTGAAGTATTCAGGTAGCTACACAATTGACTCACATTACCAGAACTAAGTTGGAACCATAATGTTTTCAAGAGGTTTTTGAGTTAAGGTCTGAATTGCTACCGTTTCACCTCAGCAGAACTGAACACTTACTTAATTTTATGTGTAATTTCATTAAATAGCACTTAATACCTACAATAAACTATGTTGGAAATGGCTAAGCAGAGAGATAAATTTAAGGCAGCTTATGACTTTATCATTATCAGGTACAAAGGAAGAAGACTATTTCTTTATATATAATTGAATTTACATTTTATGCCATAACAGTCGAAATGAGAATTGTTAGTCATTTAAAGAGGCACTTTAAAGATTAACTTAATGACACATATTTTGACTATTTAAAGAGGCCTAAAAGAACAAAGGGGAGTTTTATTTGGAAAAATCTCTTACTTCTTTGTAGCCATTATCAGAATGTATTAATGGGGCTTTGTGCTGGATAAATAGGTTTGTGTGGGTGGCTGTGGGGAGGGAAGTGAGGTGGCATTTACTCAGCGGCCTTTCATTTTCTAAAATTGAAAATTCTATCAGTTACCATAAATTAAGTTTAATTTAAATCATTTGGTATCAAATATCTAAAAACAATAACTAAACTTAAAAGGAGAAAAAGATAAAATGAGAGTAAGAAAAAGTGGCAAAGAGCTGAAAACTCTTCTAAAGCAAAATCCCAGACTGAAATTATAAATCTCTTAAAGCAGTGTTTTGGTAATTTGGGTTATTACTCATGCACCAGCCAAGCTCTGAATTACAAGGGCGTGTAGACAGCACTCTGCCTCGGGGTTATGCAGCGAGATCTGTTCCCCTTGGTTCTGCTGGCTGTGAAGAGTTCTGGCTGGTGAAGAGGCACCAAAAGAATCCTGTGTCAAAATGACTTTAGATATAATCTAGAGCAGACTCCTCACTTTGTAATGACTGAAATGCAGAGAGGCAGAGACATGCTTGCAGTCTCAAGCTGTTCACTGCCAAATCCAGACTTGAATGAGGGTCATTTTCCCACAGACTTCCCACTGAAGCTTGAGGCCTCTGACATAATATCTAAGCATTTTTCAGTAGCTACTATTTGGACTAGATAATATATTCAGGGTGATTTTTAAAGTTGACCATTTTCCTTCATAGGTGAGAAATTAAACGGTATGGAAATGATAATTACCTTTCAAGTAGTTTTTAACTAAGAGAATGTATATAATAATATTAATGTGAATAAATATCCAAAGCCAAGGTGTTTCCAAGAGTATGTGTGACAAGTATTCAGAACTAATAAGAATACTCAAATTAATGTTAATGTCTCTCTCTGTTGGTTTATGACTTGCCAAATGTGAATTATCTCCTCAAATACACACGTGAATTGGCTGCTGATGATTATTTGACAGGACACATTTTACCTGCAGCAACATTCAACATTTTACTACCCACGGCATTATCTGAAAGATAATCAATACTTTTTGCTAAAGCTCCAGGCACTAGACGCTAATCATATGCAACACTGCTAGACAGAAAACATAAAGTCAGATTTACATGTTTCTGGCACTCTTTAAAATGATAGTAGGGTTGTGATTATCAGGTAAGATTTGCTATTGAACCATGAGGTTTTGGATTATCTGTTAGGACATGGGAGTTTCAGCAAACATTGATTGTGCTTCTGATATTTTCACACTTAATGAGATGGTCGATGTCAGGTTAAGTAAAAGAATGACTGAGAACTCCATTTTGGCTCAGAAAGGCAGAAAAAGGTAAAAGAAAGAGAACTTAACAGTAGAAACCATCTAAGTGGCTTCTTACTTTTGGTTCAATCTAATAAATAAGAACTTGAACAGGAAACTCATATCAATCCAAAGATTCAAACTTACCCTGATATAAGGAGACTTTTAGACCAAGAGAAGAAAGCTTATCTGTGATTAAATTGAAATTTGCTTGGGATAATTATTCGCCATCAGTCACACAATTTAGACCTAAAATTCACAGATGCAGGAAACCAGGATTACATTATCTTTCCCAAATTACAGTATCTTTTCAGTTTCTTATTTAGTTACTGAACTATTATAGAATAGTTGATTGTAAATGCTTCTGAGAACTTAAAAATTACATCCTTTCTCTCAATTATGTGTTTTTAAACTTGACTCTTGGGATTAGTGAAGCTATTATGATCACATTTCACAGAGATGACAAAGACAGGAAGCTAATATGCTAACATGAAAGATTAACTTTAATTATATTCTTCTATGGCTTGTGTATTTTTTAAATATAGACATTCATGTTGCATCTATCTACATTTATGTTGCATCTATATGTCATCCAGACTCAGTCAACAATTCACTTCTTTAAACTATTAGCAATAAACTAAAGCATTTGTTAGCATGCTGTTTGATTTACATTTTAAACCTAATTCTCCATCCAACACTTTAATGTAAAAACTGAGCACTGAAATAAACAGCATTAGTTTTTCCTTGCTAAAATAACAAGTTTGCCTTTAAAATTATTTACTGTTGTAACCTGTGAATTAATGTGCCTTGTAAATATGCCTCGTTAACTGATTAATGAAATGTTTATAATTGCAAATTGTAAGTTAGATTGAGGCAGATGAATAGATAAGTGCATCTATTTGAAATGTACTTCCTATTGAATTCACCTAGGCCTTATGTGGGGCTTCGTTAATAATAAATTTTCAGGTAATTCAGGGTGATTTTCTGCCCTGTGCCCAGATCGTACTCACTGCCAGCTTTAGTGACTGAAATGAGCATCGTTCTCCACCTCTACCTTCACCACATTAACTCAAAATTGATGTTTTTGCTCATTTTTCCAGAATGGTGCAATCAGCAGGTGATCACCTCAGGAAGAAAACCAATGTCTTTATTCCAATTGTTTTTATTTTTCCCAGACTCCTAACAACTATGGCTTGTGGAAACATATGGCCTATACACTCACTATGAATGTTCGTTGAATTTCATGAATATTCCTCCCTTTTGCACCTATTTTCTTAATAATCCCTTTGAGACTTCAGCCCTCATTTGTTTACTTAGCATACATGCCATAAGGGCCGGCTAAACACAGCCATGACAGGATGTTCCGCAGGAAAGCCTGTTCTACACGAGAGACAGATAAACATGACATTTCATTGAATGCAACAGAAAGAGTACTGACCTGGTGTTTTGAACAAAAGAAGCAACGATTACTCGAGTGGAAGGAGGAGAGGTCGTTTGAAATGGTTTTAAAGATTAAGTGGAATTTTCTCAAATGTTTCAGGTTGACATAGCATTTTAGGCAAAAGGGAAAATTTGAAGAAATAACATGGAGGTTAATTTCTCTTTCTTAAAATTTAACATAAGTCAAACTATGTCATGACACCTACTCAGAAAATTGGGTAAATTAAAAATCATTCCTAATGAAGATACTGAAAAAAAAATTTTAATTGGTATCAGAAAAATAAAAGGTAAATAATGCAGATAGAAAAGATCCTCTTGGGAGAAAGCAAGTAGATAAAACAAAAAATACCTTGGTGTTGAACACTTCAAATGAATTTAAAATTTCTTTTTTTAACTTTTTTTATAATGTTAACTTTTTTTGTTTTTTTAGATTCAGTGGGTACACATGCAAGTGTGCTATATGGGTATATGGCATGATGCTGAGGTTTCAGGTATGAATGCGGTCCCGAGCAGAGTACCCAGTAGGTAGTTTTTCAATACTTGCCCCTTCCTCCTCTGCCCCTTCTAGCAGTCCTCAGTGTCTGTTGCTACCTCTTTATGTCCATGAGTACTCAGCGTTTATCTCCTACTTACAAGGGAGAACATCAGGTATTTCTGTTCCTGTGTTAATTTGCTTAGAACAATGGCCCCAACTGAATCCATGTCTCTACAAAGGACGTGAATTTGATCGTTTTTATGGCTAAGTAGCATTCCATGGTGTCTATGTCCACATTGTCTTTATCCAATCCACTGTTGATGGGCACCTACATTATGTCTTTTCTATTGTGAATAGTGCTGCAATGAACATATAAGGGCATGTGTCTTTTTGATAGAATGATTTATTTTCCTTTAAATATATACCCAGTAATGGGATTGTTGGGTCAAATGGTAGTTTTGTTTTAAATTCTTTGAGAAATCTCCAAACAGCATTCCAAAGTGGCTGAAATAATTTACAGTCCCACCAACAGTGTATAAGCATTCCCTTTTCTCCACAGCCTCACCAGCATCTGCTATTTTTTGACTTTTCTTTTCTTTTCTTTTTTTTTTTTTTTTTTTTTTGAGACACCGTCTTCCTCTGTCGCCCAGACTGGAGTGCAGTGGCATGATCTTGCCTCACTGCAACCTCCGCCTCCCGGGTTCAAGTGATTCTCCTGCCTCAGCCTCCCAAGTAGCTGGGATTACAGGCACGTACCAACACACCTGGCTAATTTTTGTATTTTTAGTAGAGACGGGGTTTTGCCATGTTGGCCAGGCTGGTCTCAAACTCCTGACCTCAAGTGATCCTCCTGCCCCAGCCTCCCAAGGTACTGGGATTACAGGTGTGAGCCACTGTGCCCGGCCATATTTTTTTGTCTTTTTAATAATAGCCATTCTGACTGATGTGAGATAGTGTCTCATTGTGGTTTTTATATGCATTTCTTTGATAATTATTGATGTTGAGCATTTTTTCATGTTTGTGGGCTGCTTGTATGTCATCTTTTGAGAAGCATCTGCTCATTTTGTGCTCATTTTTAATGAAGTGATTTGGTTTTTGCTTATTGAATTGTTTATGTTCCTTATGGATTCTGGATATTAGATTTTGTCAGAACCATAGCTTATGAATATTTTTCCCATTTTATAGGCTGCTTACTGTGTTGATAGTATCTTTTGCTGTACAGAAGTTCTTTACTTTAATTAGGTCCTTCTTGTCAATTTTTGTTTTGTTGCAATTGCTTTGGAATTAATTATTCCTAGTCATAAATTATTTCCCAGGGCTAATGTCCAGAATGGAGTTTCCTAGGATTTTTTTTTAGAATTCCTATAGTTTGAGGTCTTATACTTAAATCTTTAATCCATCCTAAGTTAATTTTTATATATGGTGAAAGGTAGGGGTCCAGTTTCATTCTTCTGCATGGCTAGCTCATTATCCCTGCACCATTTATTGAACAGGGAATCCTTTCTCTATTGCTTGTTTTCATCAACTTTGCTGAAGATCAGATGACTGTGGGTGTGCAGCTTTATTTCTGCTTTTCCTGTTTTGTTCCATTGGTCTATGTGTCTGTTTTTGTATCAGTACCATGTTGTTTTAGTTACTGTAGCTTCATAAAAATAGTGTGAAATCAGATAATGTGATGCTTCCAGCTTTGTTCTTTTTGCTTCAGATTGCTTTATCTATTTGGGCTCCTCTTTGGTTCCTATAAAATTTAAAATAGTTTTTTTCTAATTCTGTAAAATATGACCTTGGAAGTTTGATAGGAATAGTGTTGAATCTGTAGACTGCTTTAGGCCATATGTCCATTTTAATAACATTGACTTTTCTAATTCATGAGCATAGAATATTTTTCCATTTATTTGTGTACTCTGTGGTGTCTTTCAGCGGTGTTTTGTATAATATTCTCCTTACAGACATCTTTCACCTTCTTGGTTAGATGTATTCCTAGGTAACTTAGTTTTTTGTGGCTATTGTAAATAGGATTGCATTCTTGATTTGACTCTTAGCTTGAACACCATTGGTGTATAGAAATGCTACTGATTTTTGTACTTTGCTTTTATATCCTGAAACTTTTTTCTCATTTGTCTGAATCATCTAGGATTTGTTTTAGCAGTGTCTTGTAGTCCCTTTGTAGAGATCCTTCACCTCCTGGGTTAGATGTATTCCTGGATATTTGCTTACGTTTTTGGTAGCTATTGTAAATGGGATTGTATTCTTGATTTGGCTCTCATCTCGAACATTACTGATGTATAGAAATGCTACTGATTTTTGTACATTGATTTTTGTGTTCTGAAACTTTACTGCAATTGTTCATCACTTCCAGTAGCCTTTTGGTGGAGTCTTTATGATTTTCTAGGTATAGAATTATATGTCAGCAAAGATAGTTTGGTCTCTTCTTTTCTTACTTGGATGCATTTTATTTCTTTCTCTTTTCTGAGGGCTTTAGCTAGGACTCTGAGTACTATGTTGAATGGGAGTGGTGAGAGTGGGCATCCTTGTCTTGTTTCAGTTCTTCAGGGGAATGCTTCCAGCTTTTCCCATTTGGTATGATGTTGGTTGTAGGTTTTTCATAGATGGGTCTTCTTATTTTCGGATATGTTCCTTTGATGATTGGTTTTGTGAGGGCTTTGTTCATGAAGGGATGTTGGATTTTATCAAATTTCAAATGTGTTCTAAAGCAAGAGATGGATACAGTTCAGGGTATGTAGCTATTTACTTTTGTGCCCATTATAGCTTTGTGACACTCTGGAATTTTTCATAAATTTACCTTGCCTTTCTTGAAATATGCCTACAAAGGAATATTGAAGAAAGTCATAGGATGTTTGTGAAAAGAGTATAAAGTGTGTGGGAAGGACGGGAGAGAGTTGCACCTAATTGATAAAGGTTTTCTCTGAAATAAATTCAAAAACTGGTTACAAATGTTATGAAACTTGCTTAAATAAAGAAGACTTGAGTTTGAATCTGGGTGCTTTCCATATCCTTGACTTGAGCCCTTGAGTAAAGTATAATTCTATGTATTTAAAAAAACAATAATAATACCTGTCATACCCAATTTCCTCGGTCAGTTAAGTATTTATTATGCACTCTACTCATTTGTACATTCTAACTGAGCCTTATAATAGGTAAGTGTGGTATGTGTATACACTCTAGATCAGAGACATCTAGTACCCCACAGATGAGTAACAACCTTCAAATATTCACCAAGAGCCTGCAGGATAATCCAGTAGACCCTACCTTACCATAATCTGTGTCTGTATTTTGCAACTCATGATCCCTTAATCTCAACTTTGACTCTAACTCCCTTGCCTTCAAAGTCCAAATGGGCATGTTTCTCCATGTCTGTCCTTACTTTCTATCTCACCCTCTTGCCATGCACCCAAAGCTGAGGAAAGAGATTCACACCTCATCTCACTCCAAACCACATCCCAGTTGGGGCAATAGGTACAGAGCTGCTGTGGAGTGGTCAGAAAACTACAGAATGACAGGGGCCACAGGTCCTAAAATGGTCACATCCCAGGAGCTCATTTTCTAATTGGTGACATATAAACAAATAATTATAATTTATGGATTTGACATTCATGTTTTCAAAATATATATCTAAGGAGAATGTGGATGAAGTAATTATGAATGAATTGCTTCTGAGAGGGAGGAGAGGTGTCAGGACTCCAGGTCAAGGAAGTAAAAGTGCCAAAGCACCAGGGCAAAGAACATTGTGTGTACAAGCAACTGAATACATTCTTCTGATAAGGACAAAACAGATAATTCCTACAATTATTTTCTCCAAGTAAGTATTTGGGGAAAAAAATGGGTTGGGACATTAGTTAGGAGATCAAATTACTGTACAGAATTACAGTAGCAGATGAGATGAATAGATCATTGACAAGATGAAAGATTACCAAATGACTTTCTTTCAGAATGCAACCAAGATTAAAAATTTAAAGACTGTTCATGGTTTTGTAATTTCTCCAGCATCACTTATTAATATAAGAATCAAAGACTAGGACAGAGGATAGGCAGGAACAATGAGGTCAGAGGCCAGATTTAATAGAGGATAATGAAAAAGATTAGTAAAAATATAGGAACTGGGGACAGGGAGAGGTTTCTTGTTTCAAATTATGTGAATATGGATGCACCTTATAGGCTCTAACACCCTGCGCAGATGGGAGGTATTGTTTTCATTATTAGTCCAATAATGTATATATGTTTTCTTAAATCACTTCGAAAACAGCTATAGGTGACAACCAGGTAAGGAAAGAACATACATAGGACATGTGCGTGCATTCCAGTTCAACAAAACCTTACAAAGTGTCTAGAATTAAGACCTACAACTTATTCTAGAGAAGCTTATTATCTACCACAGGAGACAAATATAAGCAGAGAATTCCAAACTAATATGCCAAGAACTACATAAAAAGTGAGGATATGCATTTAGTCCAATCTTCCTAGAGGAGATGATGCTGAGGAAATTTTAAAATATAGGTAGGATTTGGTCAGAAAGCTAGAAGGACATTTCAGGCAGAGGGAACTGCATGAGAAAAGGCCAGGAGACTGGCAAGAGCATTTAGCTAAGTTACTGAATCCAAGAAATACTTTGCACTATATATTCATACTGTTTATAAGATGGAGAAAAGCCTAGAAGAAGGAACATCATAAATTATTGTTCAGGACATCTTCACTTCTCTGCTTCTTCCCTCCGGGAATATAGTATATTTCACTGTCCCACTGATTTTAGGATTAGCCATATGATTAACTGTGACCTACGGAATGTTAGCAGAAGGAGTGTGAAAACATGAATTGTGCTTGCCTGATGGCTACTTGCTCTCTTTCCCCTCTGCCAGTGCACGAAGATCATGCTCTGACTAGCCCACTGCCCCAAGGAGAATGGAAAACATGGGGAAAAGTCCATCTAACCCACAGACTTGAGGTCTGGAAGCAAACCCAGCTAAGTCTAGCCTAGATCTGCTCACCCTAAGCTGGCTGGTAGACATGTGAGTGATTTAAATGATTCATATTTTAAACCTCCCAATGTTAGAGCAGATGTTATGCAGCAACAGCTGCCTATACGTTGCTGAACATAGCTGTCTGTTGAAGGAATACAAATATTTTTGAATTTATTATATTTTGCTTCACAGTATCTGCAAATTTGTTGATTACTTTTGTATTAAAGAGAATTCTACAAAATAAATCATATATATAAAATATTATTTATGAAGTGAGAATGTCTCTAAAATTATGTGTTATATTTCCTCTTAAACAATTGTCAGTCATTAACTTTATCTTCGTTTGAATGAATTTTGTTGTGTACACTTAATGTATAAAACATGATGTTATGAGATACATATAGATAGTAAAATAGTTATTAGAGTGAAGCAAATTAACATTATCTCACATAAGTATTCATTTCCCCCCACCCACCCATGGCAAGAGCAACTATAATCTAATCGCTTAGCAAAAATCCCAAATACAATACTCTATTATTAACTATAGTCCTCATTTGTACATTAGATCTTTAGGTTCATTAACTTTACCTTGAGGGTTGTTTTATGTGACTGTACCGTCATTATCAATTGTCTTTGATAGCCCACAGGTGGTGAACTAAAATCTTCTTTATTCCTAAGCCTTCTTTTCAGTACATTGTTTTGGTTACTGTCTCAGGAAAAGAGAAGGCCCAGGGTGGGAAGCAGAAAAAAACAAGTTTTAGCTACAGGGAGATTTGATTTAATATACTTAGACAATTATATAAAAGTCCTTACTACCGTGGCTGATGTATAGTAATAGATGATTAAGAAGTATTTAGTTCATTCTCACAGCCTCCCCTATTCCCATTAGCCAGTTTTGGAAAATCTCCCTTTAAGGTTTTCAAGTTCATGATCATTTGCATTTTGATGATGGCCAAGGTAAATCGAGCTGTTTCTGTATTGGTGCAATTAAGAGAAAAAAAGTCAGAACAATCCTGGCTTTTTGGATTTTGATGAAATTTTCAGTCTGTTTTGACATTTGAGTTTCTGATTTTCTGTGATCTGTCATTTATGAGTGCTGCAATGAATAAGTGAGAGCTATTAAACAGCTGCACAATTTGGGGGACTTTTCACAGCCCAGTTGTAGGACTCAGCAGGAGATCAGTAAGGATTAGACACAAAGAAACAGGCATTTTAATTTGAGTAATATTAACATTCACAAACTGTCATATTATGGAAATCACTGGGAGTGTGTGTGCTCTGCTATTGAAGCAAAGGCAGAAAAAACAACAAGAGGAGCTTAGAATTTGCAAGATGTCCTCAATGGCTGGAAGATGATACAGTCAGGTGAGCCTGAAAAGTGGCATTCGGGAGGAACAAATTTGGGACTGAAGGAGACACTTAGGGGAATCCCCTGAAAACTTCCGGTTCTCCAAAGCACCTTTGTCCTATTAAAAGACCTCTCTGTGAAGAGGCTGCTATATCCTGGTCCTGGGCAGTAAGCTAGCAATGTTTCTTTATTGAGGAAAGGACAGTTTGGAGACACAAGGAAGTATAAGAAATCCATGACACCGTTCCTCACTTCAGGGATTCTCGAAACTATTTATACACACAGGAACCTACACTGAAACAACAACTGAAGTACACATGAGGGAATACCATGTAAGCAAACTTAATACAATCAGTATAGCTTAATCTAGCTCAAATTTCATTTTAGAATTTTGTAGCAGTAAAGTTATCAAAAATATCAAGCCAGGCTACTTATGAATAACCCCTTGTAAGAAATCAACTTTGAGATGAGTTTTGACAAAAGCGAAGGATAAGGATTGGTGTAGACGGTGAAAAATGCGTGAACAAGAAAATGATAATAATAAGAGCATTTCTAATAGTGCGAAGACAAAACCAGAGGGTGCAAAGAAGGAAAAAAAAAGATGTAAATGCGACAAAATCAATCTTGTGCAACCTCACACATTGGTGATACAGGTTTAAGCTTTTGTGAGGGCCCAGTGACCACTAATCTGGTAACACCTCTGCTAAATGCAATCTCTTCTCTGCCCTGTAACTTCTGAAATCAAAAACTCATGTACAATTCCACAGGGGAGACCCACTTAGAAGCAGAATTGAAGGTCGCCAGAGTTATATGGTAGATATGAGGTGTGGTAAGGGGTCAAAATGACAATAACTGGACTATTCTGACTGGTGAGGCGCCAATTAACGACACCCATCTTTTAATTGTAGTTTACTGGTAAGATCATCGAGAAAGGAGAGCTCATGTCTACTGTTTTGTAATATATATGAAGAGAACACTGTAAATAACCTTCTCTTAATCTCACAAAAATCCCTCTCCTCCCCACACCAGCATGAAAAATCAGCTTCATCCCCATGCACAATAGCCACCAAAGTAAAACAAGCCTTTCTAGTTGATAACGAAAGAGAATATAGTTTGCTCCTGAACTTACCCAAAAGAAGTGCTGAAAAATTGTGAATATATAAAATTCTGATAAACCCTTTCTGTATTTCCAGTTTAATTTTATGATGATATCAGTTCTTTTGTCTTTATTTTCTATTATTGTTTACTCATCCCTCAGCATTTTGGACTTTAGGGTCTTTGTCTCTTATGAGCTGGAAAATCATCATTTGACACCTGATGCTTAAATAAACCTGAAGAGGAGTCATTAAAGGAATCTCTCCAAAATGCTAAGACTCACTGATATATGTATCAAAGAGTGAGATTTCTAAGAATTAAACATATCCTTCTTTTCTTTATTTTATTATTACTTTCATCATTATGTTTGGGATTCTCTGATATTAGTATGTACTTATTGAAGGCAGATGCTTATATTCTTCAATATTCTTCAATCTAATGATATATGAAGCAGCAAAGTTATTAAGCATGTTCATGAAGGAGAAATACAAGCAGTGCCAAAACAGTCTTGGAAAATAGAATTGACCTTTCTAATTTTTGCAATCTATCCATCTGACAAAGGTCTAATATCCATAATCTACAAGGAATTTAAACAAATTTAAAAAAAACGTTAAAAACTTGGCAAAGGACATGAATAGACACTTCTCAAAAAAGACATGGCATTTATGCAGCCAACAAACATATGAAAAAAAGCTCAACATCACTGATCATTAGAGAAATGAAAATCAAAACCACAATGAAATACCATCTCACGCCAATCAGAATGACGATTATTAAAAAGTCAAGAAACAACAGGTGCTGGCAAAGTTGTGAAGAATTACGAATGCTTTTAAACTGTTGGTAGGAAAGAATGCAAATTAGTTCAACCATTGTGGAAGATGGCGTGGCAATTCCTCAAAGATCTAGAACCAGAAATACCATTTGACCCAGCAATCCCATTACTGGGTATATACCCAAAGGAATATAAATCATTCTATTACAAAGATACATGCACATGTCTGTTCCTTGAAGCCCTATTCACAATAGCAAAGACATAGAATCAACCCAAATGCCCATCAATGATAGACTGGATAAAGAAAATGTGGTACCTATACACCATGGAATACTATGCAGCCATAAAAAGGAATGAGATAATGTGCTTTGCAGGGACGTAGATGGAGCTTGAAGCCATTATGCCCAGCAAACTAACACAGGAACAGAAAACCAAACACCACGTGTTCTCATGTATAAGTGGGAACTGAACAATGAGAATACATGGACACAGGAAGGAGAACAAAACACACTGGGGCCTGTCAGGAGGTGGGGTAGGGGGAGGGAGGGCATTAGGAAAAATAGGTAATGCACGCTTGGCTTAATACCTAGGTGATGGGTTGATAGGTGCAGCAAACCACCATGGCACATGTTTACCTATGTAACAAACCTGCACATTCTGTACACGTACCTCAGAACTTAAAGTAAAATTTTTTAAATAACATTTTTATAGTTTAATGATTTCTGAAAATTAATAAAGCTTCTATATCCTGGAAAAAGTACCACCTCTCATACTTCAGAGTAAAATATATTCTTAGTAAAAAAAAATCTATTACTTCAGAAAACTTAAGTAGTGAGGCTAGAAAGACAGCGATTTAGGAGAGAGGAGTCATTATTCAAGAAATTTTGCGACAGTAATCACAGAGTATCAGTGGCAAGATGTACAGTGGGATAGGAGACAGAAAGGGAATATGGCAGAGTAGAATAAAGTCAAGAAGAAGGAATAACAAGATGAAATGACATAACAAGATGGTAACAATAACAGTATCAAATTATGATTCTGTTTTGTGGGGTGAGTTTTCCTGGCCAGACCCCTGTCCTTCCCCTAGGAACTTCTCCCACAAGTACTTCTGCCCTGACCTCACCTGCACATCACTTCTGTGTTAGGTTCCATGCATCCTGCTCTGATGATAACAATCCCTTGCCTTATGGTTTCGAGAGATCTTGGATTATTGATTAATTGGCCAGAATTTATACTCTTCAGTTAACAATCCCATATATTCTGTGAGGCCTTATGTTTCTTTCAGTCACTGCCATATAAAATTCCCTGCTCAAATCACCTCAGCCTTTTTTTTGTATTTCTTCTTTTCTTTCCCCTTTCTTTGGCCCTGAATTTCTACACACATTTCAAGCTCTATACCTTTGATTTCGCCCTTTCTCCCAAGTACAATTATTCATTTTTCACAAACCTAAATCC
The DNA here is from genome assembly GCF_000001405.40 of Homo sapiens. NCBI lineage: Eukaryota > Metazoa > Chordata > Mammalia > Primates > Hominidae > Homo > Homo sapiens. Next base: position 17,063,702 of record NC_000021.9, read on the forward strand.
TCCACTACTTTCAGAGAAATGTAGAAAATACTAGCCAAATTTTCTCTGTCTCCTTGTTCAAATTCCTAGTTCAGTGGGTATACAAGCTCATGCTGACCAACCTACATTCATGGGTCTGTTTCGCATCCCATTCATTCTGTCTTGGAGAGAAGGAAGAGAGTTCTACGTGCGTATGTGTATGTGTGTTGGGGGAGTATCCCGTCTCTACATGGGGCTGCTATTTAGTCAAATCTCTAGGTGTGAGGTTCTCACATAGACAGGACTGTGGGCTATTAGTGTTCTTACCCATAACTCAAAACCTTTGCTTTTTATGTTTCTGTGCCTTTACACAGGGTATCAGCTCCTTGACTCTTACCTCTTTTCAGTTAGTAGAGAAACGCTTTTCCTCTAAATCAGTTTGCCACATCGGGGTAATGATGAAGAAATGAATTCAGTTCTTTCTATGAAGTACCATATCCAGGATCATGTAGAATTTCCATAACGGAGGAAGGCATACATATTGTTTCTAGAGATAATACATTTTGGCTGGATATAAAAGCGCCATCAACCTTAATCTTGAAAAATTCTGGTTTGGAGCCAACGACCTTATAGTATTGTGCCTGGTTTAATCCAACCAGGCAGTGAGACAGATTATAACCTCTCACTTGGATTTTTCTTATTTTTCAGTGAAGCTCAAATGCCTTCCAAGGAATGCTGAGCATTAACAAATGATCAATATATATTATTATTTCCAAAAAAAGTACTTGTAAGCATCATACACATCTTTCCTTTAAGTAATATATTTTTAACTTTCTTTATGATTCTTCTATAGGCTGGAATGCCTGTCTGCATTAGTAACAAATAGGAGGTGTTTGTCTGAACATAATTGTCAAGTCAGGCCTTCCCCACATATACTTTGAAAAGCCCAGTATCTATTGATTTTATGTTTTGCAGCATCTTCACTTTCCTACCCCAAGCAAGTCTTCCCTCATGAGACTTGTAGAAATTTCAGTTAAACTTTTTGGTTTTACATTGCTGTAAATGCTCGAATACGTAATATGTTACTTGTTTTCTCCCATCAAAACCTATTTTCCTGCACATCTATTAAATGTATATCAAAGCCAATTTGTTTCATTCCAAAGTTAGCTTTAAATTTAATCTTGATAAGGCACATTGTTTTTAGTCAAATCAGGCTGTGATAACAAAATGCCATCGATGGAATGGCTTATAAATAATGGAAATTTATTTCATTTATTTCACGCAGTTCTGGAGGCTGGAAGTCCAAGAACAGGGTACAGCGTGATTGGTTTCTGAAGAGTGGCCTCTTCTGGGTTGCAGACCTTTGCCTAACTGTTGTATTCTCACATGGTGAAAAGAGGGCTTGAAAGCTCTCTGGGGTCCTTTATATTAGGCCACTAATCCCATTAATGAGGGCTCTGCTCTCATGACCTAATTACCTCCCAAAGGCCGTAACTCTTAATATTGCATGTTGGAGGTTAGGATTTTAATATATGAATTTGGGGGAATGCAGCCCATTACATACAAAGCACTTTTAGAGGAAATACCTTTTTCTCCAGGAGAATTTTCTGATTTATTTTTTAAAATTTTTAGTACTTTGATTCTCATATTTTCTCATTATTTTAATAGTGTCTATGATGTAGGCTACAGCATAGTCTTCCTACCAGTTAGATGATCCTTTACATCTTATAGGTAAAATCTCAGAATTATGCTATATTGTCATAAAGGGACAATGGAGTTTTGGAGCCACTAAGGCACTCTTATGCCTTATCTAATTTAAATTGATGAGTTAGTTTCTCCTACAAATTCTCTATGGCATACTAGAAATTACATTAAATTGTAAGTCAAACCCCAATGATTTGGCTACAATTAAGAAAGCCCACTCACACCACTAAAGTGTGTGACACAGAATATTGTTTCATCTTTGTGTAATTGTAAAATTGGAAAGAATCTTAGATGTCCTCCAGCCCAGAGGTTTCAATCCCTTCTCCCCAGGGACTTCAGGGGGTATATTCTTTCCTAGGGAGGGGCTGGTGTTGAGAAGATGCAACTTTCCTCCCCTAACTCCATTTAATCAGAGGCCACTAATTCGTTCTGTTTTACAAATTGGTACAATCTGAGTATCTTCCCCAATTCTCTGTCTCTGTTCTTCAGCATGAGAGGCTGTGTATCAGATAATATTTTTTACTCAGTTAAAGCATCTGAATCCCCACCCTGAATGACTATAAGAAAAATCCATTTGGAATCATGTTTCTCTATCTTAGTATTTTCAAGAATTTCCAGAGGATGCTTACATATCTCACAATTGTGCTGTGGTTTTGATTTACTGTCTTATCATAGACATCTCCTCCAAACTATGACTTCTTTCAACATAACTCTATCTCAAACATGGATTCAGTGCAGTCTCAGTACTTCTGAAAGTAAACACTGAGAATACTGTTTAACAAAACTTTACTAAAGGTTTGTGAGCCATTGAGTTTTCCAAGCCTCCCAAAGACATTCCAAGGGCATGTTAGCACCATATGTTAGTGTTCTTGACAGTGTGTTAAATGCTGTATCCTGAAAAAGCATATCCATAAATTTTCCCTTTTCTGGCTTTATTTCCCACCCCTCTTAATCTTCCATCCTGAGAATGTAATCCCAATATCCTATCCCATGTATTTTACATTCTCTTTCCAGTACATCTGAGCTAGGTCTTGTATCTCAGGTCTCCACTAGTGCAATAATACACTTAGTTATTTGGCTTAACTTTAGTTAATTGTCTTAGTGGCCAGGACATACGGTAGACACAAATGCTGAGGGGGACATCTGCTGTCTTACGCGGTAGTGCCTCTGTGTCACCTTCAAGCCAGGCTACTCTTAAAGGAGTGGTGGGCACTTCTGCAGGCTCAAAGGGTCCAGGAAATCTGAGGGGACCAGATTTTCAAATGCATCAAACAAGTGTCTTCATCCAATAACTTTGGGTCTCATTTATTGCAGCCAGGGCCCTACTCTTGTCATGGCAGACCTAACTAGTTGGGGAATTTTACTTTCTCTGGAGGTCTGCTGTCCTTAGTTCCTGAGCCTGATCCTCAGCCTTTTCTGTCCTCCAGCTGCAAGAAATAGGAATCTCTCTTTGTGTTTCCAAAGAGTTCCTTTGGCTTTCACATTTAGCCTTTTATTGATGGTTAATCTTTTTCAGTCTTTCATTTTTGCTTCCCACAGCATTAATTGCCCCCAGCAAGTACTGTCCAATACCATTGCCCTTATAATAACTACTTGCCTCATTTACCTCTAAAGATTAATACCCCGTACCTAATATTGCATTTCCTTCTACCAGTATAGCATCCCAGTTTACCTATGATGAAAGCTTTATAATTTCCATCTTGTGTCACAGAATCTTTGTTCTCTACCTCATTGTCCACTGAATAATGGGTGATCCAGCTTCAAAATCTCATTTAACCTCTCCATTTTCAGACCATTCTCAGATCAACTGTCAGGCCTACTTCTGTAGTAAGTAGGCTCAGATGACATTTAGAAAATTGAGGGTTCATTAAGAAATGCTCTTGGGATCAACAACTGTGGGAGAAGGAAACAAAAGCAAATTGAGGTGGTGTGTGAAATCACAACAAGCCCTCAGCCAAATTTACAGGATGCTCTGAAGCTGGCAAATATCTTCAGAATTAAAGAAAGGGGTCAAGCCTTTAATATGCCATGATTAACCAGTCATTGGTTGCAAGCTACCACCTCTCCCACAGGGAACCCAATCCCAGAGAAGGGGTATGATCTTGAATGAGGCAGCTACTGTCCATCGAGGACAAGTTTCCAAATGGGTAGACAGCTAAGAAATTTTAACCCTCAACCTTTGGGATAACTGAGGAATAAATCCTTTAGTCTTAAAGTGGAGATCTGAGTGGCAAAGGCCGCCCTCCATTGCAGAAGGATTAAGTACTGATGAGGACATGTCTAAAAGATGCAGGAACCAGTTTGAAAGAGGCTCACTAGTTAATTTTTGGCTAATGTAAATATCAAAAAGAATAATGATGACAGTGAGTTTTCAAATATTGAATGAGAAAATAATTTGACTAAATATATTCTGAATACGTTTAGTATATCCATCGGTGTCCTGAAAAGAAGAGTGGATGGAAGCTCTTTTTTGTAGAATAATGCCAGTTCCTTAATGTGAAATGACCAAATTAAAAGAACTAGATCATTTTCAAACATCAATGTATGAATTGATTTAGTTATCAATAGTTGCAAAAACCTTTAGCTGATAATTTGTTGAGGATCAGGATTTCACATACATTACAAAGTATCAACATACAGAATACACATTAATGACAAAGGGGAAGAAAACACCTTTACAATGGGGGGGTGTTGTAGATACTACCTTAACCGAGAGATCAAACTTGACATCACCAATAAGAGAAGGAAAAAAAAAACAGACTTCATTAGCTTTCTAATTTAATGCAATGGGAAGTACATCTGTATTATTCTTGACAAAATGTTTAACTTGAGTCTGATCATAGGAAGCAATTTGACAAATCTGGATTGTGAGTGAGCTTGTAAGACAACCAGCCTGGATTATTTAAAAATATCAGAATCATGAAAACAAAGTGTAAAGAGACTGTCCTAAATTAAAGATGTTTTTAAAAATGACAAATATACTATGAGATCATTAATCAGATCCTGAATTGAACATAAAAATAGCTAAAAAGAACATTGTGGGCTCAACTGAGTAAATACGAGTATAAATTATATATCAGATATTACTGTATCAATATTAAATTTTCTGAGTTCGATCATGCATTTGTGATTATATCATGGCTACCTACTAAAATACTAAAGGACCAAGTGTTGATATTACCAATGTACTTTGCAAAGAATTTCTTGAAAAAAGACATGGAGAGAGATGGCAAAGTGTTAACAACTGGTGAATTGTTAACATAAGTAAAGTTTCTACAGGTATTTATAATATTATTCTTTTAATTTTCTATTAGTTTTATTTTTTAAAAATATATATATAGGGGAAAATTCTAAAGTTAAATTTAACCCAAGTCCTAATCTAATGTCTGCAAATCTATTAATAAGATCTGTGTTCATGAACTTTAACTGTGTTTTGAATTCCGATTACAGCCTTCTCTATACCAAGCCTTTTCTTTCTAGCATTACAAGCAAAGTGGTTTTTAAGAAAAAACACATAAAGATACCACATTTGTTTTAACTATGTTTCTATGACTCCGATCCAGGTCCTTTTTTTAACAGTTATTTTCACCCTGACGAATTCCTACAACTGTCAAAATGAAATCTCAACCTTATTTTCACTAAATGTTTTCTTTTTATATCTCTTATGTTTCAGAAGACTACTTCCATTAACTGAGACTTCTTCCATTAACTGAACTGAAAGAGGAGACTTGAACTACTCTCTCTCTATATATATATACACACATATATACGTGTGTGTATATATATATATATATACACATATATATGTGTGTATATATATATACATATATATATATATATATATATATATATATGCTTTTTAATAAAACTTTGTAGCTGGGTATGGTGGCCATGCCTGTAGTCCCAGCTGTTTGGGAGGCTGAGGTTGGAGGATTTTGAGTTTGAGTCCAGCCTGGGCAACATAGGGAAACCCCACCTCTTAAGAAAGAAAAAAAAAACAGTTTTCTTTCAATTTCCTATTATGATAAATATTTTTTCCCTTCTCATTACCTCATTCCCTCAGAATCACATATCAAACCTGTTTTTGGGAAAAAATGTAAAATTGAAGTTCTATGTCAGCCAATCTTCAGAAGGATTAGGGAAAAATAGAACACAAATATATCTCAAAGTATATCCAGTAGGACCCAAATAAACTAATGCCTAGCTTAAAGAGAAGAGCTAACCCTGTGTCTTACCATTTTTCAGAGCTATGGGACAGTCATTTAAGGAATATGTCTCTCATTTCCTACATTTACAGGCTTTACTATTCTTACAGAAAAAAAAATCAAAATAATATAAACACATTCATAAAGCTTCAACCTCATAGATATGTATGCAATCTTGGAAGCATCTTCTCTTAACTTCAGGTTTTCAATTATTTCAAAAGTGAACATTTACCTTCTCCAGTGCAGTTTCTGAAACAACAGCTCTTCAATAGAACTCAAGTAGATTTTAACAAGTATGTATTCCTTTGGTTGTTTTTTCCTTTGCTTTCTCTCATCTCTCAAATGTCTTAGTACCTATAGACTCATATATTAAAATATATGCACATAATTATAAACCTTTAAAATGTACTTTTATAAAGGCACTCCTAGCACAATGCATAAAACAGGTGAGCTATTTTTAATTTCATCATGGGAAATATGGGAAGTTAACGTAGAAGGAGATAAAAAGGATCCCAAGTCATTGTTTTTTATTGGAAAAACACACTAGGTGTTTTGTAAGGAGAGAAAAATCTCTAGAGCATTGAATTGCAACAGAACCTTTACGTAAAGCAGTTTTATTTGAAATATATTGTTCCAGACAGCAGTGAAAAAAAGAAACCAGTTTTAATCTAAAATGCTTCCAGGCTCAGTCTCCTCTGGCCAATTAATTTGATTTCAGCAATGTTCTGGTTGCCTCTGCTTAGCAATAGCTATTAAATATAGTGCTGTGCCTTTTGGAAAACTTTTACTTTACATAAGAGCCAAAAGGTAAATCTGTGGAAAATTGGACTAGGAAGTGAAATATGATTTTGAAATGGAAACATATATTAGCTCAAACTCTGATAAATGAGGATCATTTTGAAAAAATATAGGTGACAACAAGTGCCAGTCAGCATCCATCAGCCATCAGTCACATTTTGACAAAGACTACGCAAGCCTCATTTACCTATCTACTTAGCTACCTAGGTTTTCAAATATTTCTTTTTTATTTTATTCAAGTTTGGGGAAGAGATGCCAACATTTTCTGATAACATTAGGATTAACTTCAGTGAGTATTGATTGGAATGTACCAGAATAGGCACTCATATAAAAATGATTAAGACACATATAAGATAGTACATGCCCTTTGGGCAATCTAATGTGTAAAATTAGGGAAATCGTATAATACAAGAAGAAATAAAGTGTATTATTCCGTTCTCACATTGCTATAAGGAAATACCTGAGACTGGGTTATTTATAAAGGAAAGAGATTTAATTGACTCACAGTTCCACGTGGCTGGGAAGGCTTCAGGAAACTTAACAATCCTGGTAGAAGGCGAAGGGAAAGAAAGGCACCCTCTTCACAGGGCGGCAGGAAGCGGAAGTGCCAAGCAAAGGGGGAAAAGCCCTTTATATAAACTCTCAGATCTCCTGAGAACTCACTCATTATCATGAGAATAGCATGGGGGTAATTGCCCCCATGATTCATTTACCTCCCATCAGGTCCCTCCCACGACACATGGGGATTGTGGGAACTGCAATTCAACATGAGATTTGGTGGGGGGATACGGACAAACCATATCATAAGGTGACAGAACTGGTTGTCTATCTCAGCATTAAGTAATTTAAACAACAACCAGTTATTTAGCTTACAATTCTTATGAGCAGTTGCTGGTCTGTACCAGCCTTTGCTAATCTGGCCTGGGCTTGCCCATGTACCTGTGGCATTTGGAAGTTCAGTTGTGGCCTAGTTTTAGACTGCCTTAGTCACGTCTTTCCATTTGGCAAATAGCAATAATAACTGCAACTAGGATAATTGGGGAGGAAGTCAGTTGAATGTGAGAGAATTGGAAATAGAAAGAATAAGCATTTTGGATTTCAAGTTTACTCTATTATAATATAATTAGATTAGCTTATTTTTAAATGAGCTATTTTTACACTGGTTCATTTTATCCCATCTTGGTCATTTTACTGTTGCCTCAAACAGTAGTTTCTTTCCCCTCCTCCTCCCAGAACTAGTATATATAAAGTCAGATTAAGACCTTACTTATCCATCCAACATCTCATAACTTCTTTAATTTCTTCAAATAGCACATATTCAAAACTTTCAAATATGATTTGCCTCTTTCTTTTTCTTCTTCCCTTTTCATATTCAATTAGTTGCCAATATCTTCTAAGTACCAGCTCCAGCATCGTTTTCCCGCTTCTATTCCCACTACTTTCACCATGTCTCAGACTCTCTTTGCTTCTTGCCTGGACTGATGTAATATGTCCCTTGTCAGGCTTATTATATCCAGGTTTGCTCTTCACAATCTACTTACTGCCTGCAAATCAGTCTTCTTAACTCACAGTTCTGATCGAGCCATTTCCTTCTGCACAAATTTCTATGGTTCTCGATTCTCACCTGAATTTCTCAGCCTAGTATTAAAAGTTTTCCAGGCTTAGCCCCATTTATGCTTCTAAACTTATTTCCCACTGTTCCACCAATGCTGTGCATCAGCCCAATTGAAAGCTTCAACTTTCTTTTAAACCCCAAGACATATTTGATCATTCCTACTGCATGGAATATTTTCCCTGGTCTAAAAATTCCCAGCTATGACATTCAGCTCATGTTACTTCCCACATGAAGCCTTTTCAATCATCTTAATTGGAAATTCTTATACTCTGAATCATATTCATGGTTATTCCACCAAAATGATATTCATTTCTATTATAGCTATTTAAATACATAAAACACACATTTTGCCTTACTTAGGAGGTTATATTTTCCTGAATAAAGTCACATGCTTCACTCAGCTCTGACTTCCCCCACAATGTTTTATTTTTTTATTTTTATTATTTATTTATTTATTTATTTGAGATGGAGTCTTGCTCTGTCACCCAGGCTGGAGTGCAGTGGCATCATCTTGGTTCACTGCAACCTCCACCTCCTGAATTCAAGCTATTCTCCTGCCTCAGCCTCCTGAGTAGCTGGGATTACAGGTATGCTCCCAGCTAATTTTTGTATTTTTAGTAGAGACAGGGTTTCACCATGTTGGATAGGCTGGTCTTGAACTCCTGACCTCAAGTGATCCACCCACCTCGGCCTCCCAAAGTGCTAGGATTACCAGCCTGAGCCATCGCGCCCAGCCCAATGTTTTACTTTAATATTACACGTGAACATGAAAAATTGTTCATAGTGTTTGGGGACCATTATACATTATGAAAATGGGGATAGAAGATAATTTCTAGCAAGGAAGTAAACATATTAAATTTTAGATAAGAGTCCTGAAAGACCAACATGTAGACTATTTTGGTAAAGAATAAAAATACAGCAAGAGGGATCGATGTTGAAAAGGTCTAGAAGACAAATAACCAAAGATGAGGGCTTAGAATGTGGTATTAAGTCATAGAGCATCAGAGAAGAGGAAGATATTATGAATGTTAAATCAACAAAACATGCTGACTACTCAAGAAAGGCTGGCCAGATGTGGTGGCTCATGCCTGTAATTCTAGCATTTTGGGAGTCTGAGGTGGGTGGAGCACCTTAGATCGGGAATTTGAGACCAGCCTGGCCAACATGGTAAAACCCCGTTTCTACTAAAATACAAAATTAGGCAGGCGTGGTGGTGTGTGCCTGTAATCCCAGTGACTTAGGAGGCTGTGGCAGGAGAATCTCTGGAACCCAGGAGGCGGAGGTTGCAGTGAGCCAAGATCCTGCCATTGCACTCCAGCCTGGGCAACAAGAGCGAAACTCCATCTCAAAAAAAAAAAAAGAAGAAGAAGGGGAAGGAGAAGGGGAAGGGGAAGGGGAGGGGGAGGGGGAGGGAAGGGGGAGGGGGAAGAAGAAGAAGAAGAAGATGAGGAGGAGGAGGCAGAGGAGGCAGAGGAGGAGGAGGAGGAAGAGGAGAAAAAGAAAGGTGAACAAAATGGATATTTCTGGTTTGGGGATCTACAGAATCAGAGGAAAAAAAACACAAGTGTGTGATATAAAAATAATAATTAGTTCAGTTTTAAACACCATGTAGCTATTTATTGTTGCATAATCATCTCAGAACATGACTTAAGACAGTGAACATTTATTATCTCACAGTTTCTGTGGGTCAGAAATTTAGGAGTACTTTCCTGGGTGATTCTGGGTCTGAGCCACTCATGAGGTTGCAATCAAGATACTGGTCAGGACTATAGGCATCTGAAGGATTGGCTGGAACTGAAGAATCTGCTTCCAAACTCACTGCTATGATTTGGATGCTTGTACCTTGCAAATCTCATGTTGACATTTGATCACCAATGTTGGAGTTGGGGCCTATTGGTACGTGTTTGGGTTATGGGAGCAGATCCCTCATGAATAGATTAACACCCTCTCTGAGGGAGTGGTGAGTGATTTCTAACTCTATTAGTTCCTGCAAGAGCTAGTTATTTAAAAGAGCCTGTCACCTTCCCCTTCTCTCTCTTTCTTCTTCTCTTGGCAAGTGATCCCTGCACGTGCTAGCTCCCCTTTGCCTTTTACCATGAGTTGTAGCAACCTGAGGCTCTTACTGGAAGAAGATACTGGTGCCACGCTTCTTGTTCAGCCTGCAGAAATGTGAGCTGAATAAAACTCTTTTCTTTATACATTACCCAGCCTCAGGTATTTCTTTATAACAACACAAATGGACTAAGACATTCACCCATGTGACCGTGGCTGGAGGCCTGCTCCTTACCTCATGAATCTCTCCATAGGGTTATTGGTGAGTACTAACAACATGGCAGCTAGCTTACCTCAAGCTAGTGATCCAAGGGAGAGCAAAAAGGAAGTGACTATGCCTGCCATGACTTAGCCAGAAGTCACACATCCCTTCTGCTATATTCCATTCATTAGAAGCAAGTTGCTAAGTCCAGCTCACACTCAAAGGGTATGACATTAAGCTTCAACTCTTGAAGGGAGGAATGTCAAAAATATGTGGACATATTTTAGAAACTTCACAGACATGTTGAGTTTGAGTTTCGTGAGGATACACAGATGGAGATATCCAGTAGCTAGGCTACAGTTTAGAATCAAAATCTAGAAAGGAGAGCACACATTTGGAAATCATTAGCTATTTGTGGAAATGGAAGCTATGAATGGTGGAAATTTTAGACAAGCTTGAGATCATTCAGAGACTATGTGAAGGCTGAAAAGGAAGAGAACCAAATGTGGATGTATGAGGGAGATTTACACAAAAGGCAAAAGCAGTGCAGGAGTCAACTAGTAGGGCTGAAAAGAAAAAAACAGAATAGTTTTCATTTCTTGTCATAAAATTCAAGAGAAAAATATTGATTTATTCAGAAAATATTGTGTGCCTCAACATTGGGTAACAATAATACATCCCAAGAAAATATCAAGTGAAGTAAGAATTATGGTTTTTTCTTAGTTTTTCAATAGTTTATTGGTGACCTTTTTGCAGTTTCAAAGGTCTAGAGGAGGTAGATGATGGACCACAGTGGCACGCCCAGAGAATGGAGAATGAGGCAGCGATACAGTTGTTCTTGCAAGTTTAGCTGAGAAGCCAAGGAAAGAGAGAGAGAACCGTGGCATGTGTAAAGGTTTTGCTGTCTTTTTCCTTAAGTCATCTCAGGCTTCCATTACAAAATACTGTAGTCTGCGCAGTTTAAACAAAAAAAAAGTTATTTCTCACAGTTATGGAGGCTGCAAATCTTAGATCAGTGCCAGCATTTGCCCTCTTCCTGGCTTGCAGATGGCTGCTTCTTTCTGTATTCTTACAAGATGGAGTGGGCAGGGGGGAGAGGGAGGGTGGATCCCTCCCTTCTCTTCTTCTTATTATAAGGACCCCAATCCCATCATGGGAACCCTGCCCTCATTACCTCATTTAAACCTAATTACCTTCTAATGACCCTACCTCCAAATAACATCTTATTAGAGGTTAAGGCTTCAACATATAAATTTGGGGATAGGGGGACACAGGCATCCCATTCCATAACCCTTTCACAATGTTTTTTTTCTCTACTTTGTATTATAAAGTTGTCAACCATGTAATAAGTAGAGACTAGTATAACAAACCCCACGTACCCAGCTTCTTTTCTCTCTTGCAACCCCATTTCCTACAAACTATAGGCAGAACATTTTTTTAAATGTAGAATCTTGAGCATGATCTCATGAGGTGAAAGTCAATAGAAATCAAGGCTAAATGCTCAGAAAATAGATAATAAATGTCTAGTCAGTTTTCATGTACTTCTTTTAATGTTATTCTCACATTCCATAGGAAATTAGATGCTTTGGAGAAGGGAAATGAGCATGGGATTTTGAGTCAGCAAATCTATCTAGGATGCCATCCACAATATCAGCCCTATGACTTTTATGGCGAAATTTCTTAACACCACCAACTTGAGCTTCCTTATTTTGGTGACATTGAAAGAGGATACTGAGGTGATAATACTTAAATAAACAATACATAAAGGGCTTCTTCTAAGAAGTAACTGAAAAAAGAAATAAATGAAATAACATAAACAGAAATATCTGGAAACCTAAAAAACTGTAGAGTCAACTTACTATCCCCAATGTACCAAGAGAAACAGGTACAGGTTAAGTACACTACCTAATATCACTCAGCCAGCAGTAAATGAAAGGGCCTGAATGTTAGTCACCCCACCTCAAATTCATGGCTCTTTCTGCTTTACTATGTTGTCTTTCTTGCTTATAGGTGATATTCAACGAATAACGGAGGATAAATAAGACTAAATTCCATCCTCTAACTGTACTAGTACCTAACGTCTTCATTAGGCCAGTTTTTAAGATTTTTTTAGAACAATTTTGATTTTAGCTGGTAATACAATATGTTTCCCCAATTCACTGTTTTAATACGCTAATTTTAAAAGTTGAATTTTCTATTGTCCAAAGGCACAGAGCAATTTATGTGTAAAGAATGGGGCTCTAATTCCTGAATCTCTACATCTGCTGTTTCAAGACATATGGCTTTCTTTTGAAAATACTTAACATATATGGTTTTTAAATGGTTTCTCAGGAATGTTTGAAATAACATGAACATAAATTTTGCAAAAGGAAGTGTAATAAATGTTTCTAATGCCAATTTAAGAAATGGTTAAAAATAAAACAGTAATCTTTAATCCATCATTCAAAATAAATTCATGCTAGTTTTTAAGATGATTGAAACCATCATCTTTAAATTTTTGAATGCATATCTTTTACATTATTTTTAAATAAAATATTTGTGAAATAAACAGCACTTCTTACATTCTGTGTTGAAACACATTGGGCATTATTTAATTTATTCTTGATGAATTATGGTTATTGCTATGAACCTAAGTTATTTTCATGCTCTGTGACAGAGATGCTATAAGACTTCTGGAAGCTTGCTTAATCATACATAAGCAGCCAAGCTCCTAAGCTTTTAACTTTAAATCTACTCTTTGTCATTTTTTTATCTCTTCCCATGCTATCAATCATCATCATGAGATGTTACATCTTACTGCTATAGTGCACCTTCTTGTTCTGTCCATTCTCTTTCAATTTATAACTTATAACTTCTATGGACCAGAAATTCCAAAATCAGTGAAGCTAGTTGAATAAGATTGACCCTTAGAAAAGTTGTAGACACAAAACTAAAGACAAGTGGAATGAACATTGAGGACTTCATTTCATGATGAAATGGATTCTGAGACATAGAAATAAAGAATAGTAAACTACACCGAAGTGGGAATGGCATAAGTCAGAGGATAAGGAATCTTTCCCAAATAACATGCTAAGTTACCTGCTCCAGGGGAAGCACACAAGTAACAAAAGTGCAAAATAGCTTTCTTTTTTTCCTATACTTGATTCCTACAAATAGGATCTGCAAGAGAAAGATTAGATATAGAATTGCAGAATCCATGCTCTTCAAATTCAACATTGTATTCCATCACCCTAAGTAGATGCCTCTTTATGTGGTATATACACTTTACGGCTACCACAGGTCCCATCTAAACTATAACTTCACAGATTTAAGGAACAGAATCATAAACGAGGAACTTTCTGCATTCAAGAAATTGTTGTTTCTCTTGAATACCATGAGACATAGCTGAGATTACTCACTCCAGATAGTCATTTATCAGGGTTTATTTCCTGTATTTAGTATGTTCATTACATGGTAAACTCATTCCCATTAACCAGGAAGCTGATTTTCTCCCAGGTTGACCTCCTTCAAATTACTTTTTTCTTCTCCCCTCAGAGTCTGTGAATCCAATTAAAGAAATTTCCATATGTTCTGATCCTATAGTCTTACTAGAATAAGAGTCTTTGGGTTCCTTTCCTGGTCTTGAGCTAGTGAATACTTTCCACACAGAAACAGTTTTAGATCACCTGATGGTGATGGCAAAATTTCTTAACATCACCAACTTGAGCTTCTTTATTTTGGTGACATTGAAAGAGGATACTGAGGCGATAATACTTAAGTAAATAATACATAAAGGGCTTCTTCTAAGAAGTAACATGAAGGACATGAGCAGAACACACAAAAGACACAGTCTCTGTTTTCACTCTTACTATAAGATGTTAATTTGTCTTTGAACTTATTTATTTCTCTACTCGGCTACTCACAGAAAAGCCACTGGACTTTAGGAAGAAGTGTAATTTAACCAACCCGAGGAAATAAGAAACCAGAAGACCTAGACTAGAGTGGCCAAGAGCTAATACATATATATTATAATAAATCTTTAGCAAACCACAAAAGTGAACTGCTACATGTATCCAAAAACGTGGGAGAGGAGGCAATGATCACCTACATCCATGGCTTAACCTGCCAAATGAACACAGGTGCTACCAATAGCCCTATATCTTGGCAGGAGTTGGGGGTGGGTGCTGGGTAGTGTGTCAGGAGATGAGGGAACTGTGAAAATAACTTAAGAGTTTGGCCTGATAGGGACTACATGGGGGTCATGTCCAGATCTACCTTCTGATCCTGAGCCAGACCAAGCTTCTTTCATTATAGTGTGACTGCTGTGCTGGTAAAATATCAATCATTTTGCATTTTGGTTACTTGTGTGCTGCCCCTGAAGCAGATAACTTAGCATGTTAATGCCCTCTAATTTCTCACCTATAAAGCTTGAGGTCCAAATTCATCCTCCATTACAAATCTTAGAAACCTAATCATGAAACGGTCCTTGCATTACTATTGAGTTTGGGGATGAGAATTACTCACTCACTGTCATGGAAATCACTAAAAATTATAAAACTGGTTTGTGTTTTAGGAGCACAGCAGTTGCATTCCAGAACAGAAGAAGCTTGGTCTGGCTCAGGTTCCAGCCAGAAAGCCTGAGCTCTCAGAAGGTAGATCTGGACATGACCCCAATCTAGTCTTGTGACAAGAAAAATCACTCTAGGACCAACAAGGATTAAGAAAATGTGTCTGATAACTGCCCTTACCCACAATAATACAAATAAACAAATAAACATTTTGAGCAAAATTATGAAATGAATCAGAACTCCAGAATCTTCCTGTCATCTGAGGAAATAAAGCCAAAATAGCAAAATGTAGTAAAATGTTTATAAAATCAAATACCAAAAGGGAAATACCCCTAGACCATGAACACAAGAGTGATTACCAAGGAAAAGGACAGTAGATCTGACATGACTGGATCCATCGTTCACGTACTATGCTTTCAACATCAAAGATGCTGAAATCAGTAAATGAAAAGTAGTTGGTCCAGCTTGCAATGCCAGAAGCTTTTTGCTCTAAACAAGGCCTCCAAATACATTAAAATAACTTGGAAGAGAACAAACTATGGCCTCCGTAACCTCTTTTCTACCAAGCAGATTCACTTTTCTTGTGAATATGTCAGACAGTTCCAGAAAAAAGTGGGTGGTAGAGGATGATAAAAGATATCTGAGATATACAAGTACTAAGCAGAAAACATTACAAGAAAAATAAATAGATAAGACAGATAAACTTTAATAAACTTTTATAAGAAAGTAGGAAAATGAATTTGCCAACTAGTTTATGAAGTTGCTATAATCTTGATAAATAAACTAAATATGAAGTAAGATACAAAAAGAAAGCTAGTCCAAATCCAAAAAAATGTAATGTTTAGAGATACAGATATAATGATGCTCATGGAGAAATTTTTTCAATCATGCAAAGATGATTTAATCTCATCTGTGCAATTCAATTTACCACAGAAATAAAAGAGAAAAAAACACAATCTTCTGAATAAATGCAAAAATATATATACATAAAATAACATTCAAAGCCTACATATGATTTTGAGAAAAGGGGAAAAACTCATACTAAACTGAAAGCAGATAGTTTCCCTGCTTTAATGAAAACTATGATACTGCAGCAGGTGTCCTACTTAATGAAGAAACTAGGTTTGCGATTAGACAAGGATGCTCAGAACTGCTACTATATTTCTAGAGCGAACATGAGATTCTAGTTAAAGCAATAATATAAGGGAAAAAAGTCCAGGCACTCTGGCTGACACCTGTAATCCCAGCACTTTGGGAGTCTGAGGCAGGAGGATTGCTTGAGCCCAGGAGTTTGAGGTTACAGTGAGCTATGATCGCACCACTGCACTCCACGTTGGGCAACAGAGCAAGGCCCTGTCTCAATAAAAAATAAAAATTAAAAATCTTAAGGTGTAGTGGTTGGAAAACAAGGAGTAAAAATATCTCTATATGCAGTTGGTAAATAATTTTTGCACAACCAAAAGAATCCTCAAACCCTTAGAACTATTAAATGTGTTCATCAAGTTTGTCGAATATAAGATTAATACGCAAAACAATAACAACAACAACAAAAACTGTTCCTCAACGCCAATGATTATCAAAATGGGGATGATTTTTCCTGCTAGCAGACATTTGACAAAATATGAAAACATTCTCGTTATCACAGTTGGGCGGTGTGAGAGGTGGGTGCTATAGCCATCTAGTGAGTAGAGACCAGAGATGCTGCTAAATATCTTACAATGCACAGGACAGCCTCCTATAATGAAGAATTATCCAAGCCAAAACATTAATTACAAGGCTGTTGAGAAATGCTGCTCCTCATCAGAACACTAACCAGTGAAAAAATGTTATAAAAAATGAGAAAACCTTCACAATAGCAATACAAACTATAAAGTATGTACAGATAACCTAACAAGATATTTACACGAGCTTAATGGAGAAAATGTTAAGCTCTCTTCAATGGCCGAAATGAGACAGTATTTTATATTTGTGACTGTACTTATTTAATTTAATAAAATTATTAATTATTTTCTAAAGTCACCAATATATTTTTTAAATACAATTTTTTAAAATTATCAATATTTGAAGAATTTGTTAATCTGATTCTGAAGTTTCTAGTAGGGTAGCAGAGGAATCTTACCCTTCATTTTTTGGGTAGTTGGTAACTTCTCCAAAAAGTATAATATAAAACAAGATGTAGAAACAAATAGGAGTGCAGTATTTACGGGCATCGATTTCTTAGCCCAGTGACAATTGTAGCAATCTTCAATATATAGAGTTTAGCTTATTTGAAGATAACCAAAGTTTTGCATCTTAAAGAATAAAATTACAGATCTATGCTCACTAGAAAATTAGTTTTTAAAACAATATTCATGGTATTTTAACATCGTTGTTTAAAGCATGCATCCTATAGCTGCACACTAAATAAAGACGAAATGATCAGATAGAACGTTTGAAATGTCATTTTTCCTTTGCTCTTCCCTAACATGGCATTCTGCTAATTTTAGTGCATGTTTTATATCAAAACTCTCTAACTCTAATCTCCCAGAAACTGATTAATCTGCATTAATAGCCTTTCTGGGAAGTTGTAAGTTTAATCAATTTTTATTTGATAAGGGTCTCTAATGCTTTTAGCGATGGGTGACTTACTGAGCAACAAACTGTTTCAAAACCATCAGCATTTTCTGAAGTTATGTCAGATGTTGATAAAGTGAAATTCCTCATACAATACAGGAATGTGATTCTCAATTCTTTATCCACCGAGTTTAACAAAGATAGAGGGCCCTCAAAATGTTATCCAAATACTGAAGAGAGATAACTTATTAAAACAGTATTTCTTCATAATCTGGACACTTTTGGTTCCAGATAGTGCAGGCTATTTTCTCAATGACCTGATGGAGCTATAGAAGTCGCTGTTTGACTTGGTTTTCAAATGTCTATCCACTACAATGAAGATGTTAACTGTGGTTAACTGTCACTTTTTGCACTGAATGCCCTACCTCTGAGCTGCACCCTAATTCACTATATCTGAACAGTTTTTTTAGAGTTTCATAACCCTTTACATCAACCATCTTATATTATCCTCACAACAACCTTACAAGGTAAAAGAGAATAGGAATGTTGCTTTACCAGTGGGGAAATGAGCTCAATGACCTTATGTCCTCCAAAGTTTTGATGGTTTTGTACTAACTCCTACCACTTTTTATCTGGGAGCGCTCCCATCCAATCTGTCAGGACACACCAAGTGGCTTGATGTGAGCAGGATGCAATTTGTGGCTGGTAGACTTGCAGGATTCTTGAGGGTAAAGCCCTCTTATTCTTCTCTGTGTCCTCAGTGCCCAGTGTAATACCTATGTAGAGGACAAGAAATATATTTCCTCATTCATCACTAGATGTATGGCTGAAGCCCCTATTATAAAAGACAGAATATCAGGAGAAAACCATACAAATGTATTTAATGTAAGTTTTAAAAGAAACTAATATAAGTTTTCCTTATTAAGGAAATGAAGACCCAGAAAAATGAGTTTACCTGTGTATTTTTTTCTTTTTGATACATTCTTCTTATGTTACCCAAGCTGCAGTGCAGTGGCATGATTGTAGCTCATTGAAACCTTGATTTCCTGGGCTCAGCCTCCCGAGTAGATGGGACTATAGGCACATACCCCCACACCCAGCTAATTTTTTGTACAATGCCCAGGATGGTCTTGAACTCCTGAGCTCAAGTAATCTGCCTGCTTTGACCTCCCAAGCGTACCTCTATCTTTTTTTAATGCTAAGTTTGATGAAGCAGATAGTCACGAAGATGTAGAGTCGGACAAAGGGGCTATGAGCTAATGGTAATAAACCGGGGGAACTTAGCAAGTCCTGTTTGTTCATATCCTTCTCTGTGTCCCTTCTCTGTGTCCCTGTGTCTTCAGATATAAGGATGTTCCTTTCCTCCAGGTATAGGGAGGGCATCTCTCAAATGAAGATCTTATGACCTGCTTCAGGGGAAGGTCAGAAAATTCTCCCTAGGATTTATTACCTGCTTTGAGGGAGAAGGGCAGCAAAAAATCAAAGAAGACTTTTCCTACTTCTTTGGTTTTCTCAAATTCCTTACTTTAAAAGGTTTGAAGGTAGCATGTCCTGAACCCCATCACCTATATGCATACAGAAATCACACACATGCATGCACATGCACACACACAGACACACGCACACACACAGACACACGCGCACACACACACACACTTTTATTTAAATTAAATTCTGAACTCCAGTGGTCTGTTCCTCTGCTGCCACCCACTGCCCCAGCAAGCCCACACAGCTTTACACACCATATGGGCCTAGAGTTTTCAAATTACTTATTTGGCAATGTACGACCCCAAACACTCTGCTTTCTCTCAAATCCACATCTGTATGCCTTTACACCTAGTATTTCTTTCCCTCTTTGTCTTGCAGAACTAAGTCCCCCTCTTCCTTCCAGATGCAGGCCAAATGTCAGCTCTTCTCTGATTCCCACCTCAGGCAAGATCAAGGAGTAAATCACTCCCTGCCATCCCACCCTTTACTGCCCTCAATTATTGCAGAGCAAGATAAGATCTGTGCTGTAAGTGGCTGGTCTTAGGAGAGATTATAACACTGAAGTGCTTGAAGAAAATGAAGAAAACCATTCTGTTTGACATTATCTAAATAAGCTGTTTCAATGAAGATTTACTGCCCTGTATTCAACAGAAAATTTTAGTGCCCGAGTAACATCCCTTTGTTTAAGAATTAAAATTAAAAGACTAACTCCAGAATGGAAGGCAAAAAGAGTGTTCCAATGCTATAGAACCACTTTTTAGTATCATGCAATTTCCACATTGCTATGATTTTAATATGGCTTGGCCAAAACCTCATGTCGAAAATTTGGTCCCCAATGTGGCAGTGTTGGAAGTGGGATAAAATGGAAGGTGTTTGGGTCATGGGGGCAGGTCTCTCGTGAACAGACTAATGCCCTTCCTCAGGGATGAAGGAGTTCTCCCTCTCAAGAAAATGGATTGGTTCCAATGAGAGTGGGTTGTTTAAAAACAGTATGGCTTTCTTGGCTTCTCTCTCTCTTGCTTCCTCTCTCACCATATGGCCTCTGCACACACCAGCTCACCTTCTGCTTTCTGCCATGAGTGAAAGCAGTATGAGGCCCTCACCAGATGCAGCTGTCCATTCTTGGACTTTTCAGCCACCAGAATCATAAGCCAAATAATCTTCTTTTTTTTTTAATAAATTACCCAGCCTTGGATATTCTGTTAACAGCAATAAAAAACAGACTAACATAGATATATAATATATTTGTAAAGCAAACATGAAATAACCATGGCAGGGATGACCAATTAGCAAATTTATTGCTTAAAATTCTATATAAAATGCATATTATTATCTTCAGACAATTGTTTGAGTAAACTATTGTCTTAATTTCAATATTATCAATGTCATTAAAAGTAATAGTTGTTTTATTTACCAAGTACAATTCCACACGGACTAGATTCAGTCATTTTTGTTTAAGTTTTTGTTTTTATTTTTATGCATAAAACCATGATATAACTAAAATCAATTTCTAAAAAAATTGATTTTATTTTTGTAGACTGGATTTTCTTTATTAATTACAATGTACAATTGGGCTTTGTCTCTGATCGGGTTTTAGTACCTATAAGTTAAGGTACTTATAGTGAAAAGTCACTTACAGTGAAAACTTACAGTGAAAAGTCAAGATTTATAAATATAAAATAATATCTCTTGGGATCTAATTTCAAGTGGCTAAAAGCCTTAATAAATTAGCTTTGTAAATATAAGCATTAATGGAAATATGATTTGTTAAATTGCTAATTCTTCTCTTAATATTTTTCTGGTTGTCTAAACACAGAAATCTCTGTATATAAAAGCCATGTAGAAATAAATCAATATATATATTTCTTAACTGTGGATTGACCCTCCCTCCCTGAATGATTTCTTTAAATGATAAATTAAAACTGATCAAGTGAGAAAATATATGTGAAATCATTTGAAAGTTAAAAAGCTATAAAAATGTAAGATACTCTTATTTAACTGCACTCAATGAAACCATCTGAAGACTAGCATTCTACCATCTAGTTTTTTCTTTTGATAGTTCCAAACTGGTAATTGGTTTACATTATCTCTGTTAGAATTTCTACTATAGTATAGTCTAGGAAGAAAAGCAAACAAAATCTAAAATATTGTATCCCTGAGTATTAAAGGCAAATCCTATGAATACTTCTAAAGAGGTAATCAAATCACTTTTAAAAAATTATTATAGCAAGGAAATGAGTTGTATATTGTATTTTCAGTTCTTGTGCATTTTTGTATTTTGCCTTTTCACCTGATTACATGTTAGAAATCATATATGTTTTTCTCTATTCTCTTTTTCTAGAAACCATATATATATATATATATATATATATATATATATATATATATATATATATATATATATATATATATATATATATATATATATATATATATATATAGAGAGAGAGAGAGAGAGAGAGAGAGAGAGAGAGAGAGAAACAGATATATAGATATATCTATCTATCTATCTATCTATATCAACTTGGGTCACTGGTGTTGTTATTGATTTTTCTCATGTGGCATGGTAATGTAGCTTCAGCTTTTCTAACAATATGAAAGAAGATCAAGTTTCCAAGAAGAAGGCTTGAATGGTCCTTCCCATGATGTACACTCAACATAAACTTGGGTAGACCAGGCCAGACCAACAAAGGTGAAGGAAAGTCAGGATGCAAGCTGGCTCAGGGGAATGAGTTCCACAATAACCCTCAAAAACAAAGAATGGTAATCTGGCTTTCTTGTGACCTATGAAATTAAAAGTACTTAAATATTGCCTAGAAATAAAATGCATTTTCATTTTTTGCTTTATTTAAGCATTTATATTCCTGTTATGAACTAAAGATTTGGGTCCTGAAGACATAAATATCACAAAAATCTGAAACACCTACCAATGAACTATTTTCTCTGCTGACACAGCAGGAAGAAGACTGAGCTTGTATTTGTTGTATTGCAAGCTGCTCTAGTTTGCTTTTCAAGCTGAACAGGACGGTGACATTTTACAGTATCTTATACACTAGAGTGTTAAAATGCTTTTGCAAGCAAGACTTCACTCAGATTTCTTGGAAGTGTTTCAAAATTACATCATTCTCATTACTAATAAGTATATCTTTTTTGCTTTCCTGATGTTTAGCCAAAATGTTTTTTCTTTTTAGACTGTCTTATTCATTATAGTTTTACTACTTCATACCATGTTAAATAATTTTCTTTGCTCTCTAAATTTTTCAAATGTTATGTTCTCCTCTCTTTTCTTTGGCCAGATTATGCATATTTTATACCCTTTATTTTCTCTTATAAAATCACTTCCACTTCATAAATGATTTATATTACTCTCCTCTGAATCCTTCTCCTCCAAGATTGTTTCCAAATCTGAAGTGATTAGATTCACCAGTATTAGCTGCCCTGTGCAGTTGCTGCTCTGAGCTCTTAACATTTATTAACATATTCAATCCTCACAACAGCTTTATAAGGTACAGCCTAGTATTTTAGGCTGATGAGCGACAGGTATGGAGAAGTT
This sequence comes from Homo sapiens, assembly GCF_000001405.40. Lineage (NCBI taxonomy): Eukaryota > Metazoa > Chordata > Mammalia > Primates > Hominidae > Homo > Homo sapiens. Next base: position 17,086,377 of record NC_000021.9, read on the forward strand.
AAGCAATTTACCTGTGTTTATTCATCTAGTTACGTAGCAGAACTAGACCTGGAACTCAGATTTTCTCGTTCCAGAGCCTATTCTTAACTACTCTACCATATTGTCTCTCTATAGCAAACTGATTCATTAGATTAAATCTAAACTGTTACTTCCTTTATTCATAAAATGAGCATATTTATGAAAAATCAGAAATTAAATCAGAGTCAAGAGAGATTGTACTGAAATAATTTTTGTGTGTGCTATGGCAATGTAACTCAGTATACATTCTAGCCTCTCTTACAACTTAAACCCAACCTAAAATATGAATTGAACAGCCTGCCATTCTGCATTGTTATTTCATGGGATCTTTGAGATATTTTGACCTGAGAGCTGCTTTTTACAACACAAGTATTTCCAAGGATAGTTATATCTTAGCTATTATCAGCTACTATTGTATGTATCTCTTGTTACCATAAGAATAAGTGGAAGTTAGGGGACAACATGGATTGGACACTTACATATCCACTTACTTATCTTTTGCTTGTCTGTATCTTCCTGATTTTCTACAATCAACATTACCAGTCTGTTGTTAAAAATATATATATATATTTTTAAACAGATAAATCTGAATTATAGAGTATATTCAGGATTAAAAGTTACCTGCAATTTTTTTCAAGTTGAACACTCTAGAAAATCACATAATAATTTATTCTCCAAATTTTTATTATATACCTATGATTTTGTCATACTGTAGGCACCAAAATAGGTGTGGTAGATTTAAAAGGGAGAGACAGAAAGAGAGCAGTCAAATGGGTACTCTGCCCAGGAGCACAGTAATGAAGATAAAACAAGAATTGAAAACATATAATTCTAATAAAACCACTACAGATAAGCCATATTCCCAAATAGATGGCAGACTATACTTTTCATGTTAAACTAAACCTTAATAAACAAATGTATTTAAAATTATTAAGTAAATTTGTACTTAATTAGTGAAAAGGGCAACATACAGCCATAATAAATTATGTACTGAAAAGTTAAAATGTTAAAAATAAAAATTCCTTAGCCCAGTGCCTTGTTTATAGCAGGTATCATAAGTATTTGTACAGCAAGCAATAATGTACATAATATAACTCGAATTGTGCAAAAGTTTGTTGCTCTTACATAATGAATATGAATCTATCATCTATGAATCCATCTTCCACTGGATGTCTGGAGAAAATAGCAGCAGAAGAAGAATAGCAAGAGGATGAGGAAGAAAAAGAAGAAGAAAAGAAGAGGAAGAAGAAAAAGGAGGAGGAGGAGGGGAAGGAGAAGAATTATAAGAAGAAAAGAAGAGCAAGAGGAAGAAGAAGGAGGAGGAGGAGGAGGAAGAAGATGTCAGGCCTCTGAGCCCAAGCTAAGCCATCATATCCCCTGTGACCTGCAGGTATACATCCAGATGGCCTGAAGTAACTGAAGAATCACAAAACAAGTGATATTTAAATGGCCTGTTCATGCCTTAACTGATGACATTCCACCACAAAAGAAGTGAAAATGGCCGGTCCTTGCCTTAACTGATGACATTACCTTGTGAAATTCCTTCTCCTGGCTCATCCCGGCTCAAAAGCTCCCCAACGAGCACCTTGTGACCCCCACCCCTGCCCGCCAGAGAACAACCCCCTTTGACTGTAATTTTCCTTTACCTCCCCAAACTTATAAGACGGCCCCACCCTTGTCTCCCTTTGCTGACTCTCTTTTTGGACTCAGCCCGCCTGCACCCAGGTGAAATAAACAGCCTTGTTGCTCACACAAAGCCTGTTTGGTGGTCTCTTCACACGGACGCCAGTGAAAGAAGGGAGGAGGGCAAGGAGGGAGGAGGAAGGAGGAAGGACGAAGAATTGAAGAATTATCTTACTCTCTTCCATAAGAAAACATCATCTTTCAGGTAAACCCAGCCTCTAAATTCTAGACATTCAGTAATTTCCCAACCATACTCTACATATATCAAATAAAGCAAAGAAATAACATACCAAGATGGAGGAGGAGCCTGTCACTCACCTTCCCCCAAGACTTCACTGTTGTGTAATGATGGGTGGATGCTCCAATCAGGGCCCCACACAGCTGGATACTGTTCCATCTGAAGTTGTAGCTAGCAGAACCCTTGTCTCCTCTCTCCTGAATCTAACTCCAGTGTCCTCACACCTGATGTCGAATGTCTGGCTATTGATGGATGTAGCTGATGGCTTTATCCAAGCAGCCCTTCAGTGGTGTCTGGGTGGCTAACTGGATTCACTCTGCAACCTCCTTTTGCCATCTTGTTTCTTTTACCTGAATCTCATTCACATACTCATTCAACCAACAGGGTTGAAACTGAAAACCAAACACAGCAGAAGGAACGACCCAAGGTCTTCTTAGAATGACGAAAACCACTCGGTTGCTTTCCATTACTTTCTGAATTTGCAAGCCCTGTTCCAGTTTGCTGGTGTCTTCTAAGAGTTTGAATATTTGTGAATCAGTTCACTTTATTTTAACTTTTGGCCTTTATTGGGTTTGCTTCAAATGTATTGTCTTTATGTAAGACACATTCAATTTCTTAACCAAACTTTGTTAGTAAAGAAAAAAACATTTTGTCTTTTCTTTATAAAGTATGGAAAGACTGGCTGTACTAAAATACTAGCTTCATTTTCTCCCTAGTCAGATTTATGTTGTAACATGTAAATTTTAAAAGAGAAAGAGAGAAGAGAAACATACTGAGACAGAGCTATCTTTATAACTGCTGTAGACTTGCCCTTTCCCTCATCCCAATTTCAAAAAAGATGATATAAAGCTTCATGTTGGCAAGTTAATCACAGTCAGGGAGAGAATGAGCTCAACTGTGTATGTAAAAACTTAGTTGTTTTTCTTTGATTCATCCGATAGCATCACACTGGGTCAGTTTCTTGTTTATGCTGTCTTTATTGTTTCTGGTCTTAGAACAATAAACAGCCCTAAGTGGTTTCAATTACAGCAGCAAAACTGTGCAAATGAACTTTGGCTTTGTTTCATATTGAATAGAGGGTTTTTATGATTTTATAAATGGTGATGTTTAGGAATCTTGCCAAACCTGTTCTATAAACAGTGAAGAGTCACATTTGCCAGCTCTAGGCCTTTAAATATCCTTCCCTTGATATGGATAAAATGTTTTTAACGTTGTCCTATGGAGATGAATAGGAATGATGAAATTATCTGCAGATTTAGCATCAATTTGCAAAAACAAAGTATTGGAATGTTTTTGCTGGTCATGTATCCATTAGCCAATACCTGATTTTTTTGTATGTCTTCCTTAATTGCAGGACAGTATTAGTCAACTGTCACTCACTTTTAACAAATTTAACATACAATTGTAACAGCAAGAATACATTACATTATGCTATGGTTACAAATAAACTCCCACCTTCCCAATCTTGATAGCTTCATAGCATAAAAATTTGTGGATAAAAGTATTCAGTAAGTCAGGGAAATATCCTACCTCATGTTCCCACAATCACCTGGATGGGGGAAAATAATTCTACAGATTCCTACACAACCAATTAAACATTCCAGAATTGGTAGCACAGGCCCTGCATCCACAGGGGGTCCAGAAAAGTCAACCTTTCATTTACCTTAGTGCAGAGACATGGCAAGGCAAGGCACTAATTCATTTACAGAACTTGAAGTTTCAGTCTTAGAGAATATTTTGGAAGTCACCATTGGTTAGTGAATGTATTAGTCGACTAGAACTGACATAAAATATCACAGACTGGTTGGCATAAACAACAGAAATTAATTTCTCACAGTTCTGGAAGGTGGAAATCTAAGACTACAATGTCAGCATGTTTGGTTTCTCTTGAGACTTCTCCTCTTGGCTTACAAATGGCTATCTTCTTGCCATGTTTTTACATGGCCTTTACTCAGTGCATGTTCATCCCTGGTGTCTCTTTCTCATTAGAATATTGGATTGGAAAGCACCCATATGAACTCATTTAACATTAATTATCTCTTTGAAGGCCGTATCTCCAAATATGGTTACATTCTGAGGTACTGGGGGTTGGGACTTCATCAAATGAATTTTCAGGGGACACAGTTCAGCCTGTCACAGTGAATGAACCATCACAAATCGGTCAGTGTGTCTTTGCAGTTAAGATTTACAAGTTGGAGGGGGGAGGAGCCAAGATGGCCGAATAGGAACAGCTCCGGTCTACAGCTCCCAGCGTGAGCGACGCAGAAGATGGGTGATTTCTGCATTTCCATCTGAGGTACTGGGTTCATCTCACTAGAGAGTGCCAGACAGTGGGTGCAGGTCAGTGGGTGCAGGGCACCGTGCACGAGCCAAAGCAGGGCAAGTCATTGCCTCACTTGGGAAGTGCAAGGGGTCAGAAGGTTCCCTTTCCGAGTCAAAGAAAGGGGTGACGGACAGCACCTGGAAAATCGGGTCACTCCCACCCGAATACTGAGCTTTTCCGATGGGCTTAAAAAACGGCACACCACGAGATTATACCCCACACCTGGCTCGGAGGGTCCTACGCCCACGGAGTCTCGCTGACTGCTAGCACAGCAGTCTGAGATCAAACTGCAAGGCGGCAGTGAGGCTGGGGGAGGGACCCCCGCCATTGCCCAGGCTTGATTAGGTAAACAAAGCAGCCAGGAAGCTCGAACTGGGTGGAGCCCACCACAGCTCAAGGAGTCCTGCCTGCCTCTGTAGGCTCCACCTCTGGGGGCAGGGCAAAGACAAACAAAAAGACAGCAGTAACTTCCGCAGACTGAAATGTCCCTGTCTGACAGCTTTGAAGAGAGCAGTGGTTCTCCCAGCACGCAGCTGGAGATCTGAGAATGGGCAGACTGCCTCCTCAAGTGGGTCCCTGACCCCCGAGCAGCCTAACTGGGAGGCACCCCCAGCAGGGGCACACTGACACCTCACACGGCAGGTTATTCCAACAGACCTGCAGCTGAGGGTCCTGTCTGTTAGAAGGAAAACTAACAAACAGAAAGGACATCCACACCAAAAACCCATCTGTATATCACCATCATCAAAGACCAAAAGTAGATAAAACTACAAAGATGGGGAAAAAACAGAACAGAAAAACTGGAAACTCTAAAAAGCAGAGCGCCTCTCCTCCTCCACAGGAATGCAGTTCCTCACCAGCAACGGAACAAAGCTGGATGGAGAATGACTTTGACGAGCTGAGAGAAGAAGGCTTCAGACGATCAAATTACTCCGAGCTATGGGAGGACATTCAAACCAAAGGCAAAGAAGTTCAAAACTTTGAAAAAAATTTAGAAGAATGTATAACTAGAATAACCAATACAGAGAAGTGCTTAAAGGAGCTGATGGAGCTGAAAACCAAGGCTCCAGAACTACGTGAAGAATGCAGAAGCCTCAGGAGCTGATGCAATCAACTGGAAGAAAGGGTATCAGCAATGGAAGATGAAATGAATGAAATGAAGTGAGAAGGGAAGTTTAGAGAAAAAAGAATAAAAAGAAATGAGCAAAGCCTCCAAGAAATATGGAACTATGTGAAAAGACCAAATCTACGTCTGATTGGTGTACCTGAAAGTGATGGGGAGAATGGAACCAAGTTGGAAAACACACTGCAGGATATTATCCAGGAGAACTTCCCCAATCTAGCAAGGCAGGCCAATGTTCAGATTCAGGAAATACAGAGAATGCCACAAAGATACCCCTCAAGAAGAGCAACTCCAAGACACATAATTGTCAGATTCACCAAAGTTGAAATGAAGGAAAAAATGTTAAGGACAGCCAGAGAGAAAGGTCGGGTTACCCTCAAAGGGAACCCATCAGACTAACAGCGGATCTCTCGGCAGAAACCCTACAAGCCAGAAGAGAGTGGGGGCCAATATTCAACATTCTTAAAGAAAAGAATTTTCAACCCAGAATTTCATATCCAGCCAAACTAAGCTTCATAAGCGAAGGATAAATAAAATACTTTACAGACAAGCAAATGCTGAGAGACTTTGTCACCACCAGGCCTGCCCTAAAAGAGCTCCTGAAGGAAGTGCTAAATATGGAAAGGAACAACCGGTACCAGCCACTGCAAAATCATGCCAAAATGTAAAGACCATCGAGACTAGGAAGAAACTGCATCAACTAACGAGCAAAATAACCAGCTAACATCATCATGACAGGATCAAATTCACACATAACAATATTAACTTTAAATGTAAATGGACTAAATGCTCCAATTAAAAGAAACAGATTGGCAAATTGGATAGTCAAGACCCATCAGTGTGCTGTATTCAGGAAACCCATCTCACGTGCAGAGACACACATAGGCTCAAAATAAAAGGATGGAGGAAGATCTACCAAGCAAATGGAAAACAAAAAAGGCAGGGGTTGCAATCCTAGTCTCGGATACAACAGACTTTAAACCAACAAAGATCAAAAGAGACAAAGAAGGCCATTACATAATGGTAAAGGGATCAATTCAACAAGAAGAGCTAACTATACTAAATATATATGCACCCAATACAGGAGCACCCAGATTCATAAAGCAAGTCCTGAGTGACCTACAAAGAGACTTAGACTCCCACACATTAATAATGGGAGACTTTAACAACCCACTGTCAACATTAGACAGATCAACGACACAGAAAGTCAACAAGGATGCCCAGGAATTGAACTCAGCTCTGCACCAAGCGGACCTAATAGACATCTACAGAACTCGCCACCCCAAATCAACAGAATATACATTTTTTTCAGCACCACACCACACCTATTCCAAAATTGACCACATACTTGGAAGTAAAGCTCTCCTCAGCAAATGTAAAAGAACAGAAATTATAACAAACTATCTCTCAGACCACAGTGCAATCAAACTAGAACTCAGGATTAAGAATCTCACTCAAAACGGCTCAACTACATGGAAACTGAACAACCTGCTCCTGAATGACTACTGGGTACATAACGAAATGAAGGCAGAAATAAAGATGTTCTTTGAAACCAATGAGAACAAAGACACAACATACCAGCATCTCTGGGACACATTCAATGCAGTCTGTAGAGGGAAATTTATAGCACTAAATGCCCACAAGAAAAAGCAGGAAAGATCCAAAATTGACACCCTAACAGACATCACAATTAAAAGAATTAGAAAAGCAAGAGCAAACACATTCAAAAGCTAGCAGAAGGCAAGAAATAACTAAAATCAGAGCAGAACTGAAGGAAATAGAGACACAAAAAACCCTTCAAAAAATTAATGAATCCAGGAGCTGGTTTTTTGAAAGGATCAATAAAATTGATAGACCGCTAGCAAGACTAATAAAGAAAAAAAGAGAGAAGAAACAAATAGATGCAATAAAAAATGATAAAGGGGATATCACCACCGATCCCACAGAAATACAAACTACCATCAGAGAATACTACAAACACCTCTACGCAAATAAACCAGAAAATCTAGAAGAAATGGATAAATTCCTCGACACATACACTCTCCCAAGACTAAACCAGGAAGAAGTTGAATCGCTGAATAGACCAATAACAGGATCTGAAATTGAGGCAACAATCAATAGCTTACCAACCAAAAAGAGTCCAGGACCAGATGGATTCACAGCCGAATTCTACCAGAGGTACAAGGAGGAATTGTACCATTCCTTCTGAAACTATTCCAATCAATAGAAAAAGAGGGAATCCTCCCTAGCCCATTTTATGAGGCCAGCATCATTCTGATACCAAAGCCAGGCAGAGACACAACAAAAAAAGAGAATTTTAGACCAATATCCTTGATGAATATTGATGCAAAAATCCTCAATAAAATACTGGCAAAATGAATCCAGCAGCACATCCAAAAGCTTATCCACCATGATCAAGTGGGCTTCATCCCTGGGATGCAAGGCTGGTTCAATATACGCAAATCAATAAATGTAATCCAGCATATAAACAGAGCCAAAGACAAAAACCACATGATTATCTCAATAGATGCAGAAAAAGCCTTTGACAAAATTCAACAACCCTTCATGCTAAAAACTCTCAATAAATTAGGTATTGATGGGACGTATCTCAAAATAATAAGAGCTATCTATGACAAACTCACAGCCAATATCATACCGAATGGGCAAAAACTGGAAGCATTCCCTTTGAAAACTGGCACAAGACAGGGATGCCCTCTCTCACCACTCCTATTCAACATAGTGTTGGAAGTTCTGGCCAGGGCAATTAGGCAGGAGAAGGAAATAAAGGGTATTCAATTAGGAAAAGAGGAAGTCAAATTGTCCCTGTTTGCAGACGACGTGATTGTATATCTAGAAAACCCGATTGTCTCAGCCCAAAATCTCCTTAAGCTGATAAGCAACTTCAGCAAAGTCTCAGGATACAAAATCAATGTACGAAAATCACAAGCATTCTTATACACCAACAACAGACAAACAGAGAACCAAATCATGAGTGAACTCCCATTCACAATTGCTTCAAAGAGAATAAAATACCTAGGAATCCAACTTACAAGGGATGGGAAGGACCTCTTCAAGGAGAACTACAAACCACTGCTCAATGAAATAAAAGAGGATACAAACAAATGGAAGAACATTCCATGCTCATGGGTAGGAAGAATCAATATCATGAAAAGGCCATACTGCCCAAGGTAATTTATAGATTCAATGCCATCCTCATCAAGCTACCAATGCCTTTCTTCACAGAATTGGAAAAAACTACTTTAAACTTCATATGGAACCAAAAAAGAGCCCGCATCGCCAAGTCAATCCTAAGCCAAAAGAACAAAGCTGGAGGCATCACACTACCTGACTTCAAACTATACTACAAGGCTACAGTAACCAAAACAGCATGGTACTGGTACCAAAACAGAGATATAGATCAATGGAACAGAACAGAGCCCTCAAATAACACCACATATCTACAACTATCTGATCTTTGACAAACCTGAGAAAAACAAGCAATGGGGAAAAGATTCCCTATTTAATAAATGGTGCTGGGAAAACTGGTTAGCCATATGGAGAAAGCTGAAACTGGATCCCTTCCTTACTCCTTATACAAAAATCAATTCAAGATGGATTAAAGACTTAAATGTTAGACCTAAAACCATAAAAACCCTAGAAGAAAACCTAGGCATTACCATTCAGGACATAGGCATGGGCAAGGACTTCATGTCTAAAACACCAAAAGCAATGGCAACAAAAGCCAAAATTGACAAATGGGATCTAATTAAATAAAGAGCTTCTGCACAGCAAAAGAAACTACCATCAGAGTGAACAGGCAACCTACAAAATGGGAGAAAATTTTCACAACCTACTCATCTTACAAAAGGCTAATATCCAGAATCTACAATGAACTCAAACAAATTTACAAGACAAAAACAAACTACCCCATCAAAAAGTGGGCAAAGGACATGAACAGACACTTCTCAAAAGAAGACATTTATGCAGCCAAAAAACACATGAAAAAATGCTCATCATCACTGGCCATCAGAGAAATGCAAATCAAAACCACAATGAGATACCATCTCACACCAGTTAGAATGGCAATCATTAAAAAGTCAGGAAACAACAGGTGCTGGAGAGGATGTGGAGAAATAGGAACACGTTTACACTGTTGGTGGGACTGTAAACTAGTTCACCCTTGTGGAAGTCAGTGTGGCGATTCCTCAGGGATCTAGAACTAGAAATACCATTTGACCCAGCCATCCCATTACTGGGTATATACCCAAAGGACTATAAATCATGCTGCTATAAAGACACATGCACACATATGTTTTTTGCGGCATTATTCACGATAGCAAAGACTTGGAACCAACCCAAATGTCCAACAATGATAGACTGGATTAAGAAAATGTGGCACATATACACCATGGGATACTATGCAGCCATAAAAAATGATGAGTTCATGTCCTTTGTAGGGACATGGATGAAGCTGGAAACCATCATTCACAGCAAACTATCACAAGGACAAAAAACCAAACACCGCATAGTCTCACTCATAGGTGGGAATTGAACAATGAGATCACATGGACACAGGAAGGGGAACATCACACTCTGGGGACTGTTGTGGGGTGGGTGGAGCGGGGAGGGATAGCATTGGGATATATACCTAATGCTAGATGATGAGTTAGTGGGTGCAGCACACCAGCATGGCACATGTATACATATGTAACAAACCTGCATATTGTGCACATGTACCCTAAAACTTAAAAGTATAATTAATAAAAAAAAAAAAAGATTTACAAGTTGGAAATAATTTGCAAGCAAAAGTAAGACTGACCAATATTAGGAATCCTATGTGCAGAATTTAGAGTTTCAAGTATGAGAAATTTTTCTAACTACTATACAAAATCTTCTTTGATTCCAGTTTATTTCAGGATTTTAATAAAAATAGTTAACTGGAAAATGTAGAACATTGCCTATGCTGTTCCAATTAGCTGTTTCCATTTTTCCAGAATATGCTTGATACGGTTCGGATGGTTGTTTCCTGCAAAACTCATGTTGAAATGTGATTCCTGGTGCTGGAGATGGGTCCTGGTGGGAGATGTTTGGATCCTGGCTTAGCACCGTGTCCTTGGTGATAAGTGAGTTCTCCCTCAGTTCACAAGAGATCTAGTTGTTTAAAATAGTCTGGGACCTCCCACTTCTCTCTCTCTTGCTCCTGCTCTTGCTGTGTGATACACCAGCTCCCCTTTTGCCTTCCACCACGAGTGGAAGCTTCCTGAGGCCCTCACCAGGAACAGATCCAGCACCATGCTTCCTGTACAGCCTACAGAACTATGAGCCAAATAAACCACTTTTTAAAATAAATTATCCAGTCTCAGATATTCCTTTATAATAACACAAATAGACTAACACAATGCTGTTTCAATTATCATTAAATATTTTTAAGAGAATTCCAAGTAAAAAACTAACTGATATCAAAAATTATAAAATTTAGTCCTTATCAACATGAAGAAATTATGTCAATATAATGATTTGCCTTTAGAGTGCTGTTGCTTATTTTTCATCTGACCTATTGTTAAGGATCTTGATTCAATGGAATTAGGAAAAACTATATTTTCATTTATGTGCTACGCATTTTCAAAATGTGGTTCTGCAAAATGAACCTATATTGCACTTTAACACTAAGCACATAAGTATTTACAATTTTGTATGTATCCTTGTTTTAATCAGTTAACCTCGTCAAGCTTTAATTTCATATGTGCATAAAAGAAGATGATAAGACTGACTTCTCACCTTTAAGAGAGGATAATATTTGAATATAGGTTGTAAATAGGCAATCACATAAAATGTAATGAAAGCCAACGTCAGAAGATAAAGATTCCTAAGTATAAAAATTGAGTTTTATGAGGGGTTGCTGGAGATGCTGAACTATCAACAGAGAAAGGTTATTAATTTTTGTAGGATTCATTTCTTCTCTATTACAGATGTAAAAACAAATTCAAAATTCAATTCATATTTTTTTCATTGAATCCTTTATTAATCAAAGAACTATATTTCAACTCATATAACTCTTAGAGGTCATCTAACACAAGGGATAATGCTGATCACATTAAAGCTAATCAATTTTAAATATATTTACACATGCCAAGACTGTGTAACTTAAAAAAAATGTCTTTTCTTAACTGCATAAATATTTCTGCTGACAAAAACAATATTGCCAGTATGAGTCCCGAAGAAAAGTTAAATGCTATTTTTAAAATATAAAATGGAAAAGATAGTATAATACAACACAAAATTTAAGGACAGTTTGGTATATTGAACTGAGATTGTCCAAATTGTGTAAATACAGGCTTTGTGTAATGGTTTACATTTTATTAATGTCATTACCTTTAAAAGCAATTATGTCACTACAAAGACAGAATGATAAATATGAGAGTCTGGGAAGAGTATGTGGGTGGGAGCAGGAAACAAAGAGGTTGATTAGTGGGTACAAACATAAAGTTAGATAGATGAAACAACCTACAATATGCAATAGCAGAATAGGGTGACTATAGTTAGCAACAATATAGTATATGTTTCAAAGTAGATAGAGGAGAGAACTTGAAATGTTACCAACACATAGAAATGATAAATGCTCAAGGTGGTGGATACCCCCAAAGGCTCTGACTCAGTCATTATACATTTTATGTACATAAAAAATACATGTACCCCCATAAACATGTAAAATATTTTGTATCAGTAAAAAGACTTGGGGGTGACTAAAGATTGTGAGTTGTGGAAAATAATTAGTTTACCCTGTTAAGCTCACACATCTGCTAGTCAATTAAATAAATAAATGTAATAATATTGTTAGTATTAACAAATATATAAAACATAGTGTTCCAATTCTTAACACTTAAGACCATTGTTAGTTTTTCCTTCAAATAATACCCTCTAGGAAAATATTGGGTGACTGTTGCTTACTCTGCACAACTCAGATGACATTCATTTGGCAAACTTACTTCAACTCCTTAAAGGAAACATTAATTCTTTCTACTCTGAATCCCATTACTCTCAATGTTTTAACTTCTGAAATCCAGAACTCAGAATTTCCCTTAACCTGCCATCAGGTCCATCCTAAGGAATCCAGTGTCATTTGTCCTCTCAAGCACTATTTCTTCCATAGCCAATCTGTCTGTCCACACTTCTTTGCCTCCTAGTCTGCCCTGAAGCCCACGTGTTGTCCCTTTAACCAGTTTCTCACCAGCATCTTAGAAGCCCCTCTACCACCCACTTTATTTATCTCTTAATATTTAGTAGATGTCACAACCTTTTTCTCCACTTTGACCCATAGGCTGTCAAAGCAGTGACAAATTCACTTCATTTTACCCAAATTTCTTATAATTTAAACACCTCTAATTCATAATCACTTTTTAATTTACCTTTTATTAAAATTAAAAGTTAGTTTACTCATAAGAATTTCATTTCCTGTAAAAAAAAAATATAGAGAAGTATACAAATGAGGAAGGAAATTACTCCAAATTTGAATATCTAGAGAGAATTATTATTAACATTTTGGTTAATGTCTTTCTATAATTCTCTCTCTTTCTACCTATATATTATATATATATATGAGATTCATATCTATTAGTCTTTTTCTCTAAGTTATGACTTTTTTGTGCTTACAAAGAACCACCTCAAGAATTAGCAAAATAACCATTATTTTTATTTACTATATTTTTATAATTTTGGGGTTCTTTTAATAGCAACATCTGTATTAGTTAGGTTTCTCCAGAGAAACAGGACAAGTGAAATATATAAGTATAAATAAAACGAGATTTATTACAGAGAATCAGTTCAGGCAATTACAGAAGCTAAGAAGTCCCACCATCTGACATTTACAAGCTAGAAACCCAGGAGACCCCTATAATTCCAGTCGGAGTGTGAAGACCGATGTTCTAGCTTGAAAACAGTCATCTGCAATTTTTGATACATGGAATAAGAAAAACATTGGATTGTTTTACAAGTTTAGCCAGGTTTTTAACAATTGTAAAATTTTAGCAGTTTTACAAAGTTGATCCAACATTGTATATTAAAAAAATCATCCTTTCTTCTGCTGATTCATAATATTCTCCCCATCATATGCTAACTTTTCCAATTTACTCAAATCTATTTCTGAACTATGTATTTTGATCCACTTATCAGTCAGCCAGGTCATGTTGCAAATTCATGATGTTTTAGTTATTTCAGCCTTGCTTCATGTTTTAATATTTTATCAAGTATATGTTCCCTCATTATTCATCTTTGCAAACCACCTTAAAAAATAATTCTAGCTGGCCGGGCGCGGTGGCTCACGCCTGTAATCCCAGCACTTTGGGAGGCTGAGGCGGGTGGATCATGAGGTCAGGAGATCGAGACCATCCTGGCTAACAAGATGAAACCCCGTCTCTACTAAAAATACAAAAAATTAGCCGGGCGCGGTGGCGGGCGCCTGTAGTCCCAGCTACTCGGGAGGCTGAGGCAGGAGAATGGCATGAACCCGGGAAGCGGAGCTTGCAGTGAGCCGAGATTGCGCCACTGCAGTCCGCAGTCCGGCCTGGGCGACAGAGCGAGACTCTGTCTCAAAAAAAAAAAAAAAAAAAAAAAAAAAAAAAAATAATAATAATAATAATAATAATAATTCTAGCTAATTCCCTTTTAGACTTGCAGCTGTAATTGTTCAGCTTTCCTCTTCTTTTAGATTTTCTACCACTCAATTTCCTTCACTCTCAGAAAATCCATTCCCCTCAATATATCGGAGACATAAAAGTTGCTCATCCTGAAATTTTTTAACCCCTCCTTTCAAAAATCTCTACTTATGCTACAAATACTCTTAGCTCTTCAAACACATCAGACTTCTTTGCCTGTAGACCCAAGTCCAAAACTTCTAAACATGGCATTCAGTGTTCTCTAAACTTTGAACTGGTGTCTACCTTTCCATCCTATCTCCTTTTAGGCCTTTTTTCACATATTTCAAGCAAACCAGTCTCTTCCCCTCTTCCTAAATTAAAAAAAAAAATACCTGTTTTATTTTGCCACCATTTTTTAGTTTATATTACTTCTCTCAATAAAACATCCTTTTCCTTCACTACTCCTGCTGTCTCCACCTACCTTTCCCATTCCCTAATTCAACACAAGTAAAGGCTATATAATGGTGCCCACTCTGATGACCTTCCATCCTGTCATCTGGAATATATTGCTTTTATACATTAAGCTCCAATATCACTTTGTATCTCTCTCTGAACTTACATTTTGCCTTGATTTGCAGTTATTTGTGTATTTGTTTCATTTCACTAGTAGATTATAAACCCCATGAGGTCAAACATTCTTCTTTGTATCATACACATCTTCTAGTCATAGTTTATAATCAAATATGCTAAAATTAGGTAACAGACCAAAATAAATTCCTATTTCCATCATCACTGTATTTTGAATTTTGTTTAAATGACCCAATGAAATTAATTTTAATTAACTCTATTAGACCAGGTTAGTAAAAGTAACCTAGAAATAATCTATATGAGGACCATAATTATCCTATTAGTTTGTGCTAAGGTTTGTTTATTTGTCCCCTTCAAAATTTAACTTCCTGAGATAAGGAGGAACTGACCAGAACAGCCTGGGACCTGTTCCTATTCTTTCTAGAACAAGATGTCCTACAATACTTTAAGCCCAGTAACTCAAATTCATGAAGGATAAAGCCCAGGACAGGCTGCTTTTCCAGAACCCTCAGCTACAGTGCAACATGGGCCACACACAGATGAGATTCCACACTAGGTAGCTTTCCTGAGCCTTGGATGAACTCCATGAAGCCCAGGCTTCTACTGTCCCTTGCTGCCGATATGTGAGGAATAAAGTTGCTTCATTCACTGTGTTGTGTGTGTGTTCTTTCTCCTCAGATTCATGTATGCAGCAGAAACTGCATTCCAAGATGCAGTGGACTGAAGCAGTAACCAGTGTAGAGTGATCTGCTTTGCAACAGGTTCCAAGGATTAGAATATGGACATTTTTGGGTGACCTTATCAAGCCTACAAAAGGTTAATCCAAAAAGTATTACAATCTAAAATCTTGAGAAAACACAAAGTTTAATCACAACCACTAGAGCCATATGTCTAGAGGATCACTGTGTTCTCTAGGTGATGAAAAATCTCTAAACAGGATGGAAAAACCTAAATATGACTAAGTGGTAAGTTTCACAAAAAGACAAAACAGAAAGGTAGGAGGATGGAAAGTGGTATTTCTGGGAAAGCTGCATTTACCACCTCCTAAATGTCTTCTTCTCCCATTGATTCTGATCTCTTGTTTTACCAGTAAGTCAACTAGGAGGAGAAACACTGGACATGATGAATAAAATAGGTAGTGCTGAGAAGAAGAGAAACAGAAGGCATGGACAATGTGCCCAAGAAGAGAAATATCTGAGGACATGGCCAATCCAAGGTGGAGGAATTCTATAAACAAACAATAACAACAATAATTATAATAACTACTTAGATCCCTTTGCCATTTGCAAAATGGCCCTGAGCAGAGAATTCTGGTGTACTCACAATGTACAGGAGTTCAGCAAAATTTAAAGAGAGTACAAGATAAGCTCGTTACCTATATGACTGAATAAATGTGGATGTTGATAGCTCAGACAGGCCACCCTTCCAGTTCAAACAAGAACTTGTTTCAAATACAGAAAGAAGGCAATATAAGAGATAGAAATTACACAGCAAATCCTACCATATCTTTTCTTACTTACATTGCTTTCCTATGTTAACCAGCCACTCATGTTGAAAATGATAATATAGAAGGAAAGGGAAAGAAAGGTGATATGGTTGGCTGTGTCCCCACCCAAATCTCAAGTCAAATTATATCTCCCAGAACTCCCACGTGTTGTGGGAGGGACCCAGGAGGAGGTCATTGAACAATGGGGGCCAGTCTTTCCATCCTAGTTTCATGACAGTGAATAAGTCTCACGAGATCCAATGGGTTTATCAGGTGTTTCCACTTTTGCTTCTTCCTCATTTTCTCTTGCCGCCACCATGTAAGAAGTGCCTTTCACCTCCTGCCATGATTCTGAAGCCTCCTCAGCCATGTGGAACTGTAAGTCCAATTAAACCTCTTTTTGTTCCCAGTCTCGGGTATGTCTTTATCAGCAAGTGAAAATGGACTAATTCAATAGAGCAACCAGGGTTCTTTTTCCTTTCAGTCCTTCCTTAATTATCAGTAGGCTGAAAGTAGAAAGTATTAGAATGTGTGCATATCAAAAAGTGATATGAATACAGTTGCATTAGTTTAGGGTAGTGTTTGCACTGTTTCAGAAAATATATTTGCATATACATTCTACCAAATCTGAATTATGTGATATTGTTGATTCACAATTAGATTCTCTGAAATTTGTATTAAAACTGTCATTGTATGAGACAAAGATTAACAGTAAAAATTATGTTAATGATTTAAAATTTTATTTTATTTTTACTTTGACATTAAATAGCAAATAAAAATAAATAACTCACAGAGAAACATGAAGTGAAGAAAAAAAACAAATTTTAACACATTTAGCAGGATTTTTTTCCTGAATTTTGAACAAGAGGCCTCACATTTTCATTTTTACTGGGCCTCACGAATTACATAAGACCGTGTACCCCTACCATCTGACTGGTTTGAGCATAAGATAATTGATGCAGAATTGGTTTTCATTAAGATCAAAACCTGTGAGGAATTCAGTTACATTTTTGCTGTCCTTTCCTGAGCATAGCTTAGTTCTAAATGTTCAATGTTTCTTGTAATAACTGCATGGTGCAAGTCTCAAAGCTTCCTTTGTCTTGCCAGGACTTAAAACACTAGATAATCTGCCTGTTTCCATAAATTAAAAAAAAAAAAAAGTCTCCTATTTCTCATCTTACCTGTACTCCGTAAGCTTGGTTCCTTGATACCAAACCACAGATTATTTTTTCTCACATTAAAATAAGAAACTCTGTGTGTAAGTGCCCAAATAAATCTTTCATGACCTTAATTATAGGTAATACTATGTTAAATTTGCCTCCAACAGATGAGAGTACAATCATCTTACTGGAAATGTTGAAATTAAAATATTTTCTTGATAGAAATTATAAACCCCTGAAAGCTGACCATAGTAAGCTTATAGATTTTTAGTGAAGTTTTTAAAGTGGTAGTGGTCAGTTGGATGATATATGGATTTACTTCTGAGAGCAATGCTGTGTTGCTTTATACTTCAAATCAGTGGTTAAAACCAGATTCTCGTAGAGGCCAGGAGGGCTCTAAAGTTGTATTAAGGCCCAACAAGATCCAAGATTGGATCAAGGATGCCAATCAGATAGCAGTCCAGATCTTTTTCCTATACCATTGCTCCAACTGTTGAAATTCCATGCAATAAGCTAGACCTCTAGATAAGCTTTCATTGGGAGAAACCATTGTGGGGTTTAAAGGAAAACACAGCAACAAATCTCTCCCCATCACTTTACCAAATAACCTGATCTTTATAAGACAAAAAATAATGAAAGATAAAGAGAACATAAAGAATTTTCTAGGAGTTGGCCATAAGATGGCTGATTAGAAGAATATGCAGTCCATGGCACTCACAAAGAGGAACAAAAGGGGTGAGTGAATACAGCACCTTCAACTGAAATATCCAGATTCTTGCATTGGGACTGATTAGGCAAACAACTCGGCCCATGGAGAATGAAGAAAAGCAAGGTGGGGCAAAGGCCCACCAGGGAGCAACACAGTGCCAAGGGAACCCCCACCCCCAGCAAAGGGAAGTGATGAGTGATTGTGTGACCCAACTTGGGAAACCATGCTTCTCCCACAGATCTTTGCAACCTTCAGATCAGGAGATCCCCTCGTGAGCCCACACCACCAGGACCTTGGGTCTGACACATAGAACTGTGTAGTCTCAGCAGAGCAGCTGCTCAGTCACACACAGAGACCCAGGAGCTTTCCATACTCTGGCCCTGGGATTTCCAACAAACATGTCTGCAACTCAGGCAAAACAGGAGGTCTGTACAGACCCCTAGGAAGGGGAATGAATCCAAGGAGCCAAGCAGTGTCATTCTGCAGGCCCCACTTCCATGGCACCTCACAAGATAAGACTCACTGGTTTGGAATTCCAGTGAGCCAATGGCAACAGGGTAGAGCCTGCCTGAGACAGGACAGAGTTCCAGTCCTCCAGGGGAGGAGTGGCTGCCATGTCTATAGTCCAGTCAACTCAGCTGTTCCAGCCTGCCAGTTTTGGAGAGTGCAAATGGCCCGGTCAAGGAAGGGTCCCTGCCAAGGCAGCACAGCTGCTTTACCAGATCATGGCCAGACTACTTCTTCAAATGGGACCCTGATCCATTCCTCCTCACTGGGCAGGACCTCCCTGCCAGGGCTTCAACTATCCCAGCCAGTTTCCTATGAACACAGCTCTGATCTCTCCATGGGGTGGAGCCCCTGGAGGAGGAGCAAGCCATGATCACCACTCTTTGGTTGACTCAGCCATTTCAACTGGCTTTGGAAAGTCCAAACAATCCAGCCAAGAAAGGCTACCCCCAGAGCAGCACAGCCACTTTGCCAGATCACGGACAGATATCTTCTTTAAGCAGAACTTTAATCCATTCCTCCTCATGGTTCAGGTCTTCCCAGCTGGGGGCCTTGAGCCACCCCTTTCCATATTCTATGGCCAACAGAGCTCTAATTTTCTTCTGGGACAAAGTGTCCCATGGGTGGGGCAGTCTGCCATGGTGGCTGTTCGGGCATCTCAGTCAATCCAGCCTGTGGGCCCTGAAGAGCCCATAGTGAACAGAGTCTGAAAGGATCACTAACACAGCATACCTGCTCTACCAAAAAGCACCCAGACTGCTCCTTTAAGTGAGCACCTGATCCTGTTCCTCCTGACAGGGTGAGACCTCCAAACGGGTCTCCAGCTACCTCCTACTGGCACATTTGGGCTGGCAACTGGTCAATACCCCGCTGGGTGAAGCTTCCAGAGGAAGGAGCAGGCTGTCATCTTTTCTGTTTCCCAAGCTTCACTGGTGATACCTCTAGATATGGGAAAAACCAAGGCAATTAGGGTCCAGAGTGGACCCCAAGCAAGCTTCAGCAGCCCTACAGAAGAGTGGCATATTTAAAGAAAAATAAGCAAACAGAAAACAACAGCAACAAAAAAGACCCCACAAAACTCCATTAAAAGGTTAGCATCCCCAAAGATCAAAGGTAGATAAGCCCATAAAGATAAGAAAGAATCAGCACAAAAACACCAAAAACTCAAAAATCCAGAGGGCCCCTTCTCTTCCAGATGACTGCAACACCTCTGAAGCAAGGGCTCAGAACTGGGCTGAGGCTGAGATGGCTGAAATGATAGAAGTAGAATTCAGAGGGTGAGTAATAATGAACTTGGCTGAGCTAAAGCAGCATGTTGTAATCCAATGCAAAGAAGATAAGAATCATAATAAAACAATACAGGAGTTGACAGTCAAAATAGCCAGTTTAGAGAGAAACACCAACCTGTTAGACCTGAGAAACACACTACAGGAACTTCACAATGCAATCACAAATATTCATAGCAGAATAGCCCAAGTGAAGGAAAGAATTTCAGAGCTTGAAGACTATCTTTCTGAAATAAGACAAGCAGACAAGAATAGAGAAAAAAAGAATGAAAAGGAATGAAAGAAAACCTCTGAGAAATATGGAATTATATAAAGAGACTGAACCTATGACTGACTGGGATACCTGAAAGAGACAGAGAATGGAACCAATTTGAAAAAATTACTTCAGGATATCATCCATGAGAACTTCCCCAACCTGGCTAGACAGGCCAACATTCAAATTCAGGAAATGCAGAGAACTTCAGTAAGATACTCCACAAGAAGATCATCTCCAAAACACGTAATAATCAGACGCTCCAAGGTCAAAATGGAAGAAAAAATGTTAATGGCTGCCAGAAAGAAAGGCCAGGCCACTTAAAAAGGGTCCCATCTCACAAGAGACCCATCTCACAAGCAATGATACACATAGGCTCAAAGTAAAGGAATGGAGAAAAATTTACCAAGCAAATGGAAAACAGAAAAAAGCAGAGGTTGCAATCCTAGTTTTTGACAAAACACACTTTAAACCAACAACGATCAAAAAAGACAAAGAAGGGCATTACACAATGGTAAAGGGGTCATTTCAACAAGAAGAGCTAACTAGCCTGAAAATACATGCACCCAATACAGGAACAACCAGATTCAAAAAGCAGGTTCTTAGAGACTTTCAAAGAGGCTTAGACTCACACACAGTTAAGAATGGGAGACTTTAACACCCCACTGACAATATTAAACTCATTATAGAGACAGAAAATTAACAAAGATATTCAGTGCCTTACTCAGCTCTGAATCAAGTGGACCTGACAGATATCTGTAGAACTCTTCACCCAAAAGCAACAGAATGTACATTGTTCTCATCTCCACATGGCACTTACTCTAAAATTGATCACAGAATTGGAAGTAAAACATTCTTCAGCAACTGCAAAAGAACTGAAGTCATAACAAACAGGCTCTCAGACCACAGCACAATCAAATTAGAACCCAATATTAAGAAACTCACTCAAAACCACACAACTACATAAAAATCAAACAACCTGCTCCTGAATGACTCTTAGGTGAAAAATGAAATTAAGGTAGAAACCAAGAAGTTCTTTGAAACCAGTGAGAACAAAGATACAATGTACCAGAATTCCTGGGACACAGCTAAAGCATGATAAATAGGGAAATTTGTAGCACTAAATGCCTATATCAAAAAGCTAGAAAGATCTTAAGTTAAAAATCTAACATCACAACTAAAAGAACTAGAGAACCTAGACCAAATGAATTCCAAAGCTAGCAGAAGACAAGAAATAACCAAGATTAGAGTGGAACTGAAGAAGATAAAGACACAAAAACCCTTCAAAAAATCAACAAATTCAGGAACAGATTTTTTGAAAAAATTAATAAAATAGACTGCTAGCTACACTAATAAAGAAAAAATGAAGGAAGAATCAAACACAATCAGAAATGATCAGGAGTGTTTTACCACTTACCCCACAGAAATACAAACAACCATCAGAGAATAATACAAACACTTCTATGCACGTAAACTAGAAAATATATATTAAAAAGGATACATTTCTAGACACATACACCCTCCCAAGACTGAACCAGGAAGAAATTGAATCCCTGAGTAGACCAATAATGAGCTCTGAAACTGAGGCAGTAATAAATAGCCTACCAACCATAAAAAGCCCAGGACCAGATGAATTCACAGCTGAATTCTACCACAGGTACAAAGAAGAGCTGGTACCATTTCTACTGAAACTATACCAAAGAAATTGAAAAGGAGAGACTCCTCCCTAACTTATTTCATGAGGGTACCATCATACTGATACAAAAGCCTGACAGACATACAGAAAAAAAAAGAAAGAAAAAAATAAACTTCACGCCAATATCCTCGATGAACATTGATGCAAAAATCTTCAATAAAATACTGGAAAACCAAATCCAGCAGCACATCAAAAAGCTTATCCATCACAATCAAGTAGGCTTCCTCCCTGGGATGCAAGGTTGGTTCAACATATGCAAATCAATAAATGTGATTCATCACATATAAACAGAAGTAAGACAAAAACCACTAATTATTTCAACAGATGCAGAAAAGGCTTTTGATCTGATTCAGTATTCTTTCATGTTAAAAACTCTCAACAGACTAGGTATTGAAGGAAAATACCTCAAAATCATAAGAGCCATATATGACAAATATGACAAACCCATAGCCAATATCATACCAAGTGGGCAAAAGATGGAAGCATTCCCCTTGAAAACCAGCACAAGACAAGTATGTCCTCTCTCACCACTCCTATTCAACATAGGAAACATAGGAAAGTTCTGCCTAGGGCAATCAGGCAAGAGAAAGAAATAAAGAGCATTCAAATAGAAAGAGAGGAAGTCTGTTTGCAGATGACATAATCCTACATCTAGAAAACCCCATCATTTCACCCCAAAAGCTTCTTAAGCTGATAAGCAACTTTAGCAAAGTCTCAGGGTACAAACTCAAATGCAAAAATCACTGGCATTCCTATATACCAACAACAAGCAAGCAGAGAGACAAATCATGAATGAACTCCCTTTCACAATTGCCACAAAAAGAAAAAAAGTACCTAGGAATACAGCTAACAAGGGAAGTGAAGGACCTTTTCAAGGAGAACTACAAACCACTGCTCAAGGAAATCAGAGAGGACACAAGCAGAGAAAAACATTCCATGCTGATTGTATTAGTTCGTTTTCACGCTACTGATAAAGACATACGTAAGACTGGGAACAAAAATAGGTTTAATTGGAATTACAGTTCCACATGGCTGGGGAGTCCTCAGAATCATGGTGGGAGGTGAAAGGCACTTCTTACATGGCAACGGCAAGAGAAAAATGAGGAAGAAGCAAAAGCAGAAACCCCTGATAAACCCATCAGAGCTTGTGAGACTTATTCACTATCACGAGAATAATACAGGAAAGACCAGACCCCATGATTCCACTATCTCCTCCTGGGTCCCTCCCACAACACATGGGAATTCTGGGAGATACAATCTGAGTTGAGATTGGGGCAGGGGGAGGTGACACAGCCAAACCATATCATCATGTCCTCACATGTCAAAACCAATTATGAATTCCCAACAGTCCCCCAAATTCTTAACTCACTTCAGCATTAACCCAAAAGTACACAAGTCCAAAGTCTCATCTGAGACAAGGCAAGTCCCTTCCACTTATGATCCTGTAAAATCAAAAGCAAGCTAGTTATTTTCTAGATACAATGGAGGTACAGGTATTGGGTAAATTCAGTCATTCCAAATGGGAGAAATTGGCCAAAACAAAGAAGTTACAGGGCCCATACAGGTCCAAAATCCAGCAGGGCAGTCAAATTTTAAAGCTCCAAAATGATCTCCTTTGATTCTATGTCTCAAATCCAGATTACACCGATGCAAGAAGTGAATTCCCATAGTCTGGGGCAGCTCCACCCCTGTGGCTTCACAGGGTACAGACTCCCTCCTGGCTCCTTTCACAAGCTGGCATTGAGTGTCTGCAGCTTTTCCAGATGCACGGTTCAAGCTACCAGTGGATCTACCATTCTGGGGTCTGGAAGATGGTGGCCCTCTTCTCATGGCTCCACTAGGCAGTGCCCCAGTAGTGACTCTGTGTAGGGGCTCTGATCACACACTTCCCTTCTGTGCTGCTCTAGCAGAGGCTCTCCATGAGGACCCCACCCCTGCAGCCAACTTTTGCCTGGGCATCCAGGCATTTCCATACACTTTCTAAAATCTAGGTGGAGGTCCCAAACCTCAATTCTTGACTTCTGTGTACCCGCAGGCTGAATACCACATGGAAACTTCTGAGGCTTGGGACTTCCACCCTCTGAAGCCACAGCCTGAGCTCTATGTTGGCTCCTTTCAGCCACAGCTAGAGTGGCTGGAACACAGGGCACCAACTCCCTAGGCGGCACACAGCATGGGGACCCTGGGTCTGGCCCACAAAACCACTTTTTCCTCCTGGGCATCCAGGCCTCTGATGAGAAGAGCTGCCATGAAGGTCTCTGACATGGCCTGGAGAAATTTTCACCATGGTCTTGGGGATTAACATTAGTCTCCTTGTTACTTATGTAGATTTCTGCAGCCAGCTTGAATTTCTCCCCAGAAAATTGGTTTTTCTTTTCTATCACATTGTCAGGCTACAAATTTTCTGAACTTTTACACTCTGCACCTGTTATAAAATTGAATGCCTTTAACAGTACTCAAGTCACCTCTTGAATGACTTGCTGCTTAAGAAATTTATTCCACCAGATACCCTAAATCATCTCTCTGAAGTTCAAAGTTTCACAAATCTCTAGGGCAGAGGTAAAATGCTGCCAGTCTCTTTGCTAAAACATAACAAGAGTCATCTTTGCTCCAGTTCCCAACAAGTTCCTCATCTCCATCTGACACCACCTCGGCCTGAACCTTAATGTCCATATCGCTATCAGCATTTTGGGCAAAGCCATTCAAGAAGTCTCTAGGAAGTTCCAAACTTTCCCATATTTTCCTGTCTTCTTCTTAGCCCTCCAAACTGTTCCAACCTCTGCCTGTTACCCAGTTCCAAAGTCACTTCCACATTTTCAGGTATCTTTTCAGCAACTCCCCACTCTACTTGTACCAACTTACTGTATTAGTTCGTTACACACTGCTTATAAAGACATGCCCAAAACTGAGAACAAAAAGGGGTTTAATTGGACTAACAGTTCCACATGGCTGGGGAGGCCTCAGAATCATGGTGGGAGGCAAAAGTCACTTCTTACATGGCAGCGGCAAGAGAAAATTGTGGGAGAAACAAAAGCGGATACCCCTGATAAACTCATCAGATCTTGTGAGGCTTATTCACCATAATGAGAATAGCACAGGAAAGACCAGCCCCCATGATTCAATTACCTCCTCCTGTATGCCTCCTACAACACATGGGAATTCTGGGAGACACAATTCAAGTTGAGATTTGGGCAGGGACACAGCCAAACCATATCACTCATGGATAGAAGGAATCAATATCATTGAAATGGCCATACTTCCCAAAGTAATTTATAGGTTCAATGCTATTCCCATTAAACTACCATTGACATTCTTCACAGAATTAGAAAAAAAAAAACTGTTTTAAAATTCATATGGAACCAAAAAAGAGCCCAAATAGCAAAGACAATCCTAAGAAAAAAGAACAAAGCTGGAGTCATCACACTACCTGACTTCAAACTATACTACAAGGCTACAGTGACCAAAATAGCATGGCACTGGTACAGAAACAGACACATAGACCAATGGAACAGAATAGAGAACTCAGAAATAAGATCACACACCTACAACCATCTGATCTTCAACAAACCTGACAAAAACAAGCAATGGGAAAAGGATTTTCTATTAAATAAATGGTGCTGGGAGAACTGGCTGGCCAGATGCAAAAAAAAATTTTGAACCCAAACCCCTTCCTTATACCTTATTCAAAAATTAACTCAAGATGGATTAAAGACTTAAACGTGAAACCCAAAACTATAAAAATTCTACAAGACAATCTAGGCAATACCATTCAGGACATAGGCACAGACAAAGATTTTATGACAAAAATGCCTAAAGCAATTGCAACAAAAGCTAAAATTGACAAATGGGATCTAATTGAACTAAAGAGCTTCTCCACAGCAAAAGAAACTATCATCAAAGTGGACAGACAACCTATAGAATAGGAGAAAATTTTTACAATCTATTCATCTGACAAAGGTCTAACATCCAGCATCTACAGCAAACTTAAGCAAATTTACAGGAAAAAAAAAAAAAAAAAAACAACAACAACCACCTCATTAAAAAGTGGGCAATGGACATAAGTGGACACTTCCCAAAAGAAGACATATATATGGACAAAAAAACATTGAAAAAAAAAGCTCAACGTCACTAATCATTAGAGAAATGCAAATAAAAACCACAGTGAGATATCATTTCTCACCAATCAGAATGGCTATTATTAAAAAGTCAAAAAATTACAGATGCTCATGAGGTTGTCAGAAAAAGGAATGCTTATGTACTGTTGGTAGGACAGGAAATTAGTTCAAACATTATGGAAGACAATTCCTCAAAGATCTAGAAGCAGAAATACCATTTGACCCAGCAATCCCATTACTGTATATATACCCAAAGGAATATAAATAATCCTATTATAAAGATACATGCATGTGTATGTTCATTGCAGCACTATTCACAATAGCAAAGACCTAGAACCAATCTAAACACCCTCCAGTGATAGACTGGATAAAGAACACACCATGGAATACTATGCAGCCATAAAAAGAAACAAGATCATGTCCTTTGCAGGGACATGGGTGGAGCTGGAAGCCATTATCCTCAGGAAACTAATGCAGGAACACAAAACCAAATATGTGTTCTCATTTATAAGTTGGAGCTGAATAATGAGAACACATGGACACATGGGAGAGAGAGACAAAGCACACTGGGCCCTGTTGGAGGGTCGGAGGTTGGAGGAGGGAGAGCATCCGGAAGAATAGCTAATGGATGCTGGGCTTAATACCTAGGTAATGGGATGATCTGTGAGGCAAACTGCCATGGCACATCTTTATCTATGTAATGAACCTGCACATCCTACACAGGTACCCCTGAACTTAAAAGTGGGGAAAAAAAGAACCATACTTTGAGCAGCCAGATTTTAAATTTTCCCAGAGCTCTTTCAACATTACCTATAGTGTCTTAGGATGGGTGAAGATTTTTGCATGTAATAGTTCTAGTTTTTCTTCTGTTTTTATTTTGCCTGCTTTGTAAATGTCATTTTAGGTGCTTGCTTCATAACAGAATAGCAGAATTGATGCAACTACATTAAAACAGAAAGGGAGACACAGTGTCCGGCTGCCTTGGGCATTTCTGTTAGCAGAAATGGAAGTCTTTCAGAGGACTTAATTTTTAATAGCTATGCTATCAGATTCTCAGTCTTGGCATTAGGGCTAGGTGTTGGAACTTCCCATAAAGTGTTCTCATTATGGACTCTCTGCTCCATACCATAAAATGAAGATAAATAAATAAATATTTTTTAAAAGCATTTTCTAAATAAACACACTGGAGACTTTCGGAGAATGGAAGGTGGGAGGAGGGAGAGCATCAGTTAAAATGACCAATAGGTACTAGGCTTAATACTGGGGTGATGAAATAATCTGTAGAACAAACCTGTACTTGTAACAAATCTGCACTTGTACCCCTGAACTTAAAAGTTTTTTAAAAAAATTTCTAAATAAATGAAGTTTCTTTTTTCAGCAAATATTTTTTAATAAGATCACCACTGATAGACCCATTAAAATCATGCAATTTATACTCCTCTCTTCCTAGACTCTTAACTTACCTTGAAAATTAAGGCCACTGGAATGAAATAAAACCTATTAATGCCCCAGGAATCATTGCGCTTTGTAAGCCATTTGCCCCTCCGCTAACAGGTCCCACAATAGTGTAATCTGTGATATTGGAGTTTGTTTCTGCTTTCTGCCTTCTCCTCCTGTCTATTCAGAATAGCATCATACTTATATTAACTTTATTATATATTTGCTATTTACTTAGTTTACCAATCTAAAACTACATTCATTTGACATTTAAGGGGGGAAAATAATTTGCACAGTCCCTACAATTCCATCCAAACGTTTCACTTAATTAGCCTGTGCCCCAGGTATTAGATGTAGCAGTCAAGTCTGAAAAAAAATCAAATCAAGTAGGCTAAATGGAATGAATGTGTGAATTAACTTTAAAAATACCCTATTGCTGGAGGAGATGAAAAACAAAATGTATTGTTCTTTTGAATATACACGCCTTTTAAGAAAGTCGATGGCCTCTTTTAAAACAGCCTTAGAGAACTCTCAACCATCAGAGTCACAGGCATCCACATTTCTGGGATGGAAATCCATTCAGGGCTTCTGACATAGTATATGCAAGAAAAGCTCCTGCTTTCCAACTGTGATGCATCAAAGGAGGCTTTTCTACTCAGCTTGATGTTATAAATTCAAGTGAATAACAATAAACCAGAAGGTGGCTCTATGTTCCTTTTTTAATTCTAATTGTTGGGAAAATAGTCTAGATTATTAAAATCCCCAGAGAATGACTATACATCCTCCCCATATCACAGGACGCTGGCAGTCTAAGCTCTGATTTAAAGGTATTCCAGTAGCATGCTTTTGGATGTTTTGATTAGTGTTATCCAAATTAATATTACTTAAGAATAAAAATCACCAATCCATTAACAACAATTTTAAAAGATCAAAATCTGTGTGTCAGAATTAACCTGTGCAAACTCTGGATGCATCCTATGCTATTATTTACTATCCCTTTGAGTTTATGAATAAAAAGTTGCATTTTCAGAATTATTTATATCAAGGATCTCCCAATTATTGAAAAAACTGCATGTTCTTTTAAGAACACAAAAAGTAGGCCAGGCATGGCAGCTCACACCTGTAATCCCAGCACTTTGGGAGGCCGGGGTGGGTGGATCACCTGAGGTCAGGAGTTTGAGACCAGCCTGTCTAACATGGCAAAACTCCGTCTCTACTAAAAATACAAATTAGCCAGGCTTGGTGGCAGGCGCCTGTGATCCCAGATACTTGGGAGGCTGAGGCAGGAGAATCACTTGAACCTGGGAGACAGAGGTTGCAGTGAGCCGAGATTGTGCCATTGCACTCCAGCCTGGGCAACAAGGGGGAAACTCCATCTCCATCTGAGCCTCTGAATTAGAACAGAAGTACACATTCTTTTGCAGCCCAAATAAAAGGCATAATAAAATTTATGAGGGATGTAGAACAGCAAGAAACTCATGTGCATACATCAGAAGGAACATGGCCAGTCTTTAACAGCAACTTCAGACAGCGACCTGAGCAAGGATAGTACCAGTGAATGGAGCAGATTACCAATTCCTTCCCACCTACCCTTTAATTTTTTATTGTGATAAGAACATTTAACTCAAGATCTATCTTCCTAACACAGTTTTAAGGGCACAATATTGCTAATTACAGGAACAGTGTTATACAACAGATCTCTAGAATCTATTTATCTTGCATAACTGACACCTTACACCCATTGATTAGCAGCTCCCTATTCCTTCCTCCTCTCGTCCCCTGGAAACCATCATTTTACTCTCTGCTTTGATGAATTTAACTATTTTATATGCCTCATGTAAGTAGAATCATGCAATATTTGTCCTTCTGCAGCTGGTTTATTCCACTTAGCATGATGTCAAAGTTCATCCCTGTTGTCACGTATTGCAGGACTTCCTTCTTTTTTAAGGTGGAATAATATTTCATTGTATGTTCATGCCACATTTTCTTCATCCATTCATCAGTGATAAACATTTAACTTATTTCCACATCTTGGTTATTGTGAGCAGTGCTGTAGTGAACTTCGGAGTGTAAATATTTCCTCATCATCTCTATTCCAATTCTTTTAAATACCCAGAAGTGAAATTGCTAGATCATATGGTAGTTCTACTTTTTTAATATTTAAAAAAGAAGTCTGTACTATTTTTCATAGAGGCTGCACCATTTTACATTTCCAACAACAGTGTAAAAGTGTTCCAATTACTCCACATCCTTGTCAACACTTATCTTTTATTTTGTTTTTATTATAGCTATTCTAACATATGTGAGGGGATATCTCATTGTGGTTTTTATTAATGTCTCCAAAGAAGTGCAAGCCTGGGCATCATGAAGAAGCCATCTCTACAGAATATACAAAAATTAGTGAGGCATGGTGGTGTGTGCCTGTAGTCTGAGCTACTCATGAGGCTAAGGTGATAAGATCACTTGAGCCAAGGAGGCTCTGAGGCTGCAGTGAACCGTGATCATGCTACCACACTCCAGCCTAGGTGACAGAGTGATACCTTGTCTCAAAAAAAAAAAAAAAAACAGTACAAGTGGCCAACAGATATATGAAAATATGCTCCTGCTCAACATTACTAATCATCAGGGAAATGCAAATCAAACCCATCTGGTTTTTGAAAGCAGGATTTATGCTCCTGGATTGAGTAAACCTGAAGGGTTCTTGGACAATTTGGGATGAAGAAATCTCAAGAAAAAAACATTTATTGGCACCAATAATAGCAGGTTGGAGGTCCCAAATAATTAACTGGAGAGAAAGAAAGGAATTCTAGCTACCTTATACTGGAGCATCAGTTCATAACAGCTAGATTATAGATTATGGGTTTTTTTTTTTTTTTTTTTTTTTTTTTTTCAGAATTAGCCATTGATAATTCAGTTTCATAAATTGCCTGTTCTTATTCTTTGTCAGTTTTTAGCATACATTCTTTCCTAATTGTTGTGAAAGTTCCTTCATATATTTTGGCTCCTATTCTAATTTTTAACTCCTAATTGTTTTCCTTCCTTATAAAATCTAATCTCGTTTATTTTTTCTCACCATTTTTTGTCAGTTGCAAAGTGTATCCCTAGTCATTCTTCAATTCGTGGATTTACACATTATTCACAGAAAGAAACCAAGGCCAAGGAGCAAGCTGAAATTCCACACATTTTAGCTCTTAAATCTATTATTTGACCCTAAAAGCTTGTTAATTCCTATTAAGTGACCCAGAAACTTCTCAACAACCAGCATAGTTCAAAGCCAGTCTCTTAATTATTTATCTAGTTTCCCAGTCCTCTGAACTTGTGTTAGTTGAGTTCTTCAGGGCATTCTTTTTCTCATTTGGGCTTTTATTTTTTTGCTATGTCATAATAAAAATAATAAAATTGAGGAGCATATTGATTTGACTTGTGAGCTAATGGGTCAGGAAAGGCACATCACTAAAAATAAGAGAAATTTCTGTTAGAATCATGTAAATTTCTCTTTTCCTATTTTAAAATACAAAAGTTCATTATTTTTAACTAGTTGAATGTTTCTTGTTAAGCTAGTTTCCAGTGTCTAGGTGGGTGCCAAGTCTATGAATTATTTGAATTAAAACCTGTGGAAGGATAGAAAATTACACAAAAAGGGAATTGTTTATATATGTATATTATACCCTGTTGCTTTGGAGGCCTTGGCTTGACATTGCTCTTATTTTTCTATATAAATATGAGAAAGCCAATAAAATAATTAGAGCAAATTTTGAAAACACAGGATGGTGAAGTGCTCTTCTCTGCTCATATTTACCTGCCATTTTCTCAAGAGATTCAAGCCTTATTACAATGCCAGATTTGCACACACAAAAGTAAAGTACAGTGAAAGTTGATTGTTATTTATCTTGGGATTCAGGGATTGGAAGACAGACAGTGGATGGGAGCGGGCAAGTTTGGCCAATTTAACCCACTTTTCTTCTGATGATCTGGAAAATAAAATAAATATGATCTTAGAACTTTAATCTCTTGTTACTCTACCCTTCCAGTGAGATGCCTTGCAAATCATAGACACTCAGTAAACATCTGTGTACTTATTCAATAAAAGGGGGCACTCACAATAGAATAATGGTAGTCTGTTTTTGTATGCATGTCTTCCCTTTATCTATAATCCAACTCTTCTCACAAGTGTGGTTAAACACTCAGCACAGTACTCTCATCTCAGCTGTGATAAGTTTTCCTCAAAACTGAGAAAAAGAGACGATCAAATGTGGACTTCAGGTTTCATTTTGTCACCACAAAATTCTATTAACTTTCCCACCATCTGTACCAAATAACCTACTCTATCTTTTATAACTGATGAAACCTCCCTTATGAAATCTAGGACCAACCTCAATACTTGTGACTGTTCTTGACTACACAGACTTCAAACTTCCCCTTCCTGCATCATCTTCTCCCTTTCTATGGGAATATTCTCAAGGCATACCAGCATGCCATAGTCGGTCCTTTCTGACAAATGCTCCCTCTAGTTACAACACAATTTCTCTCCTCCCCTTCACATATAATCTATCTCCTCAACCCATTCCAACTGGCATTTTCCCTGCCATGCCACTATACGTGATCTTGCCAAAGTCACCTCTGACTACTATCTCATAAAATCTAAGCACTCATTTTTCTCTGTTCTACTTGACATAAGTGACTACTCATCTTCATTCATTTTTTAACAAATATGTATTGATTATTTACTACCTGAGAATACTGAGAGTACTGGCCTAAGTGCTGGGGAGAAAGAAGTAAAAAAAAAAAAAAAAAAAAAATTGAAAAATACCCCTTCCTTGTAGAGTTTGCACTCCAAAAATAAGCAATGTAAATACATAAAATACGTGCTATACTAGAGAGTGATAAGTTCAAAGGTTCCTGAATCTGGTCTGGTGAAACAGAACACTCACACCACAAGTCAAGCAAACCAACTTTAATATTCCCAGATAGGTAGCAAAGACAAACAGAAGCCAGGATGCATGGTAAGCCAGTCCCTCAAGGGTCAGGAAAACCTGCCCAGGACAAATGGAGTCTCCTCTGTAAATGCCCTTTATCACACCACAGCTGAGCAACCTTGAAAGCACTATGCTCTGGGTTTTGTACCCTGGGCATTTCTTGGCTCACTGACCCAAGCATTGCAGAATATCCTGTTCTGGGAAGAGGAAGACATAGCTCAAGTTGTTCCAGACATTTTCTCTTTATCTCAGGATATTGCATTCTCAGTACATTCTGCCTAGTAATTGCCAATAAGAGGGAGATAAGCTGGCTTGGCCACGGTCATTTGGGACCTGTCTTTCAAGAGCAAAAGTTTACAAATATAAAGTAGGAAAAGGGAATAAGAAGAATTGGGAAGAAGGTTTGACATTTTAGATAGTAAGATCAGGAAAGACCTTTCTAAAAGGTGACATTTTAGCAATGATCAGAAGGAAGAAATTGACTTATCTAAGGAAACATAATTGCAGGCTTATGGGAGGAGCGAAGTAAGTGCAAAGGCCCAGAGGCGTAAGTGTGACTGGTGTACTAAAGAAAAAGCAAGAATACCACAGTGGAAAGGGTGGAGCAAGACGAACAGAGGGTGGCAAGAGATGAGGTCAGAGATGAAACTGAGGGCCAACCCATAGTAAGCGCATTTTGGCTTTTATTCTACGTGAGATGAGAGACAAATTTTAAACAATGGAGAGATTCTATCTGTATTTAACAGAATAACTCCAGCTGCTTTGTTGTGACTAAACTGTAAAAGGGGTGAATGCAAAATTAGGGAGACCATGAAGTACTATTGCAATAATCCAGCAAAGTGCTGATGGTGGCATGAGGAGCATGGTATTGTGGGAGTGGCAAGAAGCGAAAGGGTTCTAGATGTATTTTTGAGGGTGCGCTGACAATATTTAATAAAAATCTGGATTGTGGGGGGCGAGAAAAAATGAGAGTTAAAGAATGACTACAAGATTTCCGACATGAAGAACAGATGATTCAATGAAGTAGAAAGCATTGCAAAATAGGCTTAGCAGGGAATTATCTGGATCTCTGATTTGAATTTGTTAACTTTTAGAGGTCTATTAATTATCCTAGTGGAGATAGATAGAAGTCTGGAGTCTGGGAGAGAGGGTTGAGCTGAACCTAATTTGGGGAAGATAAGGAGGAGCCAGCAACAAAGACAGAGAGCAGCCATTCAGGTAGGAGGAGAATAGGTGAATGTGGCCATTGAAATTCAAGTCAGTAAAGTGTTTCAGGAGAAGAGAGTAATCAACATGTCAAATGCTACAGTTATGTCAAAACAAATGAGGAGCACGCACTTTACAAGGATTTAGCAAAGTGAACTGATGGATTCCTGACTCTGGATAGGCTAGTGAAAGGCTGATTGGTGAGGAGTCAAGAGAGACCACTAGGGAGAAATTGGGTACAGAAAATGTAGACAACTGTTCCCAGCAGTTTTGCTATAAAAAGAAAAAAAATGGAATAGTAGTAGGATGAGAGAGTACACTCAAGAGAAATAGTAGCATGTTCGTACGCTGATAAGATATTTCCCATCTCAGCCAATGGTAACCCCATCCTTCCAGTTGCTCTGGCCCAATTCTCAAAGCTATCGTTGATTCCTTTTTTTTTTTTCTGAGACTACGCAGAAACAATGGAAAATTTTGATAGCTGTACTTTCAATATCCAGAAATAAAGAGAATTGAAAGAATTAGAAGACTCCCCATCTCTAATGAGTCTAAGAAATAATCATCAATGGCTGCTCAAAACCAAAGAGACTATAAGAATCACGTGCCTTCCAATAAGTATCCAACACCACCTCTGAAGAAAATCAAACCTGGATACAATCAAGCCACTAGATATAACCACAAAGGCTCATAAATTATACGAGACAGAAGAACTTATGTGACCCAACAGGCACACAGTTAACATTATTCAGGGTGCGGCAAACTCCAGAGGACAAAGTGACCTAGTCTTCAGAAAATAAACTATAAGAGAAAAACAGAGAGAGAAGAGAGAGAGAAAGACAGCAAGCAAACCTAAAGGTTAAAAGACATAAAGGACATGGCAATATGCTTCTCCACAAAATGTGTGAATACTGTCTGAATAATGATTTAAACAAACCAATTTAAAAATTACAAGACATTTGGGGAAATTTGCACACTGAATGGATGTTTGATTATATTAAAGACACAATATTTTAGGTGTGACAATTCTGCTGTGGTTACACTTATTTATTTATTTGTTTGTTTATGTATTTATTTATCTATTTATTTTGAGACAGGGTCTCACTCTGTCACCCAGGCTGGCGTACAGTGGTGTGATCATGACTCACTGCAGCCTCAACTTCGTGGGCCAAGATAATCCTCCTGTCTCAGCCTTCCGAGCAGCTGGTTTTGCCATGTTGCCCGGGCTGGTCTCAGATTCCTGGGCTCAAGCAATCCTCCCGCCTCGGCTTCTCAAATTCCTGGGATTACAGGTGTGACCCACCACACCACGCCTGTGGTTACATTTTTAAATTGCTTTTATCTTTTATACTAAAATAATTACACAGTGAATAATATTATACCTGGTGATAGTTTCAAAACAATTCAATAGAGGGACGTAGAGGGGACAACTACAAATGCAAATGGATTAGCCATGAGTGGACCTTTGCAGGTAGATGGTTCGAATTCATGCTACTGTTCTCTCTCTCCACTTTTGTTTATGTCTCATGTTTCATCTAACAAGAAGCTTTTTTAACTCTATTAAAATTTGCTGTCATAATAACTAAAAAAGAGCAAAGAAAACAAATTGTTACAAAGGTGGCAAGAGAGGTGTCAGGCCTCTGAGCCCAAGCTAAGCCATCGCATCCCAGGTGACTTGCAGGTATATATGCCCAGATGGCCTGAAGTAACTGAAGAATCACAAAAGAAGTGAAAATGCCCTGCCCCACCTTAACTGATGATATGCCACCACAAAAGAAGTGAAAATGGCTGGTCCTTGCCTTAAGTGATGACATTACCTTGTAAAAGTCCTTTTCCTGGCTCATCCTGGCTCAAAAAGCTCCCCTACTGAGCACCTTCCAACCCCCACTCCTGCCCATCAGAGAACAACCCCCTGTTGACTGTAATTTTCCTTTACCTACCCAAATCCTATAAAATGGCCCCACCCCTATCTCCCTTCGCTGACTCTCTTTTTGGACTCAGCCTGCCTGCACCCAGGTGATTAAAAGCTTTATTGCTCACACAAAGCCTGTTTGGTGGTCTCTTCACATGGACGCACATGAAATTTGGTGCCGTGACTCAGATCGGGGGACCTCCCTTGGGAGATCAATCCCCTGTCCTCCTGCTCTTTGCTCCATGAAAAAGATCCACCTATGACCACGGGTCCTCAGACCCACCAGCCCAAGGAACATCTCACCAATTTTAAATCGGGTAAGCGGCCTCTTCTTACTCTCTTCTCCAACCTCTCTCACTATCCTTCAACCACTTTCTCCTTTCAATCTTGGTGCCACCCTTCAATCTCTCCCTTCTCTTAATTTCAATTCCTTTCATTTTCTGGTAGAGACAAAGGAGACACATTTTATCTGTGGACCCAAAACTCTGGCACCAGTCACAGACTCAAGAAGGCAGCCTTCCCTTGGTGTTTAATCATTGCAGGGATGCCTCTCTGATTATTCACCCCCATTTCAGAGGTGTCCGACCACGCAGGGATGCCTGCCTTGGTCCTTTACCCTTAGCGGCAAGTACCGCTTTTCTGGGGGCAAGAACCCCCCAACCCCTTCTCTCTGTGTCTCTACCCTTTCTCTGCTTTTCTAGGGGCAAGAACCCCCTGATCCCTTATTTCTGTGCCCCAGGATCTTATCTCTGCACCCTGATCCCTTATTTCCATGCCCCGACCTCTTATCTCTGTGCCCCGATCCCTTATTTCCATGGTCCAACCTCTTATCTCTGCACCCCTACCCCTTATTTCTGCACCCTGACCTCTTATCTCTGTACCCCAACCCCTTATTTCCATGCCCCAACCCCTTTCCCGCTTTTCTGGAGGGTAAGAACTCCCAAACCCCTTCCCTCCATGTCTCTAGTCTCTCTTTTCTCTGGGCTTGCCTCCTTCACTATGGGCAACCTTCCACCCTCCATTCCTCCTTCTTCTCCCTTAGCCTGTGTTCTCAAGAACTTAAAACCTCTTCAACTCACACCTGACCTAAAACCTAAATGCCTTATCTTCTTCTGCAATGCTGCTTGACCCCAATATAAACTCAACAGTGGTTCCAAATAGCCAGAAAATGGCACTTTCCATTTATCCATCCTACAAGATCTAAATAACAATTGTCATAAAATGGGCAAACGGTCTGAGGTGCCTGATGTCCAGGCATTCTTTTATACTTTGTTGCCTCCCTAGTCTCTGTTCCCAATGTGACTCATCCCAGATCCTCCTTCTTTCCCTCCCACCTGTCCCCTCAGTCCCAACCCCAAGCGTTGCTGAGTCTTTCTAATCTTCCTTTTCTACAGACCCATCTGACCTCTCCCCTCATCGCCAGGCCGAGCCAGGTCCCAATTCTTCCTTAGCCTCTGCTCCCCAACCCTACAATCCTTTTATCACCTCGCCTCCTCACACCTGGTCCAGCTTACAGTTTCATTCAGCGACTAGCCTTCCCCCACCAGCCCAGCAATTTCCTCTTAAAAAGGTGGCTGGAGCTAAAGGCATAGTCAAGGTTAATGCTCCTTTTTCTTTATCTGACCTCTCCCAAAATCAGTTCGCGTTTAGGATCTTTTTCATCAAATATAAAAACCCAGCCCAGTTCATAATTCGTTTGGCCGCAACCCTGAGACGCTTTACAGCCCCAGACCCTGAAAGGTCAGAAGGCTGTCTTATTCTCAATATGCATTTTATTTTATTACCCAGTCTGCTCCTGACATGAAATAAAGCTCCAAAAATTAAATTCTGGCCCTCAGACCCCACAACAGGACTTAATTAACCTCACGTTCAAGGTGTACAATAATAGAGTAGAGGCAGCCAAGTAGCAATGTATTTCTGAGTTGCAATTCCTTGCCTCCACTGTGAGACAAACCCCAGCCACAACTCCAGCACACAAGAACTCCAAACACCTGAACCGCAGCTGCCAGGGGTTCCTCCAGAACCTCCTCCCCCAGGAGCTTGCTACAAGGGCTGGAAATCTGGCCACTGGGCCAAGGAATGCCCACAGCCTGGGATTCCTCCTAAGCCATGTCCCATCTGTGTGGGATGCCACTGAAAATAGGACTGTTCAACTCACCTGGCAGCCACTTCCAGAGCCCCTGGAACTCTGGCCCAAGGCTCCCTGACTGACTCCTTCCCTGATCTTCTCAGCTTAGCAGCTGAAGACTGACACTGCCTGATTGCCTCAGAAGCCTACAGGACCATCACAGATGCCCTAGATAACTCTCACAGTGGAGGGTAAGTCCATCCCCTTCTTAGTCAATACGGAGGCTACCCACTCCACATTACCTTCTTTTCAAGGGCCTGTTTCCCTTGCCTCCATAACTGTTGTGGGTATTGACAGCCAGGCTTCTAAACCTCTTAAAACTCCCCAACTCTGGTGCCAACTTAGAAAACATTCGTTTATGCACTCTTTTTTAGTTATCCCCACCTGCCCAGTTCCCTTATTAGGCCAAGACATTTTAACTAAGTTATCTGCTTCCCTGACTATTCCTGGACTACAGCTGCATCTCATTGCCACCCTTCTTCCCAAACCAAAGCCTCCTTTCCGTCTTCCTCTCATTTCCCCCCACCTTAACCCACAAGTATGGGACATGTCTACTCCTTCCCTGGCAACTGATCACATGCCCCTTACCATCCCATTAAAACCTAATCACCCTTACCCCACTCAATGCCAATATCCCATCCCACAGCAAGCTTTAAAAGGATTAAAGCCTGTTATCACTCGCCTGCTACAGCATGGGCTTCTAAAACCTATAAACTCCCCTTACAATTCCCCCATTTCACCTGTCCTAAAACCAGACGTGGCTTACAGGTTAGTTCAAGATCTGCGCCTTATCAACAAAATTGTTTTGCCTATCCACCCCGTGGTGCCAAACCCATATACTCTCCTATTCTCAATACATCCCTCCACAATCCATTATTCTGTTCTAGATCTCAAACATGCTTTCTTTACTATTCCTTTGCACCCTTCATCCCAGCCTCTCTTCACTTTCTCTTGGACCGACCCTGACACCCATCAGGCTCAGCAAATGACCTGGGCTGTACTGATGCAAGTCTTCACAGATGGCCCCTATTATTTCAGTCAAGCCCAAATTTCTTCCTCATCTGTTACCTCTCTTGACATCATAAAAACACATGTGCTCTCCCTGCTGACCATGTCCGGCTAATCTCCCAAACCCCAATCCCTTCTAAAACACAACAACTCCTTTCCTTCCTAGGCATGGTTAGTGTGGTCAGAATTCTTACACAAGAGCCGGGACCACACCCTGTAGCCTTTCTGCCCAAACAACTTGACCTTACTCTTTTAGCCTAGCCCTCATGTCTGCGTGCAGTGGCTGCCACTGCTTTAATACTTTTAGAGGCCCTAAAAATCACAAACTATGCTCAACTCACTCTCTACAGTTCTCATAACTTCCAAAATCTATTCTCTTCCTCACACCTGATGCATATACTTTCTGCTCCCCGGCTCCTTCAGCCGTACTCACTCTTTGTTGAGTCTCCCACAATTACCATTGTTCCTGGCTCAGACTTCAATCTGGCCTCCCACATTATTCCGGATACCACACCTGACCCTCATGACTGTATGTCTCTGATCCACCTGATGTTCACCCCATTTCCCCACATTTCCTTCTTCCCTGTTTCTCACCCTGATCACACTTGGTTTATTGATGGCAGTTCCACCAGGCCTAATCGCCACTCACCAGCAAAGGCAGGCTATGCAATAGTATCTTCCACATCTGTTATTGAGGCTACCACTCTGCCCCCCTCCACTACCTCTTAGCAAGCCAAACTAGTTGCCTTAACTCAGGCCCTTACTCACTGTTGCAAAAGGACAATGCGTCAATATTTATACTGACTCTAAATATGCCTTTCATATCCTGCACCACCATGCTATTATATAGGCTGAAAGAGGTTTCCTCACTAGCAAGGGTCCTCCATCATTAATGCCTCTTTAATAAAAACTCTGCTCAAGGCCGCTTTACTTCCAAAGGAAGCTGAAGTCATTCACTGCAAAGGCCATCAAAAGGGGTTAGATCCCATTGCTCTAGGCAATGCTTATGCTGATAAGGTGGCTAGACAAGCAGCTAGCTTTCCACCTTCTGTCCCTCATGGCCAGTTTTTCTCCTTCACATCAGTCACTCCCACCTACTCTCCCGCTGAAACTTCCACCTATCAATCTCTTCCCACACAAGGCAAATGGTTCTTAGACCAAGGAAAATATCTCCTTCCAGCCCCACAGGCCCATTCTATTCTGTCGTCATTTCATAACCTCTTCCATGTAGGTTACAAGCCGCTAACCCTTCTTGTAGAACCTCTCATTTCCTTTCCATCCTGGAAATCTATCCTCAAGGAAATCACTTCTCAGTGTTCCATTTGCTATTCTACTACCCCTCAGGGATTGTTCAGGCCCCCTCTCTTTCCTACACATCAAGCTTGAGGATTTGCCCCTGCCCAAGACTGGCAAATTGACTTTACTCACATGCCCCAAGTCAGAAAACTAAAATATCTCTTAGCCTAGGTAGACACTTTCACTGGATAGGTAGAGGCCTTTCCTACAGGGTCTGAGAAGGCCACTGCGGTCATTTCTTCCCTTCTGTCAGACATAATTCCTCGGTTTGGCCTTCCCACCTCTATACAGTCCGATAGCAGACCAGCCTTTATTAGTCAAATCAGCCAAGCATTTTTTCAGGCTCTTAGTATTCAGTGAAACCTTTATATCCCTTACAGTCCTCAGTCTTCAGGAAAAGTAGAACAGACTAATAGTCTTTTAAAAACACCTCACCAAGCTCAGCCACCAACTTAAAAAGGACTAGACAATACTTTTACCACTTGCCCTTCTCAGAATTCAGGCCTGTCCTCAGAATGCTACAAGGTACAGACCATTTGAGCTCCCGTAGAGACGCTCCTTTATATTAGGCCCCGGTCTCATTCCAGACACCGGACCAACTTGGACTGTGCCCCAAAAAACTTGTCATCCCTACTATCTTCTGTCTACTCATACTCCTATTCACCATTCTCAACTACTCATACATGCCCTGCTCTTGTTTACACTGCTGATTTACACTGTTTCTCCAAGCCATCACAGCTGATATCTCCTGGTGCTATCCCCAAACCGCCACTCTTAACTCTTAAAGTAAATAAATAATCTTTGCTGGCAGGACTATGCTGAATCCCCTTAGGCACTCTCTAATTAGATGTCCTAGGTCCTCCCAATTCTTAGACCTTTAATACCTGTTTTTCTCCTTCTCTTATTCCGTTTAGTTTTTCAATTCATACAAAACCACATCCAGACCATCACCAATAATTCTAAATGACAAATGTTTCTTCTAACAATCCCACAATGTCACCCCTTACCACAAAATCTTCCTTCAGCTTCATCTCTCGCACTCTAGGTTCCCACGCCGCCCCTAATCCCGCTTGAAGCAACCCTGAGAGACATCACCCATTCTCTCTCTCCATACCACCCCCAAAAATTTTCACCACCCCAACACTTCAACACTATTTTGTTTTATTTTTCTTATTAATATAAGAAGGCAGGAATGTCAGGCCTCTGAGCCCAAGCTAAGCCATCGCAGCCCCTGTGACTTGCAGGTATATATGCCCAGATGGCCTGAAGTAACTGAAGAATCACAAAAGAAGTGAAAATGCCCTGCCCCGCCTTAACTGATGACATTCCACCACAAAAGAAGTGAAAATGGCCAGTCCTTGCCTTAAGTGATGACATTACCTTGTAAAAATCCTTTTCCTGGCTCATCCTGGCTCAAAAAGCTCCCCTACTAAGCACCTTGCAACCCCCACTCCTGCCCACCAGAGAACAATCCCCCTTTGACTGTAATTTTCCTTTACCTACCCAAATCCTATAAAGTGGCCCCACCCCTGTCTCCCTTCGCTAACTCTCTTTTTGGACTCAGCTTTGCTGATCTCAACTAATAAAAGTGTTTTTGTTGACATTTTTCTAACAGAAAAACAATGCATTCTGAGAAACAGAATAATAACGTGGAACAACTGCTTCTTCCTGCCAAAACTTTATTTGAAGTTTGTTAAAAAAAAAAAAGTTAAGACAAACAATTATAATGACTTTTCATTAGCAAAAAGCTCTACTTTAAAAATAAAACTCTAGGACAACTTTTTTCAGATTCAGCATACAGGTGAAATTCAATTTATAACTCTCTGAAAACCTGTTGGAGCACTTTCCTGTTTCTTTTCTCATTTTATATCACATTCTGTGCTATTTTTAAAGAAACTCAATGTGCCAAGTGGAAAATGTTTTTACATGCTATGAAAGATAAAAAGTGCTTTTTCCCCCAAGGATGTTTTACACATTAACCTGTTTTCCTTTGCTTTCTATTTTTCACATGCCCCTTGCTCATATGTTTTGACTGGTTTTGCTCCAATGAAGGCAAAGCCACGCCCATCAGGAACTTCAAAGTCATTGAAACTCACCAAAGACCAACTCCTATGATCAGCCCGTGGACAATACCGGTTATTTTCAAACCAGTCCTTAGTCACCAGGATTCTTGACAAGCTCCTGCAAAGCAGACACAGGTTTGTCTTGGTGGAAGCTGCTGACTGTCATCCCCTCAGTTTGAAACTCGAGGTCCTGCTTTGGTGTGGAAGCAGAGCTTTTCTTGGCAGGTGAAAGATTGCTTAGCAAAGGAAACGGTGTCAAATGGAATATGTCAGAACCTATCTCAGAACAAGGTCACCCTGACCCTAAATGAATTCCACAAAAACTCATTGGAGACACTGTTTTGCAAATCTGGACTTCAACCAAAAAGAAAGAAAAGTGGACCACAGTAACCAAAGCTTTCCTCATCCTTCAGGTTGAGGTCTGGAAAACAGAATCAAAGCCTCCCTTCAATTCCTCCTCACCACCTGCCTTACCCAGATGTACATTTTAAATTTAATCATAAATCACATAAAACAGAGTAACACAGATGAATTCAAATGAGGTGGATTGCATGCATGGAAGGCCAGTGCAGTATAGTTTACCAATGATTACAAGTATACTTTCTGCTTAATGTACATCACAACCATGTTAAGTGAGTTACTACTAACCACATTTCATGGGTGATGAAATGAGATATGCCATTTTGGGGGCCTGCCTGTGATAGGCCACACAGAAAATAAAGAGGAAAATGCATCCTTGGGCTAGGCTCTTTCCGATCTTTCTCTCAACATTCTTTCGATGGCAGCAGCTCAGAGACAATGAGGACCTATCAATCTGCCTTTCTCCAATTCTCCTACCCCAGTCACCTAATGTTACCTAAACCCAAAAAGGAAATATATACAACTTCAAACTCTTCTCTAAACACTAATTCTCCTGGTCGAAGCTTCAGCAAGGATGCCTTCCACCTCTCAAGGGCACCCCACCGACTGATTCCTCTGTGTCCTGAAGATCCCTATTGTGGCTAGTGGATAATAACGCTCAGGAATGTACTTCTACCCCATGAACCAGAACACTGTAAAACTGTTGTTCACATTTATCCAATAAAATCCAGACAATACATCTGGTTCTTTTTATATTTTTAATAGTGGAAATGTGTTTGTGATTTAAAAACTTAGTTTCTGTCAAAAGAAGTATAATACATAGTATTCAACAGTTTCAGGATCTCTTGTCAAAAGAGATAATTGCAGAACTTTAACAGACTAACATGGTACTATATAGAAAAATGACCTCTAAAATATAACACATGGTTTTAGCTTCTAGGGATGATATCTGAAAGTTAATCCGACATTTATAACCAACTGACCAGGATGTTCAAAAACTCATGGCCCTAAGGCGTCTAGGAGACAATTAAGAAGAATGGACATTACTCACAATGGGAACAATTCCCAGCTTTGCAGAGGAACACAGATTTGGGGGGCTTTGCAGCCGTCCCTCATAATGGGAACAATTCATATTTTCTTCCCTTAGAGAATTAAGACTGATGTTTTCCATAATGAATAGTTTATAAAGATAATACAAAGGAACTTTGTGGGTCGGCCGCGGTGGCTCACGGCCTGTAAGGAGGCTGAGGCAGGAGAATCACTTGAACCCGGGAAGTGAAGGTTGCAGTGAGCCAAGATGGTGCCATTGCACTCCATCAAGAGCGAAACTCCATTTCAAAAAAAAAAAAAAAAACGAGGGAACTTTGCGAAAGTGTGGTTAGAAAACTAGAGTTGGATAGTTAGGCTTATTTTAAGAAGTTTAAATATTATTTAGAAGAGAAAAAGAAACTACTTCTTATCCCTGACTCATCCACTCTTTCTCATTTTCATGTTTTTGCCTGACGTTGTTGCTCATCAATTTTGACTTAAGAAAATTCTAGCAACATTTATAGATTTTGCCAAAATTCAGCTTCTTCCCAAATCAATCTATAAGAAGGCTCTTCCTTAAACATAATTTTTATATCTATGAACTGCACTAGCATTTACTATATATTTTTATCACTCTCACCATTACTGGATAATAAATAAAAGCTCATTAAAAGAGTTAACAAAACATATTTATTTTAGGCATCCTGAAAAAAAGATTCAATTTTATTATCATTTCTACAATAAGTATTGAAGAAAGGAGAATTTAAATTACTTCATATACCTGATAAAGGAAAACATATGCAAGGCAAATAAACATCTTAGATCATGACATATAAAATAATAGATTATTACTAAAGATTAAAATACTTTCTTAAGAATTAAAGCAATTCTAAAAGCAATAGTAAATAACATTCTTTCTAGTGATCAGACACTGGATACTATGTTTGAGATAGACA
This sequence comes from Homo sapiens, assembly GCF_000001405.40. NCBI lineage: Eukaryota > Metazoa > Chordata > Mammalia > Primates > Hominidae > Homo > Homo sapiens. The sequence goes on from NC_000021.9 coordinate 17,130,563, forward strand.
GTGAATTGGGAATGTTGTTTTACAGAAGCTCCTACCTTGCAAGGACAGGCAAGTTTAAATGTCAGCTAGAAAACTATCTTGAGTTTTCAGTAATGTAAGATTTTCCTATTCAATTTCACACTTTAAATTTTATATATATATATAAAAGTCATGATTCTATTGAAAAAATTTCTAAATTGGTACATTTAACTTTATATTCTATTATTATAAAATACAAACAGATTATTAAGCACAGCTGCACAAAGTCGTCATTTCAAAAGAGTTTTAAGAACTGGATAAGCAAATAAGTGTAACCTTAGTCATGTTAGGAATAAGAGAATTCAGTGGAACAATAGTGTGTGAGTTTCCTTTCAATTTTTTCATCCTCACAATGGAGAATCAGCTGGGGAGCCAGATTTACGAATAATATTTATTCCACTTGTGTTACATAGAGTGTTCTTATGTTAAGAAAGTTGTCAGGATTTTAATTAACATTGCGAAAATTTATTTACATAAATATGCAAAGAAATCACACTAATATTGAAGAGCCACAAAACAATAAAAAATTATTAAAGAAAGACAATCTCAGAGCACTAGCGACCTGTCCTTAGTGTGTTCCATACAAATTTGTTGTATTGCCTGTAAGCCATTTATCTCTTCCTTATCAATTCTTTCCTTTCTTTCCACAAAATTATCCCTAGCTAGTTCACAGGATTGTTATAAACATCAAATGAAATGATGAATATTCATGTACTTCATAAGTTATAAAATGCTTATCCAATATGAAACAGTGTTTTTATTGTGTGTGTTGAATAAGAAAGGAAAGTTTGAGGTTTCCAGCTAATTGTCTTTCAAATTTGAAACACGTGTCATAGTAATTATCCTTTTGTATCTCTTTTTTTAGAATTCTTGAGTGATGGGTGCTACAGATCTGAAAATCATTATGCTGGAATATTTCCACTCCTCCCAACCACAAATATGTGTCTATCAAGAGAGGCTGTATGTTGCTGTGAATCCCAAATGGTATTAATTGAATTAGAGGTTCTAAAATATCATTGTGAACATTTAAAAAGTTCTGCCATTTCTAATTGGTTCATGGTTGTGTAACAAAAATTGTGAATGTATTTTGAAGCAACTCAGAATGATAAAATGAGATTTTACTCAAACCCTTCATATAATTTCACCTTGATTCTAGAATCATTGGGTGAGTTACATCAAGTATTTCAATAAGCAATAAAAAAGTTAGAATGGGGGGAAAGGACCAGATGGCCAACTAGATGCAGCTAGGAAATACCTCTCCCATTGAAAGAAAGCAGAATATGAAGTAAACCATCATATTTTGAACAGATCTTTTGAGAGAAAATACTGAACATCAATAAAGGGGGGATGCAGAAACTGAGGTTGAAGACAGAGAAAGCTGGGAAGCCTACACTGAGTCACCGAGTGTCAGACTGGCTCCTGGTCCTGAACAAGTCCTAAGGAAGGGTTAAGTGAAGGAAGTCCAGGGCACCACACTCCCATCATGGACCTCTGGGATCCTAGCTACAAAAGATCCCATGACTCCATAGACATTTGAATTGGCAGGGGAAACTGCCTGGAAAGTAAGAAGAAGAAGAGCTCAAAACTGTGTGGAGCTCAGAAGGTGTTATAGCGCATGGTACAGCTGCAGCAAAACATCACCCAGGCATTCATCCCCCAAGGCTCCCCATCTGGATCCAAGTGACTATAACAACTGCTGACTGTCAGGCCAGGAGAGAGCAGGATTGTCTTTCCTCTGGGACCGGAAAGCATCTGATCCCTGTGCTGCCCCTTGTCTGCCAGCCCCTTCCAAGGCCACGGGTCCGGCCACTCCCACAAGAGAGTGAACACAGAACAGCCTCCACTTCCCATCTGAGTGTTTTGCTGGCAACCTGGGATTAGTTCAGCACCCCAAGTACAACTGGTGCTTGACCCTGAGGGGCCAGAGGAAAAAGCTGTGGCCCAATTCCCAAACCCCTAGGTTTGAGTATACCACCCACAGGTATTGAGCTGAGATCTGTGGCTAGAGCTTGAGCAGGGGAGGAGCCTCTACTCTCAGAACACAGAAAACAGTGAGGCACAGGTTTATGTTCAGGCATGGGAGCTGAGCATCCCTCCCTCAGCAAGACTGGTGCAGGAAGTGTGTAGCCTGTTGGGCAGCCACAGCTTTTGCCCAAGGCAGCCCCATGGCATGGAACACCTGGAATAGCCCAGTGATCTGGGTGAAGAAGGCTTCAGACAAATCTAGCTGTTCAGGCCTACTCCTGGGGCAGACAGCAGAGGGAAACTGGGTCAGGGGAACACAAGCTGGGGAGGCCCCAAGGCCACCTGCTGGTTAAAAATCCCAGGCCATGCGCACCACACCAGCTGCACACCTGTGGCATCACAGTCTTGCCAGCGGATCCTTCACCTTTGACCAACTGCATCACCAGATCACCCACAGACATATCCTACAACCTTCTCTGACTGCCCAGCTTAGACCAGTGGGTCTCTGGGGAGCTACAGATCTCTTAGTGACCTAATCTTCAGTTCAGGCCACCCCTAAGGGAGGAGGGAGTGCAACCTGCCAGGGTCCCCCCTTGAGGCTGAGGAAACACAGGCATGGTGCCACTGATTGCAGAGGGCTCCCCTAAGGCCCAAGAATGACCTTGGTGAAACGGTCATTTCTTGCCCCTCTATCTCTCCTTCCCCAGAAGACTGCTCTATATGCACTGAAATACAAAACAGGTGTATGGCAGAGCCTATCTGCTAGACCTTACTCTTAAGCACCATCTATTGTATCATAACCTGAATTACACCACCAAATAAAAACAAATTCCTTCACTTTGCAATGCCTATGAAACCCAGTGCAGGAAACTAACCACAATTAAGGAACTCATGCAGAGCCTTGGCACTCTGAAAGCACAAAGAACATCCAGAAATGAAGCCAACTAATGGTACACGACATATACCACAGTCAAACTCTCAAGGGAAAAAAGAATATAAAAACAAAAAAACCCATCCAAACAATAGCAATTTAAAAGTAACAGGAAGCACCAGCCCCTCAGATGAGAAGAAATCAGTGCAAGAATTCTAGCAATTCAGAAGGTCAGAGTGTTTCCTTACCGCTAAAGGATTGCACTAGGTCCCTAGCAATGGATCCTAAGCAGATTGAGAGGTCTGAAATGACAGAAATATAATTTAGAACCTGGATGGCAAGGAAGCTCAGTGAGATTCCAGAGAAAGTTGAAATTCAGTTTAAGGAAACCAATGAAATAATCCAGGAGTTAAAAGGTAACACAGCCTTTTTATGAAAGAACCAAACTGAACTTCTGGAATTGAAAAATTCACTACAAGAATTTAAAAATATAACTGGAGACCTTAACACCAGGCTAGACCAAAGAAACAATTTGAGAGCTCAAAAACTGGTTATTCAAATCAACCTAGACAAAAATCAAGAAAAGTGAATTTAAAAATAAAATCTTCAAGAAATATGAGATTATGTAAACAGAGAAAAACCTACGAGTCAGTGGCATTCCTGAGAGAGAAGGAGGGAGAGTAAGCAACTTGGAAAACATATTTTAGGATATAATTCATAAAAATTCCCCTAATCTCACCAGAGGGGTCAACATGCAAAGTCAAGAAATTCAGGGAACCCTTGAAAGATACTTACAAGATGACTATCCCCAAGACACATAGTCATCAGACTCTCTAGGGTGAACATGAAAGAAAAAAATCTTGAAGGTAACTAGAGAAAAGTCAGGTCACTTACAAAGAAAACCCTATCAGGCTAACATCAGACTTCTCAGCTGAAATTTTACAAGCCTGAAGAGATTGGGGGCCTATTTTAAGCACTTTTTAAATGAAATTCTAATCAATTTTATATTCTTCCAAACTAAGCTTCATAAGCAAAGGAGAAATAAAATCTTCCAGACAAGCAGTCACTAAGGGAATCTATTACTGCTAGACCGGCCTTACAAGAGATTCTAAGGGAGTTCTAAACATGAAAACAAAAGAACACCTGCTACCACAAAATTACATTTAAGTAATATAGCCCACCAATTATATAAAGAAACTACACAATTGAGATTACAAAGCAACCAGCTAACAACATCATGACAGGATGAAAACCTCACATATCAATATTAACCTTGAATGCAAATGATCTCAACACCCCACTTAAAAGGCACAGAGTGGCAAGTTAGATTTTTAAAAAACCAAGACCTGAGCTGGGCATGGTGGCTTATGCCTGTAAACCCATCACTTTGGGAAGCAGAGGTGGGCAGATCACGAGGTCAGGAGTTCGGGACTAGCCTGGCCAACATGGTAAAACCCCATCTCTACTAAAAATACAAAAATTAGCTGGGCATGGTGGTGGGCACCTGTAATCCCAGCTACTTGGGAGGCTGAGGCAAGGGAATCATTTGAACCCAGGAGGTGGAGGTTGCAGTGAGCAGAGATCGCGTCATTGCACTCCAGCCTGGGTGACAGGGTGAGACTCTGTCAAAATAAAAAAGAAAAGAAAAAAAGAAAAGAAAAGACCAAGACCCAACAATCTGCAGTCTTCAAGATATCCTTCTCACATACAAGGATACCCATAGGCAAAAAAACATCAAGAAATGGAGAAAGATCTATCATGCAAACAGAAAACAAAAACAACAAGGGCCAAGCATCACTATTCTTATATCAGATAAAACAGAATTTAAACAAAAAAAGAAAGAAAAAAAAAAAGAACAAAGATAGGCATTACATCACATAAAGGGTTCAATTCAACAAGTCTTAATTATCCTAAGTATATAAATACCCAACATTGGAGCACCCAGATTCATAAACAAGTACTTAAAGACCTACAAAAAAATTAGACAACCCCACAATAATAGCTGGGGGGCTTCTACACCCCATTAGCAGCGTTAGATCATCAAGGCAGAAAACTCACAAAGAAATTCTGGACTTAAATTCAACACTTGGCCAATTGGACCTAATAGACATCTGCAGAACACTACACCCAACAACCACAGAATATACATTCTTCCCATTGACACACAGAACACACTCTAAAATAGAATACATGCTTGGCCATAAAACAAGTCTCAGTAAATTCAAAAAAATCAAAATTATATCAAGCACATTCTTGGAACACAGTGGAATAAAAATAGAAATCAATACCAGGAAGACACCTCAAAATCACACAATCACATGGAAATTAAACAGCTTGCTCATAAATGACTTTTGGATAAACAACAAATTTAAGGCAGAAATCAAAAAAATTATTGGAAATTAATGAAAACAGAAATGCAACATATCAAAATCTCCGGGATGTAACAAAAGCAGTGTTAAGAGGAAAGTTTATAGCAATAAATATCTAGATCAAGAAGTTAGAAAGATCTCAAATTAACAATCTAAATCACATCTAGAGGAACTAGGAAAACGAGAACAAACTAACTCCAAAGCTAGCATAAGAAAAGAAATAATTAAAATCAGAGCAGAACTGAACAAAATTGAGACCCAAAAATCCATACAAAGCATCAATGAAAACAAAACTTGATTCCTTGAAAGGATAAAGAAGATTGATTGATAGACCACTAGATAGATTTAAAAAGAAAAAAAGAGAGAAGATCAAAATAAGTATAATCAGAAATGACAAAGATTACATCACAACCGATCCCGCAGAATTACAAAAGTGCCTTAGAAACTACTATGAATACTTCTATGCACACAAATTAGAAAATCTACAGGAAATGGATAAACTTCTGGACACACACAATCTTCCAAGATTGAATCAGGAAGAAGTTGAAATCCTAAACAGAACTATAATGAGTTCCAAAATTGAATCAGTAATAAAAAGAAAAACCTACCAACCAAAAAGAAGTCCTATACCAGATGGATTCACAGGCAAATTCTACAAGACGCACAAAGAAGAGCTTATACCAATCTTACTGTAATTCAAAAAATTGAGGAGAGACTCCTCCATAACTCATTCCATTAATCCAGCATCATCCTGACACCAAAATCTGGCAAGAAAAATACAATGATAAAGGAAAACTACAGGCCAATATTTCTGAGGAACACAAATGCAAAAATCCACTACAAAATACTAGCAACCCAAATCCAGCTGCGCATCAAAAAGTTAATTCACCATGATCAGGTAGGCTTCTTTCTTGGGATGCAAGTTTGGTTCAATGCATACAAATTGATAAATGCAATTAACCACATAAAGAGAATTAAAAACAAAAACCATATGATCATCTTAACAGATGCAGAAAATGCTTTTGATAAAATTCAACATCCCTTTATGATTAAAAAAAATCCCTCAACTAGGCATTGAAAAAACACCTCAAAATAATAAGGGTCACCTATAACAAAGCCATAGCCAAAATTATACTGATTGGAACCATTTATCTTGAGAACTGGAACAAGACAAGTTTGCCTACTGTTACCACTCCTCTTCAATACAGTACTGGAAGGCCTACCCCAAGCAATCAAGTAAGAGAAATAAAAGGCATTCAAATAGCAATAGAAGAAGTCAAATTATTTCTCTTCACTGATTATATAATTCTATACTTGGAAAGCCCTAAAGGCTCGACCAAAAGGCTCCTAGAACTAAAAAATGACCTCAGTAAAGTTTCAAGATATAAAACCAACGTACAAAAATCAGCAGTATCTCTCTACAGTAATAATGTTCAAGCTGAAAGACAAGTCATGAATGCAATCCCACTTATAGTAGCCACACAAAAATATAAAATACCTAGGAAATACAAATAAAAACCACGATGAGATACCATCTCACACCTATCATAATCCCAGTACTTTGGGAGGCCGAGGCAGGCGGATCACAAGGTCAGGAGATCGAGACCATCCTGGCTAACACAGTGAAACCCTGTCTCTACTAAAAATACAAAAAAGTTAGCCGGGTGTGGTGGCGGGCACCTGTAGTCCCAGCCACTCGGGAGGCTGAGGCAGGAGAAAGGCGTGAACCCAGGAGGCAGAGCTTGTAGTGAGCCGAGATCGCGCCACTGCACTCCAGCCTGGGCGACACAGTGAGACTCCATCTCAAAAAAAAAAAAATAAAAAATAAAAAATAAACAGGTTCTGGTGAGGCTTTGGGGGAAAAGGAATGCTTATACCCTGCTGGTGGAACTGTACATTAGTTCAGCCATTGTGGAAAGCCATTCAGAGATTTCTCAAAGAACTAAATACAGAACCACAATTCAACCCAGCAGTCACATTACTAGGTATATACCCAAAGGAAAATAAACCATCGTACCAAAAAGACACATGCCTTCATATATTTAACACAACACTATTCACAATGGCAAGAATATGGAATCAACCTAGGTGCCCATCATCAGTGGATTGGATAAAGAAAATGTGGTACATATCCACCATGGAATACTATGTAGCTATTAAAAAGTGAAATTATGTCCCTGGCAGCAATGTGGATGCAAGTAGTCACCGTTATCCTAAGGAATTAACGCAGGAACAGAAAACCAAATACCATATGTTCTCACTTAGAAGTGGGAGCTAAATATTGATTACTCATGGAAGTAAAGCTGATAACAATAAACACTGGGGACTACTAAAGGGAGGAGGAGGAAGGGGAGCAAAGGTTGTAAAACTACCTATGGGGTACTATGCTCACTACCTGGGTGACAGGATCAATCATACCCCAAGCCTCAGCATCACACAATATACCCAGGTAACAAACCTGCACTTGTACCCTCTGAATCTAAATAAAATTTTAAATAAAACTAACAAGCAAACAAACAAAACAAAGAAGTGAGAAGAGGGTAATTATATGGGAATTTTCCTTATGACCTTAGGCATAGTATTCATCAGAGTAAAAATTAACAATTAAAGTGTCAGTAGTAAAAGCACACCAGCTTATAAATAGAGTTATTTTTCTGCCAGTGGGCACCAAACTGGGGTACATGCACCCCAGAATACATGCAAGAGGGGTCATGGGGATATGTGAAGAATGTATTAGAACTTCTAATAATTTTTATCCAAAATTTGGTGATTAAGCTTTATTAATATTTAGACTAACAAGGTACATATTACTGATGTATAGATAATTATCTTTATATTGTGGGGTGCATGGTTGCTCAAATATACTTATTGATAGAAATACAAATTAAATTATGGGCAGGTGTAGTGGCTCATGCCTACAATCCCAGCACTTTGGGATTGTAGTCTGAGACCAGCCTGGGGAATGTAGTAAGATGAAGAAAGAAGAAAGAAAAGAAAAGAGAAAGTTAGCCAGGTATAGTTGTGTGCAGAAGGAAGGAAGGAAGGAAGGAAGCAAGAAAGCAAGCCAGGTATAGTTGTGTGTACTTGTGTTCCTGGCTACTCGGGAGGCTGAGGCAGGAGGATCACCTGAGTCCAGGAGGTCGAAGCTACAGTGTGCAATGATCATGCCACTGTACTCCAGCCTGGGTGATGGAGTCAGACCCTGTCTCAAAAAGAGAGAGAGAAAGAGAGAAATTTAAAATTTTGAAAAGCACCAACCTAAACAATAAGGGAAATTTTACATTAAGTTACATTGTCTCTAGACTACACTGTAGCAAATTATTAGAATAACAGGAGTCCACAGGAGCAAAGTCTTTGAAGAAAAACAAAATTAAGCAACAATTTTAAACAAAGGAAACATGTTTTAAACATAAAGTTCAGTGTTTCTGAAAATGGATAATGCTAACTCACAACACACATAGCTGACATAGCTGCACAAGGAAAATGTGAGAGAGGAAGCAAGGAAGGAAAGGAGGGAGGGAGGGAGGGAGGGAATGTGAAGAGAAAGTAAATACAGTGTAAAAGTAAAGACTAGTGCCAGCTGAGTGCGGTGGCTCAGGTCTGTAATCTCAGCACTTTGGGAGGCCGAGGTGGGTGGATCACAAGGTCAGGAGTTCAAGAGCAGCCTGGCCAACATGGTGAAATCCCGTCTCTACTAAAAATACAAAAACAATTAGCATGGCATTGGGGCATATGCCTGTAGTCTCAGCTACTTGGGAGGCTGAGGCAAAAGGATCACTTGAACCTGGGAAGCAGAGGTTGCAGTGAGCTGAGATCGCGTCACTGCACCCCAGCCTGGGCAACAGAGAGAAACTCTTATCAAAAAAAAAAAAAAAAAAAAAAGGCTAGTGCTTTACTACTAACTGATAACAACTAAAGATTTTAGTGTCTAATATATTGTTTTAAAACCTCCTTGTCTTTAATAAACCATAATTTTTTTTGTTTCCTCCGCTAAAGACACTGAAAAATTCAGGTGCAAATGAAAATGAAAGCAAAACTGCTCTACTCATATTTGTTTCCTTCATTCTCGATATTGTTCCTCTGCCTCCAGGTCTGTGCAGTCTCTCATCTGAAGGAGTAGACAACAAAGCCACTGTGCATTCTTCCTCCTGAGAACTGTAGATTGCACAACCTGATACCAATCATAGCTCAAGACCGTTACACTAGAAATCAGAAAACTTAGACTCGAGAATTATTTCTTTCAGAGTATACAATCTTAACAACACATTAACTTTGGAAGGGGTTGGGTTGAAATTTCCCTTCCGTGAAATCCTATGTTGCCCCTGTTTATTTCCAAAATCCTAGCTGTAATTGTCTATGATCCCATATTATTTCATCATATCAATTTGAAATGTACTATAGGGGGAAAAATATACAACCTGTAAATTTCTCTGATCTATCACATAATTTCGTCTGTGAATTGCAGTGTTCCAAATGTGATCATAAGATTCATTCATACATTTATTTAGGAAGCATTTATTAATTCCCCTATGATCTGTCAGATAATGTGCCAAATGCTTCACCTATGACAGTAAACAGAGATTTCTCTTTTGTGTATTCACAGAGTTTAGGGGCTGCTGGAAAAGACAGATTAGCAAGCATTTACACAAGCAAGGTGCTAAGAACTATGATGGGGGCATGTGAGGCATATAAGAACATAGATAAATATTTAATTCTGACTTAAAGGGTTAAAATTTCCTGGAGGAAGTGACATATAAGTCACCTAAAATATAAATAAGAATTGACCAGGTGAAGGGGTGACAAAGTCCAGGTGAAGGGGTGACAAAGTCCAGATGAAGAAAAGTCATTAGCACCATACATATCAAAAAGAGACATTTTATGAAATCTAAAGTCTGGGCTGCTATACTGTACATCTCTGAGGACAGTACCAGAGCCCATGAGGTCCTCCCTTGAATTGTGCAGGCCACAGTATTTGTGGCATAGGGTCATCCCTTCAAAACTTGCTTTATTATGGTTGAGGTCAGAAGTATGAATGAAGACATGAAGAGGTAAGAAGAGGTCAAATATAACAGGGCATCGTTATCCAAGTGTGGAAGCTGGGTTAAAGTATTTGAAACAGAGAAAACAAAAACAATCGTATCACCAATGTGTAAGGACTCTCAGTGGGTCAAGAGAGGCCTGACCTACTTCAGTTTCTTCAGATATGGTATTTTTCATTTCTAGAATTTCCATTTGGTTCTTTTTCAGAGTTTGCATTTTTCTAATGTAATCCTCCATCTTATTTTACTTATTATACTTATTTTCCTCTGAATTCTTCAACGTGTTTGTAATTATTATTTTAAATTTCTTGTTTGCTAAATCCAACATCTGGGTCACCTGTAAGTCTCTTTTTATTGAGGTTTTCCTCTTGATTGTGAGTCTCATATTCCTGCTTTTGTGCCTGTCTCATGTTTAGTCAAATGATCTTAGACACTGGAGTAAGTAATATTTTCCTCTATAAAGGGCTTGTTTTTTATCCTGTCAGAAATCCAGGATGAGGGAAGAGCTCTTTGATCTAACCAAGACTAAAGCTGGGTTAGGAATGAGTAGTTGCTTTAGATAGTTTTGCCTGGTTTCAAATGTCTTGAGTATGAGATCAAGACCCTTTCTCCAGCAGGACGTTGAGATCTAAGCATTGCAAGACTGAGATTTCTCTTTGCTTTTCAGTCTAGTCCTTGGGCTCCCATGCCACCATTTATTCAGCAGAAGTCCTATGGAGAAGAATTGGTGGGCGGGAAGAATTCACTACACATCTGAAACTCCTGCATGTTTCTAGCCACCATCCCAGCCCATGTGCAGCCAATAAAAATCTGGCTGGATTTTCCTTCTCACAGAAGTGTTTCTGCCCATGTCAAGTGTGTTATTCTGACTGCCCAGGCGCCCAGACGCAATAAGTATGTTCAGAGGTGAATGTAGCTCCCACTCTCTGCTCATATCAGAAAGGGTAATCCCCTCGCTGCACTTTACTGCATGTAGACACTTTTGCATCCATAATTTTTGATAGTTTTAAGGAAAACATGACTTGTATATTTAGCCAACATTGTCTCATTGCCAGAGCAAGTGAAATGGTCTTTCCTTATCCGCCACAAATTAAGTGAAAGTGGAACTCTCTATTATTTTCTGTTTGGAGAGGTTTCCTATACTGCATACTTTACTTAGTAGAGCTCCAAGCAATGCCAGATTATTAAAGTGCTGATTATCTAATGAACATTTAATATTAAGTTTTATATTTGTAAAAATTCATAAATCCAGTACTGTGGGCAGTGTAGTCAATATTTTTCTCATTAGAGACCATCAAGTCATGCAAAGTAAGTACTTTCCAAGTTTAAATGACAATGGTCAATCTATTTACTCCTTTGACATTATGAAGAAGATCATGATCGTCACTAACACCTATGTAATAGATACCCATAGGGCCCCATCTCACACTCTTACAACCCATCTTTTTACTGCAGACATTGCTATAAAATCAGGTCCATGCATTTGTAAACTGACAGCAGCTGCTTCAGCTGCCTCCTGTATCTCTCATTTTCATCCCTGAGGCTTTTTTGCCACCACCTCATGGGACTCCTTTAAGAACCTGCTAAGCCATTCTGACTCACGCACAAATCAAAGGAGTGAGGAAGCTAACACTACAAGGACAATCCTTGACCAATGGAAAAAGAAGGAGAGTAGTGAATAAACACTACCCTCAGTCATCTCTAAGCTGGACAGTTCTGAGTTTCATTTGACACAGGACCCCAAGGGTATCTGGTAGGACTGAGCTCCAGTTGTCCACAGTAGTGATTAGATGAATAAAGCACCCTGGGATTGGTTTTCTCCCTTCCCCTGCTTCACTTTCCAGTCCCTAGTACTGTTTCTTGGGATCATTTCCCAAAATAAACTACCTGTATGCAAGCTGTCATATGGTGCTGTGCTTTAGGGAACATCATGGATAAAACAGCTTGGAAAGATTGAACAACAATTACAGGAAAGACAGATAAAAGAAACTAGAGATGGGGGCACATTATGATTTCAGAGATATGAAAATATCAGAACTATCACCATGGTGTCATGCAAGTGTGTCTTTATTTTAAAAATCTCTAACAACCTCTTTTGTGCAACCATTTCCTAGAATGCCCACTCATGTTAACAGTATATGAGTATTTTTAAAATAAAAAATTGCCAAAATTTTTCATAAAACTTGAGATATATTTTAAGTATTTCCATGTACACTATCAACACTTTAATGCACATACAAAAAGATCAATGGCATAAAATAGTGCTATGCTAAATATATTATAGAACACATGGAAAAATTCACAGGGCACCACAAGCCATTGCCTCTAGTAATAAAACACAAATATGACATAATTTAAAGTTGTGTCATAACATCTTTCATTCGTGTGTGTGTGTGTGTGTGTATGCATGTCATAGACAAAATGACCTTTTTAGTCCAGTCTTCCCTAATCCCTCCACAAGCTCATAACTGAGGGATGAAGAATCAATGATGAGGATGAGTGTGAATATCCAAATGGCTGCTGGAAGACTGGGCAACCATAGTGATAACAAGTTGTTGGTTTTCATCAACTCTCACTCCCACTATTCACCTCAAACAAAGCTACTTCTACAATTACCTGTGTTATTACTGCTATTACTATACTACCCGTAATAACAACCTTGGACAATTGTCAACAGACAATTGACATTCTCTTGATTCGTAAATTTTGGGTCAAAACCTTTATGAGAGCTCTATTTTTTTACCTTTAACTTAAAATACACATGAAAGTTTAAGCAAATGCAGTTTTAAGACAAGTCTCCTTGACATCTTTCCTTTTCCAATAAATTTACCTGATTTTTGCATCCATATGAAAGTAACAGAGCCAACAAGTAGGATACCAATCTCAGTGAGACATGATGGTGGACTGAAACAGGGATGGAGTAAAGTCAAAAGATTTGAAAGATATTTAGGTAATAAAACTGCTAGAACTTGGTGATTAGATATGTGGAATGACAATCTAACACATACTACTAGAAATGGGTTTTCCATTCCCTTCTAATCTGTCTCTAACAGTAGCTATTAGTGAACAACTCCGTGCAGGTGATAGAGTTTTAATCAGGATGAAATATAGCTTGATGAAGAAAACGTAGGTGATCCAGGGGAAAAACGGATGTGAAGAAAGCATAAAAATAAAAATATTCAATCCTGTGTAGAGGATAGAAGAGAGAAGAAGCATTTGCACCCTGATAAAGTCTGACCAAGAGAAGTAGAGTCAATTAACATCTAAATGAAATAAATACTGATTCTCTTAGACTAAACTTTCACTAAATGCTGAATTTCACCCTTTGTTCATGTAAGCCTCTGGTTGTAAATGAGGGGTGAATCATCCCCCTCCCTCTAGGGGCAGTTGACAATGTCTAAAGACATTTTTGCTGTGATAACACGGGTCAGGATGTTAGCACTACTGGAATCTCATACATAGAGACCAAGGGTGTTGCTAAATATCTTATAATGCACAAGATAGCCCCCTACAACAAATAATTATCCAGCACAAATGTCAATGGTGCCATGTTTGAGAAACCCTAGAATTCACTGACATAAGAAATATCAAATTAGACACCCAGACACTGTCATGTTGTGGGAGGCACTAAGAAAAGAAAGTCATAGGTCCTGCCCATGAAGAAGAAATGGCTTAAATTTATTAATTTTCAATATAAGAGCAACTATTCAAATAATAGCACAGGTAGTAATAAGACATATGTCATAAATCAGTATGTCTGTGATTGCTACATAAATGGTATCTATGATAAGTGCTCAATCTATATTTTTATAGAGTGGAGAGCAAAAGTCAGCCTAGAAAAAAAAACCATACCTGTTTTGTGAACACAGCATTTCTGAGGTGTCTGGAGGAGAAATAACTTAGGATTTCGCTAAAAAAAAAAATAGTCATGTGAAACAGACAGAAAATATTCTATTTTGGGAAATTTTATGAGTTTTCCAGAGAAAAAAAGATATACTCCATTGCTTAAGGCCAGATTCAGGATGGTCTTATATTTTTTTTACCTAGAAGTGGAGTTTTGAGCAGTAAAGTGACAGAATGAAATTTATCTTTCAGTAAAAGCAATTAGGTGGCAGTAGGTGGAACCAACTGTATATCAGAGGCATTGTGGACAAAGAGAGATCAAGAAGAAAAAATGTTTGAATAGTGACATAAAAGATTCTTGCAAAAAAATGGTGGCTCTGAGTAAGAAGACAAAACATATAGTAAGATCAACCTGAGAATCAGGAATGGACAGGATTATCCAAATGTCAATAAAAGCAAAGAGTGTATAACAGAAAGTAATTTGTTTTGTTAAAGGGAGTATTAAAGATCCTCATGCACGTGTAAAACTAATAAACTTCTTATGCCTTTCTTTTACTAAAAAACCTTACTTACACCAACTTGACCATCATCTGCTGTGACTTTTTTTTTTTTTTTGGAAATAATGGTAATCCCTGGTAACTAGAGGTAAAGAATGACTACATATGATTATAATGACAGGTATAGCAACTACTTTTAAGGCACCATGTAGAATTCTTTTAGCTTCATCTGGCTTTTATTCCAGCACCTGGACAACGGTCCTGCATAAGCTATGTCCAGCATCCTGTAGGTAACTTTTGACCACACTTTGTCTCAGGTCTGTGTTGTGTGCCTCCTCCCTCCTTACTCTGGACTTTTCCAGGTAGGATCCCACTGGGATCTGCTTGATGTCCATATTTTCACAACCTGAGGGTAAATAAGAGTTAACTCCCCATGTGGGCACACAGTAAGCAATCAAGGACAGAAGCCAGTAGATGTATGCTCCCCACCCAAACCTTGCCTACATGAGATTGCAAGGTGTAGATTATATTGTTTCTCAGGTAGTCCTATAAAATTTAAGAAACCAATCACCTCTATCAGTAGCCAACTAAAGAAGACATCTTTGCATTGCCTCTTTCCTGTTTCTGCTTCCTTTCCCTGTCACTCTCGTTTAATCTCTGGGGTCAAACACTAGAATAAAGCATTTGTCCTTAACCCTGTGTTCCAGGTATGCTTTGTGAAGAACTTAGGTAAAGGCAATCATGATGACATTGATGATGATGACAATAACATCTAATATTGCGGAAACATCATTCTCATTTTTACAGGTGAAGAAACTAAGGAAGATAAATGTTGCCTTCATTTCCTCTTAATAAGTTAAGTCACAATAAAGAAAAAACAAAACAAAAAATAAAATAAAATTAAGTTATAAGGTCTTGCTAATGAGGCTACATGTTTACTCATTGACATTTCCCCTCTTGAAATAAAACAAGATAAGCACAAGGGAAAAATAGGTGGCTACGTTAAGTAAACATTTCTAGTTTGTTTTGGTCACAGATGAAACACAGATTCAGTGAGCACATTACAAAGTAGACTTTAAATTACCCATTATTTATTATCATTGCATTAATTCTAGTAGTGGAGTTATTTATTTATTTGTGGCTACTATTTGAGAAGTATTCTTCAATACCAGATTGACTTTTAAAATTTGAGAAATAATGGCATTCTGGGGACAGAATAGCAAGCACCTTATTGGGTGATGAGTCATGTCTTCAGGGTATATATTAGCTGCTTCTGGCAGTCCTCAGCATTTGAGGAGTATCTTAATGATGCTTCTCCAAAGCATTTTTAAAAATAGAAAATTAATGAATAAACATAAAACATTATTTACATTTCTTCTTGAGATACTTAATTTTTGTGTTTGTGACAGCTTTGGCATGCCAGGTAGGATTTTATGACTCTGCAAGAACTATAGCATTATTGGGCTTGGAGTGCCCTCTAATGCAGAAATGACTCCGGTGGCCGAAAACATAGATCAAGACGTTCAATTCCCATCAAAACACCTGGAAAGCTTTCCAAAGAAGGACTGGTACAGCAAAGACTACAATAAATACTACTAACTCCCCAGACATTGATAGGCATCCAAAGGCATCAAGGCCGTTCGAGAAAATATGATCTCACCAAACAAACTAAATAAGGCAACCATCACCAATTCTGGAGAGAGAGAGATATGTGATCTTTCAGACAGAGAATTCAAAATAGCTGTTTTTTGTTTGTTTTTTTGGCTTTTTTTTTTTTTTTTTTTTTTTTTTGGAAACAGAGTTTTGCTCTTGTTGCCCAGGCTGGAGTGCAATGGTGCGATCTCAGCTCACCGCAATCTCCACCTCCCGGGTTCATGTGATTCTCCTGCCTCAGCCTCCTGAGTACATGGGATTACAGGCATGTGCCATCACGCCTGGCTAATTTTGTATTTTTAGTAGAGATGAGGTTTCTCCATGTTGGTCAGGCTAGTCTCGAACTCCCGACCTCAGGTGATCTACCTGCCTCGGCCTCCCAAAGTGCTGGGAATACAGGTGTGAGCCACTGCACCCAGCTGATAATAGCTGCTTTGAGGAAACTCAATGATATCTAAAATAACACAGAGAAATAATTCAGAATCCTATCAGATAAATTTAACAATGAAATGGAAATAACTAATAAGAACCAAGCAAAGATTCTGAAGCAGAAAAATGTAATTGACATACTGAAGAATGCATCAAAGTCTCTCAAGAACAGAATTGATCAAGCAGAATAAAGAATTAGTGGTCTTGAAGATGGGCTATTTGGAAATGCCCAGTCAGAGAAGGCCAAAAAAAAAAGAAGAATGAAACACAACTACATGATCTAGAAAACAGCCTCAAAAGGGCAAATGTAAAAGTTATTGGTCTTAAAGAGGAGATAGAGAGAGAGAGATCAGGGTAGAAAGTTTATTCAAAGGGATAATAACAGAAAACATCTCAAACCTAGAAAAAGATATCAATATTAAAGTACAAGAAAGTTATAGAACACAAAGCAGATTTTACCAAAATAAGACTACATCAAGACATGTGATAATTAAACTCCCAGAGGTCAAGAATAAAGAAAAGATCCTAAAAGTAGCAAGATAAAAGAAACAACATACAAAGGAGATCCAATAAATCTACCAGCAGGCTTTTCAGTGGAAACTTTACATGCTGGGAGAGAGTGGTATGACATAGTTAAAGAGCTGAAGGAATTAAAAAACCTATCCTAGAATAGTACAACCAGCAAAAATATTCTTCAAACATGAAGGAGAAATAAAAACTCTCCCAGACAAAAACCTGAAGGATTTAATCAATGCCAGACCTGTTCTATAAGCAATGTTAAAGGGAATTCTTCATCCAGAAAAAAAAGGATATTAATGAGCAATAAGAAATCATCTGAAGGTTCAAAACTCACTGGTAATAGAAAGTACACAAAAAACGAAGAATAACATAACACTGTAATTCTGGTGTGTAAACTACTTATATGTTGAGTAGAAAGACTAAAATGTGAACCAATCAAAAATAATAACTACAACAATGTTTCAAGGCATAGGCAGTACAATAAGATATAAATAGAAACAATCAAAAGTTTAAAAACCCAGGAGATAAAGCTGAAGTGTGGAGTTTTTATTTTTGTTAGTTTTTTTCTTTGTTTGTTTGTTCCTGTAATCAGTGTCATCATTAGTTTAAAATAATGAGTGATAAGATATTATTCACAAGTCTCAGGGTAATCTCAAATTAAAAAACATACAACAGATACACAAAATATAAAAAGCAAGACATTAAAACCACCAGCAAAAATCGCTTTCACTAACAGGAAGACAGAAAATAAGGAAAGAAGAAAGAAAAGATCACAAAGCAAGCAGAAAACAAATAACAAAATGGCAGAGTTAAATTCTTACTTATAAATAATAATATTGAATGTAAATGGACTAAACTCTCCAATCAAAAGACTTAGAGTGGCTGAATGAATTTTTTAAAAAAAATGCCTGATGATATGTTGGCAACAAGAAACAAACTTCACCTATAAAGACACACGTAGACTGAAAATAAACAGAAAAAGATATCACATGCAAATGGAAACCAAAAAAGAGCAAGGGTCATTATACTTACATGGAACACAATATGTTTCAAGACAAAAACCATAAAAAGAGACAAAGAAGGTCATTATATAATGATAAGTGGCCAATTCAACAAGAATATATACAATTGTAAATATAATACGCACACAATACGGAAGCACCTAGATATATAATGCTAATTGGATTAGAGCTAAAGAGAGAGAGAGACCCAAATACAATAATAGCTAGAAGTTTCAACACCACACTTTCAACAATGGACAGATTATCCAGACACAAAATCAACAAAGAAATATTGGACCTAATCTGCACTGTAAACCAAATGGACCTCATAGATATGCACAGAACATTTCAACCAATGGCAGCAGAATACACATTCTTCTCCTCAGCACATTGATCATTCTTGAGGCTAGACCATAGGTTATGCCACAAAACAAGTCTTAAAAATTTCAAAAAAATTGAAGTTACATCAAGTATCTTCTTTGCCCACAAAAGAGTCAATCTAGAGGTCAATAACAAGGGGGATTTTGGAGACTATACCAAAATATAGAAATTACACAATATGTTTCTGAATGACCAGTGGGTTAATGAATAAATAAACAGAAAATTTTAAAACGTTTTTAAGCAAATAACAATGGAAGCACAACATATCAAAATGTGTGGCATACAGCAACAGAAGTACAAAGAGTAATTTTTTTTTATTATACTTTAAGTTTTAGGGTGCAAAGAGTAAATTTTAAGCCTATAAGTGCCTACATCAAAAAAGTATAAAAACTTCAAATTAACTATCTAATGGTGCATCTTAAAGAACTAGAAAAGCAAGAGCAAATTAAACCCCAAATTTGTAGAAGAAAGCAAATAATAAAGATCAATCAGAAATAAATGAAATTGAAATGAAAAAACAATACAAAAGGCCAATGCAATAAAATATTGGTTTTTTGAAAAGATAAAACTGACAAGCCTTTAGCAGACAAATTAAGAACAGAGATGGCCCAAATAAATAAAGTCAGAGCAAAATACAGAGAATCTAGAATAGATAGAGAAATTCTTAGACATAGATGTCTGCCTACCAAGAGTAAGCCATGAAGAAATTTGAAGCATAAATAGAGGCTGGGCACGGTGGCTCATGCCTGTAATCCCAGCACTTTTGCGAGACCAAGGTAGGTGGATCACTTGAGGGCCAGAGTTTGAGACCAGCCTGGCCAACATAGTGAAACCCCATCTCTAGTAAAAACACACACAAAAAATTAGACAAGCATGGTGACATGCAATTGTAATCCCAGCTACTCAAGAGGCGGAGGCAGGAGAATCTCTTTCATGTAGGAGGCAGAGACTGTAGTGAGCTGAATTTGCACCACTGCACTCCAGCCTGGGCAACAGAGTAAAACTCCATCTCAAAAAACAAAACAAAACAAAAAAAACACATAAATAGACCAATAACAAATAACAGATTTAAACCATAAAAGACTGTATCACAGCAAAGAAAAGCCTGGGACCTGATGAATTCTTTGCTGAATTTTAGTTTGAAGTTGGGTAGAGTGATGCCTCCAGCTTTGTTCTTTTAGCTTAGGATGCTATATTAGTCTGTTTTCATGCTGCTGATAAAGCCATACCTGAGACTGGGCAATTTTCAAAAGAAAGCAATTTAATGGACTTACAATTCCATGTAGCTGGGGAGGCCTCACAATCATGGTGGAGGGTGAAAGGCATGTCTCACATGGTGGCAGACAAGAGAAGAAGGTTGTGCAGGGAAACACCTCCTTATATAATTGTCAGATCTCATGAGACTTATTCACTGTCATGAGAACAGCACAGGAAAGACCTGCCCCTGTGATTCAATTACCTCCCACCAGGTCCCTCCCACAATACGTGGGAATTCAAGGTGAGATTTTGGTGGGGACACAGCCAAACCATATCAGATGCATTGGCTATTCAGGCTCTCTTTTGGTTCCATATGAATTTTAAAATAGTTTTTTTCTAGTTCTGTGAAGACTGTCAATGGTAGTTTAATGGAAGTACCATTGAACGTATAAATTGCTTTGGATAGTATGGTCATTTTAATGCTATTGATTCTTCCCATGCATGAGCATGGAATGTTTTTCCATTTGTTTGTATCGTCTCTGATTTCTTCAAGCAGTGGTTTGTAGTTCACCTCTCCTGTTCACTGTATTCCTAAGTATTTTATTATTTTTGTGGCAATTGTGAATGCGAGTTTGTTCGTGATTTGGCTCTTGGCTTAACTGTTGTTGGTGTATAGGAATGTTAGTGATTTTGCACATTGATTTTGTATCTTGAGATTTTGCTGAAGTTGTTTATCACCTTAAGAGGCTTTTGGGCCAAGACTACAGGGTTTTCTACATATAGGATTATGTCATCTGCAAACAGAAATAATTTGACTGCCTCTCTTCCTGTTTGACTGCCTTTTATTTCTTTCTCTTGCTGACTGCCTGGCCAGAAGTTCCAATACTATGTTGAATAGGAGTGGTAAAAGAGGGCATCCTTGTCTTGTGCTGGCTTTCAAGGGGAGTTCTTCCAGCATTTGCCCAGTCAGTATGGTGCTGGTTGTGGGTTTGTCACAGATGACTCTCATTATTTTGAGGTATGATCCATCACTACCTAGTTTATTGAGAGTTTTTAAAATGAAGGAATGTTAAATTTTATCAAAACACTTTTCTGCATCTATTGAGATAATCATGTGGTTTTTGTCTTAGTTTTTTGCCTTTGTTTACGTGATGAATCACATTTATTGATTTGCATATGATGAACCAACCTAGCATCTAGGGGATGAATCCTACTTACTCATAGTGAATACACTTTTTGATGCTGAATTTGGTTTGCCAGTATTTTTTTGGATTTTTTGAATTGATGTTCATCAAGGATATTGGCCTGAAGTTTTCTTATTTTGTTGTATCTCTGCCAGGTTGGTACCAGGATGATGCTGATCTCATAGAATGAGTTATGGATGAGTCCTCTTCTTCACTTCTTTGGAATAGTTTCAGTAGAGATGGTATCAGCTCTTCTTTGCACTTCTGGTAAATTTCAGCTGTGAATCTGTCTTACCCTGAGCTTTTTAAGGTTAGTAGGCTATTTATTACTACCTCAATTTGAAAACACACTTTTGGTCTGTTCAGGAATTCCATTTCTACCTGGTTCAGTATTGGGAAGGTGTATGTGCCCGTGAATTTATTCATTTCTTCTAGATTTTCTAGTTTGTGTCTATAGAGGTATTTATAATATTCTCCGATGGTTGTTTGTATTTCTGTGGGGTCAGTAGCAATATCTCCCTTATCATTTCTGATTGTGTTTATTTGAATCTTCCCCTCTTCTTTATTAGTCTAGCTGGTGGTCTAACTCTTTCACTTATTTATTCAAAAAAAAAGAAAACACCTCCTGAATTTGTTGGGGTTTTGAATGGTCTTTCATGTCTCTATCTCCTCCAGTTCAGCTCTGATTTTGGTTACTTCTTGTCTTCTGCTAAGTTTGAAATTTGTTTACTCTTTGTTCTCTAGTTCTTTTAGATATGATGTTGGGTTGTTAAGATCTTTCTAATTTTTTGATGTGGGCACTTAATGCTATAAATTTTCATCTTAACACTGCCTTAGCTGTGTCCCAGAGATTCTGGTAGGTTGTATCTTTTTTTCTCATTAGTTTCAAATAACTTCTTGCTTTCTGCCTTAATTTCATTATTTTCCCAAACGTTATTCAGGAGCAGGTTATTCAATTTCCATGTAATCATACGGTTTTGAGTTAATGTCTTAGTCTTAAGTACTAATTTAATTGTGCTGTGGTCTGAAAGACTGTCTGTTGTGATTTCAGCTCTTTTGCATTTGCTGAGTAATGGTGTAATTCTCATTATGCGATTAATTTTAGAGTAAGTAATATGTGGCAATGAGAAAAATGTATTTTCAGTTGTTCTGGGGTGGAGAGTTTGGTAGATATTTATCAGGTTTATTTTAATCCAAAGCTGAGTTCAGGTCCTGAATATCTTTCTTACATTTCTGTCTCAATGATCTAATATTGACAGTGGGGTGTTAAATTCACCCACTTTTATTGTGTGAGTCTAAGTCTCTCTGAAGATCTCCAAGAAATTGATTTACCAATATGGGTGCTCCTATGTTGGGTGCATATATATTTAAGATAGTTAGCTCTTCTTAGGTTGGTAATAACAAGCTTCTCCAAGCTAAAGGAGGATATTTGAAACCATTGCAAGGAAGCTAAAAACTTGAAAAAAGATTAGACAAATGGCTAACTAGAATAAACAGTGTAAAGAAGAACTTAAATGACCTGACGGAGCTGAAAACCATGGCACAACAACTTCGTGACGCATGCACAAGCATCACTAGCCAATGGGATCAAGAGGAAGAAAGGGTATCAGTGACTGAAGATCAAATTAATGAAATAAAGTGAGAAGTTTAGAGAAAAAACAGTAAAAAGAAACAAACAAAGCCTCCAAGAAATATGGGACTATGTGAAAAGACCAAATCTACATTTGATGGGTGTACCTGAAAGTAACAGGGAGAATGGAACCAAGTTGGAAAACACTCTTGAGGATATTATCCAGGAGAACTTCCCCAACCTAGCAAGGCAGGCCAACATTCAAATTCAGGAAATACAGACAACACCACAAAGATACTCCTCGAGAAGAACAACCACAAGACACATAATTGTCAGATGCACCAAGGTTAAATGAAGGAAAAAATGTTAAGGGCAGCCACAGAGAAAGGGCGGGTTACCCACAAAGGAAAGCCCATCAGACTAACAGCAGATCTCTCAGCACAAATTCTACAAGCCAGAAGAGAGTGGGGGCCAATATTCAACATTCTTAAAGAAAAGAATTTTCAACCCAGAATTTCATATCCAGCCAAACTAAGCTTCATTAGTGAAGGAGAAATAAAATTCTTTACAGATAAGCAAATGCTGAGAGATTTGTCACCACCAGGCCTGCCTTACAAGAGCTCCTGAAGGAAGCACTAAACATGGAAAGGAACAACCGGTACCAGCCACTGCAAAAACATGCCAAACTGTAAATACCACCAATGCTAGGAAGAAACTGCATCAACTAACAGGCAAAATAACCAGCTAACATCATAGTGACAAGATCAAATTCACACATAACAATATTAACCTTAAATGTAAATGGGCTAAATGCCACAGTTAAAAGACACAGACTGGCAAATTGGATAAAGAGTCAAGACCCATCAGTGTGCTGTATTCAGGAGACACATCTCACATGCAGAGACACACATAGGCTCAAAATAAAAGGATGGAGGAAGATCTACCAAGAAAATGGAAAGCAAAAAAAAGCAGGGGTTACAATCCTAGCCGCTGATAAAATAGGCTTTAAACCAGTAAAGATCAAAAGAGACAAAGAAGGCCATTGCATAATGGTAAAGGGATCAATTCAACAAGAAGAGCTAACTATCCTAAATATTATATGCACCCAATACAGGAGCACCCAGATTCATAAAGCAAGTCCTTAGAGACCTACAAAGAGACTTAGACTCCCACACAATCATAATGGGAGACTTTAACACCCCACTGTCAATATTAGACAGATAACAAGACAGAAGGTTAACAAGGATATCCAGGACTTGAACTCAGCTCTGCACCAAGCAGACCTAATAGACATCTACTGAACTCTCCACCCAAAATCAATGGAATATTCATTCTTCTCAGCACCACATCACACTTACTTTAAAATTGAAGCAAAGCACTCGTTGGAAGCAAAGCACTCCTCAGCAAATGTAAAAGAAAAGAAATCACAAAGAACTCTCTCTCAGACGATAGTGCAATCAAATTAGAACTCAGGATTAAGAAACTCATTCAAAACCACACAAGTACATAGAAACTGAACAACCTGCTCCTGAATGACTACTGGGTAATAACAAAAAGAAGGCAGAAATAAAAAAGTCCTTTGAAACCAATGAGAACAAAGACACAACGTACCAGAATCTCTGAGACACATTTAAAGCAGCATGTAGAGGGAAATTTGTAGCACTAAATGCCAACAAGAGAAAGCAGGAAAGATCTAAAATCAGCACCCTAACATCACAATTAAAAGAACTGGAGAAGCAAGAGCAAACACATTCAAAAGCTAGCAGAAAGCAAGAAATAACTAAGATCAGAGCAGAACTGGAGGAAATAGAGACACAAAAAACCCTTCAAAAAATTAATGAATCCAGGAGCTGGTTTTGTGAAAGGATCAACAAAATTGATAGACCACTAGCAAGACTAATAAAGAAAAAAAGAGAGAAGAATCAAATACAGGCAATCAGAAATGATAAAGGGGATATCACCACCAATCCCACAGAAATACAAACTACCATCAGAGAATACTATAAACACCTCTACACAAATAAACTAGAAAATCTAGAAGAAATGGATAAATTCCTAGACACATACACCCTCCCAAGAATAAACTAGGAAGAAGTTGAATCTCTGAATAGACCAATAACAGGCTCTGAAATTCAGGCAATAATTAATAGCCTATCAATCAATCAAAAAAAGCCCAGGACCTGATGGATTCACAGCCAAATACTACCAGGGGTACAAAGAGGAGCTGTTACCATTCCTTCTGAAACTATTCCAATCAATAGAAAAAGAGGGAATCCTTCCTAACTCATTTTATGAGGCCAGCATCATCCTGATACCAAAGCCTGGCAGAGACACAACAAAAAAAGAGAATTTCAGACCAGTATCCCTGATGAACATCGATGCAAAAATCCTCAATAAAATACTGGCAAACAGAATCTAGCAGCACATCAAAAAGCTTATCCAGCACGATCACGTTGGCTTCATCCCTGTGATGCAAGGCTGGTTTAACATACACAAATCAATAAATGTAATCTGTCATAAAAACTGAACAAAAACAAAAACCACATGATTATCTCAATAGATGGTGAAAAGGCCTTTGACAAAATTCAACAATGCTTCATGCTAAAAACTCTCAATAATCTAGGTATTGATGGGATGTATCTCAAAATAATAAGAGCTATTTATGACAAACCCACAGCCAACAGCATACTAAATGGGCAAAAACTGGAAGCATTCCCTTTGAAAACTGGCACAAGACAGGGATGCCCTCTCTCACCACTCCTGTTCAACATAGTATTGGAAGTTCTGGCCAGGGCAATCAGGCAGGAGAAAGAAATAAACGGTATTCAGTTAGGAAAAGAGGAAGTCAAGTTGTCCCTGTTTGCAGATAACATGATTGTATATTTAGAAAACCCCATTGTCTCAGCCCAAATCTCCTTCAGCTGATAAGCAACTTTAGCAAAGTCTCAGGATACAAAATCAATGTGCAAAAATCACAAGCATTCCTATACACCAATAACAGACAAACAGAGAGCCAAATCATGAGTGAACTCCCATTCACAATTGCTTCAAAGGGAATAAAATACCTAGGAATCCAACTTACAAAGGATGTGAAGGACCTCTTCAAGGAGAACTACAAACCACAGCTTAACAAAATGAAAGAGGACACAAACAAATGGAAGAACATTCCATGCTCATGGATAGGAAGAATCAATATCATGAAAATGGCCATACTGCCCAAGGTAATTTATAGATTCAATGCCGTCCCCATCAAGCTACCAATGTCTTTCTTCAAAGAATTGGAAAAAAAACTACTTTAAAGTTCATATGGAACCAAAAAAGAGCCTGCATTGCCAAGTCAATCCTAAGCCAAAAGAACAAAGCTGGAGGCATCACACTACCTGACTTCAAACTATACTACAAGGCTACAGTAACCAAAACAGTGTGGTACTGGTACCAAAACAGAGATATAGACCAACAGAACAGCACAGAGCCCTCAGAAATAAAACCACATGTCTACAATCATCTGATCTTTGACAAACCTGACAAAAACAAGAAATGGGGAAAGGATTCCCTATTTAATAAATGGTGCTGGGAAAACTGGATAGCCATATGTAGAAAGCTGAAACTGGATCCCTTCCTTAAACCTTATACAAAAATTAATTCAAGATGGATTAAAGATTCAAATATTAGACCTAAAAACATAAAATCCCTAGAAGAAAACCTAGGCATTACCATTCAGGACATAGGCATGGGCTAGGACTTCATGACTAAAACACTAAAAGCAATGGCAACGAAAGCCAAAATAGACAAATGGGATCTAATTAAACTGAAGAGCTTCTGCACAGCAAAATAAACTAACCATCAGAGTGAACAGGCAACCTAAAGAATGGGAGAAAATTTTTGCAATCTACCCATCTGACAAGGGGCTAATATCCAGAATCTACAAAGAACTGAAACAAATTTACAAGAAAAAATCAAACAGCCCCATCAAAAAGTGGGCAAAGGAAATGAACAGACACTTCTCAAAAAGAAGACCTTTATGCAGCCAACAGACACATGAAAAAATGTTCATCATCACTGGCCATCAGAGAAATGTAAATCAATACCACATGAGATACCATCTCACACCAATTAGAATGGCGATCATTAAAAAGTCAGGAAACAACAGGTGCTGGAGAGGATTTGGAGAAATAGGAACACTTTTACACTGTTGGCAGGAGTGTAAACTAGTTCAACCATTGTGGAAGTCAGTGTGGTGATTCCTCAAGGACCTAGAACCAGAAATACCATTTGACCCAGCCATCACATTACTGGATATATACCCAAAGGATTACAAATCATGCTGCTATAAAGACACATGCACATGTATGTTTATCGTGGCATTATTCACAATAGCAAAGACTTGGAACCAACCCAAATATCCATCAATGATAGACTGGATTAAGAAAATGTGGCACATATACACCATGGAATACTATGCAGCCATAAAAAAAGGATGAGTTCATGTCCTTTGCAGGGACATGGATGAAGCTGGAAACCATCATTCTGAGCAAACTATCACAAGGACAGAAAACCAAACACTATGTGTTCTCACTCACAGGTGGGAATTGAACAATGAGAACACTTGGACACAGGGTGGGGAACAACACACACCGGGGCCTGTCATGGGGTAGGGGGCTGGGGGAGGGATAGCATTAGGAGAAATACCTAATGTAAATGATGAGTTAATGGGTGCAGCACACCAACATGGCACATGTATACATGTGTAACAAACTGCACGTTGTGCACATGTACCCTAGAACTTAAAGTATAGTAAGAAAAAAGAAAATAAAATAAATCCTTAAAAAAATAAAAACCAAAATATGTATAAGAGAAGTATGGAAATAAATTCCTGTAGGAGAAAAGGTATTGTGTAAACTAACTGAATTATATTGTGCAACCTAGCTGAATTAAACATTAATTTTTTGACTAACTGTTACTCTAACTATTGTAGCTCACATATTACAATAATTTCTGGCTGCTTTTAAACTACATATATGATTCTGATAGAAGGAGAAACTTTCTGACATAAATACAGGTTACCCTTAAGCAACATGGGTTTTAACTGGGTGCGTCCAATTAGACATGGAATTTTTTTTCAACCAAACACAGATGGAAAATACAGCCTTCGTGGGATGTAAAACCTGCGCATACAGAAAGCCAAATTTTTATATATACAGATTCCACAGGGCCAAGTGTGAGGCTTCACCATGCATAGGTTTGGGTATTTGTGGACGTCCTGGTACCACTGCCCTGCGTATACTGAAGGTCGACTGTACTATGCATGAGAGACTTCCACTTTAAAATGGCATCTGGTGATATCCAAATTCCCCACAAAAGCATTTGTAAATACTCTGAAAAATGCAAAAATGTACAATGCTACAAAAATTTGGTCTGCAAGAATGTATTTACTTACTTACCTAAGGAAACCAAATTGAAAAATGAAATAAGTAGCCTTCCATGCCCTATTTGCCTGAAAATATGTCTTTGGTTCTCCTCAAACTTCACCCAAGTGCCATGGGAAACAGCACAGGACAACAGCTAAGAGTAAAGACTCTGGAGTGAGGCTGTGCTTGTAAGCATGAATCAGGTGCATTCGAGGTTGACATCCTGGTTTTATGGCAACTTGGTGCAAACACCAATGATACTATTTTTACAGAAGGTTAGAGAGGGGAGAAAAGAGAATTCATAGGCCCTTGAATATTTTCTACATATGGAAACAAATGACACATATTGTCTGGCTAACCAAAACCCAAAAGTTAAAAACAAAATATACATCTTTAAGGGTTAGAGAAAAGGAAACAGATAGGAATAGCCTTAGGAATTCAAAATTGGAGGAACAATGTAGATCATTGTGAGGTGGCTTCTTTTTTAGCAGTTAATTTGGATACATTAATCATAATCAACTCTCTTTAATCAGAAATTGGGATTTCCTGAGGACTTTTCATTAATTGCAAACCAGAGCAGTAGGCAAATTATTCTTCACTGCAGATCAGAGTATTCCTTTGTGGGTTATGTTCGTATCCCACAGAATGAAGTTCAAATAGAATTTTTACTGAATTTTGCTATCATATTACCACACATCCCCCATTAATTCATTACTGCTAATAGAATACATGTGTGTTCCTCAAATGGTAGACCATGAAATGACTGAGCTAATGAGTAAAACTGAGCTTCTACAGGTATAGCTGGGAGCATGCAGGGGAATGGTATAAGGGCTGTTGTTCTATTCAGCACAGAAGCAGTTAAGTCAGCTTCATATTCTCCTCTATTTTGCACTGGCTTTTAATGACATTAAATCAAATTATATTTTCTTAGAAGATTTAATGTTTAGCTTTTCTAATTTTACCTTCATAATGAAATTGTAGTAGGGCTGTGTGCAGTCATTTGGATAAAATTGAAAGTGCCATCAGTTATACACTCTAAACGAAATAGCAGCCTTTTTGTTTAACTTTAGTTAATGGTCTTATAGTTTCACATAAAAACTTTCTACCTCCTCTGTTGGAATTTGACTACAAGCTTTGAAACTACAAGCAAAGTTGCTTATCACAAATGGAGAATTCCCAGAAACAAAAGCTTATCTTAATGCAATTATTCAAATTAAAATGTTTGCATTTGATGACACACATATTTGAGGACAATCGCCCACCTTTTTTATGTTTACATTTAGTAATTCATGTCCTTTCTGTTTCAAGGCAGCTTCACTGGTACAGTGGTTTCCAGAATCACTTCTCACTTCCATTATGAACTTCTTAAAAACTCAGTAAGAGGAGCAGCCTTACGCAGAGAAAGGCACCAGTGTGAAACTCACTGACCAAAATGTTTTTCAGGTTCTGAAGCTACTAAGCAGACATCATTGCCCAAATTCTTAAGTTCTCCAAGGCTCTTGTTTCTTCAACTATGAGACTAAGTACCAATAGTAATTATTAGTGATGTTGTTACTGTCATTCTGAAAATAATAGTAAGTAGCTAATATTTACTGGGTATTTGCCATGTGTCACATTGTGAGCTGGGCACTTGTCTCTGTAAGATCTCATTTCATTACCGTGAGAGCTTTATATACAGTCAATGATTTCTTCATTTTACTGATGAAGATATTGAGGTTCAGAGAGGTTTGGAAATTTATGTAAGCTCTCACAGCTAGCAAAGGTCATAACCAGAAAACTAAATAAGGTCTGAATTAAGAATAAAAGACATTGAAAGACGCTTTAAGTCCTAAAATTCAGAGTAAAATAGGAGTCACTGACTGAATTTTAACTTTACGTAAAATATGAAAATTATACTTATGAAACATCCATATTTCTAAAAATAATTTCCTGTTGGAACATCTTTATAATTATATACAACATAGTTTAATTTATAAACTTATTTTAGATGTACAGCTACCATTTGAAAGGAGAACGACCTCTAATTTTTATATGAAATACCATGCAGTATAATATTACTTCTTGTTAATTTTCAATTAACAATTTTCCTTTTTTAAATCATGTCTCCAATTATTGTCTGTGCCCTTTTTCGGCTGTGCAACTGAAATCTTTGACTGAAGTGTAATTTCATTATTTGTAAAGGCAGAAACAATGGAACTGTCTGTGCTCATATTAATTTTAGTAGAGCGTGCACTCTAAAATATTTAGCCAGAGCAACAAAGTTTATGTCAATCCTAGTTATTATCAGCCTAGAAATCTCTTGGAACTAGAATCCATTGTAAAGTCAAATTAAAGGTTTCTGTCTCTTGGTAAAGCAGGACTCTCTCACTTATTACATTTCAAAGAACAATAAACTGCTTATATAATTTTCTTCACACCATGTTGGAACTTATCCTTATGCCTTTGCTCACACTGAGTTGGGCTTAAAATATTTCCTCCTCCTTTGTAAAGTCTTAGATATCCTTTCATTTATTCTTTAAGACTCATCTTTGTGTCACCTTCTAAGACATCTTCTTTATTGCCCTACTAAAAACCACATATACCTACTCCCAGGCAAAATGATGCCCCTTTATAAAGATCTTTATTGCTGCACATATGGTATTACGGTACAATTAACAGTTTATATGTCATTCTTCCTTACAAGACAGAATATTGTTTCAGGAAGGTTTTTTGTTTTTTAAGTGACAGCCTCTCTATGCACCTAGGCTGGACTGCAGTGGTTACTCATGGGGACAATTATGGGACATTATATTCTTCACATCCTGAGCAAACTGATGCTCCTGCCTTGGCCTCTGGAGTAGCTAGAACTGCAGACATGGATCACCATGACTGGTTTCAGGTAGCTTTTGAGTGTAGAAGAATAACCCAATAGTTGCCTGATCTAGGCTGCCTTTTTGGCCTATTCTTCATCAAGCTGTGGGTCAGAGTGGGCATGAGTCCTTGCTTAGATCTCTATGTGTATTACTTCTGGGGCACAGTTCTACTTATGGTGACGGAGGAACAATCAATAAATCAACCTGCACTGCACAAGCACATTTTGTACAACTGCTTTCATCACATCTGCTAACATTGTTTTGGCAAAGCAAATCATATGAACAAACACAACATCAGGGTGCAGCCCCAGAGGAGGCTGTGAGTGCATATTATCATGACAAGGAAGTGAAGAGTTGTGACCAATAGGTCAAATACTATAGAATAACAACCAGTTCTCATTTATCTTTATGTGTATATCCAGTGCCTGGGACTATACTTGACCATTGTGAGTCCTCAAGACATGTATGAAGAATGAATGCTCTGACACTGCTGATAGTGTTCCCACACTCATTCGTTCTGTGAGGCATACTCCAAACCACATCAAACTACCAAAGATTTGAAACACAGGATGTTGAACTCCCCAATTATATTTATCGAGACATTCAACAGCTTCCAAACAGAAATACAAAGATAGAGATTTTCATACAGTAAACTGTTAGGTTATAATTTGGGCAGAAGAACATAAAGTTGTAGCCTTAGACATGGAATTTATTCATTTCCGTTTGTGGTATATTGTTTTCCAAAATGCCTACAACGATACCTCCTTTCCCATGTGTGCCTTTGCAATAGGACCATGCCACCCATCCCAGCAAGGGGTACAGTCTGTTTCTACCTTCCTTCAATCTAGGATATCCTTGCGACTTGCTTGACCAGTAGAATGTGGTGGAAGTGACCCTATGCAGTTATGGGTCTACGTCTTAAGAGGTCTTGCAATATTTTTCTAAGAGGTCTTGCAATATTTTTCTTAGTTTCTGCAGAATTTTATCTTTTACATAAAGAAACACAGGCAAGACAACTGAATAATGAGCAACCATGTGAAGAGAGCCAAGACACATGGAGGAGGACCAAAAGACCCTACCAGCATTCACCACCAGTAGACCATCTTGGATCCCTTGGCCCCAGTTGAACTTTTTCAGCCAATACCAGGTGAAACAGAGACAAGCCGTCCCCTCTGAGCACTGCCTGAATTCCTCACCCACAGAATCATGAGTAATAAAACAGTTATTTTAAGTTTCTAAGTTTTGGAGTGGTTTATAATACAGCAATAGGTAACTAAAAGAGCTCAAAACTACTCCTAAAAGAACAGAGAAAATTGATACTGAGAACTCTGACATAAACCAGCTGGAATCATTTTAAAAATAACTGTTACAGAATTGCCACATCTGAAATAATGAACATTTTGAATTGATTCCTAAAAAAATAAGCACAGAAAATTTCAGACTAAAAGATAGCCAACCTCCAAGTATTTCTTGTCTAAACATGAATATATGGATATAAATATTGTTCACTTAGACTTTTTTAGAAAAATCATCAAAATGTCAAAGCATTTTAAACATTAATAAATATGATATAAATAATATATTTAAGTATATTATAATTTAAAGTGTTTTCACTTTTGTATAATCTTTGTTCCATTAAAAAAAACCTTCAATTTCTATAAACATTTAAACTCATATAAAAATAGTTATTAGTAAGTAAGTCAACTAGGAGATGGATTCCCAGCAAAATTCAACTAGCTATTTCTGGGACAGTCCACTGATAATATGAACTTAAGATCAACTGATCTTCTGAAAGGTACAATTTCAAATCAAGCAGAAGAGGTAACAGTTTTTAGGAATTCTTTTTTTTCCAATTTAGTGAGATAAAAATGCGCTCATTTAGATGCCAAAATCATTTAAAGCTTGTGTAATGAATGTAAAAATAAATACACTCTAAGACTGAATTCAATTCCACCTGAATATATTACAGGGAGAATATGTCACATCCAATATTGAGGGAAACACGAAGCTTCTTAGGAAATGTAAATATTTCTACTTTAGCAAGTCTAATCTCATTCATCATCATCAGTGTGTCCCCTCCACCCCAACCAAAAAAGAAGAAGAAGAAGAAATAGTTTGGAAAGAGTCCAAAGATCATTCAAAGTGAACCAAAAAAAATCCTATTAATTTTGCATTTTGCAAAAAGGAGGGAAGAGCCAAGATGGCCGAATAGGAACAGCTCCGGTCTACAGTTCTCAGTGTGAGCGACGCAGAAGACGGGTGATTTCTGCATTTCCATCCGAGCTTTGAAGAGAGCAGTGGTTCTCCCAGCACGCAGCTGGAGATCTGAGAACGGGCAGACTGCCTCCTCAAGTGGGTCCCTGACCCCTGACCCCCGAGCAGCCTAACTGGGAGGCACCCCCCAGTAGGGGCAGACTGACACCTCACACGGCCGGGTACTCCAACAGACCTGCAGCTGAAGGTCCTGTCTGTTAGAAGGAAAACTAACAAACAGAAAGGACATCCACACCAAAAACCCATCTGTACATCACCATCATCAAAGACCAAAAGTAGATAAAACCACCAAGATGGGGAAAAAACAAAGCAGAAAAACTGGAAACTTTAAAAAGCAGAGCGCCTCTCCTCCTCCAAAGGAACACAGCTCCTCACCAGCAACGGAACAAAGCTGGATGGAGAATGACTTTGACGAGCTGAGAGAAGAAGACTTCAGACGATCAAATTACTCCGAGCTATGGGAGGACATTCAAACCAAAGGCAAAGAAGTTGAAAACTTTGAAAAAAATTTAGAAGAATGTATAACTAGAATAACCAATACAGAGAAGTGCTTAAAGGAGCTGATGGAGCTGAAAACCAAGGCTCGAGAACTACGTGAAGAATGCAGAAGCCTCAGGAGCTGATGCAACCAACTGGAAGAAAGGGTATCAGTGGTGGAAGATGAAATGAATGAAATGAAGCGAGAAGGAAGTTTAGAGAAAAAAGAATAAAAAGAAATGAGCAAAGCCTCCAAGAAATATGGGACTATGTGAAAAGACCAAATCTACGTCTGATTGGTGTACCTGAAAGTGACGGGGAGAATGGAACCAAGTTGGAAAACACTCTGCAGGATATTATCCAGGAGAACTTCCCCAACCTATCAAGACAGGCCAACGTTCAGATTCAGGAAATACAGAGAACGCCACAAAGATATTACTCAAGAAGAGCAACTCCAAGACACATAATTGTCAGATTCACCAAAGTTGAAATGAAGGAAAAAATGTTAAGGACAGCCAGAGAGAAAGGTCGGGTTACCCTCAAAGGGAAGCCCATCAGACTAACAGCGGATCTCTCGGCAGAAACCCTACAAGCCAGAAGAGAGTGGGGGCCAATATTCAACATTCTTAAAGGAAAGAATTTTCAACCCAGAATTTCATATCCAGCCAAACTAAGCTTCATAAGTGAAGGAGAAATAAAATACTTTACAGATAAGCAAATGCTGAGAGATTTTGTCACCACCAGGCCTGCCCTAAAAGAGCTCCTGAAGGAAGAGCTAAACATGGAAAGGAACCACCGGTACCAGCCACTGCAAAATCATGCCAAAATGTAAAGACCATCAAGACTAGGAAGAAACTGCATCAACTAACGAGCAAAATCACCAGCTAACATCATAGTGACAGGATTAAATTCACACATAACAATATTAACTTTAAATGTAAATGGACTAAATGCTCCAATTAAAAGACACAGACTGGCAAATTGGATAAAGAGTCAAGACCCATCAGTGTGCTGTATTCAGGAGACACATCTCACGTGCAGAGACACACATAGGCTAAAATAAAAGGATGGAGGAAGATCTATCAAGCAAATGGAAAACAAAAAAAGGCAGGGGTTGCAATCCTAGTCTCGGATAAAATAGACTTTAAACCAACAAAGATCAAAAGAGACAAAGAAGGCCATTACATAATGGTAAAGGGATCAATTCAACAAGAAGAGCTAACTATCCTAAATATATATGCACCCAATACAGGAGCACCCAGATTCATAAAGCAAGTCCTTAGAGACCTACAAAGAGACTTAGACTCCCACACAATCATAATGGGAGACTTTAACACCCCACTGTCAACATTACACAGATCAACGAGACAGAAAGTCAACAAGAATACCCAGGAATTGAACTCAGCCCTGCACCAAGTGGACCTAATAGACATCTACAGAACTCTCCACCCCAAATCAACAGAATATACATTTTTTTCAGCACCACACCACACCTATTCCAAAATTAACCACATACTTGGAAGTAAAGCTCTCCTCAGCAAATGTAAAAGAACAGAAATTATAACAAACTATCTCTCAGACCACAGTGCAATCAAACTAGAACTCAGGATTAAGAATCTCACTCAAAACTGATCAACTACATAGAAACTGAACAACCTGCTCCTGAATGACTACTGGGTACATAACGAAATGAAGGCAGAAATAAAGATGTTCTTTGAAACCAATGAGAACAAAGACACAACATACCAGAAACTCTGGGACACATTCAAAGCAGTGTGTAGAGGGAAATTTATAGCACTAAATGCCCACAAGAGAAAGCAGGAAAGATCCAAAATTGACACCCTAACATCACAATTCAAAGAACTAGAAAAGCAAGAGCAAAACACATTCAAAAGCTAGCAGAAGGCAAGAAATAACTAAAATCAGAGCAGAACTGAAGGAAATAGAGACACAAAAAACCCTTCAAAAATTAATGAATCCAGGAGCTGGTTTTTTGAAAGGATCAACAAAATTGATAGACCGCTAGCAAGACTAATAAAGAAAAAAAGAAGAATCAAATAGATGCAATAAAAAATGATAAAGGGGATATCACCACCGATCCCACAGAAATACAAACTACCATCAGAGAATACTATAAACACCTCTATGCAAATAAACTAGAAAATCAAGAATAAATGGATAAATTCCTTGACACATACACCCTCCCAAGACTAAACCAGGAAGAAGTTGAATCTCTGAATAGCCCAATAATAGGATCTGAAATTGTGGCAATAATCAATAGCTTACCAACCAAAAAGAGTCCAGGACCAGATGGATTCACAGCCGAATTCTACCATAGGTACAAGGAGGAACTGGAATCATTCCTTCTGAAACTATTCCAATCAATAGAAAAAGAGGGAATCCTCCCTAACTCATTTTATGAGACCAGCATCATCCTGATACCAAAGCCGGGCAGAGACACAACCAAAAAAGACAAATATCCTTGATGAACATTGATGCAAAAATCCTCAATAAAATACTGGCAAAATGAATCCAGCAGCACATCAAAAAGCTTATCCACCATGATCAAGTGGGCTTCATCCCTGGGATGCAAGGCTGGTTCACTATATGCAAATCAATAAATGTAATCCAGCATATAAACAGAACCAAAGACAAAAACCACATGATTATCTCAATAGATGCAGAAAAGGCCTTTGACAAAATTCAACAACCCTTCATGCTAAAAACTCTCAATAAATTAGGTATTAATGGGACGTACTTCAAAATAATAAGAGCTATCTATGACAAACCCACAGCCAATATCATACCGAATGGGCAAAAACTGGAAGCATTCCCTTTGAAAACTGGCACAAGACAGGGATGCCCTCTCTCACCACTCCTATTCAACATAGTGTTGGAAGTTCTGGCCAGGGCAATTAGGCAGGAGAAAGAAATAAAGGGTATTCAATAAGGAAAAGAGGAAGTCAAATTGTCCCTGTTTGCAGACGACATGATTGTATATCTAGAAAACCCCATTGTCTCAGGCCAAAATCTCCTTAAGCTGATAAGCAACTTCAGCAGTCTCAGGATACAAAATCAATGTACGAAAATCACAAGCATTCTTATACACAAACAACAGACAAACAGAGAGCCAAATCATGAGTGAACTCCCATTCACAATTGCTTCAAAGAGAATAAAATACTTAGGAATCCAACTTACAAGGGACATGAAGGACCTCTTCAAGGAGAACTACAAACCACTGCTCAATGAAATAAAAGAGGATACAAACAAATGGAAGAACATTCCATGCTCATGGGTAGGAAGAATCAATATCGTGAAAATGGCCATACTGCCCAAGGTAATTTACAGATTCAATGCCATCCCCATCAAGCTACCAATGACTTTCATCACAGAATTGGAAAAAACTACTTTAAAGTTCATATGGAACCAAAAAAGAGCCTGCATCACCAAGTCAATCCTAAGCCAAAAGAACAAAGCTGGAGGCATCACACTACCTGACTTCAAACTATACTACAAGGCTACAGTAACCAAAACAGCATGGTACTGGTACCAAAATAGAGATATAGATCAATGGAACAGAACAGAGCCCTCAGAAATAACGCAGCATATCTACAACTATCTGATCTTTGACAAACCTGAGAAAAACAAGCAATGGGGAAAGGATTCCCTATTTAATAAATGGTGCTGGGAAAACTGGCTAGCCATATGGAGAAAGCTGAAACTAGATCCCTTCCTTACACCTTATACAAAAATCAATTCAAGATGGATTAAAGACTTAAACGTTAGACCTAAAACCATAAAAACCCAAGAAGAAAACCTAGGCATTACCATTCAGGACATAGGTATGGGCAAGGACTTCATGTCTGAAACACCAAAAGCAATGGCAACAAAAGACAAAATTGACAAATGGGATCTAATTAAACTAAAGAGCTTCTACACAGCAAAATAAACTACCATCAGAGTGAACAGGCAACCTACAAAATGGGAGAAAATTTTCGCAACTTACTCATCTGACAAAGGGCTAATATCCAGAATCTAGAATGAACTCAAACAAATTTACAAGAAAAAAAAAAACAACCCCATCAAAAAGTGGCCAAAGGACATGAACAGACAATTCTCAAAAGAAGACATTTATGCAGCCGAAAAACACATGAAAAAATGCTCACCATCACTGGCCATCAGAGAAATGCAAATCAAAACCACAATGAGATACCATCTCACACCAGTTAGAATGGCAATCATTAAAAAGTCAGGAAACAACAGGTGCTGGAGAGGATGTGGAGAAATAGGAATACTTTTACACTGTTGGTGAGACTGTAAACTAGTTCAACCCTTGTGGAAGTCAGTGTGGTGATTCCTCAGGGATCTAGAACTAGAAATACCATTTGACCCAGCCATCCCATTACTGGGTATATACCCAAAGGACTATAAATCATGCTGCTTTAAAGACACATGCACATGTATGTTTATTGCAGCACTATTCACAATAGCAAAGACTTGGAACCAACCCAAATGTCCAACAATGATAGACTGGATTAAGAAAATGTGGCACATATACACCACGGGATACTATGCAGCCATAAAAAATGATGAGTTCACGTCCTTTGTAGGGACATGGATGAAATTGGAAATCATCATTCTCAATAAACTATCGCAAGAACAAAAAACCAAACACCGCATATTCTCACTCATAGGTGGGAATTGAACAATGAGAACACATGGACACAGGAAGGGGAAAATCACACTCTGGGGACTGTTTGGGGTGGGGGGAGGCTGGAGGGATGGCATTGGGAGATATACCTAATGCTAGATGATGAGTTAGTGGGTGCAGCGCACCAGCAAGGCACATGTATACATATGTAACTAACCTGTACATTGTGCACATGTACCCTAAAACTTAAAGTATAATAATAAAAAATAAATTTAAAAAATAAAGGTGAAAAAGACACAAAGGAAAAAAATATTTTGCATTTTGACTATAGAATTAGCAACAGGAAGGCATTTTAATTAAGGTTACACTCATTTCATATTATATTTTCTAATCTGTTATTGTTATGAGGCATATGTGCTCCTGGCAATATGGTGAAGAGAATCTCTCTGAATATTGATCTTTCTTCCTGAGGGAAAGTGCTCATGATTTCTATGGCGAGACTAGTGGGGGCCATGGAGTGAAGTGGCACAACGAAGAGTTAGAACCGTATACAGAAAAAAAATTACAACTTTCATAGCAGATAAGACATCTAAAGCCTAGTGACAGTAAACAACATATTCAAGATCACCCAATATTAGTAATTAAGTCAGCAACAATGACAAGACGGGAACTTGAAAGAAAATTTATCATGACATAACTCACACACCTCTTAACTGAAGTGGCCTTATAAAGGATTAGAGCTAAATAGCCACCTGTTGTTTGAGCAGTGAGTTAAAGGAGAGCAGTACTTTGCTGAAACAATGGCTTAAGGAAGCAGTGATGTACATCTTCAAATAACATGCTGTGGCTGTGTCTGGCAGGGAAACAAGCGAATGATAGGCTGGCTTGCACACTACATTCAAGGATGAGTGGATCTTTCTGTTTTTGTTTTTGTTTTTTTGAGATGGAGTCTCGCTCTGTCGCCCAGGCTGGAGTGCAGTGGCACAATTTCTGCTCACTGCAAGCTCTGCCTCCCGGGTTCACGCCATTCTCCCGCCTCAGCCTCCCGAGTAGCTGGGACTACAGGCGCCCGCCACCACGCCCGGCTAATTTTTTGTATTTTTAGTAGAGACAGGGTTTCATCATGTTAGCCAGGATGGTCTCGATCTCCTAACCTCATGATCTGCCCGCCTCGGCCTCCCAAAGTACTGGGATTACAGGCGTGAGCCACCGCACCAGGCCGGATGAGTTGAAAGTTTTCTAAGCAAAGCTTTCAACTATCCACAGCAACTAAACAGAGAAGTCAAGACACAACCACGCACTACAAAAAGCCAATATCGTTGACCATCATGAAATCATTGTTATATGAGTACCAAATATGGAAAGACTCTAGGGCGTGCTTTCTACTTTCTTGCTCCTTTAGATGAGGTGTGACCATGTGACTGGCATTCACCAAGAAATACAAATAGAAGTGGCATGAAATACTTTGGGGCAGAAATTTTAAGTGTCAGTATGCAGTTTGCATAAGAGAATGAATTCACTTTGATAATGCATAAAAATAGCAAGAATTCTAGCAACCCGAGAGGAAAAGTCAATGATCTCTAACTATTGAGTGATAAAAGCTGTACTTGATGCAAGCCTATTAATAGAGGGTGAGAATTAGAAGACAGGTACACAAATATGACATCGAACTACAGAAGGCAGTGGGACAAGAACACTATAGAATGAAAAAGTGAATCAGGAGAACAAAGGGAACAGGTATTCAAACAAAACCAGATTCAAAGTTTGAGAAAATTGTGTCTCTTTATAAGATGAAATACAAATTTTATTAGAGCTCCAAGATTATTAATTATACTTGTTTACAATTAGGCTTCATCACATAATGTAGGATTTCCTTTTTAAAAATTATTTGTAGAAATTTATAGGGTACAAGTGCAATTTTCTTACATGGGTAGATTATGTAGTGGTGAAGTTAGAGCTTTTACTGTATCCATCACCCAAATAGTGTACATTGTATCCATTAAGTAATCTCTCATCATCCACCCTCCTTTCATCCCTTCGCCTTTCCAAGTATCCATTGTCTATCATCCATCACATCACACAATGTAGGATTTCTCTTGCTACCGTTAAAGTCCACTCCAGAGCAAGACCCTGACACTAAAAAAAAAAAAAGTCAGAAAAGAAATAAAAAAGAAAAGTTACAAATATTTATCCACTTTCCAATGGCTGTTCAAAGTTATACTGCCCAGAGTAAGCAAACCAGAAAAACAGCATCAGGTATATGGTGTTGCTCTGCCCAAATTTGTTTCTGTTGGTGTGGTGCACCTCATGAAATAGATGGCCTCTAGAGCACTTGTCAGTTTTAGAACATGATGGATCTAGATTTCACTAATGAGGTATTCCAGAAGCTGAATATATCAGGAGTCTTATCTCACAGATATGTATATATTTATAATTGCTTTAGTTTGATCTAGTGCTTACTATCATGTTGGCTACTATGTACTGTCTGCTAGCTTTCAAGTTCTGTATTCACTTGAAATGCCCATCTTATAAAAGCAGTGGTATATTATGACATACAATGATTTTAGGAAACTCCACTGAAGAAATAAATTTAGAATTCTGTCATGTAAGATTTTAAAAATCAAAAACTACTGGGGCTTTTCCTAGAGATTATCATTATTCCTTTTTATTAATAATAACTTCTAGCCCTTATGGACTGTATTACTATGTTCATGTTCAGCTAGACAATGGTGAGGTTGAAATCTAAAGACATTTTTCAAAGGAAGACTGTGCTCTTTTCTTTATAGCACACTGCCTCTATTTTATTAAGCAAGGGTAACTAAAAGGTTGTCTTACAATCTTACAAAAGATGGTCTGTCAGATTCCTTCCCTTATTCTTAGCCAATTCTAATTGTGGTAGATTTGTTTTTGTCTGGTGGGTTTTATGTTTTTTATTTACACCTCTTTGTTCTTGGTTTCATTATCAATAATTTCTTAAATTTGGAGGAGGTCAGACAGTTATCTAGCCTCTGGGGACTCAACTATGGTCCCTTCTCTCAATGATTTTAAGATGTGGTGAACAAATTCACTACCTGGTGAAGCTAAAGTGCAGGATTTCTTCACTGTTCTCTGAGTATGCATGATTGTCAGATATATCAACTTTCAGATAATGAACACATGGCACCATTGTTGTCTCTGAGACTTGAGGATGAGGTGAGGAAAACCATCAATAGTGGTTGAATTTCTACGATTCCAGGATTCCTATAAACCATGGACGAGATGTCGTAGAGAGGGTATAAGTGGAGGGCAGGATGTAGAGTTCCACTTGTATGTGAAACTCTGAGCTTTTGACTCCTGATACATAATTGGATATAAACAGCTTTTCTATTTGTAAAGGGGAAGGCATTAGGAGCTTTTCAGTAAAGACTTGCATGTCTAAAAAAGAAAATGGGGGAAGTATTTTTTGGTCCAAAACACCACAAAAAATAAAAGTAATAACTTTCAAACAGGATTAATATGAGTTATGTCTACAGAAGAAGAGAGGTGACTAATAAATTTTACACCTCAATGTACTCTCTTATTTTAATATGAATGTGTAGTATATATGGCTTTCTCACAGGATTCTCACAACACATCTTCAATGTTCACTGAGGACTTCTTGCTTGTTTTTATTATTATTATTATACTTTAAGTTTTACGGTACATGTGCACAATGTGCCAGTTAGTTACATATGTATACATGTGCCATGCTGGTGTGCTGCACCCATTAACTCGTCATTTAGCATTAGGTATATCTCCCAATGCCATCCCTCCCCCCTCCCCACAACAGTCCCCAGAGTGTGATGTTCCCCTTCCTGTGTCCATGTGTTCTCATTGTTCAATTCCTACCTATGAGTGAGAATATGTGGTGTTTGGTTTTTTGTTCTTGCGATAGTTTACTGAGAATGATGATTTCCAATTTCATCCATGTCCCTACAAAGGACATGAACTCATCATTTTTTATGGCTGCATAGGATTCCATGGTGTATATGTGCCACATTTTCTTAATCCAGTCTATCATTGTTGGACATTTGGGTTGGTTCCAAGTCTTTGCTATTGTGAATAGTGCCACAATAAACATACGTGTGCATGTGTCTTTATAGCAGCATGATTTATAGTCCTTTGGGTATATACCCAGTAATGGGATGGCTGGGTCAAATGGTATTTCTAGTTCTAGATCCCTGAGGAATCGCCACACTGACTTCCACAAGGGTTGAACTAGTTTACAGTCTCACCAACAGTGTAAAAGTATTCCTATTTCTCCACATCCTCTCCAGCACCTGTTGTTTCCTGACTTTTTAATGATTGCCATTCTAACTGGTGTGAGATGGTATCTCATTGTGGTTTTGATTTGCATTTCTCTGATGGCCAGTTGATGGTGAGCATTTTTTCATGTGTTTTTTGGCTGCATAAATATCTTCTTTTGAGAAGTGTCTGTTCATGTCCTTCACCCACTTTTTGATTGGTTGTTTGTTTTTTTTCTTGTAAATACAGACAAGCAAATGCTGAGAGATTTTGTCAGCACCAGGCCTGCCCTAAAAGAGCGCCTGAAGGAAGCACTAAACATGGAAAGGAACAACCGGTACCAGCCACTGCAAAATCATGCCAAATTGTAAAGACCACCGAGGTGTGTTTTTAATTGATGGGATAAAGTAGGTACAGAGAACGAATAAGCACATGGAATTGCAAAGGTTGCTTTGAAGCATGCTCTATTAACTGCCTATTATATATAATTTCAAATGGAGTTGGAGGGCCATAAAATCCTATAAGCAACTTTTAATTAAATTTAATCTATAATTAATTCATAATTTAATTCATATTTTAATAGGACTGATTTTAGGCTTCATATTTATAGAAAACAATAAAAATTGTGATTAATATAGGGAAAAAATGATCAGAAGAAGGCCAAAGATAACATCCATTGCAAAGGCATTTTTGAGAAGAAGACTGTATAACATCCATGCAAAAGAGCTCATAAACACTAACTGCATAACTAGTGTTTAAAATAAGAGGTTTAGAGAAGCCAAATAAATAATTTCCAAGTAGAAGGGGCGGAAAAACTTCATTTATAGGGTGCCAGGATATTAGTCTGGAATCAACATGTAGAAAATCCCAGACAAGGATATGAAGAAGATTGTTAACACGAGGCTATTTAAGAATGGAGAAAAAAAAAAAAAAAGAACTCCCTGTTAGGTAAAAATTTTCCTTTCCTTAGGGTATTAGAGTGGCCAGTTAATTATCTGCCCTCTTCATCAACTTTATAAAACATTTTTTGAGTCCTTACTAGGACCAGCACTTATGCTATGATAGGATCACATTGATTGTGTCATTTAGTATTAACAATAGCACTTGCAGATCGTAACTGTCATTATCTCTCCATTTTTCCCGGTGAGGAAACTAAAGCTTTAAGATATTTCTAAATACTCAAGCTTGATAATGTATTTTTATAATTTTATGA
Organism: Homo sapiens; assembly: GCF_000001405.40. Taxonomy (NCBI): domain Eukaryota; kingdom Metazoa; phylum Chordata; class Mammalia; order Primates; family Hominidae; genus Homo; species Homo sapiens. The sequence continues at coordinate 17,174,238 of NC_000021.9, forward strand.
CAATAATAGCACAAAAAAAGTGTCAGGAAATGGAGCTATAGTGAAACAAATTTTTTTTTTTTTTTTTTTTGAGTTGGAGTCTCACTCTGTCACCCAGGCTGGAGTGCAGTGGTGAGATCTCAGCTCACTGCAACCTCTGCCTACCAGGTCCAAGCGATTTTCCTGCCTCAGCCTCCCAAGTAGCTGGGAGTACAGGCGCGTGCCACCACACCTGGCCAATTTTTTGTATTTTTAGTAGAGAGGGAGTTTCACTGTGTTACCCAGGATGGTCTCGATCTCCCGACCTTGTGATCTGCCCGCCTCATCCTCCCAAAGTGCTGGGATTATAGGTGTGAGCCATGTCGCCTGGCCTAGTGAAACAAAATTTTTGTACAATTTTGAAATGAAGTTTGTATTAATCCAAACTGGGTATTTGAAAGTTATAATTATTAAATATAAGCTCTAGGGCAACTAATAACAAAATATCTTTTAAAATATAGTAAAAGAGGCAATAAGGAAATTGAAGTGATATACTAGAAAATGTCTATTTTTAAAAAATAAGGCAGCAATGGAGGAATCGAGGAACAAAAAAGACATGAAACACAAACCAATACCAACATGGTGAACATAAATCCAACCTTTCCAGTAAAAGCATTAAATGCAAATGGATGAAACACTTCATTCAAAGGACAGAGACTGACAAAACAAATAAAAGCAAAAATGATCTAATTATATACTATCTACAAGAGACACACATTAGATTCAAAGACATATAAATTGAAATTAAAGGATGAAACAGTGTATATCATGCAAATAGTACACAAAAGAGAACTCAAGTAGCTATATCAACATAAATCATTCACACACTCTTCCAAAAAAAAGATGAGAAACACTTCCCAGTTTATTTGACCAGTATTACCATAATACCAGTCCAAAGAAATCATAACCCAAAAAAATAAATAAAATAGACTGTAAAAGAAAAAGTGAAACCAGAGACAAAAATGGGCATATTGTAATGATAAACAGGCAAGCCATCTGGAAGACAAAGCAATTAAAAACATGTATGCACTAATGAAAGCACCTCAAATACATGAAGCAAAAAAAAAAACCAGTATTGAATGGAGAAATGAACAATTCAACAAAACAATTTATGACTTTAATACCTCACTTTCAGTAATGGGTAGAAAAACTAGGCAAAATATCAGCCAGGAAACAGATGCTTGAACAATACTGTAAACCAACTATATCTAACAGAAATATATAGAATATTGCCCAACAACGGCAGAATACACATTCTACTTAAATGTGCATGGAACATTCTCTGTTATAAACCACATGTTAGGTCATAATCAAGCCTCAATAAATATAAAATGATTAAAATCACACAAAGTGTGTTTCTCAACCATGATGGAATGAAATTAGAAACCACCTACCAAAATAAATTTGGGAAATTCACAAATATGTAGAAATTAAACAACATCCTTGTAAAAGAAGGGTCAAAGAAGAAATCTCAGGCAAATTACAAATATTCTGAGATGAATGAAAACAAAAACAAAACATCACCAAAATTTACAAATGCTGCTAAAGTAGTCCTTAGAGGAAAATTTACAGTTGTAAATGCCTGTGTTATAAAGAAAAGTTCTTAAATCAATAACAGTCTTCTACCATAGGAAACCAAAAAAAATATATATAAAAAAGAGTAAACTAAAACCAAAGCAAGCAGAAGGAAGGAAATAATAAAGATGCAAGCAGAAACAAGTAAAATAGATAATACAAAAAACAACTTTAAAAATAAACAAAATCATATTTGCTTTTTTGAAAAAGCCAACGTTGGCTGGGTGTGGTGGCTCATGCCTGTAATCCCAACACTTTGGCAGGCAAAAGTGGGTGGATCACTTGAGGCCAGGAGTTCAAGATCAACCTGGCCAACATGGTGAAACCCCATCTCTACTAAAATACAAAAATTAGCTGGGCGTGGTGGCACATGCCTGTAATCCCAGCTATTGGGAAGGCTAAAGCAGGAGAATCGCTTGAACCAGGGAGGCGGAGGTTGCAGTGAGCCAAGATTGCACCACTGCACTCCAGCCTGGGTGATACAATGAAACTCTGTCTTGGAAAAAAAAAAAAAAAAAGAAAAAGTCAACACTGGCAAACCTTTAGCTAGAGTGACCATGAGAAAAATAGAAGATTCAAGTTATTAAAATCAGGAGTGAAAAAGGGACTTCACTGCCAAACTTATAGAACTTTTATTTTTAAAGATTATAAGAGAATGATTTGAACAATTGTAAGCTAAAAAAAATTTGATAACCTAGACGAAATGGACAAATTTCTGAAAAGATGCAAAATTGATTCTAAAAGAAACAGAAATCTGAGTAGATCTCCACAAACTCTTCCAAAAAAAAAAGATGAGAAAACACTTCCCATTTTATTTTATTTGACCAGTATTACCATAATACTAAACCAAAGAAATCACAACAACAAAGAAACCCACAGACCAATGTTTCTTATGAACATTAATGCAAAATCTTCAAATGCCAGCAAACCAAAGTGACACTTAAAAAAAGTTATATACCATGACTAACTGGGATTTAGCTCAACGGTACAAATTTGCCCTAATATATGAAAATCAACTAATGTGATACACCGTATTAACACGATGAAAACTAAAAGCACATGATCATTTCTATAGATAAAGTAAAATCCTCTGACATAATGTAACATTGCTTTGTGATAAAAACACTCATTAAACTAGAAACAGAAGGAAACTTTTTCAACTGCATAAAGGCCATCTACAAAATAACAACAGCTAAAATTATATCTAATTGTGAAAGATTGAATGCTTTCCTTCTAAAATCAAGAAATAGAAATAAAATCATCCCTATTCAGGATCTTGCATTTAGAAAATGCTAAGAAATTGACGCAAAAAATTATTAAAACTAGTAAGTATAGCAAAGTTGCAGAATACAAGCTCAATATACAAAGATTAATTGTACTTTTGTACATCACTAATATATAATCTGAATAAGAAATTAAGAAAACAATTATATTTACAAAAGTATCAGAATAAAATAGGAATAAATTTAACAAAAAACATGGATCATTTGTACACCAGAAACTATACAACATAACTGAGAAAACATATGGAAGACAGGAGGCAGGACTCACTTGTAGCTCCCACTCAGATTAACAGAACCACATGTGGAGACTCACATTATGAACTTTTGCTCCAAGACATACTGCAGGAACATACTGGGAAAACAAACAAACAAACAAAAGATTACAGACCTTTTGAAAGAAGCAGCTTCCTGCTGCAAATTCTGTGATGTGAGACAGTTGAAAAACTCAGCGCCCAAAGTGTGAGAGGGAGAAAGCCCACATCTGAACACAGATTCTCCCTGGGGAACCTGAAAATCAAGATCACAGGAGAAAGACTTAACCTTACCTAAAGCTGAAACAAATTTAGAGAGCCAAGTGAAATATAAAAGCAGAAGAAGCAGTGAGAAGAGCTGGTCCAACAGGACTCTTGGTCCCCAGGGAAGCTATTTCTGACTTCATCTCACAGGGTTCCTTTGGGAGGACTGCCAGTAGACCTGGGGAAGGACCACAGGAAGCAGAAAACTTCCCGGTGAACTCTTTAATAATTTTGAACTAGCACGAAATTTCCAGGGCAGAATTGGTGGGGGGTGGGGGCGGTGAATGTGAAGAGCAGGTACAAGCACAAAAGACATGGCAGGCAGGGATGGAAAAGGCCTGAAAGCCCAGCTTGCTTTCTCAGTGGGGAGGTTTGTAGTCTGGGACAATAACTCAGCCCTGCTCACTGGCCGTCTGGATGTAAACTCGGTGCTGTTGTTGGGGCATGGTGAAAGTGAGCTTTTCTGGCTACATAAGAGCTGGGAGAGGCAGATCACTGCTGGCATTCCCCCACTTCTCTGGTGACCTGTATGATGCAGCAGAGGAAGCCATAATCTCCCCATATTACCTCTCTGAAGAAAGAACTTAAGAGCTCAAAGACAAAGCATTCAAATTAACCTAATCCAACAAAGACAAAGAAAAAAAGTTTGAAAAACATGAACAAAGCCTCCAAGAAGTTTGGGATTATGTTAAACAACCAAACCTAAATAATTGGTGCTCATGAGAAAGATGATAAATCTAAAAATTTGGAAAACATATTTGAGAGAATAATCAAGGAATACTTCCCTGGCCTTTCTAGAGATCTAGACATACAAGTACAAGAAGCTCAAAGAACACCTGGGGAATTCATCACAAAGAGATCTTTACCTAGGTACATAGTCATCAGGTAATCTAAAGTCAAAACAAAAGAAACAATCTTGAGAGCTGTGAGGCAAAAGCATCAGGTAGCCTGTAAAGGAAAACCTATCAGACAAACAACAGATTTTTTAGCAGAAACCCTACAAGCTAGAAGTGATTGGGGTCCTATCTTTATCCTCCTTTAAAAAAAAAAATTATCAGCCAAGAATATTGTATCCAGCAAAATTAAGCTTCATTAATGAGTAAAAGATAAAGTCTTTTTCAAACAAACAAATGCTGACAGCATTTGTCACTGCCAAATGAATACTAAAAGAATTACTAAAAGGGGTTCCAAATTTTGAAACAAATTCTCAAAATACACCAAAATAGAAACTTCTTAAGGTTCTTAAAGCACAAATCTCACAGGGCCTGTAAAACAATAACACAATAAAAAAAAAAAAAAAAAAACAAGGTATTCAGGCAACAAATGGCATGATGAATAGAAAAGTACCTCACATCTCAATACCAACATTGAATATAAATGGTCTAATCGCTCAACTTAAGAGATACAGAATGGCAGAATGGATAAAAATTCACCAAGCAAGATTCTGCTGTCTTCAAGAAACTCACCTAACATAAAAGGATTTACATAAACTTAAGGTTAAAGGGTAGAAAAATATATTCCATGCAAATGAACACCAAGAGCCAACAGAAGTATCTATTCTTATATTAGACAAAACAGACTTTAAAGAAAGAGTAGTTAAAAAGACAAAGATGTATATTATGTAATGATAACAGGACTAGTCCAACAGAAAAATATCATAATTCTAAATATATATGCACCTTACAGTGGAGATTCCAAATGTGAAAAACAATTACTACTAGACCCAAGAAATGAGATAGATAGCATATAATAATAGTGGGGACTTTAGTACCCCACTGACTGAACTCTCATCAAGACAGAAAGTCAACAAAGAAACAATGGACTTAAACTATATCCTTCAACAAATGGACTTAACAGATATTTATAGAACATTGTATACCCAATGATTGCAGAATATACATTCTATTCATTAGCACACAGAACATTCTCCAAGATAGACCATACGATACACCACAAAACAAGTCTCAATAAATTTAAGAAAATCAAAATTATACCAAGAACTCTTTCAGACCACAGTGGAATAAAATTGGAAATCAACTCCAAAGGGAACCCTCAAAAACATGCAAATACAAGGAAATTAAATAGTCTGCTCCTAAATGATCCTTGGGTCAACAATACAATCAAGACAGAAATTAAAAATTTGTTTGAACTGAATGATAATAATGACACAACCTAACAAAACCTCAGGGATAGAGCAAAAGAGGTGCTAAAAGGAAAGTTCATAGCATTAAATGTCTACATCAAAAAGTCTGAAAGAACACACATATGCCATCTAAGGTCATGCCTTGAGGAACTATAGAAACAAGAACAAGCCAAACCCAAACCCAAACCCTACAGAAGAAAAGAAATAACAAAGATCAGAGCAGAACTAAATGAAACTGAAACAAAAATAAATACAAAAGATAAATGAAAGAAAAACCTGGTTCATTGAAAAGATAAACAAAACTAATAGAACATTAGTGAGATTAACCAAGACAAGAAGAGAGAAGATCCAAATAAGCTCAATTAGAAACAAAACAGAAAATACCACAGAAATACAAAAGATCATTCAAGGCTACTATAAACACTTTTATGTGCATGAACTGAAAAACCTAGAGGAAATGGATAAATTCCTAGAAATATAAAACCCTCCTAGATTAAAACAGGAATAGAAACTCTGAACAGACCAAAAACAAATAGCAAGATTGAAATGGTAATTTAAAAATTGCCAACAAAAAAAAAATCTAGGACCAGATGGATTCACAGCTGAATTCTATCAGACATTCAAAGATTTGATACCAATCCTATTGAAACTATTTCAAACGATAGAGAAAGAGGGACTCTCCCTAATTATGTTATGGAGCCAGTGTCACCCTACTACCAAAACCAGGAAATAACATAACAAAAAAAGAAAACTAGAGACAAACGTCTCTGATGAATGTTAATGCAAAAATTCTCAACAAAATATTAGCTAACCAAATCCAACAGCATATCAAAAAGATAATCCACCATGATCAAGTTGGTTTCATACCAGCGATTCAAAGATGGTTTAATATACCTAAATCAATAAACATGATACACCACATAAACAGAATCAAAAAGAAAAATCACATGATCATCTCAATAGATTCAGAAAAGCATTTGATAAAATCCAACATTGCTTTATGATTAAAACTCTCAGTAAAACTGGTGTAGAAGGGACATACCTTAAAGTAATAACAGATATCTATGACAGACTCACAGCCAACATTATACTGAATGTGATAGTGTTAAAAGCATTCCCCTGAGAACTTCGACAAGCCAAGAATGCCCACTTTCACCACTTCTATTCAACATAGTATTGGAAGTCCTACCCAAGGCAATCAGAGAAGAGAAAAATAAAGGGTATCCAAATCGGTAAAGATGAAGTCAAACTGTTGCTGTTCACCAATGATATTATCATATAACTAGAAAACCCCAAAGACTCATCCAAAGAGCTCCTAGGTCTGATAAATGAAAGTTTCAGGATACAAAATCAATGTACATAAATCAGTAGCACTGCTATACACCAAGGGCAACCAAGCTGAGAATCAACTGATAGGGACAGGAGGCAGGGAAATTCTGGGTAGAAGAGGGCAGGTGCCCAGTGAGGGCCCTGCTGATTCTCATCAAATCCCTGGTCTATCATGGATAGCTTGGTATAATTGAGAGGCTTAATTCTAGTCCTCCATTATGCACACCTGAAAGTGTCTCCTCTTCCATTCTCCCATCTCATCATTGGGATCCCATTTAGGGTCATCCAATGGTACTGTTTCTCTTCCAGTTGGATAAAGTTTGACCCCTTCCCTGACACTATATGTGATACAAAGCTCAATCCTTTCTGGAAAGGCTAAGAAGGGCTTTGATAAAGCACACCTCTCTATCTCCTGATTCAGTTGAGGGACACTTAATCCCTAAATGTATTTAAAAATCCATGTATTACTAAAAAATAAGTGGATTACTCAGGTATCCCCTGATATCAGGAGGAAGCTGCAGAAATGGGCCCTGAGACCAGATAGTACTTTAGAGAACCTCCTGAAATTGACCACTTCCATCTTTTATAATAGAGATAGGGAAACCCAAGAGAGAGAGAGGAGACACAGGAAAGAGGCAGAGGCTTCAATGGCCACCATGCAAGCCCACAAACCCAGAATCCCTGAGGTGCACCTCTTAACTGCTACAGATGTGGTAAGCCAGGAAATTTTAGGAAGAATTCCCCAGGCAGCATGAGGAACCCACCTTGACCCTGTCCAATCTGCAAAGGGGACCACTGGAAGGTGGACTGTCACCAGGGACACTGGTAACTGGGTTCAGAGCCAATCGCCCAAATGGTCCAGCAGGACTGATGGCTCCCAGGGTTCCTCTTTCCAGCTCCAGTGGTCCAGACCACCACTACCATCCAGGAGCTCCAGATAATTTTGGAAACTGAATAGAGAAAAGTGGATCTCCCTCTGCACACCATGGCTGGTCTCTCAGTTCTCCTCTCCAATCTGAGCTCCCTCTACTCTCTTAGCATAACTAGTGAGGGGTGTCTCAGGAAGTCCTTTAATCCAATATTCTTCCCAACCCGTTAATTGTAGTTCAGGAGACCTCTTGTTCACCCATGCCTTTCTAATTATCCCTGAAAGCACCAACTCCTCTGTTGGGTAGGAATATTCTGACCCATATGGGGACCACCATCCTGATGGCCACAGGACAAACTCTTTCTCTCTCCCTAGTGGAGACTAATATTAACCCAGAAGTTTGGGCAATTCAAGGGAAAATTGGCTGAGCCACAACCACCATACCGGCTGGGTCCACCTTAAGGCTCTCACCTCCTTTCCTAACCAGAAACAATAGCCCCTGAAACCAGAAGTTAAGAAAGGACTAGAAGCCATTATTGATAACTTAAGGTTGCAAGGCCTCCTCAAACCCTGGAACAGCCCTTTAATACCCCAATATTCAGGGCACAAAAACCCAGTTGGGAATGGAGACTAGTTCAGTACCTCCACCTCGTTAATGAGGCTGTGGTTCCAATTCACCTGGTGGTTCCCAATCCACATTCCCTACTAGCTCAAATACCTAAGGAAACTAAATAGTTCACAGTCCCAGACCTAAAGGATGCCTTCTTCTGCCTACCATTGCACCCCAACTCCCAATATTTGTTTGCATTTGAGGATCCCTCCAAATAAACCACCCAGTTAACCTGAATGATGTTACCTCAGGGACTCTGAGATGGCCCCCACGTGTTTGGACAGGCATTGTCAAGAGAACCCTCTGAGTTACTTTATCCTCAGGTGAAAGTTTTACAGTATGTAGATGACATACTTCTCTGAACTTCAACTGAGGAAATCTCTCAGGAGGGCAGTAAGGCTCTTCTTAATTTCCTGGCTAACAGAGAATACAAGGTTTCAAAATCTAAAGCTCAGCTCTGTCAGACTTAAGTGAAGTACCTAGGTCTGGTCTTGGCAGAGTGGACCAGGGCATTGAGCAAAGAAAGGATTAATCCCATTTCCTCCTTTCCTTTCCCCAAAACACTCAAGCAACTGAGGGGATTCTTAGGCATTACAGGATTCTGCAGACTATGGATACCTGGGTACAGTGAATAGCTCATCCCTTATATCACCTAATAAAGGAGATTTGGATAGCTAAAACTCACTAATTTGGGAACCAGAGGCTAGAAAAGCCTTTGACCAACTGAAACAAGCCTTGCTTAAGGCAATACTCCTTAGTCTTCCCATAGGGAAGATGTTTAATCTTTATACCTCAGAAGGAAAGGGAATGGCCTTGGGAGTTCTAACCCACATCTGGGGTCCAGCCCAGAAACCTGTAGGCTACCTAGGTAAGGAGCTTGATTTTGTAGCCAAAGGAGAGCTGGCTTGCCTCCAGGCAGTTGCAGCAGTAGCCTTTCTGGTTACCAGAGGTTACTGAGTTAACCATAGGGAATAACTTAACCATCTATACTCTGCATAATGTGGCAGGACTTTGGTTTTCTAAGGGGAGTCTCTGGCTAATGAATAACTGCCTCCTCAGGTATCAAGCTCTGCTATTAGAGGGATCTGCAGTCCAAACAAGGACCTGTCCATCCCTAAATTCAGCCACCTTCCTCCCAGGGGAAGCTGAGAGCTTGAACATGACTGTGAACAGATAGTAGTATCCAGCCAGAGAGGGCCTCTAGGAAACCCCCTTAGAGAACCCAGACAAAATTCTCTTTATGAGTGGAAATTCTTTTGTAAAACAAGAGATCCATAAAGCATGGTATGCTATAGTTATTCTGACTGATATTTTTGAGAGCTCGTCTCTCTCCTCGGGAACAAGAGCTCAACTAGCTGAGCTCATTGCCCTCACGAGGGCACTCAAATTAAGCAAAGGGAAAGCAGTTAACATTTACGCTGATTCTAAGTATCCTTTCCTAGACCTCCATGCCCATGCTGCTATCTGGAAAGAGAGAAACTTTCTCACAGCTAATGGGTCTCCCATTAAATACCAACAGGAAATTAATTGACTATCATCCTCAGTTTTCATCCCATAGGAAGTAGCAGTAACACAATGTGAAGGCCCCCAAAAGGAATGGATAAAGTAACTGAGGGAAATAGGTTGGAAGACTAAGCAGCTAAGTCAGCAGAGAGAGGGCCTCAGATTTCTGATCCACTTGAAGCCCCACTGGTCTGGGAGGGCCTCATAGGAGAAATAAAACTTCAGTATTCTCCTATGGAAATAGAATGGGGCACCTCTTGGGGTTACATCTTTCAGTCCTCAGGATGGCCACAATTGGAGGATGCCAAGCTTCATCTACTGGCTGCCAAACAATGGAAAGTTCTTAAAAGCCTTCACCAGGCCTTTCACCTGGGTAAAGATAAAACCTTTCAAATGGTTCAGAGATTGTTCTCAGGTAAAAACCTGACACAAATAGTTAAACAGGTTGTTAATGCTTGCAAGATTTGCCTTAAAAATCATCCCTTCAGCTGACCACTTCTGCACCCAGGAACTCAAAGGACAGCAGGCTGAGGGAAAACTAGCAAATGGATTTCACCCATATGTCAAAGGTAAGGGGCATCCAGTACCTTCTAGAATGAACAGATACCTTCACTAACTGGGTAGAGCCATTTCCATGTGGGACAAAGAAAGCCTCCAAGGTGGTAAAAGTACTGATTAATGAGATAATTCCTTGCCCTGGCCTGCCTAAGCAACTTCAGAGAGATAATGGCCTCTCATTCAAGGCAGCTGTGACCCAGGGGGGGTCACAAAGGCACTAGGAATACACTACCATCTTCATTGTGCTTGGAGACCACGATGCTCAGGAAAGATAGAAAAGACAAATGATATTATAAAAAAGGCACCTCAGAAAACTATCTCCCTCAGACTAATCTTCCCTAGACTAACCTTCTCACCATAGCTCTACTACATATTTAAAACAGCCCTTTAAAGCTAGGTTTGAGTCCTTTTGAAATGATGTATGGACAGCCTTTTCTCACCAATGATTTCTTGCTAGACAAATAAATCTCTGATTTGCTAGACAAATAAATCTCTGATCTTTGGCCCATTTCCAACAGGAACTGGAGCAACTGTCAGAGGCCCAATCCCATGAATTTGGGCCACTTCTATTCAACCCAGGGGACCTAGTACTGATGAAGGTACTTCCTTCCCTTCCTCCCTCTATAAACCCAGATTGGAAGGGACTTTACGCTGTACTTGTTTCCACTCCTACAGCACTGAAAGTCACTGGAATATGTTCTTGGATTTATTATACCCAAGTAAAGGCCTGGAAAGCTCACAGAGTTACCTCCATCAACCCAGAAGACCACCGAAAGTAACAATGTGAAGAGATCAGAGATCTCAAGTTAATAATTTTTTAAAAAGTGTTAATAATTAGCCTTTCAGGTATATTCTCTTTATAGTCTTGCCTATGCTTGCTGTTGTTACCTTCGTTCTATTGTATACCACAGGTTAAAAATGGTGATTTCAGAATGATTAGTATATTTCACTTATTTCTGTAATCTTTGGCACAAAATTCTTTCCTTTTAACTCCTCTTTGTGTAATACACATATTTGATCCACACATACTTAACTTTGTAAAACTTGTTTTTTCTTGCCTAGAGGCCATCAAACTCCAAGCTATCAAACAACCGGAGCCTCAGACAATGGTTCCCTTTTGCTGGGGACCTCTGGGAGGAATCTGACTGCTGTTCTGCCTAAAACAACACCCCCTGTCACCAAAAAGCCTGACACCATGACCCAAAGTGAGAACTTATATCATTGTTTTCCTGCTCTAATGTTGCCTTTTCCAAAACCACTCATGTTCTGTCCCACCCCCATCCTGTACAGATAAAAATCCCAGGCTCAGCCAACAAAAGAGGAGAAGCAGCTGGACGTCAGAGACTATGGTTGCATGTCGGAGAGAAGCAGCTTAACTTTAAAGAGAGAGCTTGATGGTGTCACTTCAGAGAGGAGTCTGGCCAGGGATGGTCAGACTTCAAGGGAGGATTGCCTCCCCACCCTGTCCCCTTTTCAACTCCCATCCCACTAAGAGTGACTTTCATCAGCAATATAATCCCCTGCATTTACCATCTTCAATTCATTCATGCAACCTCATGTTTCCTGGATGCCAGAAAAGAGCTCAGAGCCACAAATGTGGTGCAAAAGGCTGTCACACTGACCCTCCATTGAGCTGTTAACACTAAAGCCATCCACAGATGGCAAAGCTAAAAGTCCACTGTAACAGTCATTCTGGGGCTTCAGGGGTTGTGAGCACCCTTCAAGATGGTGCCATGAGTTTTTCTCCTATTGGTGCCCAAAAGCACTCACCCTGGTTTCTGCACCCACTCACCTGCATACTCCCTCTTGTGAGGGGTTGAGAACTGTGGGATGAGTAAGTGAGGCACTCCTGTCATGAGGCCCATGAAGGGGTCAGAGAAATATCCTGCTTCAAAATTAATAACTCAACATCTTTTACAGTAGTTGCAAAAAAAAAAGAAAAAAGAAAAAAAAACTTAAGAATACATCTAACCAAAGAGGTGAAAGACCACTACAAGGAAAACTACAAAACACTGCTGAAAGAATTCATAGATGACACAAACAAATGGAAACATATCCCATGTTCATGGATGGGTAGAATCAATATTGTGAAAATGATCATACTGTCAAAAGCAATCTAGAAATTCAATGCAATTCTCATAAAAATACCATCATCATTCTTCACACAACTAGAAAAAGCAATCCTAAAATTCACATGGAACCAAAAAAGAGTTCACATACTCAAAGAGTAAGCAAAAAGAACAAGTCCGGAGGCATCACATTACATGACTTCAAACTATAATGTAATGCCATAGTCACCAAAACAGCAAGGTACTGGTATAAAAGTAGGCACAAAGACCAATGGAACAGGATAGAGAGGACAGAAATAAAGCAAAATACATATAGCCAACCAATCTTTGACAAAGCAAACAAAAACATAAAGTGGGGAAAGGACACCCTATTCAACAAATGGTGCTGGGATAATTGGCAAGCCACATGTAGAGAATGAAACTGGATCCTCATCTCTCACCTTATGCAAAATCAACTCAAGATGGATCAAACACTTAAATCTAAGACCTCAAACCATAAAGATTCTAGAAGATAACATTGGAAGAACCCTTCTATACATTGGCTTAGGCAAAGACTTCCTGACTTAGAACACAAAAGCAAATGCAACAAAAACAAAGATAAATAGAAGGAGCTTAAACTAAAAATCTTCTTCACAGCAAAAGAAATAATCCTCAGAGTAAACAGACAACCCACAGAGTGGGAAAAATTCTTTGCAAACTGTGCATCTGACAAAGAACTAATTCCAGAATCTACAAAGAACTCAAACGAATCAGAAAGAAAAAAAACAAACAATCCCATCAAAAAGTGGGCAATTGACATGAATAGATAATTCTCAATTTTGGCCATATACAATGGTCATATACATATAAAAAATGCTCAACATCACTAATTTTCAGGAAAATGCAAATCAAAACCACATTGCCATACCATACCACCTTACTCCTACAAGAATGGCCATAATTTAAAATTCAAAAATTGTAAATTTTGGTATAGATGTGGTGAAAAGCAAACACTTTTACACTGCTGTTGGGAATGTAAACTAGCACAACCACTATGGAATACAGTATGGAAAGCCCCTGAAGAACTAAAAATAGATCTACCACTTGATACAGCAATTCTACTACTGGGTATCTACTCAGAGGAAAAGAAGTCATGATATCAACAAGACACTTGCACACACCTGTTTGTGACAGCACATTCACAATTGCAAAAATATGGAACCAGCCCAAATGCCCATCGATCAACAAGTGGTAAAGAAAATGTGGTATGTATATATCATGGAATACTACTCAGTCATATAATGGAATAAAATAATGGCATTTGCAGCAACCTGGATATAGTTGGAGACCATTATTCTAAGTGAATTAACTCAGGAATGGAAAACTAAACATCATATGTTCTCACTTGTATGTGGGAGCTAAGCTATGAGGATGCAAAGGCATATGAAAGATACAATGGACTTTGGGGACTCAGGAAGGGAGAGGGGGTGAGGGATAAAAGACTACACATTGGGTGCAGTGTACACTGCTTGGATGATGAGTGCACCAAAATCTCAGAAATCACCACTAAAGAACTTGTTTACATAACCAGACACCACCTGTTCCCCAAAAACCTATTTGAAATAAAAATAATACTTGAAATAAACTTAAAAAGGAATAAATGGAAGGGCATTAATGTATGGATTGGAAGACTTAGTACTGTTGCAATAGCAATACTCCCCAAATTGATCTATAGATTCAATGCAATTCTTATGAAAGTGTCAGCTGCCTTTTTTAGAAATTGGCAAAAAGATCTTAAGATTCACATGGATGCAAGGGACCCAGAATAGCTAAAACAATCTCTAAAAGGAAGGACAAAGTTGGAGGACTCCCATTTCCAATTTCCAAACTTAATACAAAGTGCCCATAATCAATATAGTATGGTACTTGCATAAGGACAGACATACAGGTCAATGGAATGAAATTTTGAATCCAAAAATGCACCCTTCTATTTATGGTGAATTGATTTTCACAAGGGTACCAAAGAAGTTCAATGAGCAAAAATACATCTTTAAAAAAAGACACTAAGACAACTGGATATAATGCACAAGAATGAAATTGGGCTCCTATCTCACACAATATATAAGCATTAATTTTTTTAAGAAGAGCAGAGTATGAAGTATGAGAGTTAAAACTATAAAACTCTTAGAAGTCAACATAGTAGTAAATCTTTGTGACCTTGAATTAGGCAATGATTTTCTAGTTATGAAACCAAAAGCAATAATAAACAGATAAAATTACACTTTATCAAAGTATTTTTGCATTTCAAAGGAAAACATGAAGAAAGTGAAAAAACCCACAGAATGGGAGCATTATTTGCAAATTGTATATCTGATAGGAGATTTGTATCCAGAATATTTAAAGAATTCTTGTAACTCAACAACAAAAAGACAAATAACCCAATTTAAAAATAGACAAAGAATTTCAATAGCTATTTCTGCAATATACAAGTGGTCAATAAGCACATGAAAAGATACTTAACATCATTAATCATTAGGGAAATGCAAATTAAAACAACAATGAGATACAAATTTGCACATACTAAGATGGTTATAATCAAAAGGACAGACAGTGACAAGAATTAGTGAGGATAATTGAAACCTTCATACAATGCTGGTGGAAATTTTAAATTATGCAGCCACTTTTGAAAACAATGTGTCAGCTCCTTAAAAAAAGTTAAACACAAAGTTACCATTTGATCAAGCAGTTTCACTCCTAAGTATATAATCAAGAGAATTAAAAGCACATGTCTACACAAAATCTTGCAGAGAAATGTCATAGCAGCATTATTCATAATAGACCACAAGTGGAAACAATCCAAATGTCCATCAACTGATGAATGGATAAATAAAATGTGTCAGATCCATACAATGAAATATTATTCAGCAATGAAAAGAAATGAAATGTAATACATGTTATAACATGGATGACCTTTAAAACATTATGCTAAGTAAAAGAGGCCAGAAACAAAAAGGCCACATATTGTATGAATCCTTTTATATACAAGGTAGAGTAGGTAAATCCATAAAGACAAAAAGTCATTCAGTGGTTGCCAGGACCTAGGAGGTATGGGAGAATGGAGAGAATTGCTAAAGGGCATGAGCTTTCCTTTGGGATGATAAAAATATTCTTTTAAAAAAACTGTATGAGGTACAAGTTCAATTTTATTACATGCATAAATTATGTTGTGGTGAAGTCAAGGCTTTCAGGGTATTCATCACCCAAATAATGTACATTGTATCCATTAGGTAATTTCTCATCATCCACCCTTCTCTTACCCTTTCACCCTTCCAAGGCACCATTGTCTATCATCCCCCACTCTACGTCCATGTATACACATTATTTAACTCCCACTTATAAGTGAGAACATGCAATATTTGTCTTTCTATATCTGACTTGTTTCACTTAAGGAAATGACCTCCAGTCCTATCCATGTTGCTGCAAATGACGTAATTTTTTTAATGGATGAGTAGTATTCCATTGTGTATATATACCACATTTTTTATCCAATCATCTGTTGATAGACACATAGATTGATTCCATATCTTTGCTATTGTGAATAGTGCCACAATAAACATACAAGTGCAAGTATCTTTTTGATATCATTACTTATTTTCTCTTGAGTATATACCCAGTATTGCAATTGCTGAATCCAATGGTAGCTTTGTATTTAGTTCTTTGAGAAATCTTCATACTGTTTTCTATAGAGGTTGAACTAATTTATATTCCCACCAACAACATATAAGAGTTCCCTTATCTCCACATACTCACCAACATCTATTATTTTTTGACTTTTTAATAGTAACCATTCTGACTAGAATAAGATGATATCTTGTTGTAGCTATAATTTGATTTCTTGCTAATTAGCGAAGGGATGATAAAAATATTCTAAAATTAGATACTGATGATGCTTGCACAACCCTGTGAATATACACTGCAAAAGGGTGAATTTTATGTGTGAATTATATCTCAATAAAATATAAAACAATATTTTAATTAATAAATAAAATACATCTGTTTACCCCCCCCCAAAAAAAAACCCAGATCAATGGCTAGAAGGCAAAGAAGCTAGAAAATACACTATTCCTATTCTAAAGCTGATAATCATTTTACCATGTTGTAGATATCTCTAAGTAAGAAGTTGACAAAGATCAACAAAAAGATGTGTTCCATTCCAAAAATTTCTCGATTCTATGATTCAGCGCAGAAAGATTGTGCAAGTTTATACTTTAGTAATACAGAACAAAGTGAGTACTGGTGATAGCAGCAGAAGGCAGACACATTTCTAGGCAGACAGGGGTGAGTCCCCAGTAAAACTAGACCTTCAAACCAAGCACAGCTTAAAGCCTGAAAACTGAGTTACCAGCGTCCACAACCAGAGTGAGAACTTCCTCAGTGCCTTTTAGCCAATTTAATGGTGCTTTGTCCAGGCCCACTTATGGACCAATCAGCACACACTCCCCCATTCTGATCCCATAAAAACCCTGGACTCAGCCACATATTGGGACTACATGCTTTCAGGTAGGGGCTACCCACTTCAGGTCCCCTCTTGTGTCAAGAGCTGTTCTGTTGTCTCTTCTCTGCCTTGCTTATTCTCCAGTTGTCCATGTAACCTCATTCTTCTTGGACATGGGACAAGAACCCAGTACCCACCAAATGGCAGGTGCAAAAAATGCTGTAACACTGTAGCCCTCCAACCCTCTGCTGGCACCAGGCTGTTGCTTCATGTAACAGGAAGCAGTGGCAATGGGGCCAGGCCAGCCAAGAAGCTATGAGCTGGAATGTGGGCAGCAGGACTGAACAAGCTGTAAAACAAATGAGCTGAAACTTGCTGCCCTCCCACCCCCATTCACTGTGCTGCAGGCAGTGGAAAGAAGAGAGAGATGTATCACTCCTTGAGGGCTCAGACCTCAGGACTCCCCAAGCAACTGTAACACCCCTTGGGCTCCACAGTTGCTGGCATCTCTGAGTTTTCAGAAGCCACTGCAGCCTCCTTGTCCAGACACTGGCACCCAAGCAGAAATGATTCAAGACAGCACACCCGGACCAGTCATGGACTGAGCACAGAGTTGGCAGGCACTGGATCCAGGCCCATAGCACAAGCTGAGTGCAATCACTGGGCTGAGTGAGAGGAGTAAGCCTAGCAGAAAACCCAGTGCCAAGCAAAGCCTGAGCAAAGGCACCACTAGCCACAGAGCTTTCCTGCTGGCAAAGGAGCACCAAAAGAATCCTGTGTCATTTCTGGGGGTCATCTGAGATCTGCAAAAGGGTAAGTAAAAGTGGACCTCTTTCACTTTCATTTCGAGGCTTCTTGTCCTCAGTTTTTTTTTCTGAAAACAGATAAAGCGCTAGGCCTGTAGCAGCCAGTTAAGAACAAATGGCATGGCTGCAGAGGATAGATTTGTTGGGGAGGACTTTCACAACGCACCCTCTTGTCCCCATCACCCCCAGGTATCGAGAATATTGGCTTTGTTCCAATCCAGTCTCCCTTCACAGAAGTCTAGTTATCATGTGGGATCAAAATAAGGTCCTGGGGCAACTGAAAGTATCTGGCCAAGGGTACATCTCTGCATTACCTGAAGCTTCCTGGGCCAGCCCTCAATCCCTGACAGCCCATTCGGGTGTCAGCCAAGACCTTCAATCTTTCTTATGGATTTTTTTTTCCTTTGCAGAGGTCATAGCTCCTATCTCTTCTTTATATACAATGCTAAGGGTGTTGTTGCAAACCACAGAGATAATATGACTGGGTAGAATGAGCATTTGGCTCAGTCATCAGGAGTATAATTCAGAACAATGTGGTATGTGTCCATTCTTAGAAACTAAGAGGATGTAACAATTGAGAGTTTTCTGTCCCCTGTTAAAGGAATCAATTTGCATAGGGCAAGAGCCTATTTCCCCCCAGCCACCTTCCCCTTCCCTGCATTTAAGGGTTCCTCCCACTGCCCCCCGCACCTTGTCAGGAGTCAACAGCTTCACCTTAGCATTGTGCTTATGATAGAGAAGCAACCGAGGAGCTGCCCTACTGGTTGTTGGCTGCAATTTGCTGAGGACCACCTGGGACTAGTTTAATGGGTCTGTGTACACTCCTGAGGCACCTTTTTGTCCCAAATTCAATTCCAAGCTTCAGGTTGAAGGCCTAAAGAGGGAAAATTAGATCTGAGGGACCCAGAGGCAGTCAGAGTGGAAGGCTAGGGCACAGCCCGAGTGAGCATGACTATCCTTGCTAATTAGGCCTTCCCACTTCACTGGGAAGAACTATCATCATGACTTTGATGTGAAATCAGAATTAAGAACTAATTCTCTGAACTTACAGTGTGAAGATTACATCTGCAGAGCAGACACGCAAGTGGTTCTCAGGAACCATTCAGTTTTTAAAATACAATTTCTGGCAGTATGTAAGATTGGTCATTACAAACCCTGCTCCTCTCTCCCTACCTTAATAACCAGGACCCCACTTTTCAACATTCTGAATATCACCAGTCTTAGGGAACCAAGTCCTCCACTCCATCAAACACTTCTAGAAACTGCTTCGTAAAAGTATCACTTGTGAATCCAGAAGAACTGACTGACAGAGCAGGAGCATCATCATCTTGGACAAGTCCCTCATTCTAAAGTTCACCTTAATAAAAACCACCTAAATCCAAAGGGTATCAGCCTAATGGCTAAGGTCAGCATGACCATAAACCACAAATAACATCTCCAACCAGAAACATTCCAAACTCCTCCACAACCAGGGACATGCTAGCCCCGAGATAAACACCACTCCAGGCCAGAAGGATGTCTGCCCCAAGATAACCTCCCCTCCTCGCAAAGAGATTCCAACCCTGTCATAAACTTCCCCAACACATAAATATTCCAAGTTGTAATAAGCCCCCCCTCCCTAAGACCAATATATACTCTTAGTCTGTAAGAGAAAACTCTCCTGACTGATATCAGCCAGGAGTGCCTCTCAGGTTTTAACTAAAGAAAACCTGTCTTAGTGTTCTCATTGCTCAATTCCCACCTATGAGTGAGAACATGCGGTGGTTGGTTTTCTGTCCTTGTGATAGTTTGCTCAGAATGATGGTTTCCAGCTTCTTCCACATCCTTACAAAGTAAATGAACTCATCCTTTTTTATGGCTGCATAGTATTCCATGGTGTATATGTGCCACATTTTCTTAATCCAGTCTATCATTGATGGACACTTGGGTTGGTTCCAAGTCTTTGCTATTGTGAATAGTGCCAAAATAAAGGACATAGGATGGGGAACATCACACACCGGGACTGTCGTAGGGTCGGGGGAGGCGGGAGGGATAGCATTAGGAGATATACCTAATGTAAATGATGAGTTAATGGGTGCATCACACCAACATGGCACATGTATACATATGTAACAAACCTGCATGTTGTGCATACGTACCCTAGAACTTAAAGTATAATTTAAAAAAAGGAAAAAGAAAACCTGTCTTTAACTGCCAGCCACATTTCATGTTTCTTTCCTCTTTCTTTAACTCTTAAACTGACTATGTTCAATAATAAAGTCAATAAACAGGTCAAATAATATAAACATCCAGTTGATGTTTTCTGAATGTTAAATTTGTAAGACAAAGAGTTCTACAATTCTATGGAACAGGGATATGAAAGATAGTGGGAAGTAGGGAGAACATCAAAGATTCAAATGTTCATAGGTCTGTAGGTCTTTGTCAGATATTTATGACATGTTCTCAGGACACTGAACAAGAGCCAGTGTTTGAGTTCTTAGAATAAAGCAAATCCAAAAACATTAGTTTTCAGAGCTTGAATAGACCTTAGAGATCACCAAACCAAACTCCTTATTTTATGAACTAGAAAACTGCAGTGCTAAGAAAAACAAAACCAGATATGATTAGCTTATACAGTTAGTTGGAGATATGGGATTTGAATGCAGGTTTCTTGATTCATGGACCAGTCATTCTTTGGCAGTTTTAGTTCTACCTCTTCAGAGCAACCACAAATTATTTGAGAGAGTTGTCCTGTCTTCTTTATCAATACAAAGTATGCAATCTACAGGTAAAGTCCATTTAAGGAAGTTTAAATTACTCCTCTCGGCCTCTTAAGTTGTTCAGAGACAATCTCGGCACCATGAAATATGTTTTCTACTTAGTCTCATAGTATCCTCTTGATTTAATACTATGGAGATAGGTTGAATATCTCAAAAACATGACTTAAGAAGACACCAAGGGTCACCGGCCAATGTTCCTCCTACAGAAACAAAGAATTCAATCTTATAGATAACTCAAGAGAATAGAATCTCCTCATGATCATTCCCTCCCACTTTTCATTCTGTTCTTCTTTGCTGCTTTTAAACTCCTTTCCATTTCCCCTTTGCTTCTTTATATCTCTCTGCTCAAATACATACCAGAAACATTGGGACCAAGTCAGAGGTTTGAAGACTGAATATTCTTTTCCCTTTGCTCACCACAGGGACTCCACCTATTCATCCTAACCAAAATATATGAACAAGCTGCAACTCACTGCCTACTTTCTATTAGTTCCATTCTCATTTGTTTTAAGGCCTCGGAATATTGCATATGGATAATAACATAAAAAGTAATAAGTCCTCTCACAATTCCTTGTGAAATAAAAATCTAGCAATGGGGGTGGGGAGGATTGACAGTCTAATCATCTATTATAATAGCAGTATTTTGTTTTTTGTTTTAAACAAACTGCAGTTTGGAATAGCAATCTGTTTTGTTTATCATGTCAAGTTCTTATGAAAGTATTTCAGTTGGATTTCACCCAAAATCTATAACACACCATGTAATACATAATTTTGCTGTCATATGGTTGCAAATTTTGACACTTATTTTGCCAGAAAATACAGGTATGAATATGAAAGAGGCCCCCTCAGAGATTTATTGCTTAGTATCCCAGTAGTTCCTCAGTCTTTCTTTGTCGAAGCTCAACCAGCCAGTATTTTACCAAGCAGATTTTGTTGCCCTTTGTTTCTGTTTAGATTTCCTTAAAAATTACCCTTCAAAAAATCCATAGGCTAATTTTTTTTATTTTTATTGCTAATTGTTCCTAATTCTTCAACATTAAATGGTATAAACTGTCTTGGATATTCATAGCTAAAATAAATGCAGACAATTTTACAATTTCCTTGAATGGTCATGGTTGTACAATGAAACTTTTTGTTACTCTTTCAATTGCACATAAAAATTACTCTTTTTCTCTTTGTCTATCTACCTCAAAATTCTTTGTTTCAAGTATACAAATGAGTCATTAGTGAAAGCAAAATGGGTACTTTTTATCTAAGGAAGGTTAAAACTTAACTTACTTTAAAATTCAGCATTTTCTGGGTTAAATTAGAACACTACTTCAATATCTGCAATTCAAATAAGTCCTCTGAGAAATTGGCCTCCATAACCAGTGACGTGCTGCTGAACTGAACAGATCTCCAAAATATCCTAACAGATTTCTTTCTTTCATTGTAGAATTGTTTCCATCTGGTGCTTAGATATTAAACCTGGAATATGTAAAGGCTCTCCTCTCTCACCCTGTTTGACTTCCAAATGCTGGCAAATAATTTGCATTGTCAATGAATTGAGGATTAAAATTTTGAACTTAACTGAGTAGCTGCAAGATGCAAAATTTAAAGTGATAGATCTTCAAAGTAGTGAATTTTTCTCTTTTAATTTTGAGAAATGGAGACTTGAAATGTTACTTGTTTGTAGAACATTCTAATTTGAACTTTATTTGCTTAAAAAGAATAAAAATTTTCTCAATTTTTATCCCAAGTTCAGGATATCAAAACATGAATTTATGAACAGTATTATAGGCCAAATTTTTGAGTACTTAAATCAGAATATTAGCATCTAAAAATACTTGCATGCATATATTTCAAGAGATAAGCAGATAGCTATTTAGACGTATACATGTTGAAGTTTCCAAGACCCTCGGTCACTGACAGTGATTTCTTCATGAAAATTTTAAGGAGGCTTCACAGTAATAGAAAATAATGTCTGACTTTTACGATTGGCAACATTTTTCATGGCATTTTAACTGGAAAGCACAGAGTTACTTCTGAGAAACATAATTGCTTCCAGAAATGTTTAACCCACTAGGAGAATGTTTACATGAAGTGAGCAATAGTCACAAGAAGTGAATAAACCAATTCTATGCACACAGCAGTGTAAAAAGCCTGGAAGCAGGCATACAGGGATCTGTAAGAGAACCAATGCAGGACATGATCATTCTGTTCAATTGTTTTCTTATTGTCAGTAGTCTGGCAACTTCCACCCATTCCCCTTTAACCCAGCAGTTGATAGCACATGGCTTCCAGAGCAAATAGTCAACCAGTTCTCTTTTCCAAATCTTCACATTTAAGTCTGTCTTCCCCCTGACCATGCCTTTCTTTCTGACATTCCATTATACTTTCTTCACATTGTGTCTCATTTAATTGCTTCCTTTAATCTCTTTTTCTTAAATTTGATCTGCCTTGATCTGGAATATTTTCTGATGCACTGAAGTAAAACTGGTCATTCTCCATTTCATAGCTAGTTAAAAAGATAACTTTGAGTTCCTACACACACTTGGAACTGCTCACCATCTCTGCCAGTGTGCTCACATTTACTTAAAAAAAAAAAAGTCTAAGAAGACTTACGGCAAAGCATTACCTTGAGAAGGACAGTTAAGAATGTTTTGCTGATAGGCATATAATCACTTGACTGATTTTCACAAACATTTGTGGGAATCTGTTAAAGTATCTTAGTCCAGTTCGGTCTCAGCAGGACCCAACATCTTGACCCAAAGGCCTCCAAACAAAAAGATTCATTAAAGTGGTGAAAATTTTCCATAAAACTTTAAGACATCAAAGAACTAATTTCTGTAGTTCCCTGCCATGCAAAATATTACAGTATAAGTTTAGAGCTAATATTGGAACTAGAATAATCTAGAACAGATAGATATTCTCAAAATATTGTACATACTTTAAACTAAAATCTAAAAAAGATCCAAAAACACCCGTTGCAGTTTGCAACATGAGTCTTACAGAAAATTACAATGTGTACTTCTAGCTAAAAGGAGCAAACAAACAAAAATCAACGCTAAGTGAATGATGTAACTGTTTTGTATCTTTTCATCCACTCAAAAAGAAGAAAGAAAGAAGAAAGAGAGAGAGAGAGGAAGGAAGGGAGGAAGGAAGGAAGGAAGGAAGGAAGGAAGGAAAGAAGGAAGGAAGGAAGGAAGCGAAGGAAAAGAAGGAAAGGAAGGAAAGGAAGGAAGATTTTATTTCCTCCGATTAAAAGTTGCATTTTCTTTTCTGTCTCCTTTTTTCCTTCCTCTCCCCCATCTGCCCACTGTTCCCTCTTTCCTTTTCTCCATTTGTATGACAGTGGCACTGATTCAAAGAAGGGGTGGAGTCCGAAATTTTGGGTGGTCTTAGTAAAGCTTTAGTCTTTGGCTAACCTCTCCTTAAATTGGTCAGAAGCCAAAAATTTCCAGTATTAGGGAGAGTCACTTTGAAAAGTTGTATATGCATGTCTGTGTGCATGTCAATATATTTGCTCTGGCTTAACAAGAAAAACTGAACAACATATCCCTGTGTAAGCTGTGGTTCTTATTTGGTTTCAGTGTTCATTTATTTCAGTTTATTGTTTGACATCTCCCACTAGCTAAGCCAGGAAACTCATGGCAGATCTTCAAAAAATAACTCCACTCCCACATTTCTTTTTTTCTTTGTTCTGATTCTTTACTCTCTCTTACCCTCAAAAAGTTTAATGAAACAAGTGTTCAGGGAAAGATAGTATTTGCTTATTGTATCTTATTATAGTTTTAAGAACCAAACATAAAGTCTCCCTTACAGCTTCTCTGTTTTATTATAAAATTATACTTGATTCAGATTTGTTTTGAAAGACCAGTTTACTTTTTTTAATTAAAAAGAGGAATACAATGTCCTTTCCATAAGTAGACTCACAAAGAAGGTAGGAGTCATTTTCTTCCATTAATGTCACAACAAAACAGTCTTACATACTCTGAATTGGAGTGAAAATTAGAGAAATAAATCACCTGCATGATGAGCATACATTATCATGGAATTTTTAAAGGCCTCATCTTTTGGGTACCTGGCAATAACTAAGCAAAAATAACCAACAGGGTAAAAAAATGCCACCATCATTTCAATGAAAATAACCAAACTGCTCCCAGAAAACAAAGTAGCAAATCCATTTAGGCTCACTGGTGCATGTCTGGAACTTTCCAAATGAAACCTTGCATCAAAGAAAAGTTTAAACACTTTTCTTCAAGATCAGTCAAAACTAAACTAAAATTGCATGGCTTAAAGAGTTACAAATTTCCACTCTTAAAAGCAATCTTATTTTGGTTGCTTGCAGCTGGTCCCAAAGCAAGAAATGAAATATTTAAAATGGAGGAGTTTGCAATATATTACTGGATCCTTTCTTAAGTGGCTATCCCTCCAAAGAATGCCAAAACTTTGTAGACTTGATTAGGATTGCACTGGAGCCGGACTCAGCACTGCAGATTAGTGTAGAGCACGTTTTATCCAAAGCTAGCACGCAATGAATAAGCTTTATTTTTAAATGAAAAATTCCAAAGATACTGATTCACATAAAGAGGGAGCATTTCAAGTTCACATTATGAAAAGTCATTGGTAGGACCAACAATACAGTATTTAGTGTAGCTGTTCTGGAACACAATGGAGCTAAATTGATTAAGCAGGGATATGAGCTACAAAGTGAATATCAGATATAACAGACTAATGCTTTAAAGAACTACAAGCTGCTGATTCTCAATAGCCTTATGAGTTTTTAATTCTTACATTATAGAACTCTATAAACCAAATCACCTTCAAAATGATAATAAATTGAAAATCTTCAAAATAATCAATCTTCTTTGAATGTGCTTCTATTCAAAAAGAATGTGAGAATTGAGTTTTTCCAAAAAGTGACAAACCTAATTTCAGTGATGATGACTTTTTTTATTTCCAACTGGAGAAAGAGGCAAAGATCTAGTTGCTATTTAAGTTTGACAAAGTCTACATTTTGAGGAAATCTTATTATCCTTAGAATATTTAGAATAATGCTAGTAGTTAAGAGTGAACAATACTGTCTCTGTTTCTATATAGCAGAATGAGCACATGCATCTAATTGCAATATTATCTGACAGTCTACTTAAACTATAGTAAAGTATTTTTTAAAAGATTTAAACCCACAAAGACACAAAGAATAAGAATAAAGATAACACTGCATTGTGAGAGTTGAATGACACACACAGACACACACACACACACAGAGAGAGAAAGAGAGAGATTGACTAACGGCTATTTCCTCCCACTAGTAGTTATGGGAAACTTAGGGTAAAATCTAATTTATGTCAGAGAATACTCAAAAGGCATAGGAACTAACAGCAACAGGTGACTTTATAATGAGGGTTTATGGGAGACAGGAGATAAAATAAAGAGGCCCAGAGAAAAGCTTTTTGAGAAACAAGCAGATCTCAGGATCCTCTACTTGATTCCATGTTGCTGAGCAAGTGCCCTACCAGCACACGTGTAGAATGCTGGAAGCTTATTTTCTAGAAATGATTAAAAAAATAAATAAATAAATAAATAAAAGAGGATACTTTCATTTCCTGTGGTTGTAGTAAAAGAAGTCACCACAAATGGGGGTTTCAAACTTCAAAAATGTATTCTCTCTCAGTTCTAGAGGTCAGAACTCTAAAATCAGTTTCACTGAATCAAATGCAAGGTGTTGGCAGGACCTCATTTCCTCCATGAGAGAGTCCCTCCCTGACTTCTTCTAGCTTTCTCAAATGGCTGTGGCTCTCCAAACTCTGCCTGTATAGTCACACCGTCTCCTTTCCTGTGCATGTCAAATCTCCCTCTGCCTCTCTTTCACAAGGGTACAAGAGATCTCACCCAAATAATGCAATACAGTCCTACCATGTCAAGATTCTTAGTTAGATCTGCAAAGACCCTTATTTCTTATAAGGTAATATTTTCAGGTTCCAGGGATTAGGACTTGATGTGTTTTGGTGGCCATTAAAAATAGTGCCCTTGCTCTAATACAAAGAATATGTAATTTGCGAATGCCAGGCACCGTTGAGGGCATAGGTACCATAAATGACTATATGAAAAGAAACACACCAACTTCTTCCTCACTTAGCTTCCATAATGCCAAAAAAAGTGGACTCTTACCTTCCCTTAAATAGATCTAAAAGCTCTACTGTAAGGAACTTGATTAGTCCAAAAAGAAAGTTCTAAAGTTAGTGCCCCCAAAATGCCCCCACCACCAGATTATTCTGCAGTGAAGCTCAAAGTCAACAAATCAGATCCACATGATCACAGTCTCCATTCAGTCTTTTATTCTTCCACTCTTAATCACAGGCATACAGAGATTGCCAGATATCTGAGAGAAGCTTCAAACATGGAAGATAGACTCTAAAATAAACAAACAAAAAGCAAATACCTCTTTGGGGGTAGCAGGCTATTCAAGGAAAGAAGCTTACTTTTTATAGTAGTGATAGCCTCTGAACAATAAAAACAGATGGAAACATTTAGAGACCTGAAAGAACAATAAAAAAATTTAAGAATTGAAAGACTTAAACTAAAATTATCTACCCATTCAGTCCATCAACATATAAATAGAGAAAATAAGCCATTTTCAGATTTGCAAAATACCAAATTTTTGATTTTCTCGTAACCTTCCTCAAAAAGTTATTGAGGATGTTTACTCTGAACCAAAATGGAGTAATAGAAACTAGATTTAATCTCTTCCTTGATACAAACAAAAAAAGACAAAAATAATGAGAAAGCCATTTGAAAGACACAACATCAGGCAACAAAGGTAAATCCTAATATTACCCCAGTTTACCACCTTGAGAGTTTACAGATCCAAAATGAGTGATGAAAAACTCAGATGGAGCCCAGAGGCTCCCTGAGTTGAGGACACAGAGATGAGACTCCAGAGAGATGAAGAACGAAGTTAGAGTTTCTAGGAAAGAGTACCAGAGAGGAGAGAGCTCACAGGACGAAACCCAGAGAACTGCAGAATGTGCCCCACAAGTAGCGATCAGTGCTATAAGTGAGAAGACTACCCAAAGTAGGGGGGAAAACACCCAAAAGGGCAGTGTTAACAGCATCTGCTTCTCACACAGGGATGGTAAGAGGACCTCATCTCACCCAGCAATCTGGGAAACCTCTTTGTTTACAGGCATTGGATAGGATACACAGAAGGATCTCATCTCTGGAGTACTTTTCCAGCCCTCTTAACACATCCAAGAAGCAAAAACTCAAAGGATCAATCTGCTTTCAAGTAACTTGACTGCATGCTCAAAAAAACTCAAGAATATTTATAGGAAACAAAAGTGCACCGGACCCAAAAAAGGAAAATGCATAATATCCATCAACCAATCAAAAATTGCCAGTCAGACAAAAAGCAGGAAAATGTGATTCATTGTAAAGCAATAGAGCAATCAATATTAAACTGACCCAGAACTGAAAAAGATGTTAGAATTAGCAGACACATACATTTAAAATGTTATTGTTACTATATTCCATATGTCCAGAAAATTGAGTAGACACATGGAAGATATCTTTTTTAACTCAAATCAAACATCTAAAGATGAAGATACTGGAGAAAAAATGAACTTGAAGATATAATAATAGAAACTATCCAAATATGAAACATAGAGAAAAAAAGAAAATGAATTTTTAAAAAACCATTGGTAGCTGTGAGACAACTTCAAGCAGCCGAACATATGTGTATTTAGAGTCTTCCATGGAAAAGAGAAAGAGGAGGAAAAAGAACAAATATTTTAATAAATAACCTCAAAAACTATCCAAATTTGATGAAAACTATAAATCCACAGTCTAAAAAGTTCAATGAACCCTGAACACAAAAAATGTGAGGAAAACTGCATAAGAATACATCATAATAAAATTGCTAAAAGCCGGTGATAAACAGAAAGTCTTAAAAGCAGCCAAAGTAAAAGCAAACACTATGTTCAGATGAAGAGACATCAAGATAAGAGCATATTTTTTGTTGGAAACAATGCAAGTGAAAAGACAGGAGAGTAATATATTTAAAGTACTAAAGGAAGAGAAAACTGTCAACTTAAAAATCTATACCTGAGAGATAATATCTTTGAAAATATCAATGAAAATAAAAGATTATTTTCGAAGTCAAAATAAAGATTATTTTCAGACATACAAAAGCCACAGGAATTTATCTCAAACATACCAACAAATAATTAAGTTGAACAAATTCCTAATATTTGAAAACAAAAAAAATCACTTTCTAAATAATTCATAGGCCTAAAAAAATTAAAAGAACAAATTCGAGTGTATTTTAAACAGAATAAAAATGAAAGTGTGTTTTAAAAAGAATAAAAATAGAAGTGCAATTGTTATGGGTTAAATTGTGCCCTCACCCCAAATTATGTTCTTACCCTTAGTACACCAAAATGTGACTTTATTTGAAAATAGGATCATTACAGGTATAATCACTTAAGTTAAGATAAGGTCATACTGGATAGGGAAGGCTCTTAACCCAGTTTGGTTGGTGCCTTTGCAAGAAAAGGAGAAAAGACACACACAGAGAGAATACCAACTGATGACAGAGACAGAAATTAGAATGATAAACCACCAAGCTAAGGAATACCAAGGATTGTTACCACCACCAGAAACTAAGAAAGGACAAGGAAAGATTCTGCCCAGTGACTGCAGGAGAACATTTTGGTGACATTTCGACTCTGGACTTCTAGCCTCCAGAACTGTGAGAGAATAAATTACTGTTGTGTTAAGTGATGCAGCATGTGGTACTTTGTTACAGAAACCCTAGAAACTAATATAACATATCAAAATGTATGGGATGCCCTTAAAATAGTACTTAACATTTAATTTAACCTACTTAATATTTATACTTGAAAATAAAAGTGATCTTGTCAATGACATTAGCTTCCAAAGCAGGAAGAGGAGAAGGAAAAAAATAAGTATCTGTGCAGAAATCAATTATCTAGAAATCACGAAACAAGTCAATGAAACCCAAAACCCAAAACTCAAAACAGCATGGTACTGGTACCAAAACAGATATATAGACCAATGGAACAGAACAGAGGCCCCAGAAATAACACCACACATCTACAACCATCTGATGTTTGACAAACCTGATAAATACAAGCAATGGGGAAAGGATTCCCTATTTAATAAATGGTGATGGGAAAACTGGCTAGCCATATGCAGAAAACTGAAACTGGATCCCTTCCTTAAACCTTACACAAAAATTAACTCAAGATGGATTAAAGACTTAAATGTAAGACGTAAAACCATAAAAACCTTAGAACAAAACCTAGGCAATACCATTCAAGACATAGGCATGGGCAAGGACTTCATGTCTAAAACACCAAAAGCAATGGCAACAAAAACCAAAATAGACAAATGGGATCTAATTAAACTGAAGAGCTTCTGCACAGCAAAAGAAACTATCATCAGAGTGAACAGGCAACCTAGAGATTGGGAGAAAACTTTTGCAATCTATCCACCTAACAAAGGCTAATATCCAGAATCTACAAAGAACTTAAACAAATTTACAAGAAAAAAACAAACAACTTCATCAAAAAATGGGTGAAGGATATGAGCAGACACCTCTCAATTGAAGACATTTATGCAGCCAACAAACTTACGAAAAAATGCTCATCATCACTGGTCATTAGAGAAATGCAAATCAAAACCACAATGAGATACCGTCTCACACCAGTTAGAATGGCAATCATTAAAAAGTCAGGAAACAACAGATACTGGAGAGGATGTGGAGAAATAGGAATGCTTTTACACTGTTGGTAGGAGTGTAAATTAGTTCAACCATTGTGGAAGACAGTGTGGTGATTCCTCAAGGACCTAGAATAAGAAATACCATTTGACCCAGCAATCCCATTACTGGGTATATACCCAAAGGATTATAAATCATTCTACTGCAAGGACAGATGCACACGTATGATTATTGCAGCACTGTTCACAATAGCAAAGTCTTGGAACCAACCCAAATGCCCATCAATGATAGACTGGATTAAGAAAATGTGGCACATATACATCATGGAATACTATGCAGTCATAAAAAAGGATGAGTTCATGTCCTTTGCAGGGACATGGATGAAACTGGAAACCATCATTCTCAGCAAAGTAACACAGGAACAGAAAACCAAACACCGCATGTTCTCACTCATAAGTGACAGCTGAACAATGAGAACACATGGACACAGGGAGGGGAGCATCACACGCTGGGGCCTGTCAGAGGGTGGGGGGCTGGGGGAGGGATAGCATTAGGAGAAATAGCTAATGTAAATGACGAGTTGATGGGTGCAAGAAACCAGCACGGCACATGTATACCTATGTAACAAACCTGCATGTTATGCATATGTACCTCAGAATTTAAAGTATAATTTAAAAAAGAAGAGGAAAGAAAATTTACATTCTAGCCAGACTGATCAGAAAAAAAAACAATGAAAGAGAAGACACAAGTTACCAACATAAAAAATGAGAGAGGTAGCACCACTATAAATTCTATGAATATTTAAAGAATAATAAGAAAACATTGTGAACATATTTGTGGCAACAAATTGACCAATTTAGATGAAATGAAAGATTCAATATTATTGAGATGTGTATTCTCCCCAGTTTATAGATTCAACACAATCCCAATCAAAATCCTAGCAAGGCTGTAGAAACTTACAAGCTGATTCTAAAATTTATATGGAAATGCAAATAATCTAAAATACTCAAAACAACCTTGAATAAAAAGCCAAAATAGGAGAATTGACACTACACATGATATGAAGATTCATGATAAAGCCATAGTAATCAAGATGATGCTATTGGCATCACACAAGATAAACATGTAGATCAATGAAACAAAAAGTGCTCAGAAATAAGTTCACACGTGTATGGACAATGACTTTCAACAAAGATGCAAAGGCACAATTAATTGGAAAAGGACAGTCTTTTCAAAAAGAGTACTGGAAAAATTTAATTTCCATATGGAATAAACAAACTTTGATCCATATCTCACACTGTATAAAAAATTAATTCAAAATAGATTATGCATTTAAATGTAAAATCTATAAGAAGTATAAAAACTTCTAGAATACAGCATAGGAGAAAATTTAGGTGACTGAGTTAAACAAGGTTTTATTACTTACTATACAAAAAGAACAATTTATAAAAGAACATGTGTTAGTCCATTTTCATGCTGCTGATAAAGACATACCCAAGACTGGGCAATTTACAAAAGAAAGAGGTTTAATTGGACTCACAGTTCCACATGGCTGGGGAGGCTTCAAAATCATGGTGGAAGGCAAGGAGGAGCAAATTATGTCTTATGTGGATGGCGGCAGGCATAGAGAGCGAGCTTGTTCAGGGGAACTCCCATTTTTAAAAAACATCAGATCTCAGAGACTCACTCACCATCACAGGAACAACACAGGAAAGAGCCGCCCCCATGATTCAACCACCTCCCGCCAGTTTCCTCCCATGGCATGTGAGAATTGTGGAAGTTACAATTCAAGATGAGATCTGGGTGGGGACACAGCCAAACTATATCATAACACATTTATAATTTTTACTTCATCAAAACTTAAAACTTCTGCACTTCAAAAGGCTTTTTAAAAATTTTTTGAGACGGGACTGGAGTGCAGTGGCACAATCTCAGCTCACTGCAGCCTCCATCTTCTACAATCCTCCCACCTTAGCTTCCCAAGTAGCTGGGACTACAGGTGTGTACCACTACATCCAGCCAACTTTTTCTTTTTTTTGGTAAAGATGAGGTCTCACTATATTGCCCAGGCTGATCCCCAACTCCTGGACTCAAGCAGTCCTCCACCTCAGCCTTGCAAAGTGCTGGGATTACAAGCATGTGCCACTGTGCCTGGCCAAAAGACTATTAAAGATTAAAAATACTATTAAAATAATTTTAAAAAGCAGCTTAACTAATGAAATAAAATATTTACAAATCATGTATCTGATAGGGGAATTTTACTCAGAATATATAAATAACTCTAAATCTCAATAATTAAAAAACATAATCCACTAAAAATATGGGCAAAATATTTTAGTAAACATTTAACTAAAGAAAATATACATGACAAGAGAATTTTTAAAAATCCTCAATAACATTAGTCACTAAGATAATGCAATTTAAAATCACAATGAGATTACAAATACAAACCTATTAAAATGGCCAAAATTTGAACCCCTGAACATACCAAGTGTTGGAAAGGATGTGAAGGAATTGAAACTCTTGTTTGCAGCTGGTGAGACTGCAAAATGGTGGGATGACTCTGTAGAGCATTTTGGCAGTTTCTTAAATAGTTAAAAATACACCCACCATATGATCCAGCTATTCTACGTCTAGATAGTTACCCAAGAGAAATTTTAAAATATTTTCATACAAAGATACATATGAATGTTTACAGCAGCTTTACTTGTAATAGCCAAAATTGAGAAGCAACCAAAATATCTACTATCAGTTAAGTGGATAAACAAACTCTGGGATATCTAACTTTAAAAATACAAAACAATAAAAAGGAATGTTCTATTGATACATATTACATGAACGAATCTCAAAATATGCTGAGTAAAATCAGCCAGATTTTTGTAAAGTACATGCTACATAATTCTAGTCACATAAATTCTAGGCAGTGCAAAGCAAATAGCAACAAAAAGAACAGTAGTTGCCTAGGTGTGGTGTTAAAATGATTGGGACACAAAATGAGGAAAATTTGAGCACCACAATAATTAATGATAGTAATGTATTATAATACCTTTTTAAATGCATGACTATTTAAAAAAGAAAAAGTGACCAAAAAATTAAGAAAAGGAGAAAGAAAGCCTCTACTTTGGAAAAGAATGTCAGGTAGCAAATTAAAAATAAATGAGACAATCAGAAAAATAACATTTTGCAAACTGCAATATAATGACTGAATCAGGAAAAGTCATCGATGAATGTAAAAAATGATTTATACTTCTACATATTTTATATTTTCACACTTGAAAAATGACTAACCTTTGTAAATCTAATAAGTTTATATTTGTTGATATTTCTTACCCATGTGTAGGTCTTCTTTGTTTGAACAAACTTAAACTTGCACATTTCTCTTGTAATACAAAGCAGTTCTGATAAAGGTATATTAAGCTACAAACACATGACAGAATTTTCTAGAGAAGACTTTCTTTGATACAAATAATTCTGGCAACAGTAAGCAGGTTATTTATAACTCCTGTTCTAATCTAGAAAATAACTTAGATCTCTGTTTCAAACACTTTTACATATTGAGATACACATTCACAAGAGTCAATAAAGAAAAATGCTTTTATACTATGTTTTCTGAGATTTTTGTGCTAATGACAACAATAAGTATAAAATCTTCTTCAATTTCTATATGTTTGCTGAGATTGAAGCAAAGAAATTGGTTGTTTATCTTCTATTCTTCTTGCTATCTTTGATAGCTGGCATTTCTTTCTACAGAAACAAAAATAAAGTAGAAAAAACCCTCAAATGTCATTGACATGTTTTCAGCAGCTAAGTATGAAATTTAAACATTTCACCTCTGGCAATTTCAGTATTATTTTATATCAATTATCTAGGGAATTACTTCTTTATTTAGCTCTAGGTATAAAAAGGAGTAAAATTCCTCCAGTGATTGAAGCTACTGACAGAATTCTGCTAGGAATTTTGAACATACATCTCTTCCTCTCTCCTTTCAGCAGCAAAGTACGTGGGGAAATTATGTCAATTATGAATTTTTCTGTTATACTTAAAATACATCCTAAGTTTTAAAAAAATTAAAGCTTGATGCCGCTGGAAAGTTTATTAGTTATTATTAAGAGCCTGAAATAAATGAAGAGGCAAGTCCACCAAAAACAAAAATCCAAAACACAGAAAAATAGTATAACTCTTAAGAAAACAAAGTAGATTTTAATTATTTTTATTTTTTATTTTTAAAAGGAATCAATTAAGAAGAGAGAAGGATTTAGATTGTTTTTCTTTATTTTTCCAATTTTTACTAAGAATATATTTCTCAGTTACTGCTTCCTATGTCTGCCCAACAAAGATAATTGGAAATTTCCTGCCAATTTAATCTAAGGAGATTGTGTACTTGTTCAATGTACACCACTCTGTTTCCACACCAAATGGTCTCACATCAATTGGGCATATTGCATTTCAGTTACAACACTAAGTTATCATCAGACTCCACAGGATTAAGGGCTGAATTTTGCACAGGATTGCTCTCACTGTAGATGCCAGCTGCTAGACTTTGGGGATCCTCAAGTCACCTGCACTTCTGACCAATTGGTTATTAATTCAGGAAGTCCCCATGACATACATAAGAGGACTAGACAAAGATATTGAAATGGCAAGGTCTGGCAGGGGATACAGAGCCTCTATGACATCTCCCATGGAGTCAGGGCACATCACCCTCACAGCACATCTATTTGCCAACCAAGCAGCTCCCCTGAACTTCGGCATTCAGAGTTTTTATTAGAGTTTCATGTTTTTAAGCGAGACTGATTAAATCATTGGCCATGTGATTAAACATAATTTTCAATCCCCCTTTCCTCTCTTGAGGTCAGGCTGGCCTTTCTGATGGCCAGCCCCCATTTCGAAGCTATCTAGGGGCCCATCATGTGTTGCACCATATCAGCATAACAAAGACATTCTTATACTTCATGAAATTGTAAGGATTTTAGGAGCTCCATGCCAAGAACTCAGGACAGAGACCAAATTCTTTATAATACTACATGTTCTTGGTGCCTTTGATTAACTGTGTGAAACACAACCTGTTCCCACCATTGCCTATTGTCTATTATCTAATCAATAAGATCAAGCATATGACTTTACTCATGCAGGAAATTCTTTCCCAATAAGATAAAGTTGCAACTAATACACAGTTCAACTAGCTTCCTCTCAAAATAATAGATTGTTTATCAGTGTAAATGAGTCTTCCTGTGGACAATATACAACTCAAAAGGCCAAATTACTTGTTTATCAAATGACTAATTATCAAGACTTACTTTAAAACCCTCACCTTGATGTGTCAACTAATCCTAAACTATTACATCTTGCACATTGTCCAATTCCAACAACCGCCATTATTAAAAGACACACCTAAAGCCATATGCCAAAGGCTTATAATTACATGTCTTTAATCTCCCTCTTTCCAAGATACGATAAAATTCTTTCAAGAAGATGGTCTTTCTTACTGCAGAATAATAAACTTTGCTAAATCAATTTATTATTTCAGTGGTCTTTTCAAGGAGCTGGCCATCAATAATAGCCACTGAAACTTTTCTTTCTGTAAAACTCCAAAAGGGTAGCCCTTCTCCCCTTGACCTAGCTTTCTAGAAAAGATTCTGATATGGAATATTGCTGATACTCAGACTACTGCTATTTCTGTGATCAGGAAACTGTCCTTTCTCTCTGACCCAGGAGTCTAGTACCTACTGATGAAACTGTAAGACTATTTAAGCTTGCAGGTAAGGTAAAATCTTAGACCCTTCACAGTTCTTGATAATCTATTATATTAGAAAACAGGAATTAAAAATTTCTAGGTAATTTCATATGAGTGATTCTACTCTTAGGTGTCTATTTTATATGAAAAGACAAAATAGAAAATGGATTTGACACAAATCCATTAAGCTTAACTTTTAGTAGCGTTAGATCTTTTAATTTTTTTTATC
The DNA here is from genome assembly GCF_000001405.40 of Homo sapiens. Classification (NCBI taxonomy): domain Eukaryota; kingdom Metazoa; phylum Chordata; class Mammalia; order Primates; family Hominidae; genus Homo; species Homo sapiens. Next base: position 17,210,435 of record NC_000021.9, read on the forward strand.
CTATGATTCCATTTATCTTGAGCTTATCATTCATTTGGTCCTTGGCTTTTGGTCTTTGTTTAGGGGCTGCAGAGGCTTCACTGGTTCATTTCTTTCCTTGGTGACATTGTCCAAAGACCAGGTGGTAGTCAGGTTTTTAGGTAGATTGCTGGACTCAGTATTATTCTGCAGCCCATAAGAAGAAATACTGTTTTTATCTCCTAGGTCACTAAAGGCATCTAAGTGTCTTGGTTGATTCTTCTGAACTAAGCCACTTAGTTCATTGAGTCTCTCCTTTCTGCAGGTAAGATGTCAATATTTACCCTCCTGATTGTGGCTAGTGACCACACAGTATTACTCATGCATGGTTTCTAGGCATGGCCTTTCAGACTGGCAGGTAACTTCAAGGGACCCATGACTATGGCTTTTGCTTCGAACAAACATTTTTCTTCATTCATTACATACATCCCACAGCCCTTGAACAGTGTGATTGGGGGTGGGTCACTCATGATTTCATTCTGTCTTTCTAGAAACCACTATAACAACAGATTTGGATTTAGAGTAATCACTTTTAATGTTATTTTTGGAAAACTTTGTCTTTGTAGCCTTCAAAAACAAGATTTGGTGCTTTACATTAGACTGTTTTGGGATGCTCCTCACAGAGGGTCTTTCTTCAGGACTTCCGTTCTGCACTGTTATTATCAGTTCTGCCAGCTCTGGGCTATAATCTATTGGTATCTCTGGCAGCTTTTCTTCAATAATTTCATAAACTAAAGAATTGGTATTTTTACATTGAAAGTATGCTTTGGGTGACCATTTCACAAACACAGCATCCCAGAGTCCAAACATCAGACTTATAGCTCTAGTGTTTGTTTGAGAATAATTGAGGACTCATGTAGTAAGGTGTGCCAGTGAGGGTACTAACCATGTCACAGTTGCTATAGTGATCCAGGGTGGGGCACTGCCCTCAGACACTTGATTTTAAGTAGTCCATAGAATATCAAAGAAAGAGTTGGTCACCAAATACAGATTTTTAAAATAAATGTAAACCATTAGCATATATAGATAAAATATAAAAATGAATGCAAATAATTTGGTTTTTCTAGAAAGCATCTAGTATTATGTTATTCAAAATAATATTGTTCACAGTATTTATTGTCTTGATCGAAATGTTAGTTTTCTTTTGACTTAATTTTAGTTTCTGTTTAATTCCTAGGAAGGCTATTGGTTTAAAGAAAAAGTCTTACCACTCAAAAATATGAGTTGATAAAGACAGTAAAAACCATGTGTTATCATCTTTGTGCAGTTTACAAGACACTGTGCCCATAATAATACATTCTCAATAAAGAATAAAGGAAGGAAAAATATAAGAAAGGGAAGAAGAAATGGTGAAAAAGAATCATAAAAACAAAGATAAACTCATGAATCAATAAAAGAGAGAAGAAAAGGGAAAAGTAAAAGAAGAAAAACATAAAGAGGGAGGGGAAGATCATGAAAGACAAGAAAAAAGACGAAAGATAATTTTTTTCTATAACACAACAGTAACATGGCAAGGAATTCTCAACTCTCAAGATTTACTGAAATTTTGACAGAACTCAGAGAGACTGTAGAATGTGTGCTTGAAACGTGAATGAAGAAAAGAGAAACAAATCAGATAATGGGCATAAGGTAGACTCTTATCCGAATGTACAAAAGTGAGTGGGTATATTTTTTTAAAAATAAAGACAGTTTTATGGTATGAATGTGTCTCCCAAAATTCATATGATAGAACTTAATCACCAATGTGATTTTACCAAGATGTGGAGACTTTAGGGAGTTATTAAGTCATGAAAGCAGAGTCATCATGGATGAGATTAGAGCCATTAAAAAAGGGCTTGAAGGAGTAGGTTCTTTCTCTTCCCCTCTTCTGCGATGTGAGGACACTGCTTTCAAGGCAGTTCCAAGTTTCATCTTGGAAGCAGAGGCTGGAGCCCTCACCAGACACTAACCTGCAGCCACTTTGATCTTGGACTTCACTGTTTCCAGAACCATGAGGAAATAAATTTCTTTATAAATTACACAGTCTCAGGTATTTGTTATAACAGTACAGATAAACTAAGAAAGACAATGATTTTGCATCTATATCTTGAAGAAAATAAGGAATAGTATGTAAACAACTGTTTAAAGTGTTTAAAACAGTCTATTCCATTGAAACACTGTTACACATTAGAATATATTTTTATATTAATTTTTTCTCTTTTCTAAGAACAGGATCCTCACTTTGCATGGCCTAAAACCTCAATTTGCAGGAAGCAGTGTGGAGAGTGGTAGAGCAGCAGTCCCCAACCTTTTTGGCACAGAGACCGGTTTCATGGAAGTCAATTTTTCCATGAATGGAGGGGGTAGACACTCACATCATCAGACATTAGTTAGATTCTCATAAGGAGCAGGCAACCTAGATCCCTCACATACACAGTTCACAATAGGGTTCATGCTCCTATAAGAATCTAATGCCACCACTGATCTGACAGGAGGCAGAGTTCAGGCAGCAGTGCTCACTGGCCTGCCACTCACCTCTTGCTGTGCAGCCCAGTTCCTAACAGGCCCAGGGTTTGGGAACCTCTGTGGTAGTGTCTGAGAAAGTAGATTTATGATGCTGTAGAAGAAATGCCAATATAAAAGCTGAGATGATACTTAACTCCTAACAAGTAACCAGAATTTTGCAGCCAAACCATTGCCTTATAAGTCCTTGGTTTCTACATGGCCAAAAACAGAATCCAAAACTTAGGTAGAGTTTAGCTGGAGGGACTCACACAGAGTGACCATATAGCTACAGAAGAGCTCTGCAGTGAGAGCTGTTGAGTGCAGAGTCACAGTCATTACTCAGAGCCCATCCTTTTATCTCTTCATTCATTTAGTGACTGTGCATGCTCTTTGCCACTTGCTTTTACCCAGGCAACATTGTATAGTCTTGAAAATTCACCAACTGTCATCTCATATGTAAGCTCTTTTCTGATTCATCACACTGATTTAGAAGACTCTTGTCTGTACTTCCACGGCACCATGTGAAAAATATCTATTATATTCCATATTATACCATGTTTTAACTCTTCTTTTAAAGCTGTGCATCTTCCTCAATGACTGTAAATTTTTTAAGAGAACACACCATTTATAATTTCATGGCATATACATATATATATGTATATATATATGTATATATATCTATGTATATATATATATATGTATATATATCTCCATGTATATCTCATTAAATGTTGAGTGAATAAAATCAGGCTATAATTCTGGCAAAGTATATTAATGTTTTTAAGACTTCAACAATATGGCTTTTTAAACTTAAGCTGGTTTGACTGAGTTTTTTATATCCTTCAGAAGCTTAAAGTCTCACCATCTAGAGTTAAAAGGAAATGCTTTGTGATGGAATCTCCATTTTTTTCATGTAAATTCAACCAAATAATTTTAATTTTACACATAAGAGATATTTTGGTCTTCTAAAATGTATCTTTATTATTATGGAAGTGATTTTTTTCCTTTACTGATTTTCTGGTTGGGAAATATGGGCATTTTCTTTTGTTTTGAACTTACTTCCTTTTCTTTACGTGGTGGATTCAGCCTAAACATAAAATAAAAGTTAAGAGAGATAGAATCAATCATCAGGGAATAAAACAGAGAAAGAAATCAACAAACATGTCCTTCCTTTTTTTTCTATGAATGATATAGTGAACAGAAATCAGGACAATAACAAGCAAAATGACTTAATGAATCCAAGTAGTTCTCTTATGTTGGCTTAGAATTATAGCATGTTGAATCCAATGAGTGATTAATATTCAATACAGTTGTGAACGCTCCATGTATGAAAAATTGTGTATGGTATAATTCAGAAATAAAGGCCAAAGCTCCACTAAGTTAAAATTGGCTAGAGTTGCACTAGATTTAAACTATTAAAAAATTCACAAAACTTAACCCAGTTTTATATATGACACCCAAACTTTGCACTGGTCAAATTTTGTCTTAAAAATGTGAGGGTTGGAGCTGTTTCTTACAACTTAAGCTATATGTAGACAAATAGCTTCATCAGTCCACATAATATTCCCATTGTTTTAATGTTGTGGGCTACATCTGGAGCTATCAGAATAAATCTGAATACTGCTTCAAGCTGGGGGTGTAAGCTAACACCACAAAGAATCTGGCTCACTGTAGGAAGGCCAGGACTCGCAAAAGGCCAGGTGACAGTGAAGCAGGCTTGAAAGCATAAGAGTGTCATGTTCCTTGTTCATTTCATACCCTACTAATGTTTCCATTCATGTGTGAGCCCCAGCAGCAGAAAATCTAGTAGAACATAGAGATAGAGAGTGCCAACATTTCATCAGGTGAGCAGCAGTCATATTCAGATACCTTTCCAGTATAAGCGGGATCGGCCAGCATTCTGTAAGGAGAGGAGGAAAGAATAGGCCCTGATGCAGAGATCAGAAAGATCTAAGAAGATTCCCAGCCAAGAAATCAACAGCCACTTAGGGCCTTTGCTGAAAAGGAGGACAAGGGAATTGCTGAATTGTCCCCAATAGGATGTTTATGTTAGAGATTCTGAAAAAGAGCCAAGGCTGACTTATGGCAAGAAAGTCTTCCTACTGGACTCTAGTGAATAATGTTGTGTATGTGAGAACTCTGCAGCAACTGCATCACAGAACGGTATCTCCCTCTCCCAATTCTGCTTCCTTCACCAGCCTACAGAGCTGTTTCTGAAAACACTCCTGTAGACTATCAAGTCAGTGTGTGAGAAGTTCTGTTATAGCACATTTATGTATTTTCCCTTTTCTTCCTTTCTTCTTTCTAATTAGACAAACCTACAAAGGATTCGAAGTAGCTATGGAACACCATATAGGAAATTAAATACCAGCAGTTAGAAAAATCTTTCTTCCTTACTTACAACAAAACAATGTTAATGTTAGCTACAGTTTTATTCTAAAGAAAAAAAAAGAATGCAAATTTTATTTATTTTTGATCATTCAAAACATTTAAATCTATAACTGGTATGGTCTCTGGAATCTAGACTTAGAATTTAAATTAGCTTAAAACATTATTTCTGCTAACTCTGCAGTATCAACATAATTACTAAGGAAAATTTAAATTTTCTATTACACTGTAATTTCTCCTCCATTCTACAGTGAGATAAACTGCAGCCTCTTAAGCTTTCAAATACACTAAACTTTCTAAAGTGAATTTTAAAAAGGAAAAACTGGATTATTTTAGCAAATCAATAATTATTTACAAGTAGATTCATAGATCAGATTAGACTAGATTCGACTGATAGATATAACACATTCATAAGAAACCAAAATTGTTGGATTCAAATAGTAAAAGTAACTAAGTAGATAAATTCAGACTTCCAGATGAAATATGAATTCTTTATGAAATAATAAGATATCGCTATTTGTGGCAATAAAATTTGGATGCTAATAGCGCAAAGGAAGTTTTATAAATGAAATAAGCATGGTCAAAATTAGTCTAACACCTCTGACCACAACTCTTGTTTTTGTTGAAACACAATATAATTAAGCCAATACTGACCTGGAAATTTTATAGCTTGCCATTCATCTTCTCCAAAATAAATTGATTAATGCCTGAACATATGGTGATACGACAGAAGAAAGAAATCTATTATCACTGTAGTTACAATTCAGGTTTATTATTAAAACTGTCTGCATTGGAAAAATATGTATTTTTGGGTAATTGTTTCATGGATTATATCAATGTAGGTAAGGTATTAGGTTTTTAAAGATTTCGCTTAAACCTTATGCGATTCATTATTGGCAATTTAAATTACCTCGATAATCAGTTTTCAATTACTAAATTAAGATCATTATAACATAGTCCAAAAAATGACAATTTAGTTTTAATAGGAAAGAAATAAACTGTCAACTAGGCATGTCTGGAGATATGATCAATTACGTTAAGTGATTTGACCAATATGGCTGCATGGGAAGAACATTTCTGACCCTTTTTGGTCAGGCCAAGTATTTTTTTGTCAATAGTTGTCAGTAGTTGATCTAAACACTTAAGAAAAGTGACATTTTACTCTGAAGATAATCAGCAAAATACAGAACAAATTATGGAGATAAATGTAAGTATATGTGTGCAGGAATACATCCTGAATATACCAAAACAGGGCACATATTTGCCTTTTTATAACTTTTTTTAAAAAAAGGAAAGTTGGGGATTAAGATGGCAGATAGGAGGCAGGACTAGCTTGCAGCTTCCGCTTGGACAGACAGAGCAGCATGTGGAGATTCACATCATGAACTTCTCCAAAAACTACGGCAGGAGCATAACCAGGAAAGCCAAGAGAATCCACAGACCCTTTGAAGGAACTGAATCACCAATGCAGGCTCCCTGAGATGCTGAAAAACTGTGAGTCCACTTGCTTTCTCAATGGGGAGGCTCGTGGTCTGGGGCAAGTTCTTAGTCCTGGTCTCCGGCTGCCTGAAAATCGATTCGGTGCTGTTTGGGGAACACAGTGAAAGTGAGACCAGTCTTTAGGACTGCAGGCTGTGTGAGAGCAGGGTGAGGCCTGTGACTGCCGGCTTTTCCCCACTTTCCTGGCAACCTGTATAACTCAGCAGAGGCAGCCATAATCCCTCCAGGAATATAACTCCACTGGACTGGGAATCACACTCCCATCCCCCACAGCAGCCACAGCAAGCCTCACCCAAGGAGAGGCTGAGTTCAGACACCCCTAACCCTGCCCCCACCTGGTGGTCTTTCTCTACCTACCCTGGTAGCCAAAGACAAAGGTCATAATCTTTCGGAAGCTCTATAGCCCTGTCCACTGCCTGAGAGACCTGAATACTTAACCAGGGGTCCCTAGAGCAACTTTGCGTCCTCCCTATAGGGAGGCAGTTTTGAAAGTGCCACCTCCTGGCTGGAGGCCAACCAACACAACACCAGTGCACTAAACAAAAATACAACCAAGGGCCCTCACAGAATTCACTTCACTCCCTTGCTACCTCCACTGGGGAAGGTGTGGATATCATGGCTGCAAGACCTGAAGATGGATCACATCACAGGACTCTTCACAGACACTCCCCAGTACCAGCCCGGAGCCTGGGAGCTCTGCTGGGTGGCTAGACACAGAATATCAAAAACAGTCACTAAAGTTAGGCTCTCAGGAAGCCCCATGTCTAGGGGAAGGGGGATAACACTACATCAAGAGAGCACCCTGTGATAGAAAAGAACCTGAGCAGCAGCCCTTGAATTCCAGATATTCCCTCTGACATAGTCTACCCAAGTGACAAGGAACCAGAAAAACAATTTTAGTAATATGACAAAACAAGATTTGTTAACACCTGCAAAAGATCATATCAGCTCACCAGCAATGAACCCAAACCAAGATGAAATCTCTGAATTGCCAGAAAAAGAATTCAGAAGGTCAATTATTAAGCTAATCAAGGAGGCACCAGAAAAAGGTGAAATCCAACTTAAAGAAATCAAAAACATGATGCAGGATTAGAAAGCAAATTTCTTCAGTGAAATAGATAGCATAAATAAAAAACAATTACAACTTCTGGAAATCAAGGACACAGAGAAATACAAAATGCACTGGAAAGTCTCAGCAATAGAATCAAACAAGCAGAAGAAAGATCTTCAGAGCTCAAAGAAAAGTCTTTCAAATTAACCTAATCCAACAGAGACAAAGAAAAAAGAGTTTTTAAAAAAAATGAAGAAGAACTCCAAGAAGTTCGGAACTATGTGAAACATCCAACCCTAAGAATAATTGGTGTTCCTAGGGAAGAAGAGAATCTAAAAGTTTGCAAAACATATTTGAGGGAATAATCTAGGAAATATTCCCTGCCCTTGCTAGTGATCTAGACATCCAATAAAAGTAGCTCAAAGAACACCTTGGAAATTTATCACAAAAAGATTGACACCTAGGCACATAGTCATCAGGTTATCTAAAGTCAAAATAAAGGAAACAATCTTAAAAGCAGTGAGGCAAAAGGATCCAGTAACCTATAAAGGAAAACCTACCAGACAAACAGCAGATTTCTCAGCAGAAACCCTATAAACTAGAAAGGATTGGGGTCCTATTTTTAGGCACCTTAAACAAAATAATTATCAGCCAAGAAATTTGTATCCAGAGAAACTAAGCTGCATAAATGAAGGAAAAATGGTCTTTTCCAGACAAACAAGTGCTTAGAGAATTCACCACTACCAAGCTAGCACTACAAAAACTGCTAAAAGGAGCTCAAAATCTTGAAACAAATCCTCAAAATACACCAAAATAGAACTTCCTTAAAGCATAAATCTCAGAGGACCTATATAAAAACAATACAATGAAAAATGGACTTAAACTACACCCTTCAACAAGTGGATTTAACAGATATTTACAGAACATTCTACTCAACAGCTGCAGAATATACGTTCTACTCATCAGCACATGAAACACTTTCCAAGATAGACCATGTGATAGGCCACAAAACAAGTCTCAGTAAATTTAAGAAAATTGAAATTATATCAAGTATTCTCTCAGACCACAGTGGAATATAATTGGAAACCAACTCCAAAGGGAACCTTCAAAACCATACAAATACATGGAAATTAAATAACCTGCTCCTGAGTGATACTTGGGTCAACAATGAAATCAAGACATAAATTTAAAAATTCTTTGAACTGAATAATAATAGTGACACAACCTATCAAAACCTCTGGGATACAGCAAAAATGGTGCTAAGAGAAAAGTTCATAGCATTAAATGCCTACATCGAAACATCTAAAAGAGCACACATAGACTATCAAAGGTCAAACCTCATGGAACTAGAGAAACAAGAACAATCCAAACCTAAACCCAGCAGAAGAAAAGAAATAACAAAGACCAGTGCAGAGCTAAATGAAATTGAAACCAAAAAAATACAAAAGATATATGAAACAAAAAGCTGGTTCTTTGAAAAGAAAAGCACTATTGATAGACCATTAGCAAGATTAACCAAGAAAAGAAGAGAGAAGATCCAAATAAGCTCAATTAGAAACAAAAAAGGAGATATTACAAATGGTAACAAAGTAATACAAAAGATTATTCAAGGCTACTATGAACACCTTTATGTGCACAAACTAGAAAACCTAGAGGAGATGGATAAATTCCTGGAAACATACAACCCTCCTAAATTAAACCAGAAAGATACAGAATCTCTGAACAGACCAGTAAAAAGCAGTGAGATTGAAATGGTAACCAAAAAAATGCCAACAACAAAAAAAATAGTACCAGATGGATTCACAGCTGAATTCTATCAACATTCAAAGAAGAATTGGTACCAATCCTATGGAAACCATTTCAAAAGATAAAGAAAGAGGGAATCCTCCCTAAATCATTCTATGAAGCCAGTATCACCTTAATACCAAAACCAGAAAAGAACATAACAAAAAAAGAAGACTACAGACCAATATCCCTGATGAATATAGAGGTAAAAATCCTCAACAAAATACTAGTGAAACAAATCCAACAGCATATCAAAAAGATAATTCACCATGATCAAGTGGGTTTCAACAGGGATGCAAGGATAGTTTAACATCTGCAAGGCAATAAATGTGATACACTACATAAACAGAATTAAAAACAAAAATTACATAATCATCTCAATAGATGCAGGAAAGCATTTGACAAAATCCAACACCACTTTTGATTAAAGCCCTCAGCAAAATTGGCATACATGGGACACACCTTAAGGTAATAAAAGCTAGTAATATCTATGACAAACTCACAGCCAATGTTATATTGAATGGGGAAAAGTTGAAAGCATTTTCTGTGAGAACTGGAACAAGACAAGGGTGCCCACTTTCACCACTTCTATTAACATACTATTGGAAGTCCTAGCCAGAACAATCAGACAAAGAGAAAGAAATAAAGGGCATCCAAATCAGTAAAGATGAAGTCAAACTGTTGCTGTTTGCAGATGATATGATCATATACCTAGAAAACCCTAAAGACTCATGCAAAAAGCTCCTAGTACTGAATAATGAATTCAGCAAAGTTTCAGGATACAAAATCAAGGTACACAAATCAGTAGGTCTGCTACACCAACAGCGACAAGATGAGAATCAAATCAAGAACTCAACCCCTTTCACAACAGCTGCAAAAAATATATATATATTTAGGAATATACCTAACCAAGGAGGTGAAAGACCACTACAAGGAAAACTACAAAATACTGCTGAAAGAAATCATAGATGACATAAACAAATGGAAACATATCCCATGCTCATGGATGGGTAGAATCAATATTGTGAAAATGACCATACTGCCAAAATCAATCTAGAAATTCAGCGCAATTCCCATCAAAATACCACCATCATTCTTCACAGAACTAGGAAAAACAATTCTAGAAGTCATATGGAACCAAAAAAGAGCCCATATATCCAAAGCAAGACTAAGCAAAAAGAACAAATCTGTAGGCATCACATTACCTGACTTCAGGCAATACTATAAGACCATAGTCACCAAAATAGCATGGTACTGGTATAAAAATAGGCACACAGACCAACGGAAAAGAATAGAAAACCCAGAAATAAACCCAAATACTTAGCGCCAACTGATCTTCAACAAAGCAAACAAAAACTTAAAGTGGGGAAAGGACAACCTATTCAACAAATGGTGTTGGGATAATCGGCAAGCCACATGTAGAAGATTGAAACTGGATCCTCATCTCTCACCTTATACAAAAATCAATTCAAAATGGATCAAACACTTAAATCTAAGACCTGAAACCATAAAGATTCTAGAAGATAACATTGGAAGAACCCCTCTATACATTGTCTTAGGCAAAGACTTCATGACTTAGAATCCAAAAGCAGATGCAACAAAAATAAAGATAAATAAATAGGACTTAAACTAAAAAGCTTCTGCACAGCAAAAGAAATAATCAGCAGAGTTAACAGAAAACCCACAGAGTGAGAGAAAACCTTCGCAATCTATACATCCAACAAAGGACTAATATCCGGAATCTACAAAGAACTGAAACAAATCAGCAAGATAAAAAGAAGCAATCCCATCAAAAAGTGGGCTAAGGACATGAATAGACAATTGTCAAAACAAGATATACAAATGGCCAACAAACACATGGAAAAATGCTCAACATCACTAATGATCAGGGAGATGCAAATCAAAACTGCAGTGTAATACCACCTCACTCCTACAAGAATGGCCATAATCAAAATAGATGCTGGCACAGATATAGCTAAAACGGAACACTTTTACATTGTTGGTGGGAATGTAAACTAGTACAACCACTATGGGAAACAGTGTGGAAATTCTTTAAAGAACTAAAAGTAGATCTACTGTTTGATCCAGCAATTCCACTACTAGGTATCTAGCCAGAGGAAAAGAAGTCATTATACAAAAAAAGATACTTGCACACACATATTTATAGCAGCACATTTTGAAATGGCAAAAAATATGAAAATAGCCCAAATGCCCATCAATCAATGAGTAGATAAAAAAAATTGTGTGTGTGTGTGTATATATATACATATATATATAAAGAAATTGTGTGTGTATGTATATATATATATATACACCATGGACTACTACTAAGCCACAAAAAGGAACAAAATAGTGGTATTAGCAGCAACTTGGATGGAATTGGAGACTTATTCTAAGTGAACAAACTCAGGAATGGAAAACCTAACATTGTATTTTCTCACTCATATGTGGAAGCTAAGCTATGAGTGCACAAAGACATGAGAATAATAGACTGGACTTTGGAGACTCAGGGGTAAGGGTGGGAATGGCAAAAGATAAAAGACTGCATATTGGGTACAGTGTACACTGCTCGGGTGATGGGTGCACCCAAATCTCAGAAATCACCACTAAAGAACTTATCCATGTAACCAAACACTACCTATTCCCCAAAACCCTGTTGGAATAAAAAATAAATAAATAAAAAGGGAAAAATTAATATGACTTATAGCACACAACTGAAGTAAAAATATGAGTTTTATCCTTAAGCACAGAACAGTAATAGGAAATTTAGGCCTGTATTGAATCCATACTGGTGACTTATTTGTTCCGTATTATTAAACAAGCTGTTAAACTCTCTGAAAATCCATTATTATTTTCCTCTGTACAATAAAAAAAAATTACCTCTACCTTGAAGAGTTGTGAAAATTTGGAAGAATGTATACAAATGACTAGAGGCACTACCAGGCACATAGAATGCACTCTTTATATTTACTTCCTTCCCTCCCTACTTCCCATTCTGTTACTAGTACACTATGAAGTTTTTAACCAATCACTTTTGGGGTCTCAGTTTTACCTCTATAAACAAGCAAGGCCAAGCTATTTTGACAATTTATAGTCCCAATGTTATGACACATTGTTAGGTCATGAGTAAGTGGGCAATGTGTCACAAGTAGTCCAACCTAATATTAATAATAATTAAATTACCAAAATTTACAAATAAGTTTCTTTTAAAATGTACAATTATAACATCAAAATAAGTCATTAGTACTTCCACTTGCTTTTGAGATGGAGCATATGAAGTAGTTTCGGATGATAAAGATGGAATTGCTCTAATGCATAGGCTACTTTGTCTCACATAATAGCATTGATGTACCCTTAATAGTTGGATGATTATAAGTTACAGCTCTCATATATTATACTTTTCTTAACTGAATATTTCTTACTTATTTTATTTATGTATATGTTTCTAAAAGGAAAAAGATAACACCAATTTTTTTTAAGTCTGTAGTTCTATACACTTTACTTCCCTGCAAAACCCTTTGTCATTTCTCAAATCAGAGTGTGCTGATGAGAGTGTCTGAAGCAAACCATGATCATCCTTAGCGCTTGTCTCAGTGAAGACAATGTTGGAAACCACTGAATTTCATCACTAAGGATTTTTTCTTTTAGTGTTGGTATCGTTTGATGTCTTTCTATTTATTTTTATTTTTTATTTTAGATATAGGGAGTGCACAGTCTTGTTTGTTACATGTATTACATGTGTAATGGTGGGGATTGGGTTTCTAGTCTACCTATAATCCAAATATTGAACATCATTATACCTAATAGGTAATTTTCAACCCTCACTCCTCCCTACCTTCCCCGCTTTCAGAGTTTTCAGTGTCTATTATCTCCACCTTTACATTTATGTGTACTCACTGTTTAGCTCCCACTTGTAAGTGAGAACATGTGATATTTGATCTTGTGCTTCTAAGTTAGTCTCAGGATCTTTTTATCTGCAAACCATCTATGTTATCCCCCAACAAGTCTAGACATGCAAACATGTTTGCAAGTAAATGCTCTTTGATAAAAGAAACCCTTTAAGAAATTCTTGGGAAAACTTTGTAATAACTGTAAACATTTCAAAGTATTATGCCATAATTTTGGTGTATTATAGGAGCAATAGAAAAAAAAGGATTCTTTAGTTAAAATGGCAAAACCCACTTTAGAAAGAACATGTCTAAAACATGATGTAACTCAGAAAAAGAATTATTGGATCTTAAACAAAGAAAAGGATTATCAAAGCATTTGACTAGATTGTACAGTACCTCTGATTATCTGCCGATTCACAACCCTTTAATATCTTATATTTATTCCAATATGGAAAATATAGTGCACCTGGTAAAATTAGGCAATATTTAAATTCCATGCTCAACCTATTTAAAATATCAACTCAAAAATATTATAGCACATATCTTGGAAGGCAAAATATGACTATTTTATCTTTTGGGAATATACACTGTATCAGCTGCCTAGGTTTGCAAAACAAATTATGACAATGAACAATGAATCAAAACAATGAATATCACAATGAATCAAAGAAATGAAAATGGAAATATGATATACAAACACCTATGAGGTACAGCAAAAGCAGTATGATTTGGAAAGTATATTGCATACACATCTACACCTAAAAAGTAGAAAAACTTGAAATAAACAACCAAATGATGCATCTTAAAGAACTAGGAAAGGAAAAGCAAACCAAACCTAAAATGAGTAGAAGAAAAAAAAATAAAGATCAGAGCAGAAATAATATTGAAATGGAGAAAACAATATAAAATGTTAACAAAACAAAAAGTTGATTTTTTTAAGAGATAAACAAAATTGATATACCTTTAGCCAGACTTATTAAGGAAAAAAAGACCAAAATAAATAAAATCAGAGATTAAAAGGGACACATTACAATGGATACCATGGAAATTCAAAGGATCACTAGAGGCTATAATGAGCAACTATATATATATATATATATATATATATATATATATATATATATATATATATATATATATATGAGTATTTTGTCTTTTGGGAATATACACTGTATCAGTTCCCTAGGGTTGCAAAACAAATTATCACAATGAACAGTGAATCAAAAAGATGAATATCACAATGAATCAAACAAGTGAAAATATATATATATATATCAATACATTGAAAAGCCTAGAAAAAGCAGATAAATTTCTAGCCACATTTAACCTACCAAGACTGAACCATTAAGAAATCTAAAACCTGAAAAGAACAATAACAAGTAATGAGATCAAAGCCACAATAAGACTTCCAGTAAAGAAAAGCCCAGGAATTGATGACTTCACTGCTGAATTTTACCAAACATTTAAGGAAAAGCAAATGCCGATCCTACACAAACTGTTCCAAAAAATAGAGGAGCATGGATACCTCCAAACTCATTCTGCAATGCCAGCATTACCCTGATACCAAAACCAAAGACTCATCAAGAAAAGAAAACTATACATCAATATCACTGATGAACATAGGCGCAAAAATCCTCAACAGCATACTAGCAAACCAAGTTCTGCAACATGTTTAAAAGATTATTTATTATGACCAAGGGGGATTTATTCCAAGGATGCAAGGATGATTCAACACACCCAAGTCAATTAGTATAATACATAATATCAACGGACTAAAGGACAAAAACCATGTAATCCTTTCAATTGATGCATAAAAACATTTGACAAAACTCAACATCTCTTCGTGATTAAAACAATTAAAAAACTGGATACAGAAGAAACATAACTCAAAAAAAATAAAAGCCATATACAACAGACCCACAGCTAGTATCATACTGAATGAGGAAAAACTGATGGCTTTTCATCTAAGATCTGGAACAAGACAAGAATGCCTACGTTCACCACTATTATTCAACATAATATTGGAAGTCCTAGCTAGAGCAATCAGACAAGAGAAAAAAATAAAGGGCACCCAACTGGGAAAGAAGAAGTCAGATTATCTTTGTTTGCAGATGTTATGACCTTATATTTGGAAAAACCTAAGGACTCCAGAAAAAATATATTAGAATCAATAAATTCAGTAATATTTCAGGTTACAAAATTAACATACAAAAAATCAGTAGCATTTCCATATGCTAGCAGTGAACAATCTGAAAAGGATATCAAGAAAGTAATCCAATTATAATAGCTATAAGTAAAATTAAATACCTACTAATAAACTTAAGCGAAAAAAGTAAAAGTTCTCTACAATGAAAACTATAAAACATTGATTAAAGAAATTGAAGAGGACACAAAATAATAGAAAGATATTGCACGTTCATGAATTAGAAGACTCAATATTGTTAAAATGTTCATACTATCCAAAGCAATCTACAGATTCAATGCAATCCCTCAAAATACCAGTAACATCCTTCACAGCAATAGAGAAGAAAAAAATTCCAAAATTTATATGGAACCACGAAAATCAAGAACAGCCAAAGCTATCCTAAGCAAAAAGAACAAAACTGGAGGAATCACATCACCTGACTTCAAATTACACCACAGAGCTATAGTAACCAAAACAGTATGGTACTGGCATTAAAGCAGACACATAGACCAATGGAAAAGAATAGAGAACCCAGAAATGAATTTATATATCTACAGTGGACTCATTTTCAACAAAGGTGTCAAGAACATACTTTGGGGAATGACAGTCTCTTCAATCAATGCTGCTGGGAAAACTGGATATCCATATACAGCACAATGAATCTCGACCCCTATCTCTCATCATACACAAAAATCAAATAAAAATGGGTTAAAAATTTAAATCTAAAGAAACTAGTAAAAGACTTCAATCTTATACTTGCAAACTGCTATAAGAAGCATGAGGAAAACTCTTCAGGACATTGGTCTGAGCAAAGTTTTCTTGAGTAATACCATACAAGCACAGGAAACCAAAGCAAAAATGAACGAATGGGATTACATCAAGTTGGAAAAGCTTCTGAACAGCTACAGAAACAATCAACAAAGTGAGAAGACACTCCACAGAATGGGAGAAAATATTTGTAAACTACCCATCTGACAAGGGATTCATAACCAGAATATATAAGGAGCTCAAACGACTCAATAGTAAAAAACCTAATACGCTGATTTTTAAATTGGCAAAAGATCTGAATAGACATGTTTCAAAAGATAACACACAAATGGCAAACAGGTATATGAAAAGGTGTTCAGCATCATTGATCATCAGATAAAAGGAAATCAAAGCTATAATGAGATATCTTCTCACTCCAGTTAAAATGGCTCTCATCCAGAACCACCACTCAATCCAGCAATCTCATTGCTGGATATATAGAGGAAAATAAATCTTTCTACCATAAAGACATATGCACACAAATGTCCATTGCAGCACTATTCACAATAGCAAAGACATGGAATCAACATGAATGCCCATCAATGACAGATTGGATAAGGAAAATGTGGTACATATACACCATGGAATACTATGCAGCCATAAAAAAATGAGATGATGTCATTTGTGTGAACATGGAAAAAGCTGGACGTTATTATTATTAGAAAACTAACACAGGAACAGAAAACTGAATGCCACATGTTCTCACTTATAAGTGGAAGCTAAATGATAAGAACTTATGAATACAAAGGAAAAACAACAGACACTGGGGCCTACTTGAGGGGGAGAGGGAAAGGAAAGAGAGGAGCAAAAAAGATAACTATTAGGTACTTGGCTTAATACTTGGGTAATGAAATAATATGTACAGCAAACCTCTGTGACATGTGTTTACCTATATAAAAAACCTTCACGTGTACCCCCAAACCTAAAAAAAAAGGTAAATAAATATACAAATAAATAAAATTACTTTTATCAAAATACAGGCAACGACAAATGCTGGCAAGGATGTGAAGGAAAGGGAACCCTCATACACTGTTGATGGGAATGTAAATTAATAATACAACCCACTATAAAGGATGGTTTAAAGTTTCCTCAAAAAACTAAAAATACAACTACTATCTGATCCAACAATCCCATTTCTAGGTATCTACCCAAAAGAAAGAAAATTAGTATATTGAAAAGATATCTCCACTCCCATGTTTATTGTAGCACTATTCACAATAGCCAAGGTTTGAAGCAACCTAAGTGTCCATCAACAGATGAATAGATAAAGAAAATGTGATACATATACATGATGAAGTACTATTCAGCCATAAAAAATAATGAACTCCTGTCATTTTCACTAACATGGATGGAACTAGAGGTCATTATGTTAAGTGAAATAAGCCAGGCACATAAAGACAAACTTTGCATGTTCTCACTTATTAATGTGAGTTAAAAATTAAGACGATGGAACTCATGAAGATAGAGAGTAGAAATATGGTTACCAGAGGTTAGGAAGGGCAGGAGGGGAGTGGGGCAAAAGTGGGGATGGTTAATAGGTATGAAAATATAGTTAGATACACTGAATAATATCTAGTATTTGATAGCACAACAGGGTGACTACAGTCATCAATAACTTATTGTACATTTCAAAATAACTAAAAGAGTATAATTGGATTGTTTGTTACATAAGGAAAGGATAAATGCTTCCAGTGATTTATACCCCATTTACCCTCATGTGATTATTATGTACAACATGCCTGTATCAAAATATCTCATGTACCCCATAAATATATGTACCTACTATGTACCCACAAAAAATATTTTAAAATAATAGAAAATTTTAAAATTAGCTGCTTAAAGCACCAGAAATTAATCATCTCACAGTTCTATAAATCAGAAATGATAGTTTTGGCAAAGTTAGTTACTTCTGGAGGCTCTGAAGGAAAATCTGTTTCATGTCTCTCTCCTAGCTTCTGGTGACTATCAAAGTAATTGGCCATTTCTTGACCTGTAGACACATTATTTCAATTGCTGCCTGTATCTTTACATGGCCTTTCCCTCTGTGGGTTCTCTTTTGTATCTGTGTGTCTCAAACCTGCCTTCCTTTTCCCTCTTATAAGGGCACCAGTAACTGAATTTAAGGCCTAATCCAGAATGATCTCATCCTAAGGTCCTTAGTTATGTCTGCAAAAACCCTATTTCCAAATAAGTTCACATTCACAAATACTAGAGATTAGGTATCATGCATATCTTTTTGAGGAACACCATTCAACCACTGTAGCCTGCCCTCAGCCCCCTAAAATTTACATCTGTCCTAAATGGAAAATGGGGAATCACACCATTCCAGCATCACTCAAAGTTTTCCAATTACAGCATCAACTCTAAATCCAAAATCTTATCTAAAAGTCATCTGCTCAAAAAGTCCCAAATCTAATATTTTAATTATCTAAATCAGGTATTGGCAAGACTCTCCATATGATCCATCTTGGGGGAAAATTCCTCACCATCTGTGGACCTATAAAACTATAAAACGAGTTGTCTGCTTCCAAAATACAAAGGTGGGATAAGCATAGAAAAAACATTCTCATTCCAAAGGAGAAAACTGGAAGAAATAAAGGGGTCGCTGGTCTCCAGTAAGTTTGAAGCCCTACAGGAAAAATTCTGTTAGGTTTCAAAACCTGAGAAAATTCTCCATAGCTCAAAGCTCTGTCCACTGGGCCCATGAAGGCTCTCCTCTCCGGACTTAAACAGAACCCATCCTCTGCTCCCAGGAAGGCTCGTTGGCCACTGCCTCTGCATTCAAAATACTGCCCTCAGAATTATTACTCTTTTTTATTGTAAAGGGGCACATATTTGCAGGCAAATTACTCTATTATCCTTTTTCTGCTTGTAGAATTTTGGGAGTTCAGAAACATTCTTTTATTTTATCCAATTCCTTTCAGCCAAAACTGTTAGAATTTCTCTTGGTATAACATTCTCAAAAATGTTGTGAGTCTCCTTTGTAATTCATAGGGTTCCACATGATTAGACAAGAGGATACTCAACAGATCCTTCCTTGAACACTTCATCTCTATTGCTGGATTCTCCTGAGACATTTTATTGGCTCCATAAGTCACACCCAATCTCTTCAGGAAAAGGTTGTCCAGCCACACATTTGGCCCTGTCCCCAGAGAATGCTTTTCTAGCAGCAAATTTTCTAACTTTGGCATCCTTTACAATGTGAATAGACCAAGAACTGTCCAAATTATCAAGTGCTCATTGCTTTTTTGCATGAGTTCCTTCTTCCATTTATCTTTTTCCTCTGGAATTGTACTATAAGCTGCAACTTCAACACTTTGCTTGGAAATTTCCTCAGCTAAATATCCAAGTTTATTGCTTACAAGTTCCCCTCTCTCCCAACAGTAGACCACAATTCAAACAAGTTTTCTGCCATTTTGTAATAAGAATCACCTTTCTTCCAGTTTCCAATAAAATGCTCCTCATTTCTTCCTGAGATCTCACTAGAAATACCTTTAATATTCACATTTCTATCAACCATGTCTTCAAGGCAATTTAGGCTTTTTCTATTATACACCTAAAAATTCTTTCAGCCACTTGCACATTTTTAGGTATTTCTTACAGCAGATCCCACTCTCAGTACCAAATCTGTATCAGTCAGGATTCCATCAGAAAAACAGAACCAGTGGGATGTTCACGGTATGTGACACATCCCCATTATGAAGGGTAATCTTCTTTATGTAAAGTCAGTTGTCTTCTGCCAGGCAGTGTTGCTCATGCCTGTAACCCCAGCACTTTGGGAGGCTGAGGCAAGAGGATTTCTTGAGGCTAGGAGTTAGAGACCAGCCTGGGCAACATAGTGAGCCCCTTCTCAAAAAAAAAAAAAAAAGAATTGATTAGTTGAGTGTGGTAGTATGCCCCTGTAGTCCCAGCTACTTGGGAGGCTGAGGTGAAAAGATGGCTTGAGCTCAAGAGTTCAAGGCTGCAGTGAGCTATGATTGCACCACTGCACTCCAGCCTGGGCAACACACTGATATCCTGTTTAGTGTGAGATCCTCTAAACGAACAAACAAACAAAACACAGAGTTTATTGCCTCATAGAAGCAGAGAGTAGAATAGTGGTTACCACAGGCTGAGGTGAAAGAGAAATTGGGGTGATGTTGGTCAAGGATACAATATTTTAGTTAGGAGGAATAAGTTCAAGAGATCTATTGTACTGTACAACCTGGTGACTATAGCTAATAATAATGCATTGTATACTTAAAAATTGTTAAAAGAGTATATTTTAAGTGTGCTCATCACAAGTAAATGATATGTTCATGAAGCAATGTATATGTTAATTATCTTGATTTAGCCATTCTACAATGTATACACATTTCAAAACATCATATTGTGCACCATAAGTATGTACAATTTTTTGAGTCAAATGGGCAAATAAGTAAGTTTTTTTTAATGTCCACATAAAGATGGGCCATATGAAAATAGTTTGTTATATAATAGATGCTCCCCAAAGTTCCAGATCTCCAGAAAAGAAATAAATGGCATATTGCATGAGACTAATAAAATTTAAAACGGTCCAAAGAAAGATGGCAATTTAATAGATAGAAACCATAACAACAGGCACTGAGCTAGACACTTCCTTAATACTAATACACAAGATAAGAATTATTTCCATTTTATAAATGGGGAAGTCATGGTTCAGCTGTATGAAGTCAATCGCTACTAATAAAAGTCAACATTTAAATATGTGCTACTTGAAATCTACCCTATATCAAAGTCCATGCATTCTCCACTGCTCCCAGTGGCCTCTTTTAGAAATGCTCATAATGTTTATGAGAATGGACAGATAGTGCACGCAAAAGGAAATCTCTTCCTTGCACCCAGCTCAACCACAACACCAAATTGACTTTGTCATAGTCTAGCTAACTTTTTTTTTTACAAAATAATAACCCCATAGAACACACAGACAAAAACATACACACCATTCAAAAAGTTTATACAATAAAAAGTAAGTTTTATTGCCAACCCAGATACCTAATCTCATTCTTCACAGGTAAGCTTCATCAATATTTCTTACATATCTTTTTAAAAAATTCCCAGGCCCATCTATTCTTCTACATCTTTTTAAAGACAAAAAGGAGTAATATATTTGACACTTTGTTCTGTACCTTGCTTTTGTTTCCTTTTTTCTTTCTTTTTTCTTGTAAATTAGGTATTTTCTCCTCAGCACATAGAGGATTACACCATTTATTTTAATGGGTAGTTTATTTTATGTCTATACAATAATACATTTAACCAGTTCTCTGTCAGTGTGCTTTTAGGGTTTTCTTGCTTTTTGATGTTCCAACAAAGCTGAACTCAACTTTTTCACACATGTGGGTGTTGTTTTCTTTTGCTCTCCTTCTTATTCAGCCCAGCTGTTCATCTCTGAGAGTCACATGGCCCTTGGTGTTTGCTATCTACTGTTCTTGTGCAGTGCCGAAACTCCCTTGCAAAAGAAAAATCTCTAGGGAGATTCTTGCATTTGTTCTCTACAGAGCTTTAAGAGCAATACGGGTAAGCAAGTGTCACAATTTAGATGTTATTGAAAACAGATCTTCATAGGTTAACTTCTAACCTTAAATATTATACAACGTTGTAATAAGAAACATGGCAAGGAAATTTAAAAATGCTTGCCAAAGTTAAAAGAAACCAATCACATTTTTATTATACTTCCTAAAAATTCATTTAGCTCTATTTGGAAACCCCTACCAGTCTGAAGAGTCATACATTATTTCCTTGCCCTTATGCACTTTTTCACTTGACAGGCAGAAACCTAGTTTTCATTTTATTAAATGAAAATGAATACTCAGCAATACCTATCGTTTTTATTTATATTTTTAGAATACCAAACATCAAATAACAACTTCTGATGACACTGAGGCATGATTAATCATTATTATAACTCTATTGTGTCATCTCTGCAAATACTTTTCATTTGTCTTTATTTGTAGCAGATGAGGACTGCTCCTTTTTTTTTTTTTTTTTTTTTTTACAGAGTCTCACACTGTCTCCCAGGCTGGAGTGCAATGGCAGTGATCTCGGCTCACTGCAACCTCTGCCTCCCGGGTTCAAGCAATTCTCCTGCCTCAGCCTCCTGAGTAGCTGGGATTACAGGCACCTGCCACTACACCTGGCTAATTTTTTTGTATTTTTGGTAGAGAGAGGGTTTCACTATGTTGGCCAGGCTGATCTCGAACTCCTGACCTTGTGATCCACTCACCTCAGCATCCTGAAGTGCTGGGATTACAGCCATGAGCCACCACACCCGGCCTGATGAGGACTGTTTTCATTTCAAAAACAACTATTCAATTCAACTTCTTCAATAAAAAGTGAATTTAGTAATGGAATGAGCTGGTAAAATGCTTAACAACTTTTTGCTAATAGTACAATAAAAAGAATTTTTAAATGAACTATTATTTGAGCCAGAATAGCCCAAATATCCCCTAAATGACCATAACTTTTCACTTTTTTATATTGATTTGTTATAGGACAGATCAGCACCTTATAAAATGCTGTCCCACAGAACGATGCTCCATGATTGTTAATAGTTATAAGAACAAAAGGGTGGGAAAGGGAACATTTAATGTATAAATGTTCATTAAGAAACTTCGAAACAATGTACAGGATGAATCTTTTCACTTTTTTTCCCTTTGTCCTACTAGTCAGCATTCTCTGGTATTCTAGAAATCACCAGAAAGACCAGCATGCAAACTTAATCATGAATAGCTATGAAACAATGATTCTCCTTTTTAAAATCCTTAGAATAATGCAACTTAGAATGAATTATCTTCAGCATTATGAGGAACATTGTTTTTTAAACGTTATCAACCTTAATGGATGTAACAAGTAGAAATGTTTCTATACATATAAGTCTCTTGTTAAAATTCTCTTTTTAAAAAAATCACTGTGTGACCTAATTTTCAAAATATCTGCTTTCTGTCTACCTTTCCCAACCTACTATTTCCCATTCAGCAAAACCATAAATTTCCTTTTTGAGATTTAAGCAAGAGGTTAACTCTTTTGTTAAGCACTGAGCCCTCATGTGTCACCCATCCCCTCTTCTGTGTTCCCAGGCCCTCTAGAAACCTACCACTTATTTTCTTTTATCACATAGTACTATAATTTGGCATGTATTTTTCTGCCGGTTTTACTAGGCCCAAAGAACCTAAGGATCAGAGACAAATTATTAGTATCAGTATTAGTGTTAGTGCTAGCATTAGTATCAGTATTTACAGGCATGGTACCTACACGGGAACCTGGAACTCTCCAAGCATTCAATAAATGTGTGTTAAATAAATAAATGAGCAAAAGTGTCTCCAGAGCCTCCATGTTATCAATGTTTTTGTCAATAATTTAAATCAGGAAGAGAATCAGGTCTGTAGAAAATGTTTAAATTGATTTTTGCCAGAGAAGTGTTTTAAGTTAAATTGTAATACCTTCAGTTGAAGCATGCATTCCTCTTTCTACAGTCCTGACATCACTCTATTTTCTTCTATCTGGCAGTTTCAAACTCTACTCTTACCTAGACTCTCACAGCAACTGAGTTTTCTACTTCTGGTCTAGATATTACATGAGAAAAAATATCCATTACGTTTACAGGTATAAAATGGGTTGTACATAGAGAAAAGATATATTTTAATAAAAATGAAAATAGATATGTACACTTAAGTGGGAAAAGAAGTGAGAAAAATAGATAAGAAATAATACAGTGTGATCAATTTGTAAAGTAAGTTCTATAACATGATAGTGACATGGTAGCCATTAGAGCATATACTCACTCCACATCTTTAATGAGCATTTAGGCAACAAGCAGAGGCTGACATGGAAAATGGGGAAAGGGTTCCCAGGATGGCCACCAAGATGATTCAAGGTTAAAAAAGAAAACCTGGTCCAAATAGGAAGAGAGGAAGTCAAATTGTCTCTGTTTGCAGGTGACATGATTGTATGTTTAGAAAACCCCATCATCCCAGCCTAAAATCTCCTTAAGCTGATAAGCAACTTCAGCAAAGTCTCAGGATACAAAATCAATGTCCAAAAATCACAAGCATTCCTATACACCAATAATAGACAAACAGAGAACCAAATCATGAGTGAACTCCCATTCACAATTGCTACTAAGAGAATAAAATACCTAGGGATAAAATTTACAAGGGATGTGAAGGACCTCTTCAAGGAGAACTACAAACCACTGCTCAAGAAAATAAGAGAGGACACAAACAAATGGAAAAACATTCTATGCTCACAGATAGGAAGAAGCAATATCATGAAAATGGTCATACTGCCCAAAGTAATTTATAGATCAATGCTATCCCTGTAATCCCAGCACTTTGGGAGGCTGAGGCAGGTGGATCACCTGAGGTCAGGAGTTCGAGACCAGCCTGACCAACATGGTGAAACCCCATCTCTACTAAAAAATTACAAAAATTATCTGGGTATGGTGGTATGCACCTATAATCCGAGCTACTTGGGATGCTGAGGCAGGAGGATGGCTTGAGCCCTGGAGGCAGAGATTGCAGTGAGCCGAGATCACACCATTGCACTCCAGCCTGTGCAACTAGAGCAAAACTCTTCTCAAAAAAAAAAAAAAAAAAAAAAAAGATGTCAATGGAGGTAGGTCAGATACTCTAGCAAAAACATAAATAAATATAAGAGGCATAAAAGAATATAGTACGTTTAGGAAATGGTGATAAGTTTGAATCATTAAAGGAAAGTATGTTGGTCCAGGCTCTGTGGCTCATGCCTGTAATCCAAGCACTTTGGGAGGCTAAGGTGGGCAGATCACTTGAGGTCAGGAGTTCAAGATCAGCCTGGCAAACACGATGAAACCCTGTCTCTACTAAAAAAAAATAAAATTAGCCAAGCATGCTGGCGGTCACCTGTAATCCCAGCTACTCAGGAGTCTGAGGCAGGGAAAGTTGCTTGAACATGGGAGGCAGATGTTGCAATGAGCCAAGACCAGGCCACTGTACTCCAGCCTGGGCCACAGAGCAAGATTGTGTCTCAAAAAATAAAAAAAAAAAAAGAAAGAAAAGAAAAGTATGTTGGTGAGTATATCTGGAGAGATTTGTCAAAAACAATGGAACTAATAAAGTACAAATGGAACCAATAAAATAAACTATTCCTAGACTGTGGTAAGTTTCACATGCTCTGAGAAGGCATATAGATATAGACTTTATATTATCATCAAAAGGTAACTAACATGAGGAGTTAATCAAAGAGTAATATGGTTATGTTTTGCTTTTTTTCTTTCAGTAACATAACTTTAATAGCAGTAAGGAGTTATGGATTAGAGACAGAAAAAGAGTAGATATGTGTATATCCATTAGGAAAACTTTGCTTAAGCCGAGAAGGGAATGAAGAGATGATAATAAAGTCAACATTTGAACTTAGCAATTGGTTCTTTGCAATACACTGTGGAGATTAACAATTCAGGCTTTAAACTAGACTTCTAGGGTCTACAGCTACTTCTGCTATTATAAAACCACGAAGAAACTAACTCCTCTAAACTTCAGTTATGTGTCAGTTAAATAGTACTTCCTGGATAAGATTATGCTTGACATAATGCATGTAAAAGTACTCAGCGCCATTTGTGGTACACAGTAAGAATTCACTGTTAAGTATCATTACTAGCTATGGTGAGGAGATAAAAGTAGAGAAAGAGAAATCCAGAATGATTCTCCGATTTCCTGCTTGAATAATGAAGTACTAGGTAATGTTGGAAGAAAAATAGGTTTTGCAAAAAGGTAGGTCTCTCTCTCTCTCTTTCTCTTTTAGAATTATTATCTGCCTCTTTTTTCAATCCTAGTATTCTCCTTAACCTAGACCAGGAAGCTGAACCTGCTGGATATCTTCCATTTTCCCTTCAGATCAATTTTCTGCATCTATGAAGTAAGAAACCCAGCTTCTGCCAAGAAATCCTGCTGCTTCTAGCCTGAGTCTTACACTGCCTGTGGCTTCTTAGTGCCTTAAAAAACAATCCCTCCATTAAACTCTACTGAAATTGTCCAATTGGATTGTGCCATCTCTGGTTCTGCAAAGACCCTTACTGATACATGGAAACTGGCATATCCTGGAATCAAGTCTCCTGGAGGGATTGGGAGTGACAAGTATATCTCAATACATCAGAACTGATTATTTCCTACTCTATGGTGACCTACTCTAAGGAGATTCGAGGCAATTTTAAAAATCCAATAAAAGGGGGGTTAGAATATCAATCATAGCATGGAGGTTATAAAGTAGCAATTACTGAGGAAGCTTACCAGACAGGAGGTCCTGAGGGCAGCCATGCGAGAGGAGTATAATTCTGCTGGGCAGGTGTAGGAAGGATGGACTGTAGAAAAGACCAGGAATTCTGCAGGTCCAGTCACATAATTAAAGGCACTGGTGGGGAAAGAAATCATCAAGATACATGCAAAGTTTGTGAAGGAGTATAAAAACACAGTTAGATAAAAAGAATAGAGAAGTTCTAGTATTCATAAGTAGAATATAAAAATTATAGTTAACAATGACTTATTGTAGATTTTAAAGTAGCTAGGAAAGAAAAATTGCAATGTTCCTAACACAAAGGAAAGATAAATGTCTAAGGTGGTGGATATCCCAATTACCCTGATTTGATCATTACACATTGTATACATGTATCAAAATACCATATGTACCCCAAAAATATGTCCAGCTATTATATATCAATAAAAGTAAACAAAATAAGAATTTTAACAAAGTCAATGCAGCACAACACAACAAAAATCTGGTGGGACAACTCACACCCCAGTGGAGATCAACTCAGGATACTGATAGACCATGTGGATTGAGCTACCCTGCAAAAGGCAGAGGCTAGTTCCAAAGACTAGCCGAGGTGTCTGGAGGTTAGTAACAGTGATGGAAAAAGAGCTCTGGCCCACATGCCCCTCCCCTAGTGTCATCAGGACAATTAAAGCTTCTTTTTGCACTCAAATACTGTATTAGAAGGAAGAGGAGAAAAGAACCTTTGAGAGTGGAAGGAAATTTTGGGAGACTGAGTAGTTACCAGAAAAAAAAAAAATAAGACTAATATGCAGAACAGACTGATACATGCTTAATTGGCAAGATCTCATGCTATCTGCCCTCGATAAGACTGTGTGCCTGAGAACAAAATGAGATGTTATAGAACACAAACATCTCGTTTATAATTTACCTTACATTTCTGTTTCTCAATTAATGATGATTCAAACTGAACTTCACTGTATATATATAGTCATGCAATTTGGGCTAAAATGTGAGAAGCCAATAGGACATCCATGGAAAGATGGCCCAGTATGTCTAAAGACATAGATTTGGAAGTTATTGGCATATAGGTCATGTTGGAGTCATGTAAGTGAATGAATTATCAAGGGCAGAAAGAAGAGAGAGGAAAAAAGGTAGAACTCCTGAGTAACACCAATAGTTATGGGATGTAGACAGAGAAATTACTAGAAGGAATAAACAGAGAGGTTGGAAGGTAATCTAGACACCGTGGTGCATGCAGAAAACCTAAGAGGAGAGAAAATAATTCTAAAGCGGGAATAATCAATACTGCCAAATTCTGCAGAAGGGGAAAAATAAGGATAAGGACAGAAAAGTGGCCAATAGAGTCTGTATCATAAATCCAGAGAGAGAAGAGAAAAAAAACTAAGACTACAGGTCTATTGTGCCATCAATGACTTGAGATATTGCCTTAATACTGGCTAACAGAGATATTGTGTCTAACTGAACATCCTAGGAAGTTAATACAGAGGTTACTTCTTCTTATGCATATTTGAATAATATTAAATATATTCATATAGCTATTAAAAAGTATAAGACAGCTATATAGTAAATTTACACTAGTATTTTATGAGCAGGAGGATATCCAACTGGGTTTCATTTATTCACTTTCATCAAAAAGCTACAAATAAGACACTGTCCATTTGTGTTACAATTCTTTGTATGCCTGTTGGTCCATTCTCTGTACTAGTTATTTGCAATTAAATGAGTCAAGAAGAGAGAATGGAAGAAACTGATGAGAAAAAGTACACTTTGGTACCAAAGTGTACCAAATATTTATATTAAATAATTTTCTGTTGGTAACATTCAAATTTCTCACTGTCAGCAAAACTTCAGCAGAAATTTCAGATCATGATGGTTGATGTGACTTGGTGCCCAAAAGTAACTGTGCTTAAGTTACATAAATAACTAAAGCCTGTCACAGATGTTTTTATCTACTAGCCCATGATCTATTTTATCTTTGAACTTAAGGAGTCCAAAAAGATTTGTCCAGAGACATGTTGTGTTTATAGGTGCAGTCTAGTGGGCATGCTGAGTATCTATTTTTCTAAACACACTATGTTGCATCCTGATTAAGTCATTTATATGCAAATGTTACACTGAATGAGATACCTGGTTTTTAAGGCTTCTCCATTGTGCATAACGCCTCCATCATAAACGTTGCTCACATGTTTAGATATTTATTCCTCACTGAGATATTTTTATCATCGATTGACAGAAATATACCAGTGATTGCTCAGTACTATATACTATGCCAATTTTCAAATAGTCTAATGGGATAGAGCCTTCATGTCATTAAAGCACAAGTTTACAGAAACATAACTGCCCCGGGATTAGAAGATAATTTTAGTAGTCTTTGGGAATTTCATCCTTAACATTTAGGTTGGGGAAAGGGATTCCAGACACAAAGTCTGTCCCCTACCTTGAGAACAAAGCCTGAGAGTGTTATCCTGTGCACTCTAACGTTTTGCACAAAAATGTGTTACATTGAAGCAGATCACTCCAAGCCTGGGATCTAATGGAGTGGGTCTGAGGTATGCCACCCACAAGTACCTTTCTTGACCAATGCATCAGCTTTTGGGAGTATTGGCTGCTAATAGCTCACAGCTAAGTGTTTCTCCTGGCATGTGGAAACCATCTAACCCAAAGTTATGCTCCGCCCTAGGGGCAGTTTACATCCAGTGGCTGGTTAACTGGCAAGGTGGAAAGATGAGAGTAAGAAAACCAATCCTTTATGTTTTAATTTGGGACAAATCTGAAGATCCATAAACTCCAGAGCTTCTTTGTTGCAATCACAAGGCATTTTCAACCTCTCCCTCTGCCTCATCCTGCTTCTTTCAATCCTTTCTAATCTAATTTCTGAGAGCATTCACCCATAAAATTTCTGCAAGCAAATCTCCACCTCAAATTCTGTTTCCAGGAATGGTGACCTAAAGCAGTTGAAGCCAGGAGTGGTCCTAAGAAGCAGTATATAAAATGGTATTTTAGAGCTGAGTCATCTGCTGATGGCTAGCAGTGAGGACCCCATCACTGGTGATAGGTAGAGCATTATTAGCTCCAGGCATATTAGAACAATGAAATTGTTAAGACTTTCACCTGAGATGAATGGGATCGGAAAAGAAAGCATTGTCTGGGGACAGAATCTCAAGCATTTGAGAAATTTGGGGAAAATAATAATTATAAAAACTATGGAAGAAATGACTGTTGCTGAGGGCTGTCATTTCACTGGAGAAAGACAATGGAAAACTGGAGATAATTAATTACCAATTTAAAGTAAGTGTGAAAACCACAGGGATTGTTTGGCAGCATATGAAGAATCTCTGCCCCAGGGTGGTTGGCAAGATGGCCAAATAGAAACAGCTCCGGTCTGCAGCTCCCAGTGAGATCAACGCAGAAGGCAGGTGACTTCTGCATTTCCAACTGAGGTACTCGGCTCATCTCACCGGGAGTGATTAGACAGTAGGTGCAGCCCACAGAGGGCAAGACAAAGCAGGGTGGGGTGTCGCCTCACCTGGGAAGCACAAGGGGTCAAAGAGCTCCTTTCCCTAGCCAAGGGAAGCAATGAGAGACTGTGCCATAAGGAACAACGAATTCTGGCCCAGAAACTATGCTTTCCCCACAGTCTTCACAACCTGCAGACCAAGAGATTCCCTCAAGTGGCTACACCATCAGGGCCCTAGGTTTCAAGCACAAAACTGGGTGGCCATTTAGGCAGGCACTGAGCTAGCTGCAGGAGTTTTTTTCATACCCCAGTGGCACCTGGAATGCCAGTGAGACAGAACCATTCATTCCCCTGGAAAGAGGGCTGAAGCCAGGAAGCCAAGTGGTCTAGCTCAGTGGATCCCACCCCCATGGAGCCCAGCAAGCTAAGATCCACTGGCTTGAAATGCTTGCTGCCAGCACAACAGTTTGAAGTCAACCTGGGATGCTCGAGCTTGGTGGGGTAGGGGTGTCCAGCATTACTGAGACTCGAGAAAGCTGTTTTCCCCTTACAGTGTAAACAAAGCTGCCAGGAAGTTCAGACTGGGCAGAGCCCATCACAGCTTGGCAAAGCTGCTATAGCCAGCCTTCCTCTCTAGATTTCTCCTCTCTGGGCAAGGCATCTCTGAAAGAAAGGCACCAGCCCCTGTTAGGGGCTTATAGATAAAACTCCCATCTCCTTGGGACAGAGCACCTGGGGGAAAAGAGGGCTGTGGACACAGGTTTAGCAGACTTAAACATTCCTGCCTGCCAGCTCTGAAGAGAGTGGCAGATCTCCTAGCATAGCGCTCGAGCTCTGCTAAGGGACAGACTGCCTCCTCAAGTGGGTCTCTGACCCCCATGTCTCCTGACTGGGAGACACCTCCTAGCAGGGGTCGACAGACATGTCATAGAGGAGAGCTCCGGCTGGCATCTGGTGGGTGCCCCTCTGGGAAGAAGCTTCCAGAGGCAGCAAAAGGCAGCAATCTTAGCTGCTCTGCAGCCTCCACTGGTGATACCCAGGCAAACAGCGTCTGGAGTGGACCTCCAGGAAACAGGGTCTGGAGTGGACCTCCAGCAAACTCCAGCAGACCTGCAGCAGAGGCACCTGTTAGAAGGAAAACTAATAAACATCAATATCAACAAAAAGGATGTCCAAACATAAATCCCATCCGAAGGTCACCAACATCAAAGACCAAAGGTAGATAAATCCACGAAGATGAGGAAAAACCAGTGAAAAAGGCTGAAAATTCCAAAAACCAGGCCTCTTTTCCTCCAAAGCATCACAACTCCTCACCAGCAAGGGAACAAAACTGGACAAAGAATAAGTTTGATGAATTGACAGAAGTAGCCTTCAGAAGGTAGGTAATAACAAACACCTCCAAGCTAAAAAAAAAAAAAAAAAAAAAAAAACATGCTCTAACCCAATGCAAGGAAGCTAAGAACCTTAAAAAAAGAGGTTAGAGAAATAACTAACTAGAATAACAAGTTTAGAAAAGAACATAAATGACCTGATGGAGCAGAAAAACACAGCACAAGAACTTCATGAATCATACACAACTATCAATAGCTGAATCAATCAAGTGGAAGAAAGGATATCAGAGAAATTAAAGATCATATATAAAGTGTGAAGACAAAATTAGAGAAAAAAGAATTAAAAGGAACAAATAAAGCCTCCAAGAAATATGGGACTATGTGAAGAGACCAAACCTGCATTTGATTGGTGTACCTGAAAGCGATAGGGAGAATGGAACCAAGTTGGAAAACACTCTTCAGGATATTATCCAGGAGAACTTCCCCAGACTAGCAAGACAGGCCAACATTCAAATTCAGGAAATACAGAGAACACCACAAAGATACTCCTTGAGAAAAGCAACCCAAGACACAAAATTGTCAGATTCACCAAGATTGAAATGAAGGAAAAAATATTAAGGGCAGCCAGAGAGAAAGGTCAGGTTACCCACAAAGTGAAGCCCATCAGACTAACAGCAGATCTCTCTGCAGAAACCTTACAAGCCAGAAGAGAGTGAGGGCCAATATTCAACATTCTTTAAGAAAAGATTTTTCAACCCAGAATTTCATATGCAGCCAAACTAAGCTTCATAGGCGAAGAAGAAATAAAATCCTTTACAGACAAGCAAATGCTGAATGATTTTGTCACCACCAGGTCTGCCTTACAGGAGCTCCTGAAGGAAGCACTAAATATGGAAAGGAAAAGCCAGTACCTGCCCCTGCAAAAACATACCAAATTGTAAAGACCATTGACACTATGAAAAAAACTGCATCAAACAACAGGCAAAATAGCCAGCTAACATAATGACAGGATCAAATTCACACATAACAATATTAACCTTAAATGTAAATGGGCTAAATGCCACAGTTAAAAGACACAGACTGGCAAATTGGATAAAGAGTCAAGACCCATTGGTGTGCTGTATTTAGGAGACTCATCTCATGTGCAAAGACACACATAGGTTCAATATAAGAGATAAAGGAAGATTTACCAAGCAAATGGAAAGCAAAAAAAGCACGGGTTGCAATCCTAGTCTCTTATAAAAGACTTTAAACCAACAAAGATCAAAAAAGATAAAAGGAATCAATGCAACAAGAAGAGCTAACTATCCTAAATATATACGCACCCAATACAGGAGCACCCAGATTCATAAAGCAAGTTCTTAGAGACCTACAAAGAGACTTAGACTGCCACACAATAATAGTTGGAGACTTCAACACCCCACTGTCAGTATTAGACAGATCAATGAGATAGAGAATTAACAAGGATATTCAAGACTTGAACTCAGCTCTGGACCAAGTGGGCCCGATAGACATCTACAGAACTCTCCACCCGAAATCAACAGAATATACAATCCTCTCAGCATCACATCACACTTATTCTAAAATTGACCACATAAATGGAAGTAAAACATTCCTCAGCCAATGCAAAATAATGGAAAACATAACAGTCTCTCAGACCACAGTTCAATCAAATTAGAACTCAGGATTAAGAAACTCACTCAAAACCTCAAAACAACATGGAAACTGAGCAACCTGCCCCTGAATGACTACTGGGTTAATAACAAAATTAAGGCAGAAATAAATAAGTACTTTGAAACCAATGAGAACATAGGCAAAACATACCAGAATCTCTGGGACACAGCTAAAGGAGTGTTTAGAGGGAAATTCATAACACTAGATACCCACAGGAGAAAGTGGGAAAGATCTAAAATCAACACCCTAACATCACAATTAAAAGAACTAGTGAAGCAAGAGAAAACAAATTCAAACCTAGCAGAAGACAAGAAATAACTAAGATCAGAGCAGAACTGAAGGAGATAGAGACATGAAAAACACTTCAAAAAATCAATGAATCCAGGAGCTGATTTTTTGAAAAGATTAACAAAATAGATATACTGTTAGCCAGACTAACAAAGAAGAAAAGAGAGAAAGAATCAAATAGATGCAATAAAAAATGATAAAGGGATTATTGCCACTGATCCCACAGAAATACAAACTACCATCAGAGAATACTATAAACACCTGTACACTTTATTTGCATAGAAGAAATTGATAAATTCCTGGACATATACACCCTCCCTAGACTAAACCAAGAAGAAGTCAAATCCCTGAATAGACCAATAACAAGTTCTGAGATTGAGGCAGTAATTAATAGCCTACCAACCAAAAAAAAAAGCCCGGGACCAGATGAATTCACAGCCAGATTCCACGAGAGGTACAAAGAGGAGCTGGTACCATTCCTTCTGAAACTATTCCAAACCAAAGAAAAAGGATTCCTCTTTAACTCTTTTTACGAGGCCAGGATCATCCTGATATCGAAACCTGCCATAGACACACCAAAAAAAGGAAGTTTCAGGCCAATATCCCTGATGAACATCAATGCAAATATCCTCAATAAAATACTGACAAACCGAATCCAGCAGCACGTCAAAAAGTTTATCCACCACGATCAAGTCAGCTCCATCCCTGAGATGCAAGGCTGGTCCACCATACACAAATCAATAAACATAATCCATCATATAAACAGAACCAATAATGAAAACCACATGATTATCTCAACAGATGCAGAAAAGGCCTTCAACAAAATTCAACACCCCTTCAAGCTAAAAACTCTCAATAAACTAGGTATCAATGGAATGTATCTCAAAATAATAAGAGCTATTTATGACAAACCCACAGCCAATAACATACTAAATGGGCAAAATTTGGAAGCATTCCCTTTCAAAACCAGCACAAGGCAAGTATGCCCTCTCTCACCATTCCTACTCAACATAGTATTGGAAGTGCTGGCCAGGGCAATCAAGGAAGAGAAAGAAATAAAGCTTATTCAATTAGGAAAAGAGGAAGTCAAATTGTCTCTGTTTGCAGATGACATGATCGTATATTTAGAAAACCCCATCGTCTCAGCCCAAAATCTCCTTAAGCTGATAAGCAACTTCAGCAAAGTCTCAGGATACAAAATCAATGTCCAAAAATCACAAGCATCCCTATACACCAATAGTAGAAAAACAGAGAGCCAAATCATGAGTGAATTCCCACTCACAATTGCTACTAAGAGAATAAAATACCTAAGAATACAACTTACAAGGGATGTGAAGTATCTGTTCAAGGAGAACTGCAAACCTCTACTCAAGGAAATAAGAGAGGACACAAACAAATGAAAAAATATTTTATACTCATGGATAGGAAGACTTAATATCTTGAAAATGGCTGTACTGCCCAAAACAATTTATAGATTCAATACTGTCCCCATCAAGCTACCACTGACTTTCTTTACAGAATTAGAAAAAAAACTACTTTAAATTTCATATAGAACCAAAAAAGAGCCTGTATAGCCAAGACAATCCTAAGCAAAAGAAAACAAAGGTGGAGCCATCATGGTACCTGACTTCAAACTATACTACAAGGCTACAGTAACCAAAACAGCATGGTACTGTTACCAAAACAGATATATAGACTGATGGAACAGAACAGAGCCCTCAGGAATAATGCCACACATCTACAACCATCAGATCTTTGATAACCCTGACAAAAATAAGCAATGGGGAAAGGATCCCCTATTTAATAAATGGCATTGGGAAAACTGGCTAGCCATATACAGGAAACTGAAACTGGACCTCTTCCTTACACCTTATACAAAAATTAACTCAAGTTGGATTAAAGACTTAAATGTAAGACCAAAAACCATAAAAACTCTAGAAGAAAATCTAGGCAATGCCATTCAGGACATAGGCATGGGCAAAACTTCATGACTAAAACACCAAAAACAATAGCAACAAAAGCCAAAATTGACAAATGGGATCTAATTAAACTAAACAGCTTCTACACAGCAAAAGAAACTATCATCAGAGTGAACAGACAACCTACAGAATAGAAGAAAATGTTTGCAATCTATCCATCTGACAAAGGGTTAATATCCAGAATTTACAAGGAGCTTAAACAAATTTACAAGAAAAAAACAACCCCCTCAAAAAGTGAGTGAAAGATATGAACAAACACTTCTCAAAAGAAGACATTTATGTGACCAACAAACATATTTAAAAAAAGCTTATCATCACTGGTCATTAGAGAAATGCAAATCAAAACCACAATGAGATACCATCTCACACCAGTTAGAATGGCGATCATTAAAAAGTCAGGAAACAACAGATGCTGGAGAGGATGTGGAGAAATAGGAATGCTTTTACACTGTTTTCCCACCACTGTTGGTGGGAGTGTAAATTAGTTCAACCATTGTGCAATACAGTGTGGCGATTCCTCAAGGATCTAGAACCAGAAATACCATCTGACCCAGCAATCCCATTACTGGGTATATACCCAAAAGATTATAAATCATTCTACCATAAAGACACATGCACACACATGTTTACTGCAGCACTGTTCACAATAGCAAATATTTGGAACCAACACAAATGCCCATCAATGATAGACTGGATAAAGGAAATGTGGCACATATAAACTATGGAATACTATGCAGCCATAAAACCAGGATGAGTTCATGTCCTTTGCAGGGACATGGATGAAGCTTGATACCATCATTCTCAGCAAACTAACACAGGAACAGAAAACCAAACACCACATGTTCTCACTCATAAGTGGGAGCTGAACAATGAGAACACATGGACACAGGGAGGGGAACATCACACACCGGGGCCTGTCAGGGGGTGGGGCGCTAGGGGACGGATAGCACTAGGAGAAATACCTAACATAGATTATGGCTTGATGGGTGCAGCAAACCACCATGGCACATGTATACCTGTGTAACAAACTTGCACATTCCGCACAGGTACCTCAGAATTTAAAGTATAATAATTAAAAAAAAAAAAACAGAATTTCTGCAATACTATAGGTGAAGAAAAAAAAAATAAAACTGACAATCTTTCCAGGAACTGAATTATAAAGTCAGCAGAATTTCAGAGAAAGTAAAATTTTAAAATAGTCAAGTCTGCAATGCCTAGACCAAAACTTTGATTAGTACACATGAAATTAAAATATCCAGGTGTATGACTCAAAAATCTTAAATATGGCTGGGTTAGTGGCTCATACCTGTAATCCTAGCACTTCAGGAGGCCAATGTGGGATGATTACTTGAGGCCAGGAGTTCCAGACCACCCTGAGCAACATAGGGAGACCTTGTCTCTACAAAAAAAAAAGAAGAGAGAGAGAGAGAGAAATAGCAGGGTCAACATGGTGCACACCTGTAGTCCTAACTACTCAAAAGACAGAGTAAGAATCATTTGAGCTCAGGAGGTGAAGGTTGCAGTGAACTATAATTTCAACACCGCACTTTAGCCTGGGTGACAGAGAGAGATTCTGTCTCAAGAAAAATAAATAAATACAATAAAATCTTGAATACCTGGATTCTCTTAAACCTTCTGGGTCCACCAGAAAGGATCCGTTTTTCCTTGTAAAAAATGAACACTGCTCCCTTCGTTTGGCTTTGTCCCCACCCAAATCTCATCTTGAATTGTAACTCCCACAATTCCCACTTGTAATAGGAGGAACCTGGTGGGAGGTAATTGAATCATGGGGGCGGGTCTTTCCTATGCTGTTCTCATGGTGCTGAATAAGTCTCATGCAAGCTGATGATTTTAAATATGGGAGTTTCCATGCAAAAGCTCTCTCTTTTTGTCTACTGCCATCCACGTAAGACATGATTTACTCCTCCTTGCCTTCCACCATGATTGTGAGGCCTCCCCACCCATGAGGAACTGTAAATCCAATAAATCTCTTTTTTTTGTAAATTGCCCAGTCTTGGGTATGTCTTCATCAGCAGCATGAATACGGACTAATACAGTAAATTGGTATCAGTAGAGTGGGGCCCTGCTGAAAAGATACCCGAAAATGTAGAAGCAAATTTGGAAGTGGGTAACAGGCAGAGGTTGGAACAGTTTGGAGGGCTCAGAAGAATCCAGGAAAATAAGGAAAACTTTGGAACTTCCTAGAGACATGTTAAATGGCTTTGAACAAAATGCTGATAGTAATATGGACAATGAAATTCAGGCTGAGGTGATTTCAGATGGAGATGAGAAACTTGTTGGGTACTGGAGTAAAGGTAACTCTTGCTATTTTTTATCAAAGAGACCAGTGACATTTTGCCCCTGCCCTAGAGATTTGTGGAATTTGAACTTGAGAGAGATGATGTAGGGTATTTGATGGAAGAAATTTCTAAGCAGCAAAGCATTCAAGATGTGACTTGGGTGCTGTTAAAGTCATTCAGTTTTAAAAGGGAAACAGAGCATAAAAGTTTGGAAAATTTGCAGCCTGACAATTGATAGAAAAGAAAATCTCATTTTCTGAGAAGAAATCCAAGCTGGATGCAGAAATTTGCATAAGTGACACGGAGCCGAATGTTAATCTCCAAGACAATGGGGAAAATATCTCCAGGGAGTATCAGAGGCTGTCATGGCAGCTCTTCCCATCACAGTCCCAGAGGCCTAGGAGGAAAAGGTGGTTTTGTTTCCGGCCCCAGGGTCCCCATGCTGTGTGCAGCATAGGGACTTGGTGCCCTATGTCCCAGCTGCTCCAGCCGTGGCTGACAGGGGCCAATGTAGAGCTCAAGCTGCAGCTTCAGAGGGTGCAAGCCTCAAGACTTGGCAGCTTATACATGATGTTGAGCCTGCCAGTGCACAGAAGTCAAGAATTGGGCTTTGGGACCCTCCACCTAAATTTCGGAGGTTGTATGGAAGTGCCTGGATGTTCAGGCAGAAGTTTGCTGCAGGGGTGGCACTTTCATGGAGAACCTCTGCTAGGGCAGTGCACAAGGTAAATGTGGGGTCGGAACCCCCAAACAGAGCTCCTACTTGGGCACTGCCTAGTGGAGCTGCGAGAAGAAGGCCACCATCTTCCAGACCCTAGAATGGTAGATCCACCAACAGCTTGCACCGTGCACCTGGAAAAGCCACAGAGACTCAATGCCAACCCATGAAATCAGCCTGGAAGGAGGCTGTACCTGCAAAGCCACAGGAATGGAGCTGCTCAAGGCCGTGGGAACCCACCACTTGCATCAGCATGACCTGGATGTGAGACATGGAGTCAAAGGAGATCATTTTGGAGCTTTAAGATTTGACTGCCCTGCTGGATTTTGGACTTGCATGGGGCCCATAACCCCTTTGTTTTGGCCAGTGTCTCCCATTTGGAATGGTTGTATTTACTCAATGCCTCTACTCCCATTGTATCTAAGAAGTAGCTAACTTGCTTTTGATTTTACAGGCTCATAGACAAAAGGGACTTGCCTTGTCTCAGATGAGACTTTGGACTGTGGACTTCTGAGTTAATGCTGAAATGAGTTGAGACTTTGGGGAACTGTTGGGAGGGCATGATCAGTTCTGAAATGTGAGGACATGAGATTTGAGAAGGGTCAGGAATGGAATGATATGGTTTGACATTGCCCCCACCCAAATCTCATCTTGAATTGTACCTCTCACAATTCCCATGTGTTGTGGAAGGTAATTGAATCATGGGGGCAGGTCTTTCCTGTGCTGTTCTTATGGTGCTGAATAAGTCTCATGCAAGCTGATGGTTTTAAAAACAGGAGTTTCCCCATACAAGCTCTCTCTTTTTGCCTGCTGCCATCCATGTAAGATGTGACTTAATCCTCCTTGCCATCCACCATGATTGTGAGGCCTCCCCAGCCACATGGAACTGGTAGTCCATTAAACCTCTTTCTTTTGTAAATAGCCTAGTCTTGGGTTTGTCTTTATCAGCAGCATGAATACACCCCTTTACTTGAAGATGATGCAGAGACTTCTGCCTTTCAAGATAGCACATCTCCCTCTGAAGA
The DNA here is from genome assembly GCF_000001405.40 of Homo sapiens. NCBI lineage: Eukaryota > Metazoa > Chordata > Mammalia > Primates > Hominidae > Homo > Homo sapiens. Next base: position 17,249,599 of record NC_000021.9, read on the forward strand.
TTCATCTCAACCTTTGCTTGGAGCATCTGGTGACTGAAGAAGAGGCCAAATCCATGAATAATCATTATACAATGAGTGGGCAACATTATATGGTGATGATTCAACCAGTCCTTCTTCACAGAAACCTATGACCATTTACTCAGGTAATCATAAACTGGAGATAGAGAATACACAAAAATTTTAAGGTCACATTGATTATACAGAAACTCAAAATTATTCAGAACTCCATGTCAGAGTGGAGGTAGATGGTAATAAATATATTCATTTGGTCTAGTTTACAATGGATGCAACAGGGCATGGAACAACCCAGTAAGTCCTTCCTCTATCTTTCACATTCTATTGGAAGAGACATATTTAGTAGTTGTCTGACATCTTCCCAACCCCAGGATTTTTGCTTGGCATTTGGAGGCAAGAGATATCACGGGAAAGACAAAGTGGATACTTCTGTCCAGATATGACAATAAGTAGTTAGGCTGCTGGATAGCCTAAGAAGAAAATGATAACCAGCAGCTCATAGCCCACAGGGGTGAGGGTCAAGATCACCCACTGGATTAGCCACCTAGGCTAGCAAAGGTGCTAACCAAGAGTGAAGAGAATCTTGAATGGGTAGAAGAGAAATAAGAGAATAAGTATCAGTTGCAGCCTCCAGACAAGCTATTGCAGCATCAGGGCTATTTTCAACTACATATTTAAATGTAATGGCTTGGATATAGTGTGTTAAAGAAAATATATTATTAATTTTAACTTTTTTGATGTGGTGATTTGAAACTTTAAAATAATATATGTATCATGGTTGTGGCTTCCATTACATTCTTATTGGACAAGTGTGCCCTATAATATCTACATATAACCAAAATGTCATCTAAAACCTCTAATAAAAATCCATCAGTTACTAAATACATGTTTTGTAGCTGACAGAGTAAGATCTATTCAGGTGGCCACACTCTGCAGAAGAATAAAGTACACAATGCAAGCTAATGAGAATCTGAAAAAGGAAAACATCCTTTCAGCCAATTCCTTTCTCCCTCTTTAGAGGAATAGCATAAGTACTACCCGTGAAACAGGACAGAAAGCTGCAGGAATATGATTATTTATAATTTTAAAAGATCATGAGACTCTGTCTTAGATGCTTTATCTGAACTCAAAACCTATATCCATATCACCACATCACACAACTATATCTGCAGCAGTTGAATCTGTTCAGATTGTAGAGGGTCCTGCAGAGCTGCATGCATGGAGAAAATGCATCCTAAAAGTGAGAGCTCACAGTAAGATATGATCATTACATTTTAGAAACAAAGTTTAAAATAAAGCAGTGACCACAATATTCAGTCATCCACCATAAAATTATGTGCAGTAATCTCCATTTCTGGATATGGATTGCTAAATAGCAATATATAAACAAACAATATCAAAGTGCCTTTTTGGCTAACTGCCACTCTGCCACTTCTGAACTGAAGCCAATTATGACATCACTCGAGCTTCTTGTCCTTTGCTGACCTTCCTACTCATGTTGCCAAAATGTATTAAATTTCTCCTCTACGATTTGTCTTATTCCCTTTGTCTTTGTTTCTTTAAATAATGACTTGACATCACTTGACCTCAACCTACAATTTTGGCTGGTAATATCACTGAGCAATTCACTTACATAAATGGCTTTGCATAATCATCCATTGTGTCACAGAAAAATAATCGTGCAAGAAAAGGTTGAATTTGTATAATGTAGAACTGAAGAAAATTATTTTAATATTCCAAAAATCATACATCCATTTAGCAGGTAAGATGGAATATTCTATCAAGCTGTAAAAATCCAGTTTCCATGGTACTATAATTAATAAAATGTATAGTTAGTAAACCCATCTATGCATACTGTTTATTTTAGTATTGTTCAAGTGAAAGTCACTCTGTCCATTAAATCAAAAATAAAAGTGATCCAGTGAAATTGCTTGGTCAATGTGCTTGTAGTTTTTCAATTCAGAAATATACCCTAGTTTTATAAAGGATTGAAATAAGGCATACTGATCTTACATGCATTAGTCCAAGATGAGAAGTCCTTTCCCTGCGAAGGGACCTTAGGCATCTGCCAAGTTCTGGTGATCTATTACATGTAACAATGTTTTCTCTGCATTAGCTAAGGTCTTCAAGCATAATCGAAATCCTAGATATATTTGCATATCCACATATGCTAAGGAAAATAACTGTTTATCAATTTGATAAAAAATGAATCTCTTTGGCATGTTAAAAGTTTTTTCTGAAAAAAATAGAGCCCAGCTAATAAAAAATATTTTCTGATAGAATAATTATGTAATAAAATGTGTGCTAGTCTGTATTATGATGTTGACCCATAACATAGTTAGAGCTCAATCAACTATACTTGCAAAATAGTAGCACTTGTTTGTACTTCGTAGTTTACAAGTTCTTTTCACATGTAACATTCAGAATCTTGTAAAATCTTGTGACTTAGGAAGGACACATACATATTATTAGTCTGGTTTAGAGCTGAGAAAACAAAGGCCCAAGGACATGCTGTCAGAAAGGATCAAAGCCAGAACTTGAATTCAAGGTTTCTGAATCTGAATTTCAAATCCTTTCTATTATATATAACTGGAAAAGAGTATCTGGATTCTTTACCTAATAGTACCTGAAATGTGAGTATACATATTGAATAACTATGATAGGGCTATTGGGACTCACCAGTCTCAGTGACCAAATTGTGGCAGAAAAAAATAACATAATGAATGATTGGTTTCTTTTTTTCAGTGATTTGCTTTTGCAGTCATTGATGATTCTTAAGTGCCAGTCTTCCTGTGCACTATAACACAGGCTGACAGGTACTGCCTCCCCTCAGAGCTCCTAATCTAAAGGAAGAAATACAGTACATATCTGTGCATCCAGAACATGGAGAGGTGCTGTAGCAGAGTGTCAAAAAAGAATAAGCCACATAGAGAAGAGAAATCCTGAGAAAATATTGTGGTATATAATAGATCACCAGAACTTGGCAGATGCCTGGGGTCCCTTCCCAGCGAAAGAACTTGTCATCTTAGACTAATGCATATAAGATCAGTGGATCTTGTCTTCATCCTTTGTAAAACTAATGTGTAGATTTCTAAGACAATTTCTAGCTTCACATTATTATTATCCTATACTCTCATACACCATTGGAGGAGTATCAATTAGTAAAATCTTTTTGGAGAACAACTTGCAAAATCAAAAAAACATGTACACATTGACTCTGCAATTTCACTGGATCCACTTATTTCCACCTCTACTATTAGGGCTGGTCAAAGTCACAATCATGTCTTATCTGGACTATAATGGTAGCCTTCTTACACTGGTCCTCCTGCTTCCACTTCAGTGCCACTACAGTATCTTCTTTCTACAGTGATGGGAGAAATCATCCTAAAAGGCAAATCAGATGGTACTACTTCCCTACTTAAAAATCTCCTCATGATTTACGATAACACTTGAAAGAAAATTCAAATTTCTTCTCTGACTTACAAAACCCCCAGAAGTCTGTCTTTGTTTCTAATCTCAATCATTCTACTCTCTTGCATGCACCACACATTGACTACCCTGGCCTTCTTTCTGTTTCTACATTTGGGCTTTGCACAAGCTGTCCCATCTGCCTCAAATACCCTTCTGTGCTTATCCCTTCAAATTTCAACTTAAATGTCACCTCTTCAAACGGGCTGTACCTGACAACCCAATCTAAAGGTGACTACCTAACCAATCTGCAGCATATCACTGTTTTAATTCTCTGCACGGCATTATCCACAATGTGATACTTTCCTTATTTATTTATTTATACAATTAATTTTTCATGCATCTATTTTTGAATATATGTATGCATGTTCATACATATTTTCTATTTATTTGTTTATTTTTTCCTTCCCTCTATGCACTCCAGAGAATTTAAGTTTATAAGAACAGGGAATCCGGGCATGGTGGCGCATGCCTGTAATCCTAGCAACTCAGGAGGCTGAGGCATGAGAATCGCTGGAACCTGGGAGGCAGAGGTTGCAGTGAGCCGAGATTGTGCCACTGCACTCCAGCCTGGGCAGTGGCAGCAAGACACCATCTCAAAAATAAATAAATAAAATAAGAAGTCCTGTTCCATTCACGAGTGTATCCCCAGATCCAATAACAATGCCTGACTCATAATTGGCACTTAATCACTGAATTTTTAATTCTAATAATGTAACCTGTGGGCATTTTTCCATGCACTATGGTTCCAAGTATGCACAAAGAGTAAATTTCCAGCTTCCTTAACTCATGCATTAAGTGCCTACTAGTTGTGATGCCTGAAGAACTGGGAATAAAATCGGTGTGGGATGAATATCAGATGACCTAGAAGAAAATTTGAATTCACATTGAAAAGTGTGAAATTAAAAAAAAAAGAAAAACACCTAATATAAAACAAAATTTAAATGTTATATAGGGTTCATTCTGGGCATCCAACATTCATCTAATGGAATAATAGAAGAAGGAACAGAGAAGACAAAATGAAAGAAAAACATCAAAAAAAAAAAAAAAAAAACACACACAGAAAAATTCTTTGAAAGCTAAGGAAAAACAAGTCTCCAAAATGAAAAGTGCCTATTAAGTCCTAAGCAGGCAGAATTAAGCTAAGAAAAAAAAAAAGTACATGTATTTTCATGAAGGCTCAGATAAATAGGAGATTGTAAACATACCTACACACTCTTCCTAAAAATTACTTGAGGATCCACTCTAGCAAAATAAATAAGAAAATATCAAAAAGTAAAAGACAAGTGGTCCAAAAAATTCTAGAACAACACGGGAGCTCAGTAAAAAGGAGACCCAATATTATGGCTATGAAATAGACTTGAAACCAACGGATACCAATTAGAAAAGCAAATAGGAGAACTCCAGAAAAAAAATGTCTTTAGGACAAAGAATGAAACAGAAATCATAACAGATTATATGTCAAGAATCTAAAAGATCTTAATTAAGTGATAAGTAAAACAACGTAGAAGTCAATTAGAAACTCCAGTTTTAGTTTTCTGCATATGGCTAGCCAGTTTTCCCAACACCATTTATTAAATAGGGAATCCTTTCCCCATTGCTTGTTTTTGTCAGGTTTGTCAAAGATCAGGTGGTTGTAGATGTGTGGTGTTATTTCTGAGGGCTCTGTCCTGTTCCATTGGTCTATATATCTGTTTTGGTACCAGTACCATGCTGTTTTGGTTCCAGTACCATGCTGTTTTGGTTATTATAGAATTGTAGTATAGTTTGTAGCCAGGTAGCATGATGCCTCCAGCTTTGTAGAATGCTATACAAGTAATTCATGGTTCAAATATAAAATAAACTAAAATTAAGCATCATTTTGAGAAAATGATAGAAAGACAATCCATTTAATCTTGATATTTGAAACAATCTATATAAAGGAGGATTATTTCAATGACTTAGAATTATATTTATTAGCTGTAAATCCAATTACACTACCTGATTTTATAGTAAATAACACTTACATTTTCAAAGTATTGCAAAACTCTTTGCTTTCAGTATTCAGAATCAGTGTACAAAGTGCCTAAAATGATTATATTTGCACAATAAAATGTAAACTTTATACTTTGAGAGTGAAGATGTAGTTGACAGGAGTTTAGAAGTGGAGACTTGTGAGAAGCATGCCAAAAAGTATCAATTTTCTCTTTCTAAATGAAAAAAAGAACTAAAAATTTATATTTTGTATCTCGAGTTATAAATGCTACCAATAGAAAAACAAACATAATATATAATAGGTAAATTAAAGATTCTGATTCCTGTTTGATCCAGAATCAAACAGGAATGATTTTCCTCTGAAAGTTGCCTTCAGTCATACTCTGAGGTTTCTCTTTCCTTCCATTACTAATATCTGAGCACATCCTTTGGCTCTCTGGTCACTTTCACTTACAGAAACAAACGTAATTTTGTAATAAAAGACTTATGTTGAAAAGGTATACTTTTGTCTAAATCAGAATTTCAAATTTGTATCCAATTCAAACATCTCCCTTTATCTCAAGCCCCTTCTTTAGCAAGCTCTGAGCCTTGGGTCAAAGGAGAAGCTTTCATTCAACATCCTGTTACAAATGTAATCAACAAAACTTGGGGGAGGAATGGGGAAGTATAAATTAGATAAATTTACCATCTTTTATACCATGAAATCTATTACTACTCTTATAAAGTTAACATATCAAGAAATAGAGGTATAAGTACACTGCTGAAAATTATGATAGTAACCACTACAACACCTAAAAACAGAAATAAGTAGTTACCCTATAGAGTGGGACTGTGAACAGGTGATTTTTTCCTTCCATTTAATAATACCTTGTAGCCTATGACCATAGTTATGCTGAACATATATGACATTCATATGAATAAACAAGTGATGAAAGAAATAATAAAGCACAATGTTAGAAGAAGGGAGTAGTTAAGATTGTCAGATCATCAAATTTCTTTGAGGAGTCAAAGTAAAATAAGAATTGAAAATAATCATGGGATTTAGCAACATGAAGGTCATTGTTCACATTAACTAAGAAAATTTTACTGGAGTGGCCAGGCGCAGTGGCTCACACCTATAATCTCAGCACTTTGGGAGACCTGGGCAGGTGGATCCCTTGAGCTCAGGAGTTCGAGACCAACCTGGGCAACATGACAAAACCCCATCTCTATAAAACAAACAAACAAACAAAAAATCAGCCAGGTATTGTGGCATGCACGCATAGTCTCATCTACTCGGGGAGCTGAGGTGGGAGGATCACTTGATCCACCGGGTGGTTGAGGTTGCAGTGAGCCGAGATAGCACCACTGCACTCCAGCCTGGACGATAGAGTGAGACTTTGTCTCAAAAACAAGAAAATAAAAGAAAATTTTACTGGAATAATTGGTGTAGGTGAAGTAGGCTGAGAATGAGTAAGCAGTGAGAAATACAAGACAACAAATACTAACTCTCTCAAGATATTTGGCTTCAAGGAGGAGAATAGAAATAGGGCTATAGTTTGAAAGTGGAGTACATACTACTTGCAGTCTTTGACATTTTTATTTTAAGATAAGAGATACTTAAACACATTTAAATGTACATGGAAATGATTGAGTAGAGGAATCCTGGTTTAGTGACTGGGGAAAGAGAAGGTAAGCTAATAAGTTTCCTGAGAAGGATAGCAGGAATATAATCAGAAGCAAGAGATGGAAGACTGGACCTTAGCTAGAAAGAAGAATAGTACTATCTTGTACAAGAGAACTGAAGACAAAATGAAGGTAGATACATCCGTCTATGAGTACATGAATAGATTTGGTGACAAAAAGTTGAGAAGACTCACCCAGTGGTTTTTATATACTCTGTGAAGAATGTAACAAAGTTACATGCAGAAGTTTGAGGAGAGTAGAAAAGTTGTGAAATATTTTTTGCACAGAATGGGAGAGGGTTGACCAGTAAAGTGTAGCAGGCTCACTGGTCAATATTAAGGTCCAAGTAAGGAACTAATGAATGGAAGTTGAAAGCACTATGCTGAGTTCATTATTTTCTCTATGAGTGCTCGTTTGCTTATGCACATTCTTAGAGAAACCAGGTATTTCAGGTGATGAAGGGCTGGTACTTTGCCAGAGAGAAGTGATGAAAGACAGAAGGGCAAGGCAATTTTGCCTATTTTTAGAGAGGTATTGAAACTGGCGTAGATACGTAATTTATGAAAAGCAATATAACATTCTATTTTTCTCTAACTGAACTTGATTTTACTTTCAATCACCATTTATCCCTGAGGTGGAAAATTTTTATTCAAAAAAAATTACTAATGCATGGAATCTAAGCCAGATAGGAAGCAAAGTGAAGACAGTAAAGGGATAACAACAAGGGAGATGACACAAGAGAGACTAAGCCTAATTCTCACCTATGGATGATTATGGGTCTATGAATGTTCTGCCAGCCTGGTTCAGAATTGGCTCCATAACTGGATAATGCTGGATCTGAAGGTGCTGGACTCCCAAACTCCAAATAATCCATACTAGGGAAAACAGGGGCTGACAATAAGAAACTGCCAGAAGCATAAGCTGACTAGAATATTAATAAGTCCATATCTTGGCAATTATAATACCCAAAGGCCTTTCTATCCACTTTTGCCCATTTCAGTTTTGTCATGTGATTTTCATTTAGACGGAGAATAAAGATATGTGGTCATTATGCTAGTTTCACTGGATGCTTTAAAACTAATGCCACTTTCAATTCTTGTTTCTAAGACAAGTGAAATTATCTCTGGCTGCATAAGCAAGGTGGTATTTAGTAGTCTAAATCTCTCTCCTGTATTTAAAATTGGTCTCTGTCTCTAACATTAGTTATACAACTCTCTACCCTTTGCATTTTAGGTGAATCACAGCCACAAAAGCTTACTCAGCTGGGGTGTTTCCTAATCCTATCAACTCAAGTCAGAGTCATCTTTTTCCACCTACATACACTTAGCTTTCAAATCTAAAATCCAAAGAAACATTTAAATTATTAAAGTCAATCTTGTGAGACAGGATTTGTCACAATATAGGACAAATAATTTAAAGAAATTCCACTTTAAATTTGAACTTACGTTGACTAGTCAAGGCTCTTTTCCAAATCAAATCAGTAAAATAGTATTTGCTATGTTTTAGCATTTTGTTTTAATGATCATGTTTGGGCATTGTTTTTATGTTTTATTATTTTTACTACTCCCATAATATGGATTTATAATGTAACAACTATCTATTTTATATCTGCTATGCTTGAAATACTGTGTTATGTGCCCCAAGCTTAAAAAGTAGAAAGTCACAATTTTTGCTTTGTAAGTTCTAAATCCTTTGATGTGGATACACAAGTACACAAGTATACCTTACAATAGCACTTGAATTAAGTGTGGAAGGAGTCTTGAGACTGTGAACTAAAGCCGAGACAGGCAGAACTTAAAAGATGGAAAGGAAGAAGAGATATCTAATTAGGCAGAGATGAAGGACTCCAACAAAACCCCATATTTCTCAGGCTGAGTCAATGGAAGAAAAGTGTTATATCTGGCAGAAATTGGATATTTAGGAATAATGAGTTGTTTTGTGGAGGAAGGTGATAAATCTGTTTTGAGAAATTTTTAGTTTAAAGAAACTGTGGAACATGCAAATAATGATGTCTAGCAGGCAGTTGGAAATGGGTAGCCAGAGCTTTGGAGCGGAGCTGTAGATCTCGGAGTTATTTGCATGAAGCAATAAAAGCTGCTACAATCTTAATGGTGAGAATTGGATAAAAACAAATTGTGCATGGGGTGGGGTGGTGGTATGAGGATAGAAATCTGGAGCATTTGGGGAAGAAGAAAAAAACGCAACAAAAGGAGACAGTAAGGGACATAAATATGAAACTAGTTGTCAGAGATACCCAAAGAGCCAAGATAATATAAAAAAAAAATCAGAAGAGAAAAAATTTTCATTAAGAACAGTGTGATCAACTCTGTCAAATGCCACAGAGATTTTGGAAATAAATCATTTCCTAAATCACTCAGTATTGTCAATCTTGGGAATATAGCGTATGTTACTCTTAATGAGAGCTACCAATATTAATTACTTTTCAAATTAATAATTATATTTTAATTCTCTCTTCAAGTTTAAGAAAGAAACATACACATAAAAATGTATCTGGATTTGTCTGAGTTGAGCTTCTCCTTTAGTAGGCAGGGATTTGCAGGTGTCCCCAGAGGTGATGACTCCCTTCATCATTGTAATTACACACCCTTTTCTTACCATCATTTCCAAGTACATGTCACTGGTCTCGGAGCAGGAAGGCTCCTTCTCCCAATTCAGTGTCTGTCAGAAGTCTTCCCTGTTCATCAGATTTAGTCACTCAATGCCGCCTAACAGTTGGAGAAAACATTGAGAGCCAGACTTAGCCAGACTTAGCCAGACTTGTGGGCCACAGCTGCTAAGGTTCTGAAAAGCATTGCACTGAAAATTAAAACCCACTAACTGAAAAAGAAAATAAAAATTCACAGAAATTAGTTTCTAAAGATCATGGCACTTGGTTGAGGAGATATTTAGAGAATCGACCCTTAAAATAACACCACGTAAACAAGTTCTAATTTAACATATCCCAAGAGTGACATTGTACTTGAACAAGTTTGACTAAGATTATTCTGTGAATTTTTTAAAGCCATACCACAATGCTATTATTCCAATGCTAGAATCATCTTTCTAAAGAGGACCTCAAAGATTTGGCAGGTAGGGGAGTAGCCTCATGTAGTCTTTTCTCTGCATTTCAAAGATTCTCCTGTTCTAGATTGATGAGGAGATTCCTGATGCCAATATTTTCTAGTAGTCTACTTTCACTGATAGAAGCAGCCAAAGAGAAATCTTAGTGTCCTGCACACAGCTGGTTAACTTACATTTGCCTTTATAGATGCATTGTATTTTTTGTCTTTGAAAGTGCTTGATCATCTTTTCCTTTTTCAAATGCTATTTTCTTTTTTCTAGAATATGAAAATAGATGCAATTTAAGTTGGGAAAAGTCAAAGGTGACATTAAAAAATATTTCACAACTAGGTAAGTAACTGGGGCATGGGAAAGAAGGCAGTTAGAAAGGTGGGAAGGCTCTTGGGGAGGCTCAAAAGATGGCCATTTAATAACAGAGAGAGTTCAGTCGTCTTTTAACAAATAGTATGTTCTTATGGGTTCCTACTCTTTGGATTACCACCCTGAGCAAACTTTTTCTTTATATGATTCCCTTAAATCTAAACTCTGATTTGTGAAAACCCAAGAGAAGCCTTCCACATGATTTCACTGCTTGCCAGGTTAAACCTGCAAAAGATGGTGTATCCATATTTCGTGACTTGGCTCTGGCCAGTTAGAAAAAAGACAAGCATATGGTATTACTTTCCATGACTGATGACTTTGCTCTGCTGACACCTTTCCTTCCCACACTGTTTACCCTACTAATGTAGCCACACAAAAGAAGTCAGCCTAAAAATGTCCTCAGAAGCTCTCAAGTTAGATAACTCAGAAGTTTCTTGTGAACATAAGTTGAAGGTATAAAGATACAGAGTCATAGTGTTGGTCTGGAAAGAAAGAACAACCTATTTTTAGTCATGGTTAGCACGAACCTATGTCTTGGATCTTACCATTTCAAATAGCTTGTGCCATTTTTTAAAATCATGTTCACCACTTTTTGGTTGAGTCATTGTAGTCTGTAATTAGAGAGCCTATAACAAGTTTTATATAAAATTTAAAAGTACTTACTAAAAAAATAAAAGAGTCAAATATAAGAATAAATACATGGTGAGGGATAGGGAAGTGTGGTATCTACAGGAGTCAGATACTTCCTTTGTGCTTCCTAAATTAATCAGGAAAGATTTATTGAAATAAAGGGCTTGGAAACCTTCTTTCAGCTAAAAAAAAAAAAAAAAAAAAGTCTTTCAAGTAGACCAGGAGAGAGAATGTATATTTTTCCTGAGATAAGTTGGTTAGGAAAAGGTCAACCTATGTCCTCTTTGTGGCCATCTTCAGAACAGTTAGATACCGAAGAGCCCAGAGAGTGCTGTAAATTGAAAATACAATTTTAATGCATTCTCATCGAAGTTGTTTCTCTTCACCTGCTGTCTGCATGTTCTGCCTAATGTTTTGTTGTTGTGGTTGTTGTTGCTGTTTTGAGACAGAGTCGCCCTTTCACCCACGCTGGAGTGCAGTGACGCGATCTCGGCTCACTGCAACCTCCACGTCCCGGGTTCAAGCGATTTTTCTCTCTCAGCCTCCAGAGTAGCTGCGCCTACAGGCATGCATCACCACGCCCAGCTAATTTTTGTATTTTTAGTGGAGGGGGGCGGGTTTCACCATGTTGGCCAGGCTGCTCTCGAACTCCTGACCTCAATGATCCGCCTGCCTCAGCCTCCAAAACTACTGGGGTTACAGCTATGAGCCACCTTGCCCAGGATACTGTCTAGTGTTTTTAAAATGCAAATGTGATCACTTTTTATTAATGTGACCTAGACATATGTTTCATTGTTCAAGAAAAGCACTCTCCCCTTGATTTCTAAAACCAGAAAATATAAAGCTGAGAGTGATTATTTCATTCATGCAACAAATATATTTGTGTATCTATTACAGGTTCAGCCTTGTATTCATTCCATTCTTCATTTCCCACATGCGAAATCTAAAACTCAGAGATTTGAAATCTCTTAACTGAGTTCACAAATCAGGACAAATTTTTCTTAGAATACAGAAATAGTTTGAGCCTATGAAAACTAAGTCTGTTTAAATCCAGGTAGTAACACAGTTGGTTTCCTTCTTCTGAGCCTTTCAGGAAATATTAATGTAGAAAAAAATCTGCTGTTACAGACATGCAAGGTGTATCTTGCCGCATGAGAATTACTTAATGGGTACAATGCACATTATTTGGGTGGTGGCTACCCTAAAGCCTTGACTTGGCCCCCATGCAATCTAGGCATGCAACAAAATTTTACCTGTGCCCCATACCCTTATATAAATTAAAAAAAAAAAAACTTTACAAAGGTCAGGTCATCCAAGAATCAACAGCATTTAGATAGATGTTTTAGGTCCCTGTAGCTCAAAGTATGGCCCTGAGATTATCAGCACCTGGGAACTTATTAGAAATGCAGAATCTTAGGCCCCATCCAGAGTTCCTCAATTATTTCTGCATTTTAACAATATCCTCCAGGTGATTTGTATATGCATTATTAAACTTTGAAAAGTACTGTTTTAAATGATCTTGAAAATAACTTATAATCTTAAAAATGCATGAGCTAAAATGTGTGTGTTTTAATGAAATCAGGGGTATATTATTATTCAAAGTAATTCCAGTGTGAATCTTTTCAAAGTGAAGAATCTCTTTTAAAAACAAATTATCTCCAATCTATTTTGGATATTAATAGGGATTTGTTTGTACATGGACTTCCTATTGTATAAGATGAGGTCAATATAGGAATCATGGAAGCAAGAGTGTGAAGAAATAAAATGCCTTCAAAAGAATACATTGAACAAGCAATACATAAATTGCTTTTATTTAGAAATGCATTAGTTCAAAGATGATTTATACAGAATTTATTTTAATTCAGTAAGATGTTGGGTGAAATTACCTTTCACTATTTATAAACAAAGATAACTCTATATTAATTCCAAATAAAAAATTTTCATTCTTAGAGAAAAGCATTATTTTACAAATTTTCAGGTCTCTATTTACACACAAGTAATTGCTATGTAAGCAAGAGCAAGTATTGTTGTTTGTACACTCTACTAATTGCAAATGATTCTTAGCTAGTAATTAAAGTAACTTTAAAAAGACAACATTTGGTTTACTTGGTTTGCCTGGCTGTGCACATAAAAATAATCAAACCGTCTTTAAAGCCAGAAGACTATCCATGAATTTAGAGAAGTCTAAATTAGGCTGCTTTGCTAAATTTTAACTGATTACTCATTTAATATCTGTATCTTTTCTTCCCCTAAGGTCCTTTTAAAGTACTTAAGGACTATATTATTTCTAGTTTATTGACTTTTAAAACTCTAAACTAAATAGAGAGTATGACATTTCTGTCAAATCTAAATCAATATCTTGCATATAACACCAGTGTCTTAACCTATATGTGCAACATTTTGTTTTGTAGAGTAAAAATCTTTATGGCTTTAAACATCAATTTTATTACTTTTAAGTCCACATTGCCTGGTAGGTGTCCTCTGATCATCATCCTTCCAAGAATAACCCCATTTTTAGTTGCTATTTCCTATCTGCAATAAGAAGCTTTTGTGCATATTTTGAAAACTTTGCCTAAAATTAAAATGTACCCAAATTGAAACCAGTGTTTATAGTGTAATACATATCTCTTTTTAGCATTACAATGAAAATGCTTTTTTACACATGCCTGAAATTTCAACAGCTACTACGGTATTTTCCCTATCTTCCTTAAAAAAAATTATCATTCAAAATAATTCCAATTTATTTTGGGTATGAATAGAGATTTTCAATTTAGAAAATGAGTAATTTTATTGTTACGACTGTTATAGCCCCATGAAAACTATATTTTGCCAATTTCTATTGGCCTGTGTCATTTTATCACATTTAAAATCTATAATCACACTAGCAAATATAATTTTGCCTGACTTTTTAGACAGTCTCTAAACTTAAAAGTTTTCCAACAGTATGACACACAACTTTAGGGGCACATGCAGCATATGCTTTTATTGCATGTAAGTCCTTGGACTTTTATATTTATTTCATGTATTTTAAATATTTCTTGAAATCAAGAGCGTTAATATTATTAGTAACAAACATCTGTGGTCATTTTCTTCCATTTGTCACATAGCTAATACAGAGTATATAGTATTACTTTTGAGTGGCCTTATGTAACATCTCCTTTCTAAATTCCTGAAAGTAAGTTACGACCAGAATTACATACTAAAAAGAGTCAAAGAATACATTACCTACTTCTATAAATGGATAATTTTATAGTAATCTAAATAAAAATGAGACCAGAATAAATATTTTTCTAGCCTTCTCTGGAATGCTAAGCAGTGTTGGGGAGGGAGTTAATAAGAAAGAGAGTTAAAAGTAAACAGTGCTTGTAGTTTAACAGTTGTCTCTTAGGGCACTGTTTTATGAAGATCTTTCAGAAAAGAAATTTTCTTCAGATTGCTTATGCTGTGTAAATATTACCTCAGATAAGGGCCACATTTTGGGTAAATAAGTCTGCATAAACATAAGACTGCTTTATGTTGGTATCCTTAGTTTTTCTGTATTAATTCAAAATTCAAACCACAATTCCCCATAACACACTCTATAAAATGGTATTCATGACTTCATACAGCGAGGATGATGTTTTCCTTTATAAATGCCACATTAAATCTGTATATTTTTAAATGGAAAAATTGTGAGAATACCAACATAACAACAGGTTGCCCTCCATCCTCTGTCCAATAAATTCTAACTTTACGTTTTTACTATCTGACAGAAATACTTTACAGTCTTGAGGGGGGGAAAGACTGCCTTTTTTCTTGTACATTGTCTGTGTGACTTTCTGTTGAGAATGTATTATGTATCAAGGACATTAAAATTTATATCTGCATAGGACAAGTTTAGAGAGTATATTTTCTCCAAAAATAATACTAGGAAAACTTAAAAGAGAATTTTACCACATAGAAAGAAAACATGAAAATAAACTTTTGAAATATATGTGTAATTACCAAAAATATGCTGGAAACAACTAATCTTCTGCTGGAAAAAAAACAAATAACAATAAATTATATCTATTTTAAATTGACTCTGAATGTTATAGTCACGAACAAGAGTTTAGCAAACCTAGAAGGTTAAATCTTGATTTATATATGTTTTTATGTTAAAATATGTTTTTCAATTACCAAAATTAGTAACTGTTACCAAAATATAGGAATTCATTTACATAGCTATAAAAATATTACATTTAACTTAATATTGAAGTATTAAAAACAGTAGATAATCATGCTCAGACTTATTAAGAGGAAGAAAACCCTTTGTTGCCATTACATAGTTGACAACAAAATATCAGTGGAAGATTTTCTTCTTAAATAAAGCTAAGGAGAGCAAATAGCTAATATTGCAACTCTTATCTAGTCTCAGGTTATATTGGTAGTAGCTCCTTAAGCTGACTGACTTATACTCTGAAATACATTTATTTAAAAAGGACTGGGCCCTCTGTTGAATATACAATTCAATTTTAGTTTCGACTTCATTAGCTGAGGTAAATTATCACATTGGCATCCCATAATATCATTTCACTTTACTTAGAAGTCTTCTAGATCTTTCCATTCCATATAGTTAGTTCTGTCTCTCCTCTTTTCTTTTTTTTATAATTATTTTGGATGAACATTTGGGGAGGTAGAAATATTTCATACGCACACATTATATCCTATACACATTTAAGAGACTAAGTGTCTGGCTTTCTGGCTCCCAAGATGATATCTAGAAAAATTAATAGAAATTAAATCTATGCCCTACCCAGTAGACTATTAGAAGCTCTTTCCTACCGCTGTGTCCTACATAAAACACCTCATACTCCAGACTGTGAGGTCTGAAAACACAGAAAAGCAAAAACCGTGTTCAGCAATGAAAAGAACATGATTTGTCACGTGGCAGGGATTTCCCCACTGACCAATTAAAATAAGAAGCCCCATCTTCTCTTCTTTAACTAGAGGATAGTCATAACAAAGGATTTTTTTTAGTAGGCGATAAAATAGAGAGAAACTGATGAGCATCTTCAAGGCTTCTCAGGGACATTAAACATCCCCCTAACAAAGACTAGAGAGAAGAAACACACTGGTATGCTTCATGTTCTTTTGGAATATTTGGGTATCTTAGAGAGACACTAACAATTTTGTCCTATGAGATCACAGTAAAAAACTATATATTCAGCCATTTCAAACTCACTTTAGAAAAGAAAAAAGTATACAAAATGCATAGCTGATTATAGCTGTCATTTCTATTCTTTTGTATATATCACATGACACCAATGTCAAAAATTAATTATAAAAGTAGTTACAAGTAGTTACTTTTATAATTATACAGCTAAAAATGAATATAAGTTATATTTTTACTCATGGTTTTGGTGTTGTCAAAGCTCATATTTCAGCATAATCCTTTATTTGCTGTTGAGTTGTGGAGTTTATTTGGTTTTTAAGTGCAATTTATTTTTTCTTTATTTGTACATTAATTATTGAAAAAAACAAGAAGAATATTAAATAAAACCAACATACATGGAGATATATCCTGTAGTAGAATGCTTTCTTTGGCTTTCATGATTAAAATGTTAATGAAGTGGACAAGCAGTTCTTTAATAATATGAAGCAATAAACATAAGGGAAGAAGAAGGTAAAAAAATAAAATGATGTGACTCACCCATGTCAAATATTGCATACCCATCACCAAATCTAAAAACTATTCACGTAGGTATATTGTAGTCCATGTCTTTAACATCAATTACAACCCCCCCTTTCCTCAAGATTAGCCACAGGACAAATTAGAAGCTGCTCTGTGGATGCTGCTTCTCTTTAAAAACTGGTTTCCCTGAATCAATAATACTGAACTTGACCTAGTTAGAAAGTATGTTCACAGAAATAACCCTCAGTCTTCACCTGTTAAAAGTGAAGATTTATTGCTTGGGTGGCTGAGGCTAGAAGATCATTTGAGCCTAGGAGCTGGAGGATACAGTGCACTATGATCCCCCACCTGTGAATAGCCACTGCACTCCAGCCTGGGCAATATAACAAGACCCCATCTCTTAAAAAAAAAAAAAGTTTTTAATTAAAAAGTGAAGGTTTATTGACATTGTGACAACATGGATAATACAGATTAAGTCAGCAAACCATAAAGATTTTCCAGTGTGCCTAATGTCTAAAATTATAATTTAGTTATCATTTAGTAGTTCCATTAAATTATTTTCTATACAGGTAATCACGTATTTGATTTCTTTTCCAATATAGGCAATTTTAAACTCAGAGAGCTGGAACTAATAAAACCTAGGGAATGGAAATCTAAATTATAAACCATTCTTTTACAGATTCCATGATTAACCTTTGAAAAAATTAAGCCCAACCTCCAAACACAGACTATATAAAAATTATTTATAATTTGCAGGTATTAGTGGCTTAATACAGCATATATTTGCTATCAGCTTTTGCATTTTAAAAGAAAAATTAAAGACAAAAATCTTAATACAAAGTAATAAACTACTAATCATAAAATTCTCTCCTATATTCTTTTAGAACACAATGAAAGGAAATTATTTGCTTTTTATGAGAAACTGATATACTTTCTCTCCATAGATGATGAAAATAACTTTCTTTGACTACCAAGAAATATATAATCAAATTTGTAGACCACTTTTAATTTTTTAAAAAAATCCTGGATCTGTATTTTTTACCTTCCTGACCTCTTACTATAATTTATCTTTTCTCTGGTCCTGAATCTCTGTAAGCTGACTTGCTTTCAGGGGAATGACACTGTGCACATAATACAGCATCACCTGGGTCTTCCAAGATTTGGTCTCCACCATCACCTCACCACCACCCTGTCCCACCTGTCCACAAACAGTTTGGAAGTTTCCTCTTTTCAGCTTTCCTCTTTCCAAACTTAAGCTTCCGTATGTACAATGTAGCTCTCTCCTACTTAAAGAAAAATAAATTCAGAGTGATCCTCCTAAAGTTGTGAAATAAGATCAGTCTGTAGTTTTTCCATCTGTCCTCCGTTGAGTCCTCCTGGTCAGGCTCCCAGGACCTCCAACATGTGAGATTTGTGCCTCTACTTGACCCTTGGCATCGAACCAAGCCAAATTCCTCTTCAGATGTAGATGGGCAATGTTTTCTAATTTACACAGGGCTTGTACCTTACCCCATTTACTCAAATAAATAATAACACTTAAATTTTCTACATTACATGCACACGTTTCTCAAAAAAATTATCTACGGAATTTATCTTAATTGTATTTATTTTAAATATTTCTGGGAAAGCATTCCTAGGGAAGACTTCTTAGTTCCATTTATTGTCAAAGAGGAAATGGAGTGGGGCCTTTTATTTTTTGTGTGTGTTAAATATAGAGTATTAATTGGTATAAATATTCCGGGTAGAATTTCTAAATAAATTCAAAACATGCTTTGTTTTTAGAAAAGATACATATTAATGCCCTAAACCTAAACTAAAACTAAACCAGATGAAATGCTGTGTCTTAACGCAAGTCAGGCACCATTTACTTGCCTCCCAAAGTTTCCAGTCAATCTACCTTCAAGTTGCACAGTGCTTTCCATTCAGCAGGAATGGCTGCTGTTCTAAATGCTGAAGATTTTTATTTTCTCATTTATATCCTTTTAACAAGTAATTAATGGGTTTAAATACCTTCCTGCATGATTACAATTTTCTCTTATTAGCTTTTAGCTGTGTGTGATATTCAACATCCATTCCTCTTTGTTTTTAGAAAGTACTTTTTAAAAATCTGAAGTTTAAACACAGGGTATAAAATTTCTATTTGTTTTATATTTCCATAACATCAAATAATAATCTCTCTAAACTTATATTTTGAAATACAAAATACTTCCTTCTTCCTCTGGATCAACAAAATGGGTTTAATTAATCTTATGCCCTTATTTAAGGTTTTAGGAAATAATAATCGCCATTCTTTAGCAGGCAAAAATTATGGATACAGTAGTTACAATAAATTAACTCAAATGATCTCACAAATGAAAAAATTTTCCCGGTTAAGAGTGTAAAAACTCTACTGTCCTAAATTGTCTCCCAGTCACACTACTGTTACTTAAACAACATATCTCAGTAAAAGTACAGACGTCATTTCACATTTGTCAACTCACTAATTTAATAACCACATGAAAAGGCAATAGAATTATAAAACATGTCATTTTTCCAATACTCTAATGAAATTTTTCATGTATATGAAAATTCACTTACTTGATTATGCATTTTCATTACTATTACTTTGAAAATTTATCAAAACAAAAGGAGTTGTATCGTAGCCAAAAAGACTTTTTAAATATAAAATTTGGTCTAAGTAAGATAATATTTTATAATAACATGAACTACGAAACTACAACTATATATATGAAAAAATATTGATTTTGGTAAAAACTTTCCAGCTTGATCCAAAAAATTTTTTATTTTTAAAACAATCTATATCTAGTTACTTATCAACTGATTTCCAGTTGTTCAACTGACTATAAACTGCTTTTTGTTTACAAAAATAAATTATGGTAACAATTTAAGTACTAAAATATTTGAGGTTTTTCTTTAAGGTTAATGTAAATTTAGTGCTGACATTTTAAAAATTACTATTAAGATGGCCATTGATTACAATGATTAGTGAATATAATCAAAATCATGAAACCAAATTATTTAAGTGGACAAGCTGCTGAAGCAATCATATTCATTTAGAGGTGAGAAAGTGCAAGTTGTCTTTTTAACTGAAATCACAGTAAAATCAAGAAAAAAAAGAAACTCCCATTCACATTCTAAGTAAAATTACATGACCAAAAAAAGTTATTTGCATATATAAAAATGCTTTCAAACTAAGGTGGATGTGTGCATAGAAATCCCTATGAAGAACCCAGATTTTGTTTCTGGGAAAAGTTAGCACATTCTCCTGGCAAATCTTTCAGAGTCTATCATTAAATTACCAGCTATAGAGAAGGCTTTTACCAAGATAGCTAAATTTCTAGTTGATAACTTTAAGATTTGTTTAAAAAAATAACTTCAGTATTGCAAATAATAAGAATTAATTTTTCTTTCTACAGACTAAAAGGTTTTGTTATACTCCCAAATCTGTGCCATCTTCTGCCTGACACACTATTTAGAGCTGCTCTTTTGTGTTAGTTGTTTTTCAAACTTCACTAGATGATCTCAGGAACCTCTAGGGATTTAAATCATCATGAACAAATGATAGCGTCAGACTGATACGCTATTAAAGCAAAAGATAACTTACATTCGTAACACTAGTTATAAATAATAATAGGACATTAGAGAGTTTTATTAGAAGAAAAATTGCCTGAAAAACTTCCTCCTATTAGGTTAACCTTCTAGAATTTCTCAAACAAACCAAATTATTTCTGCAAAATCAAAGTCAATACCTGAGTCTGTTTATAAAAATCACCAATTCACAATGCAACTATTTTTTTCTTTTCATTTAACATTTTTAAATGATTTCTTGTCTTCTTTTGTGTTTTAGCTGAATTTGTGTGCAGCACATTGTTGCTCCAGCTTAAAAACCTCCTGTGTGGTAAATGCTTGGCAGCCCTGGGGAAGGCAATGAACACGGTGAAATTCAGTGCAGTGTGGTAAGACAAGGAGAGCATGAATAATATTTGGAGATCTAGCACACCTTAGTGGAAACAATTATTATTACAACTGCTTTGAAGACATTTGAATTTTAAACTCCATTGTTTGTGAAATTCTATTTTGACTAAATAGAGGGACTTTGTTCAGGCTTTTGTTGTCTTTAGCATGATGTGTTTCTTTCCTAAACTCCACACAGATAAGAAGATAAATTTGATCATGAATTTCTAAAAGTAGAAATCATAGGTTTTTTAGAATTAGCATAAAATTATTGTACAACCCTCCATGGGCTATCAAATTGGGAGCAATCCAATTTTATTTGCCATCATGGTCACATATAAAGTGTCAGATTATTCTTGTTAGATGATTATTGTACATTTAACTTAGAAAAGCTTCTCAGGTCTGCTCCTGAGATGCTTGAAAGACTTTTGGTTTAAATAGGTTGCATATGTTCTGCTGTTAATGGCTGACCGTTTTTATTTCATATTACTAAAATGTAATCAAGAAAAAGAGAGTAGAAAATACATCGCAAATATTCAGTCTACTATCTAGACAATTTCAAAAGCTTTCAATTTTATCTCCTGTTCCATTATCTTCAATTGTAGAGTTTGGATAGGAAAAGAATTCAAAAATAAATACAAAACATTCATTCCAATACATGAAGAAAATTAGCCCTGTTCATGTACATTTTCTAATATGGATATGTTTCTAAAAATCAGAATATAATATTTATGGAGTCATTAGTAAAATGCACTTGATTATCTAAGAATCTCAACTGCTTGATGCTTGATCAAAAACTAGGTAGAAACTAAATCATGCCTATCAACAATTAAATATTTCTGAAAAGGGGACTTCCAAAATGGTAGAATAAGAAGCTCAGCAAATACTTTCCCTAAAAAGTGACAACAGGGGTGGAGCCAAGATGGCTGAATAGGAATAGCTCCAGTCTATAGCTCCCAGTGTGAGCGACACAGAAGATGGGTGATTTCTGCATTTCCAACTGAGGTACTGGGTTCATCTCACTGGGGAGTGTCAGACAGTGGGTGCAGGACAATGGAAGCAGTGCACTGAGTGTGAGCCAAAGCAGGGCAAGGCATCACCTCACCCGGGAAGCACAAGGGGTCAGAGAATTCCCTTTCCTAGTCAAAGAAAGGGGTGACAGATGGCACCTGGAAAATCAGGTCACTCCCACCCTAATACCGCACCTTTCCAATGGTCTTAGCAAATGGCACACCAGGAGATTATATCCCACGCATGGCTTGGAGGGTCCTATGCCCATGGAGCCTCACTCATTGCTAGCACAGCAGGCTGAGATCAAACTGCAAGGTGGCAGTGAGGCTGGGGGAGGGGAGCCCACCATTGCTGAGGCTTGAGTAAGTAAACAAAGTGGCTGGAAAGCTCGAACTGGGTGGAGCCCACCGCAGCTCAAGCAGGCCTGCCTGCCTCTGTAGACTCCACCTCTGGGGGCAGGGCATAGCCAAACAAAAGGCAGCAGAAACCTCTGCAGACCTTAATGTCCCTGTCTGACAGCTTTGAAGAGAGTAGTGGTTCTCCCAGCACACAGCTGGAGATCTGAGAATGGACAGACTGCCTCCTCAAGTGGGTCCCTGACCCCCAAGTAGCCTAACTGGGAGGCATCCCCCAGTAGGGGCAGACTGACACCTCACACGGCCAGGTACTCCTCTGAGACAAAACTGCCAGAGGAACGATCAGGCAGCAACATTTGCTGCTCAGCAATATCCACTGTTCTGCACCCTCTGCTGCTGATACCCAGGCAAACAGGGTCTGGAGTGTACCTCCAGCAAACTCCAACAGACCTGCAACTGAGGGTCATGACTGTTAGAAGGAAAACTAACAAACAGAAAGAACATCCACACCAAAACCCCATCTGTACATCACCATTATCAAAGACCAAAGGTAGATAAAACCACAAAGATGGGGAAAAAACAGAGTAGAAAAACTGGAAACTCTAAAAATCAGAGTGCCTCTCCTCCTCCAAAGGAATGCAGCACCTCACCAGCAATGGAACAAAGCTGTACGGAGAATGACATTGACGAGTTGAGAGAAGAAGGCTTCAGACGATCAAACTACTCTGAGCTAAAGGAGGAAGTTTGAACCCATGGCAAAGAAGTTAAAAACCTTGAAAAAAAATTAGATGAATGGCTAACTAGAATCACCAATGCACAGAAGTCCTTAAAGGACCTGATGGAGCTGAAAACCAAGACACAAGCACAAGCCTCAGTAGCCGATTCAATCAACTGGAAGAAAGAGTATCAGTGATGGAAGATCAAATCAATGAAATGAAGCAAGAAGAGAAGTTTAGAGAACAAAGAATAAAAAGAAATGAACAAAGCCTCCAAGAAATATGGGACTATGTGAAAAGACCAAATCTACGTCTGATTGGTGTACCTGAAAGTGACAGGGAGCATGGAACCAAGTTGGGAAACACTCTTCAGGATATTATCCAGGAGAACTTCCCCAATCTAGCATCGTGGCCAACATTCAAATTCAGGAAATATGGTGAACACCACAAAGATACTTCTTGAGAAGAGCAACTCCAAGACACATAATTGTCAGATTCAACATATTTGAAATGAAGAAAAAAATGTTAAGGGCAGCCAGAGAGAAAGGTCGGGTTACCCACAAAGGGAAGCCCATCAGACTAACAGCTTATCTCTCAGCAGAAACTCTACAAGCCAGAAGAGAGTGGGGGCCAATATTCAACATTCTTAAAGAATTTTCAACCCAGAATTTCATATCCAGCCAAACTAAGCTTCATAAGTGAAGGAGAAATAAAATCCTTTACAGACAAGCAAATGCTGAGAGATTTTGTCACCACCAGGCCTGCTCTAAAAGAAAAGTTTTAGAAGGAAGCACTGGAATTTCATGTCCAGCCAAACTAAGCTTCATAAGTGAAAGGGAAATAAAATCCTTTACAGACAAGCAAATGCTGAGAGATTTTGTCACCACCAGGCCTGCCCTAAAAGAAAAGTTCCTGAAGGAAGCACTAAACATGGAAAGGAACAACCGGTACCAGCCACTGCAAAAACATGCCAAATTTTAAAGACCATCAAGACTAGGAAGAAACTGCATCAACCAATGAGCAAAATAACCAGCTAACATCATAATGACAGGATCAAATTCACATATAACAATATTAACTTTAAATGTAAATGGGCTAAATGCCCCAGTTGAAAGACACAGACTGGCAAATTGGATAAAGAGTCAAGACCCATCAGTGTGCTGTATTCAGGAAACCCATCTCATGTGCAGAGACACACATAGGCTCAAAATAAAAGGATGGAGGAAGATCTACCAGGCAAATGGAAAACAAAAAATGCAGGGGTTGCATATCCTAGTCTGATAAAACAGACATCAAACCAACAAAGATCAAAAGAGACAAAGAAGGCCATTAAATAACGGTAAAGGGATCAATTCAACAAGAAGAGCTAACTATCCTAAATATATATGCACCCAATACAGGAGTACCCAGATTCATAAAGCAAGTCCTTAGAGACCGACAAAGAGGCTTAGACTCCCACACAATAATAATGGGAGACTTTAACACCCCACTGTCAACATTAGACAGATCAACAAGAGAGAAAGTTAACAAGGATATCCAGGAATTGAACTCAGCTCTGCACCAAGCGGACCTAATAGACATGTACAGAACTCTCCACCCCAAATCAACAGAATATACATTCTTCTCAGCACCACACTGCACTTATCCTCCAAAATTGACCACATAGTTGGAAGTAAAGAACTCCTCGGCAAATGTAAAAGAACAGAAATTATAACAAACTGCCTCTCAGACCACAATGCAATCAAACTAGAACTCAGGATTAAGAAACTCACTCAAAACTGCTCAACTACATGGAAACTGAAAAACCTGCTCCTTAATCACTACTGGGTACACAACGAAATGAAGGCAGAAATAAAGATGTTCTTCAAAACCAACAAGAACAAAGACACAACATACCAGAATCTCTGGGACACATTCAAAGCAGTGTGTAGAGAGAAATTTATAGCACTAAATGCCCACAAGAGAAAGCAGGAAAGATCTAAAATTGACACCCTAACATCACAATTAAAAGAACTAGAGAAGCAAGAGCAAACACATTCAAAAGCTAGCAGAAGGCAAGAAATAACTAAGATCAGAGCAGAACTGAAGGAAATAGAGACACAAAAACCCTTCAAAAAATCGAAGAATCCAGGAGCTGGTTTTTCGGAAAGATCAACAAAATTGCTAGACTGCTAGCACGACTAATAAAGAAGAAAAGAGAGAAGAATCAAATAGACGCAATAAAAAATGATAAAGTGGATCTTACCACCAATCCCACAGAAATACAAACTACCATCAGAGAACACTATAAACACCTCTATGCAAATAAACTAGAAAATCTGGAAGAAATGGATAAATTCCTGGAAACATACACCCTCTCAAGACTAAACCAGGAAGAAGTTGAATCTCTGAATAGACCAATAACAGGCTCTGAAATTGAGGTAATAATTAATAGCTTATCAACCAAAAAAAGTCCAGGACCAGATGGATTCACAGCCGAATTCTACCAGAGGCACAAGAAGGAGCTAGTACCATTCCTTCTGAAACTATTGCAATCAATAGAAAAAGAGGAAATCCTCCCTAACTCATTTTATGAGGCCAGCATCATCCTGATACCAAAGCCTGGCAGAGACACAATAAAAAAATAGAATTTTAGACCAATATCCCTGATGAACATTGATGCAAAAATCCTCAATAAAATACTGGCAAACCGAATCCAGCAGCACATCAAGAAGCTTATCCACCATGATCAAGTGGGCTTCATCCCTGGAATGGAAGGCTGGTTCAACACATGCAAATCAATAAATGTGATCCAGCAGATAAACGGAACCAATGACAAAAACCACATGATTATCTCAATAGATGCAGAAAAGGCCTTTGACAAAATTCAACAATGCTTCATGCTAAAAACTCTCAATAAATTAGGTATTGATGGGATGTATCACAAAATAATAAGAGCTATCTATGACAAACCCACAGCCAATATCATACTGAATGGGCAAAAACTGGAAACATTCCCTTTGAAAACTGGCACAAGACAGGGGTGCCCTCTCTCACCACTCCTATTCAACATAGTGTTGGAAGTTCTGGTCAGGGCAATCAGGCAGGAGAAGGAAAAAAAGTATTCAATTAGGAAAAGGGGAAGTCAAATTGTCCCTGTTTGCAGATGACATAATTGTATATCTAGAAAATCCCATTGTCTCAGCCCAAAATCTCCTTAAGCTGATAGACAACATCAGCAAAGTCTCAGGATACAAAATCAATGTGCAAAGATCACAAGCATTCTTATACACAAATAACAGACAAACAGAGAGCCAAATCATGAGTAAACTCCCATTCACAATTGCTTCAAAGAGAATAAAATACCTAGGAATCCAACTTCCAAGGGATGTGAAGGACCCCTTCAAGGAGAACTACAAACCACTGCTCAATGAAATAAAAGAGGATACAAACAAATGGAAGAACATTCCATGCTCATGGGTAGGAAAAATAAATATCATGAAAATGACCATACTTACCAAGGTAATTTACAGATTCAATGCCATCCCCATCAAGCTACCAATGATTTTCTTCACAGAATTGGAAAAAACTACTTAAAAGTTCATATGGAACCAAAAAAGAGCCCTCATTGCCAAGTCAATCCTAAGCCAAAAGAACAAAGCTGGAGGCATCACGCTACCTGACTTCAAACTATACTACAAGGCTACAGTAAACAAAACAGCATGGTACTGGTACCAAAACAGAGATATAGACTAATGGAACAGAACAGAGGCCTCAGAAATAATGCCACATATCTACAACTATCTGATCTTTGACAAACCTGACAAAAAGAAGAAATGGGGAAAGTATTCCCTATTTAATAAATTGTGCTGGGAAAACTGGCTAGCCATATGTAGAAAGCTGAAACTGGATCCCTTCCTTACGCCTTATACAAAAATTAATTCAAGATGGATTAAAGACTTACATGTTACACCTAAAATCATAAAAATCCTAGAAGAAAATCTAGGCAATACCATTCAGGACATAGGCATGGGCAAGTACTTCATGTCTAAGACACCAAAAGCAATGGCAACAAAAGCCAAAATTGACAAATGGGATCTAATTAAACTAAAGAGCTTCTGCACAGCAAAAGAAACTACCATCAGAGTGAACAGGCAACCTACAGAATGGGAGAAAATTTTCGCAACCTACTCATCTGACAAAGGGCTAATATCCAGAATCTACAATGAACTCAAACAAATTTACAAGAAATAAACAATCCCATCAAAAAGTGGGTGAAGGATATGAACAGACATTCCTCAAAAGAAGACATTTGTGCAGCCAAAAGACACCTGAAAAAATATTCATCATCACTGGCCATCAGAGAAATGCAAATCAAAATCACAATGAGATACCATCTCACACCAGTTAGAATGGCGATCTTTAAAAAGTCAGGAAACAACAGGTGCTGGAGAGGATGTGGAGAAATAGGAACACTTTTACACTGTTGGTGGGACTGTAAACTAGTTCAACCATTGTGGAAGTCAGTGTGGCAATTCCTCAGGGATCTAGAACTAGAAATACCATTTGACCCAGCCATCTCATTACTGGGTATATACCCGAAGGATTATAAATCATGCTGCTATAGAGACACATGCACACGTAGGTTTATTGCGGCACTATTCACAATAGCAAAGACTTGGAACCAACCCAAATGTCCAACGATGATAGACTGGATTAAGAAAATGTGGCACATACACACCATGGAATACTATGCAGCCATAAAAAATGATGAGTTCATGTCCTTTGTAGGGACATGGGTGAAGCTGGAAACCATCATTCTCAGCAAACTATCGCAACGACAAAAAACCAAACACCACATGTTCTCACTCATAGGTGGGAATTGAACAATGAGAACACGTGGACACAGGAAGGGGAACATCACACAGCAGGACCTGTTGTGGGGTGGGGGGAGGGGGAAGGGATAGCATTAGGAGATATACCTAATGTTAAATGAGGAGTTAATGGATGCAGCACACCAGCATGGCACATGTATACATATGTAACAAACCTGCACATTGTGCAAATGTACCCTATAACTTAAAGTATAATTTTTAAAAAGTGACCACAAATCTAAAGAAAATTGTCAAAAACAACTATTTGAAGACTCCATAAATTGTCCAAAATCATGCAACAAATTGAGATGAATTTATTCAGGAAAAGCCTCCAGGAAGGACAGTGGGAGTCTGGGGCATTTATATCGGGAGCTGCTCCCTTCCCCCACTACCTTCCAGCTTTGTTAGCATGGTAGATACTTGAAGGTAGGACAAGCTGTGAAAAATAGCAGCTTTGCTGTTGGAGGGGGGATCACTTAGTTTGAAGTGGAGCACCAAGCAACTCTATGTCCGGGGGCATTATTGAAAATAGTCGCAATCTCTGTGGCAAACAAATAGGGAAGGTCAACCACATAGCTATCCTAAGCTTGAGGTCCTAGCCAGAGCAAGCAACAAAGTGGCAAACTAGCTAGAAAATGAACAAGAAGAGTGGGGAATGAGATGATATTATTGGGACTTGATAAGTTCCTCTCTGTCTCTGGAAATTTGGAAGGCTGCACAGATGCACATGTGTAGGAGAAACCAGAAAGGGCCCTAGCCATCCATTCATCCCTGACTGAATATGAAATCTTGTGAATGCACAGAAGAAATGTGAGAGGTCCTAAAAGAAAGCAAAAGCTGAAACTGACTTGTGAACTGCCTGAATTTTGAATATGTTCCCAAACATACAGTCAAGTCAATGCAAAGAGGGTGAAAATATTACTGGGTCAAGGTAGTTGAGCATGTTTCCTGAACAATCATTGGCTAACCACTAAGCTATGCTGTCACAAGGGTGAACCCCTAAGAGGCTACCGTTAAGAATGCTAAAAAGATTATTTAAAAAAAAAAAGAAAAGAAAAACTGAGTAGAAACATCAGAGAATGCATTCTGTCAAAAAAAAGAAAAAGAAAAAAGAAAGAAAGAAAGAAAGAAAACGAAAAAAGACTCCACATGTTTGGTCCTGGAAAATTACTAAACACAGACACCAGCAACAACAATCTACAACAACAAAAAAAATCAGAATCCAGAGTTGCAACAATACATTATGTGTAACTAGACATATGCCTAGTTATAAGAACAAAAAAAATACAGACATGTAAAGAAACAAGAAAAGGTGCCCCAAACAAATGGGGTGAAAAGGCAGTCAGGAAGAGAGGCAGAGTAAGATGGCAGAATAGAAAGTTCCACCAACTGTTCCCCCATAAGGACACCAATTTAACTATCGACACAGAAGGAAAAAAATACCTTTATAAGAACCAAAAATCAGGTGAGCCCTCATAGTACTTGGTTTTAACTATGTAATGATGAAAAACACACTGAAGAGACAGAAAAAACAATCTTGAATCTCCAATGCCAGCCCCCCACACCACAACCCTGGGAGCAGTGGCATGGTGCAGACAGCATCTCTGGGTGCTGGGGAAGCACAGCAATTGTGAGGCATTGGCCTCAGTGCTGTCCTGTTAGAGCAGAAAGGGAAACTGGACCAAACTCAGCTGACACTCACCCAGGAAGGGAACATTTAACCAGCACTAGCCAGAGAGGAATTGCCAATCCCAGCGGTCCCAATTTGAGTTCCTGCAAACCTTGGCACTTAAGGCCAAAGTGCTCTGTGTCTCCAAATAAACTTGAAAGGTAGCCTAGGCCATAAGGACTGAAAGTCTTAGGTGAGTTCTAGGGCTTAACTGGGCCCAGAAGACGATGGACTTTGGGGGCACATGACGTACTGAGACATCAGCTGGGACAGCCAAGAGAGCGTTGACATCACCCCTTCTCTAACCCCAGGATGCACAGCTCACAGCTCGAAAATAGTCCCCATCCTTCCACTTGAAGAGAAGAGAGGAAGAGTGTGGGTGACTTTGTCTTGCATTTTGGATGCTAGCTCAGCCACAGCAGGATGGGGCACTAGTTAGAGTTGTAAGTCCTTTGATACAGGCCTTAGCTCCCAGACCACATTTCTAGACACGGCCTGAGCCAGAAAATAAATCCTCTGCCTTGAAGTCAAGAAACAAGTCCTGACAACATTTATCACCTAACTGAAGAACCGTTGGGCCCTGAACAACCAGATCTACACCCAGATACTGTCAAGGGCCTTGGGTGAGCCTCTGAGGCTTACTGGCTTTAGGTGAGATTCAACATATTACCAGCAGTGGTGGTGAAGGGATGAAATTCCTTCTACTTGAGAAAAGCAGAGGAAAAAGTAAAGGAGACTTTGTCTTGCACCTCAGGTACTAACTCAACCACGGCAGGGTAGAGCACCAAGCAGGCTCCTGGGGGTGTGGGGGGGGGGGGGTCCCCGATTTCAGCACTGGATTCTCGGACAGCATCTCTGGACCTGCCCTGGGCTGGAGGGGAGCTTCCTGCCCTAAAGGTTGAGTCCCAGGCCAGGGAAAATTCACAATAAGCTGACTTAACCCTTGAGCTTTAAGGAAATATCAGTGGTGTCTGGCAGAATGCTTGATGGGACTGTGGTGGGAGAGGCTTCTCTGCCTTTGGGAAAAAAAGGGAAGAGTGGGAAGCACTGTGTCTTGTGGTTTGAGTGCCACCTTAGGTGCAGTACAATAGAACACCAGGTAGACTTCTAAGCTTTTTGCCTCTAGACCCCAACTCCAAGGTGGCATCTCTGGACCCACCTTAGGCCTGGGGAAAGTCACCACCTTTAATGGAAGAACAGATGCCTGGCTGACTCTGCCACCTGCTGATTGTATAACCCCAGAACCTTGAGCAAACAAAGGCAGTACACAGGAAATGGATACAGGTGGCCTTGGGGGAGAACCAGTGTTGTGCTGGCTTCAGGTCTGACTCAGTGCAGTCATAGTGATGGTGGCTTGTGTCATTCCATCTCCAGCTTTAGACGGCTCAGAACAGGGAGACATACTCTGTTAGGAAGAAAGGGAAGAGAATAGGAGTCTCTGCCTGGTAATCCAGAGAATCCTGCTGAATCTTGTATAAGACCATTAAAGCAATATCTCTATGAGTCTGCAAGAACTACAGCATTACTGGCTTGGAATGCCCCCATAAAACAGATAAAGTTTAGATCATAACACCCAAGTCCTTTCAAATATTTTGAAAACCTGCCCAATAAGGAAGGGTACAAACAATTCCAGACTGAGAAGACTACAATGAATACATAACTCTTCAATACTCAGACACAGAGAAACCTCTGCAGGTATCAAGGCATTCCAGGAAAGCATGACATCACCAAATGAACTAAATAAGTCACCAGGAATGAATACTGGAGAAACAGAGATATGTGACCTTTTAGACACAGGATTCATAATGGCCTTTTTAAGGACACTCAAATAAATTCAAGATAACACAAAGAAGGAATTAAGAATTCTATCAGAAAAATTTAACAGAGATTAAAATAATTTGAAAGAATCAAGCAGAAGTTCTGGAGCTGAAAAATGCAATTGGCACACTGAAGAATGTACTAGAGTCCTTTAGTAGCAGAATTGATCAAGCAGAAAGAAGAATTAGTGAGCCTGAAGACAATTTATTTGAAAACACACAGGGGAGAAAAAAGGAAAAAAGAATGAACAATAAAGCACACCTACAGGAAGGAAAGAAAGAAGAATACACCACAAAAAAACCAGAAAACACATTTAAAAAATGGCAGAAGTAAGTCCTTACTTATCAATAATAACATTGAATGTAAGTGGATTAAATCCTTTAATCAAAAGACATAGACTGAATGAAAAAAAAGACTGAATGAATGAAAAAACAAGACCCATTGATCTGTTGCCATCAAGAAATACATTTCACCCATCAAGACACACATAGACTAAAAATAAAGGGATGGAAAAAGATATTTCATAGCTAAAAAAAAGAACATGAGTAGCTATAATTATCTTAGATAAAATAGATTTTGAGACAAAACTATAAGAGAAAAATGTCACTATACAATAATAAAGTGGCAAATTCAACAAGAGAATATAACAACTTTAAATATATATGTACCCAACATTAGAGAACCTATATGTATAAAGAAAATATTATTAGAGCTAAAGAGAGATGGGCCCCAATACAATAATAGCTGGAGATTTCAACACTCCACTTTCAGCATTGAACAGATCTTCCAGATACAAAATCAACAAAGAAACGTCATACTCAGTCTTCACTAAAGACCAAATGGGTCTAATAGATATTTACAGAACATTTCATTCAGTGGCTGCAGAATACACATTTTTTCTCAGCACATGAATTATTCTCAAAAAACAGGCCATATGTTAGGTCACAAAACAAGGTTTAAAACTCACAATGAAATAAAATTAGAAATTGATAACAAGAGGAATTTTGGAAACTGTACAAATACATGGATATAAACCAATGCATTCCTGAATGTCCAGTGAATCAATAAAGAAATCAAGAAAGAAACTAAAAAATGTCTTGAAACAGATGATAATGGAAACACAACATCCTAAACCTATGATCAGGGATACAGCAAAAGCAATATTAAGACTCTGTCTTTTGTAAATAGCCCAGTCTTGAGTATGTTTTTATTAGCAGAATGAAAATGGACTAATACAGTGAATTGCTGCTGGTAGAGTGGGGCATTGCTAAAAAGGTACCCAAAAATGTAGAAGCAAATTTGGAACTTGGTAACAGGAAGAGGTTGGAACAGTTTGGATGGCTCAGAAGAAGACTGGAAAATGTGGGAAAGTTTGGAACTTCCTACAGACTTGTTGAATGGCTTTGCCCAAAATGCTGATAGTGATATGGACAATAAAATCCAGGCTGAGGTGGTCCCAGATGAACAAGAGGAATTTGTTGGAAACTGGAGCAAAAGTGACTCATGTTACAGCAAAGAGACTGGTGGCATTTTGCTCCTACCCTAGAGATTTGAGAAACTTTGAACTTGAGAGAAATGATTTTGGGTATCTGGTAGAAGAAATGTCTAAGCAGAAAAGCATTTAAGAGGTGACTTGGGTGCTGTTAAAGGCATTCAGCTTTGTAAGGGAAGCAGAGCATATAAGTTCAGAAAATTTACAGCCTGACAATGTGATAGAAAAAAAAAGTCCTATTTTCTGAGGCGAAATTCAAGCCAGCTGCAGATATTTGCATAAGTAATGAGAATCTGAACGTTAATTCCCAAGACAATGGGGAAAATGTCTCCAGGGCATATCAGAGGTCTTCACAGCAGCCCTGGAAGCCAAGGAAGAAAAGATGACTTCATGGACCAGGCTAAGAGTCCCAGTGCTGGGTGCAGTCTAGGGACTTGGTGCCCTGCATCCCAGCTGCTCCAGCTGTGACTAAAAGGGGCCAAGCTACAGTTCAGGCCATGGCTTTAGAGGGTTGAAGCCCCATCTATTGGCAGCTTGCACATGGTGTTGAGTCTGTGGGTGCACAGGAGTCGAGAATTAAGGTTTGGAAACCTCCACCTATATTTCAGGAGATGTATGGAAATGCCTGGATGCCCAGGCAAAAGTTTGCTGCAGGGATGGGGTGCTCATGGGGGACCTCTGCTAGGGCAGAGCAGAAGGGAAATGTGGGGATGAAGCCCCCCACACAGAGTCCCCATTGGGGCACTGCCTAGTGGAGCTGTGAGAAGAGGTCCAACATCCTTCAGACCCCAGAATGGTAGATCCACCTACAGTTTGGTAGACCAAGCAGAAGAAAAGATATCAGAGCTTGAATACTACCTTGATGAGATAAGGCAGGCAGAGAAGATTAGAGGAAAAAGAAAGAAAAGGAGCAAACAAAACTGCTGAGAACTATCAGATTATGTTACAGGATGGAACCTACAACTAATAGGGGTACCTAAAAGAGATGGAGAAAACAGAACCAAGTTGGAAACACACTTTAGAGTCATCCAGGAGAACTTCCCCAACCTAGCAAGACAGGCCAACATTCAAATTCAGGAAATCCAGAGAACCTCAGTAAGATACACCATGAGAAAATCAATCTCAAGACACACAATCATCAGATTCTCTAAGGTCAAAATGGGAAAAAAAAAAAAAAAAAAGCAGTTACGTGCAGCCAGAGAGAAAGGCCAGGTCACTTATAAATGGAACCCCATCAGACTAACAGCAAAATTCCCACAAGCCAAAAGGGATTGGAGGCCAATATTCAACATTCTTAAAGAAAAGAATTTCCAGCCTAGAATTTCATGTCTGGTCTAAGTTTCATAAGCAAAGGAGAAATAAAATCTTTTTTAGACAAGCAAATGCTGAGGAAATTTATTAACACCAGGACTGCCTGGCTCCTGAAGGAAGCATTAAATATGGAAAAGAAAAATCTTTACCAGCCACTACAACAACACACTGAGGTACACAAACTAATGATACTATGAAGCAACTACAGAAACAAGTCTGCAAAATAACCAGCTAGCATCATGACGACAGGTTCCAACTCACACATAACAATATTTACCTTAAATGTAAATCGGCAAAATGCCCCAATTAAAAGACACAGAATGACAAGCTGGATAAAGAGTTAAGATCCATTGGTGTGCTGTATTCAAGAGACCCATCTCAAATGCAAACACACACATAGACTCAAAATAAAAGAATGGAGGAAAATTTACCAAGCAAATGGAAAACAGAAAAAAGCAGGGGTTGATATCCTAGTTTATGACAAAATAGACATTAAACCAACAAAGATCAAAAAAGACAAAGAAAAGAATTATATAATAAAACAGGTGTCAATTTAACAAGAAAAGCTAACTATCATAAATATATATGCCTCCAATACAGGAGCACCCAGATTCACAAAACAAGTTCTTAGAGACCTACAAAGAGATTTAGACTCCCACACAATAATAGTGGGTGACTTTAACACCCCACTGACAATATTATACAGAAAATTAACAATGATATTCAGGACTTGAACTCAGCTCTGGAACCAGTGGACCTGATAGATATCTACAGAACTCTCCACCCCAAAACAACAGAATATACATTATTTTTGGTGCCACATGGCACTTATTCTAAAATTGGTTACATAATTAACAGTAAATCATTCCTCAGCCAATGAAAAAGAACTAAAATCATAACAGTCTCTCAGACCACAGTGCAATCAAATTAGAACTCAAGATTAAGAAACTCACTCAAAACCACACAACTACATGGAAATTGAACAAACTGCTTTTGAATGACTTCTGGGTAAATAATGAAATTAAGGCAGAAATCAAGAAGTTCTTTGAAACCAATGAGAACAAAGAGACAATGTACCAGAATCTCTGGGATGCAACTAAGGCAGTGTTAAGAGGAAATATTATAGTACTAAATGCCTATATCAAAAAGCTAGAAAGATCTCAAATCAAAACTCTAACATAACAACTAAAACCAAGAGCAAAAAAAAACACCTCAAAGCTAGCAGAAGACAAGAAATAACCAAGCTCAGAGCATAACTGAATCAGATAGAGACATGAAAAACCCTTCAAAAGAAATCAATGAATACAGAAGCTGTTTTTTTGAAAAAAAAAAAAAGACATAGACTGCTAGCTAGACTAATAAAGAAGAAAAGAGAAGAATCAAATAAACACAATAAAAACTGATAAAGGGAACATTGCCACTGATCCACAGAAATACAAACAATCCTCACAGAATACTATAAACACCTCTATGCAAATAAGCTAGAAAATCTAGAAGAAATTTATAAATTCCTGGACATATACAACCTCCCAAGACTGAACCAGGAAGAAGTCGAATCCCTGAATAGACCAATAACATGTTCTGAAATTGAGGCAGTAATAAATAACCTATGAACCAAAAAAAGCCCAGGATCAGATGGATTTACAGCCGAATTTTACCAGAAGTACAAAGAGGACCTGACACCCTTTCTTCTGAAACTATTCCAAATAATTGAAAAGGAGAGACTCCTCCCTAACTGTTCTATGAGGCCAGAATCATCCTGATACCAAAACCTGGCAGAGACAAAACAAAAATAGAAAACTTCAGGCCAGTATCCCTAATGAACACTGATGCAAAAATTCTCAATAAAACACTGGTAAAGCAAATAAAGCAGTACATCAAAAAGCTTATCCAACATCATCAAGTTGGCTTCATCATTGGGATGCAAGACTGGTTCAGCATATGCAAATCAATAAAAAAAATTCATCACATAAACAGATCTAAAGACAAAAACCACATGATTATCTCAATAGATGCACAAAAAGCCTTTGGTAAAATTCAACATCCCTTCATGTTAAAAACTCTCAATAAACTAGGTATTAAAGGAACATACCTCAAAATAATGAGTCATTTATTACAAACCCACAGCCAATATCATACTGAATGGGCAAAACCTGGAAGCATTCCCCTTGGAAATCAGCACAAGACAAGTATGCCCTCTCTCACTACTCCTTTTCAACACAATATTGGAAGTTCTCACCAGGGCAATCGGGCAACAGAAAGAAATAAAAGTATTCAAATAGGAAGAGAGGAAGTCAAACTGTCTCTGTTTGCAGATGACATAATCCTATATCTAGAAAACCCCATCATCTCAGGCCAAAAGCTTCTTAAGCTGATAAGCAATGCCAGCAAAGTCTCAGGATACAAAATCAATGTGCAAAAGCACAAGCATTTCTATACACCAACAACAGGCAAGCAGAGAGCCAAATCATGAATGAACTTCCATTCACAATTGCTACAAAGAGAATAAAATACCTAGGAATAAAGCTAACAAGGGAATTGAAGGCCCTCCTCAAGAAGAACTACAAATGACTGCTCAAGGAAATCAGAAAGGACACAAGCAGATGGAAAAGCATTCCATGCTCATGGATAGAAGAATCAATATCATGGAAATGGCCATAGTACCCAAAATAATTTATAGATTCAATGCTATTCCCATTAAACTACCATTGATATTCTTCAGAGAATTCTTAGAAATTCTTAGAAAAAGCTATTTTAAAATTCATATGGAACCAGAAAAGAGTTCATATAGCCAAGAAAATCCTAAGCAAAAGGAACAAAGCTGGAGGCATCATGCTACCAGACTTCAAACTATACTACAAGGCTACAGTAACCAAAACGGCATGATATTGGTACAAAAACAGATATATAAACCAATGTGAAATAATAGAGAACTCAGAAGTAAGACCACACATATACAACCACCTGATCTTCAACAACCCCAACAAAAACAAGCAATGGGGAAAGGATTCCCTATTTAATAAATGGTGCTGGGAGAACTGGCTAGCCGTATGAATAAAATTGAAACTGTACCCCTTCCTTACACCTTATACAAAAATTAACTTAAGATGGGTTAAATATTTAAATATAAAACCCAAAGCTATAAAAGCACTACAAGAAAATCTAGGCAATACCATTCAGGACATAGGCACAGGCAAAGATTTCATGACAAAATCGCCAAAAGCAATTGTGACAAAAGCAAAAGTTGACAAATGGGATCTAATTAAACTAAAAGAGCTTCTGCACAGCAAATGAAACTATCATCTGAGTGAACAAGCAACCTAAAAAATGAGAGAAAATTTTTGAAATCTATCAATCTGGCAAAGGTCTAATTCCAGAATCTACAAGGAACTTAAACAAATTTACAAAAAACAAAAAAAACAACCCCATCAAAAAGTGGGCAAAGGACATGAACAGAAGCTTCTCAAAATAAGACATTCCTGCAGCCAACAAACATATGAAAAAAGGCTCAACATCACTGATCATTAGAGAAGTGCAAGTCAAAATACAATAATATACCATCTCACACCAAATAGATTGGCAATTATTAAAAAGTCAAGAAACCACAGATACTGGCAAGGTTGTAGAGAAATAGTGCAGACATAATCTGCACTGTAGACCAAATGCATCCAATAGATATTTACAAAACATTTTATCTAAGAGCTACAGAATACATAATTTTTTCCTCAGCATATAAATCAATCTCCAGAATAGACCATAGGTTAAGTCACAAAACAAATCTTAAAACATTTGAAATAATATCAAACATCTTCTCTAACCACAATGAAATAAAATTAGAAAATAATAGGAATGCTTTTACACTGTTGGTGGAAATGTAAGTTAGTTCAACCATTATGAAAGACTGTGCAGGGATTCCTCAAAGATCTAGAACCAGAAATACCATTTGACCCACCAATCCCATTACTGGGTATGTAACCCCAAATTATAAATCATTCTATTACAAAGATACATGCACACGTATATTGATTGCAGCACTATTCACAATAGCAGGGACATGGAATAACCCAAATGCCCAACAATGCTAGACTGGATTTAAAAAATATGGTACATATACACCATGGAGTATTATGCAGCCATAAAAGGAATGAGATCATGTTCTCTGCAAGGGCATGGATGAAGCTGGAAGCCATTATCCTCAGCAAAGTAACACAGGAAAAGAAAATCAAATGCCACATATTCCCACTCATAAGTGGGAGCTGAAAGATGAGAACACATGGACACAGGGAGGGGAATAACACACACTTGGGGGGCCTGTCATGTGGTGGGGTGGGGGGAAGGAGAGCATTAGAAAAAATTGTTAATGCATGCTGGGCTTAATACCTAGGTGATGGGTTGACAGATGCAGCAAGCCACCATGGCACACATTTACCTATGTAACAAACCTGCATATTCTGCACATGTACCCCCAGAACTTAAAATAAAAATAAAATTTGTTTAAAAAAAGATCATTACAGTCACATCTGGGGTATCTTTTCTGGAGAACAAAGAATAAAATTGTGATAACAATAAATTATCAAATAGCATCTGAGGTTGAAAACTGAAAATATAAAAAAGAAACAAATGCAAATTATGAAGTTGAAAAGTACAATAACTGAAATGAAAAACTGACTAGCATGAATCAAGAGTACATTTGAGATGATAGCAAAAGGAATAAGTAAAATTAAAAGTAGATCAATATAAATCATTTAATCTGAGTTTAAAGAGTTTGGGAGGAGAACTAAAAGAAGAAACAGATCTTCAGCCACACGGTACTTACGGGTATCAATTTCAAGATCCCCCATAGATACAAAAATCCATGGATGCCTAATACAATCTAAATGCTATGTAAATAGTTGTTAAACTCTATTGTTTAGGGAATGGTGACCAAAAAATGTCTGTATATGTTCAATACAGACACAAACGTCCTTTTTTCCCAAAAATTCTTGATCCAGTTAATTGATTCGTGGATGTGGAACTCACAGATTCAGTGGGCCAACTATATGTACAATAGAATATTATTCAGCACCCCCCAAAAAAAATTTTGCCATTTGCAACAACATGGATGAGCCTACAGGACATTATGCGAAGTGAAATAAGCCAGACACAAAAAGAAAAATACTGCATAATCTCATTTACATTTGAAATCCAAAGCTGAACTCATAGAAACATAGAGTAAAAAACTGATTGCAAGGAGCTGGTCAATGGCAGAAATAAAGATATTTTGGACAGAGGTTACAAAATTTGGTTATAAGATGAATAAGTTCTGGAGATCTAAAGTAAATCATTGTAACTATAGTTAATATTAATGTATTGTATACTTGAAATTGCTTAAAAAATAGATCTTACATGTTCTCACAATGAAAAACAATATTTATATAAGGTGATGAATATGTTAATTGTGGTAATCACATTACAATGTATACATATATCAAAATGTCACATTATTATACAAGGCTAAATATACACAATCTTTATTTGTCAATAATGACTATATTATATATATTAAAGTAACTAGGAATATAAAGACTCATTATGATAAATGGTATATACAAAAGCCCTTCAGCTAATATTATACTTAATAGTAAAACATTGAATGCTTTCTTCTTAATGGCGGGAACAAACAAATGATTTCCACTACTACTTCCTCTATTCAATAATATACTGGCAGTTACAGCCGATTCAATAAGGCAAAATAAGAAAAAAAGAAAAAGAAAAAAATTAAACCTTCTATAATGAAAATAAAGAAGTAAACCTGTCTTTATTTGCTGATGACATAATCCTGTTTGTGAAAATTCCTGAGGAATACACAAAAACTGCCAGAACTAATAAGTTCAGAAGGTGGCAGAATACACACAATATACAAAACTTTACTCTATTTTCTATACTAGTAAAAAAAAAAAAAAAAAAAATCTGGGCCAGGCATTGTGGCTCACACCTGTAATCTCAGCACTTTAGCAGGAGGCTGAGGGAGGAGGATCATTTGATGTCAGAAGTCTGAG
Organism: Homo sapiens; assembly: GCF_000001405.40. NCBI lineage: Eukaryota > Metazoa > Chordata > Mammalia > Primates > Hominidae > Homo > Homo sapiens. Next base: position 17,289,663 of record NC_000021.9, read on the forward strand.
ATCTGCTGGAGCAACAAAGTGACACCCCATCTCTACAAAAAAATTTTAAAAGTTAGCCAGGCATAGTGGAATGTACCTGTAGCCCCAGCTACTCAGGAAGCTGAGTTTAGAAAAATGCTTGCACTCAGGAGTTGGAGGCTGCAGTGAGCCATAATTGTGCCACTGCACTTTTGTGCACTGCCTGCATCCTAACACCCCCTTACTGCAAATGCTAGCAAAGAGGCCAGCACCCTTGCAATTGCCAACACCCCACCACAGCCAGTGAGCGCATGCTTTGCTGTACTGCCATTGATGCTGGTATGTGTGAATGAGGATGGATTTTGCTGTCACCACTCTACAAACTGTTCTTTGTCTGGCAACACCCACCAGAGTGTTGTGACCAGCAGTCCAGGAATACCTTGCCCCTCCAGTGCAGCAGGTTCCTAACCCTGAGGGGCCAGAGGACAAAGCCAGGGACCCAATACCAGTCCTCCAGAGTTAGAGGACATGGTCCAGAAGTCTTGAGCAGAGTCTTGGCCCCCAAAAATCTTCCAGAAATGAAGCCAGTTTACTGAATCCACCTCACACTACAATCAAACCCCCAAGGACATCTAATAAAATAAAATGAGAAGAAAACCATCCAAAGGATAGCTACATCAAAGCTTCAAAGAACATCAGCCCACAAAGATGAGGAAGAACCAGCACAAGAACTCTGGCAACTCAAAAATCCAGAGTGTCTTCTTACCTCCAAATGATAACACTAGTTTCCTAACAATGGTTCTTAATCAGGCTGAGATGGCTGAAATGATAGAAATAGAATTCAGAATATGGACAGAAACAAAGATCATTGACATACAGGAGAAAGTGAAAACCCAATCCAAGGAATCTAAGGATTACAATAAAACAATATAGGAGGTGATAGATAAAATGGTCATTAAAAGAGAGAACCACACTGATCTGACAGAGCTGAAAAACACACTACAAGAATTTCATAATGCAATCACAAGTATTAACAGCAGAATTGACCAAACTGAGGAAAGAATATCAGGGCTTGAAGACTCTCTCTAAAACAACTCAGTCAGAGAAAAATTTTAAAAAAAATAAAGAATGAACAAAAGCTCTGAGAAATATGCCATTATGAAAAGAAACACATTCTACGATTCACTGGCGTTTGTGAAAGAAAGGAAGAGAAATTAACCAGCTTGGAAAACATTTTTCAGGATATTGTCCATAAAAATTTCCCCAACCACACTAGAGAAGCCAATATTCAAATTCAGAAAATTTAGAGAATCCCTGTGAAATACTAAACAAGAAGACCATCCCCAAGACATATAGTCATCAGATTCTCCAAGGTCAAAATGAAAGAAAACCTGACAAGAAAGCTAGAGAGAAAGTGCAGGCTGCCTACTGATATGGTTTGGCTGTGTTCCCACCCAAATCTCATCTTGAATTGTACTCCTATAATCCCTATATGTTGTGGGAGGGACCTGGTGGGAGATAATTGAATCACGAAGGCAGGTTTTCCCATGCTGTCCTCAAGACAGTGAATAAGTCTCACGAGATCTGATGGTTTTATAAATGGCAGTTCCCTGGCACATGCTGTCTTGCCTGCTGCCATGTAAGATGTGTCTTTTCTCCTCCTTCACCTTCTGCCATAATTGTGAGGTCTCCCCAGCCATGTGGAACTGTGAGTCCATTAAACCATTTTTTTAATAAATTATCCAGTCTTGGGCATTTCTTCATAACAGTATGAAAATGGACTAATACATCTACAAATAGAACCCTACCAGGCTAACAGCAGACCCGTTAGCAGAAACCCTACAAGCCAGAAGAGATGGGGGTTCTATATTCAGTATTCTTTTTTTTTTTTTTTTTAATTTATTTTTTTATTGATAATTCTTGGGTGTTTCTCACAGAGGGGGATTTGGCAGGGTCATGGGACAATAGTGGAGGGAAGGTCAGCAGATAAACAAGTGAACAAAGGTCTCTGGTTTTCCTAGGCAGAGGACCCTGCGGCCCTCCGCAGTGTTTGTGTCCCTGATTACTTGAGATTAGGGATTGGTGATGACTCTTCACGAGCATGCTGCCTTCAAGCATCTGTTTAACAAAGCACATCTTGCACCGCCCTTAATCCATTTAACCCTGAGTGGACACAGCACATGTTTCAGAGAGCACAGGGTTGGGGGTAAGGTCACAGATCAACAGGATCCCAAGGCAGAGGAATTTTTCTTAGTGCAGAACAAAATGAAAAGTCTCCCATGTCTACTTCTTTCTACACAGACACGGCAACCATCCGATTTCTCAATCTTTTCCCCACCTTTCCCGCCTTTCTATTCCACAAAGCCGCCATTGTCATCCTGGCCCGTTCTCAATGAGCTGTTGGGCACACCTCCCAGACGGGGTGGTGGCCGGGCAGAGGGGCTCCTCACTTCCCAGTAGGGGCGGCCGGGCAGAGGCGCCCCTCACCTCCCGGACGGGGCGGCTGGCCGGGCGGGGGGGCTGTCCCCCCCCACCTCCCTCCCGGACGGGGCGGCTGGCCGGGCGGGGGGCTGACACCCCCACCTCCCTCCCGGACGGGGTGGCTGCCGGGCGGAGATGCTCCTCACTTCCCAGATGGGGTGGCTGCCGGGCGGAGAGGCTCCTCACTTCTCAGACGGGGCAGCTGCCGGGCGGAGGGGCTCCTCACTTCTCAGACGGGGTGGTTGCCAGGCAGAGGGTCTCCTCACTTCTCAGACGGGGCGGCCGGGCAGAGACGCTCCTCACCTCCCAGACGGGGTCTCGGCCGGGCAGAGGCACTCCTCACATCCCAGATGGGGCGGCGGGGCAGAGGCGCTCCCCACATCTCAGACGATGGGCGGCCGGGCAGAGACGCTCCTCACTTCCTAGATGTGATGGCGGCTGGGAAGAGGCGCTCCTCACTTCCTAGATGGGATGGCGGCCGGGCGGAGACGCTCCTCACTTTCCAGACTGGGCAGCCAGGCAGAGGGGCTCCTCACATCCCAGACGATGGGCGGCCAGGCAGAGACGCTCCTCACTTCCCAGACGGGGTGGCGGCCGGGCAGAGGCTGCAATCTCGGCACTTTGGGAGGCCAAGGCAGGCGGCTGGGAGGTGTAGGTTGTAGTGAGCCGAGATCACGCCACTGCACTCCAGCCTGGGCACCATTGAGCACTGAGTGAACGAGACCCCGTCTGCAATCCCGGCACCTCGGGAGGCTGAGGTTGGCGGGATCACTCGCGGTTAGGGGCTGGAGACCGGCCCGGCCAACACAGCGAAACCCCGTCTCCACCAAAACCAGTCAGGCGTGGCAGCGCGTGCCTGCAATGGCAGGCACTCGGCAGGCTGAGGCAGGAGAATCAGGCAGGGAGGTTGCAGTGAGCCGAGATGGCAGCAGTACAGTCCAGCTTCGGCTCCGCATGAGAGGGAGACCGTGGGGAGAGGGAGACAGAGGGAGAGGGAGAGGGAGAGCCGGAAAAGTTTCTTGTATAGCCCCGGCTCTTAGAGCCAGGCTCTTCACCCTTATTTTCATAAAGCTGCGATGCATGCTTCATACATAATTGTGCATGTTGCTGCCTCCTTCTCCCAGCTGCCCGACGTGTCATCTATTCAGTATTCTTAAAGAAAAGAATTTTCAGCCAAGAATTTTATATCTAGCCAAAGTAAACTTCATAAGCAAATAAGAGCCTTTTCAGACAAGCAAGTGCTAAGGGAATTCATTAACACCAAATGCGTTACAAAAGATCCTGAAGGGAGTGCTAAATATAGGCAGGAAAGACTGCTGCCAGCCAGTACAAAAACATACTTAAGTACATGGACCTGTAATGCTATAAAGCTACCACATAACCAAGTCTGAATAATAAACAGCTAATAACGTGATGACAGGATGAAATCCATACATGTAAGTACTAACCTTGAATGTAAACAAGATAAATGCCCTCAAAAGACAGAGTGACAAGTTGGATAAAGAAGCAAAACTGTCTTCAAGGGACTCATGTGCAATGAAACCCATAGGCCCAAAACAAAGGGATGGAGAAAAATCTACCAAGCAAATGGAAACCAGAAAAAAAAAGGGGGTTGCTATTTGAATTTTGGACAAAACAGATTTTAAACTAAAAAAGATCAATAAAGACAAGGAAGAGCATTACATAATAGTAAAGGACTTAATTCAACAAGAAAACTTAACTATCCTAAATATATATGCACCTAACACAGGAGCACCTGGATTTATAAAGCAAGTTGTTAAAAACCAATGAAGACATTTAAATAACCACATAATAATAGTGGGAAACACTTAAGACCCCAGTGACAGTTTTAAATCATCAAAGCAGAAAACTAAGAAAGGTATTTGGGACCTTAATTCAACACTTGAACAAAGGGACCTATAGACATCTACAGAACTCTCCATCCAAAAACAACAGAATATACATTCTTCTCATCTGCACATGGCACATACTTTAAAATCAATAACACAATCAGCCATAAAAAATCTTCACCAAATTTTAAAAAACAGAAATTATACCAACCACATACTCAGACCACAGCACAATAAAAATAGAAATAAATGAGAAGAAAGTCACTCAAAACCATAGAAGTGCATGGAAATTAAATGACTTCATCCCAAATGACTTCTGGGTAAGTAATAAAATTAAGGCAGAAATAAAGAAATTATTTGAAACTAATGAGGAAAAAGATACAACATACCAGAATCTGTGGGATACAGCCAATGCAGTGTTAAGAGGAAATTTTATAGCACTAAATGTCCACATCAAAAAGTTGGAAAGATCTCAAATTACCAACCTAATATCACAACACATCAGAACTAGGGAAGCAAGAGCAAATCCACCCCGAAGCTAGCAGAAGAAAAGAAATTAGAAAATTAGAGCTGAGCTAAAGGAAATTGATGTAAAACACACACACACACCACACACACACACACACAAACACACACACACACACAAAAGACAAAGAATCCAGGAACTGGTTCTTTGAAAAAAAATAAGATAGATAGACCACTAGCTAGTCTAATAAAGAAAAAAAGAGAGAATATCCAAATAAACCCATCAGAAATGATAAATGGAATGTTACCATTACCCCACATAAATACAAATGCCCTCAGAGACTATTATGGACACTTCTATACACAGAAGCTAGAAAGCCTAAAAGAAATGGATAGATTACTGTAAACATACAACCTCCCAAGATTGAACCAGGAAGAGATTGAATCCTTAAACAGACAAACAATGAATTGTGAAATTGAATCAGTAATAAAAAGCCCACCAATCAAGAACAGATGAATCCATAGACAAAATCTACCAAATGGATAAGGAAGAGCTGGTACCATTTCTACCAAAATGATTCCAAAAGATTGAGGAGGAGAACCTCCTCCTTAACTCATTCTATGAGGCGAGCATCATCCTGATAACAAAACCTGGCAGAGACACAATGAAAAAAGTCAACTTCAGGTCAATATACTTAATGAACATCAGTGTAAAAATTCTCAACAAATTATTTGCAAGGTGAATCTAGCAGCACATCAAAAATCTAATCCACCATGATTAAGTATGCTTTATCCCTGGGATGCAAGTTTGATTCAACATATGCAAATCAAGAAATGTGATTCACCACATAAACTGTACTAAAAACAAAAACCACATAATTAACACAACAAATGTAGAAAAGGCTTTCAATAAAATTTAACATCTCTTTATGTTGCAAACCCTAAACAAACTAGGCATTAAAGGAACATAATTCAAAATAAAGAGGCATCTATGAAAAACTCACATCCAACATCATACTGTATCAACAAAAGCTGTAAGCATTTTCCTTGAAAACTAGAACAAGACAAGGATGCCCTCTCTCACCACTTCTATTAAACATAGTGTTGGAAGTCCTAACCAGAGCAATCAGGTAAGAGAAAGAAATAAAAGGCATCCAAATGGGAAGAGAGGAAGTCAAAATATCTCTGTTTGCAGATGACATGATTCTATACCTAGAAAACCTAATAGTCTCTGCCCAAAAGCTCCTTGATTTGATACACAACTTCAGTATAGTTTCAGGATACAAAATCAATGTACAAAAATTACTAGCATTCCTATACACCAACAGCATCCAAGCTGAGAGACAAATCAAGAACACAATCCCATTCACAATAGCCACAAAAAGAATGAAATACCTAAGAATACAGCTAACTAGGAAGCTGAAAAACCTATACAATGAGAATTACAAAACACTGCTCAAAGAAGTCAGAATGCCAAAAAGAAATGGAAAAACATTCCACGTTCATGAATAGGACAAATCAATATTGTTGAAATGGCCATACTGCCCAAACCAATTTACAGATTGAATGCTATTCATGTTAAACTACAAATGACATTCTTTACAGAACTAGAAAAAACTATTTTAAAATTTATATGAAATTGAGGGCCCAGGGCCCAGATGGGCCAGAAGTGGCCAGATGCAGGCAGGGTGGGCACCTGGACACCTGCCTTGGGTGCCTTGCTGCCCAGATGGTGGCAGTGGTGGCCACACATGCGGCCCAGCTTCTGTCCTCACGTTCCTCCAGCTCCCAGCCCCCACACCATGTCACCGCCTGTGCTGCCCACCGAGTTGGTGCCTTCAGAGTGCATTGTGGTGCTGCTGTCCTGTGCATTCTTTGTGCTCAGCTCAGGCCTGCTGGTGGCCATGTGCACCCTGTGGCCCGACCTGTGAAGCCAGGCACAGTGCCTGCTGCTCTTCCTGTCACTGGCCAACCTGCTCTCAGCTGCCTCCTACTTCTATGGGATGCTGCAGGACTTCGCAGGCTGTCATGGAACTGCATGCTGCAAGGTGTGCTGTCCACCCTCACCAACACCAGCTCATTCTTCTGGACTGTGGCCATCATACTATACCTGTACCTCAGGATCACTAGCACCGTGCAGGCCCTGCACCAACCATCTGCTCTGAGCCTTCCATGTCATCAGGTGATCTTGACTTTCCAGAGTTCAGCTGTTCTGAGATTGAAGTCAGGGGTGGAGGGCTGGTCTGGGGGTCTGGGAGTCCACCTGGAGTCTCTCTGAGAGTGAGGAAAAACCAAGACCTTACCCAGCAGTTCAAGCATCTTTCAAGTAAGCCTCACTGAAGAGGGTCAGCCCTTCCCTGGGGAATGTCAGGTTTTGAGAATCTCATGGCATTATGTGCTGAACTGTGGGCAAGAATCCTAGGGCTGTTTTCCTTTTCTCCTTCTCCCAGATCAGAGCATCAGATACTGCCCTAATTATAGGTCCTTTCTGTTAAAAATGTAAGTGCTTTCCAAGTGAGAGATGAGGCCGGCTGGACTTCCTGGGTCCAGCGGGGACTTTGGGGAACTTTCCTGTCTTACAAGAGGATTTGTAAACTCACCAATCAGTGCTCTGTAAAACATACCAATCAGCAGGATTCTAAAAGCAGCCAGTCAAAGGGAGGATTGAAAAAAGGGCACTCTGACAGGATAGAAACAGAACATGGAAGGGGACAATAAGGGAACAAAAACTGGCCACCCCAGCCAGCAGCAGCAACCCACTTGTGTCCCCTTCCACACTGTGGAAACCGTTCTTTTGCTCTTCACAATAAATCTTGCTACTGTTCACTCTTTGGGTCCTTGCCATCTTTAAGAGCTGTAACACTCACCATGAAGGTCTGCAGCTTCATTCTTGAAATCAGCAAGACCACAAACCCACTTGCAGGAACGAACCCCAGACACATCTTGGGGGCTCATCCAGGATATCACCACGTGGTGAGTACCATTGGACCCCTTTCACTTGCTATTCTGTCCTATTTTTCCTTAGAATTTGGGGGCTAAACACCAGGCACCTGTCAGCCAGTCAAAAGCAAATGGCACAGCTGCTGGACTACAGACACAGGTGTCAGACTTTTTGGGAAAGGGCTCTCTAACAACCCCCAACTCTTCGGAGTCAGGAGTGTTCATTTGCCTGGAACCAGCTTCTGCTTTCCCTGCACTTCTGGGCTGAGCTGAGGGTCAACAGAGAGGAAAACTAATCAGCTCCAGGGTCCCAACAAAAACTTGGTTGACCCTGCAGCTATGAGCAGAGCTCTCAAACTTATGTTGCCCAAGCGAGACTCACCCATCTGTCCTGTCTATCCTGACACTTGTCTCCTGGGTCCTAATGCCTGTCAGACAAACTTTCTCTCACCTCTCTTCTCCAAGGCTAGTCCTGCTTCTAAAAATCACTCCCTATCCCTGGTGCTTTTCTAGTTTCTCCTATAAGGATGATTTCTAATATAGATTTTGGGACTCTGTTCCCTTCTTCAGGCACCCAGGCTTACAAATCAGAAAGAGCCGAATTCTTCAACAGGAAATAGGTGCCCTGGGGCACATAATTTTTGCCCAGAGCCCTGTTGCAGGTGGAACTATCTGGAATTTTAGGATCCCTCCTCAGGCTAGCAGGCCTAACAAAGGCTATTCTTGAAGCTAGGATATGGGGAGTCTCAGAAATTATAGACTGCAAAATTGGGGGAATATCCTTCCTATTCATATGATGAGAAGTGAGGACAAAAGGCATCACTTTTCCAATCCTGGAGATCCCTTTCCTCCCTCAAGGTATGGCCCTCCACTCCATTTTGAGGCATATCATCTTTATAGGACAAGGTTAAGTTCCCAATACCAACAGGAGAAAATGCTTAGGACTCTAACAGGTTTTCAAGAATGCATCAGTAAGGGCCACTAAATCTGACCTTTCTTGGCCCTCTTTGTTGTCTAGGAGGAAAATAAGTGTTTCCACTGCTGCTTTGGTGAGCACAACTATTCTGAATAGTAGGGTCCAGGGACCATTGCAGGTTCTGGGGTGGGAAAAAACAGATCAAAACTGCAGGCGGTTTTTTGTTCTGTTTTAGATGGGAAACACTCAGGCATCAACGAGCTCACCCTTGAAATGCATCCTAAGCCATTGGGACCAATTTGACCCACAAACCCTGAAAAAGAAGCAGCTTATTTTTTTCTGCACTATAGCCTGGCTCCAATATTCTCTCCCTGATGGGGAAAAATGGCCACCTGAGGGAAGTATAAATTATAATACTATCCTGCATCTTGACCTTTTCTGTAAGAGGGAAGGCAAATGTTGTGAAATACCTTATGTCCAAGCTTTCTTTTTATTGAAGGATAATCCACAACTATGCAAAGCTTACAATCTATATCCCACAGGAAGACCTCTCAGCTTATCCCCATATTCTAGCCTTCCTACAGCTCCCCTTCCTATTAGTGGTGAGCCTCCTCTAATCTCCCCCACTGAGATGGAAACAAGCAAAGAAATATCCATGGGACCATAAAACCCCCAGGCTATTGGTTATGTCCCCTTCAAGCTGAAAGGGGAGGGGAATTTGGCCCAACCCAGGTACATGACCCCTCCTCCCTCTCTGATTTAAAGCAAATCAAGGTAGACCTGGGGAAGTTTTCAGATACCCTGATAGGTACACATATGTCCTACGGGGTCTAGGGCAAACCTTCAACCTCACTTGGAGAGCTGTCATGCTATTGTTAGAACAAACCCTGGCTTTTAATGAAAAGAATGTGGCTTTAGCTGCAGCCCAAGAGTTTGGAGATACATGGTATCTTAGTCAGGTTAATGATAGAATGACAGCTGAAGAAAGGGACAAATTCTCTACTGATCAGCAAGCCATAGCCAGTATGGATCCCCACTGGGACCTCCACTCAGGTCATGGGGACTAGGGTTGCAAATATCTGTTGACCTGTGTCAATGAAGAAGACTTAGGAAAAAGCCCATGAATTATTCAATGATGTCCACCATAACTCAGGGAAAGGAAGAAAATCCTACCACCTTCCTTGAGTGGCTACAGGAGGCCTTAAGACAATATACCCTCCTGTCACTTGATTCCCTCAAGGGTCAGTTGATCCTAAAGGATAACTTTATTACCCAATCAGCTGCAGATATCAGGAGAAAGCTCCTAAAGCTAGCCCTGGGTCCTGAACAAAATTTAGAGGCATTATTAAACCTAGAAATCTCAGTGTTCTATAAAAGGGACCAAGAGGAGCAGGCCAAAAAGGAAAAGTGAGATAAGAGAAAGGCCACAGCCTTAGTCATGGCCCTCAGACAAACAAACCTTGGTAGTTCAGAGAGGACAGGAAATGGAGCAGGCCAATCACCTGGCAGGGCTTGTTATCAGCGTGGGTTGCAAGGACACTTTAAAAAAGATTGTCCAGTGAGAAACAAGCCACCCCCTTGCCCATGTCCACTATGCCAAGGCAATCATTGGAAGGTGCACTGCCCCAGAGGACAAAGGCTCTCTGGGCCAGAAGCCCCCAATCAGATGATCCAACAACAGGACTGAGGGTGCCTGGGGCAAGTGCCAGCTCATGTCATCACCCTCAGTGAGACCCAGGTAAGTTTAACCACTGAAGGCCAGGAAATTCACTTCCTCCTGGACACTAGCGTGGCCTTCTCAGTGTTAATCTCCTGCCCTGGACGGCTTTCTTCAAGGTCCATTACCATCCAAGGAATCCTGGGACAGCCTGTAAACAGGTAGTTCTCCCACCTTCTCAGTTGTAATTGGGAGAATTTGCCCTTTTCACGTGCCTTTCTTGTTATGCCTGGAAGTGCCACACCCTTATTAGGGAGGAACATATTAGCCATTGCTATTATCTACATGAATATGGGGGACAAGTTACCCATTTGTTGTCCCCTACTTGAGGAGGGAATCAACCCTGAAGTCTGGGCATTGGAAGGACAATTCAGAAGGGCAAAAAATGCCCACCCAGTTCAAATCTAGCTAAAAGACCCCATCACTTTTCCTTATCAAAGGCAATATCCCTTAAGGCCTGAAGCTCGTAAAGGATTAAAGGATACTGTTAGACATTTAAAAGCTCAAGTCTTAGTAAGAAAATTCAGCAGTCCCTGCAACACCCCAATTCTAGGAATACAAAAACAAAATGGTCGGTGGAGACTAGTGCAAGATCTTAGACTCATCAATGAGGCAGTAATTCCTCTATATCCACCTGTAGCCAACCCCTATACACTGCTCTCTCAAATACCAGAGTCAGCAGAATGGTTCACTGTTCTGATCCTCAAGGATGCCTTCTGTATTCTCCTGCACTCTGACTCCCAGTTTCTCTTTGCCTTTGAGGATCCCACAGACCACACGTCCCAACTTACATGGACAGTCTTGCCTCAAGATTTTAGGGATAGCCCTCATCTCTTTGGTCAGGCACTGGCCCAAAATCTAGGCCACTTCTCAAGCCCAGGCACTCTGGTCCTTCAGTATGTGGATGATTTACTTTTGGCTACCAGTTTGGAAGCCTCATGCCAGCAGGCTACTCTAGATCTCTTGAACTTTGAAGCTAATCAAAGGTACAAGGTGTGTAAATCAAAGGCCCAGCTCTGCCTACAACAAGTCAAATATCTAGGTCTAGTCTTAGCCAGAGAACCAGGGCCCTCAGCAAAGAATGAATACAGCCTATACTGACTTGTCCTCACCCTAAGACATTAAAACAGTCACGGGGGTTCCTTGGGATCACCAGTTTTTGCCAACTATGGATCCCCAGATACAGCGAGATGGCCAGGCCACTCTATACTCAATCAAGGAGACCCAGAGGGCAAATACTCATCTAGTATAATGGGAACCAGAGGCAGAAACAGCTTTCAAAACCTTAAAGCAGGCCCTAGTACCAGCTCCAGCCTTAAGCCTTCCCACAGGACAAAACTTCTCTTTATACATCACAAAGAGAGTGGGAATAGCTCTTGGAGTCCTTACTCAGACTCAAGGGACAACCCCACAACCAGTGGCATACTTAAGTAAGGAAATTGATGTAGTAGCAAAAGGCTGGCCTCATTGTTTATGGTAGTTGTGGCAGTGGTCATGTTAGTATCAGAGGCTATCAAAATAATACAAGGAAAGGATCTCATTGTCTGGACAGCTCGTGATGTAAATGGCATACTAGGTGCCAAAGGAAGTCTATGGCTATCAGACAACTGTCTGCTTAGATACCAGGCACTACTCCCTGAGGAACTGGTGCTTCAAATATGCATGTGTGTGGCCCTCAACCCTGCCACTTTTCTCCCAGAGGATGGGGAACCAATCAAGCATGACTGCCAACAAATTGTAGCCCAGACTTTTGCTGTTCAAGAGGATCTCTTAGAGGTCCCCTTAGCTAATCCTGACCTTGCCCTATATATCGAAGGAAGTTCATTTATGGAGAATGGGATATGAAGGGCAAGTTATGCCATAGTTAGTGATGTAACAGTACTTGAAACTAAGCCTCTTCCCCTAGGGACCAGCACCCAGTTAGCAGAACTAGTGGTGCTTACCTGAGCCTTAGAACTGGGAAAGGAAAAAAGAATAAATGTATATACAGTATTTGTCCATTTCATCTAATAAATAATCTAATTTGTTTAATGGCAAAAAATGTATATACAGTTAGCAAGTATGCTTATCTAATTCTACATGCTTATGCTGCAATATGGAAAGAAAGGGAGTTCCTAACCTCTAGGGGAACCCCCATTAAATACCACAAGGAAATCATGGAGTTATTGCATGCAGTGCAAAAACCCAAGGAGGTGGCAGTCTTACACTGCTAAAGCCATCAAAAAGATGAAGGAGAAAAGGCAGAAAGAAACTGTCGGGCAGAAGCTGAGACCAAAATTGCTGCCAGGTGGAACCTCCCATTAGAAATACCTATGGAAGGACCCTCGGTATGGAACAACCCTCTCCAAGAAATTAAGCCCCAGTATTCCCGTCCAAAACAGAATGGGGACTTTCATGGGGGCATAGTTTTCTCCCCTCGGGGTGGTTAATGACAGAAGAGGGAAAAGTACTCATACCCGAAGCCAGCCAGTGGGAAATACTTAAGACCCTCTGCTAAACCTTTTATATGGGTATTGAGAACATTCATCAAATGGCCAAATCCCTATTTACACAGTCAATTCTCCCCAGACCATCCGGCAAGTAGTCAAAGCCTATGAGGTGTGCCAAAGGAATAATCCATTGGTCCATCATAAGGCTCCCCTCGGGGAAACAAAGAACAGGTCACTATCCTGGAGAGGATTGGCAGTTAGACTTCATCCATATGCCTAAATCAAGGGGATTTCAATACTTGGTATGTGTTGATACCTTTACAAATTGGATGGAAGCCTTCCCTTGCAAGAGAGAGAAAGCTCAGGAAGTGGTTAGTCCTAATTCATGAAATAATTCCTAGATTTGGGCTTCCCCAAAACTTACAAAGTGACAATGGTCCGGCTTTTAAAGCCATGATAACTCAGGGAATTTCCAGGGCACTAGGGATACAATATCACCTTCAGTGCACGTGGAGGCCACAAACCTCAGGGAAGGTTGAGAAAGCAAATGAAACACTCAAGAGGCACTTAAGGAAACTAACACAAGAAACTCATCTCCCATGGCCTACTTTCTTGCCCATGGCCTTGTTGAGAATCTAAAATTCCCCTCACAAAATGGGGCTCAGTCCATATGAAATGCTGTATGGATGACCTTTTCTCACAAATGACCTCTTACTTGATCAGGAAATGGCCAACTTGGTCAAAGACATAACTTCTTTGGAAAAATACCAACAAAACATTAAAAACCTACCTGAAGGACATCACAGAGAAAAGGGAACAGAGTTGTTCCAACTGGGAGATCTAGTGTTGGTCAAGTCCCTTCCCTCTACCTTCCCATCTATGAATTCCTTGTGGGAAGGACCATACTCAGTAATCCTCTCTACTCCCACTGCAGTTAAGGTAGCAGGAGGGGAATCTTGGATTCACCACACCCGAGTTAAACTTTGGACACCCCCTGAGGAACCTGCAGGACCATCAGATCAGGAGTCCCAAGATCAGCCAGACCAGCCTCAATACACCTGTGAACCATTGGAGGACTTGCGTCTCCTATTTCAGAAGGAAACATCCCAAACTAAAAAGGCTCCTTCAGCTGATCCTGAGGAAAAACCCCTTCCTACTTAAAAAAGTTAAGTGAAAACCTACATAATCTTTAACACCTCTCCTTGCCCCTTTAATGGAATCCTTTTACTGTTTCATCACATTATTAGGCAGTATACTAAACATACTCTTTGCAGTAGGATTATATACTGTAGCTTCTGCCGGGATGAAAATCCTAATCACATCAACCTTTTTTCTATCATCCTTCGTTCTGATGGCAATTTAATCCTACCTTTAACTCAGACTGGATAAAAAGACCTCATCTTCCAGGGAACCCTCTTTACCTTTCTACTTACACTTTGTCTATATAACCCTCCTGCTTCCTTGGATACCCCACATAGTCACCCCTCCCCTTCCACTGGCTCCTAATTACCTCTACAAGACTCTCAACTTAACCCACTCTCTGTTAAACCAGTCCAATCCTTCCCTGGCAAATGACTGTCGGCTTTGTATCTCTCTATCAGCCACTGCTTATGTTGCCACTCTCGTTCCCACAAAAAACTGGGTCTTTATTAACTTAACCTACCACTCCCATTATGAAGGAAGAGACCCTTTCCAACTTCTAAATATGCAATCATTAGCTGACTTCCCCATCTCTGATAGGAACAAAGCAGGGCACACAATCCAGCGTTTACACTCTTACATTTCCAACCTCACCTATTGCTCCTCACAGGAGCAGTGAAAAGCACATACACAGCCCTGTAACCAGGAATACCATCTAATTTTCCAAGCCCCTTTATGCATCCAACTCAACCTGTTATCAGGCCTGCCCCTGGGGCACCTATTATCCCATCAGTGTAATTACACCCTACAACTTCAAGCCCCAACTGATCATAGTAACTTCCGAGTCACCCAAACAGCTCCATTCAGATGGCTTTTCTGCTTCTCAGGATCCCCAAAAATCATCACCTTCTCCCTGCTTAACAAACAGTCTGGGTTTTGTAATGGCAAACACATTCCCTGCATGACCATTCTCCTCTGGACCCCCTGCAGCAGTGTCCCCAACACTAGCAAATGCCTTCTCATCCCCTCTTTCAATTACTCTCTTGAATGGTTCCTAGTAGATACAAAATGATTTTATCTCCAGTGGGAAAATGGAACACAGGGAGCCACTCAGTTTCCTCCCAACACCCATTTCCAGCCGCTCACCAAAGCTACCTTCGCGAGTACTCTAAGAGTATGGGAAAATGAAAACAACAAATTCACACACCTTTTTAACATACACAACCAGTTCTGTCTACCCAGCCAAGGCATATTCTTCTTATATGGAACTTCAACCTATATCTATCTGCCTCCCCACCAAACGGACAGGCACCTGCACCTTAGTCTTCCTAAGTCCCACCATTGACATCGCCCCAGGAAATCAGACCCTATCAGTGCCCCTCAAGGCTCAAGACCATCAGTGCAGGGCCATAAAACTAATACCCCTACTTATAGGGTTAGGAATGGCCCCTGCTACAGGAACCAGAATAGCCAGTTTATCTACTTCACTATCCTATTACCACGCACTCTCAAAGGATTTCTCTGACAGTGTGCAAGAAATAATGAAATCTATCCTCACTCTACAGTCCCAAATAGACCCTTTGGCAACAGTGACTCTCCAAAACTGCCGAGGCCTAGACCTCCTCACTGCTGAGAAAGGAGGACTTTGCACCTTCTTAGGGGAAAAGTGTTGTTTTTACACTAACAATTCAGGGATAGTATGAGACGCCACCTGGCATTTGCAGGAAAAGTCTTCTGAAATCAGACAACACCTTTCAAACTTTTATACCAACCTCTGGAGTTGGGCAACATGGCTTCTCCCCTTTCTAGGTCCTGTGAGAGCCATCTTGCTATTACTTGCCTTCAGGCCCTGTATTTTTATTTTTTTATTTTTTTTTTTTAATTTTTTTTTTTTATTATACTCTAAGTTTTAGGGTACATGTGCACATTGTGCAGGTTAGTTACATATGTATACATGTGCCATGCTGGTGCGCTGCACCCACTAACGTGTCATCTAGCATTAGGTATATCTCCCAATGCTATCCCTCCCCCCTCCCCCGACCCCACCACAGTCCCCAGAGTGTGATATTCCCCTTCCTGTGTCCATGTGATCTCATTGTTCAATTCCCACCTATGAGTGAGAATATGCGGTGTTTGGTTTTTTGTTCTTGCGATAGTTTACTGAGAATGATGGTTTCCAATTTCATCCATGTCCCTACAAAGGACATGAACTCATCATTTTTTATGGCTGCATAGTATTCCATGGTGTATATGTGCCACATTTTCTTAATCCAGTCTATCATTGTTGGACATTTGGGTTGGTTCCAAGTCTTTGCTATTGTGAATAGTGCCGCAATAAACATACGTGTGCATGTGTCTTTATAGCAGCATGATTTATAGTCCTTTGGGTATATACCCAGTAATGGGATGGCTGGGTCAAATGGTATTTCTAGTTCTAGATCCCTGAGGAATCGCCACACTGACTTCCACAATGGTTGAACTAGTTTACAGTCCCACCAACAGTGTAAAAGTGTTCCTATTTCTCCACATCCTCTCCAGCACCTGTTGTTTCCTGACTTTTTAATGATTGCCATTCTAACCGGTGTGAGATGATATCTCATAGTGGTTTTGATTTGCATTTCTCTGATCAGGCCCTGTATTTTTAACATCCTTGCCAAATTTGTTTCCTCTAGGATTGAAGTCATCAAGCTACAGGTGGTCTTACAAATGGAACCCCAAATGAGCTCAACTCACAACTTCTAACGAGGACAACTGGATTGACCCACTGGCCCTTTGACTGGCCTAGAGAGTTCCCCTCTGGAGGACACTAAAACTGCAGGGCCCCTTCTTCACCCCTATCCAGCAGTTAGTAGCTAGAATGGTCATTGCCCAGTTCCCAAGAGCAGCTGTGGTGTCCTGTTTAGAGGGCTATTGAGAGGTGAGGCCAGCTGAACTTCCTGGGTCAAGTGGGGACTTGGGGAACTTTCCTGTCTTACAAGAGGATTGTAAAATGCACCAATCAGTGCTCTGTAAAACACACTAATCAGCTCTCTGTAAAACACATCAATCAGCACTCTGTAAAACACACCAATCAGCACTCTGTAAAACGCACCAATAAGCACTCTGTAAAATGCACCAATCAGCAGGATCCTAAAGGTAGCCACCTTTCACTCTTCACAATAAACCTTGCTACCACTCACTCTTTGGGTCCTTGCCATCTTTAAGAGCTGTAACACTCACCGTGAAGGTCCACGGCTTCATTCTTGAAGTCAGCAAGACTGTGAACCCACTGGCAGGAACCAACTCTGGACACACAAGGACTGCGAGCACAGTCAGCACTTTGGCAGAGAAAGGTCACCTGGATGTTACATGGCGAGGCTACAGGGTTGTAAGGGTCACTTTACCTTCAGCTCTGCACTGAGGCTGGCTAGTCCTTGAGAAACTAAGTGACCTGCTTCTCAGCTGTGCAAGTAAAAAATCTTGGCAACACATCATCCAAACCATGGCTCAGCTGCTGCAGGGCCCCACAGAATAGGGCCCTGCCTTTCCTTCCCATCAGCATCCCATCTGACCCTGTCTGAGTCCCATGATGGCTGGCTGGGTGTGGGCAGCATGTACACGGGAGATCATGGGTGCTTGAAAGAAGTCGAGGCTGTACCTTTCTTTGCAAGAACCTGTTCTCTTTCCCTCCTTGTTTTTAAAAATATTCAATACAGTATAATTTTATAATGATAACAGAACCTGGTCCGACTTCTGTGGAAAAGGATTGATCAACAAGCCTGAGTTGGGGGTTTTTCTGTTCAGTTCGTATTAGGGCCCCTCTAGGGGAGTTTTCTGTGTTGTTTAGGAAGGGCTTCTTTCATAAAGAAGTAGGCCCAGTGTGGTGGCTTGCACCTGTAATCCCAACATTTTGGGAGGCCGAGGCAGGAGGATTGCTTGAGCCCAGGAGTTCGAGACCAGCCTGGCCACCATAGTGAGACTTTGTTCTCTACCAAAAATTTAAAAATTAGCTGGGCATAGTGGCGCATGCCTGTAGTTCCAGCTACTTGTGAGGCTGAGGTGGGAGAATCGCTTGAGCCTGGGAGGTCGAGGCTGCAGTGAGCTATGACTGCAACACTGCACACAGCCTGGGCTACAGAACAAGACACTGTCTCACAAAAAGAAAAAACAAGCAACTTATTCATTTTTTGTGTTGAATGTGACCCACGTGCATCTTAAAAGAAAATAAAATTCCTGTATCCAAGCTAAAAAAAAAAATTATATGAAATCGAAAAAGAACCCAAATAGCCAATACATTCCTAAGCAAAAAGAACAAAGCTGGAGCTATCACATTACTAACTTCAGACTATACTACAAGGCTACTGTAACCAAAACAGCATAGTACTGGTACAAAAACACATAGACCAATGAAACAGGATATAGAGCCCAGAAATAATGTGACACACCTGCCAAAATCTGATCATTGACAAAATTGACAAAAACAAACAATGGGGAATAGTCTCTCTATTCAATAAATGGTGCTGGGATAACTGGCTAGCCATATGAAGAAGATTGAAACTGGGTGCCTTCCTTACACTATATATAAAAATTCACTTCAGATGTATTAAAGACTTAATTCTAAAACCAAAAACTATAGAAACCCTGGAAAACAACCTAGGCAATACCATTCTGGATATAATACCTGGCAAAAACCTCATGACAAAGACACAGAAAAAAATTGCAAAAAAAAAAAAAACAAAAAAAAACAAAAAAAAAAACTGGGGTTGGCTGGCTAGATGGCCGAATAGGAACAGCTCTGGTCTACAGCTCCCAGTGAGATCAAAGCAGAAGGTGGGTGATTTCTGCATTTCCAACTGAGGTACATGGCTCATCTCATTAGGACTGGTTAGACAGTGGATGCAGCCAATGGAGGGTGAGCCGAAGGAGGGTGGGTCGTCACCTCACCTGGGAAGTGCAAGGGGTCGAGGAACTCCCTCCCCTAGCCAAGGGAAGCCATGAGGGACTGTGCCATGAGGAAGGGTGAATTTTGGCTCAGATACTATGCTTTTCCCACAGTCTTCACCACCCACAGACCAGGAGATTCCCTCGGGTGCCTACACCACCAGGGCCCTGGATTTGAAGCACAAAACTGGGTGGCCATTTGGGCAGACACCGAGTTAGCTGCAGTTTTGTTTTGTTTTGTTTTGTTTTGTTCATACCCAGGTGGTGCCTGGAATTCCAGATAGACAGAACAGTTCATTCTGATGGAAAGGGGGCTGAAGCCAGGGAGCCAAGTGGTCTAGTTTAGCAGATCCCACCCACATGGAGCCCAGCAAGCTAAGATCCACTGGCTTAAAATTCTTGCTGCCAGCACAGCAATCTGAATCAACTTGGGATGCTCAACCTTGGTAGCGAAAGGGGCATCTGCCATTACTGAGGCTTGAGTAGGCAGTTTTCCCCTCACAGTGTAAACAAACCCACTGGGAAGTTCAAACTGAGCAGAGCCCACCACAGCTCAGCAAAGCTGCTGTAGCCACATTGCCTCTCTAGATTCCTCCTCCCTGGGCAGGGAATCTCTGAAAGAAAGGCAGCAGCCTCAGTCAGGGGATTCTAGATAAAATTCCCATCTCCCCTGGGACAGAGTACCTGGGGGAAGATGTGGCTGTGGGGACAGCTTTAGCAGACTTAAATGTTTCTGCCTGCCAGCTCTGAAAAGAGTAGCAGATCTCCTAGGGCAGCACTCAAGCTCTGCTAAGAAACTGACTGGCTCCTGAAGTAAGTCCCTGATCCCCATGGCTTCTGACTGGGAGACACCTCCCAGCAGGAGTCGACAGACACCTCATACAAGAGAGCTCCAGCTGGCATCTCGTGGGTGCCCCTCTGGGACAAAGCTTCCAGAGGAAGGAACAGGCAGCAATCTTTGCTGTTCTGCTGCCTCCGCTGGTGATACCCGGGCAAACAGGGTCTGGAGTGGACCTCCAGCAAAATCCAGCAGACCTGCAGCACAGGGAACTGACTGTTAGAAGGAAAACTAACAAATGGAAAGGAATAGCATCAATATCAACAAAATGGACGTCCACACAGAAACCCCATCCGAAAATCACCAACACCAAAGACCAAAGGTAGATAAATGCATGAAGAGAAGAAAAACCAGCACAAAAAGGCTGAAAATTCCAAAAACCAGAATGCCTCTTCTCCTCCAAAGGATCACAACACCTTGCCCACAAAGGAACAAAACTGGACAGAGAATGAGTTTGACGAATTGACAGAAGTGGGTAATAACACTTCATAAGACTTCATAAGGTGGGTAATAACAAACTCCTCCGAGCTAAAGGGGCATGTTCTAACCCAATGTAAGGAGGCTAAGAACCATGAAAAAAGGTTAGAGGAATTGCTAACTAGAATAACCAGTTTAGAGAAGAATATAAATTACCTGATGGAGCTGAAAAACACAGCACAAGAACTTCATGAAGCATACACAAGTATCAATACCAAATTGATCAAGCGGAAGGAAGGATATCAGAGATTGAAGATCAACTTAGTGAAATAAAGCATGAAGACAAAATTAGAGAAAAAAGAATAAAAAGGAATGAACAAAGCCTCCAAGAAATATGGGACTATGTGAAAAGACCAAACCTATGTTTGATTGGTCTACATGAAAGTGACATGGAGAATGGAACCAAGTTGGAAAACTCTCTTCAGAATATTATCCAGGAGAATTTCCCCAATCTAGCAAGACAGGCCAACATTCAAATTCAGGAAATACAGAGAAAACCACAAACATATTCCTCGAGAAGAGCAACCCCAAGAAACATAATCATCAGATTCACCAAGGTTGAAATGAAGGAAAAAATGTTAAGGGCAGCCAGAGAAAAAGGTCGGGTTACCCTCAAAGGGAAGCCCATCAGACCAACAGCAGATCTCTTGGCAGAAACCCTACAAACCAGAAGAGAGTTGGGGGGGCAATATTCAACATTCTTAAAAGAATTTTCAACCCAGAATTTCATACCCAGCCAAGCTAAGCTTCATAAGCAATGGAGAAATAAAATCCTTTACAGACAAGCAAATGCTGAAAAATTTTGTCACCACCTGACCTGCCTTAAAAGAGCTCCTGAAGGAAGCACTAAATGTGGAAAGGAAAAACTGGTACCAGCCACTGCAAAAACATACCAAATTGTAAAGACCATCGAAAGCTATGTAAAGACCACTATGAAAAAACTGCATCAACTAACAGGCAAAATAACCACCTCACATCACAATGACAGGATCAAATTCACAAATAATAATATTAACCTTAAATGTAAATGGGCAAAATGCCCCAATCAAAAGACACAGACTGGCAAATTGGATAAAGAGACAAGACCAACTAGTGTGCTGTATTCAGGAGACACATCTCACATGCAAAGACACACATAGGCTCAAAATAAAGAGATGGAGGAAGATTTACCAAGCAAATGGAAAGCCAAAAAAAAAGCAGGGGTTGCAATCCTAGTCTCTGATAAAACAGACTTTAAACCGACAAAGATTAAAAAAGACAAAGGGCATTACATGATGGTTAAGGGATCAATGCAACAAGAAGAGTTAACTATTGTAAATATATATGCATGTAATTCAGGAGCACCCAGATTCATGAAGCAAGTTCTTAGATAACTACAAAGAGACTTAGACTCCCACACAGTAATAGTGGGAGATTTTAACACCCCACTCTCAATATTAGATCAAAGAGACAGAAAATTAACAAGGATATTCAGGACTTGAACTCAGCTCTGGACCAAGAAGACCTAATAGACATCTACAGAACTCTCCACCCCAAATCAACAGAATATACATTCTTCTCTGCACCATATCACATTTATTTTTAAATTGACCACATAATTGGAAGTAAAGCATTGCTCAGCAAATGCAAAAGAATGGACATCATAACAAAGAGCCTCTCAGACCACAGTGCAATCAAATTAAAAGTCAAGATTAAGAAACTCACACAAAATTGCACAACTACATGAAAACTGAACAACCTGCTCCTGAATGACTATTGGGTAAATAAAAAAATTAAGGAAGCACTTTGGGAGGCTGAGGCCAGTGAATCATGGGGTCAGGAGATCAAGACCATCCTGGCTAACACAGTGAAACCACATCTCTACCAAAAATACAAAAAAAAATTAGCCAGGTGTGGTGGCGGGTGCCTGTAGTCCCAGCTACTCAGGAGGCTGAGGCAGGCCAGGAGGCGGAGCTTGCAGTAAGCCAAGATTGCATCGCCACACCCCAGCCTGGGTGACAAAGCAAGAATCAGTCTCAAAAAAAAAAAATTTAAGGAAGAAATAAAGAAGGTCATTGAAGCCAACGAGAACAAAGACAAAATGTACCAGAATCTCTGGGACAAAGCTAAGGCAGTGTTTAGAGGGAAATTTATATTATGAATGCCCACAGGAGAAAGTGGGAAAGATC
Source organism: Homo sapiens (assembly GCF_000001405.40). Lineage (NCBI taxonomy): Eukaryota > Metazoa > Chordata > Mammalia > Primates > Hominidae > Homo > Homo sapiens. The sequence goes on from NC_000021.9 coordinate 17,311,962, forward strand.
TAAAATTGGCACCATAACATCAAAATTAAAGGAACTAGAGAAACAAGAGCAAACAAATTCAAAAGCTAACAGAAAACAAGAAATAACTGAGATATGATCAGAACTGAAGGAGATAGAGACATGAAAAACTATTCAAAAAATCAATGAATTCAGGAGCTGGTTTTTTGAACAGATTAACAAAATAGATAGATCACTGGCCAGACTAATAAAGAAGAAAAGAGAGAAGAATCAAACAGACAAAATAAAAAATGATAAAGGGGATATCACCACTGATCCTACAGAAATACAAACTACCATCAGATAATACTATAAACACCTTCATGCAAATAAACTAGAAAATCTAGAAGAAATGGATAAATTACTGGACACATACACCCTCCCAAGACTAAACAAGGAAGAAGTCAAATCTCTGAATAGACCAGTAATGAGTTCTAAAATTAAGGCAGTAATTAATAGCCTAAAAACCAAAAAAAGCCTGGACCAGACGGATTCACAACCAAATTCTACCAGAGGTACAAACAGGAGCTGGTACCATTTCTTCTGAAACTGTTCCAAACAATAGAAAAAAGGGAGGACTCCTCCCTAATTCATTTTGTGAGGCTAGCATCATCCTGATACAAAAACCTGGCAAAGGCACAACCAAAAAAGAAAATTTCAGGCCAATATTCCTGATGAACATCAATGCGAATATCCTCAATAAAATACTGGCAAGCTGAATCCAGCAGCACATAAAAAAGCTTATCCACCACGATCAAGTTAGCTTCACCCCTAGGATGCAACGCTGGTTCAACATATGCAAATCAATAAACGTAATCCATCACATAAACAGAACCTATGACAAAAACCACATGACTATCTCAATAGGTGCAGAAAAGGCCTTTGACAAAATTCAACAGCCTTTTTGAGTTTTAGCAAAAACTATCAACAAACTAGATACTGATGGAACGTATCTCAAAATTATAAGAGCTATTTATGACAAACCCACAGCCAATATTATACTGATTGGGCAAAAGCTGGAAACACTGATTTGAAAACTGGCACAAGACAAGGTTGCCCTCTCTCACCACTCCTATTCAACATAGTATTGGAAGTTCTGGCCAGGGCAATCAGGCAGGAGAATTATATAAAGGGTATTCAAATAGGAAGAGAGTAAATCAAATTGTCTCTGTTTGTAGATGACGTGCTTGTATATTTAGAAAACTCCATTATCTCAGCCCAAAATCTCCTTAAACTGATGAGCAACTTCAGCAAAGTCTCAGGATACAAAATCAATGTGCAAAAATCACAAGCATTCCTATACACCAATAATTGACAAACAGAAAGCCAAAGCATGAGTGAACTCCAATTCACAATTGCTTCAAAGAGAATAAAATACCTAGGAATCCAACTTACAAGGGATGTGAAGGACCCCTTCAAGGACAGTTACAACCCACTGCTCAAGGAAATAAGAGAGGACACAAACAAATGGGAAAACATTCCATGCTCATGGATAGAAAGAATCAATATCATGAAAATGGCCATACTGCCCAGAGTAATTTATAGATTCAATCCTATCCCCATCAAGCTACCACTGACTTTCTTCATAGAATTAGAAAAAACTATCTTAAATTTCACATAGTACCAAAAAAGAGCTAATACAGCCAAAACAATCCTAAGCAAAAAGAACAAAGCTGGAGGCATCATGCTACCTGACTTCAAACTAACTATACTACAAGGCTACAGTAATCAAAACAGCATGGGACTGATACCAAAACAGATATATAGACCAATGGAACAGAACAGAGGCCTCAGGAATAATGTCACACATCTACAACCATTGGATCTTTGACAAACCTGACAAAAACAAGCAATGGGGAAAGGATTCCCTATTTAATAAATGGTGTTGGGAAAACTGGCTAGCCATATGCAGAAAACTGAAACTGGATCCCTTCCTTACACCTTATACAAAAATTAATTCTAGATGGATTAAAGACTTAAATTTTAAACATTAAACCATAAAAACCCTAGAAGAAAACGTAGGCAATACCATTCAGGACATAGGCATGGGCAGAGACTTCATGACTAAAACACCAACAGCAATGGCAACAAAAGCAAAAATTGACAAATTTGATCTAATTAAGCTAAAGACTTTCTGCACAGCAAAAGAAACTATCATCATAGAGAACAAGCAACCTACAGAATGGGACAAAATTTTTGCAATCTATGCATCTGACAAAGGGCTAATATCCAAAATCTACAAGGAGCTTAAACAAATTTACAAGAAAAAAATGAAAAACCCCATCAAAAAGTGAGCAAAGTATATGAACAGACACTTCTCAAAAGAAGACATTTATGCCACCAACAAATGTGTGAAAAATAGCTTATCATCACTGGTCATTAGAGAAATGCAAATCATAGCCACAATGATATACCATCTCAAGCCAGTTAATATGATGATCATTAAAAAGTCAAGAAACAACAGATGCTGGAGAGGATGTGGAGAAATAGGAATGCTATTACACTGTTGGTGGAAGTGTAACTAGTTCAACCATTGTGTAAGACAGTGTGGTGATTCCTCAAGGATCTAGAACCAGAAATACCATTTGACCCAGCAATCCCATTACTGGACATATACCCAAAGGATTACAAATCATTCTACTATAAAAACACATGCACACATATGTTTATTGCAAAACTATTCACAACAGCAAAGACTTGGAACCAACACAAATGTCCATCAATAATAGACTGGATAAAGGGAATGTGGCACATATACACCATGAAATACCATGCAGCCATAAAAAAGGATGAGTTCATGTCCTTTGCAGGGACATGGATGAAGCTGGAAACCATCATTCTCAGCAAACTAACACAGGAAGAGAAAATCAAACACTGCATGTTCTCACTCATAAGTGGGAGTTGAATGATGAGAACACATGGACACAGGGAGGGGAACATCACACACCAGGGCCTGTCAGGGGATGGGGGACTAGGGGAAGGATAGCACTAGGGGAAATACCTAATGTAGATGACAGGTTGATGGGTACAGCAAACCACCATGGCATGTGTATACCTATATAACAAACCTGCAATTCTGCACATTCAGGAAAATGGCTAAATCAAATCCAAGGAAACTAAGAATACAACCAAATGATACAGAAGCTGAAAGGTGAAATAGCCAGTATAAAAAGAACGTAACATATCTGATAGAGTTGAAAAACATACTACAAGAATTTTACAGTGCAATCACAAGTATTTACAACAGAATAGGCCAAGCTGAAAAAAAGAATCTCAGAAATTGAAGACGGTCTCTCTGAAATAAGACAGACAAAAATAAAGAAAGAGTAATAAAAAGAAATGAACAAAACCTCTGAAAATGTGGCATTATGTAAGAGGCCAAATCTGCAAATCACTGGCATCTCTGAAAGGGACAAGGAGAAAACAAACAACTTGGGAAATATATTTCATGACATCATTCATGAAAACTTCCCCAACCTTGCTAGAGAGGCCAACAGTCAAATTAACAAACTACAGAGAAAACCCTGAAAGATACTACACTAGAAGAGTATCCCTAAGACATATGATCATCAGATTTTTCAAGGTTGAAATGAAAGGAAAAAAAATGTTAAAGACAGCTAGAGAAAAAGAGCAAGTCACCTATAAAGGGAACCCTATCAGGCTAAGAGTGGACCTCTCAGCAGAAGAGATTGGGGACCTATATTCAACATTCTTAAAGAAAAATGTCTAAAACCAAGAATTTGATATCCAGCCAACCTAAGTTTCCTAAACGGAGGAGAAACACAGCCTGTTTCAGATAAGCAAATGTTGAGGGGGTTCATTACTACCACACATGCCTTACAAGAAATTGGGAAAGGAGCACCAAATATAGAAAGAAAAGACTGTTACCAGCCAATACAAAAACACACTTACATACACAGACCAGTGACACTGTAAAGCAACCACACAAACAAGCTGACATAATAACCAGCTAACAATACAATGACGGGATCAAATCCACACATATCAGTACTAACCTTGAGTGTAAACAGGCTGAATGCCCCACTTAAAAGACACAGAGTGGCAAGCTGGATAAAAAAGCAAGACCCAATGGCATGCTGTCTTCAAGAGACCCATATCATACATAATGAGACTCATAGGCTCAAAATAAAGAAATGGAGGAAAATCTACCAAGCAAATGGAAATCAGAAAAAAGCAGGTGTTGCAATTCTAATTTCAGGCAGGGCAGACTTTAAACCAACAAAGATCAAAGAAGGCACCAAAAAGCATTATATAATGGTAAAGAATTCAATTCAACAGGAAGACCTAACTATCCTAAATATGTGTGCACCCAACACAGGAGCACCCAGATTCATAAAGCAAGTTCTTAGAGACCTATGAAGAGCCTTAGACTCGCACACAATAATAGTGGACGAATTCAACACTCCAATAACAGTACTAGACAGATTGTTTAAGCAGAAAACTAACAAAGATATTCAGGACCTGAACTTAATGTTAGACCAAATGGATCTTCATCAGAAACTACATAGACTTCTACAGCACTCTCCACCCATAAACAACAGAACATACATTCTCTCATCACCACGTGGCACATACTCTAAAATTGACCACATTATTAGACATGAAACAATCATCAGCAAATGCAAGAGAACTGAAATTATGTAAAACACACTCTTGGACCACAGTGCAATAAAAATACAAGTCAGAACTCATAAGATAGCTCAAAGACCATTAAAAAATAAACAACATGCTTTTAAATGACTTTTGAGTAAATAATAAATTAAGTCAGAAATAAAGGTCTTGGAAACTAAAGAGAATAAAAATACAACATACCAGAGTCTCTGAGACACAGCCAATGCAGTGTTAAGAGAGTAACTTATAGTACTTACTGCCACATCAAAAGTAAGAAAGATCTCAGATAAACAATGTAATGTTACAACTGAAAGAATTAGAGAAGCAAGAGCAAATCAGTCCCAAAGCTAGCAGGAGACAATAAATAACCAAAATCAGAGCTAAAGTGAAAAAAAAATTGAGACACAAAAATACATTCAAATGATCAATGAATCCAGGAGTTGCTTTCTGAAAAAAAAAAATAATAAGCTAGATAGGCCGCTGGCTAGACTAATAAAGAAGAAAAGTTCCAAATAAACACAATTAGAAATGACAAAGGGGATGTTACCACTCACCCTACAGAAATAAAAATAACCATCACAAACTGCTATGAACACCTCTATGCACACAATCTAGAAAACCTAGAAGAGATGGTTAAATTTCTGTACACATACACTATCCCAAGACTGAAATAGAAGAAATTGATTCCCTGAACAGACCAATAATGAGCTCTGAAGTTGAATCAGTAATAAATAACCTAGCAACCAAAAAAAAAAAAAAAAAAAAAGCCCAGAACCAGATGGATTCACAGCCTGATTCTACCAGATATAAAAAGAAGATCTGGTATCATTTCTCCTGAAACTATTCAAAAAATTGAGGAGAGACTCCTCCCCCAACTCATCCTATGAGGCCAGCAACATCCTTATACCAAAGCCAAAATACAACGAGAAAAGAAATCTACTGGCCAATATTTTTGATAAACATAAATGCAAAAATTCTCAATCCAATACTACCAAAGCAAACTTAACACATCAAAAATATTATAACATAACCAGCTGGAATTTGTCCCTGAGAAGCAAGCTTGGTTTTATGCAAGTCAATCAACATGATGCACCACATTTACAAAATAAAAGATAAAAACTACATGATTATCTCAATAGATGCAGAAACAATATAACGTAGTTTATTATCCTTTGATGATAAAAATCCTCAGAATAGATATAAGAAGCAAATTTTCTCAACATAATAGTGGCCATTTATGAAAAGCCCACAACTAAAATCATAATCAGTGGAGAAAAAAAAATGGAAAGATTTTCCTCTAAGATCTGGTACAAGGAAAGGATTCCTACTCAACAGAGTACTGGAAGATCTAGCAAGAGCAATCAGACAAAAAATACAAGAGAGAAGGAGGTGAAGCAACATGGCTGAATAGAGACCTCCAGTGATCATCTCCCACCATGAGAACACCAAACTGAACAATTATTCAAATTTTTAAAAAAAAGCACCTTCATAAGAACCAAAAATCAGGTGAGGAAACACAGTACCTGGTTTTAACATCATAATAAGGAAGGAGGCCTTGAAAGGTGTGGAAAAGACACTCTAAAATAACCTACACCACCCCTCCCCCATCCCCCAGCAGTGATCATGTGGTGCATAGAAAGAATTTGTGCACTTGGGGGAGAGAAAGCACAGGGATTATGTGACTTTGCATTGGAACTCAGTGCTGCCCTAGCACGGTGGAAAGCAACATGGAGCAGAACTTAGCCAGCACTCATAAAGGCAGCATTTAGACCAGCCCTTGCCAGAGGTGAATTGTCCATCCCAGCAGTTGGAACCTGAGTTATGGTAAGCCCTGCTGCCATGGGCTGAAGTGTTCTGAGGTCCTAAATAAATTGAAAATGCAGATTGGCCACAAGGAATGAAATTCCTGGGCAAGTCCTGGGGCTGTGCTGGGCTTGGAACCAGTAGACTTGTGGTGCATGTAATCTAGGGAGACCAGCTGGGGTGACCAAGGGAGTACTTCTGTCACCCCTCCCCAACTCCAGGCAGCACAGCACACAGCTCTAAAAAAGACTCCTTCTTCCACTAAAGGAGAGGAGAGCGAGAGTAAAGAGGACTTAGTCTTGCAACTTGGATACCAGCTCAGCCACTGTACAATAGGACACCAGGCAGAGTTCTGAGGGCCCCCATCCTAGACCCTAGTTCTCAGTTTACATTTCTGGACACACCCTGGGCCAGAAGGGAACCCACTGCCTTGAAGGGAAGAACCCAGTCCTGACAGAATTCATCATGGACTGGCTAAAGAGCTCTTGAGCCCTGAATAATCACCAGTGGTCACCAGGAAGTACTCACTGTGGGTCCTGGGTGAGACTCAGAGTCATGCTGGCTTCAGGTGTGACCCACCACATTCCCAGCTGTGGTGGCTACAGGGAGAGTCTCCTGCAAGATGATACATCAATGAGTTTGCAACTGCAATAGCATTTGTGGGTTTAGGGTGCTCCCTAAGGCAGAGATGGATGTAGTGATCAAAGACTTAGGTCACAAACCTTTTGAATACCTCAAAAGCCTTCCCAAGAAGGATAGGTACAAACAAGCCCAGACTCCCAAAGATCAAGGATAAAAAAGGATTCTAAAAGCAGCAAAAGAAAAGAAACTAATAACATACAAAGGACTTCAATACGTCTGGCAGCAGACTTCTCAGTGGAAATGTTACAGGCCAACAGGAAGTGACATGATATATTTAGGGGACTGAAGGAAAAATATTTTATCCTAAAATAATATAACCAACAAAAATATCCTTCAAACATGAAGAAGAAATAAAGAGTTTACCACACAAACAAAAGCTCAGGGATTTTATCAACACCACACCATTCTTATAAAGAATGCTAAAGAAAGTTCAGTCTGGAAGAAACAGATGTTAATGAGCAATAGCAAATCATCTGAAGGTCCAAAAGTTACTGTTAATAGCAAGTACAGAGAAAAACACAATGTTATAACACTGTCATAGTGGAGTATAAACTATTCATATCTTGAGTAGAAAGGTTAGTAAATGAACTGATCCAAACTAGTAACTACAACTTTTCAAAACATAACACGAAATGATATAAACAGAAACAACATAAAGTTAAAAAGAGACAAAGGAGGGACAATGTTAAGGTATAGAGTTTTTATTAGTTTTCTTTTTGATTATTTGTTTATGCAGTCTTAAGTAGTCATCAGTTTAAAATAATGGGTTAGCAAATGATTACAAATCATTCTACTATAAAGACACATGCACATGTATGTTAATTGCAGCACTGTTCACAATAGCAAAGATGTGGAACCAACCCAAATGCCCATCAATGACAGACTGGATAAAGAAAATGTGGCACATACATACCATGGAATACTATGCAGCCATGAAAAAGAATCAGTTCATGTCCTTTGCAGGGACATGGATGAAGCTGGAAACCATCATTCTCAGCAAACTAATACAGGAACAGAAAACCAAACATCGCATGTTCTCACTTATAAGTGGGAGTTGAACAATGAGAACACATGGACACAGGGAGGGGAACATCACACACTGGGGCCTGTCAGCAGGTGGGGGTGCTAAGGGAAGGATAGCATTAGGAGAAATACCTAATGTAGATGACGAGTTGATGGGTGCAGCAAACCACCATGGCACATGTATACCGATGTAACAAAACTGCACGTTCTGCACGTGTATCCCAGAACTTAAAGTATAATAAAAAATAATGATTATAAAATAAAATAATGGATTAGAAGATATATTTGCAAACCTTATGATAACCTCAAATCAAAAAAAATATATCAGATAACACAAAAAATTTTAAAAAGAAATTAAAACATATCACAAGAGAAAAAACACTTTCACTAAAAGGAAGACTGGAAGGAAGGAAAAAAGGAAGAGAGAGGCTGCAGGATATCCAGAAAACAAATAAAATGTCACGAATAAGTCCCTGCTTAGCAATAATAACATAGAATGTAAAAAGACTAAACTCTTCAATCAAAATACACTTGCTGAATGAATAAAAACAACAAGACCCAATGATATGTTACCTACAAAAAACAATTTATCTATAAAGATACACATAAATTGAAAATAAATAAATAAAGTAAGATGTTCCAAGCAAACAGAAACCAAAAAAGGGGAGGATTAGCTATACTTAGACAAAATAGATTTCAAGACAAAACCTGTAAAAAGAGACACAGAATGCCATTATATAATGATAACGATGTCAATTCAGCAACGGGATATAATAATTGTAAATACGCATGCACCTAATGCTGAAGTACCCAGATGTATAAAACAAATATTATTAGATGTAAAAAGATAAATAGACCCCCAATACAATAATAGCTGGATATTTCAATACCACAGTTTTGGCAATGAACAGATCATCCAGACAGAAAAATCAATAAAGAAACATCAGACTTAAACTGCACTGAAGACCAGATGAATAGATATTTACTAAACATTTTATCCAACCACTAACGAATACACATTGTCTATCCTGGATTATTCTCTAGGATAGACAATATGTTAGGCCACAAAACTTGTCTTTAAACTTCCAAAAAAATGAAATTATATTAAGTATCTTCTCTGATCACAAATGAATAAAACTAGAATTCAATAACAAGAGGATTTTGAAAATCATACAAACACATGGAAATTAAGCAATATGCTCTGGAATTACCAGTGGGTCAGTAAAGAAATTAAGAAGGAAACTTAAATTTTTTCTTGAAACTGGCAGGTGCAGTGGCTCACATCTATAATCACAGCACTTTGGGAGGCCAAGGTGGGGGGATTCCTTTAGCTTAGGAGTTTCAGACCAACTTGTCACTAAAAAATAAAAAAAAAATTTTTTTAATTGATTATCTGGGCTTGGCAGTGTGCACTTGTAGTCCCAGTTACTCAGGAGGCTGAGACAGGAAGATCACTTGAGCTCAAGAGGTCAAGGCTGCAGTGAGCTGTGATCATGCCTGTACTCTATCCTGGGTGACAGAGACAGACTTTGTCTCAAAAACAAAAAAAGAAAATTCTTGAAACAAATAAAAAAGGAAACACCACATACCAAAACCTATGAATACAGTGAAAGCAGTACTAAGAGGAAAGTATATAGCAACAAGAGCCTGTGTCAAAAAAGTAGAAAAAATTTAAATAGGCTAGAAACAGTGGCTCACACTTGTAATACCAGCAATTTGGGAGGCTGAGGCAAGTGGATCACTTGAGCTCAGGAGCTTGAGACCAGACTGGGCAACATGGCCAAACCCTGTCTCTATAAAAAAGTACAAAAATTAGCCAGGTGCACATATGTAGTCCTAGCTACTTGAGAGGCTGAGGTAGGAAGACTCCTTGAACCCAGGAGGTTCAGGCTGCAGTGAACCATGTATGCACCACTGCACTCCAGCCTGAAGGACAAAGTGAAACTATGTCCAAAAAAAAAAAAAGCTTAAATAGTCTAATGATACATCTTAAAGAACTAGAAAAACAAGAGCAAACCAAATCCAAAATTAGTACAAGGAAAGAAATAATAAATATTACAGTAGAAATAAATGAAAATGAAATTTAAAAATACAAAAAACTCAATGAAACAAAAAAGTTGTTTTGTGAAAAGCTAAACAAAATTGACAAACCATTAACCCAACTAACTTTGAATAAAAGAGAAAAGACTCAAATAAATAAAGTCAGAGATTAAAAGGGAGGCATTACAACTGATACTGCAGAAATTCGAAGTATCGTTGGAGGCTACTATGAACAACTCTATGATAATAAATTGGAAAACCTAGAAGGAATGGATAAATTCCTAGACACATACAACCTACCAGGATTGATCCAGGAATAAATCCAAAACATGAACATGCCAATAAAAAGTAATGAAATCGAAACTGTTCTGAAGAAGTCTCTCAACAAAGAAAAGCCTGGGACCGAATGGCTTCACTGCTAAATTTTAGGAAACATTTAAAGAAGAATTATTATCAAACATCCTCAAACTATTAAAAAAAAAAAAAGGAGGATGGAATACATCCAAACTTATTCTATGAGGCCAGTATTACCCTGACACCAAAAGACACATTAAAAAAGAGAAGAAAAGAAAACTTCAGGCCAATATCCCGGATGAAAATTGGTGCAAAAATACTCAACAAAATGCTAGCAAACCAAATTCAACAACACATTAAAAAGATCATTCATCATGTCCAAGTGGGATTTATTTCAGGGATTCAAGAACGGTCCAACATATGCAAATCAATCAATGTGATACATCATAACACCAGAATGAAGGACAAAAACCATATGATCATTTTAATTGATGCTGAAAAAGCACCTGATAAAATTTAACATCTCTTCATGATAAAACCCTCAAAAAAACAGGTATAGAAGGGACATACCTCAACACAATAAAAACCATACACAACAGACTCATGACTTGTATCATACTGAATGGGAAAAACTGAAGCCTTTCCTCTAAGATTTGGAATACAACAAGAGGATGCCAATTTTCACTGCTGTTATTCAACATAATACTGGAAATCCTAGCTATAACAGTCGGACAAAAGAAAGAAAAAAACATGCAACCAGATTGGAAAGGGAAGAAGTCAAATTATCCTTGTTTGCAGATGATATAATCTTATATTTGGAAAAACCTAAAGACTCCACCAAAAACTATTAGAACTGATTTTTAAAATTCATGAAGTTGGAGGATACAAAATTAACATACAAAAATCAGTAGCATTTCTATATGCCAACAGTGAAAAATCTGAAAAAGAAATCAAGAAAGTAATCCCATTTACAATAGCTACAAATAAAATAAAATATCTAGAAATAAATTTAACCAAAGAAATGAAAGGTCTCTACAATGAAAACTATAAAATATTGATGCAAGAAATTAAAGAGAAACAGGCATGGTGGCTCATGCTTATAATCCCAGCATTTGAGGAGGCCAAAGTGAGAGGACTGCTTGGGCCCAGGAGCTCAAGACCAGCCTGGGCAATATAGTGAGACCATATCTCTACAAAAAATAAATTTAAGGAAAAAATTAGCTGGATGTGGTGGTGCGTGCCTGTAGTCCTAGCTATGCGGTAGGCTGAGATGGGAGGATAACTTGAGCCTGGGAAGTTGAGGCTTCAGTGAGCCATGATTGTGCCATGATACTCCAGCTTTGCCCTCCAGAACTGGAGGGCATTATGTTAAGTGAAATAAGCCAGGCACAGAAAGACAAACTTTGCATGTTCTCACTTATTAAAAATTAAAACAATTGGTGACAAAGTGAGACGTTGTGTCTAAAAAACAAAACAAAAAAAAGGAAGAAATTCAAGAGGACACAAAAAACTGGAAAGATATTTTATATTCATGGATTAGAAGAATCAGTATTGTTGGCTGGGCATGGTGGCTCACGCCTGTAATCCTAGCACTTTGGGAGGCCAAGGTGGGTGGATCATTTGGAATCAGGAGTTCAAGACCAGCTTGACCTACATAGTGAAACCCCAACTCTACTAAAATACAAAAATTAGCTGGGTGTGGTAGCGGGCACCTGTAATCCCAGCTACTCAGAATACTGAGGCAGGAGAATCCCTTGAACCTAGGAGGTGGAGGTTGCAGTAAGCCAAGATCGTGCCACTGCACTCCAGCCTAGGCGACAGAGCAAGACTCCCTCTTAGAGGAAAAAAAAAGAATTAATATTGTTAAATATCCATACTACCCAAAGAAATCTACAGATTCAATGTAATCTCTATCCAAATACCAATGGCATTCTTCACAGAAATAGAAAAAAGTAATCCTAAAATTTATATAAAATCACAATACACACAGAATAGCCAAAGCCACCCTAAGGGGGAAAAATACTGGAGGAATCAAATTATCTGACTTCAAATTATACTACAGATCTATAGTAATCAAAACAGTATGGTACTGGCATAAAAATAGTCACATTGACCAATGAAACAGAATAAGAACTCAGATATAAATTCATACATCTACAGTGAATTCATTTTTGACAAAGTTGCCAAGCACATACACTGGGAAAAGAACAGTCTCTTCAACAAATTCTGATGGGAAAACTGGATGCCCATATGCAGAATGACACTAGACACCTATCTCTAGCCATATACAAACATCAAATCAAAATGGATTAAAGACTTAAATCTAAGATCTCAAACTATGAAACTACTAAAGAAAAACATTGGGGAAACTCTCCAGGACATTGGTCTCAGCACAAATCTATTGAGTAACACCCCACAAGCACAGGCAACCAAAGCAAAAATTGACAAATGGGATCACATGAAGTCAAAAAGCTTCTTCACAGCAAAGGAAACAATCAACAAAGCGAAGAGACAATCCACAGAATGGGAGATAATATCTGTAAACTATCCATCTGACAAAGGATTAATTACCAGAATATATAAGGAGCTCAAACAATTCTATAGAAAGAAAATCTAATATTCCAATTTAAAAATAAGCTTAAGATCTGAATAGACATTGCTCAAAAGAAGACATACAAATGGCAAACAGGTATATAAAAAGGTGCTCAACATCATTGATCAGAGAAATGCAAATCAAAACTAGAGTAAAATATCATCTCATCCCAGTTAAAATGGCTTTTATCCAAAAAACAAGCAATAACAAATGCTGGCAAGGATGTAGAGAAAGGGGAACCCTAGTACAATGTTGGTGGGAATGTAAATTAGTACAACCTGTATGGAGAACAGTTTGAAGTTTTCTCAAAAAACTAAAAGTACAACTACCCTATGATCCAGCAATCCCACTGCTAGGTATATACCCCAAAGAAAGGAAATCAGTATACTGAAAAGATATCTGCATTCTCATATTTATTGCAGCACTATTCATGATAGCCAAGATTTGGAAGCAACCTATGTGTCTATCAACAGATGAATGGATAAAGAAAACATGACACTTTTCAACTTTGTGGTTGAAAACATGAGACCTTGTCATTTGCAACAACATGAGTGGAACTGGAGGGCATTATGTTAAGTGAAATAAGCCAGGCACAGAAAGACAAACTTTGCATGTTCTCACTTATTAAAAATTAAAACAATTGAACTTATGGAGATAGAGAGTAGAATAATGGTTGCCAAAGGATGGAAAGGGTAATGGGGGTGAGAGGGGGAGGTAAGGATTGTTGATGGGTACAAAACTATAGATAGAATGAATAAGAGCTAGTGTTTGGTAGCACAACAGGGTGACTACTGTCAATAATAATTTATTGTACATTTTTAAACATTGAAAGTGTATAATTGGATTTTTTGTAATGCCAAGAGGATAAATGCCTGAAATGATGGATACCACATTTACCCTGATGTGATAATTATGCATTATATGCCTGTATCTCATATACCTCATGAATATATATATCTATTATGTACCCACAAAAATTTAAAAAAAGGAAATAAGAGGCATCCAAATTGGAAAGAAAAACGTAAAACTATCTCTGTTTACAGAAGACACGTCATATATTTAGAAAATGCTAAAACTACACACACACACACACACACACACACACACACACACACACACACAAACTCTTAGAACTAATCCAGTAAAGGGCAGGATACAAAATCTACTGTTACTTTTTAAAGACTTTAAAGCAATTCTCTGTTTTGTTTTTTCAGTTATCATCAATATGCTACCTTTAAAAAAAAAGTTTTACTTACATTATGGATACCTGTTTTCCACTCCAGCCCTAACCTGGCTTATTGAAGAACACAGTACATTCACTTCTCTGAACATAGTACATTCACTTCTATGATAGTTTTGCCCCCATAAGAGGACAGTAGACCATATGTCTTCACCATCTGGCAACAGAAGCTATAACAATGGTGTATTAGTTTCTTAGAGCTTGTGTAACAAAGAACCACAAATTAGATGTCTTTGAAAAAATAGATGTATTATTTCACAGTTCTGGAAGCTTGAGGTCTGAACTCAAAATGTCAGAATGAACATGCTTCTTCTGAAGCCTGCAACAGAGAGTTCTTCCTTGCCTCTTCACAGCTTCTGGTGGTTTTTGGTAATCCTTGATGTTCCTTGGCTTGCAACTGTAGCTCTTAAATCTCTGCCTCAGTCATAATCTGGCACTCTCTTCATGTGCCTGCGTCTCTGTGTCTCCTCTCTTCTTATGAAGACATCAGTCATATTAGATTTAGGGTCTAACCTACTACAACAGGACCTCGCCTTAACTACTTAGATTTGCAACAGCTCTATTTCTGAATAAGATCTCATTCTGAGGTCCTGAGAGCTAGAACTTCAACATATTTGAGGGGAAGGGACATAATTTAAACCATAACGAATGGATAAATACCTGACACAAACCAGGCTGTCTCAGAGAGAGTAGCTTCCTGGAAAAGTGGAGTCTATGACAAGACTTGTGAGTAAGTAGTATACTTGGGAAGCAAACCCAGTGAGCAGAAGTGAGAGGAAGAGAAGAGTGAGAAACGAAAGAAGGAAGAACCCATAGAAAGATGTGTTATTGAGATTGCCACTGTGGATGCAAAGGGCTCTATTCTACATGGACTTCAAAAAAGTGTACAGAACACCTCTCAAAACTACCTGCTGGGAGAATGAAAAGCAGCAGTATTTATGCACACGCTCTCACTGTTTATTGTTAGTGTGCTAACTCCCAAAGAATTTGAATTATTCACTCTTAAAAACCAATGCACATAGACAAAGTGAACCCTCCAAGGGCATCCCTAGCATATCAGAGGAGCTCCAGAGACAAAAGCAAAGATTTTTGGTAAGAAATTGTCAGCTCGAAGAGAATAGAAGCCTCTGTTTCATACACCTGGAGCCATGCCTGTCTCAGTGTCCTCTGATCCAACCATGCTGTCCCTCATGTGAAATTCAGCCCTTTCATTGTTTTCCACAGCCCAAAACAATCTCAGTAAGAATTTGTCACAATGGGGGAGGAGCCAAGATGGCCGAATAGGAACAGCTCCAGTCTACAGCTCCCAGCATGAGCGATACAGAAGACTGGTGATTTCTGCATTTCCATCTGAGGTACCGGGTTCATCTCACTAGGGAGTGCCAGACAGTGGGTGCAGGTCAGTGGGTGCGTGCACTGTGTGTGAGCCAAAGCAGGGCGAGGCATTGCCTCACTTGGGAAGCGCAAGGGGTCAGGGAGTTCCCTTTCCGAGTCAAAGAAAGGGGTGACAGACGCACCTGGAAAACCCGGTCACTCCCACCCGAATATTGCACTTTTCGGACCAGCTTAAAAAACTGCACACCACGAGATTATATCCCACACCTGGCTCAGAGGGTCCTATGCCCACGAAATCTCACTGATTGCTAGCACAGCAGTCTGAGATCAAACTGCAAGGTGGCAGCGAGGCTGGGGGAGGGGCGCCCACCATCGCCCAGGCTTGCTTAGGTAAACAAAGCAGCTGGGAAGCTCCAACTGGGTGGAGCCCACCACAGCTCCAGGAGGCCTGCCTGCCTCTGTAGGCTCCACCTCTGGGGGCAGGGCACAGACAAACAAAAAGACAGCAGTAACCTCTGCAGACTTAAATGTCCCTGTCTGACAGCTTTGAAGAGAGTAGTGGTTCTCCCAGCACGAAGCTGGAGATCTGAAAACGGGCAGACTGCCTCCTCAAGTGGGTCCCTGACCCCTGACCCCCGAGCAGCCTAACTGGGAGGCACCCCCCGGCAGGGGCACACTGACACCTCACACGGCAGGGTATTCCAACAGACCTGCAGCTGAGGGTCCTGTCTGTTAGAAGGAAAACTAACAAACAGAAAGGACATCCACACCAAAAACCCATCTGTACATCACCATCATCAAAGACCAAAAGTAGATAAAACCACAAAGATGGGGGAAAAAACAGAACAGAAAAACTGGAAACTCTAAAACGCAGAGCGCCTCTCCTCCTCCAAAGGAACGCAGTTCCTCACCAGCAACGGAACAAAGCTGGATGGAGAATGACTTTGACGAGCTGAGAGAAGAAGGCTTCAGAAGATCAAACTACTCTGAGCTACGGAAGGACATTCAAACCAAAGGCAAAGAAGTTGAAAACTTTGAAAAAAATTTAGAAGAATGTATAACTAGAATAACCAATACAGAGAAGTGCTTAAAGGAGCTGATGGAGCTGAAAACCAAGGCTCGAGAACTACATGAAGAATGCAGAAGCCTCAGGAGCTGATGCAATCAACTGGAAGAAAGGGTATCAGCAATGGAAGATAAAATGAATGAAATGAAGCGAAAAGGGAAGTTTAGAGAAAAAAGAATAAAAAGAAATGAGCAAAGCCTCCAAGAAATATGGGACTGTGTGAAAAGACCAAATCTACGTCTGATTGGTGTACCTGAAAGTGATGGGGAGAATGGAACCAAGTTGGAAAACACTCTGCAGGATATTATCCAGGAGAACTTCCCCAATCTAGCAAGGCAGGCCAACGTTCAGATTCAGGAAATACAGAGAACACCACAGAGATGCTCCTCGAGAAGAGCAACTCCAAGACACATAATCATCAGATTCACCAAAGTTGAAATGAAGGAAAAAATGTTAAGGGCAGCCAGAGAGAAAGGTTGGGTTACCCTCAAAGGGCAGCCCATCAGACTAACAGCGGATCTCTCGGCAGAAACCCTACAAGCCAGAAGAGAGTGGGGGCCAATATTCAACATTCTTAAAGAAAAGAATTTTCAACCCAGAATTTCATATCCAGCCAAACTAAGCTTCATAAGTGAAGGAGAAATAAAATACTTTACAGACAAGCAAATGCTGAGAGATTTTGTCACCACCAGTCCTGCCCTAAAAGAGCTCCTGAAGGAAGCGCTAAACATGGAAAGGAACAACCGGTACCAGCCGCTGCAAAATCATGCCAAAATGTAAAGACCATTGAGACTAGGAAGAAACTGCATCAACTAACGAGCAAAATCACCAGCTAACATCATAATGACAGGATCAAATTCACACATAACAATATTAACTTTAAATGTAAATGGACTAAATGCTCCAATTAAAAGACACAGACTGGCAAATTGGATAGAGTCAAGACCCATCAGTGTGCTGTATTCAGGAAACCCATCTCACGTGCAGAGACACACATAGGCTCAAAATAAAAGGATGGAGGAAGATCTACCAACCAAATGGAAAACAAAAAAAGGCAGGGGTTGCAATCCTAGTCTCGGATAAAACAGACTTTAAGCCAACAAAGATCAAAAGAGACAAAGAAGGCCATTACATAATGGTAAAGGGATCAATTCAACAAGAAGAGCTAACTATCCTAAATATATATGCACCCAATACAGGAGCACCCAGATTCATAAAGCAAGTCCTGAGTGACCTACAAAGAGACTTAGACTCCCACACATTAATAATGGGAGACTTTAACAAACACCCCACTGTCAACATTAGACAGATCAACGAGACAGAAAGTCAACAAGGATACCCAGGAATTGAACTCAGCTGTGCACCAAGCAGACCTAATAGACATCTACAGAACTCTCCACGCCAATTCAACAGAATATACATTTTTTTCAGCACCACACCACACCTATTCCAAAATTGACCACATAGTTGGAAGTAAAGCTCTCCTCAGCAAATGTAAAAGAACAGAGATTATAACAAACTGTCTCTCAGACCACAGTGCAATCAAACTAGAACTCAGGATTAAGAATCTCACTCAAAACCGCTCAACTACATGGAAACTGAACAACCTGCTCCTGAATGACTACTGGATACATAACAAAATGAAAGCAGAATAAAGATGTTCTTTGAAACCAACGAAAACAAAGACACAACATACCAGAATCTCTGGGACACATTCAAAGCAGTGTGTAGAGGGAAATTTATAGCACTAAATGCCCACAAGAGAAAGCAGGAAAGATCCAAAATTGACAACCTAACATCACAATTAAAAGAACTAGAAAAGCAAGAGCAAACACATTCAAAAGCTAGCAGAAGGCAAAAAATAACTAAAATCGGAGCAGAACTGAAGGAAATAGAGACACAAAAAACCCTTCAAAAAATTAATGAATCCAAGAGCTGATTTTTTGAAAGGATCAACAAAATTGATAGACCACTAGCAAGACTAATAAAGAAAAAAAGAGAGAAGAATCAAATATACACAATAAAAAATGATAAAGGGGATATCACCACCGATCCCACAGAAATACAAACTACCATCAGAGAATACTACAAACACCTCTACGCAAATAAACTAGAAAATCTAGAAGAAATGGATACATTCCTCGACACATACACTCTCCCAAGACTAAACCAGGAAGAAGTTGAATCTCTGAATAGACCAATAACAGGAGCTGAAATTGTGGCAATAATCAATAGCTTACCAACCAAAAAGAGTCCAGGACCAGATGGATTCACAGCCGAATTCTACCAGCGGTACACGGAGGAACTTGTACCATTCCTTCTGAAACTATTCCAATCAATAGAAAAAGAGGGAATCCTCCCTAACTCATTTTATGAGGCCAGCATCATTCTGATACCAAAGCCAGGCAGAGACACAACCAAAAAAGAGAATTTTAGACCAATATCCTTGATGAACACTGATGCAAAAATCCTCAGTAAAATTCTGGCAAAACGAATCCAGCAGCACATCAAAAAGCTTATCCACCAAGATCAAGTGGGCTTCATCCCTGGGATGCAAGGCTGGTTCAATATACACAAATCAATAAATGTAATCCAGCATATAAACAGAGCCAAAGACAAAAACCACATGATTATCTCAATAGATGCAGAAAAAGCCTTTGACAAAATTCAACAACCCTTCATGCTAAAAACTCTCAATAAATTAGGTATTGATGGGACGTATCTCAAAATAATAAGAGCTATCTATGACAAACCCACAGCCAATATCATACTGAATGGGCAAAAACTGGAAGCATTCCCTTTGAAAACTGGCACAAGACAGGGATGCCCTCTCCCACCACTCCTATTCAACATAGTGTTGGAAGTTCTGGCCAGGGCAATCAGGCAGGAGAAGGAAATAAAGGGTATTCAATTAGGAAAAGAGGAAGTCAAATTGTCCCTGTTTGCAGATGACATGATTGTATATCTGGAAAACCCCATTGTCTCAGCCCAAAATCTCCTTAAGCTGATTGGCAACTTCAGCAAAGTCTCAGGATACAAAATCAATGTACAAAAGTCACAAGCATTCCTATACACCAACAACAGACAAACAGAGAGCCAAATCATGAGTGAACTCCCATTCACAATTGCTTCAAAGAGAATAAAATACCTAGGAATCCAACTTCCAAGGGATGTGAAGGACCTCTTCAAGGAGAACTACAAACCACTGCTCAAGGAAATAAAAGAGGATACAAACAAATGGAAGAACATTCCATGCTCATGGGTAGGAAGAATCAATATCGTGAAAATGGCCATACTGCCCAAGGTAATTTACAGATTCAATGCCATCCCCCTCAAGCTACCAATGACTGTCTTCACAGAATTGGAAAAAACTACTTTAAAGTTCATATGGAACCAAAAAAGAGCCCAGATCGCCAAGGCAATCCTAAGCCAAAAGAACAAAGCTGGAGGCATCACACTACCTGACTTCAAACTACACTACAAGGCTACAGTAACCAAAACAGCATGGTACTGGTACCAAAACAGAGATATAGATCAATGGAACAGAACAGAGCCCTCAGAAATAACCCAGCATATCTACAACTATCTGATCCTTGACAAACCTGAGAAAAACAAGCAATGGAGAAAGGATTCCCTATTTAATAAATGGTGCTGGGAAAACTGGCTAGCCATATGGAGAAAGCTGAAACTGGATCCCTTCCTTACACCTTATACAAAAATCAATTCAAGATGGATTAAAGACTTAAACGTTAGACCTAAAACCATAAAAACCCTAGAAGAAAACCTAGGCATTACCATTCAGGACATAGGCATGGGCAAGGACTTCATGTCTAAAACACCAAAAGCAATGGCAACAAAAGCCAAAATTGACAAATGGGATCTAATTAAACTAAAGAGCTTCTGCACAGCAAAAGAAACTACCATCAGAGTGAACAGGCAACCTACAAAATGGGAGAAAATTTTCGCAACCTACTCATCTGACAAAGGGCTAATATCCAGAATCTACAATGAACTCAAACAAATTCACAAGAAAAAAAAAACAACCCCATCAAAAAGTGGGCAAAGGACATGAACAGACACTTCTCAAAAGAAGACATTTATGCAGCCAAAAAACACATGAAAAAATGCTCATCATCACTGGCCATCAGAGAAATGCAAATCAAAACCACTATGAGATATCATCTCACACCAGTTAGAATGGCGATCATTAAAAAGTCAGGAAACAACAGGTGCTGGAGAGGATGTGGAGAAATAGGAACACTTTTACACTGTTGGTGGGACTGTAAACTAGTTCAACCATTGTGGAAGTCAGTGTGGCGATTCCTCAGGGATCTAGAACTAGAAATACCATTTGACCCAGCCATCCCATTACTGGGTATATACCCAAAGGACTATAAATCATGCTGCTATAAAGACACCTGCACACGTATGTTTATTGCGGCATTATTCACGATAGCAAAGACTTGGAACCAACCCAAATGTCCAACAATGATAGACTGGATTAAGAAAATGTGTCACATATACACCATGGAATCCTATGCAGCCATAAAAAATGATGAGTTCATGTCCTTTGTAGGTACATGGATGAAATTGGAAATCATCATTCTCAGTAAGCTATCGCAAGAACAAAAAACCAAACACTGCATATTCTCACTCATAGGTGGGAATTGAACAATGAGATCACATGGACACAGGAAGGGGAATATCATACTCTGGGGACTGTGGTGGGGTGGGGGGAGGGGGGAGGGATAGCATTGGGAGATATACCTAATGCTAGATGACGAGTTGGTGGGTGCAGCCGCACCAGCATGGCACATGTATACATATGTAACTAACCTGCACAATGTGCACATGTACCCTAAAACTTAAAGTATAATAAATAAATAAATAAAAAATAAATAAAAAAAGAATTTGTCACAAAGGACATATTGTATGATTTCACTTATATGGGGTGCCTAAAGTTGTCACATTCATAGAGATAGAAAGTAGAATAGTAGTTTACAATGGCTGTGGGGAGGGGAAAGTGGAGAGATAATGGGTATGGAGTTTCAGTTTGGAAAACAAAAATTCTGGAGATGGATGGTGGTGATGGCTGCACCACAATATGAAGGAATCTAATGCCACCGAACTATATACTTAAATTTAGTTAATGTGGTAAATATTTTGTGTGATATATTTTGTGCTATTATATATATATATATATATAGTATATATATAGTATACATGTATAGTGCGATATATTTTGTGCTATTATATATAGTATACGTATAGTATACGTATACTATATATATACTATATTCTATATATACACCATATATAATATCATTTGAAAACATTAAAATTTTAATTAAATTTTAATTTAAATTTTAATTAAAAACAATTTGTGAGTTTATCAGATGTTCCTAAAGATTTGGGGTGGATTCACATTATGCAATTTCAATCTTCTACTGTCCTTTCTCTTCCTCTTCCCACTCTGCCCCTCATACCCCCGCTTTCCCATTGCCTTGGGCACACCAAATTCTACCTCTTCTATTACAAAGATAATTATTTTCCTAAATAAAGACACTTCTATGCAAAAAGAATTCTGGTGACTGCTATTTGAAAAATAACATTGTCTCCTTATTACACACAAGTTAGACTGGCCAGATTTCTAAGTTTTAGGAACAAAAACTACCTCTGACTAAAGCACAAGTACTTATATACATATTTCCTAGAAAGAATGAGATTGTCTTTCTTAGGCGTCTCTTCAAACTATAAGTGTGTGACATTAATTATAGAAAGTTGTAGCACACTGAATGAGCATATCACACATTAATATTTTCATATCTCTGAATTATGTAACAGCAGAGAGAGGAGAGATGAAGTGTTGGAGAAATATTGAAATAGAACTTACGTTTTCTGGCTTCTAAATTAGCAGAGTGTATTAGAAGACTGTGCCTGGATATCTGAAAACAGCCAAAAAGGGAGCTGCCGCCTCTCTAATTTAATGCCAAACTCCCGGGAGTAGTTTACTGCCAGGGTTTTATCATGTATTATGAGGACAAGTATTGGCAGGCTTCCATGAGATCCATATAAGCTTTTAACTCCTAGATCAGGTCATTGACTGATAACTGGATCCTCATATGGGCTTTTACTATCATTTTAGTAATACTCTTGGTGATTGAGTTGACTCCCATAAATCTAGTCCTGCTACTACCCCACTGGAGTGTATAGTGTTGATTCCTAACCACCTACCACTCTTGTACATTAACATTTCATAAAAGCTCTACTTACAGGTCTCCTAAAAGCTTTCTCATAGATAGACTAGAGTCTTCAAAGTCCTTTTTCTTTCCCAATAACTGAAAATAGTTCTTATACCTTAATAATAATTCAAAAACAAATGGACTTTTTCTATATAAAAATACAATATGTTATTCGGGCAGCAACAATATACCAAAGTTGTTAATAGGTGGCCCTGACTTAATATTCTTAACTGTTCTATGTTCCTATAGAATCACAAAATGTCAGTATTTGAGGATTGATTAAAGAACAGCTAATCCAGGGATTAAAATGGCTCATCTATAGGGTGGATCTGGTTTGCAGACATGTATTGTTCAGCACACACAATATTTCTAAACATTTGGAATTATCCACCACATTTTCAAATATTGCACATCAATATCTGAAGATCTGGCAATACTAGACTGGTGTTCTCTTGTAGTAATTATGGGCTGGAGCCAGGTAGTTGATGATACCTTTGTTCTCGTCTTTACCACAGTCCTCACCACATTGTGCTAGGTTTTTGTCACATCCTTTGCTCATCTCATCATGAGGCCTGAATTTTATATGGATTTGAAAATTTGATTGGTGTCATTTTAGAGATTAGAAAACATGAGATGTAGAGTGCTTAAATAACTCTCCTAAGAGCAAATAAACAATTACTGAAAAAGGTACCTGAACCGAATCTTATGTCTACACAAATTGCTGTAACATAAAGTGCTTCAATGGTCTAAGAGATACAGGTTGAGGAAACCTGCATTGTACTACCATGTCTCTTCTCTTAAAGTTTATTTTCCAAGTTTTTAAGTACTTTATTAGGTCAAGTTTTTTTTCCACAATCTTCAATTTACAATAAATGATCAAAATTTTTAATTCTAAATATTTAAAATAAAATTCATCTAATTCTTATTCAATATTATATTCCAGCAGTCTTACAGGCTTTAGTTATGGTTTTTCTTTTCTTTTTCTCTTTCTTTTTTTTTTTTTTTTTTTTTTGAGATGGAGTTTTGCTCTTGTTGCCCAGGCTGGAGTACAGTGGCGCAATCTCAGTTCACTGAAACCTCCACCTCCCGGCGTCAAGGGATTCTCCTACCTCAGCCTCCTGAGTAGCTGGGATTACAGGCACACACCACCACACTCAGCTAATTTTTTGTATTTTTAGTAGAAACGGGGTTTCATCATGTTGGCCAGGCTGGCCTCGAACTCCTGACCTCAGGTGACCAACCTACCTCAGCCTCCCAAAGTGTAGGGATTACAGGCATGAGCCACCGCGCCCGGCCATGGTTTTTATTTTCTAAGTGACAAACTGTGCTTGGATATTTTTGGATTTTTATTTAATCTAACAAACTTAAAACCAAAAAACAAAATGTCAATAGTCAGATGAATGTACGTTTTTTCTGTCTTGAATCATTTCAAATAATGACTGTGTTTTTAAAAATGTGAAGTATGTCTAATTATCTATTATTGTAATGCTTTTTCTGTATTCATAGTCAAAATATACTCTTTGTGTATTTTATTGATATATATTAGTTGTATATATTTTGGGGGTACAAGTGATATTTTGATACCCTTACACAATGTGCAATAATCAAATCAGGGTAACATAGATATCCATCACCTCAAACATGTATCTTTTGTTTGTGTTGGGAACATTACAAATCTTCTCTTCTAGGGCGAGGTGGCTCACGCCTGTAATCCCAACACTTATAGAGGCCAAGGCAAGCGGATTACCTGAGCTCAGGAGTTCGCAACGAGCCTGGGCAACACAGTGAAACCCCGTCTCTACTAAAATACAAAAAAAAAAAAAAAATTAGCCGGGCTTGGTGGCAGTCTCCTGTAGTCCCAGCTACTCGGGAGGCTGAGGCAGGAGAATTGCTTGAACCCGGGAGGTGGAGTTTGCAGTAAGCCGAGATCGTGCCACTGCACTCCAGCCTGGGTGACAGAGCGAGGCGCCTCTCAAAAATAAATAAATAAATAAATAAAAATAAAAATATATATATCCAATAAGTATTGTTAATTATAGTTTGCCTACTGTACTCCAAATACTAGAACTTATTTACTCTATCTAAATGTATTTTTATACCCCTTAATCAACTTCTCTTTATCCCCCTTCCCCCTTCACTTCCCAGCAGGATATGCTCTTTAAAATAATTACTAATGAATATTTTTGCCAAAAATAAAACACATACACCAGTTCCTAACACTGATTATCAAGATATTTATTTATAATAATTAGAAGATAATTAGAACTATTACTGAACTTATGAGAAGAAAGAATCCCAGCTCAAAAGAGGAGGCTGAGCAAATGACCCCCACTGAGAGAATAAATCTGAGAAACTGAAAACGATTTTCTAATATGCAATGAAATTTTAGTAAAATAAATATGCATAAACTGACATTTTAAGAGAACTCTCTAAAAATTACTAATTTTATATGAAAACATAAAACATTGTTGCTAAAATAAAAATATCAAGAGAGTGATAGAACAGCAAAATAGATGCTACTAAGTAGAATATTGGGAATAATTCAAGTAATTCTCCAAAGAAGCAATATGAAAATATTTAAAATTAAAATTATGCTTTAAAATATACAAGGAATGGAAGACAGTTGCAAAATTTAAAAAAAAAACAGACTAAAGAGAAGATTCATCAAAAATAAAACGACATTAATTGTTCCTGAACCAAAGAAAAACTTGAGTCTCAGATAAAAAGAACTAACTGAAAGCAGGGCAGATTATTTGGGAGAATAAAACTTATTTGTAGAAATAGCCCAGAAAAATACATATTTTCTAAGGCTAAAAAGAAATTTGAATCGCTTCTAAATAACAAAGCAACTCAAGAAAAATAAATCAGTAAGCATCAAACTTTCATCTATAACACTAAATGGTATAACACAATAAACCACAAGAATTCTCAAAATTAAATAGTCATTCTAACAAACGTTCATAAAAGAGGGAGAAAAGAATAGTAAGAGTGTGTGTGTGTGTGTGTGTGTGTGCGCGCGCACATGAATGCAAGCACACTAAAGAGCCGAGCAATGGGATGTAGTGACAGGTATTGTTTCTGTGTGCTTAGGAACACCTCCCTGTTGAACTTTCCTTCCCCTGCTCATTACAGTGCTGCTAGACTGATAATTCCAGGACCTTGCCCACTTGATCACTGGGGTGGAACTTACATACTGTCCTTCAGTGGTTTGAATCTTCAATAGAGAATCACATGAATGCAACATGATGGAAATTGATTCTTCTATTAACAGAATTCTTTAACCTCACCAAATACACTTTTGCTAGTTCATCACCTGTTTTAGAGTTGTTTTTCCATTTTGTTGAATTAATGCATGCACTTTTCCCATTTTTTACATCTGTTAGTCCATCTCCTAGAAACAACTATTCTACCCCGTATCATTTTTACACAATTTCTACTTCCATATCTTTTAATAATATACTTCTTATGCTGTTTTCTGATTTATAAAATTTAGGTATAATCTAATTATTATAATAAATGAGGAATCATTGGCTTACCACTAGCCTCCTTCCAACCAGTTGTTATATCCATATTTTGAGTTCCCGTGTAGTTTCTTTGTGTCTTTAGTAAAATATTAACATCTTTATTTTTTATTTCAAAGCTGTGGGAATGTATATTTTGTAGCAGTAAACCCAGTGCATACTTTGGCCAAATACTAAGCCAAACCCAAAGATGTTGCATCCATAATCTTTCTTCTCATGTTTGATGATGATATTAATGACCATAGTTTTCATTTCAGCATCACTATGTTCTTTTCTCCTGCAAATTTTATCATCTGCATAATAACTTTTGCAATGCTAAAGTTAAGGGTATTGATATATAATTAATTCTGCCATGGGTTAGCTGTAGGTTGAAGTCTAATTTGAAAGTCATTGAGAGCGTTAAGAATGTAAACATGGTTTTCTGCAGATCAAAGCAGTGTAGATTGATCGTTGTGATATTTTTAACTTTTATATTATGTTCAGGGATACATGTGCAGGTTTTTTATATAGGTAAACTCATGTGATGGGGGTTTGTTGTACAGATTATTTCATTATCCAGGTACTAAGTCTAGTATCCAATAGTTGTTTTTTTCTGATCCTCTTCCTCCTCCCACCCTTTTGTCTTGTCTTCAAATTTATTAGTATTTTATATCTACTGGGATGGAGAAAAAGCCTAGAAAAATAAGTATAGTTTTACTGAATCACCATTTCTTTTGATGCCTCTGTTTAGACTGCCTGCCCTCCAGGCCTGCTGCATGGCTGTATTTCTGGGGTTTCCCTTTGTAGCTCTTCTAGAGACAAATTGGCCCCACAGTCTCCAGGATGCCAAGATTTTTTCTGCTTACCTTTTCTTCCTCATTTAGATGCAGCCCAACCTCAAATAACCTCCCTTGCAAGGGAGCAGAAGATATTTTATGACTTTTTTTACATTATTTATTAGAAATCCAATGTCATTCTGTACTATCTTCTAACATTCAACATTGCTGATGGAAAATGTGATATGAGACTTGCCATTTTTCTGCAGGTCACATTGTTTCCTCAAGAAAAATTTTAGAAACTTCTCTATATCCTTAGCAATCTGAATTTTCACAATGGTATGTGTATTAGTCAGGGTTCTCTAGAGGGACAGAACGAATAGAATAGATATATACGTAAAGGGGAGTTTATTAAGTAGTATTAACTCTCACAATCAAAAGGTCCCACAATAGGCCATCTGCAAGGAACAGGGAAGCCAGTCTGAGTCCAAAGGCTGAAGAACTTGGAGTCCAATATTCAAGGGCAGAAAACATCCAGTGCAGGAGAAAGATGTAGGATGGGAAGCTAAGCCAGTGGAGCCTTTTTACTTTTTTCTCCCTGCCTTTATATCCTGGCTGAGCTGACAGCTGATTAGATGGTGCCCACCCAGATTAAGGGTGGGCCTGCCTTTACCAGCCCACTGACTCAAATGTTAATCTCCTTTAGCCACACCTTCACAGACACACCTAGGATCAATACTTTGCATCCTTTACTCCAATCAAGTTGGCACTCAGTATTGACCATTACAAGTCCACCGCTTGTCAACTTGAACCCATACGCACCTCCTGAGATCATACATAATCTTCAAATAAAGACAATACTAAGGTATAATTATGCCTAACATAATATAACTGTCCTTCGTACAACCAGAAATCCACCAATCACCAAAAAAAATGCTATTACATAGAGTTAACAATACTTAAATGCTGATATGAAGTCAATAAATCTAATGTCACATAATAAAGGAGAAAAGAAAATGAAATGGAGATATGTTCTTAGTACAAGTGTATACATGCACGAACATGTTTTTAACAAAAGAAGGAGGAAACACTCATTACAATTACAGTCCTTGTTTCTGCAACTGGCCACATGATCCTCGCTGGATTTGATGACTACCTTCTACTACCCATTCAGTATTTCCTTTGCCTTCAGCAAGCACCTCAGCAGGTCACGGTTTTTTTGTGGTAGAGTGACCCAAACCATTCCTGAAGGCTCTGGGCCATTTGTATTCCTGCCTGTATTGGGCTGTTATAGTTTCCCATTGACATTAATCACAGGACATGGGAATACTAAGAGATGCCCTGATGGATCTCCTGTATTCCATGCATACTCTTCCTTACCTCTGTTGTGGAGTACTAAACTGATTTCATCTTAATGGTCTGGGTCAATCACCCCAGTCAACACTGTAACTCTCTCCTTAGACTGTTGACTTAAAGGTAGGAGAAGCCCAAAGTGTCCAGGTGGCAATCTTAACTTCCAATTTAATGGAATTGTTCGTGTGCCTCCTGATGGCAGTGTTCCTCTCTCTGGAACTAAGACCTCTAGGCCAGTAGAACATAATGTCATGGGAACAGGAAGCAAAATTTTGCTAGTGGATCACTAGGGGTGATGGTGAGTCATGCCACTACCACTTCCACCCCTTGATTCCTGGGCCCATGAATTCTGGCTATAGGAGAAAAAATACCATATAATGGATGCTGGCTCAGAGCATACATAGCTTTCTGGAGAACTTTGCCTCAGCCCTGCAAAGTATTGTCACCTAGTTGGCATTATAATTGTGACTTCAAAAGGCCATTCCACCGTTCTATCAATCCAGCTGCTTCAGGAAGATGGGAACATGGTAAGACAAGTGAATTCCATGAGCATGAGCCCACTGCTGCACTTCTTTAGCTGTAAAGTGAGTGCCTTTGTCAGAGGCAATGCTGTGTGGAATACCATGATGGTGAATAAGGCATTCCATGAGCCCATGGATGGTAGTCTTGGTAGAAGCATTGCTTGCAGGATAGGCAAACCCATATCTGGAGTAAGTATCTATTCCAGTGAGGTCAAACCACTTCCCTTTCCATGATGGAAGAAGTCCAATATAATCAACCTGCCACCAGGTAGCTGGCTGATCACCCCAATGAATGGTGCCATATTGAGGGCTCAGTGTTGGTCTCTGCCACTGGCAAATTGGGCACTCAGCTGCGGCCATAGCCAGGTCAGCCTTGGTGAGTGGAAGTCCATGTTGCTGAGCCCATGAGTAACCTCCATCCTGCCACCATGGCCACTTTTTTGACAGGCCTATTGGGTGATGACAGGGGTACTGAGGAAAGAGGCTGACTGCTGTCCACAGAACGGGTCATCGTATCTATTTGATTATTAAAATTCTCCTCTGCTGAGGTCATCTATAGGTGAGCACTCACACAGGATATAAATGTCTTCACAGTTTTCGACCACTCAGAGAGGTCCATCCACATACATCTTCCCCAAATTTATTTGTCACTAATTTTCCAATCATGCTTCCTTCAAGTCCCTGACCATCCAGCCAAACCATTGGCTACAGCCCATGAATCAGTATATAATCACACATCTGGCCCTTTCTCCTTCCATGCAAGGTACACAACCAGGTGCACTGCTTAAAGTTCTGCCCACTGGGAAGACTTCCTCTCACCACTGTCCTTCAAGGATGTCTTAGAAAGGGGCTGTAGTGCTGCAGCTGTCCACTTTCAGGTGGTGCCCACATATCATGCAAAACCATGTGTGAACCAGGCCCTAGTCTTCTCTTCCTTTGTCAACTGATCATGGGCAACAACCTATGAGGCCATCAGTGCAGGGTGGGAGAGAGAAGGCAGGGTGGCTGGAGTGGAGACCATGGGCATTTGAGCCACTTTCCTTATGTAACTTACTTGTTGCCTTCAGGACCTACTTGAGCCTGATCACGTATATATACCACTTCCATTTGATGATGGAATGCTGCTGTGCACTACCCATTTTATGGCTAAACGGGTCAGAAAGCACCCAGTTCACGATAGGCAGTTCAGCTCTCATGGTGACTTCATGACCCATAGTCAAATGTTCAGTTTCCACCAAAACCCAGTAACAGGCCAAGAGCTGTCTCTCAAAAGGAGAGTGGTTATCTGCAGGAGACGGCAGGGCCTTGATCCTAAATCCTAGAGGCCTTCACTGTGATTCACCTATGGGGGCCTGCCAAAGGCTCCAAACAGTATCCCTATCTGCCACTGACACCTCAAGCACGATTGTATCTGCTGGGTCATATGGCCCAAGTGGCAGAGCAACTTGCACAGCAGCCTGAACCAGTTACAGAGCCTTCTCCTGTTCTGGACCCCACTCCTGGTATCAAAATCTGTATTAGTCAGGGTTCTCTAGAGGAACAGAACGAGAGAATAGGTGTATATATAAAGGGGAGTTTATTAGGTAGTAATAACTCACACAATCACAACCTCCCACAATAGGTCATCTGCAAGCTGAGGAGCAAGGAAGCCAGCCTGAGTCCCAAAGCTGAAGAAATTGGAGTCCAATGTTCAAGGGCAGGAAGCATTCAGCACAGGAGAAATATATGTGCTGGAAGGCTAAACCAGTCTAGCCTTTTTATGTTTTTCTGCCTGCTTTATATCCTGGCTAAACTGACAGCTGATTAGATGGTGTCCACCCAAATTAAGGGTGGGTCTGCCTTTCCCAACCCACTGCCTCAAATGTTAATCTCCTTTGGCAGCACCATCATAGACACACCCAGGATCAATACTTTGCATCCTTCAGTCCAGTCAAGTTGATACTCTGTATTAATCATCACAGTATGTCTAAGAATGTGTCTTCATTCATTGTGCTGGGAACTCAGTGCAGTCTTTAATTGCAAGTTAAAATCACCTTGGATTTTTTATTTGCTAATTTTGTCTACATCATTTTCTTTGTCATCTCTTTGTGGAATTCTTGGTAGCTTATTTTCGTCTCTTAGATTATGCATTTTAAATATTTTCTACTTTCTGTTTAATTTATTTATGTCTTCCAAAGTGTCTACCAAATTGTTTTCTAGCAATATTTTAGCACCATCAGGATTCAGTACCTTGGACAGTTCTCTGGGTGACGATGTAATTCAGGGCACCAATTAGCATGCTGAGGGCCACAGACATCAAACCAGAGTGAGAGAGGAGAGAGAGTTTGAGTGGAAAAAAAAATAATTGTTTGTGAGATCAGAAGACAATCTCAAGAACTTTCAAATAACCATGAGATATGGGGTAAAGCAGAAATTCTAATTTGATGGGCATCTATTATCTATCCAGCACTGTTTTCTAGGATTTCTCCACCAGCATCTCTGCTCCACTACACAAACATACACACACACACTCCCCAACATGACTGATACAGTTTGGCTGTGTCTTCACTGAAATCTCAACTTGAATTGTATCTCCCAGAATTCCCACATGTTGTAGGAGGGACCCAGGAAGAGGTAATTGAATCATGGGGCCTGGTCTTTCCCATGCTATTCTCGTGATAGTGAATAAGTTTCACGAGATCTGATGGGTTTATCAGGGGTTGTCGCTTTTGCTTCTTCCTCATTTTTCTCTTGGCACCACCATGTGAGAATTGTCTTTCACCTCCCACCATGATTCTGAGGCCTCCCCTGCCATGTGGAACTATAAGTCCAATGAAACCTCTTTTTGTTCCCAATTTTGTGTATGTCTTCATCAGCAGCATGAAAACAGACTAATACAGTAAATTGATACCAGTAGAGTAGAGCACTGCAGAAAAGTTACCCAAAAATGTGGAAGCGATTTTGGAACTGGGTAACAGGCAGAGGTTGGAACATTTTGGAGAACTCAGAAGAAGACAGAAAAATGTGGGAAAGTTTGGAACTTCCTAGAGACTTGTTGAAGGGCTTTGCCCAAAATGCTGATAGTGATATGAACAATAAAATTCAGGCTGAGGTATTCTCAAATGGAGATGAGGAATTTGTTGGAAACTGGAGCAAAGGTGACTCTAGTTATGTTTTAGCAAAGAGACTGGTGGTATTTTGCCCCTGCCCTAGAGATTTGTGAAACTTTGAACTTGAGAGAGATGATTTAGGGTAACCAGTGAAAGAAATTTCTGAACAGCAAAGCATTCAAGAGGTAACTTGGGTGCTGTTAAAGGCATTCAGTTTTATAAGGGAAGCAGAGCATAAAAGCTTGGAAAATTTGCAGCCTGACTATGTGATAGAAAAAGAAAAACCCATTTTCTATGGAGAAATTCAAGCTAGCTGCAGAAATTTGCATAAACAGGAAGGAACCTAATGTTAATCCCCAAGACTATGGAGAAAATGTCTCCAGGCCATGTCAGAGAACTTCCTGGCAGCCTCTCCCACCACAGGCCTGGAGGACTAGGAGAAAAAAGTGGTTTTGTGGGCTAGGCCCAGGGTTCCTATGCTGTGTGCAGCCTAGGGATTTTGTCCCGTGTCCCAGCAGCTCCAGCCATGGCTGAAAGGGGCCAATGTGCAGCTCAGGCTGTGGCTTCAGAGGGTGGAAGCCCCAAGCCTTGGCAGCTTCCACGTGGTGTTGAGCATGCAGGTGTGCAGAAGTCAAGAACTGAGGTTTGGGAACCTCTGCCTAGATTTCAGAAGATGTATAAAAACCCCTGGATGCCCAGGCAACAGTTTGCTGCATAGGCAGGGCTCTCATGGAGAACCTCTGCTAGAGCAATGCAGAAGGGAAACATGAGGTCAGAGGACCCACACAGAGTCCCTACTGGGGCACTGCCTAGTGGAGCTGTGAGAAGAGGGCCACCATCCTCCAGACCCCAGAATGGTAGATCCACTGACAGCTTACACCACAAACCTGGAAAAGCCATAGACACTCAATGCCAGCCTGTGAAAGCAGCCAAAAGGGAGTCTGTACACTGCAAAGCCACAGGGATGAAGCTGCCCAAGACCATGGGAACCCACCTCTTGCATCAGTGTGACATGGATATGAGACCTGGAGTCAAAGGAGATCATCTTGGAGATTTAAAATTTGATTTCCCTGCTGGATTTTAGACTTGCATGGGCCCTGTAGCCCTTTTGTTTTGGCCAAATTCTCCCATTTGGAATGGCTGTATTTACCCAATACCTGTACCCCATTGTATGTAGGAAGTAACTAGCTTGCTTTTGATTTTACAGGCTCATAGGCAGAAAGGACTTGCCTTGTCTCAGACAGGACTTTGAACTGTGGACTTTTGGGTTAATGCTGAAATGAGTTAAGATTTTGGGGTACTGTTAGGAAGGCATGGTAGGTTTTGAAATGTGAGGACACGAGATTTGGAGGGGCAAGAGGTAGAATAATATGGTTTGGCTGTGTCCCTACCAAAATCTCAACTTGAATTTATCTCCCAGAATTCCCACATGTTATGGGAGGGACCCAGGGGGAGGTAATTGAATCATGGGGGCCAGTCTTTGCCATTCTATTCTCATGATAGAAGTCTCACAAGATCTGATGTGTTTATCAGGGATTTCTGCTTTTGCTTCTTCCTCATTTTTCTCTTGCCGCCATCATGTAAGAAGTGACTTTCACCTCTCGCCATGATTCTGAGGCCTCCCCAGCCATGTGGAACTGTAATTCCAATGAAACCTCTTTGGGATTGTCTTTATCAGCAGTATGAAAACAGACTAATACAATGACTATGACTCAATAAGTTACCATGTTCCTCGAGCTCTGCCTCATCACACTGTTGACCTCAGTTGATTAATTCAGAGGTGAATATCTGACCAAGACGAGTTCATCAGTTCCCTTTCCAATGATTTTTTAAAATAAGCTATTTATTTTAGAATTATTTTAGATTTATGGAATATCTGTGGAGATAGTGTACACTACACCCACAACTAATTTCTCCTGTTATTAATATCTTACACTATTATGGTACACTTCTTATAGTTAATTAACCAATATTTATATATTAAGATACCCCTTTTTTGATTACCTTGATGCTTTTGAGAAGTATTGATCAGGTATTTTTGAAAAGTCCCTCAGTTGGAACTTATCTGACGTTTCTTTCATGGTTAGACTGGGGTTATGAGTTTTGGGAAGAAAGACTATAGAGATCAACTGTCATTCTCAACAAATCATATCAAGGTACTCCACTATCATCATGAATTATCACTGTTGATGTTAATTTTGATCACCTTGCTGAAGTAGTGTTTGTCAGCTTTCTTCACTATAAAGTTATTCTTTTCCTCCTTCAATAATGTAGAATTTGAAAGGAAGTTGCTATGTGCAGCCCACACTTAAGGAGTGTGGAGTTATGTTCCACCTTCTTAAGGACCTACTATCTACATAAACTTTTTGAAATTTTTCTGCACAGGAGATTTTCCTCATCTTCTCCATTCATTTATTTATTTAGTCATTTATTTGTATTAGCAGGGATTCATAAATATTTATTTTATACTTTGGGCTATAATTCAATGATACTTTATTTGGTTGCTCAAGTTATTCTAGCTTTGGCCACAGGCAGCTCCTGCCCCAAAGATTTTTAAAATTGTAATAAGAAACCAATCAGCCTCTGTCTCTAGATGACTAAACCTATTTTTATCTAAAACTCGAAAGCTGTTGGAAACCAATTTTTTTCTACCAGAGTATAAATATGATGGAACCAATTATGCAGAGAGAAAATAATGTAAAGTAAGAAGCCCAGAAAAGAAGCAAAAGCACACACCCTTATTCCCTCCCAATTCTTTAGTTAGATCCACATCCTGGGAAGTCCTGTTGTCCTATTCTGAGGTTTTGTGTGCCATTCCAGTTTCTGCATACAAAATATCTCTTTTTCTTTAAATTGGATCCATCTATTCAACCTGAAGAGTTCAAACAGCTACAAGAAGAAACTGCATTATTTGGGTGGGGACACAGGCGAGGAGATTTCCAGTAGTGGTTATTAATATCATTCATTGAAACCTAGAGACCCAGGGTTCAGTTGCATTTCCGACAGTCCCTGGCTTGTTCCTGCCATCCTTGGCACTGCCCAAGAGGCCTCTGATGATGACTGCCACTGATATGCTCAGCTCTGTCCACCTCTGGGATTAATGAGATCTTTGTCTGAGTTCCCTGGCCTGCCAGCTCCTCTTCTGTTGCTCCCATCAGTTTTACACCTTTCATTCTTCCTATCTCCACCTTGCCTACCCACTCCACCCAACTTTCTTTTTCCTGTAGTAGTTTTACTACAGGATCTGCTTCAATTCCTGGTGGAAAGTCACGTTGGTACTTAGTGTTTGGACAGTATATTATACATTATAATGACAGTATAAGATTTGTAGACAAATATCATTCCACTTTAAGAGTAAGTTTTAAGGTAGATATTATTCCAATATCTCGAATTAGAAAACTAGAAAATTTCAAATTAGAAAACTATCATTCATACTCATTGAGTCCTCTTTCACATAGTGAAAGCGAGTTTCAACCAAGGTTTTGACTCCAACTACTGTGCTCATTCCACAATACTATACCGCATGCATTAAAAGAGTGACAAGTTAAGCTGCATTCTTATTCTTTGGTTGAAGGAAATATCTAGTGACCTTACGAGGCAGCCTTCTTAGTATAGCCAAGAAAACCATCGGGTCTGTATGTGCAACCAACCTAATGTTCATATAGATCATCATTTTACCGATATGGTGAAGGTAAATTACTCCTTTTACATATTACAGTAGTTATGAGGAAGCTAAAGGAATAATCTGATTTCATTTCTATAAATGTATGGGGTAGGACAGCAATTTTGTTACATCCATAGATTGCATAGTAATCAAGTCAAGGCTTTTAGGGTATCTATCACCTGAATAACATACGCTGTACCTATTGAGTCATTTTTCATCATCCACTCCCTTCCCAATCCCTCACCCTTCCAAGTCTTCATTGTCTATTATTTCACTCTTTATGCTCATGTGTATACAGTTCTTGGCTCCTGCATATGAGTGAGAACATGTGATATTTTTCTTGCTGTGCCTGACTTGTTTCACTTAGGATAATGATCTCCAGTTCCATCCATGTTGCTGCAAAAGACATGATTTCCTTATTTTTAATGGCTGAACAGTATTCCATTGTGTGTATATATACCACATTTTCTTTATTCAATAATTCATTGATAAACACCTAGGTTGATTCCAAATCTTTGCTACTGTGAACAGTGTTGTGATAAACATATGAGTGCAGGTATTTTTTGGCATATTAATTTCTTTTCCTTTGGGATTAAATGGTAGTTCTATTTTCAGCTTTTTGAGAAATCTTTATACTGTTTTCCATAGAGATTGCACTAATTTACACTGCCAGCAACAGTGTATAATAGTTCCTTTTTCTCCACATCCTCGCCAACATCTATTGTTTGTTTTTGAGACAAGGTCTTGCTGTGTCACCCAGGTTGGAATGCAGTGTGTAATCACAGCTTACTGCAGCCTCCAACTCCTGGGTTCAAGCAATCTTCCCACCTCAGCCTCCTGGGTAACTGGGACTACAGGCACACGCCACTATGCTTGGCATTTTTTTTTTTTTTTTTTTTTTTAGAGGCAGGGACTCACTATGTTGACCAGGCTGGTCTCAAACTCCTGGCCTCAGGTGATCCTCCCGCTTCAGCCTCCCAAAGTCTTGGGATTACAGGAGTAAGCCACCATGCCCAGTGCTGTTATTTTTTGACTTTTTAGTAATAGCCATTCTGTCTAGGGTAAAATGATATTTCATTGGGATTTTAATTTGCATTTCTCTGGTGATTAGTGATGTTGAGCATTGTTTCATACACCTGTTGGCCATTTGTATGTCTTCTTTTGAAAAATGTCTGTTCATGCCCTTTGCCACTTTTTAATGTGATTATTTGGGGTTTTTTGTGTTGAGTTGTTTGAGTTTCTTGTATATTCTGTATATTAGTCGTCTGTCAGATGCATAGTTTGCAAATATTTTCTCCCATTCTACAGGTTGTCTGTTCAATCTGTTGATTGTTTCTTTTGTTGTGCAAATGCTTTTTAGTTTAATTAGGTCCTGTTTGTCTATTTTGTTATTTTGTTGGCTGTTATTTTGAGGTTTTAGTCATACTTTGCCTAGACCAACAAGCAGAAGAATTTTCCCTATGTTTCCTTCAAGTATTTTTATAGTTTCAGATCTTACATTTAAGTCTTTGGTCCATCTTGAGTTGATTTTTGTATATGATGAGAGAGATAAGTCTATTTTCACGTATCTGCATATGAATATTCAATTTTCCTAGCACTATTTATTGAAAAGGATGTCCTTTCTCCAATGTATGTTCTTATCAGCTTTGCTAAAAATCAGTTGGCTATAAATATGTGGCTTTATTTCTGGGTTTGCTATTTTGTTTCATTGATCTATGTGTCTCTCATACCAGTACCATAGTGTTTTGGTTACTATAGCCTTGTAATGTAATTTGAAGTCAGGTGATGTGATGCCTCCAGCTTTGTTTGGTTTTTTTTTTTTTTTTAGGGTTGCTTTGGCTGTTCAGGCTCTTTTTTAGTTTCATATGAACTTTAGGATTTTTTTTTCCTGATTCTGTGAAAATGACATTGGCATTTTGATAGGATTCCATTGAGTCTGTAGATTGCCTTAGGCAGTATGGTCATTTTAACTACATTAATTCTTCCAATTCATGAGCATGGGATGTTTCTCCATTTGTTTTTGTCATCTACAATTTCATTCATTAGTGTTTTGTAGTTTTCTTTGTAGAGATCTTTCACCTCCTTGGTTAAATATATCCCTACATATTTTTTCATAGCTAAGGTGAGTGGGATTGCCTTCTTGATTTCTTTTTCAGCTAGAACGTTATTGTTGTATAGGAACACTACTGATTATATGTTGATCGTGTATACTGGAACAATCTTATTGATTGTTGTTAATGATGTGTAATAACCACTGAAAACATGATTCCAACTTTATCTTTAAACTATAACTCAAAACAATGATAGATATTTTAAGAATTAGACCGATTTTTTGTCATTGGAAGCTAAAAATCAGCTTTATCTAGAAGGTGTAAAAAACACTTTAGTACAAACCTACCTAGATTGGGAAATTTACCGGAACTCATTTATTCAATAGTTATGCATATTTCAAATAAAGCTGCCATTTTTTTTTATTTCTGCTTTTATAAACTACCACAAACTTAGCAGCTTAAAACAGCATAAGTTTATTATCTTACCATTGTGGAGGTCAGAAATTTAACATGGGTCTCACTGGACTAAAATCCAGTGCTGTGTCTCTTTCCGGAGGCTCTAGGGGAGGATTCATTTCCTCGCTCATTCAGATTGTCAGCAGAATTCAGTTCTTCGTGTTGTAGGACATAAATCTCTATTTCTTTACTGGCTGTCAGCGAGGACTTTCCATCTTCTAGAGGCCATGGCATTCCTTAGCTCAGGGCTCCCTTCCCCATTTCAAAACCAGTAATAGTGGGCAGAGGCCTTCCAAAGCCTCAAATCTCTCTTCCTTCCATCTCATCCCCCGACACAGCCAGGAAAATTTACCCACTTTTAAGGACTCATACGATTATGTTGGGCCCACATAGATAATCCAAGATAATACCCCCATTTTGACATCTGTTCCTTTCATCACAACCACAAAGCCTCCTTTGCCATGTAAGGTAATGTATTCACATGTTCAAGACATTCAGGGGTGGGCATATTTGGGGGCTATTATTCTGCCTACCACAGTTACCATACCACTGCAACTTTCAACCACATAAACTATTATAGTAATTTAAACTCCTCACATTAATCTGCTGCATTATAATAAACAGCAATGCCTTAAATGTTTTTCCCCATTTTGAATTTTTTCTTAATTTTCTTCTCAAGAAAAAATTTGTGCTGTGTCCATAAAATTTAGCAAACGAATATATACAATAATTTCATTCACAATGAATTTTATAAACCATTTTCATGAACAAATACATTTAACAAGTTCTATTTGCTTTCTTTTCATTTCCTCATACAACCATCCACTGACTTAATTTGATTTCATAGAGATTTAGGGCTGCTTTCTCTCTTCTTGAATGTTGAAATTATGCTTTCACAGTAGATAGGCTTTCTGAGGAATAAGAATCACTTGTGCTTTTTTCTATGTGAGGAAATTAGAA
This sequence comes from Homo sapiens, assembly GCF_000001405.40. Lineage (NCBI taxonomy): Eukaryota > Metazoa > Chordata > Mammalia > Primates > Hominidae > Homo > Homo sapiens. The sequence continues at coordinate 17,351,239 of NC_000021.9, forward strand.
TTTTCAGCTTCACCAGAGATTATTTCATCCTTGAACAGTGACTAGTTAGCTTTCAATAATGAGATCTGACTCCCACTCAATCTAAATAAAACATTTAAAATACTACTTAATTAACAATAAAATGATTTTTCCAGTAACCAATTTCCTAGCAAATGCACTATATAAATATCAAGTTCTCCTTTTCTCTGCCAATACTTAGCAACTTAACTTCTGTATTAGAAAGGTCAGAAGAAATGAGAGATGCAATTTAAAATCAGTTGGTATTCCTATAAACTTTTTAATAGTGCTGGTAAAGAATGGGTTCTAATTTATAATTATAATATGTGGTTTAAACAATGCTTCTCCTTCTTTTTTAGCTTTTTCCTCAAGTCCATGAAAAGGCCTACTAAGTCTAATTACTTATGCCTCTCTTTGTTTTCTTCTTTCCTATTATCTTAGGCACAACCAGCTTCAAATATCACGTCTATGCAGGTAACTCAAGTCCGTGTTGCCATACTATCAAATGACCTATTTTACATTCCTATCAAAGATGCATTTAAATACTTCCTATTGACTCAAAATCAAAATACTGAAACTTTAGTCATTAATCCCATGATCTTCATAATTATTGTCCTTAAAACACTGAAGAGCGAAAACACAAAGGGGATAGAAAAAGAACTTTTCAGTGGAATGCCTGAGAAATTAAAGGATGTGACACATTTGATCATGTGGTGTTGAAAAGTGAATCGGGATCATGGGGATCATTGTGGATGGGAAGCAGGACTAGACTGCAGCTCTGACTCAGACAGAGCAGTGTGTGGAGGCTTGTATCATGAATTTTTGCTCCAGAACAACTACAGTAATAAACCAGGAAAACTGGGAAGATCCACAGACCCCCTGAAGAAAGCAAATTGCTCTTGCAGGACCTGGGAGACACCCTAAATATTGTGAGTGCCCAAACTGTGGAAGTGGGAAAGGGAGATTGCCTGCCCCCGAACACACAACCCCCACTGGGGAAACTGAAAGTCTAGAATATGGGAGAAGATTTTGACCTTACCTGGAGCTGAGTCAATTTAGAGAGCTGAGTGAAATACAGGGGTAGTGGAAGCAGCAGGAAAAGCCCTGGGAGTTCACTGGGTCCCCTAGCAAGCCACTTTTCCCTGGCCTCACAGGGGTCCTTCGTGGGAGCAGCCAGAGACACTGGGAAGAGGTCACAGGAAGAAGGAAATCTCCAGCTGAACTCTGTAACAATTTGAACTCATCAAGAAGCTTCCTACTTTGGGAAGCCCAGGTGGGCGGATCACGAGGTCAGGAGATGGAGACCATCCTGGCTAACACACTGAAAAGAAATACAAAAAAATTAGCCGGGTGTGGTAGCGGGCACCTGTAGTCCCAGCTAATAGGGAGGCTGAGGCAGAAGAATGGTGTGAACCCGGGAGGCGGAGCTTGCAGTGGCCCAGATCACTCCACTGCACTCCAGCCTGGGTGACAGGGCAAGACTCCATCAGAAAAAAAAAAAAAAAAAAAGCTTCCTGGCTAGAACTCAGGGGAGGGCATGAATCCAATGTGCAGACTCCACATGTGGGGTAAGAAGGAAAGCCATATTTGCATTTGCAGCTGGGAGGTGGGTAACCTGGGGCAAGTTATCAGCCATGCTCACCCACTGCCTACAAACAGACTCGGTGCTGTTGGGAAGGGGCAAGATGGGAGAGAGACCAGCCCTTCAAATTTTGTGTGGGAGCTGGGTGAGGCCTGTGACTGCCAGCTTTCCCCTGCTTCCCTGACAACTCACTACTGTGCATGACACAGTACAGACAGTCATAATCCTCCTAGGAACAGAACTCCATTGACCTGGGAACCTCATCCTCATTCCCCACAGCAGCTGAAGCAAGACCCACCCAGGCAGAGTCTGAGCTCAGACATGCCCAGCCCTGCCCCCACACAATTGTCCTTCCCTACCCAACCTGGTAACTGCAGACAAAGGGCCATATACTCTTGGGAGTTCTAGGGCCCCCACCCACCACCTGTTTCTCTCCATACTACCACAGCTGATGCTCTCTGGAAAGCACCACCTCCTGGCAGGAGGCCAACCAGCACAAAAATAGTGCAATAAACCAACAAAGCCAAGTACCCTCGCAGAGCCCATTTTACTCCCCCACCACCTCCACCAGAGCATACGCTGGTATCAATGGCTGAGAGACCCACAGACGGTTCACATCACAGGCCTCTATGCAGACAACCCCCAGTACCAGCCCAGAGCCTGGTAGACTTGCTGGATGGCTAGATCCAGGAGAGAGATAACAATCTCCACAGCTCAGCTCTCAGTAAACCACATCCCTAAGAAAAGGGGGAGAGTACTACATCAAGGCAACACCCCATGGGACAAAAGAATCTGAACAACAGCCTTCAGCCCTAGACCTTCCCTCTGACAGAGCCTACCCAAATGAGAAGGAACCAGAAAACCAACTCTGGTAATATGACAAAATGAGATTCTTTAACACCTCCAAAAAAATCACATTAGCTCACCATCAGTGGACTCAAACCATGTAGAAATCCCCAATTTACCTGAAAAAGAATTCAGAAGGTTAATTATTAAGCTAATCAGGGAGGCACCAGAGAAAGGTGAAGCCCAATCTAAGGAACTACAAAAAGTGATACAAGAAGTGAACACAGAAATATTCAAGGAAATAGGTAACATAAATAAACAACAATCAAAACTTCAGGAAAGAATGGACACACTTATAGAAATGCAAAATACTCTGGAAAGTCTCAGCAAGAGAATTGAACAAGTAGAAGAAAGAAATTCAGAGCTCAAAGACAGGGTCTTCGAATTAACCCAATCCAACAAAGACAAAGATAAAAGCATAAGAAAATATGAACAAAGCCTCCAAGAAGTCTGGGATTATGTTAAATGACCAAACCTGAGAATAATTCATGTTCCTGAAGAACAGGAACCTAAGAAGAGAAATCTAAAAGTCTGGAAAACATAGTTGGGGGAATAATTAAGAAAAACTTACCCAGCCTTGCTAGAAGCCTAGACATCCAAATACAAGAAGCACAAAGAACACCTGGAAAATTCATCACAGAAAGATCATTGCCTAGCCACTTTGTCATCAGGTTATCTAAAGTTAAGACAAAGTGAGAGGTGAAGCCAGCTGAACTTCCTGGGTCGAGTGGGGACTTGGAGAACTTTTCTGTCTTACAAGAGGATTGTAAAATGCACCAATTAGCACTCTGTAGCTAGGATTGCAAAATGCACCAATCAGTGCTCTGTGGCTAGCTACAGGTTTGTAAAATGGATCAATCAGCACTCTGTAAAATGGACCAATCAGCACTCTATAAAATGGACCAATCAGCACTCTGTAAAATGGACCAATAAGCAGGACATGGGTGGGGACAAATAAGGGAATAAAAGCTGGCCACCCCCAGCCAGCAGCAGCAACTTTCTCGGGTCCCCTTCCATGCTGTGGAAGCTTTGTTCTTTTGTTCTTCACAATAAATCTTGCTACTGCTCACTCTTTGGGTCCATGCCACCTTTAAGAGCTGTAACACTCACCACGAAGGTCCACGGCTTCATTCTTGAAATCAGTGAGACCAAGAACCCATCAGAAGGAACCAACTCTGGACACAAAAGGAAAGAATCTTAAGAGCTGTGAGACAAAATCACCAGGTAACCTATAAAGGAAAACCTATCAGGTTAACAGCAGATTTCTCAACAGAAACCCTACAAGCTAGAAGGAATTGAGGCCCTATTTTAAGCTTCCTCAAAAAAAAAAAAATTATCATGTAGGAATTTTGTATCCAGTGAAAACTAAGCTTCATATATGAAGGAAAGATACAGTCTTTTTCAGACAAACAAATGCTGAGATAATTCAACACTACCAAACCACCACTACAAGAACTGCTTAAAGGAGCTCTAAATCTTGAAACAAATCATGGAAACACATCAAAACAGAACCTCTTTAAAGCATAAATCTCACAGGACCTATAAAACAAAAATACAATTATAAAAAGAAAACAAGACATACAGGCAACAAATAGCATGATGAATGGAATGATACCTCACATCTCAATACTAACATTGAATGTAAGTGGCCTAATGCTCCACTTAAAAGATACAGAATTGCAGAATGAATAAGAATTCACCAAACCATCTGCTGCCTTCAAGAGACTCACCTAACACATAAGGACTCACATAAACTTAAGATAAAGGGATGGAAAAAGATATTCCATGCAAATGGACACCAAAAATGAGCAGGAGTAGCTATTCTTATATCAAACAAAACAAACTTTAAAGCAACAGAGGTTAAAAAAGACAAAGAGGAACATTATATAATGATTAAAAGCCTTGTCCAACAGGAAAATACCACAATCCTAAACATACATGCACCTAACTCTGGAGCTCCCAAATTTATAAAACAATTACTAATATACCTAAGAAATGAGATAGGCAGGAACACAATAATAGTGGGAGACTTCAATACTCCACTGACAGCACTACACAGGTCCAGACAGAAACTCAACAAAGAAACAAAGGATTTAAGTTACACCCTGGAACAAATGGACTTAACAGATATATACAGAACATTTCATCCAACAACGGTAGAATATACATTCTATTCAACAGTGCATGGAACTTTCTCCAAGATAGACAATATTATACACAATATATAGACAATATAAATTTAGGAAAATTGAAATTATATCAGGCACTCTCAGACCACAGTGGAATAAAACTGGAAATCAACTCCAAAAGGAACCTTCAAAACCATGCAAATACATGGAAATTAAATAACATGCTCCTGAATGATCACTGGGTCACAAATGAAATGAAGATGGAAATTTAAAATTTTTTCTAACTGAACGACAATAGTGACACAACCTACCAAAACCTCTGGGACACAGCAAAGGCAGTGCTAAGAGGTAAGTTTATATCCCTAAAGGCCTACATCAAAAAGTCTGAAAGAGCACAAACACATAATCTAAGGTCACACCTCAAGGAACCAGAAAAACAAACTTGACCTTAGGTAATCTGCCCACCTCAGCCTCCCAAAGTGCTGGGATTACACGCAATTCCTTTCCATATGATTCGTCCCATAGGGCAACATGGCAGCTGGCTTCTTCCAGAATAAATGATGTGAGAGAGAGAGAGGAGAGAGAGAGAGAAGGAGAAAGACAGAATGCAACCACAAAAAAATAAAATAAAATTTGTTCAAATATATTATGTGGCTCACAGCCTTTGAGCGGGCCAGTGGGTTCATCCTGGAAATGCCACTGGCAAAAAAAGCACACGAATCAGTAGAACTTCCCCCATAGAGATGTCTCAGATGGCAAACTGGGTACAGACGCTAAAACAGAATCTTTATCACCGATTCCCCTAAAAACCTGATGCCACCATTTGCTTTGCCAGAAAAGAATGGATTCTGCATGGGATCTGATCTTCAACTTCTACTGTTTCATATCAACATCGTAAGTGCCTCACTAGTGAAGCAATTGCCTATATCCTAAGTACAAAAAGAGGCTGGTAAAATTAATTTCTGGTATCTATCTTGGGGAGGATAACTTCCCAATATAATATGGAAATTTTTCCAAACTAAATTAGGGTATTCCAAAGATTCTGGGCAATAACAAAGCCCGAGAGTGTACACTACCCTTGCCCACTTAGGTTCCCAAAGTCAGCCAATTCCCTCTTCTATATTTAAACTTGTAAACAGCAGCAATAAATTTAAGTACTAAGATAATCCACTCTCTCGTCTACAATTGAAAATGGATGCACCTCCCCAATGGAGAATCAATTTTTAAATCATATATGTATATATGATGAGATTTATAAACATACGGATGACATAGCCATGTGTGTGTGTGTGTATATATACACAGACACATGATCTATGGCTATTATCCTTAGATCTATATCATGATAGAGAATACCATGACATTCTATAATCTGTGGACTAATTTGTAAAGCTAAATAATACTAGTACATCCTACAGAAAATAGGATATTTGTGAGAACAGGATGTTTGTAGAATAGTTGTTAAAGGAGAAAAAATAATTGAGAGAGCAAGAGCACAAATCACAATAGATAATACAGATCTGCAAGTGATCATAAGGCTCCGATTGACAAGTTAAGACAATTCCTCCACATCTTCCAGATTCCTCTGTTGTAAGCCAGCAGCTTAGCTGGCTTGGGTTATTTACTGAGTGAAATAACCCAAACTTGTATTCCTAATAAAAGAATTGGAGACCTTGGAACGTGCAGTTTACCCTTGATCTTTACCATCTGATGTGGCAATACTGATAGAAAGCCAAGTGATCTCTTGGTTCAAGGCACTTTTCTCACACTCTCCCAGAATGGTAGCTATCATTCCTTTTAATAACAGGCTCATTTACCCTCAGCCAACTTTGCATCCCTTTTTTGTGCCTAGTTACGCGGTGGCATGAAGGATTTAAAAATGGGCAGGTGTCTCTCTTGAATTTTAGTTCAATAATACTTGCCTCACGTGGTAGGTATTATTGTTATGTCATCAGCTGAAATGTTCCTATTCAGGTGTGAAAATCTCAATTTCAAATCCGTGTAAGCATATTTTTTATCTGGGGACGGGTGCATATTTCAGTCTGTAGATGTCTCTGGGAAGTCTTTTTATTTGGTTACAAAAGCTTTCAAATAAGAATTAATTAAGCCAGAATTGGGGGAATCAGAGTAAACTATTGTTAAAAGATAAAATAGGTGGAACAGTAAGATATATCAATCTTATTTGCACTCTTGATTCTCAGACCCTTGTATTCTGACTTCTGGACAAATGTATTTTGACTACTGATTTAGAGCATATGGATGTATGATATCACTCCAACCTTGCAAGTATTATCACCTACATGATACTCTAATTGAGTTTTCAATAGATTCAGTTCCATAAGAATATTTTTTTCAGGTGGTGGGTGGAATATATAATAATATCAATGAATCTTTTACAATTGAAAGCCTATTGCCTTCTTTCATTGTTCGCCGGGCACAGTGGCTCATGCCTATAATCCCAGCATTTAGGAGGCCAAGGCAGGAGGATCACTTGGGCCTAGGAGTTTGAGACCAGTCTGGGAAACATAGCAAAACCCCATCTCTACAAAAAAATAGAAAAATTAGCTGGACATGGTGATGCACATCTGTAGTCCCAGCTACTCAAAAGGCTGAGGTGGGAGGATCAGGCTGCAGTAAGCCATGATGATACCACTACACTCAAACCTGGGCAACAGTGCAAGACCTTGTCAAAAAAAAAAAGAGAGAGAGACAAACAGAATGAAGGACCAATAGAATGTGTGTGTCTGTGTGTGTGTGTGTGTATGTGTGCGTGTGTAGAGAGAGAGAGATTTTTTATAAGGAATTGATTCACACTATTGTGGAGGCAGAGAAATCCCAGAATCTAGTCAGCAAGCTGGAGACCCAGAAGAGCCAATGGTTCTAGTCTGAGTTTAAAGAACTGAGAACCAGGATAGCTGATGGTGTAAGTCACAGTCCAAAGGTCAACAGCTCAAGACCCAAGAAGAGCTGATGCTTCTGTTCTAGTCTGAAGGAAGAAAAAGGCCAATGACCCAGTTCAAAAGTAGTCAGGCAGGAGGAAATCCCCCTTACTCAAGGAAGGGTCAGACTTTTTGTTCTATTCATACCTACAAATGACTGAATGAGGCCCATCCACACTGAGGAGAGCAATCTGCTTTACTCAGACTACTAGTTTAAATGCTAACCTCATTCAGAAATACCCTTCGAGACACACCCAGAATGATGTTTGACCAAATGTCTGCATGGCCCAGTTGACACATAAAATTAACCATCATAGGTACCGTACTAGGAAAAAAACCTCGTGGCCTGACAGTGGATAGGTGTTATAGGTAGAATTATAAGGATGTCCTCCCCAAGATTCCTGTCCCCTGATTATTCAATAATGCACTAATTTCTAAAACTTGTGAAATCCACCAAGCACTGCTGAGAAAAGACTTTGCAAAAGAAATTAATTTTATTGATCAGGTGACCTTAAAATAGCAAGATTTTTCTGGATTACTTGGGCTCAGTGTAATTATATTAGCTCTTAAAAGCAGAGGAGGGAGGCAGAAAAGTCAGTAGAGGAGATGTGACAGAAGACCAGTATTAGAGAAATAAGGCAGAGAGGCTTGAAGTATGAGAAGGACTCAAACCACCATTGTTGACTTTGACAGAGGCCACAAGCCAGGGAACGTGAACAACCTCTAGAAGCTGAGAATGACCCAGCTGACAGCCAGTAAAGAAATGGGGACCTCAGTCCTACAAGAGCTTGAAACTAAATTCTGCCAACAACCTGAATGAGTATGGAAGTAGATTCTCTCCTAGAGCCTCCAGAAAGTAGCACATCCCTGTCAACAACTTGATTTCAGCCTTGGAAGACTAAGTGGAGAACCAACAGAACCATGCTGTGCATGGACTTCTAACCCAAAGAAACTCTGAGATAATCAACAGCCACTAAACGTATGGTAAGTTGTTACGGCATTGACAGAAGGTTAACACAATTAGGCATTCGGTAAGTCCCCAGATAGTGCTGCTACAGAAGCACAGTCATGAAAGAAGGCAAGTAGAAATACAAAATACATTCTTGAGTCTACCAGGAAAGTGTTATTTTCTCTTGTATGTTGCTCTGTGCCCAGTGAAATCAACAAAGTGGCTTCCTGGTGTCTTAGAAACATAACGGCATATTGCCATTCAGAGTCAGTTAATGCTGTTGGCAAATTGGGCACTCATCCATGACGGTTGCCATGTCAGCTATGGTATGAGGAAGTTGATTTTGTTGAACCATGCATATTTTATGCCTCTTGGATATAGTTTCTGTGTTATCTTGTATATGATTAAGTGCATTAAGCAAGCACTGGGGCAATATGGTTTGGATCTGTGTCCCCACTCAAATCTCATATCCAGTTGTAATCCCCAGTGTTGAAGGTGGGGCCTGGTGGGAGGTGACTGGATCATGGGGGTGAATCCTTCATGAATGGTTTAACACCAATCCTTTGGTGTTGTTCTCATGATAAAGGAGTCACGAGATCTGGTTGTTTAAAAGTGTGTGGCACTTATCCACCTCTGTCTCTTGCTCGTGCTCTGGCCGTGTAAGATGTTCAAGACATTCCTGCTTCTCCTCTACCTTCCGCCATGATTAAAAGTTTCCTGAGGCCTCCCCAGAAGCCAAGCAGAAGGCTCTATGCTTCCTGTACAGCCTGTGGAACCAAGAGCCAATTAAACCTATTTTCTTTATAAATCACCCAGTCTCAGGTATTTCGTTATAGCAATGCAAGAACTGACTAATACATGGAGTAACTAGAAGAAGGGCAGAAAAGAACAAGTCCCCTTGTCTACTTGATCACTGACAGCCTCTTCTGTAGTGGGTCACCTCTCATAAGCATACACATGGGGTGCAAATATTCTGACATCTGGCAAAAGATGCATCTAAGTACTCAAGCACACTTGTCACCAATCCTTCAAAGTTATTCCATCAAAGTCTCTGAAAACATAATAGATATGGATCCACTTTCTCAGGCCACTTCTCCTTCCAGGTAAATTGGACATTGCTCTATGTTTTGCCCACTAGGAGGCTTTCTCTTCCCAGCCCTCCCTCAGGGCCACCTCTTAGGTCTACAGTTGGGCCAGAGTCCAGTTCTGGTTCATGTGTAGCCACCAGTAAAGAGGCTCCTTTTATTTTTATTTTTATTTATTTATTTTTTTTGAGACAGAGTTTCACTCTTGTTGCCCAGGCTGGAGTGCAATGGCGCAATCTCGGCTCACGGGTTCAAGCGATTCTCCTGCCTCAGCCTCCAGAGTAGCTGGGATTACAGGCTTGCACCCCCACACCCGGGTAATTCTGTATTTTTAATAGAGAGGGGGTTTCTCCATGTTGGTCAGGCTCATCTCGAACTCCCGACCTCAGGTGATCCGCCGGCCTCAGCCTCCCAAAGTGCTAGGATTACAGGTGTGAGCCACCACGCCCTGCCAAGGCTCCTTCTTTTTCTTCCTAATTAACTCATCTAAGGAAACTTCCTCTGCAATCATAGGCAAGAGTTTAGCAGAGATGTGGCTGTACAGCAAAAGTTGGCATCTTGGGAGTGAGAACTACCTGCTTAGTCAACTAGATTTGGTTTTTTGGAGCTAAAATATACCATTTCAATTTCATGTTAAAGGGCCGCTGAACCACTCTAGTTTATGGCTTAGTTTCAGATATTACCTAGTCTTTGATGGGCAGTACAGATCCTATGAACACCTAGAGCACCATAGCCAGGAATTTAATCTCTAGTAGAAAAAAAACAAGAACTGCTTCTCAAATAAAACAGTCCAAGAGCCAGGCGCAGTGGCTCACACTTGTAATCCCAGTGCTTTGAGAGTCAGAGGCAGGAGGATAACCTGAGACCAGGAGTTCAAGACCAGTCTGGACAATGTAGTCCCCCATCTCTACGAAATATTTTTGCAGGAGGATTGCTTGAGCCCAGGAGTTCAAGGCTGCAGTAAGTCATGATCACACCACTACACACCAGTCTGGGCAACAGAGTTGGAGTGTCTCTGTTTCAAAAAAACAGAAATTAAAAAAAAAAAAAAAAAAAAGCCCGGGCGCAGTGGCTGACTCCTGAAATCCCAACACTTTGGGAGGCCAAGGTGGGCAGATCACGAGGTCAGGAGATCGAGACCATCCTGGCTAACACAGTGAGACCCCGTCTCTACTAAAATATACAAAAAATTAGCTGGGCATGGTGGCGGGTGCCTGTAGTCTCAGCTGCTCAGGAGGCTGAGGTGGGAGAATGGCGTGAACCCGAGAGGCGGAGCTTGCAGTGAGCCAAGATCATGCACTGCCCTGCAGCCTGGGCAACAGAGCGAGACTCTGTCTCAGGGAAAAAAAAAAAAAAAAAGTCAAAGAGAGCATGATTTTGCTACAAATTTCTATTATTAAGTGCCTCTATATAATTTCCCAATTAGAGCCTGCCTTAGACTTCATACAGCATCCAGATCTGCCATAGACATTTGAATCTACAGAGGCATGAAGAATACATGACAGATCCCCTGGTCCAGCTAAAGAGGTGTCTCTTCCAGAGCCTGCTCTGAGTTGGCTGGCAGCCTTTCAGGACACTTAGTTAAAGGTTTGGAATAGATGTACAGTCCCCTTCTAAAATCCATAGAAGACCTCTAAACATTGTGCTGCTTTTTTGGTACAGGAGTGGAGGAAGAAAATATAGACATTGAAAAACAGACAGAACCAGATGGTTTTTGTTCATGTCTATGCTCTATCCAGGAAAGATTTCCATCTTACAGATCTGAGAACAAAATTAAAATTTTTTTAAAGCACACTATCTGAAAATTTAACCTGGAATTAATCTGTGGAAGGGAGAAATAAGCAGGAAAAAAAATGGTTTAATGTAAGAAAAAGGAGCCTAATAATACCCATTCTGCAAGTTATTTTACCTTATTCATTAATTATTTAATCTAATATTTAATCCCCTGCACTTTTGAAAAATACAGAGATTAATAAGGCACCTGTGCAAAAATGACTCAAACTCATAAAACATTTCATATTTTTCCAATACCTATCAGGGTATGTGGCTGTTTTTACAATCTCAAGAATTGTTTCTTTGAATGACTGATAAGATCATTCTAAAAGAATCTCACATCATTGCTAATATGATAGAGCAGAAATAGTCTGAACTTTGGAACCAGAAGACATCTAGATCCAAATCTTACCTTGAACCCTTACCAGCTTTGTGACCCGGGGGAAATTAGTTAGGCACTGTCATAGGCTGAATAATGGCCCCCCAAAGATGTCCACATCCTAATCCCCAGAACCTGTGAATGTGTTATTTTACATAGCAAAAGGGACTTTATAGATGTCATTAAGTCAGGGATCTTGAGATGGGGATATAGTATTATCCTGGATCATCCAGATAAGTTCAGTATAATTACACAGGTCCTTAAAGGAAGGTAGGATGGTCAGAGTCAAAGACAGAGCCGTGATGATGGAAGCAGAGATTGGAGGAACACAGCCCTACTGAAACATTGATTTTTGAACTTCTGCCTTCCAGAATGGTAAGAGAATAGATTTTAAATTTTGTCATTTTAAGCCACTAAAATTGTGGTGATTTGTTATTTCAGTAATAGAAAACTGATCCAGGCACTTCAAAGCTCAGTTTCCTCCTGGGAAAAATGGGAATAACACATTTGTACTATGAAGATTAAAAATATTTTTAGGCTGGATGCAGTAGCCTGTACCTGTACCTGTAATCCCAGCACTTTGGGAGGTCAAGGTGGGAGGATTGCTTGAGGCCACCAGTTCAAGACCAGCCTGGGCAACATAGTGAGACCCCCATCTCTGCAAAAATTTTAAAAATTCAGCCTGGTGTGGTGGTACATTCCTGTGGTCCCAGCTACTCAGGAGGCCGAGGTGGGAGGATCACTTGAGCCCAGGGATTTGAGGCTGCAGTGAGTTACGATCATGCCACTGCACTCCAGCCTGGGCAACAGCATGACAACCTCTGTCAATAATAATAATAATAATTTTAAAGCAGTCATCACATAGTAACTACTCAATAAGAGGCATCTATTAAAAACATTTACTGTACTGTCAGAGATGCAGTCAGATTGACAGATGTTTCTTTCCAGGCTTTACAATTTACTAATTCTAGATTTTCTCACTTGCAAAATAGAGTTAAGAATAGAGTCATATCATAAAATTGTTGCGAGGATTAACTGAAATATTTCACATAAAAATCTTAGCCCCATGTCTGGAACAAGGTTAGCATATCACATAATAAATATTGGCTGGCCGGGCACAGTGGCTCATGCCTGTAATCCCAGCACTTTGGGAGGCCGAGGCAGGCAGTTCACCTGAGGTCAGGAGTTCGAGACCAGCCTGACCAACATGGAGAAGCCCTGTCTCTACTAAAAATACAAAATTAGCCAGGCACAGTGACGCATGCCTGTAATCCCAGCTACTCGGGAGGCTGAGGCAGAGAATCGCTTGAACCCGGGAAGCAGAAGTTGTGGTGAGCCAAAATTGCACCATTGCACTCCAGCCTGGGCAACAAGAGTGAAACTCTGTCTCAAAAATAAATAAATAAATAAATAAATAAATAAATAAATAAATAAATAAATGTTGGCTGCAACTACTACTGCAACTCCTGCTACTACTGTTTGTTTTAGCAATTTCACGCTGAAGCACTCAAAAACTGTCTCTGTAATTTAAAAAGTTGTCCCTGTAATTTCCTGCCACCAGATCACTATATCTTTCCATGGTTACTCACTCTGATCTTCAAAGGCTGAAGTCTGCCCTGGGCTTAAAATGGTGGCTTTATCCTGAGCTCACCAAGATTTAACCTTAACCATTAATTTCCTTCATTCTATTCCCCCAAAAAAATCTCTATTAAAAATAACTAAGCTAGGCTTTAGTCAACATTAACAAATACTAAAAGCAATAATGTTTTTAGCTGTAGTGAACCAAACCCTTAAGATGCAATTACTAGACAACCCCACTGTGAAGTCAAAAAAAATAAGATAAAATTTCATCTTTTCTTCCTTGTCCTAAGTATTTCATTATGAGCTTATTGTCAGTTGAGCCTTATTCACAAACATTTCTTCTTGACCTTTAGATAATTGAAAACACATATTCCAGGCCTCGTATCTTGAGAAATCATTATGGATATGTTAAACAGCAACTGTTTCAGTACCTCTTTTGTCATGCATAAGCTTTTAATTATAAATTAAATATAAAATATAATATGAAATATACATCAAAATCTTCGACATTCATAGGCATAACTTATTACCAGTTTTGAAGTACTTAGGAAGTGAGAAATCAAAAAAAAGGAAGTCAGTTTCTGATTTTCATTGATTTCTTCTGATAATATGTTCATGAACATCATAATAATTGTCACCATGAAAAATCAGAAAAAAGAAAAGAACATGCAGCTTATGTGGAAACTTGGTTCATTTCCCATTTTGGGTAGAAGACTGTATTAGTTTGTACTCACACTGCTAATAAAGACATACCTGAGACTAGGTAATCAATAAAGAAAAAGAGGTTTAATGGATTCACAGTTTCATGTGGCTGGGGAGGCCTCACAATTATGGTGAAAGGTGAAACAGGAACAAAGGCACATCTTACATGGCAGTAGGCAAAAGAGCGTGTGCAGGGGAACTCCCCCTTCCAAAACCATCAGATCTCATGAGAGTAATTCACGATCATGAGAACAGCATGAGAAAAACCCAAGCCCATGATTCAATCACCTCCCACCAGGTCCCTCCCATGGCAGGTGGGGATTATGGAATCTACAATTCAAGATGAGATTTGGGTGGGGACACAGCCAAACCGTATCAAAGACTAAGGTGCGTGTATTCACAATATTTACATTTGTACTTGCTATAGTCTGAATGTTTGTGTCCCCCCAGAGTTCATATGTTGAAACTCAATCTCCAGTGCAATGGTGTCGGGAGGTGAGACCTTTGGGAAGCGATTAGGTTATGAGGTCAGAGCTCTCATAAGTGGGATTAGTCTCCCGGGCCCTTACATAAAAGGCCCAGGAGAGTTTGTCTCTTTTACCATGTAAGGAAACAACTAGAAGTCGCCATCTTGAAGCAGAGAGCAAGCCCTCACCAGACACTGAATCTGCTGGCACCTTGATCTTGAACTTCCAGCCTCCAGAACTGGGGTCAACAAATTTCTGTCATTTATAAATTACCCAGCCTAATATATCTTGTTATAGCAACACAAACTAAGACAGTAATCATGCACACCAAATGACTCAGTCAACATAACATAGCAAATTGATCTTCTATAAACTAAACTTGAATTGGAGCATATATGTAATGTGTTACCCAAACCACGATACTTTTGAGAGCCCTAAGGGGACACTGTTAATAATTTTAGTATGTTAAGAAATAGATGTAGGCTGGGCATGGTGGCTCATGCCTGTAATCCCAGCACTTTGAGAGGCTGAGGCGGGCGGATCACAATATCGAGAGATAGAGACCATCCTGGCTAACACAGTGAAACCCCGTCTCTACTAAAAACAAAAAAAAAATTAGCTGGGCATGATGGCTGCCTCCTGTAGTCCCAGCTACTCTGGGGGTTGAGGCAGGAGAATGGCATGAACCCGGGAGGCAGAGCTTGCAGTGAGCCAAGATTGTGCCACTGCACTCCAGCCTGGGTGACAGAGCGAGACTCCGTCTCAAAAAAACAAAAAAAAAAGATGTAAACTGGTTCTATCCTGGACAGCCTGAACATGTCATCAATGTGGTCATCATTGTTGGATGGATGCAGCTATCACTCTGGTTGTGGGGAGTAGAGAGGAAGGAAGAAGGCACCAGCACTGTGCCGTCTTAAAGAAAGCTGACTCTGCCTCTATCTTTCCCATCCCCTTTAGCTGATGTCAAAATGTCCTTTAAAGGGTCACTTGCCTCTCTGGGTTTCAGGCTACCTTAGAAGATAGAAAAAGGAACCAGACTTTGTATATGCATTGTCATTATTCCCACTCCCCATGATTATCATTTTTCACACTCTATGTTCTGATGTAATTTCATGCACATTTATTAGTCGGCAGACTTTACTTAAGCACCTATTACATGCCAGGTACATTTCAAGATAAGAATTCTTGTGGAGCAGCAAATGATATAGCAGAGACAGACTGAAACCTGAGCATTCATAATACTCTCAAGTTAGCATCGTCTTTGTTATATAACATAGGTAGGGGTTGGGACATGTGTGAACAAGGTGAAATGATAGCAAGTGAGAAGGAGTGTCTAATGAGCTGGGCACAGTGGCTCATGCCTGTAATCCCAGCACTTTGGGAGGCTCAGGCAGCTGGATCACCTGAAGTCAGGAGTTCGAGACCAGCCTGACCAACATGGTGAGACCCCATCTCCAGTAAAAAAAAAAAAAAAAAAATCAAAATTAACTGGGCGTGGTGGCACATGTTTGTAATCCCAGCTACTCAGGAGGCAAGGCTGGAGAATCTCTTGAACCCAGGAAGTGGAGGTTGCTGTGAGCTAATATTGCACCATTGCACTCCAGCCTGGGCAACAAGAGTGAAACTGCACCAGAAAAAAAAAAAAAAACTAATGAAGGAAAAGAAGCCTTTAAGAGGGTGTACCCTTGAATGATGCACCAACCCCCTAGACATTCTAGCAAGAAGAACAAAGTAAAAGGGGCCAGAAACTTGAAAATCTGGTGCTGAAGAAACCTATGAGCATTTTGATGTAAAGTATACAGTGCTACTGATGCAACAGTGAGAGTGGAGTGGACACGAAGGCTTTGGAAGAATCGTGAAGGATCTTGTCTGCCAAGCTAAAAAGCTTAGATTATAACCTATGTGGAAAGGGAATCACAGAGGTGATTACACACAGCAGAGCATGATTCGGTTTATCTACCAGGAAATTATTCTGAGTCAGTATTGGGATCCATTAGAAGAAGGTGAACAGACCCAGTGGGAACTGCAAAGCAGTGACTGCACTGTCTAAAAAAGTCAGCAGTCCTCAGCCCTGGATGAACATGAGAACAACAACCTGGAAACAATATTGGGCTTCATCCCCAGAGGTTCTGGTTTGGTTGGCCTGAGGTGGGCCCAGAAATAGATATATTTAGTTCAGGTACATATGTGTGTATTTGTGTATATATAAGTGTGTGTGTATACATATGTGTGTGTATATGTGCATAGAAATAAAGATCAGGAAAGTTTTAATGCCCTACTAGTGTTGAGAGCCACTGAGATAGGAAAGGGCTTAAACTAGATTTAGGAGAAGTGGTAGGTATGAGAGATTGGAGCTAAAAATCAATAGAATGAGACAATTAGAAGGATAGCAAAGAGGTGAGGTTATAGGGATGCACGTGAAACTTAGATACAGCCTAGTTTTCTGACTTAGACAACTGTATTGATTTTGATGATATTAAACTGCCCCAGACAATGTTTCAGAAGATTTCACCCAAGGAACAAAATGTTTCTCCAAAAACAAAAAAAACAAGCAAGTACAATTTTAACAGGAAAACTAATGACTCTGTCCTCTGCTTGGTGGGAAAACAGAAATTTGGAAGATGCTGACATTTTCCATTTTTGATGTTAAAGATGTATTACCTTCATAGTCTCTGGGTTTTTTGTGGGGGCGGTGGGCGAGATCAAAAGAAGATTCCTTTGGTGATATCCATGTACAGCATTCCCCAAATTTCCCTCACCCCTCCCCAAAGAAGATGCTACAGGCTGACAAGTTCAGCATGTATTTGGCAGCGCTTGTAACAGAATGCTTTCATTTTTGTTTAGTAATAATTTTTAAGAGGAGTGTGCAAGATGCTGAATGGTATCTTCTCTCTTATCCAGATTTGACAGCTGAGGAACCACAGCTGAAGACAAAAGCTCTGACACTAAAGGGACACAATGCCCATCTTTTTCACGTATTTCCAAATGTTTTGTAATTTCTTTGACAAGCAGAACAGTATTCTGGTTTCCCCTACACATCATCCTTTGATATGAAGAAATGGGCAGGAGAAAGACAGTGGAGCTGAAGAAAGGAGTAATAATTTAAATAGTGCTTACTACATGCCAAACACTGTTCTAAACAAATTTCATTCTATTCTCCTAACAGCCCTTTGAAGTAGGGACTATTATTATTCATATTATTCATAAGAAAACAGAGGCATAGGGACGTTAAGTAACATGCCCAAGGCCACACAGTTAGTAAATAGCAGAGCTGAGCTTTGGACTCCACGAAGTCCAAACTGTTAACCACTATCCAGGGCAGCTGCATCCCCTCCTTTGGGTTTAAAGAATATGTTTCCATAAGACAAGTGGATACTATATGATAGAGTTTGGATGTGTGTCCTCACCCAAATCTCATGTTGAAAGGTAATCCCCAATGTTGGAAATGGGGCCTGGTGGAAGGTGTTTGGGTCATGAGGGTGGGTCCCTCATGACTTGTGATAGTGAGTCATTTCTCATGCAACCTGGTTGTTTAAAAGTGTGACACCCCTCATGCCAGTAATCCCAGCACTTTGGGAGGCCAAGGCAGGCAGATCAGCTGAGGTCAGGAGTTTGAGACCAGCCTGGCCAACATGATGAAACCCCATCTCTATTAAAACTAGAAAAACTAGCGGGCCATGGTGGCAGGTGCCTAATCCCAGATACTCAGGAGGCTGAAGCAGGAGAATCGTTTGAACCCTGGAGGTTCTGGCTGCAGCGAGCCAAGATCATGCCACTGCACCCAGTCTGGGCGACAGAGCCAGACTCCATCTCAAAAAAAAAAAGCGTGGCACCCACCCACCCCTGCCCGCCTCTTGCTCCAACTCCTGCCACGTGACATACCTGATTTTCCTTCACCTTCCACCATAAGTTTCCTGAGTCCTACCTAGAAGCAGAAGCTAGCAATATGTTTCCCGTATAGCCTGCAGAAACGAGAGACAATTAAGCCTCTTTTTGTGTAAATTAGCCAGTCTGAGCTATTTCTTTATAGCAATGCAAAAACAGCGTAGTACACTATAAAAGCTGTCCAGTGGTTAAACCATTTTACCAGTGCCCAACAAGAGCACTCCTCATAAAGCATCTGTTTAGAGAAGGAACCAATGAAAAGAGAAAGGCTGAAGACCTAGGAGAGGAAAAAAATTGATGGAAGAAGGTTCTGGAGAAAGTGGGACAAGTTGAGGCTTCCGTAGCCCAAATGAAAATATATATATATGTGTGTGTGTATATATATATACACGTGTATATATATACACGTATATACGTATATATATATATACATGTATATATATATATATCTTTTTTTCCAGAGAAAAAGACAGAGATAAGCATGCAGATAACTTTTTAATTATTTTTTTGTCACTCTGTCCCCAGGCTGGACTGCAGTGGCACAATTATGGCTCCCTGCAGCCTCAACCTCCCAGACTCAAGTGATCCTCCCACCTCAGCCTCGCAAGCCAGGACCACAAGTGTGCGCCACCACACCTGGCTAATTTTTTATTTTTTGTAGAGATGGGATCTTGCTATGTTGCCTAGGCTGGTTTTGAACTCCTGGGCTCAAGCGATCCTCCCACCAAGGCCTCCCAAAGTGCTGGGATTAGAGGTGTAAGCCACTACACCCAGCCCAGGTAACTTTTAGACATGTGTTGGGAACTCAGGCTTACCACACCTGATGAAGTAGGAAGCAAAGCCTGTGCTCAGAGTGGAAAACCAGGAGTGGCCCGGCCGTGATGGCAGTTTGGGGTTTCCACCTAGAGGTTGCTAAACAGGCTTAGCAGCATCACAGAGAGAACTGGTCACATGGCTTGTAGCCACATAGTTTGAGCCCCACTGCAAAATGAAAAGCAAAGTTCCTTACTGATAAATTATTAAGAATTTCAAAACAACGAAGGCACAGCAGTGAAACAATTATAAGCACAAGGTCCTTCCCCATGTGGAGCCTCGTGAGACTACACAGGTCACATGGCCATGAAGCTGGCCCTGATGAGAAGTCACAGGTAAAAATATTCTATAAATATATGCTGGTGGCAGGAATTAGAGTATGCCACTCCAAAATATACCACTTTATCATAAGGATTATTTTGAGCTGAAGATAATTAAGCAATAGCAGGTGCAGGAAAAGCTCTCTGCCTTCCTCCTTTCTGTCTAAAAGCAGGGTGTAAATTTCCCTTTGTAAAGGCAATGTAAATATCCATTTATAAAAGTGTCTCCCCCTCCCACACCAGGAAGAGAAGGATGCTGTTAATCACCAGAGACAACTCTTATCAATGGAGAAGGCAACAACTGGAGCCTGTGTAACAACTCTTGCTAAATAACTCTGCTGTGGTCTGAAAGTTTTTGTCCCCCCAAAATTTATCTGTTGAAATTCAAATTCCTAAGGTGATGGTGTTAGATTATTAGGTCATGAGGTCGGATCCCTCATGAATGGAAATAATGCCCTTACAAGGAAACCCCAGAAAGCGCATTCACTCTTTCCTCCACGTGAGGTTACAGTGAGAAAACAGCCATTGTTAACCAGGACGTGAGCCTTCACCAGACATCAAATCTGCCAGCACCTTGATCTTAAACTTCTCAGCCTCCGGAACTGTAAGAATAAATTGCTGTTGTTTATAAGCTACCCAGTTTATGGCATTTTTGTTATAACAGCCCAAACAGGCTAAGACAACCCTTATCTTCCATCAATTTCCCTTATATATTTACCTCTCCAAAATTTAACTCCCTTAGAAAACTAAGCCCCCTGTTCCTTTGTCTAATTACTTCTCCATGATTTATTACTCTTTGTAAAAATGACATAGAACCTCCCATGTCTAACCAGTTCTTTGGGTTTTCTCTTCTCTTCTGTGAAGCCATGCATGTTTACATGTAACAAACCTTCTCTCCTGTTAAGCTGTCTTCTGTCACTTTAATTTACAGAGCCTCATTCAGTGAACCTAAGAAAACAGAAAAAAAAAAAAAAAAGCATTCCCACGCTGGCATCACATACCAGATTTCTGATTCACTCTGCTACTTCTAACCAAAATCTTTCTCTATGAGGAAGAAGAGAAACAGGTAGTGACTAATTTCCTCTAATCACATGCAGTTTTCCATCTCTTCATTTTGTAGCTAAGTGAAACAATTATTCTCCTCTTTCCATAATGGAGAATATTGATCTTATTTCTCAGCAAGCCTTGCTCATTATGCCAAATTCTTTTGTCAAATTACTTTATAGTAATAATATCAGATAAATTATCAGCTTGAAAATTGACTCTACTTCTTAAAACAGAGACCACATTTTTTAACAAAACAAAATTATTTCATTGAGGAGATTAGAGAATATCATTATAGGACAATAGAGAAAAGTTATTCCTGTAAAGGAATTCTGAAACTAGCCAATTTTATTTGTCCACATAGAGGCTGAAGGAGTTTCAAGTTACAGTGTTTAAATATTTCAGAACAGTTTTTAAATTATATCTTGATTTCAGAAAATTAAAATTTAATCAAGGTGTTTCCTTCCAGTATCTCACTTTCTTCCCCCAAATTTTAGTGTTTTTCAACTAGAGCCCTGTTTCAATTATTAATCAGAAATATTTGTTTTAAAACTAATGAGATAATTACATATTTGCTTAAATACTTAAGCAACCTGACTTGTGTATATAACTCTTATAATTATTTTCATTGCTCATGAACTCTCAAGATACTGAGTGTACCTGCCGGTTATGTTTTCAAATACGTTTGTATTAGACTAGCTGAAACTATTTTAACAATGTTTGTAGAGATTTTGTGGCAGCCAGAATGCACCTGAAGAAACATTTTTAAGATAGATAAAATTGTACAGAGAAAAAGAAGCAGGTAGTATCTTCTAGTCCTCCCTCTCAAGAAAATTTACTAGCACAAATGTACCATTTGCAAAAATCTGTTGATGTAAACTAGAACACTTTGGTTGTACCTCATTTTTTCCCCTGGAACTGTAAAACAGTCGATGGAGTTAAGCTTGGATCAAACTTTGAGCCTGCAAATTATTATGACTATGCTTTGAACAATCTGTCAAAATCTCTGAGTCTGTTTCTTCATTGGTGCAATAAAAGTTATAATTTCTGAAATGATTATAGAAGCACCTTAGAAAATTGAAAGCATTATGAAAAAAGAAGAAGAAGAAGAAGAAGAAGCTGCTGCTATTCATGTCACTCTATGTTCTAACACTAACTTCATTATAATGAAGGGAGTGGACTTAGACATATAACCTCCCTGAGCCACAGTTTTCAGTAATAATAAGTACATAATAACGGTAATAATAATAACAACAATAACACCTACAGGGTTTAGATGAAGATCAAATGAGATTATATCAACTGTTAATATGCAGTTAGACAAATGGATGGATAGAGAAAGAGACAGACAGACAATAGAAATATGCTGTGGGAACATACTTTGTCCTCTCAGAAGTCCCCAGTGTAATAGAAGACATAATGTAGATACATAAATAATCGTAGCATGTGGAAGGCTATAACTGTCAAAAAAGTCATATATTAGAACACTTCTGATTTCTTCTTAGCCATTCAAACATTGTGTTCTGACCAATTTTGTCTTCAGAAAAAGAAATATTACCAGTCATCATTGTTAGACAAAAGCAGGACCAGCTACAAAATTTGTGGGACCTGGTACTAATAAAAATGCAGATCTCCTTGTTAAAATGATTAGCAGTTTCAAAACAGTGACAGTTGAGCACTAAGCCAAGTGCAGGGACCCTTTAAACACAGAACACTGTAGGTATCGTGATTGAAGATCAAATTATTGAAATAAAGTGAGAAGACAAGATCAGAGAAAAAAAGTAAGAAGAAATGAACAAAGCCTCCAAGAAACATGGGACTATGTGAAAAGACCAAATCTACGTTTGATTGGCATACCTAAAAGTGATGGGGAGAATGGAACCAAGTTGGAAAACACTCTTTAGGATACTATCCAGGAGAACTTCCCCAACCTAGCAAGGCAGGCCAACATTCAAATTCAGGAAATACAGAGAACACCACAAAGATACTCCTCAAAAAGAGCAACCACAAGACACATAATCATCAGATTCACCAAGGTTGAAATGAGGGGAAAAATGTTAAGGGCAGCCAGAGAGAAAGGTCAGGTTACCAACAAAGGGAAGCCCATCAGACTAACAGTGGATCTCTCTGCAGGAACTCCACAAGCCAGAAGAGAGTGGGGGCCAATATTCAACATTCTTAAAGAAAACAATTTTCAACCCAGAATTTCATATCCAGCCAAGATAAGCTTCGTAAGTGAAGGAGAAATAAAATCCTTTACAGACAAGCAAATGCTGAGAGATTTTGTCACCACCAGGCCTGTCTTATAAGAGCTCCTGAAGGAAGCACTAAACATGGAAAGGAACAACCGGTACCAGCCACTGCAAAAACATGCCAAATTGTAAAGACCATCAATGCTATAAAGAAACTGCATCAATTAACGGGCAAAATAACCAGCTAACATGATAATGACAGGATCAAATTCACAAATAACATTATTAACCTTAAATGTAAACGGGCTAAATGCCCCCAGTTAAAAGACACAGACCGGCAAATTGGATAGAGTCAAGACCCGTCAGTGTGCTGTGTTTGGGAGATCCATCTCACATGCAGAGACTCACATAGGCTAAAAACAAAGGGATGGAGGAAGATCTACCAAGCAAATGGAAAGCAAAAAAAAGCAGGAGTTGCAATCCTAGTCTCTGATAAAACAGACTTTAAACAAACAAAGATCAAAGGAGACAAAGAAGGCCATTACATAATGGTAAAGGGATCAATTCAATAAGAAGAGCTAACTATCCTAAATATATATGCACCCAATACAGGAGCACCGAGATTTATAAAGCAAGTCCTTAGAGACCTACAAAGAGACACACAATAATAATGGGAGACTTTAACACCCCACTGTCAATATTAGACAGATCAACGAGACAGAAGATTAACAAGGATATCCAGGACTTGAACTCAGCTCTGGACCAAGCGGACCTAATAGACACCTATAGAACTCTCCACCCAAAATCAACAGAATATACATTTTTCTCAGCACCACATCACACTTATTCTAAAATTGACCACATAATTGGAAGTAAGCACTCCTCAGCAAATGTAAAAGAACAGAAATCACAACAAACTGTCTCTCAGACCACAGTGCAATCAAATTAGAACTCAGAATTAAGAAACTCACTCAAAACCACACAACTACATGGAAACTGAACAACCTGCTCCTGAATGACTACTGGGAAAATAACAAAATGAAGGCAGAAATAAAGATGTTCTTTGAAACCAGTGAGAACAAAGACACAACATACCAGAATCTCTGGGATGCATTTAAAGTAGTCTGTAGAGGGAAATTTTTGGCACTAAATGCCCACAAGAGAAAGCAGGAAAGATCTAAATCAACACCCTAACATCACAACTAAAAGACTAGAGAAGCAAGAGCAAACATGTTCAAAGGCTAGCAGAAGGCAAGAAATAACTAAGATCAGAGCAGAACTGAAAGAGACAGAGACACAAACAACCCTTCAAAAAATCAGTGAATCCAGGAGCTGGTTTTTTGAAAAGACCAACAAAATTGATAGACTGCCAGCAAGACTAATAAAGAAGAAAAGAGAGAAGAATCAAATAAACGCAATAAAAAAAAGATAAAGGGGATGTCACCACCAATCCCACAGAAATACAAACTACCATCAGAGAATACTATAAACACCTCTACGCAAATAAACTAGAAAATCTAGAAGAAATGGATAAACTCCTGGACACAAACACCCTCCCAAAACTAAACCAGGAAGAAGTTTAATCTCCGAATAGACTAATAACATGATCTGAAATTGAGGCAATAATTAATAGTCTACCAACCAAAAAAAGTCCAGGACCGGACAGATTCACAAACGAATTCTACCAGAGGTACAAAGAGGAACTGGTACGATTCCTTCTGAAACAATTCCAAACAATAGAAAAAGAGGGAATCCTGCCTAACTCATTTTATGAGGCCAGCATCATCCTGATACCAAAGCCTGGCAGAGACACAACAAAAAAAGAGAATTTTAGACCAATATCCCTGACGAACATTCATGTGAAAATCCTCAATAAAATACCAGCAAACCAAATCCAGCAGCACATCAAAAAGCTTATCCATCACGATCAAGTTGGCTTAATCCCTGGGATGCAAGGCTTGTTCAACATATGCAAATCAATAAACATAATCCATCACATAAACAAAACCAATGACAAAAACGACATGATTATCTCAATAGATGCAGAAAAGGTCTTAGATAAAATTCAACAGCACTTCATGCTAAAAACTCTCAATAAACTAGGTATTGGGCTTCCGGGGGGAGGAGCCAAGATGGCCGAATAGGAACAGCTCTGGTCTACAGCTCCCAGCGTGAGCGACGCAGAAGACGGGTGATTTCTGCATTTCCATCTGAGGTACCGGGTTCACCTCACTAGGGAGTGCCAGGCAGTGGGCGCAGGCCAGTGGGTGCGCGCACCGTGGGCGAGCCGAAGCAGGGCGAGGCATTGCCTCACCTGGGAAGCGCCAGGGGTCAGGGAGTTCCCTTTCCGAGTCAAGGAAAGGGGTGACCGACGCACCTAGAAAATCGGGTCACTCCCACCCGAATATTGCGCTTTTCAGACCGGCTTAAAAAATGGCGCACCACGAGACTATATCCCACACCTGGCTTGGAGGGTCCTACGCCCACGGAATCTCACTGATTGCTAGCACAGCAGTCTGAGATCAAACTGCAAGGCGGCAGCGAGGCTGGGGGATGGGCGCCCGCCATTGCCCAGGCTTGCTTAGGTAAACAAAGCAGCCGGGAAGCTCGAACTGGGTGGAGCCCACCACAGCTCAAGAAGGCCTGCCTGCCTCTGTAGGCTCCACCTCTGGGGGCAGGGCACAGACAAACAAAAAGACAGCAGTAACCTCTGCAGACTTAAATGTCCCTGTCTGACAGCTTTGAAGAGAGCAGTGGTTCTCCCAGCACACAGCTGGAGATCTGAAAACGGGCAGACTGCCTCCTCAAGTGGGTCCCTGACCCTTGACCCCCGAGCAGCCTAACTGGGAGGCACCCCCCAGCAGGGGCACACTGACACTCACACGGCAGGGTATTCCAACAGACCTGCAGCTGAGGGTCCTGTCTGTTAGAAGGAAAACTAACAAACAGAAAGGACACCCACACCGAAAACCCATCTATACATCACCATCATCAAAGGCCAAAAGTAGATAAAACCACAAAGATGAGGAAAAAACAGAACAGAAAAACTGGAAACTCTAAAACGCAGAGCGCCTCTCCTCCTCCAAAGGAATGCAGTTCCTCACCAGCAACGGAACAAAGCTGGATGGAGAATGATTCTGACGAGCTGAGAGAAGAAGGCTTCAGACGATCAAATTACTCTGAGCTATGGGAGGACATTCAAACCAAAGGCAAAGAAGTTGAAAACTTTGAAAAAAATTTAGAAGAATGTATAACTAGAATAACCAATACAGAGAAGTGCTTAAAGGAGCTGATGGAGCTGAAAACCAAGGCTCGAGAACTACATGAAGAATGCAGAAGCCTCAGGAGCCGATGCGATCAACTGGAAGAAAGGGTATCAGCAATGGAAGATGAAATGAATGAAATGAAGCGAGAAGGGAAGTTTAGAGAAAAAAGAATAAAAAGAAATGAGCAAAGCCTCCAAGAAATATGGGACTATGTGAAAAGACCAAATCTACATCTGATTGGTGTACCTGAAAGTGATGCAGAGAATGGAACCAAGTTGGAAAACACTCTGCAGGATATTATCCAGGAGAACTTCCCCAATCTAGCAAGGCAGGCCAACGTTCAGATTCAGGAAATACAGAGAACGCCACAAAGATACTCCTCGAGAAGAGCAACTCCAAGACACATAATTGTCAGATTCACCAAAGTTGAAATGAAGGAAAAAATGTTAAGGGCAGCCAGAGAGAAAGGTCGGGTTACCCTCAAAGGGAAGCCCATCAGACTAACAGCGGATCTCTCGGCAGAAACCCTACAAGCCAGAAGAGAGTGGGGGCCAATATTCAACATTCTTAAAGAAAAGAATTTTCAACCCAGAATTTCATATCCAGCCAAACTAAGCTTCATAAGTGAAGGAGAAATAAAATACTTTACAGACAAGCAAATGCTGAGAGATTTTGTCACCACCAGGCCTGCCCTAAAAGAGCTCTTGAAGGAAGCGCTAAACATGGAAAGGAACAACCAGTACCAGCCGCTGCAAAATCATGCCAAAATGTAAGGACCATCGAGACTAGGAAGAAACTGCATCAACTAACGAGCAAAATCACCAGCTAACATCATAATGACAGGACCAAATTCACACATAACAATATTAACTTTAAATGTACATGGACTAAATGCTCCAATTAAAAGACACAGACTGCCAAGTTGGATAAAGAGTCAAGACCCATCAGTGTGCTGTATTCAGGAAACCCATCTCACGTGCAGAGACACACATAGGCTCAAAACAAAGGGATGGAGGAAGATCTACCAAGCAAATGGAAAACAAAAAAAGGCAGGGGTTGCAATCCTAGTCTCTGATAAAACAGACTTTAAACCAACAAAGATCAAAAGAGACAAAGAAGGCCATTACATAATGGTAAAGGGATCAATTCAACAAGAGGAGCTAACTATCCTAAATATATATGCACCCAGTACAGGAGCACCCAGATTCATAAAGCAAGTCCTGAGTGACCTACAAAGAGACTTAGACTCCCACACATTAATAATGGGAGACTTTAACACCCCACTGTCAACATTAGACAGATCAACGAGACAGAAAGTCAACAAGGATACCCAGGAATTGAACTCAGCTCTGCACCAAGTGGACCTAATAGACATCTACAGAACTCTCCACCCCAAATCAACAGAATATACATTTTTTTCAGCACCACACCACACCTATTCCAAAATTGACCACATAGTTGGAAGTAAAGCTCTCCTCAGCAAATGTAAAAGAACAGAAATTATAACAAACTATCTCTCAGACCACAGTGCAATCAAACTAGAACTCAGGATTAAGAATCTCACTCAAAGCCCCTCAACTACATGGAAACTGAACAACCTGCTCCTGAATGACTACTGGGTACATAACGAAATGAAGGCAGAAATAAAGATGTTCTTTGAAACCAACGAGAACAAAGACACAACATACCAGAATCTCTGGGACGCATTCAAAGCAGTGTGTAGAGGGAAATTTATAACACTAAATGCCCACAAGAGAAAGCAGGAAAGATCCAAAATTGACACCCTAACATCACATTAAAAGAACTAGAAAAGCAAGAGCAAACACATTCAAAAGCTAGCAGAAGGCAAGAAATAACTAAAATCAGAGAAGAACTGAAGGAAATAGAGACACAAAAAACCCTTCAAAAAATCAATGAACCCATGAGTTGGTTTTTTGAAAGGATCAACAAAATTGATAGACCGCTAGCAAGACTAATAAAGAAAAAAAGAGAGAAGAATCAAATAGACACAATAAAAAATGATAAAGGGGATATCACCACTGATCCCACAGAAATACAAACTACCATCAGAGAATACTACAAACACCTCTACGCAAATAAACTAGAAAATCTAGAAGAAATGGATACATTCCTTGACACATACACTCTCCCAAGACTAAACCAGGAAGAAGTTGAATCTCTGAATAGACAAATAACAGGAGCTGAAATTGTGGCAATAATCAATAGTTTACCAACCAAAAAGAGTCCAGGACCAGATGGATTCACAGCCGAATTCTACCAGAGGTACAAGGAGGAACTGGTACCATTCCTTCTGAAACTATTCCAATCAATAGAAAAAGAGGGAATCCTCCCTAACTCATTTTATGAGGCCACCATCATTCTGATACCAAAGCCAGGCAGAGACACAACCAAAAAAGAGAATTTTAGACCAATATCCTTGATGAACATTGATGCAAAAATCCTCAATAAAATACTAGCAAACCAAATCCAGCAGCACATCAAAAAGCTTATCCACCATGATCAAGTGGGCTTCATCCCTGGGATGCAAGGCTGGTTCAATATATGCAAATCAATAAATGTAATCCAGCATATAAACAGAGCCAAAGACAAAAACCACATGATTATCTCAATAGATGCAGAAAAAGCCTTTGACAAAATTCAACAACCCTTCATGCTAAAAACTCTCGATAAATTAGGTATTGATGGGACGTATTTCAAAATAATAAGAGCTATCTATGACAAACCCACAGCCAATATCATACCGAATGGGCAAAAACTGGAAGCATTCCCTTTGAAAACTGGCACAAGACAGGGATGCCCTCTCTCACCACTCCTATTCAGCATAGTGTTGGAAGTTCTGGCCAGGGCAATCAGGCAGGAGAAGGAAATAAAGGGTATTCAATTAGGAAAAGAGGAAGTCAAATTGTCCCTGTTTGCAGACGACATGATTGTATATCTAGAAAACCCCATCGTCTCAGCCCAAAATCTCCTTAGGCTGATAAGCAACTTCAGCAAAGTCTCAGGATACAAAATCAATGTACAAAAATCACAAGCATTCCTATACACCAACAACAGACAAACAGAGAGCCAAATCATGAGTGAACTCCCATTCACAATTGCTTCAAAGAGAATAAAATACCTAGGAATCCAACTTACAAGGGATGTGAAGGACCTCTTCAAGGAGAACTACAAACCACTGCTCAAGGAAATAAAAGAGGATACAAACAAATGGAAGAACATTCCATGCTCATGGGTAGGAAGAATCAATATCGTGAAAATGGCCATACTGCCCAAGGTAATTTACAGATTCAATGCCATCCCCCTCAAGCTACCAATGACTGTCTTCACAGAATTGGAAAAAACTACTTTAAAGTTCATATGGAACCAAAAAAGAGCCTGCATCGCCAAGTCAATCCTAAGCCAAAAGAACAAAGCTGGAGGCATCACACTACCTGACTTCAAACTATACTACAAGGCTACAGTAACCAAAACAGCATGGTACTGGTACCAAAACAGAGATATAGATCAATGGAACAGAACAGAGCCCTCAGAAATAACGCCGCATACCTACAACTATCTGATCCTTGACAAACCTGAGAAAAACAAGCAATGGGGAAAGGATTCCCTATTTAATAAATGGTGCTGGGAAAACTGCCTAGCCATATGTAGAAAGCTGAAACTGGATCCCTTCCTTACACCTTATACAAAAATCAATTCAAGGTGGATTAAAGATTTAAACGTTAGACCTAAAACCATAAAAACCCTAGAAGAAAACCTAGGCATTACCATTCAGGACATAGGCGTGGGCAAGGACTTCATGTCCAAAACACCAAAAGCAATGGCAACAAAAGCCAAAATTGACAAATGGGATCTAATTAAACTAAAGAGCTTCTGCACAGCAAAAGAAACTACCATCAGAGTGAACAGGCAACCTACAAAATGGGAGAAAATTTTCACAACCTACTCATCTGACAAAGGGCTAATATCCAGAATCTACAATGAACTCAAACAAATTTACAAGAAAAAAACAAACAACCCCATCAAAAAGTGGGCGAAGGACATGAACAGACAATTCTCAAAAGAAGACATTTATGCATCCAAAAAACACATGAAAAAATGCTCGTCATCACTGGCCATCAGAGAAATGCAAATCAAAACCACTATGAGATATCATCTCACACCAGTTAGAATGGCAATCATTAAAAAGTCAGGAAACAACAGGTGCTGGAGAGGATGTGGAGAAATAGGAACACTTTTACACTGTTGGTGGGACTGTAAACTAGTTCAACCATTGTGGAAGTCAGTGTGGCGATTCCTCAGGGATCTAGAACTAGAAATACCATTTGACCCAGCCATCCCATTACTGGGTATATACCTAAATGACTATAAATCATGCTGCTATAAAGACACATGCACACGTATGTTTATTGCGGCATTATTCACAATAGCAAAGACTTGGAACCAACCCAAATGTCCAACAATGATAGACTGGATTAAGAAAATATGGCACATATACACCATGGAATACTATGCAGCCATAAAAAATGATGAGTTCATGTCCTTTGTAGGGACATGGATGAAATTGGAAACCATCATTCTCAGTAAACTATCGCAAGAACAAAAAACCAAACACCGCATATTCTCACTCATAGGTGGGAATTGAACAATGAGATCACATGGACACAGGAAGGGGAATATCACACTCTGGGGACTGTGGTGGGGAGGGGGGAGGGGGAGGGAAAGAAAAAATAAATAAATAAATAAATAAATAAATAAATAAATAAAAACTAGGTATTGATGGAACATATCTCAAAATAATAAGAGCTATCTATGACAAACCCACATCCAATATTATACTGAATGGGCAAAAACTGGAAACATTCCCTTTGAAAACTGGCATAAGATAAGGATGCCCTCTCTCGCCACTCCTACTCAACATAGTGTTAGAAGTTCTGGCCAGGGCAATCAGGCAAGAGAAAGAAATAAAGGGTATTCAATTAGGAAAAGAGGAAGTTAAATTGTCCCTGTTTGCAGATGACATGATTGTATATTTACAAAATCCCATAGTCTCAGCCCAAAATCTCCTTAAGCTGATGAGGAACTTCAGCAACGTCTCAGGACACAAAATCAGCGTGCAAAAATCACAAGCATTCCTATATACCAATAACAGACAAACAGCCAAATAATGAGTCAACTCCCATTCACAATTGCTTCAAAGAGAATAAAATACCTAGGAATCCAACTTTCAAGGGGTGTAAAGGACTCTTCAAGGAGAACTACAAACCACTGCTCAATGAAATAAAAGAAGACACAAACAAAAGGAAGAACATTCCATGCTTATGGATAGGAAGAATCAATATCATGAAAATGGCCATACTGCCCAAGGTAATTTATAGATTCAATGCCATCCCCCTCAAGCTACCAATGACTGTCTTCACAGAATTGGAAAAAACTACTTTAAAGTTCATATGGAACCAAAAAAGAGCCCACATTGCCAAGACAATCCTAAGCAAAAAGAACAAAGCTGGAGGCATCACGCTACCTGAGTTCAAACTATACTACAAGGCTACAGTAACCAAAACAGCATGGCACTGGTACCAAAACAGAAATACAGACCAATGGAACAGAACAGAGGCCTCAGAAATAACACCACACATCTAAAACCATCTGATCTTTGACAAACCTGACAAAAACAAGAAATGGGGAAAGTATTCCCTATTTAATAAATGGTAATGGGAAAACTGGCTAGCCATATGTAGAAAGCTGAAACTGGATCCCTTCCTTACACTTTATACAAAAATTAATTCAAGATGGATTAAAAACGTAAATGTTAGACCTCAAGCCATTAAAAACCCTAGAAGAAAACTTAGGCAATACCATTCAGGACATAGGCATGGGCAAAGACTTCATGACTAAGATGCCAAAAGCAATGGCAACAAAAGCCAAAACAGACAAATGGGATCTAATTAAAGTAAAGAGCTTCTGCATGGCAAAAGAAGCTGTCATCAGAGTGAACAGGCAACCTACAGAATGGGAGAAAATTTTTGCAATCCACCCATCTGACAAAGGGCTAATATCCAGAATCTACAAAGAATTTAAACAAATTTACAAGGAAAAAACAAACAACCCCATCGAAAAGTGGGCAAAGGATATGAACAGACACTTCTCAAAAGAAGACATTTATGCAGCCAACAGACACATGAAAAAATGCTCATCACCACTGGTCATCAGAGAAATGCAAATGAAAACCACAATGAGATACCATCTCATGCCAGTTAGAATGGCGATCATTAAAAAGTCAGGAAACAACAGATGCTGGAGAGGATGTCGAGAAGTAGGAAAGTTTTTACACTGTTGGTGGGAGTGTAAATTAGTTCAACCACTGTGGAAGACAGTATGGTGACTCCTCAGGGATCTAGAACTAGAAACACCATTTGACCAGCCATCCCATTACTGGGTGTATACCCAAAGGATTATAAATCATGCTGCTATAAAGACACATGCACACATATGTTTATTGTGGCACTATTCACAATAGCGAAGACTTGAAACCAACCCAAATGCCCATCAATGATAGACTGGATTAAGAAAATGTGGCACATATACACCATGGAATACTATGCAGCCATAAAAAAGGATGAGTTCACGTCCTTTTCAGGGACATGGATGAAGCCGGAAACCATCATTCTGAGCAAACTATCACAAGGACAGAAAACCAAACACCACATGTTCTCACTCATAGATGGGACTTGAACAATGAGAATGCTTGGACACAGGGTGGTGAATATTACCCACTGGGGCCTGTCGTGGGTGGGGGACTGGGGGAGGGATAGCATTATGAGAAATAGCTAATGTAAATGATGAGTTAATGGGTGTAGCAAACCAGCATGGCACATGTATACCTATGTAACAAACCTGCATGTTGTGCACATGTACCCTAGAACTTAAAGTATAATTTAAAAAAAAAGAAAGAAAGAAACCATCTTGAAAATCTCCAATTTGTTTTCAATGTTTTCTCAGAAATTACGTTGCTTTTTTTTTTTTGAGGTGGAGTCTTGCTCTCGTAGCCCCGGCTGGAGCACAGTGGCACTATCTCGGCTCACTGCAACCTCTGCCTCCTGGGTTCCAGCAATTCTCCTGCCTCTGCCTCCCGAGTAGCTGAGATTACAGGCATGCACCACCACACCTGGCTAATTTTTGTACTGTTACTAGAGACAGGGTTTCACCATGTTGACCAGGCTGGTCTCAAACTCCTGACCTCAGATGATCCACCCGACTTGGCCTCCCAAAGTGCTGGGATTACAGGCGTGAGCCACCACACCCAGCCAATGACATTGATCTTAAACCATTTCTTTCTTCTGACCAAAACCAGAATTTGCCAGTTACGGCACTAATGCGTTTTCACCATCCATCATTACACTCCTTCCAGGTGATATTCTTGCCTCAATCATGTGATTCTGATAGGGTTTCCCATCACCCTCTCTCACTCCTATCACTATTTTAATGCCAGTGAGGCCCTGGCCCAGCCAATTATAAAATCCCTTTCCCTAGCCACAGTGGTCTTCTATGGACACTCTCAGACTCTAAGTCACCCAGGGATCTTTTAATTTTGAGATTATGATTCAGTAGATGTAGGTATACCTGAGAGTCTGCATTTTTAACAAGCTCACAGATGATGTCTATGTGGCTGATCTGTAGAGATCAAGATGTAGGTATCTCCCAGGGTGTAGGGTTGCACATTTTTTTTTTCTGTGTTTGTGGGGAGGTCTCCTGGATTGGCAAGAGATTTTTTTTTTTAATTTTTTTATTCCATAGGTTTTTGGGTAGCAGGTGGTATTTGGTTACATGAGTAAGTTCTTTAGTGGTGATTTGTGAGATTTTAATGCACTCATCACCCAAGCAGTATACACTAAACCCAATTTGTAGTCTTTTATCCCTCACTCCCTTCCCACTCTTTCCCCCGAGTCCCCGAAGTCCATTGTGTCATTCTTATACCTTCACATCCTCACAGCTTAACTCCCACTTATGAGTGAGAATATGTGATGTTTGGTTTTCCATTCCTGAGTTACTTCACTTAGAATAATAGTCTCCAATTCCATCCAGGTTGCTGTGAATGCCATTAATTCATTCCTTCTTGCGGCCGAGTAGTATTCCATGGTATATATATTCCACAGTTTCTTTACCCACTCATTGATTGGTGGGCATTTGGGTTAGTTCCACATTTTTGCAATTGCAAATTGTGCTGTTATAAATGTGTGTGTGCAAGTATCCTTTTCATAGAATGACTTCTTTTCCTCTGGGTAGATATAGGGTTGCACTTTAACCATACCAGTCCGGGTAGTCGACACAGAGGAAGCCAAGGGATGGGAAGAGAAGGCATAATTCTGTTGTGCCTGGTACCAGTCCTGCCCCACTCCAGTTACACGGCCCAATAAGTCTGCTTTTTGTTTAAATAAGACTGAGTTGAATTTCCTCATTTACAACCAAAAGAATTCATAGGATATAGATTTTCTTTTGATATAAGCTAAGTGTCCAAGCTGTTCTGGGCATAGCTATTCCTCATCTGTTACATTTGCAAACTACCTTCAAGAATGATGGCTTGTGACTCATGATTATAAGAAATAACTAGGAACAGATGTAATTCCTAAATTACTTCTTACATGTTGGAAAATTCATTTTTCTATTACATTAGTTATTATCTAAGTAAAGCTAATACATTGTCTTTTAGGGTTACTTGCTGATCAATTGAGTGAAAAAAATTGTATTAATTAGAAATTTTTATTCCCACTCTTCTGGCTTCCTGTAAGTAGATACCTATTGACTTCTCTGTAAGTGAATATACTTCTGGAACTAGGAAAACCCAACTCCAGTCTACTGTGGAGTACAGACATTTGTGAGCTAAATTCATATTTGAAATGACATGCGGATAGGTTTATGATCCTAAAATTCTACCAAGTTTATATGTTTCTACATACTACACTTATCTGTAAAAGTGTAAACCAATTGTTTTTAACTCACGTTAAAGATAAGTTGAGATCATTTTGCATTTTCAAACATTAGGGTCTCTATTAACTGCATTGTCAGTTAAAAAGGTCCTCCTCTATTCATTACTAATCAGCCTTGGAGAATAGATGGCTGGCAATTTCAAAGACAAGGTGAAGTGAACACTTGGAGAAATCTTCTTAGTGAAAAATGATTCATTGTTTTGAGAGGCAATAATGTCACAGTCCTCTGAGACAAAAAGAGAATCCTTACTACAAGAACAAATAGTAATTAGCAAATTTGCAAAGCATGGTCGTTATCCTTTTGTTACAGCAATTTATTTTTAGTCCAAGCGACAGTTTATTAGAGCGTTCATTTTAGGAAGCTAGGATAAATTAAGACAGCAAAGCAACTTTACCAGTTCAGCTCTACAGCCCAACCTTGATATGCTTCTTCCTCCTGGAGGCCTTACCTGTTCCCTTGGGATCAAGTAAGAGGCTTTGTGAAGGTTCCCACAGCATCCTAATCCCCAACCCCCATCATTATTCTCTGAACCACACCACACTGGTTCACTTTTCTGAAAGCCTCCTTGCCTCTCTTCAACCCCTCCTCACAGTGCAGTGTTTTGCACTGTTTGTGTTTTAAATATTTGTTTATGAGATGGACAAGAAAGTTGGAAGATGCTGCATTACAGTCAATGTAATTCACTAAATAAGGGCCACCTTATGTTTTTAAGTTGCTTGCATGGCGCTGATGCAATCTGCTTTGAGAAAATGTTATGCTTCATTGAGCTTTTTTTAATGTAATATGGAAAGGTTTTGTTTCTCCTATATGAAAAAAAAAACTACCCAATGCTGCTGAATTTGGCATTAAAAGTCATTGGTGGCGTTCTTTCATTCAAAAAAACTTCAAAAACAAAGCCATAGCGAAGGGTTTAATAGTATTGATAAAGTAAA
Source organism: Homo sapiens (assembly GCF_000001405.40). NCBI lineage: Eukaryota > Metazoa > Chordata > Mammalia > Primates > Hominidae > Homo > Homo sapiens. The sequence goes on from NC_000021.9 coordinate 17,387,126, forward strand.
GAACAAGTACCTTTTAAACACTGTCTCAAGGTAAAGGAAGGCACTTTGTGTTAGTTTTTTTCTGCTATTAAATTATATCAACAGCTACCACTAGAGGGCGCTTGGCCTCTTTTTATTTTTAGTAAACCAACTGCTGCTTTGAAATGGCACCTACTGCCTTCACATATTACTGTATCCATAAGCTGGTATTTCCATTCTTCACTGTATGTGCGAGTTACTTTATTCTTAAATGTTATATTACTCCTCACATATTTCATCTCTATAAGCCAATGATTTCGTTCATGTTTATTGAATACTAGAAAATTATAACTTTCCTCGATGGTGGTTAATTTGAAATGTATTCTTCTCCCCACTGACATACTAAGAAAAAAAAAGTTTCAATGTCAAAACGTAATAAGTTTCTACATTCAAAAAATAGATGAGAATTATTGTATATTCCTAAAAAATTAAGAGAAAAAACATTTAGCAACTATCTTTAACTTAATTACTGATGAGGTACCCAAATTTTGTCAGTGTATGGCACAGTTAGTGTCTCAGTAACTTTTTTCGCATGCTCCAAAAAAAAAAAAGTTCTGTTTATTACATAGTTAGGTTTATGCAACTTAAGAAGTATTTACATTCTAACAACTTACTCGCTGTTTGAAAAAATTACACACATAAACAAATGGGAAAAAAAATTTTTTTTTTTGAGACAGGGTCTCACTGTGTCACCCAGGCTGGACCTAGGCTCCAGTGACCCAAGCTCACTGCAGCCTCGACCTACTGGGCTCAAGTGACCCTCCCACTTCAGCCTCCCAAGTAGCTGGGACTACAGGTGCACACCACCACTCCCTGCTAATTTTTTTTTTTTTTAATTGTAGAGACAATGTCTCATTATGTTGCCCAAGTTGGTCTCAAACTCCTGGGCTCAAGCCGTCCTCCCATCTTGGCCTCCTAAAGTGATGGGATTACAGGCATGAGCCACTGTTCCTGGCCTATTTCATTATCTCACACTGACTATATTAGTTACCCATTGCTTCATAACAAATTACCCCCAACATTTAGTGGCTTAAACAACAAGTCGTTATTATCTCATAGTTTCTGTGGGTCAGGGATGCCAGAGGAGCTTATCTGGATGGCTGTCGCTCAGGATCCCTAATGAGGTTGCCTTCATGATGGTGGCCGGGGATGCAGTCACCAGAAAGGTTACCTGAGGCTGGAGGACCCACTTCTAAGATGGTTCATTCCCATGGCTATTGGCCAGTGGCATCAGCTCCCTGCTGGCTTTTTGCAAAAGAGCTCATTTCCTCTCCACATGGCACACCCACAGGGCTGCTTGAGCATCTTCACATGCTCAAGCCGTGAAGCAGCTGGCTTCCCCAAAACTGAGTGATCAACAGGAAAAAGCAAAGAGGAAGATGAAACGCCTTGTATGATCTAGACTTCTGAGTCTCACACTTGCCCTTCTGCCACATTCTAGTTTTCAAAAGCTAGTTACTAAGTCCAGCCCATATTCAAAGGGAAAGGAATTAGGATTCATCCATTAAAGGGAAGATTGTTAAAGAATTTTGGATACATTTTAACACCATCACAGTTACCAGTGAGGTACATGCACCTATTGGGCACTAGACACCCAACCTTTAGAACCAAATTCACCACCACCACCCTTATTTCCCGTTCCATGTTAATTGTCATATAGTATCTATTTTTTATCACAGCAACTTCTGAAAACCCAGCTTCCAAAGATATGTCTTTTAGAAAAGCATTACAGCACAATCTAAGGTTTAAATTATAAGGTATTTTGAGCCAGTAGTTCATGCAGCAGCCAACAAATGTTTCTGTGTTTTTCTTGAGAATTTTCAATATGTCGTGTGGCCCCTGTGAGGTCACTGCAACTTCTTGGGGTGCCTCAGTGCACAATTTGGGAATCATAAGCTTAATTATCTTTTTCTCAGAGATAAAAATGTAGAGTATGTTTAAAGAAGTCTTTCTAAATACATCAATAATTTCTCTATTATTCATACTCTGGGGATATTATAAAGGAGGCTATTTCTATTCATAGTATGGAAACAAAATGAAAATTTTATTACTTTATAAGTATTTATTTAATATAAAAATATTCTAAGGGCTGGACCTCTTTCCTTTGCCCATTTTAATTGAACAATGGATGGACTATGAAGAAAAAGTAATCCAAGAATAAAAAAATACAAATCAAAGGTTCAGTTTGAAAAAAAATTATCATCCAAGAAATAATCATTTCCTTTTTATATTAAAAAATGTTCTCTTTATTCTCATTTCCCAATATAATAATATTTTAGTGTTAGCCTGGAGTCTGTGCCAAATGATTACACAGTATGTCTACTTCCTGACCCATAGGGAGTTAATCTTCGATAAAAAACAAGCTCAGGTAATGAAAGATCTTCCTGTTAATTGCAAGTGATAGGAAACACACACACACATTTCTCTTACTCCTTCCTGAAACCCCACTAAAATAACAAAAATGATGTGAAAGGGCATAATTCCACAAAAATGAGGAGAACAGAAAAGGTGATTATAGAAGATGATTACTGTACACCAAAAAAAGATGATTATTGTACACAAAATGAAAAGCTTATAACCTTTGGTAAATGGCTTTGGACTCATATATCTCTGCTCTGCTGAGTACCTGAAAAAGAAAAAAACAACTAGAAGAAAGTTGATTCATGAACTCAGAAAACTTCTATCAATAGAGGAACCAGGGGCCTCTGAAGGTGTTAAGTTTGCAAGTAGGGCTGAAAACAGAAGAATTTGTTAAAAGTCTGAAAAAGGAGGTAACAGACTCTTCAGTCTCCTCCCACCGTCCATGCAGGCAGGTGACTACATGTCACAAAAGATGGTAGGTTTCTTATTAATAACATAGACGTTCATTGGATAACATAGATGTTCAATCAGTCTATTTTCAGAAGAGTGAGATTTCTAGTTCCCTTCTGGTAGTAGGCCCTCAGAACAATGACTGTTAGACTTATACTCCATCATAGGAGATAATGAAAATGTCCTTTAGGGAAACTGTCTAGCCCTATGAATACCGACAGCCAAGAATCCCCCAAGACAGCCAGCTCCTGCCTGAGCTCTCTACAGTAAAACCTGACACACTTGATAAGCTTCACAGGAACATGGGACTTCTTTTTTTTTTTTTTTTTTTTTTTTTTTTGATGGAGTCTCACTCTGTCTCCCAGGCTGGTGTGCAGTGGCGCAATCTCAGCTCACTGCAAGCTCCGCCTCCCGGGTTCACGCCATTCTCCTGCCTCAGCCTCCCCAGTAGCTGAGACTACAGGTGCCCGCCACCAAGCCCAGCTAATTTTTTGTATTTTTAGTAGAGACAGGGTTTCACCATGTTAGCCAGGATGGTCTCGATCTCCTGACCTCGTGATCCGCCCACCTCGGCCTCCCAAAGTGCTGGGATTACAGGAGTGAGCCACCGCGCCCTGCCTGAATATGGAACTTCTAATCAGGATTTACTGCCACTCTTTATAAAAAATAATTTATTTTAAAATAACTTACATAAAAACTTTCAGATCAGAACAAAGAATTCTTGTATCCCTTTCATTCAGATTGTCCAAACATTAACATTTTTCTGAATATGCATGGACACCAACCCCGTCTCTCTGTGTATATGTAGGGAGAGGAAGTGATCCATTATCATTAGTCATACTCTGAACTTTTTAAGAGAAAGCTTCAGACACGATGTCCCATTATCCCTAAATAATCCAGTGTGTATTTCCCCAAAACAAGAAAACTCTCCCATTCAAATTTTGCCAACTGTCCAAAACTCTCTCTTTTTCCTTTCTGGTTCAGGATTGTTCCAAGGAATATATGTTGCATGTAGTTCTTATGTCTCATCATATTCATTCAGCTTAAAACAATAATTCTGCCTTTGATGTCCTTAACCATTTTTAAAGAGTAAAAGCGGCCTGGTGCAGTGGCTCATGCCTGTAATCCCAGAACTTTGGGAGGCTAAGGCGGGCGGATCACGAGCTCAAGTGATCGAGACCATCCTGGCCAACACGGTGAAACCCCATCTCTACTAAAAATACAAAAAAACTAGCTGGGTGTGGTGGGGCGTGCCTGTAGTCCCAGCTACTCAGGAGGCTGAGGCATGAGAATCCCTTGAGCCGATGAGGCAGAGGTTGCAGTGAGCCGAGATCGTGCCACTGCACTCCAACCTGGTGACAGAGCGAGACTCCATCTCAAAAAAATAAAATTGAATTAAAATAAAGAGTAAAAGCTTCATATTCCATGTAATGACCATCACAGTGTTTCTCGGGAGCAGACACAGGACAGGTATCCTTCACAGGAATATTACGGAAACTATGCTATGCTTTTCCCACTGTATCTCATCAGGATGTACAAACTTAGCAAAGAAAACACACACACACACACACACACACACACACACACACACACACACAAAATATTAAGCCTGAGAAGTATAAGTACAAGGAAAGTACAAGAAAGGAAATGAAGCCAGAGTTTACTACGATAAAGAACTGGGAATGGTCTGAGACTTCATCTTATTTGCAAGCCAACAAGTTAGCCTGCCATAGTTTCATGGATGCTGGGGAAAGACCTGAGACTCCCAGGTCAGAGGCAAAGGATTTTATTACTCACAAAACAGTAAGCAATATGAGCTTTATGGTCACTCTGGTTCCCCTTGCCCTCCAGTTCCCATGGTGGTGACAAAGAGTATCCAAGGCAGATGCTGCATATGCAGTGGGTTTGTATCACAGCTAAAAAACCCTGAGCTTGGGGAACCTCAGTCTTTTATAATGGGTTGAAAGCAAACCTACATGACTTTTGGCCCCGTGGAAGACATTATCTTTACCATACTGGATAGCAAACACACCTGTCATCTGCTCTGGAGGGAGATGCTGTCTCTATAGTCCAAGGCTATTCACTATATTTATATCCTGGAAATCGCAGTCTGGAACAAAACCTGTCACTACCTGTGCCCTTAAAATGTGCAGAAATATAAATGACCCATGAAGAATTGTTGTCCAACCACTGCGTGACTCATCTCTGAAAATAATTACACATAAAACAATAAGGTAAACTCTAGATGTTGACTTACCCAAAAAATTGTGACTAAATATATTGGCAAAGGGGAGAAATGGGAGGAGTATGTTGGGGAAGGTAGACAGGCATAAAACATAATAAATTTTATATTCTATACTAGGAAATAAATAGATGACATCTAAAACAGAAAATCAAAAAATAGAAGTAAAAGTGTATTACTTTTAAAATGTAGGAAAATAAATAAAAGTGTTAAGTGTGGTATTGCCTCTTAGGTATAGTTTTGTTTTCATGAAATGGGAAAGGTGGAACAAGCAAGCCCTTTTTTTCAGCATAAGCTATTTGACCTTTTTAACTATACACAAGATTATCTTCATAAAAATTAAAATACAAAGCCAGGCATGGTGGTGCACACCTGTAGTCCCAGCTACTTGGCAGGCTGAGGCAGGAGGATCACTTGATCCCAGGAGTTCAAGACCAACCTAGACAACATAGAAGGCCCCTTCTCTAAAGTAAAATAAAATAAGCCTGGGCATGGTGGCTCACACCTGTAATCCCAGCACTTTGGGAGGCCAAGGCAGAAGGATTGCTTGAGCCCAGGAGTTCAAGACCAGCCTGGGCAACACAGTGAGACCCTGTCTCTACAAAAAAAAATTTTTAAAGGCCAGGCATGGTGACTCACGCCTGTAATCCCACCACTTTGGGAGGTCAAGGCCGGCAGATCACTTCAGGTCAAGAGTTCGAGACCAGCCTGGCCAACATGGTGAAACCCCGTCTCTACTAAAAATACAAAAATTAGCCAGGTGTGGTCGTGCACACCTATAATCCCAGCTACTCAGAAGACTGGGGCAGGAGAATCACTTGAACCAGGAGGCAGAGGTTGCAGTGAGCTGAGATCACTCCACTTGCACTCCAGCCTGGGTGACAGAGCAAGATCCTGTCTCAAGATCCTTTTAAGGCTCCATCTCAAAAAAAAAAAAAAAAAAAAAATTAGCCAGGCATGGTAGCACCCTTCTGTAATCCCAGCTACTCAGGGGGCTGAAATGGGAGGAACGCTTGATCCCAGGAGGTAGAGACTGCAGTGAGCCATGATCGCACCACTGCACTCCAACCTGGATGACAGGGCAAGATGCTGTCTCGAAAAAATAAAATAAAAGATAAAATAAAAAATGTAATTTAATTTAGAGAGAGAGGGAAATAGAAAGAGCTCCTGGAGCACAATAGTTTTATTATAATCATTAGATTATGGCTTGAGGAAATCTGCCCCAAACATCTCTAAAGAACTAATAAGGATATAGGCACCTCAGTGTTTGAAAAGGTAGCTTTTAAAGGCATAAAGCCAGTTGCCTTATCTTAAGGAACAGACATTCACTGTCAGACTATAGGACAACACCCTCAGCCCTGGTAGGTATGATTGGATTTCCACTCTAGCATTCACTGGGCACAATAGCTACGCGCTCTTCTCAAAGGATGTTGGAAGACACAAAATGACCTCATTGCTGGTATGGTGTCCGCAATAATATCTCCCAGCTGCTCTAGGCTGTATTCACAACAAAGGAAGCTTGACTTTGTGCAGCCCTCCAGGCTGTTAACTCTCAGGAGCCCATTCATCTACACAGACATATGGATAGGAACAACGTGGGGGTGGAGGTGGAAAAAAACAGTGAAAAAGAAAAAAATGCTAACATATTTCAATTTCATAAAGAGTCAAGTGTTATGTCACTTAACGTTTTCTTCCAATCTTTTTTGATACTAAAAAATAAAAGCAAAAAATTATGGAAGTGTATAAAGTAGAAATCAAAAGCACCCCATCCTACTTAATCATTCCCTAATTCCACTCCGCAGAAGTAACGGTTTTCAACCGTTCAAAATCTTTCCTTCCAGATATTTTTAGAATGCAAATATTTGCGCTTATATACATGTGAGCATACTGACTTGTTTTACCTAGATTATATCATACTATACATGCAAATTTGCCTTGTGTTTACTTTGCTTAAATGATTGCAAGATTGTTCTACCAGTACATAAAATCTGCCTTCCTCATTCTTTCTAAGAGCTGCAGTTTCTATTAATGATTACTTCTTTTTTTTTTTTTTTTTTTTTTTTTTTTAGAGAGAGCATCTTGCTCTGTCGCCCAAGTTGGAGTGCAGTGGCATGATCTCTGCTCACTGCAACCTCCACCTCCTGGGTTCCAGTTCAAGCAATTCTCCTGCTTCAGCCTCTCAAGTAGCTGGCATTAGAGGTCCGTGCCACCATGCCTGGCTAATTTTTGTATTTTTAGTAGAGACAGGGTTTCACCATGTTGGCCAGACTGGTCTCGAACTCCTGACCTCAGGTGATCTGCTTGCCTCGGCCTCCCAAGGGAGTGAGGCGTGAGCCACTGAGCCCAGCCTTATTTCCAGTTTTATCCTGTTATAAGCAATACCCATTCTTTTCCTATTTCTGTGCTGTTATTTGAGTATTTGTGAAGGATAAACTCTTCCAAGTCGAATCTGTGTCAGTGGGTATACAGAGTTTTCACATGGCTGCACCATACAGTCTTTGCAACCATACTGTAAAGCTAATAGTCTTGCTTTCATTTTAATATTAAGGAAAGTGAGAACCACAACATCCGGTATTTTCACCCAAAGTCTGGCAGAAATTAAGTGCAAAGATTAAAACTACATTCCTTTCAAATCCAAGTTCAAGAGTGGCTTAGACAGACAACGTCAAGAGCAGCAGTGGGCAGAATGGAGGCTTCTGGAGCAGGCATGTAGACACCCCTAAATGCTTAGGATGAGTAAACCAGAACTCCTTACTGACCAGACTGTGTAGCTCCAGCCTTTTACCATTCCCAAGATGAGGACGGTCCAGGACAGCTTTACAGAGATAACAAAGAAGTAGGATTGGCAACCCAACAAGTCAAAGTAGCCGTAACCGTAGCCACTCCCATGACCAAGCAGAAGCAGCTTCCAGAAGGAAGCAGATAGATTTGTTGTTGTGACAGTCTGGGACAGCCACACTTTGGGTGGAACAAATGAGGGCCACTGAGTCACAGAGGAACTTGGAGGCTAAGGCAGAGTGAACTGTGAATTCGAAAGACTTTCCCTGTGTTATCAAACACTAATGAGAAACTGATCACATAGTGGTTAGTGTTACATAAAATTAACCTATAAACCTCCACATTCATGGGTGCAAAGCTTTAGTTACATCTCAAAGAAGAGTTTTGATTTTAAAATGTATGTATTCAATGTTCTTCTTTCATAAGCCAAAAATATTCTTTATTTTCATAATAGTAATGTGTCGTTTGTTGACTACCTATAACTTCCAGACACTGTTAGAGGCTTTCTTTCTTTCTTTCTTTCTTTCTTTTTTTTTGGAGACAGAGTCTTGGCTCTGTTACCCAGGCTGGAATGCAGTGAGTAGCTGGGAATACAGGTACATACCACCATGCCCGGCTAATTTTTTTTTATTTTTAGAAGAGACGTGGTTTTGCCATGTTGGCCAGGCTGGTTTTGATCTCCTGACCTCAAGTGATCCGCACGCCTTGGCCTCCCAAAGTGCTGGTATTATAGGCGTGAGCCACCACGCCCAGTCCTAGAGGCTTTCAAAAATATAGGCCAGGCTCATGCCTGTAATCCCCACACTTTGGGAGGACGAGGTGGGTGGATTACTTAAGGCCAGGAGTTCAAGACCAGCCTGGCCAACATGGCAAAACCCTGTCTCTACTATACCAAAAAATTAGCTGAGCGTGGTGGTGTGTGCCTGTAGTCTCAGCTACTTGGAAGGCTGAGGCATGAGAACCACTTGAACCCAGGAGACAGAGGTTGCAGTGAGCCAAGATCATGCCACTGCACTTCAGCCTGGGTGACAGAATGACTCTATCTGAAAAATAAAAATAAAAAAAAAATTACAATATGCCTTCCTTTAATCCTTGTGAATTTGAAGTTGTTTTCTTTTAATATAAAGCAAAATTGATCTATAACTATACAGCCAAGAATTAGCAAATATCTGCAGAAAACCTCTAATAAAATGCAAAGACCACAATAAACAAACAGAAAGGAAAACTTAGGAAAAATAGAAACTATGCCAGGAGAAGAAAACAAAAAAAAAATTATATATAAAATGAAAATAAGAATCTATACTTTTAAAAAGAACATTCAGAAAATAAGTAAAATGAAAACATAAATTAAAAAGTCATTTATGTGGATGTGGAGAGAGGGGGAGTATGTTAGTATTTAGGAAATTTACCACAGATTTGAGCTAAAATAAGAGAGAAATTATGGAAATTTAAAAACCATACAAAGAGACCAAAGGTTTTAGCAAATAGAGAGTAAGTCACTGAAGAAATAAGTTTGTTAATTACCCAGAACTCTCAGATAAGTTTCCAGGTTGAAAAAGTTAATTACACATACAACATAATAGACAAAAATAGAACCATGTACGTCGTGAAATTTCAGGAAAATGGCACAAAAAAAGATCCTAAGAGTTTCCAGAAAGAAAAAAGAAAAAAAAAAAGGTTAAATACAAAGAATGCCTTCAGACTTCTCACCAAGAAGACTAGAAAGTAAAAGGCAATAGAACAATGCCTTAGAAATTCTGAAGGGACATTTTTCCCCAAACTCAAATACTGTATCCAGATAAACCCTCCATTGACTGTGATGATAGAGAGTCAAGAAAATAGCTTTCAGACATGCAAGGACTGAAAAAAGTTGCCTCCCGTGCATTCTTCGTCAGGATGCTACTAAAAGATTAGGCCCATTAATAGGAGGGAATAAATCAAGAAACAGGAAAGTATAAAATACAGGGAAAAGGAGATTCAACATGAGAAAGGGGTGGCAGGACTCTACTAGATGATGTAAATAGTACAGAATGACAGCTGTACACTGGCATAGAGGACTAGTTCCAACTGCAGTTAGTCAAAAGCCTCTGGAAGAAATTTCTCCCAGCACAATGTAATTGCTAGAATATCCCCAGATAACTGGCAAAGGCTTTGTGTTAAATAGCATGTTTTCCAAACTGGGATGTACTGACAGCAAGAGAAAGCATTGCTATTTATTACACCAGACAAACAGGCATAGACTGGGATGAAGGGTCAGAGTGGTATGAACAAAAGAATCTTCAAGAAAGGAAAATGGTCATAGTGGCATGAACAAAAGGAACATTATGATTACAAACCTGTGAATATCTCTCATAATATGTGAACACTGATTTTTAATCCAAACAAAATTACAGCATAATCATAGTGAAAAAATAAGTAAATATATGGAAGGAGTGGATAGGTGTGGTGAAGATGGGGGAAGAAAGAAAACAAAATCCTCATCTTCTACAGTGAGAAACTGATAGACAACGCATAAAACTGAAAAATAAAGTAGTCCTATAAGCATGTTATTTACAGGCAAAAAAGTAAATACAAGCTAGGCATAGTAGTGTGCACCTGTAGTTTCAGCTACTTGGGAAGGCTGAGGTGGGAGGATCACTTGGGCCCAGGAGTTTGAAGCCAGCCTAAGCAACAAAGTGGAAACTCATCTTTAAAAAAAAAGAAGAAAGGAGGGAAAGAAGGAGAAAGAGAGAGAGGGGGAGGAATGAAGGAAGGAAGGGAAGGAGAAAGGAAGGGATGAAGGAAAGAAAGAGAAAAAGAGGAAGGGAGGGAGGAAGGAAGGAAGGAGGGAGAAGGGAAGGGAGGGAGGGAAGGAAAGAGAGAGAGAGGGAAAGAAAGAGAGAAAGAAGGAAAGAAAGAAAGAAAAAGAGAAAGAAAGAAAGAAAGGAAGAAAGAGAAAGAAGGAAGGAAGGAAGAGAGAAAGAGAAAGAAAGAAAGAGAAAGGGAGGGAGGGAGGGAGGAAGGAAGATAGGAAGATGGGGGAATGTAGTTTTCCCTAGGGAGAAGAAGATGGGCAGACAGGAACAGGGAACTGCTGTTTTTCATAATTATTTGACTCTTTCAGCTTTATACATTTATATCTTTGATAAGAACAAAAAGTAAAAACAAAAATAAAGATGGGAGAGAGAGGAAAGAAGGGAGGGAGGGAGAGAGCAACATATGTAGTTTTCATCTAGTATAACTTAAAAATGTCAATAGAAATATCAAATCCAAGCTACATTTGACAGGATTTTCCAAAGTGTAGTTTATTTTGCTTTGGTGAGTTGCAGGGAAAGGGCAGGCAGAGTCTATGTAAAAGAAACCACCCTCCTTTGCGTTTACAAGAGTAAGGAAACGAGGGCAAACTGAGCTGATGCTGGAGCATGCCTGGTAGTTATGTATTCAGAAATGAGCCACTCCGCAGTGTGTGTTTGCAAAGCCGTGAATCGTGGGCCTTTAATTTTCTTCGTGGGATTTTCAATAACCAACAGATGTTACTGAGCAATCTATAAAATGAAATTGTGAAAATAAAGGGAAAAAAAACCACCCACACCTTTTCTTTCTTTGCTATGTTCTTATGGTTGCTGCTACTTCACCCAAACAGATATTGCCTTTTCTGAAGGCACCAAATACCTGTTTGTAATTTGATTTTCAGAAATCTTAGCCAACATGTTCTGATTAGGCCTAAAGAAAATACGGTGTTGCTAATACCTCTTCATCACTGACTTACCTCCTTCAGGGGTTTGGGAAAAGGCTATTTTTTTTTTCTAAATTTCATCAGTGATATACTTGTGCAAAGCCCTGTGTGAAGACTGTTATCAGAGGCTGCCTCCTGGTAGATATGGACCCCCTGCCCTCAAACTCTCTACTATAGGTACATATTTTCTTATCTTCTCTGAGCATCACTTACTTTTAAAGCCATTAAAAAAAAATTGAGAGTTACAAAAAAATTCAGTCAGCACAAATTCCTAATGAAGGTGTTCAAAGCACCTTTTTTTTCTTTTTTTAACAGAGTCTCACTCTATTGCCCAGGCTGGAGTACAGTGATGCAATCGTGGCTCACTGCAGCTAATTGTTTAATTTTTTCTAAAGGCAGGGTCTTGCTGTGTTGCCCAGGCTGGTCTCAAACTCCTTATCTCAAGCAATCCTCCCACCTCGGCCTCTCAAAATGCTGCAAATACAGGCATGAACCACTGCATCGGCCTATAACTTTTTTTTTTGAGACAGAGTCTTGCTCTGTTGCCCAGGCTGGAGTGCAGTGGTGCAATCTCAGCTCACTGCAACCTCCACCTCCGGGATTCAAGTGATTCTCTTGCCTCAGCCTCCCAAGTTACTGGGATTACAGATGTGCACCACCACACCCAGCTAATTTTTAGTAGAGATGGAGTTTTGCCATGTTGGCCAGGCTGGTCTCCAACTCCAGACCTCAGGTGATCCACCCACCTCGGCCTCCCAAAGTGCTGGGATTACAGGCATGAGCCACCATGCCTAGCTGCGCGTTTTTTTTTTAATAGACTCCACTATAAAACATTTACTAATTCAACTCACATCCTTGAACTTAAAAACAGAGAAACAATCTAACTTACTGTCAACAATTGCTACAGGCCATGGGATGCCCCCTGCTTTTATGGCACCATGGACCCAGCATTTAGGGGAGGCAGTAGAGACACATCTAGGACTGAATTCCTACTCCACAAGTGTCTAGCTGTGTAATTTTTTAGGTATTAATCATGCCATACCTCAGTTTCTCTATCTGTAAAGTAAAAACTGTAAGGCCCAGCCAGGCACCGTGACTCATGCCTGTAATCACAATACTTTGAGAGGCTGAGGCAGGTGGATCACCTGAGGTCAGGAGTTCGAGACCAGCCTTATCAACATAGCAAAACACCATCTCTAACAAAAACTAGCCGGGTGTGGTTGCGTAAACCTGTAATCCCAGATACTCAGGAGGCTGAGGCAGGAGAATTGCTTGAACCCGTCAGGTGGAGGTTGGGTTGCAGTGAGCTGAGAGATCACACCACTTCAACTTCACTCCAGCCTGGGCAAAAAAGCGAAACTCCGTCAAACAAAAGAAAAGAAAGAAAGAAAGGAAAGAAAGGCAAGAAAGAAAGAAAGAAAGAAAGAAAAGAAAGAAAGAAAGAAAGAAAGAAAGAAAGAAAGAAAGAAAGAAAGAAAGAAATAAAGAAAGAAAGAAAGAAGAAAGAAAGAAAGAAAAGATAAAACAGTAAGGCCTTCACATATGCTTTACCACAGTAAGTGGCTTACTTCAGTAAGGCAATCAACAAACACAGAACTCTCTTTCCTCTTATTTCTTGAGGCATGGGGAAAGAGTATGCAGGCATGCCTACTTTCCCTTTCACATGACCCAGGTTCTGCACTGTCTCCTCTTATTTGGGATATGAGAAGAAAGGGAAGATGTTAGCCAATGAAAGACATCCTTGTGAGCTTGCATTCAATTCACATTAAAGGATCTGGAAAATCAGATCAACCCCCTGGGTTCTGCCCTTTCACTCAAGAGTCTGGACTTTGTTAAATCACCGGCAGATATATATTTTTTTTCGGTGACACTGTCAAATCAAAGGCCAGTGAGAGCTAGCAGGATTTCTCTCTTTGAAAAGGGTTTCTAAACAGAAATTACAGGACAATAGTAATTCACTTGTGTCCCTTTAGGAAACGCAGTAAAGAAAAACCATAAGCCATACAACAGACAAATAAATTAGCAGATTATAACCAGGAATTCCTCATCTTTTCTTCTTGGGTATTGTCTATATTATGATCTTGCATTTGTATAGAATAGAATACACAAAAATCTTAGGGCCTAGAATATTAGAGGCACTTAAAACCAGTAACCCCAATTTACAGATATAGAAACTGTTCACAGAGATCAATAGCCTTTTCCAACTTACTACAGCTTATTAGCAGTGGGTCTTATTTCTATCCATGCACTTTACTCTTTAGCTTGCAATTCACCAGCTTTAGCTTGCAATTTCAGACACAATGCAATTCATACACAATGCAATTCACAATTTAGCTTGCAATTCACTAGCTTTAGCTTGCAATTTCATACACAATGCAATTGTGTATGAAAACTGTATTTTTGCGTGCCACAGATTTATATAACTATATTATTCTGTGATTTAGGAATGAGCTAATAGGCTTTACTTTTATTTTAAGGAACTCTCAATAAAAGTTCTGCTTTTTATTTAAGTAAAAAATGTTAAAGGGCCGAGCACAGTGGCTCACACCTGTAATCCCAGCACTTTGGGAGGCTGAGGCAGGTGGATCACTTGAGATCAGGAGTTCAAGACCAGCCTGACCAACATGGTGAAATCCTGTTTCTACCAAGAAATACAAAAATTAGCCAGGTGTGGTGGTGCGCACCTGTAGTCCCAGCTACTCAGGAGGCTGAGGTGGGAGAATCGCTGTAACTCAGGAGGCGGAGGTTACAGTAAGCGGAGATCACACCACTGCACTCCAGCCTGGGTGACAGAGTAAGATCCTGTCTCAAAAAAAAAAAAAAGTTAAAGGGTGAGTGTAAAAGGAAAGGCTGGGTGTTTGGGGAATCAAATAGAAAATAAGGAAATTGTCTAACACTTCATTGGCAAGTCTAGAAATAAAAACGAGACTGTTTTTTCTGTTTCTTTCCTCCTTTGTATTGTCCTTAGGTTCCTCTCTGAAGGCAGAAATGTCAAAGATGCTTTGCTAAAACCCAAAAAGTTGCTATGCAACCTACATTTAAAATTATTTCTTCCTACCTAGAATCCCAGGGATCTATAATTTTGCCATCTAAGAGAGAAACATGCCACGTCAGAAGGAAGGAGAATATGACAGCAGATTTTGGAATCAATTGTCAATGTAGTTTGCTAGCTTATCATGGTTTCTTAGACACTGTGTGAGCAAATCTCACAAATGGAACTGATTTACCATAAAAATGTGCCTAATTTCCATTAAATCTTGTTCGTTGCTTTACTGAGGCACTGAAGTTACCAATGTTCCACTGGTTGACCTGCGGGGCTATCTCTAGGTTATGTTACTCCAGAAAATGAATTGTGTATAAAAGAGGCCTTGGAGGAAGGCGTTTTATTCGCATCAGTTGTTTTGCACATTGCTTAAGCTAGAGATGTTAGCAGCTTCTTAAAGAGAGCAGCGTTAGCCAGACCTTTGGGGCAATAGTGGGAAATGGAAGTTTCTCTGTCCTATGCTTGATAGAACCATGTCGGTTGAGACACGTTTCTATCATGCATAGGGCAGGGTATAAGAAATCTGTTTTCAGAGACTTCATGGGATAAATGAAGGCTTAAGAGCCCTTCATATCTCAGTTAAAATCCCAGAGCTGCTATTTGCCCTTGATGAAGTTAACCTTCAAAAGTCATTTCCTTCTTCTAGAATAGGCATGAACCAACTCAAGGGGTTATGATGAGAATTAAATTTTAAAATCATATGTAAGGTGCTCATCCCAGATGTGGTCATCAGTATGTACATAACAAATGCCAGCAATCTTTTTGATTACAGTGATGATGATTATTCTAATTGAGGCACTGCAATTTACCAGCAGTGTGTCCTTGAAAGCACATTTTCTTCAATTGGAAAATGAGGATAATAATATTTACCTTGCAGAGTTGTTCTGAGGACTAGAAATGCTGTATGGAAAGTAGCCACAGTATCTAGCCTCACACAGGTAGACTCTTGATAACTTGTTGTTCTTGCTATTTTCACTGCCACCTATTATTTATATAACAATCTGTTTAAACTTGAGAGAAGCCATGTTTCATATAAAGGCTGGCTTTTCTTGATATAGTAAGTTTTATACACTGTTCTATTTGATAAATGTTCACTCAAGAGATAGATTAAATTTCCCTTTGTCTCATAAGTCTCTGTTCAAGTTACCCTAAGCATAATTCCCAAAAGAAAGTTGTGGTTAAAATCAAACCGGTGTCCACTACTAACAGCAGAGCTTATCAGCACCACCGTGAAAAAGACACACAAAAAATTCCCCAGCTAATTGAGATATGCGCTGTCAGCAGTTTGGACAAGGCAGGAAACCAACCAGGGTTAGAGGGCCTAGAGAGCATTTTATTCTCTTTGGCCTCAACCTTCTAAATATCTTATTGCCACATATAGTTTATTAGTCATAGAAGAATGGGCTTTATTCGAGTAACATTTTGCAGAAGCTGTTAGCCATCTGGTCTGCCCACATTAGGCACCAGATTCTTGATTCAATTATCAGTTGGAGCCACATGGTTCCAGCACATCTCTTAAGCAATGCCAAAATACATCCTTTTCAATTGAGAAAAGAGAGGAAGTTAGTGGAGAACACAGAGCCTGCAATATGGGAGAAAAACATTTAGTTGCTTTGGAAGTCCTAAGTTCCGCCTTATTTTGGCTCTGCACTACCAGTACACCCTTCCCTACCAATTCAACCTCCTAGGCATCTATGGCTTAATAATTCCTTCACCAGAATTAACAATGTCCTTCTGCAGGTCTCTCCAGGCTCTAGAATTCTAAAAGACATTCTCTTCAACTTGGTCAATTTTTTCTCAACCAGGCATATGTTTCTAAAGATTTTTGAATTGATTGGTAAAGTTAAACCCTCCTTCAGGGAACTTAGGCCTCTTTACCAACTGTTCTCTGATATATCAGTTTCGTTTCCCTGTATTAGCCTGGGTTTCCTGAGACAAGGTAAGAGGAATTTAGGGGCAGTAATCCTAAGGAACAAGAGTAAGGGACTTAGTAGAAAGGAATTGAGGAGAGAAAGTCAAACCAAACGTATGTTACAAAACTGGTCATCACTATGGGCAACAGAGCCTTGATCCTCCCACCTCCTGGAGACTCTCTGAGAAGCCGTGTTGATGTGATGCAGGGTTGTCAACCTGGGGGGATGAAAAAGCAGAGGACTCATCCAGTCGCCCATCTTCTACTGGTCAAGCATTGCCACATGGAGCGTTCGCACTTCCTCCCTTTTAGGTTTGTCCATGCATCAGAATGGCAGAACACGTTCCCC
This sequence comes from Homo sapiens, assembly GCF_000001405.40. Taxonomy (NCBI): domain Eukaryota; kingdom Metazoa; phylum Chordata; class Mammalia; order Primates; family Hominidae; genus Homo; species Homo sapiens. The sequence goes on from NC_000021.9 coordinate 17,403,994, forward strand.
CAGGCATCTTTACAGGGCTGTGACAAAGAAGCCCATGGCAGAAAGCACAACACTCACAGTGCAACTAAGACAAGGGGAAGTCTAGTTTCACCTGCCATGCCTGGTAGCCACAGCAATGACTGGATTAAAAATGATTAGAACTTCCAGAAAGCTAAATACATGGAGGCCAACAGGAAAATGAAGAAGAATTCATCCAAGTGCCGGGAGGGTGGCACACCCCTTCCAGACCTCACCCTTGTATGTTTTCATCTGGATGTTTATCCTTTAAAATGTCCTTCTCAGGGCCAGGTGCGGTGGCTCATGCCTATAATCCCAACACTTAGGAAGGCCAAGGCACCCAGATAGCTTGAGCCCAGGGGCTCGAGACCAGCCTGGGCAACATAGCAAGACCTTGTTTCTAGAAACAATTAAAAAAAAAATTAGCGCCAGGTGCGGTGGCTCAAGCCTGTAATCCCAGCACTTTGGGAGGCCAAGACGCGTGGATCACCTGAGGTCGGGAGTTTGAGACCAGCCGGACCAACATGGAGAAACCACGTTTCAACTAAAAATACAAAATTAGCCAGGCGTGGTGGCGCATGGCTGTAATCCCAGCTACTCAGGAGGCTGAGGCAGGATAATCACTTGAACCCGGGAGGCGGAGGTTACGGTGAGCCAAGATTGCGCCATTGCACTCCAGCCTGGGCAGCAAGAGCGAAACTCCATCTCAAAAAAAAAAAAAATTTTTTTTTAAATTAGCTGGGCATGGTGATACGGGCAGTCCAGGCTACTCAGGAGACTAAGGTGGAAGGATCACTTGAGCCTGGGAGGTCAAGACTGCAGTGGGCCATGATTGTGCCACTGCACTCCATCCTGAGCAACATAAGACCTTGTATCAAAAAAATTTTAAAAGGTTGGCTCTAAGGTGATAGAAAGCAGATCAGAGAGGTGACCCTGATGTTCATGTGACCTCAATGGGAAGATTCACATTAATAAGGCTCTCTTCAATATTTTATCAACCTTCATGAATGGTAAAGAAAACTTTATCACTTCCATTTCATAATCTGAATCTTGTTTGGGGTGAGAGATATAGTTTTTTTGACAGTAAATGTATATTTTTAAAACTTTCCATGGAGCCTGTTACTTCACAAATTATTTTTAAATTATACATTTTAAAAGTGGATTTTTAAAATATTTATTGAACATTTATTATCCTAGATATTTTTGAAGAGGCAGAATACAAAAAGAACAAAATGAGATCCTTTTCTCCAACAAGCTTATAAACTACTCAAGGGAGACAGGGTAAGACAGATAATTAAAGAGATTGAATGAAGCTAATAGAGGGAGTAGAACCAATAATGAATGTACTCTAAATTTGTAGCAGTTACTCAGCAGACAGTCATCAATGCTTCAGAATCCTAGCCAGATGTACAGAAACATTATAGATTGACCTGACATACATAGAAACAAACATGGATACAAAAACAAACAAGAAAAAACACTATTTTCAGAAGCCAAAATTTTAAACTGCCCTGTAGGGCTGAGGTTTTAATACCCATTAGAGAATAGAGGATGTAGCTTCAGGGGCTAAAAGTGGAGGAGCTTAAATTGAGTCACCAGGTAATACTGACAATCACAAAAAAGCTTCCCAACTTACGAAAAATGCATTTAGAAAAATTATCCAACTAACCAAAATAACAGAAAACAATCTTGCTATCTATATACAAATTTAAACCACTCACGTAGTGCAAAATTTACAAGCCAAAAAAATTAATGCTTCATTCAGACTATTGAAATTGCTAGGGTCAAGGAGAAGAAAACTAAAAACTGATCTTTTACAATCATAACCAGGAAATGCAGAGGCTCTCAACAAAATTCTTCAGTGCAAATGGGTCACCGTAAAAAATTACAACCTTTACAAAGAAATGAACCACCATAATGGAGAATTAGCAGATACAGCAAAGAGAAAAAAAATAAGTGGTAGAATAATCTGAAAGAGACTCTAAAATAAGTTTGTGTGCATCAGTTAGCTTCTGCTGCATAACAAAGTTCCCCAGGATTTAATGGCTTAAAACAACAACTACCTCATTTTTGCCGTCAGCAATTAGAGTGGTTCTTCTAGGCTGGGCTGGGTTGGGCTGGGATAATTACTCAGGTGGGCTCACTCCTATGTCCTCGGTCATCTTATGGATTGGCCAGGCCTGACTGCTTTAAGTTGGTGTTGTCTGGGATGAATGGGACTCCTGGAGCCCCTTTCCATGTGGTCTCTACAGCAAGCTAGTGAGGGTTTGTTCCCATGGTAATCTGAGGGTTCCAAGAAAGTAGACAGAATTGTGGAAACTTATTGAGCCTTAGGCTCAGAATTCGTACCATGCCTTATCTCCCACAATCAGTTGGCCTAAATGAGTCACAGGGTCTATTAGTCAATTCTCACACTGCTAATAAAGACATACCTAAGACTGAGTAATTTATAAAGGAAAGAGGCTTAATGAACTCACAGCTCCACATGGCTGAAGAAGCCTCACAATCATAATGGAGGTGAAGGAAGAGCAAAGGGACGTCTGACATGGAAGCAGGAAAGAGAGCGCTTGTGCAGGGGAACTCCCACTTGTAAAACCATCAGATCTCACGAGACTTATTCACTACCACAAGAACAGTATGGGGATAACCGCCCCCATGATTCTATTATCTCCACCTGGCCCACTATTGACACCTGGGGATTTTTACAAGGTGAGATTTGGGTGAGGACACAGCCAAATCTTATCACAGGGCCAATCCAGATTGAAGAATTACAGGGATAGACTGGACTTCTTAGTGGAAGGGAAAGAATCTGTGATCATTTTTCTGCAACTTGCCATAATGATGTAATAACTTAAAAAGATAAAAGAAGAAATAGGAACTAATCAAGGAAGAGGCCTGATATGGTTTGGTTGTGTCCTCACCCAAATCTCAGCTTGAATTGTAGCTCCCATAATTCCCACATGTTGTAGGAGGGACCTGGTGGGAGATAATTGAATCATTGGGGAGGTTTCCCCCATACTGTTTTCATGGTAGTGAATAAATCTTACAAGGGCTGATAGCTTTATAAGGGGAAACCCCTTTCACTTGGTTCTTATTCTCTCTTGCCTGCCACCACATAAGATGTGCCTTTTGCCTTCCATCATGATTGTGAGGCCTCCCCATCCATGTGGAACTGAGTCCATTGAAACTCTTTTTCTTTATAAATTACCCAGTCCTGGATATGTCTTTATCAGCAGCATGAAAACAGACTAATACAAAGCCAGTATGCAGAAACAATAGGAAAATTTGGGAAAAAAAAAAAGCCGGGTGCAGTGGCTCATGCCTGTAATCCCAGCACTTTGGGAGGCCAAGCCAGGCAGATCACCTGAGGTCAGGAGTTCGAGACCAGCCTGACCAACATGGAGAAACCCTATCTCTACTAAAAATACAAAATCAGCCAGGCATGGTGGTACATACCTGTAATCCCAGCTACTCAGGAGGCTGACCAGGAGAATTGCTTGAACCTGGGAGGTGGAGGTTGCAGTGAGCGGAGATCGCGCATTTGCACTCCAGCCTGGGCAACAAGGTGAAACTCCATCTCAAAAAAAAAAAAAAAAAAAAAAAGAATCTTCCTCAAGTGTCAAAGTAGAAAAGAAGGGATCTAAATACTTCATCAATCATTAAAGCTCTTCCCTATACTCAAGGATCTCTCAACCCCAATTTCCAGAATTAGCCTCCTTCTACTCCTCCATGTGTCAGCCAAAGCATCTCACTCTCCACAGATGGTTTTGCTTCTAAATTTCCTTCTGTCCAGAATATATCTTTTCTACCAAACTGCTCAATATTTCAATATCTCCTTTCAAACTTCTATTTATTCCACCTACCTTTTCTTCCATGGAAATTAAAAATAGAAGTAATAGTATTTATGATTATTTATGATTATAGTACTTAAGATTCTTTATCATGTTTCAGCTACTGTTCTAAGTACTTTGCATGAATTCTGTTACCTATTCCTACAACACCTTCTCAAGGTAAATACCATTAAAGATCCATTTACAGAAGGAGAAAAAAAATCCGTATCTTCCTGACTCATACTTTTCACAATCTGCATGTTAACTTCCACTCTAAAGTATCATTTCTCAGTTCTCCTAAAGATATGATTTCTCTAACTTTTGGCTTTTTATTTTTCTTTAAACAGACTGACAATAGCAGGTATTGGTGAGGGTGCAGAGCAACTTACACAGTGCAGGTGGGAGTGTAAATTGATATAATCACTTTGGAAACCAACCCACTATTCTCTCTAAAATGAAGGTACACATATCCTATGATCAGAAATTCAAGCACTATGCTAGGAGATACCAAACAAATGCATGCATATGCACTAAGAAACAGATCCAAGAATGTCCACAGCATTTTTTTAATAATCCCAATCTTGAAATAATTCAAGTATCCATTAATAGAAAATGGATAACTAAGTTCATGTATTATAAGATGGAGTACTATATTGCAATAAAATTTAGCAAACTACAAATATATGATGAGCATGGGTGAATATTAAGCACATAATGAGTGAAAGATGCAAGACACAAAATATAGTGCATGACTCCATTTATATAGAGTGAAAAAAAGAAGGCAAAATGAAAGTTCATTGTTTGGGGATGCATGCTTAGGAGAGAAAACTGTAAACCAATGCAAAAAGGCTGTTGCCTTAAAAGTTAGTAAAGCTCTTTCTCCATATGGTAGAGAAGAAGTAATGTCTAGGAGGAAACATTTGGGGACCTTCTAGGTTCTGGCAATGTCCTATTTCATGACCTTTCTGGTGGTTCCATGAGCATTTCCTTAACGATCATTCATTAGGCTGTACGATCTTGTTTTGTGCACATTTCTATATATTTGCAAGTTATGTTTCACAATAAAAATGTTTAAAGAAGAAATAACAAAGATATGTAGTTACTTCATATGATATGGAAGCTAAAGGGTAGGTAGTTGAGCATTCAACATGATCACACTACTGCCTCTTGGAACACTAACAGTATGTCTTGCATTAGTTCAGATCCTCCAAAAGCAGACGTGAAGATCGGATTAAATATGCAAGAAATTTATTTGAAACACCTCTTAGAGAAGGAATGAGGGGAGCTAGAAGAGGCAAGGCCGGCCTTCAGACAATGATACAAGTTCTGACAGTTTGAAGGTGAGAGGAGAGAAAGGGTTGGATAAGTAGAGTCTCAGAATGCAGGGACATTTTAAGAAGCTTCAGCCAGGCAAATGAGACATATTCAAGCCAAAGTCACCCTGTGGAAGATACCTGCTCTTTGCAGGGTTTGACCTGCTTTAATGTCCCTGCCATTCTCAGGTATTGGCTGAGAGCAGCTTGTGGGAAATGTAGCCTTTGAGGAAATGCAATGGTAGATTCAGAGCCCAGCAGCTATGCACCAGTTACATCTTCCCCACAGCAGGAGATCTGAGCAGCACATTTCCATAACTGCTAAATCCACTAAAAGTGATGTAAATTGTGAAAAATCAAATATAGCAGTGCAAATAAATAAGAAACACAAAACAATGTGAATTGCATAATTACTAACTTATAGTGTAAATATGAATAATGGATTCGCTAATAAAGTTTTATGATCATTTCAGTCAGTAAATCATTGAATATATATAAAATATTACATTACTATTACTCTCATTATTACTATAACATACTGTTAGTCTGCATTGAAGACTAGGGAAACTAGATTTCATATCCACTGAGTTCTATCTGAGATTGGCAGGTAACATACTGAATGATTGTATTAGTCCGTTCTCATGCTGCTATAAAGAACTGCCCAGCGACTGGGTAATTTACAAAGAAAAGAAGTTTAATTGATCACGGTTCCGCATGGCTGGGGAAGCCTCAGGAAACTTGCAATCACGGTGGAAGGGGAAGCAAACACATCCTTCTTCACATGATGGCAGGAAGAAGGAGAGCCGAGTGAAGCTGAGCTTCTGCCCCTTATAAAACCATCAGATCTCATGAGAACTCACTCTCTCTCATGAGAATAGCATGGGGGTAACCGACCCCATGATTCACTTACCTCCCACCAGGCCCCTCCCATGATACGTGGGGATTATGGGAACTACAATTCAAGATAAGATTTGGGTGGGGACACAGCAAAACTATATCAGTGATTTCGATTCCTAAAGCCCCGAGAAGCCAGTTGAACACTTCTATTCAAAGCATTTGGCTTTGTCTTTCAACCTTGATAACCAAGATGATAAAGAATATCCCAGCAGGTGGGGATGTGTCAATCTTTATTGGTGTCCTGGTCTAGAATTTGAACAGCCTAGAGCAGGAGTCCCCAACCCGCAGTACCGGTCTGCGGCCTATTAGGACCTGGGCCACACAGCAGAAGGTGAGCCACCGGCCTAGCAAGCATTACTGCCTGAGCTCTACCTCCTAACAGATCAGTCTCCCATCACCCCCAGACGGGATCGTCTAGTTGCAGGAAAACAAGCTCAAGGCTCCCACTGATTCTACATTATGGTGAATTGTATAATTATTTCATTATATATTACAATGTAATAATAAAGGAAATAAAGTGCACAATAAATGTAATGCACTTGAATCATCCTGAAATCACCCTCTGCCCCCCTTCTGGTGGAAAAATTGTCTTCCACAAAACCCATCCTGGTCCCAAAAATGTTGCTGACCACTGGTCTAGAGAAATTTGACTTTTAATTAAAGGCATTTAACTTGAAGTTGCCACATTGTAACAGAAAGTAAACAAGCTACCAACCCAATCCCATGTGATTTAATGGTAATGATAGAGTGTTAAGAAAATAACTATCTCTAACAGTAAGGGATCCCAACCCCTTTGCCCGAAGCAGAAGGAGAAAAGAGCAGGCATTCATGCTCGACACTCAGGTTTCTCTGGAATATTTTGTTCTCTCATTGTGTTTGTCATACCATGATTGTGCTATTTAGAATTCACTTTCATTAGTAGACTAGGAAGAGTCTACAAATAATGAAAGTCAATAATGGGGGAAATTGAGAAAACTGGTGTGTGTTTCTTGGTGGCTGTCATTTCACTGAAACTTATTTATCCTTGGGTTATACCATGGTTTAACAGGGGAAATGTTTGTATTTCAACCTTGAACTTGTCATTGTTCACCTGTTTCAATAGGTGAAATGCCTGCTAAAATAAAAAGTAAAAACTTCCTTGGAAATTAGGTCAGAGGTCCTTTATTACATTTTGAAGTAAATATGCTGCTTATTTCTTATTCTTTTTTTTTTTTTTTTTTGAGACAGAGTGTTGTTCACCCTGGCTAGAGTGCAGTGGCATAATCTCAGCTCCCTGCAGCCTCCACCTCCTGGGTCCAAGTGATTCTGCTGCCTCAGCCTCCCAAGCAGGTGGGACTACAGGTGGCACCACCATGCCCAGCTAATATTTGTATTTTTAGTAGAGACAGGGTTTTGCCATGTTGGCCAGGCTAGTCTCGAACTCCTGGCTTCAAGGGATCTGCCCACCTCAGCTTCCCAAAGTGCTGGGTTACAGGCTTGAGTCGCCATGCCTGGCCTGCTTATTTACTCTAATAGTTCTACATTTCCTTGATATTGTTCTCAGAAGCAATGGAGGCTATCATTTTAAAATGCAGTTACCTGTGTTGGAAAGAAAATTGTAGCATTTCCTTTTTTGAGGAAATGAAGTGAAAAAGTGAGCCACTGGGTTAGTCTCCAAGTGAAGAAAGTCAGGAATTCTTGTCCCAGTGGGAGAGGATGAGTTTGTTTTCAGGCATTACATTAAATGAGAATATTTGTCTCATCACTGTAAGTGTGGGAAGAAGTATGCGTGTGGATATTGGAAAGCCAGAAGAGCCCTTGCCAGGGCAGTCTTGATGGATGAACATCCTACCTGCTAGGGAACATGAAGGAAGCCAATCCCTCCCAGCCATCGTCTTTGCTCCTACCCTGGCAGTCACAACACAAGCAAGAGATTCAGGTAGGCCAACTGGATGTTCTTGCTCAAGTGTTTGAGTTATAAATAAGTAACACAAAGAAAACAAAATAGTCAGAATCCATTCACAGCCACAGTAATGGTGATAGTGTCGTGGCAAAATCACCATTGACTAGCCAGGCATCCTTTTGCTCTGTAGCTGCCCTGGTTCTTGCCCTTTCGTCAAAATTTTCCTGCAGTCTTTCATTGATTCCTGGAGATCTCCATATCCTTCTAACAAGATTTCTTCTTGCTTAAGATTACTACAAAAGCAGTTTTGCAACAAAAGGCAACCTAACTGAACATTAGCTAAGCAGGCAAAGGGGAGCTAAAATTGTAATCCCAGTGTGGGATCAGGTCACTAAACAGGAGCTGGAGGCAGAAGCTCAGTCACAGAGAGTTAAAAGTAAACACCAATGGGAAGACAAATTGCTTGGGGCTCCCCCCAGGCATCTGAATGCTAACTCTTCACCAGTTTAGCTAATTCCCTTGCCGTCAGCTACTGAAGCTCAGGGTCCCCCTGCACCCTCTGCTCTGGTCAGTATAACTCAGGAAGTGGCTACTAGTGATTCTGCCAAGAGTAAGCCAGCATGTGCTGGTCTCCATAGGAATGGAACCAGAGAAAACAGGGACCGAGAAGCTGTGAAAATCATTAGTAAAACTCTAGAGCTAGCAAAAGTTCATAAGGTCAAGAGTTTCCATGGAAGGAGGGGTCTCCACTAAGTGGGAAGATACTTCTTCCTTTAAGACAGAAGGAAAAGGTGGAAAGCTGGGGAAGGAGGCAGCAGGATTGGGGATAAGAATATGTGAGGTAAGTTATATTGGTAGCTTCTATTTTCTATGGGAAGCAAGAAGCCAGTCTGTCTGCTAAGAATGAGGGACTGAGAGAAAGAATAGAGGTTTGAAGATCAGATAAATGCTGTCAATGGTCACTACTGGGGAAAGTATGAATAAAGCAAAAAAAAAAACAATGGTCTGGTGCAGTGGCTCACGCTTGTAATCTCAGCACTTTGGGAGACCAAGGCAGGTGGATCACTTGAGGTCAGGAGTTCAAGACCAGCCTGGCCAACATGGTGAAACCCCATCACTACTAAAAATACAAAAATTAGTCAGGCGTTGTGGTGGGCACGTATAATCCCAGCTACCTGGGAGGCTGAAGCACAAGAATCTCTTGAACACAGGAGGCAAAGGTTGCAGTGAGCCGCGATCGCACCACTACACTCCAGCCTGGGCAACAGGCAACAGAGCAAGACTCCGTCTCAAAAAAAAAAAAAAAAAAAAAGGAAAGAAAAAAGAATGGTTCATAAATCCAGGTGGATTGAAAATAACAAATTAATTCAGTCTAATCATGTGCTTCTCCTCCAGCAACACCATGCCCAAAACTATTAGCTGTGAAAATAATGGTCCAATTACTTAAAAGCTAAGAATATCCAGAATTAGCAGAAGGCCAAAGGGTAGAGAGAAGTGAGAGTGTTGATAAGGGGGCCATTGGGGAATTGAAACATAGGTTTTTGGTGTATTCAGGGAGGGAGGCAAAATAGGAAGAAACTGAACAAGTGGGAAGCCAGGAAGGAAGCCAGAACAGGGAGGATGTGATGAAAAAGAAAAACATGTTACATGGAAAGGAAGGAAATAGTACAGGTAGGAGAAGTGACAAGATAGGGCTTTGTGATCGGAAGTAAAATCACAGATTTTAGAGTATGTGACTTCAGAAATGAGTGCTGGGGAGGAACAGAAGTAAAGGTCGTTCACTGTACCTAATGTAAAGCTACCAAGCATGGCATCCCAAGAAAGTTGAAGTCACCCAGGATGATGGCAGGATTTGAGTAGAGAAGACACGTGTCTGTTGTCAGTTGTCTAAATGAGTATAAAACCATGAACGAAGAGTCAAGGGGACAATGGCAGAAAGAAAGCAGCACAACTGGGTGGTATGGTTTCAACAAGGGGGTAGCCTAGCACAATGGAGTAGAAATGAGGGTCAGAAAATATTTAAACCATTTTACATCAAAGAAATGTTTTAATTATCACAACTGTCACAACTGGAAGGCCAGAAGTTTGATGGGTTTTGAAGGTGAATGATTGGAAGACGACCATGGCATCAAACTTTGTTTCCTTCTGTATTAGTGCTTAGCCCAGAGCTTCAACCTAACTTGACCTTGAGGTCTTCAGATGGCTTCCAGTAGCAATCAGAGCTATGTGCTCCTTGTTTACGTTCAGCAAAAGATAGAGAAACTGGTTTCTCATCTAACACTTTCAAAAGGAGAGAACTTTCTGAAACACCTACAGGAAATTTCTCCTTGCATCTCTTTGACTGGAATTGAGTCACATACCAACTTCTAAACCAATCACTGCCAAGAAAATAGCACTTCCTTTAGACAAGACACATCCAACTCTTGAGCCTCATATTACATCGTAACTTCTCAATAGGGGAAGGTGGGAGCAGATGTCGGGGAGTCTACCGTAACCTCCACCACTCACATGCATTTGTGACTACAAGGTTTCCTCAGCTTCTTTTTTAATGTGGCAGGTCTAGAATGGGTAACAAGTAATGACTTCAATTCTCTGAATAAACGAAGTTTTGGCTTTCTATTGAAAAATCAAGTTTGCATTGGTGACTCTGGACACACTACTCAATTTCTAACAATGCATAGAAACAGAACTCTCACAATTGCAAATGGAGCTAAGAGTTACAAGCACATTTTATTCCATCTTGCAAAACTGCAGCAACCTTGTGGATCTCTTGCCAAGACACCAGGACCGTCTTTCTATGCTTTGCACTAAAATTCCAGAGATTCTCCTCCAGCTACACATCCTAAATGCCATGCTGCTTGAGTATTAGGCCTCTACCTCCTACCTGCTGAAGCTGGAGACCATGAATAATATGCAGGCCATCTAGAAGTCCTTACAGGCTCTTGTAGCAGGCAAGGAACAGGTGCACAGACCAACCAATGCCAGTACAAATACAAGACTTTCACTGTCCTGATTAAAAACATCTGGTGGTTCCCAGACAGAGAACAATGTCCCAACTCCTTAGAGCTGCACAAAGGACTAGTTGCAAACAGACACAACCAAACACAACCAAGCATAGCAGCTTCATTGCCCACTTTGCATCCCAAATACGTGCTTGGCATCCCTGAATGCTCCTTTACATCTCTATGCTTGTGAAGATCCTTTTTCCTCTACTAAGAATTCCCTCCCCCTGCTTTTCTAACCAGTGATTCCCTTTTCTTCTTATAGGAAATGAAATATTCCGTGCTCTGAAGTTTTCCCAGACACCTCAAGCAGCAGCTCCTCTGTTCCTCCGTGTTCCTGTAGCAATTCCCACCTGCCTCTATGGAAGTACTTCTCACACTGTTCTGTGATCATGTGTTTCTGTACTTGCCTCTCCTAATTAGAGTGAGAGCAACTTCAAGCAACTTTATTCACTGTTTTATTTTTAGTGTCTGAAAAGTAAAAGGTATCTATGTTTGTTTACATATAGATCATTTATCTTTAAAAAATACTTTTAAAGTTATAATTTGCTATGTGAAATCACTTCTTCCTACTTTGATAGCTAATTGTCTATTATTCATTATCAGTATAACTCACTATATTAACGCACCTAGCCAAACTCCACAGCAGCAACAGCCAGATATTTGGCACTTTAAAATAAAAGTCTAGTATTTTCTGACTTTTTGAACTTGGTTATTTTTAAAATTCTAGCTGGGCACGGAGGCTCACGCCTGTAATCCCAGCACTTTGGGAGGCTGAGACGGGCAGATCACTTGAGGTCAGGAGTTTGAGACCAGTCTGACCAACATGGTGAAAGCCCGTCTCTACTAAAAATACAAAAATTAGCCAGGGGTGGTGGCATGTGCCTGTAATCCCACCTACTCAGGAGGCTGAGGCAGGAGAATCACTTGAACCCAGGAGGGGGAGGTTGCAGTGAGCTGAGATTGCACCACTGCACTCCAGCCTGGTGACAGAGCGAGACTCTGTCTTTAAAAAAAAAAAAATGTAAGTAGTTAAGAACATCTTTGTGAGTAAATCATTTCATTGCTCATTTACAGCAGGAGATCTGGTATCATGCGGCTACAATTTACGATATATGCAGCTGATTGACATACAGACACGGTGCTAAATGAGATGAAGTAAAGCAAACCAGTAGGGCAGGATGGAAGTGTCAAAACTGATTGGCCGGTATAAATTTTCAAAATGTGTGGTCAGTATTCCTGGAGGCCAAATCCACTGGGTGGCTTGTTTCCAAAATAACAGTATAACCTTCTTAAGAAACTGTTTTATTGTATAAAACTACTGCATTAGGAAAAGTTAGTCACTGTGTTTACTTCATTCTTCTGCTAACAAAAGATAAATTATTTATTTTTTTAGATGATAAGGAAATCTTAAATGCTGTTCTCAGCTGAGAGAGGCTGAGAGAACATCGGGCCAGTTACTCCCACAACATACTTCTGAGAGTACAGAACTCCCATGTGATCTAGGATTGCTCTTGTCTGGCCTTGTTATTTCCAAATTATGTTGTCCCTGTCTCTGTTAAGGGATGGCATGAGTTGAGCTTTAGATCTTGAAGTAAGGTTCATCTCCGTTTCTGAATATCATGTGAGAAACAAATGTAAAATGTAAAGCTTTCTCCTCATTTCATTCCAAATCCTGGTAGTGAGGAACTGGGAAGGGAAAGGAGGAAGGTAACAGTTTTTGAGTCCATATTATGTGCCAGGCAAGGCTTCGAGATTGCAGCTTCCCCCAGGATGGAGATAGTATCTTATTGAACTTTAATATCTAGCACAGTTTCTGACACGTAGGCAGGTGCTCAATGAATACTTATTGACTGAAACAATCTAAATCCATTTCAGATATAATCTCATTTAATCCTCACAACCACCTCGAATTTGGAAATACTTTCTTCATTTAACAGAGAGGTTGAGTAAATTGCCTCAGGTCACACTGAAAGGCCTGGATTACAAACTAAGGATGTAAAAATCAAAGGGCATCTCAAAGTCATCCAGAAAAATGCAACTTTTTGTGTTAATCTGTCTAGGAGCTGGGGTAGAAAAAAGAAAAATGCTGCTTTTTATAGATGAAACAAAACATTCATTGAATTTTAGTGACTTTTTTGTTTCACAACACATTGCTGTAAAAGTGAAAATCAAGACAAACATACACAGTCTTTCTTAAAACATTCTAGACAGTGAGTTTGACCATACATACACTAACATAGAGGATTCAGTTCTTTTTTTTTTTTTTTTTTTTTTTGACACAGGGTCTCACTCTGTCACCCAGGCTGGAGTGCAGTGGCACAATCTCAGCTCACTACAACCTCTGCCTCCTGGGTTCCAGCAATCCTCCCACCTCAGCCTCCCATATAGCTGGGAATACACGCTGGCACCACACGCTGGCACCACCACACCCAGCTAATTTTTTTGTATTTTTTGTAGAGATGAGGTTTCACCACATTGCCCAGGCTGGTCTCAACGCTTGAGCTCAAGCGATCTTCCCACCTCAGTCTCTCAAAGTGCTGAGATTACAAGTGTGGGCCACCACGCCCGGCCTCAATTCAATTTTTACTGAATCACTGCTAGAATCAGTGATTATTTCATCATAATTTTCCTGCAATGTGGCAGGAACAAAAATGTCTGGGTGATAGATCTGGCAGCTCTGAATCCCAGCATGTGGTGAAGTTAAAAGATGGCATCAGAAATCATAAAATAGGCCGAGAGCGCTGGCTCATGCCTGTAATTCCGCACTTTTGGGAGGCTGAGGCAGGTGGATCACCTGAGATCAGGAGTTCGACACCAGCCTGGTCAGCATGGTGAAACCCTGTCTCTACTAAAAATACGAAAGTTAGCCGGGCTTGGTGGACATATGATATAACAAATAACTCCATACAAACTAGAAAGAAGAAGAAGGATATTGATAAAGAAACAAGAGCAGGAGCAAACAACAAAGTCACAAAAGGTCTTGATGTAGAAAGGTAACCATGAGGAACTCCGTAGGGTGGTTGCATGGAATATGTGGGATGAAATCGTAGGATATAATATTGGAACTGCAGATTATTGGATGTGAAGGGCTCCATTCACATCCACTTGTTAAAACAATAATGACGATTCTTTTAAATTTTTGTGCCAAGTATGCAGAAGAAGACCCAAGTGCACTGGCAGACCCATGGCATCAGTACACATCTGCTATTGGCTCACTTCCTCTAATCTCCAGGGGCTTTTTCCCAACCTTCTGGTTCCTTCTCTGTCACTGACCATTATAGAAGGAAAATGAATCCAATAATTAAATCTTGACCCAAACTCAAAACAAATAATTTCTTTGTGATTTTTTTGTTTGCTTTTTTTTTTTTTTTTTTTTTTTTGAGACGGACTCTTGCTCTGTTACCCAGGCTGGAGTGCAGTGGCGCAATCTCGGCTCACTGCAACCTCCGCCTCCCAGTGCAAGCGATTCTCCTGCCTCAGCCTCCCAAGCAGCTGGGACTACAAGCATGTGCCACCATACCTTGCTAATTTTTGTATTTTTAGTAGAGATGGGGTTTCACCATATTGGCCAGGCTGGTCTCGAACTCGTGACCTTGTGATCCACCCGCCTTGGCCTCCCAAAGTGCTGGGATTACAGGCGTGAGCCACCACGCCCAGCCAAAACAAATAATTTCAACAGCATAAAAACATTTTATTCTCCTAGTGTTGTAACGAGGTAAGCATTTTCATATCTGAATGAACCTCCCTTCTTCCCGTGATAGGAAGAGTTGATGTACAAGAATTTGATTAAAAAAAAATACACAGGAGAGGTTATGTTCAGCCTGCAGGTTAACAAGATGGGTGGATAGGATAGAACCCTAAAGCATAATTAAAACAGCTTAGGTAATTGTTTTTAAACCAAGCTTTGAGAACTAAAAATGAAATTTCATATTAAGAATATTCATGTGTTTTTCTGAACACTGCTAGAACCAGTGATTATTTTTGAATAGGTAATATAAATTATAATGTTGCCTAATAGCTGAGAGGCTTTTGGGCCAAATACTCCCACCGCATATATTTCCTAAGAGCATGGAAGTCCCACAAGCCTATGTGTACCTAACAATGGCATGTGTACGTGACATCATAATTTCACTTATCAAGGGAGGAAATGAGTCACACCTGAAGTTGTGTCATGTCATTGAAGCCAAACAATCTGTCAATTTCAAAATTGGGGATGCAGTTTATTTCACAAAGAGTGTGTAGGCTAAAAATGTACGTCCTCTTCTAGTCTACTGAAGCAAGAGAAGACAGATACCTTCTGCTGGTCCACCTCCAAATCTAGTTCTTCATCTTGAGGGATTTGTGTTACTTCAAAACAGCAGAACAATTCTTTCTGCCAGAATGTTCTCTTCAGCCATGGGTATGCTTCTAGGATTTCATTTCCTGATATTGTCCTTCTCCTCTTTTCGGGCAGGTGCACCTGAGTTTCAAATATTTCACATGTCTAAGTTGGTGCAGGTAAACTACATTCTTTTCCTTTTGCTTTCTGATCCAGTTATTTCATTTCCTAGCACATTCTTCTATATTTGGCCTTATGGAGCATCTGCCAATGAGAAACAAATGTCTGCCAAAAGCATCTGTGCTCCGAACAACCTTTGTCCATTCTTATTTCCTCTATTTGGATAATTCCACCTACGTTTAATCCTCTCATCAGCCTACCGTTCATCTCAAACCTGATTTCTATTTATTTTTGTCCTGGCTAGCTCCTCTTTAGTGCGTATTATCCTACCTTTTCCGGGGGTCTGCAAACTTTCTAAGCATTATCCCTAATAACAAATACTTTAGAAACTTTCCTACTTACCACAAATGTATCATTTTGAGAATCACGTAATAGGGGCTAATGGATTCTGTGCTAAATTTCCAAGCCTTCTCCTGTCTCAAGTCTGTCCATATTATCTAAACCCTCCTTGTATATAGCTTTTTCAGCCTTTGAGGCTGGTTCCCCACTGATTATTATTTGCTATCTGGAGCTTTCAGAGGCACATCTCAAAACTCGCCAAGTTCCTTGTTTCATCTAGTAAAGTCAGTGTAATATTACATCTATAATCTTGCCTCTCTTCTGTTATTGGAGATCTTCCAGGAATATTTCTTATTATTTCCCCATCTTTGAAAGAAGTTAGGTCAAATTAAACAGAAAAAGGAATTTATTGGAGGTACACTTGGTTGTCCACATCTTCAGGAAGACTAGAGAACTACATTCAGAATAGGCATTAAAAAGAGGAGGCTACGCCACCAAAACCACAGCCAAAACCAAGCCACAGAACAAATCCAGTGAGGATACCACTGCATCACAGAGCCACTGTGGAGACCATCCATACTGCCAGCATTGACCCTGGCCCTACCACTGTCTTGGTTGCCAGCATGCAGCCCAACACCCCACAGCCAGAAAGATGTCCCCACTGCTTTTGACCCTTGGTTTCTGTCTCCAGGTCTGAGACTCATGGGTCTGATTGTCACACCTAAGTCATGGGTTCAGGCCCCAGCTTCAGGGGAGGTTGAGAGGTAAGTTTCAAGTCTATTCAGATTTTACAGTGGAAGATGAACTCTGCCTCCCAGCAAGACCAATAGTATAGATATTCCAAATGTAAGAAAGGAATTCAGATAACAGACAAACGGTAGGGGAAGTCTATTATGTTTTGACTGCTGTCATCTGCCTTATGGCATAGCCAGTAGACAACTCATCTGTGTGTTGCACTATAGCTAGGGCCCTTACAGGAAATATGTCTTTTCACTTTCCTTCATCTAGCACGGCAGTTTCCAAGCCGTGCTCTGAGGTACCCCGACCCCCACCAGGTGCCACAGAGAACTCAGAAGACCCAGCAGCATATTTTAAATTTTCAAGGACAGGCTGGGTGCGGTGGCTCAAGCCTGTAATCCCAGCACTTTGGGAGGTCGAAGCAGGCACATCACTTGAGGTCAAGAGATCGAGACCAGCTTGGCCAACACGGTGAAACCCCATCGCTACTAAAAATACAAAAATTAGCTGGGTGTGGTGGCACGGCCTGTAATCCCAGCTGCTCAGGAGCCTGAGGCAGAAGAATCGCTTGAACCTGGGTAGGTGGAGGTTGCAGTGAGCTGAAACTGCACCACTGCATTCCAGCCTGGGCAACAGAGTGAGACCCTATCTCAAAAAAGTAATAATAAAATAAAATTTAAAAAAATAAATTTTTGAGGACAGCACAGTGGCATCTACCAGACACCACTCAGTCTCTACCTCGAGGTGGTTCGCAGTTTCATTAGATCAGCCTACATTCCCTTCAAAGCCAGCCCTTTCTTTGCAAGGCTGGGTGTTCAGCAGTCACTACAAGTTTTTAGAAAGTGCCATATGAAAAAGCAATGTGGAATAGGAAATGAGAGTGACATGTTCATTCTGATTCCAAACTTGTCCGGTTGGCAGTGCCCCACAGGCACACACGTCCCATTAGTAACTGTGTTCATTCAAGAATGAAACTAAGTATTACTTGTTCTTTATATTTATATGTTTGCTTTCCAAATAGCTACTTGGTTGTTAAAACATAAATATTTAAAGGTGTTTGAACCTACTAACTTAATACACGTAACTGCTAGGGTTGTTTTGGCAAGGAGTGAAGGGGGAGTGTTTTTGTTTTTGTTTTTTGGCCCAGGAATGTTGTGAAAAAAATTAAAACACAAATGGCACCATAAACCAAAAGAGTTTGGGAAACTCTGAACCAGCACAATGTCTATTGATTTTTTAAATTAATGTTTTATTCTTCACAGTCCTGCATTGTTCAAGAGAAGCCTCCACTGTCCTCTCTCAAAGAATAACTTCTGAGTAAAGACAAGGAATAATAGAAAGCTATTATTATATTATTATTATAGCTTCCCACTCATATGATAGGTGGCAAGTGGATGACTAGAATTTCCAAAAGCAAACAACACAGCTGGGAGAGACCAGGAGACGAAAATATAGAGGAGAATACAGGCAAATGCAGAAAGTCCCCAAAGAACAAAGACAGAGTCAGGGAACCTCCCAGCCTTCTAGAAAAGGGACTCATGGGCCGGGCGTGGTGGCTCACACCTGTAATCCCAACCCTTTGGGAGGCTGAGGTGGGCGGATCACCTGAGGTCAGGAGTTCCAGACCAGTCTGGCCAACACGACGAAATCCCGTCTCTACTAAAAATACAAAAATTAGCTGGGCATGGTGGCGCATGCCAGGCAGGAGAATCACTAGAACCTGGAAGGCAGAGTTTGCAGTGAGCTGAGATCATGCCACTGCACTCCAACCTGGGAAACAGAGTGAGACTCTGTTTCAAAAAAAAAAAGAAAAATGTAAAGGGACTCATGCACCCATTACCTAGCAGAAGTGCATGGTATCACTGCTGGCAAGCACAAGGATGTCTATATATCCAGTAGGGAGAGTTTGAATAATTCTTCTGTGGAGAAAATATAAGCATGCGGCAGAAAATGTCCAACTTTGGAGACAAGAAATTTGCTTATTGATATTTCTAAAAACAGTGTCATGTTTAAGGATGAGTTTCTAAGGAGAATGCAGATAATGACAGAAGAGCTCTAAAATCTTACACGAGTCATTAAACCCAGTTTTCTCTTCCATAGAAAGAGTGTATGTACTTGGCATCTAGCCTGCTAAAACTCTTAGTCTGTGTTGGTCTGAGATTTTTGGTGTCCTCAAAAGTGAATTTTATTTGTTTGTTTGTTGTTTGTTGTTTTTTTTTTGTGACAGGGTCTCACTCTGTTACCCAGGCTGGAGTGCAGTGGTATGATCACAGCTCACTGCAGCCTTGACCTTCCAGGCTCAGATGATACTCCTACCTCAGCCTCTTGAGTAGCTGGGACCACAGGCAAGCACCACCATGCTCAACTGATTTTTTTTTTTTGGTAGAGGTGAGGTCTCACTATGCTGCCCAGGGTGGTTTTGAACTCCTGGGCTCAAGCGATCCTCCTGCCTTGCCCTCCCAAAGTGCTGGGATTATAGGCATGAGCCACCATGCTGAGCCTAGGAGTGAATTTTGTACATAGAAAAATGATTTCAATAGTTACTTACTAAAATTAATTCAATCTATTAAAGCTATAAATTTTAAAAACCTACTTCTTTATTTGGCTTTTAAATTCTGTCTTGCTGAGTCTCTTACTCTCGCTTGCTTTGATGAAACCCAGCTGCCATGAGCCTGCAGCTCACAACAAGAGTTGGTCCATATGGAGAGGTCCATATGGTAAGGAAGTGAGGGAGGCCTCCAGCCAACAGCCAGTAAAAAACTGAGGCCCTCAGTCCAACAACCCATGAGCAAGTGAATGCTGCCCAAAATCACATGAACGATCTGGGAAGTGGATCCTTCCTCAGTCAGGCTCTTGGATCATAGTGACTCCTGCTGGATCTCCTTGACTGCAAGATCCTTAGGTAGAGGCATCCAGGTAAGCTGCAGCTGGATTTCTATCCAGGGGAAACTGTGAGTTATTTTAAACTTGAGTTTTGGAGTCTTTTTTTTTTTTTTGAGATGGAGTCTTGCTCTATTGCCCAGGCTGGAGTGCAGTGGCACGATCTCAGCTCACTGCAACCTCCATCTCCTGGGTTCAAGCGATTCTCCTGCCTCAGCCTCCTGAGTAGCTGGGCTTATAGGCATGCACTACCATGCCCAGCTAATTTTTGTATTTCTTTCTTCTTTTTTTTTTTTTTTTTTACTAGAGACAGGGTTTCATCATGTTGGCCAGGCTGGTCTTGAACTCCACACCTCAAGTGGTCTGCCCTCCTCAGCCTCCCAAATTGCTAGGATTACAGGCGTGAGCCACCATGCCCAGACTTGAGTAATTTTTATGCAGTAACAGATAACTAATACAGAAACTAAAAAAGACATGACAGGTAAATGCAATGTGTGACCCTGGACTGGATATCGTGGGGAGGAAGAGATACTAAAAGGACATATTGGACAATTGCCAAATTTGAATATTGACAGTATATTAGGTAATAATATTAAACTTCTTAATAGGATTATTGGACTGTGGTTATGTAAGGAAGTGTCCCTTTTATTATGAAATTCACATTGAAGTATTTAGAAATAAAGGAAAATGATATCTGCAATTAACTCTTACATGGTTCAGGGAAAAATTAACAATAATATGCATTATAAGTAGAAAGAGTAGTAAGGCAAATGTGTCAAATTGTTAATTTATGAATCTGGATAAAGGATACATATTTAAAAGATATGTGTACATTTCTTGCAGCTCATCTGTAACTTTGAAAGTATTTTTTAAGGTTTTTTTTAAGTAGTATAGAGAAGCAATTTGTCATTTGTGGCTTAAACCTAAAATGTGTTGTTACAGAATTTTAAAATTAATTAAGACGTTCATTTCTTTAGTAAGAAAAAAG
This sequence comes from Homo sapiens, assembly GCF_000001405.40. NCBI lineage: Eukaryota > Metazoa > Chordata > Mammalia > Primates > Hominidae > Homo > Homo sapiens. Next base: position 17,424,301 of record NC_000021.9, read on the forward strand.
AGACTTATTTTTTTCTTTTAATAATGATAGTCTTTCTCTTTTGGCGCTTTTAAAACCAAATACAAGCATAAATATATTCTGCCCATTGTATTTTCAGGAAAAAATTAGATTTGGCTAAGTTAGATTAAAACGCTATGTATAAATTTCTGTATTTAAATCCTACACTTACTCCGAAGTAAAGAGTGTTGTTCAAGTAAGGAGACTCTAAAGAAGAAGTTGAAAGGATAACAATCCAATTCTAAGGCCTACCTTGTGCAAAAAGTCAAAATTTGACTTCGGTACCTTCCTGACATTCTATCTTGACAACACTTTGTGACAACCTGACTTGTCACCGTATTCACCTTATTTCCTGTGCTAATCCAAGGATATTTTCTGATTAAAATTTTATATCACAAGAATTTTATGTTATTTTCCTCACCTTAACACTTTTATCCCATCACTTGAATATTTTACCTTTTAATTTTTCACATTTTCAAGTGAGTGTTGTGGAGACAAATGTTGTCCACTATCCTTCACACCCATCTTCATTTCTTTTCTACCCCCTACTCATTCTACTTTCTTCTTTTACCTTCTTGGGCGCCTTGCTTTCCTTTCTCTCCCATGGCTTTCTTATCTCTTTGACGCCTTCCCTCTTGCTTCCTCCATACTAACCCCACTTGTTATGGTTTGGATCTGAGTCTTTGCCCAAATCTCATGTCAAATTTTAATCTCTGATGTTGGAGGTGGAGCCTGGTGAGAGGCGATTAGATTACGGGGGTGGATTTCTCATAAATGGTGTCGCACCATCCCCTTGGCGCTGTTCTCGTGATCATGAGAGACTTCTCCTGCGATCTGGTTGTTTAAAAGTGTGTAGCGCCGCTCCCCTCCCCCCACCCCCACTCACTTTCTTGCTCCTGCTCTGGCCATGTGATGTGCCTGCTTCCCTTTCACCTTCTGCCCTGATTGTAAGCTTCCTGAGGCCTCCCCAGAAGCTGAGCAGATGCCCCCATCGTGTTTCCTGTACAGCCTGCAGAACCGTGAACCAATTAAACCTCTTTTCTTTACAAATTTCCCAGTCTCAGATATTTCTTTTTTGTTGTTTGTTTGTTTTTGTTTTTGTTTTTGTTTTTTGAGACAGATCTTGCTCTGTCACCCAGGCTGGAGTGCAGTGGCGCGATCTCGGCTCACTGCAACCTCTGTCTCCCGGGTGCAAGCAATTCTCCTGCTTCAGTCTCCCGTGTACCTGGGATTACAGGCATGTGCCACCACACCCGGCTAATTTTTGTATTTTTAATAGAGACGTGGTTTCACCTTTTTGGCCAGGCTGGTCTCGAACTTCTGATTTGGGGTGATCCGCCCACCTCAGCCTCCCAAAGTGCTGGGATTACAGGTGTGAGCCACCACGCCCGGCCATCAGATATTCCTTTATACCAATGCAAGAACAGACTGATACATCACCCAAGGCCAGCTTTCACCATTTCATACCTAGATCACAGCAATCACCTCAAAACTGATCCTCTGCCTATAGGCTCTCCAAGCTTCCCCAAACATTACAGAAGCATTCAATTTTAGAAGTTCAGAACCTATACACCTGCCCATTATATCTGGTTTAAACTTACCAAGTTTCTATACTATCATTTCCTTACCTCTGAGAGGTACCAAACCACCAAACCAGTTTTTTTTTTTTAATTTGACTTACCTGAGCCAGTGTTTCTCTCCACTTTTAGGGCCACCTATCACTAATATATTTAGGAAAAGACCCATTGCAGGTTTGTTGTGGAGTTCTCTGTTCCCAGCTGTTTCTCCACATTCTGCCATGGCCCACGTGTCACTTAGCACTGTCAGTGGGGACCTGGATAATTTCCTTTAGTCTTGTCCATCTCCTCTTCCACACATCATCACACATAGATGCTGGGAGAAATAATAAGAGGAAGCATAAAATATGAAAAGATAAATTTGAAACTAGCCTCTATATATGACTTTTTTCCCAACAAAGTCCAACCAAACATCATCTAAGGAGTTAAAGGTTTTGTAGGGGTTTCCTTGTGAGCATACTGTGGAACAGCTGATCTCGAACTCCTGGGCTCAGGTGATCCTCCCACCTCAGCCTCTCAAAGTGTTAGGATTACAGATGTGGGCCACCATGCCTGGCTGACTCTTCTTTTTATAAAATTGCTTTTTCCTCAACTTTTTGTTTTGAAAAGTCATAAGCCTACAGAAAGTTACAAGAATTAATTTATACACCTATATGAAATTTGTTAGTTGTTAATTTTTTCAAAGTTCTCAATCTCTCTTCCCCTCTCTCTCCCTTTCTGAATCATTTGAAAATAAATTACAGGTATCTAGTCAGGCATGGTGGCTCAAGCCTGTAAACCCAGCACTTTGGGAGGCTGAGGCAGGTGGATTACTTGAGGTCAAGAGTTCGAGACCAGCCTGGCCAACCTGGTGAAATCTCATCTCCACTAAAAATACAAAAATTAGCCAGGCGTGGTGGTGGGTGCCTGTAATCCCAGCTCCTTGGGAGGCTGAGGCAGGAGAGAATTGCTTGAACCCAGGAGGCGGAGGTTGCAGCGAGCCAAGATCACACTATTACACTTCAGCCTGGGTGACAGAGTGAGACTCCATCTCAATAAATAAATAAATAAATAAATAAATAAATAACAGATATCCTTGTTTACCCCAGCAAGAATCTAAAAACAAAGACATTCTCTTGAATATTCTTACATAACCACAATACAGTGATCAAAATCAGGAAGTTTTAACATTGATACAACACTACTTTTCTGATATTGTTTTCTCAATAATATTCTTTCTAGCCAAGTTTTTGCCATCTAGAGTCACACATTGCATTCGGTTGCCATGTCTTTAGCCTTTTTCACTCTGAAACACTTCACTGCTCTTTCTGTCTTTCGCGGCATTGTCATATTTGGAGGGTAGTGGTCAGTAGTTTTGTAGAACAGCTCTCGCCTTGGGTTTGTCTGATTATTTCCTTATGCTGAAATACAGACCATGCATTTTGGAAGGAAGAGTACAGGAATAATGTGCCCTTCTCAGTGCATCGCATCTGGAGGCTCCCCTGACGTCCGTTTGTCACATTATTACTGATGTTAAGCTTAATCACTTCTTCACAGTGAAAGTATCTCTTTCTTCCTTTGTGACTAATTAGTAGTCTGCTTTTATAGCAGCTCTGTTCATAATTGCCAGAAACTGAAATAAATTCAAACGTCTTTCAGTGGATGAATGAATAAACAAAGCAATGCCTTCATACACTGGAATACACTGAACAATAAAAAAGAACAAACTGGCCAGGCATAGTGGCTCATGCCTGTAATCCCAGCACTTTGGGAGGCTGAGGCAGGTGGATCACCTGAGGTCAGGAGTTCAAGATCAGCCTGGTTAACATGGTGAAACCTGTTCTCTACTAAAATTAAAAAATTAGCTGGGTGTGGTGGCGGGCGCCTATAATCTCAGACACATGGGAGGCTGAGGCAGGAGAATCGCTTGAACTCGGGAGACGGACGTTGCTGTGAGCCGAGATCAAGCCACTGCACTCCAGCCTCCAGCCCGGAGACAGAGCAAGACTCCATCTCAAAAAAATTAAGCCAGCCTCAAAAGATATACTGTATGATTCCATTTATGTGACATTCTTCTTGTAAAGACAAAACTATAGTGACAGAGAAGAGATCAGTGGTTGCCAGGAGTTAGAGGAGGTATGACTGTAAAGACATAGCATGAAAGAGTCGTAAGGTAATAGAACTGTCCTGTACGCTGAATGTGGTGGTGGTTACATAAATCTATACTTGTGTTAAAATTCATAAAACAAGGCCAGGTGTAGTGACTCATGCCTGTAATCCCAGGTGTGGAAAAAAAATTCATAAAATGATACACCAAAAAATAAGTCAATTTTATAGTTCAGTGATTTTTCTTTTTTTTTCTTTTTTTTTCCTGAGACAGATTCTCACTCTGTTGCCCAGGCCGGAGTGCAGTGGAGTGCAGTGGAGTGCAGTGGAGCGCAACGAAGCGTATTGGTGCGATCACAGTTTACTGCAACCTCTGCCTCCCTGGCTCAAGCAATCCACCCCCAACCTAAGCCTCCTGAGTAGCTGGGACCACAGGCCCACGATACCTGGCTAATTTTTGTATTTCTAGTACAGACAGGGTTTCGCCATGTTGGCCAGGCTGTTCTGAACTCCTGACCTCAGGCGATCTGCCTGCCTCAGCCTCCCAAAGTGCTGGGATTACAGGTGTAAACCACCGCACCTGGCTGATAAGTTAATTTTACAGTTTGATGATTTTTCTTTTTCTTTTTCTTTTTCTTTTTTTAAGACGGAATATCACTCTGTTGCCCCAGCTGGAGTGCAGTGGAGTGCAGTGGAGTGCAGTGGAGTGCAGTGAAGTGTGGTGGCATGATCATAGTTCATTGCAACCTCTGCCTCCCTGGCTCAAGCAATACCCCCGACCTCAGCCTCCTGAGTAGCTGAGATCACGGGCCCGTACCACCATGCCTGGATAATTTCTGTATTTTTTTGTAGAGACATGGTTTCACCATATTGCCCAAGCTGGTCTTGAACTCCTGGACTCAAGTAATCTGCCCACCTCAACCTCCCAAAGTGCTGGGATTACAGGTGTGAGCCACCATGCTTGGCTGTATGTATGATGACGCTTTAAAATAAAATTTAAAATAATTCACCTGTAAGAAGATACTTGAAGACTCTGTGAACATTTTGTTTAGCTGATAAACACAATCATTACATATCACTCAATTCTTTCTTTCATTCTCCACCTGAGCCCAACTGTCCACTTCTATCCAAACCTTTCAGTGACATAAGGACTTATAGCACCTGTAGTTATCCTCCTGTGGTTAATCATTCCCCCATTCCTACAGACTATCAAATTGACATTTGCAGGGACCGTATCTTAATCACAACCTCTAGAACAGTGTTGTTCTCATATAGGCACGCTTGGAGAATTTATGAATGAATGTGACTTGGCAGCCACCTCTTATGCCGGCGCCTATGCACCTACAGAGACTTCGTGAAGCCCTGGCACATTGTTTTTAATTGTTAAATTTCTCAGTTATGGGTATAATAGAGGCATTAAAGAGCATATAAGATTGTCTTCTCATTATGGATACAGACTTTCATTCAGGTAATCCTATTACACACTTTACCTTTGCATCTGTCTAGTGCAGCCATTAGTTGGCCACAAAATCTGAAATAAATATTTCATATTAAATTTAAAAATTGGCTGGGCCGTGGTGGCTCACGCCTGTAATCCCAGCACTTTGGGAGGCCAAGGTGGGCAGATCACGAGGTCAAGAAACAAGACCATCCTGGCTAACATGGTGAATACCCTGTCTCTAATAAAAATATAAAAAATTAGCTGGGCGTGGTGGCACGTGCCTGTAGTCCCAGCCACTCGGGAGGCTGAGGCAGGAGAATCACTTGAATCTGAGAGGTGGTGGTTGCAGTGAGCAGAGATCACGCCGCTGCCTCCAGCCTGGGCGACAGAGGGAGACTCCGTCTCAAAAAAAAAAAAATTAAAAACTATGATGTGCAGATATTTTCCCCTAGTATGAAAGCTTAAGTTATTAAATCTGTAGAAAGGCTGAAGAACTTAATGAGGATGTTTTATGTTAATAGGATAAATTTAATTGTTAAGATGTTAAGGTGGTGTGTTAAGGTGACAAAGGGGAAGTGGAAGGAAAGAGAACTAACATTACTGGGCACGTACTACATGCCAGTATCTGCTTCAGGTGCTTTAAAAACATTCTCCCAGTCCCCACCCAACTCTGGGACACACGCTCCATTATGCTCACTGCAGGGTGTGGATGGAAAATGAAAGGGTTAGTTCTACCCAGAAGCACCTGCCTAAGATGCCCTGTGCCCCATCCCTTGGGCCCACCTGACATTAGTGGCACTAATGTGAACAGCGGCATGCATGCTGCAAGTGCCCCACCTTCAGTGGGTGCTGTGGTGTCCCTTGGGGACACCCAAGCAGGCCACAGCCTGGAAGTGCAGGAGAGTTAGTAAGTAACAGTGGATGGAAGTCAGCAGATTAATGCCCCAGCCTCCTTGTCCTTCAGTGGAACAATGCTGAAGCACAGTCTATGAAGTTCCACAGCTGATCCCGAGTGTAAGTGGGCCTTATTTTTCCATAATGGTTTCCAACTGAGTAGCACACACTTTATAGGCTTTCTCACTTCCTTGTCTCTCTCTTCTCACACCTCACTTCTGCTTCCTGGGATCAATATCATCAGTCAATAGGTAAATGCAGATAGACTACCTGCATCCAAGTCCCTTGCCTTAGACTCTACTTTGCAAGAACCCAAGCTAAGACATACAACAATATTAGTCAGTCTCCTCCTTCTTTAATAATGAAACCCCCAGCCAGGCGTGGTGGCTCGCTCTTGTAATCCTAGCACTTTGGGAGGCCAAGGCAGGCAGATCACCTGAGGTCAGGAGTTCGAGACCAGTCTGGCCAACATGGTGAAACCCCGTCTCTACTAAAAATACAAAAATTAGCTGGGTGTGGTGGTGGGCTCCTGTAATCCCAGCTACTCAGGAGGCCGAGGCAGGAGAATCGCTTTAACCCAGGAGGTGGAGGTTGCAGTGAGCGGAGATTGCGCCACTGCACTCCAGGCTGGGCAACAGAGTGAAACTCCATCTCAAAATAAAATAAAATAAAATTTAAAAATATTGAAACCCCCAGGTTTTAGCTGTGCCCAGGACCATTGAGTTATAGATTATATTATCCCAGCATCTTTGCAACCAGATAAGACCATGTAACTTTTTGCCAATAGGATATAAGTGCTTTTATTTAACAAGCTTTGCCTTTAAAAGAAATAAGGGTGTATTTTCTTGTTCCTTTGACCATTCCTGCTGTCTGGGATGTAGATGTAATGGCAGGAGCTAGAACAGCCCTCACAGATCCAGAGATAGAAGCCATATTTTGAGGATGGGCTGAGCTGTCCATCCTACCCTACCCTGTTCTGCTTCACTGAGGACTATTTCAGGAGAGAAAAACAAATGTCTCTCTTCCTTTTTTTTTTTTTTTTTTTTTTTTTGGGAGACGGAGTCTCGTTCTGTCACCCAGGCTGGAGTGCAGTGGCAGGATCTTGGCTCACTGCAACCTCCGCCTCCCGGTTCAAGCAATTTCTCTGCCCTCAGCCTCCTAAGCAGCTGGGATTACAGGCGCCTGCCACCACGCCCAGCTAATTTTAACATCTCTCTTCTTAAGCCACAGTATTGTAGGGATCTCTCTACTAATGTAGCATGGCACACATATATGGAAATTGGAACAGTGCAGAGATTAGCGTGGCTCCTGTGCAAGGATGACACACAAATTTGTGATGTGTTCCATACTTTTAACATAGTTAGAAAGAATGAATAAGATCCAGTGTTTGATAGCACAGCAGGGTGAATATAGTAAATAATAATTTAATTGTACACTTAAAAAATCACTAAAAGAGTATAATTAGTCTGTTTGTAACACAAAGGATAAATGCTGGAGGGAATGGAGGCCCCGTATTCCATGATGTGATTATTACACACTGCATGCCTGTATCAAAACATCTCATGAACCCCATAAATATGTACACTTATATTTACTCAAAAAATTTTAAAAATAAAATAAAGTAGCGTGGACTGTATTTTTGCAGAGGATAAGATATTGGACAAAGTTACACAGCTTTGGAGTAAGGTGTAAAGGGAAGGTTTGCATTCAAATCTGTGGGAATCCACAGCTCAGGCTCTTAAGTGAGCCCTTCATTTATTGTGGGTGCGTGACTTGCCTCCTATGTGTTGGGGTAGTAAAAAGGCTGAAAAATATTGCATTATTGATGACTCCTCACTGAAAAGATTTACCTTCCTTTATCCAACAGGGGAGGGAAAGGTTAATTCTGAGTTCCATCAACATGCAAATGAGGCCAGCTGCAGGTGGCCTACACCGATAATCCCAGTGCTTTGGGGTCAAGGCAGGAGTATCGCTTGAGCCCAGGAGTTTTTGACCAGCCTGGGTAAGATGGCAAGACCCCCGTCTCCACAAAAAAGAAAGAAGAAGAAAGAAAAGAAAGAAAGAAAGAACGAAAGAAAGAAAGAAAGAAGGAAGGAAGGAAGGAAGGAAGGAAGGAAGGAAGGAAGGAAGGAAGGAAGGAAGGAAAGAAAGAAGAAGGAAAGAAAGAAGAAAGAAAGAAAGAAAGAAGAAAGAAAGAAAAAGAAAGAAAGAAAGAAAAGAAAGAAAGAAAGAAAGAAAGAAAGAAAGAAAGAAAGAAAGAAAGAAAGAAAGAAAGAAAGAAAGAATATTAGCTGGGCATGGTGGCACAGGCCTGTAGTCCCAGCTACACGGGAGGCTGAGGCAGAAGATTGCTTGAGCTCGGAAGTTCGAGGCTGCAGTGAGCTACAATTGTACTACCTCGCTCCAGCCTGGGTTACAGAGCGAGATCCCATAGAAGAAGGAAGGAAGGGAGGAAGGAAGGAAGGAAGGAAGGAAGGGAGGGAGGAAGGGAGGGAGGGAGGGAAATAAAAATGAAAATGGAAGACGTCATGATGCTATGAAGAAAGCTTAAATCTACTGAGGTTAGAATTGCCTTTTTTGTAAGAACCAAAGCAAAATATTTAACCGTTGTTATGAGCTAAATTGTGCCTCCTTTCCCCCATCCCCCATCCCCCGCCCCAAATTCATATGTTGAAGCCCTAACTCCAAGTACCTTAAAATGTGACTGTCATTGGAGGTAAGGTCATGAAAGAGGTAATTAAGTTAAAATGAGGCCATTAAGGTGGGCCCTAATTCAGTCTGACTGGTGTCCTTATAAGAAAAGGAAATTTGCACACACTGAGAGACCCCAGTATGCCTGCATAGAGAAAAGACCATGTGAAGAGGCAGCAAGCGAGCCAAGGAAAGAGGCCTCAGAAGAAACCAACCTGCCGGGACTTCAATCTTGGACCTTCAGCCTCCAGAACTGCGAGGAATACATTTCTGTTATTTAAGACACCCAGTCTTGCCGGGCGCGGTGGCTCACGCCTCTAATCCCAGCACTTTGGGAGGCCGAGGTAGGCGGATCACCTGAGGTCAGGAGTTTGAGACCAGCCTGACCCACATGGAGAAACCCCATCTCTACTAAAAATACAAAATTAGCCGGACTTGGTGGCGCATGCCTGTAATCCCAGCTACTTGGGAAGGCTGAGGCAGGAGAATCGCTTGAACCTGGGAGGTGCAGGTTGCGGTGAGCCAAGATTGTGCCATTGCACTCCAGCCTGGGCAAGAGCAAAACTCTGTCTCAAAAAAAAAAAAAAAGACACCCAGTCTGTGATACTTTATTACAGCAGCCCTAGCAAACTAATAGTCACTTACCCTCATCAAGGAAGGATATAGCATGTTTCTACCGGATGAATAATTAAGTAAATGAATAAATGAATGATCATGGTGCTATACTGCTAGGGAAACAACATGAACATTTTGCTCTATAACATGCCATTCATTAAAATACATTTTAATTCAGCTTGACTGAGAGAGAAGAATGCTAGCATGACCTAGCTTAGATATGTGTAGTAATCAAAAAGAACACAAGAGTCTGTGAGTTATTTCAGTTTTGCTAAACACAAAATGACATTGTCCTGGATGCCTCTGTAGCCGAGTCAAGAAATCTGAAATGATGAAACAGCAGAATTCGGAATTTCAGGCTAAGTGGCTGCATGAATTTCCAAGAGTGATGAGGTTCTGGAATGAACCATTAAAATTTCATCAAAAGTAGGCCACAGCTGGAGGTCAGAGGAAAAGATTACATGAGGTTATACAATCCTAAAAGAACAATATTTCATCTTTGGTTTTTAGTGAACCAATTATTTCCATGGTTATAAGGAAGCTTCCTATATTTCTAAATAAAGCACCTTAAACACAAAATACCCAAAATCGAATTCATGTTTTTTCTCTTGGAATTTTCTCTCTCTTTAGAGAGGAATCGTTTTAGTTGCCAATACCATTATCCTCCTAGTCACCCAAACTGGAATTTCGTTTCTGTATAGAACTGAGGACAAAACTTTCTCTGCCATCTCTTTCCATGGAAGAGTATCCTGAGTTTCTAGGTAATTCATGTTAAAGTTGTTACCATTTGCAACTATGTATCTGTGTAAAAATTATCTTGCCACTATACAAGAAAAAAAACTCAGATGTAAAAGAATTGCAATGCTGAGGCTAGTATAAGATACAATTGCCATCCATAATCTCTGTATCAAATTTGCATTCAAACATCATAATGTTCATTGCTTTAATTTATAAAATAAATTTATCCTAATTAAATTTCCTTTTAATCTAAACCTAATTTCTATATTAAAAAGAATATCTTTTGGCCAGGCGCAGTGGCTCACGCCTGTAATCCCAGCACTTTGGGAGGCTGAGGCAGGCGGATCACGAGGTCAGGAGATCGCGACCATCCTGGCTAACACAGTGAAACCCTGTCTCTACTAAAAATACAAAAAAAAATTAGCTGGGCGTGGTGACGGGCACCTGTAGTCCCAGCTACTCGGGAGGCTGAGGCAGGAGAATGGCGTGAACCCGGGAGGCGGAGCTTGCAGTGAGCCGAGATGGAGCCACTGCCCTCCAGCCTGGGCGACAGACAGAGACTTTGTCACAAAAAAAAAAAAAAAAGAAAAGAAAAGAAAAGAAAATCTTTTAATGTTGGAATCCCATGTAAATTTTTTTTTCTTTTTTTTTTGAGATGGAGTTTCACTCTTGTTGCCCAGGCTGGAGTTCAATGGCACAATCTCCACTCACTGCAACCTCCACCTCCCAGGTTCAAGTGATTGTCGTGCCTCAGCCTCCCAAGTAGCTGGGATTACAGGTGCATGCCACCACACCCTGCTAAATTTTTTGTATTGTTAGTAGAGACAGGGTTTCACCATGTTGGCCAGGCTGGTCTTGAACTCCTGACCTCAGGTGATCTGCCCACCTCGGCCTCCCAAAGTGCTGGGATTACAGGCATAAACCACCACACCCAGCCGGAATGCCATATAAAATTTAATTTGGGAAAAATGTCTGCTGCTATAATTATGTGGAAAAAAAGTCATTTATCTCTAGAATAAAAAGCAAGATCACAAGACAATAGAATGACTCTACTTGCCTCTTCAGCCCATCCCTTGCTACTCAGTCACATCACACATAGTCTCTGGAAAATCATCTTTTTTCTCATTCCATTCCTCCTTCTGCCATCCTCTGTCTACAGTATCCCTTCGCCTGCACTTTAGGCCCACAAACCCTTGAAGATTCAATTCAGATCTCACCAAAAAGTATTTTCTGGCCCACCAAGCCCTGGCCAGAAGTACCTCTTTCAAACATCTCTTACGTTAAACAGCATTATGGAACACTATTGTTTTGGACTGAGCTTCTGCACTAGGCCCCAAGGGACCAGACCAGACCAAAATGGAGTCACTTGTGCTAAATGCCACTTCATCAAAATGAAACTTTAAGGAAGTCGATAGATCTCAAAACAGATCAGTTTTTCCTGAAAACTGGAGATTGCAGTCTGAGTCAGCTATAATAAGGACACTTCCGTTTGCTTAAACTCATATAAAAAAGTAACCTGAAGTAACCTAATGTTTACCAGTCAAGCTTTTTTTTTTTCTATTGTTCTGTTTCCTTGTTCCCACCTTGTAAAACCCACTGTTCAGCAGTTGCTCGTGAGAGCTTTCAGTACATTTTATGGAATGAAGGCTGCCCTGATTTATAAATCCCAAATAAATGCCCATCTTTGATCTATAACTAAATTTGTTGTAATTTTGTCTTTTGACACTTAAAATAACATATGTTTTCAATTTTTATATTTACATTTCCCACTAAAGTGAGTGTCTGGAGGAGAGATTGTGCTAGAGATAGCCTAGCACATGGTGGACATGCAGAAATATTGGAAGGAAGGAAGGAAGGAAGGAAGGGAGGGAGGGAGGGAGGGAGGGAGGGAAAGAGGGAGGAGAGGAAAGAGAAAAAGAGAAAGAAAGGGAGGGAAGGAGGAAGACAATTTCATATTAAAGGGCTCGTAAATGAGGCAAGTTTTGCTGTCATGGCATAATTCGAAGGAAATATTAGCTGAGCTATATCTCAAAATTATGTTTAATATCCAGCTTTCAGCAAACTGAATTTCCCACCATAAGATATTCTTTACTGGGGCAGGGGAGGGAGGCCAAGAATTAGTACTCTGAAAGCAACCATTTAAGATGGAATACTCCTCTGTATCTAAAATATGACAGATGTCTCCAAGTCTTCAGACCGGGTTAACCAGAGGAGAGAAGGGCCTGGGAAGAAAAGACAAAAAAGTAGGCAGTGAGACCCATTTCATTCCAGTTTCCCAGAGATGGTGGGAGAGAAAGGACAGAACAGTACAGACTCATCAGGAACAATTCAGTGCCCAGTTACGACATGTTTAAACACTGCCTTTTTTGTGTTTTTTCGGCAATCCTGAGATGGGAGGGTGCCACACATTTCTTCATTTGGAGAAACTGAGCTCCTAAAAGATTAGATAGAAGTAAAACTGGTAACAGCAGCCAAACTTTTCAATAGTCGTCTCTCTCCTAGAGCAATGCTCTGTGGAAGGGAGAGAAAACTATGTTGCCTCCCTAATGATAATGTGCTGATTCTGTTTGTTTAACTAAAGCTGCACCAGATTAGCAGACCATAATTACAGCTAAAATCCTTGTCTCTGATACAGTTGACAGAATGTCTGTTTCACTGAGCTGAACTCCCAGGAAAGGCTTTACTCAAGGTTAAGCCAGGCTGCCTGAAAGCAATAGTGCTGTTTCAGTGCTACACTGGATACTTTATCTGAGCAGCGGGATTTCCTACACTTGGGTTTCACATGGTTTACTTTGATTTCTTGGGGCGATAAGGACGTTTGCTCCTCTTTGAAAGGTTGTGTTAGTGGCCATACCATTGTAAAACCTTAAGAACTTTCTTTTGTGTCTGGATATGAAGATATCTGCCTTTTTCTTGATATACAACTTTACTAGGACTTCTTTTAGGGAAATCCCCCCTCCATCCCCCAGTTCTTTCCTTGCCTTTCAGCTTTGCAGAACGCAATGAAGTCTGTCATTAATAATCTTTCCTTGACCAGGCGCAGTGGCTCACAACTGTAATCCCAGCACTTTGGGAGGCCAAGACGTGTGGATCACCTGAGGTCAGGAGTTTGAGACCAGCCTGGCCAACATGGCGAAACCCCTTCTCAACTACAAAAACAAAAATTAGCCCGGCGTGGTGGCGGGTAGCTGGAATCCCAGCTACCCAGGAGGCTGAGGCAGAAGAATCGCTTGAACCCGGGAGGCGAAGATTGCAGTGAGCCGAGATCCGGCCACTGCACTCCACCCTAGATGACAAGGGTGAAACTCCATCTCAAAATAATAGTAATAATAAATCTTTCCTTTATCTAGTCAACTTTGAATGTTATGCTTAATTCCTTGAGACCTAGAAATGGAATTCACTGTGTTTGTTTGATCACTGGTGGTTTTCTATAGTGGATCGAGGAATGTTCTCACCTCTTGCCAGAATCTTTTAAATAGTCCTGCTCTCTTCTCTGTCAGGTCGCTTCTCTATTCACTCTCATCTACTTTGTGAATCATAAGGCAAATTGTCAATGAATTTGACTAAAATTTCAAGAAATAAATCAAGGTGAGAAAAGTAAGCTGACAACAGAGTTGAGAATAAAAGGGGAAGTATTTGACTGGGTCTGTTTTGCTTCCCCGCCCAAAACCATCCCAGACGTTCCTTAAATAGAGCCCACAGTTTGTGGGCTTTCTAATGAATAGTGGCCAAGAGGCAGCCTCACATTTGAGGCATGCTATTACCATTTTTTCTTCATTCCCTCTCCTTAATTAGGGTCTTTAAAGGGAGGCTGCCCTCAGATTCTGACAAACAGTATTAGCTTCCTCATAATGCAATGCCTGATCCTGGAGCTATTTTTCAGGATGGTTTGCACTGAGTCTGTGACATTGTCTATATTTCTAGAATGCAGGAGGAATACCTCAACAGAGAATTAGCTGTGGAGGTTCTAAAAAGCCTATTCCTGAAGGCCTGAAGAACTGATTTTAATAACCCATAATAATACGGGAGGGAGATAGAGTTGACTAATTTTCAGTTTCACAGTTTGGCTAATGCCTACAGTAAGATGTATTTTACCTGTACCAAACACACACACACCAAAAAATTCATGAAACAATATTTATCCCTTTTCCATGCAATTCCTTCTATTTTCCATTCTAATTTATTTCAGTTTCTAAATGCAAACCTCCACCCACTGAATTGATTCTCTCACACTAAAGAGTGGCAACCCACTGTTTGAAAAGCACTCAATGGGATGCCCTTTATTTTTCTAACCCTGTAATTCAATATAGAGAGACTCTGAATTGAGGACAAGCCTGATGAGTTTGAGGTATGGAATAAAGGAATCTGATCGGCTCCGGGTTTGTTGTGTTTTTAAATCTTCCTGTGTGTTCATTCTCTTCACCACAGAGAGGACTCTATTATCTTTGCTCAAAGAGCAGACAGTGCTCTAGCTGTTTTCCCCTGCTTAGCTTTGATCCCTGCAGCCATGCTCAGCCCTTCCCCCAAGCCCTCCCTTCCAGATGGATTGAGGCTGTTGAGACTCCAGGGGTGTTCGGGGCTGGGAGCCTGCTGAGTGTTCCCTGTTCCCACCTCCAATCTGCTCCATCCTCCAGCTGCATTTCATTCCGGATCTACCAGGTTAATGGGATTATCGTTCTTCTCTGTTATTCTGTTATTTCATATAGGGTGAATCAGTTTGTTCCTGGGACAATTTTTAGATGGTTGCTGAGATGACAAAAATGGATGGGGATTTTATTTTAGGAATAAGTGTTCTTCATCAGCCAGGATTTAATCTGGGAAGAATTTATTCACTCTCAAATGGGTTACTTTTTGAAGTGACTTAAAAATAAGATTTTTTTGGCTGGGTGTGGTGGCTCACACCTGTAATCCAGCACTTTTGGAATCTGAGGCAGAAGGATTGCTTGAGCCCAGGAATTCAAAACCAGCCTGGGCAACATATTGAGACCCAGTCTCTATTATTTAAAAAAAAAAAATTTAAATAAGATTGTTTTATCAGATAAAAGCAAAGCATACCTTAAGGCACAACTCATGTTTTAATGCCTATATCATCATCGAATCAACCATACAACATTTTAGCTTCAAATTTTAATTTTGGTTAGAAAGATAAAGTGATAGACTGATTATATCATTTATTTTATTCATTATATTCAACAACATTTGCTCAGTACTTATTGGATACAGAGCACATTTATTGACCTCAAGATATCTAGACCTTTAGAAGGGAGTTTTTTTTAAATGCCTACAGATAGCCATTATATAAAATAAGATTTTAATAAGTGACTATACACAGTATAGTTCATAGCCTAATCATAGTATCTCCTCCTTTTCAGAACTTGTAAGAGTGAAAAGAGAAATTACTCATTCCTAGTGTATCTGTTTTTTCAGGACATGAGATTGCCAAATTTCTGTATTCTTCATTTTAATTAAATGCATGATTGATTGACTGAATGGATGCTGACTGTCTATTTGGTGCCATGTGCTATAAATGTGATGAAATGATCTTCCTATTGATCTTTCTTTGGTTTCTTGATGTTTGTCTCAAAAGAATTGACTTCCCAATACCTGGAACGCATGAGGGTGGAGAGAGACTGAAAAATGGAAAGAAAGAGGCATGAAATAAGGCTACTGGGGACTCGGGTTTTTCCTTCCTCTCTGATTGTCCAAATCCAATAGAAATATAAAGTGAGGCTGGGTGCGGTGGCTCATGCCTGTAATCCCAGCAGTTTGGGAGGCCAAGGTGGGTGGATCACCTGAGGTCAGGAGTTTGAGACCAGCTTGGCCAACATGGTGAAACCCCATCTCTACTAAAAATGCAAAAAATTAGCCAGGAGTGGTGGAACACACTTGTAATCCCAGCTACTCGGGAGGCTAAGGCAGGAGAATCGCTTGATCCTGGGAGACAGAGGTTGCAGTGAGCCGAGATCACACCACTGCACTCCAGCCTGGGCAATAGAGCAAGACTCCATCTTGGAAAAAAAAAAAGACATATAAAGTGATATAAAATATAAAATTTTAAACTATAGTAGCTACAATTGAAAAAGTCAAAAGAAACATAAAATTTATTTTTAACAACATATCTTGTACAATCTAATATATCTAAAATATTATCTTTACAATGTGAAATCAACATAAAAAACATTAGTGAGATATTTTACATTCTTTCAGGTATTTTTGGACTATTATCTTCAAAACCTGGCATGTATTCTTCACTAACAGCACATCTCAATTTTGATTAACCATATTTCTTGAGTTCAGTAACCACAAATCACTAGTGGCTGTCATATTGAACAACATAGCCTAGATAAAGAAGCAAAAGTCAAGGAAAATCTAGATAGTTAATAAATTTCTTTAATATTTAGAGGAAGGGACTCTTACTTCATGGGGTAGGAGGAAACCTGAAAACCAGTTTTCTCTTTCTGCTGATGGAGAAATGGGAGTTGCCAACTCAAGATCCACTCCTTTCTCTTCCAGCCTCTCAGACGTGGGGAAATGAGATAGAGCTGGAGCTGAACCTCTCCTACTTCTCTCCAGCACCCCAGAATTAAATCTGCTCTGAGGAAAATAAAGGCAACTCTACAGTCCTCACATTAGTATCATGACTTGCAGTTGATAAATGCTTTCATGTACAATATATCATTGGATATTTAATCATACTGTGACGTGGTCAGTCGAAGTATTACTATTCTCACTTTATAGATGAATGATCTGGGCCTCAGGGAGATTAAATGGCTTGCTCCAAAGTAGCACAGTTAGTATCCAAGTGTTTTGAAATTTAACCTAGTGTATGTCTCACTAAACCAGAGCTGCCTGGCAAAAGGAAGTTAAGAAAATATTTACAGAAGTATGATTTTTTTTTCTTCTCTGGACACATTTCATCTACTCCACACCCGCCCCCCACAAAAAATAAAAGAAAAGAAAAAAACCACTGGTGATCATTTTGCAGAAATAACCTCTTGGCCAATTGAGCTTTTAACTGGGTTTTTGTATTTTTTTTTAAGTTGGACCTCATTGTCTAGTGTAGCAATTTAGAACATCTAATTATTGACAGCAAGTCAGCATATTACAAAGGCAGAGTTTTTGCATTGGCTCTGAAATGTGTTGCAATCATTTTTGTCTGGGAAAACAAACAAAAGTGGATAGGCAGCATGGTTGTTACATGAGATGCTGGCTGAGTCCCAGGCCCTAGGACATTGGCTTACCTACCAACAATACCTCCCTTTCAGGCGATGCCAACTGTTTTATGAGAAGATCACAGTTCTCTGGAAGTGAGCTTTTGTGTTTTGCTCTAATCAGCAGGATCCAACTTTACTACTGTCATGGAGGGAATTACAGTAATTCTACCAACTTTTGAGGCAACCTTCTTCTGACACTGTGTGAAACAGACTGAAAAGACTCTAAAGATGGAGAGAGCTCAATGCTTGAGAAAAGGAATTCTGTCCTTTGAAAGGTCTCTAGAACAAAGGGTATGCAATATGTTTATCACTTCAACTTCAGAAACATAATAGGCTCTAGAAACACATTCTCATTGATCTGTTTCTACTGCTTCTGTTTTTTTTTTTTCTGCTTCACCCAATCGTCTTCCTATTTTTATCTCTTTCATTCCACTCTGGAGCCATGTTGCTTGGTCAGGCCACCCTTCAAAATAAATGATTTTTTCCCTCTTTCATGTTATACCTGTTTTCTTAATTCTTGGCTGTTACTTTTCTCAGTTAACCTTTGGCAAATCATAATGAAATTAAATTTAGCTGGTTGTAGAGAGAAAGAGTCATTGTAGAAGTTGGGATGGTCTGGAAGTGAATTAAAAAGTATTTTGATAGCCCTCAGAATGTGGACAAAAATAGTAAAAATCCAGCTGGGAGTCAGTGTATCTATTTTATGTCATTTGCAGTAAATTGTTGGGCGTCTCCTTGTAGCTGCCACAATAATGCTAATGATGGTGACTTCTTGCTCGAAGTGCTGAGTGTTGAATCCTTTGCCCCAGTTATGTGCCACATACTGATTTCCTTAGCAGTAGACAAATACTGGAAACACAAAAGGCAGAAGCCATGTCCTACTAAGCCATTCCCTTTGTCTAGTTTATCACTCAGTTCTGTCTATTCTTTCCTTCCTCTGTGGGAAATGGGGAGTTCATAAATGGTAATAACAAACTTGCAGAAAAATGTTAAGATAGAAACTTTTGTAGCAGCCAGCATTTTTCTTAGAGGAGGTCAAAGCATAAAGAAATAAACTGATCAGCCTCTGTTCCTATCTCCCCCAAAAACTCCTTCTCTAGATATCCTACTCTCAGAAACTAGTAATCAGGCATTATGAAAAATTACTTAATCCACTGGGCCAATTCATGTAGCTTATCAGCTATCTGCCTTTAGACTGAAAAAAAAAATAGCCAAATTATTTACTTGCAAATCCAGAAAGTAGGTGAAGTTCTTTAGCAGTTTAATGTTACTATAACAGTCTAATTCACAGGAGCACACACATTTATAAAATTGTCATCTGCACGAGTTGGCACACCCACATGAGAGAAATGTCATCCATGACAATGGGGCTATCAGGTCTTTTATAGCATACATTCTACTATAAATTTATAGGGATCAAGGAAAAACTTCTCTTTGCCATCTGAAGGCTTACTGAAAAATCAACTGACAAAAGGCAGATTAATAGGCAAAATGGCCTACAGATGTGTTAGTGAGCATGAGGGAGAATCACAGAATGATTGTCCAATATCCCAGTGAGGTACAGATGGTTGTATATACTTCTTAGGGGAAAGACAGATAGAGACGTGTAGATGATTTTTAGGGGATTTCGATGGGCCTGGAGAACCTACAGTGGCCTGGGATAAAGTCTTTTGGGCCAGCAGAGCAGACAATAGTTTGTGACCAGTCTGTCCAGGCGTGTTGATAGAATTCAGTCTTTCTTCCCATGAGTTCAGTTAATAAAAACTCAGGGAAGGGGCCAGAAGTAATTGTTTTCTTCATTGTCAGGTCCAAAATGTAGGCAAATAAGGAATTTCAGGGGACAACTTCATCCTGCAAGGAGGATTAAGAGACAGGACAGGGAGGAGGTCCAAGAGACCTTGAGGCTTCTTTTTCAGTTCAGCATGTCAAAGTGCCATATTTTGGGGTATCCGTTTCTAAGCTCTAACACATTCAAAGTACCTCAAAAGAACCAGATGCTGCTAAGATAGTTCACAGGGAAGATTCTGTCCTCTTCTCTGTATCCTCTATTTAAAATTCAAGTGGTTTCTCTTTCTAGGCTACCCCATAACTTTGTTGGTTAAAGGATGTGCTACTCATTTAAAATGTCAAATTACAAAGCCAGAGAACTGGCCTACCTGATTCACATACTTTGCCTTTCTCAATCCCTGTAATCTCAGCATCATACATTCTATCTTTTCAACGTGCATATTAAAAGGTATCTTAAAGACTATCTTACTCGGACTGAAACGCAAGAGTATCTGCGAACACTGATTCAGCTTGCAAAATACATAGAAAAGTAGCAAGAAAAATGATGTAACATCCCATGTAGTCGGCATACTGGCCTAGTTTCAAGACCGAAAGCAGTCTGAAAATGTCTGAAAAAAGTCGGAAAATGTGTGTGTGTGTGTGTGTGTGTGTGTGTGTGTGTGTGTGTGTGTGTATGTGCAGCCATGCCTAACAGCTCATGTTTAGCTTTCTTTTTTTTTTCCTTTTCTTCTTTTTTATACAGAGTCTTATTCTGTCACCTAGGCTGGAGTACAGTGGTGCAATCACAGCTCACTGCAGCCTCGATCTCCTGGACTCAACTAATCCTCCTGCCTCAGCCTTCTGGGTAGTTGAGACTACAGGTACATGCCACCACAGTCCCCTAATCTTTTAATTTTTATTTTTAGTAGAGATGAGGTCTCACTATGTTGCCGAGGCTGGTCTTTTTTTTTTTTTTTTTTGAGACAGAGTCTTGCTGTGTTGCCCAGGCTGGAGTGCAGTGGCTTGATCTCGGCTCACTGCAACCTCCGCCTCCTGGGTTCAAGCAATTCTCTGCCTCACCTCCTGAGTAGCTGGGATTACAAGCACCTGCCACCACAGCTGGCTAATTTTTTTTGTATTTTTAGTAGAGACAGGGTTTCACCATCTTGGCCAGGCTGGTCTTGAACTCCTGACCTTGTGATCCACCCACCTCGGCCTCCCAAAGTGCTGGGATTACAGGCATGAGCCACCGTGCCCGGCCACCCAGGCTGGTCTTGAACTTCTGGCCTCAAGCAATCCTCTCGCCTCAGCCTTCCAAAGTGCTGAGATTACAGGCATGAGCCACCCAGCCCACTCACGTTTGGCTTTCTTTTTCCTGTTTTTTTTAAACTTCAACTTTTATTTCAGATACAGAGGTAGATGTGCTGGTTAGTTGCATGGGAATATTGCATGATGCTGAGGTTTGGGGTTCGAATTCCATCACCCAGGTAGTAAGCATACCACAACATAGGTTTTTCAACCCTCCCACTCCCCACCTTGTAATAGTCTGTAGTGTCTTTTCCCATATTTATGTCCACGTGTGATTAGCTTTTCCCATATTTATGTCCATGTGTGATTAGCTAGGTCACTTCCCAGAATGTTATATACCCACACACATTGAGAAAGTTTTTGGCACTGGAATTGCCCTGGGTGATTGTGTTGGAACAGGTGCCAAAACAGTAACGTTCTTACCTGAAACACTGCTGGGGTTTGCAGGAAGGCACTGATCCACCCTTCCTACAGCTTGTTCATGCCAAAAAATACAAGGAAAGCTGCAGCTCCCCGAAGGAGAGGGAGAGAAACTCTTGCCTCTTTTTAAATGAGTAGACTAAGGGCCGGGGGCGGTGGCTCACACTTGTAATCCCAGCACTTTGGGAGGCCGAGGTGAGCAGATCACAAGGTCAGGAGATCGAGACCATCCTGGCTAACATGGTGAAACCCCGTCTCTACTAAAAATACAAAAAATTAGCCGGGCGTGGTGGCGGGCGCCTGTAGTCCCAGCTACTCGGGAGGCTGAGGCAGGAGAATGGCGTGAACCCGGGAGGCGGAGCTTGCAGTGAGCCGAGATCGCACCACCGCACTCCATCCTGGGCGACAGAGCCAGACTCCGTCTCAAAAAGAAAAAAAGTTATAAACTAAGATGAAGGGAAAACATAACACAAATATTTTTCAAGGAGTAGTAAGATATTAGAGCCCTAAAAGATTTGATGGGCACATTTGTCTTGCTTGTTTCACCCTCATCATCATCATACGAGTTTATTTCATTTAAAAAACAGAAAACATAGAGAAGCATAGAAAGCATTCCAATCCCCCATAATTCCGCCTCCTAAACATGCATACATTTATAGACTACGGTTCCATGGGACCTGATATATATGGTACCTGATACACATGGATAAATTTTTCCTACCAAAATATCATAAATTATATTGTGTTGTAGAAATTGTCTTTGTTACCTAACAACAAATCACTATGTCAGTATATAAATATTTACCACATCATTGGTTGTTTTTTGGGGTGCTTTTGTTGTTGTTGTTGTTGTTGTTGTTTTGAGACAGGATCTCTCTGTGGTGCTCAGGCTGGAGTGCAGTGGCGTGATCTCAGTTCACCGCAACCTCTACCTCCTGGGCTCAAGCAATCCTCCCACCTCAGCCTCCTGAATAGCTGGAATCACAGATGTGCCACCATGCCTGGCTAATTGTTTGTATTTTTGGTAGAGACAGGGTTTCACCATGTTGCCCAGGCTGGCCTCCAACTCCTGAGCTCAAGCAATCCTCCCACCTTGGCCTCCCAAAGTGCTGTGATTACAGGCCTGAGCCACTGCGCCCAGCATACCACATCATTGTTAATGGGTACATAGTATTCTCTTAAGTGGATGTATTATAAGTTATTTAACTAATACCCTATGATTGATTGCTTGAATTCTTTTCAACTTCTATAATTATAATTAATTCTACAATAAACAGCCTTCTGGCCAGGTGCAGTGGCTCACGCCTGTAATCCTAACACTTTGGGAGGCTGAAGAGGATGAATTACCTGAGGTCAGGAGTTCAAGAACAGCCTAGCCAACATGGTGAAACCCCGTCTCTACTAAAAACACAAGATTAGCTGGCTGTGGCAGCACATGCCTGTAATCCCAGCTACTTGGGAGACTGAGGCAGGAAAATCGCATGAACCCAGGAGGCGGAGGTTGCAGTGAGCTGAGATCAGGCCATTGCACTCCAGCCTGGGTGATAAAGCGACACTCTGTCTCAAAAATAAATAAATAAAAATTAATTAGTTAATTAACAAACCCAGATTTCAGGTGTCTCCTAATTTGAGGGACCAGGAGGGAACACCAAGACCATATATAGCTGCATTTGTGTTCATCCCTTACCTTATGACTACCAGGATACGTGAACTCAGCCTGTCTTTGAAGCTCTTAAATAATCCTCTAATGTAAAAACCTCAGTGAACATGTAAACATCACCGGAGTTTTCATAGAGAAGGTGGAAAACAGGTTTTGCAAAACACATCTCACAGAAAAAAATCCCTCATAGACATGTCTGTTCTTACTCATTATCTGTTATATCTGGGACTGGGGTAGAGGGTGGCTGGCAAACAAATCAGTTCTTCTGTTCAACTTGCTTCCTCAAACTTGCCTTGATGCTCAGCCAAACAAAGGGCCCTCCAGTTACCAGAAATTGCCCTCCTCAGAAGAAAATTTAGCAATCATCTAAACTTGTTTTAAACATGCCCTTTGAGATATCACGCCCAGCTCCAGCAGTTTGTATTAGAGTATTTCTTCAGATCCTTGTCTGTTAAATCCTTCAAGAGTGTTAACTTTTCTTCACCTAGTTTCTGCCCATTTCTTGTCAATTTTCTTTCTAGTTTTTTTTTCTTATCTTTCTTTCTGTTTTTTGTTTGTTTGTTTGTTTTGGTTTTGGTTTTGGGTTTTTTTCGAGACAGTCTTGTGCTATATTGCCCAAGCTGATCTCAAACTCCTGAGCTAGGGCAATCCTCCCACCTCAGCCTCCTGAGTAGCTGGGATTACAGATGTGTGGCATCATGCTCAGCTCTTTTTCTAATAATTTTTTCTTCTCTGGTTGCTACTGCAGTTGGTAACTTTACTCCACTATATTATCTAATCAAGCCTTCTTTATATAAAGAAAAACTATTGATTTAGATACTTTTGTGTGTGTGAAGTCAACTAGCTTACTGATTTATCTCATTGTTTCTTCTGTTTTAATTGATATATTATTATCTGCAAACAATAATTGTGTCTCCTCTTTCAAGTATTCATACCTCTTACTACTTTCTCACGTGTAATTACATTGAGTAATTACATTGAGTAGTACCACTAAATTAGGAGTACTAGTAGTGATGATGGACTTCTTTGCCTTCCATTGCAAAATCTTTTAATGCTTCCATGAAAAACGATACTGGCTTTGACATATAGTTTAAACATATACACACATACACACGCAATTTTAATTTCAAAGACTTTACATTTATTCCTATTTAGTGATGGTTTAAGTTCCTTATCTGTATATTTGCTTTGTTTGCTTTTATTTTTAAACTAGGAAGAAATACTGGATTTGTCAAAGTCCTTTGAGATACCAGTCTACTGATCCATACTAAATTTGAATTATCTTCTTTTTAAACACTTAAATAAACTTAGACATGTTTATGGGCTGTTCATTCTATTGTACTGATCTACAAGTCATTTCTAACACCAATAAAGTGCAGGTCTATTTATTGAACATTTTAACATATTATAATAGCTAGAAATTTCAGTCCTTCTATTTTTTTTTTTTTTTTTTTTTTTTTTTTGAGTCGGAGTCTCGCTCTGTTGCCCAGGCTGGAGTGCAGTGGCACTATCTTGGCTCACTGCAAGCTCCACCTCCCAGGTTCACGCCATTCTCCTGCCTCAGCCTCCCGAGTAGCTGGGACTACAGGTGCCCGCTGCCATGCCTGGCTAATTTTTGTATTTTTTTTTTAGTAGACACGGGGTTTCACCTTTTTAGCCAGGATGGTCTTGATCTCCTGACCTCGTAATCTGCCCACCTCAGCCTCCCAAAGTGCCGGGATTACAGGCATGAACCACAGTGCCCGGCGTCCTTCTATTTTTCTAATCTTTAAGGTTTTCTAGGTAGGGCATGGTGGCTGTAATCCCAGCACTTTGGGAGGCCAAGGTGGAAGAATCGCTTGAGCTCAGGAGTTTGGGACCACCCTGAGCAACATAGTGAGACCCCATCTCATAAAAAATAAAGATAAAATAAAATAATAAAATTAATTAATTTGAAAAATATTTTCTTGCTTCATGTGTCTTAATATTCTAACCATTATTATATTACTATCATGTAGACAGGCAAAATTAATAAGATAGTTAGAAAATAATACAAAATAATTTGGGGCACTTTTATTTAAAAATTAAAATGCATCCAGTACCATAAATTCCAGGAGAGGCAGAAATCAATATGAGCTTAATGAGTGATGAAAATTACCACAGATTTATTTTTTGCAGATACAGAAGATGAGAGAGAGAAAAAGAGAGAAATTACAGAGTGACGGAGAAGGCAGACATCATGCAACATGCTCAAGGGCTATTCATTTTAAGCTGAAACATACATGTGTAGAAAGCATCCTTGTACTTATAATCCCAATGACTATGAAGAAAAATAATTTAGCCAAATAGTTCCTAGAACAGGAAAAATAAGGAATTATATTTTGAGATAAGAAGTTAAGCTCTAGTATAACAATGATATGGGTCAAAGAAAAATGAAAACAAATTTTAAAAACGTTGCAACATGAATAAAAGTTTCACCAAATCGGGAGTCTATTATAAGCATGTTTTGAGTTATTTTCTTTCCCAAAGACTTCATTTTTGTTTCAATTTATTTCAGTAGTATACACTTCTGAAAATATTTAACTAATGTCGTACTGGTTCTCGTAAAAGGTGAGGTGGAGCAATTCCATTAAGCTATAGTGAGGTGAAGAGAGAATATCTGGTGAATGAATTTGAAATAAGCTCCTTCGCGATATGCCCCTTCCATAACCTCTGTATCCTTGTCATCCCAAACTGCCCACATTTCGCTGAACTCCTTGCACTTCTCAGAGGACATCTTACCTGTCAACCCACGGTATCAGTTGGCTGGGGGAGGTCCCCAAATACTGGTGAGACCCTGACCCCTGCTAATGTCCAGGCACCTGACACCGATATAGAAGGAATCCAAAGACGACGAGTCAGAAAACAGTGACTGTATGAAGATTTACTGCAAAGTGAATCTCCACGGAAGTGCAGTTCAGGCCTACTCAAGAGAGAGACACTCCCAGAGGGGCTTGGGGCTGCTATCTTTATGGGTTTCTTTAGCCAAAGGGTGAAATATTCATGAAGATTTCTGGAAAAAAGGTGAAGATTTCTTGGAACTGTGGTGCCACCCATTTTTACACCAAATATGGGTGTTCCCAGAAGTGTCATGGCATTGGTGGGTATGTAATTTAGTATGTTAATGAATGTACAGTGAAGTCCTCATGAGACCTAGGTGAAATCCAGCACCATGTTGGGTCCAGTCAGCCTCAGCCAGCTTGGTCTACACCCTGGTTTGCAAAGTATCAGCCCCTAGTTTATGCAGCTATTTCAACAGTTTCCTTTTTGCTAGTCATGTGAAACTGCTGCCTAGAATTTTCTATTCTCCTACCACCACCCTGTATTATTCCTGTCTCACTACCCTTCAACTTCCACCCCCTTTTCCTCTAGATACTTGTATAGTACTCTTCAGACATAGGAGTGTGGAAATCGTCCCCTGCGTCCCAGTCTGAGACAGGTAGTTCTTTTTTTTGCCATCGCATCTCATGCACGCCTCTCTGAATCACTGGTTTTCTTGACTGTCTCCCTCAGCAGAGACACCACGGAAGGCATCTTAATTGTACATTCAGCATTTAGCATATGGAAGCATTAAAGATGTTATGCAAAAAACATAAGCTTCTTTTTTAACTTCTTAAGAAATGTGGGCTCAAGCTCTGCTCCCTACTGTATTTATTTTTCTTAATACCCTTGTGGTTAAAATGTCACATAACGATGTCACATAATCTCACTAATATCATATGTTATGGGTATGATATTAATAGTCATATTCAAACTGTTAATGAATCACATCAAGAAAGCCCGTCTCCTTTAGTGTCTTATAAAAATTATAGAGGAAAAACAGTGCAAGTCAGTAAGTATAATATTAAGGGGCCGGGTGTGGTGGCTCACGCCTATAATCCCAGCACTTTGGAAGGCCGAGGCCAGCGAATCATGTGAGGTTAAGAGTTCGAGACCAGCCTAACATACTGAAACCCCATCTCTATTAAAAATACAAAAATCAGCCAGGCGTAGTGGCGGGCGCCTGTAATCCCAGCTACTCAGGAGGATGAGGAGGAGAATCGCTTGAACCCGGGAGGCAGAGGTTGCAGAGGTTGCAGTGAGCTGAGATCGCGCCATTGCACTCCAGCCCGTCTGACAGAGCAAGAATATGTAAAAAAAAAAAAAAAAAAAAAAAAAGAATAAGGGAATCAACCGGGCTCAGTGGCTCATGACTGAAATCCCAATACTTTGGGAGGCTGAGGCAGGAGGATCACTTGAGCCCAGAAGTTTGATCCCAATCTGGGCAACACAGGGAGATCCCCGTCTCTACAAAAATTTTTTTAAAAAAAGAGAATAAGGGAATCATAAAGTTGGAAAGGTAGGTGAAAATCATTCTTCCTGTGGTTCCTAACTCTGGCTGAGCTTTTAATAAAATGCCAACAACGCCCAGGTCTTATGCTAAGAAAATTTGATTACACTTGTCTTATGTGGTGAAGGAGTAGCTGTGTATGTGCGGGTGTGTGCATGTGTGCGCGTGTGTGTGCGTGTGTGCATGTGTGTAGAGACAGGGGCTCATTATGTTGCTCAGGCTGGTGTCAAACTCCTGAGCTCAAGCAATCCACCTGCCTCAGCCTCCCACGGTGCTGGGATTACAGGCATAAGCCAGCAGGCCCGGGTAAGCAGTATTTTTTTAAAGTTCCCCAAATACTTCTAATATGCACCCAGAATTGAGGACACCCCATCTAATCCTACTCCATGTTGCCTAATCATTTTCCTGATGAGGCAACATGAGAGGTGACGTCACTTAGGAGAGTGAGTAAGGGACACACTAAAAATAACTAAAGTTACTCATCAGATCATAGATTCATTATGGAAGGAATGATCAGAAAATCAAGAGATTGGGAAGAATTGGCTTGTTTAGATGACCAGTACGGGTGAGATTAACTAGATGGAAAGTAAAGCAACCGCAAGCTGTATGTGGTGGCACTTCAAATAGGAGTAGTGGGAACTAACATGAAAAGAAAAAAATGATTACAGTTGGCAGGCAAAGGAGGGATCTGTGCAGGAAATAACTTGGCTGAATAAATAGAATGAGCTAAGACTAGATTATCCAAACACGAGATTCATTTCTAAATCAGACAGAGCTGAACTTAACAACAACTCTATCTACTTGTAGTTTCCTCTGTATAAATTTTACACTGCTAGTGAGCATGGATTTACAGTTATCTGCAAATCTTACTCCTGAAAAATGAGAATATAGACAGCTCCCTGATTTGGAGGAACTGAGAATGGAAATTACATTGTTGCATGAGGTCAAATATTTCTCAGGTTTATCTTACACATTTAGAATATTAAAAAAAATAAATTGGGGATAGCAATGAGGGAGATCAATGCAGGAGGTCAACCGATATTTATTGGCAGAAGAGCAAGGGAAAAAATGTGATGGTGTTTTGTTTTCCATCAACAGCTCCAATCTCTTCATCCTCCCTCCAAGCCAACTCTATTCCCAGATGGTCTTTAAATTCTAATATTTAAAGAAATATAGTCTTTCCAGGAGCAGTAGCTCGCGCCTGTAGGAAGGTTGCTTGAGGCCAGGAGTTTGAAACCAGCCTAGGCAACATGGTGAGACTCAAATCTTTTTTTTTTTTCTGAGACAGAGTCTCCCTCTGTCACCCATGCTGGAGTGCAGGGGTGCGATCACGGCTGACTATAACCTCCGTCTCCTGGGTTCAAGCGATTCTCCTGCCTCAGCTTCCCGAGTAGCTAGAATTACAGGCGTACGCCGCCACACCTAGCTAATTTTTATATTTTTAATAGAGACGGGGTTTCACCATGTTGGTGAGGCTGGTCTGGAACTCCTGACCTCAGGTGATCTGCCGGCCTCGGCCTCTGAAAGTGCTGGGATTACAGGCATAAGCCACCACTCCCGAACAAGACTGAAATCTAAAATAATTTTAAAAATAAATAAATAAATAAATAAAAATGTTACAGCTCAGCTCTTTTAGAATTTGTCTAACAGATTGCTTAGTCTTCACCAGGGCACCCCCTACCCCCACCACCCCACCAAAAAATGTTTTATCCAGGATAAAACTGCTTGCCTTATTATTTTCTTAATTTCATGCTGTAATCGTGTATACAGTTTCCCAACTTTTTTAGCATTAATCTTTCAAAATACAATTATCTCAGTTTGTGACCCTGATCATATGTCAAGTAATATAATTTTGTGACTCATACTTTCGGAATATTTTGTCTTAGCTTCCTGATTTTTATACACACATATACAAAGAAATCTCCATTTTTCTTTTCTTTATTCTTCTTTTATTTATTTATTTACGTATTTTTGAAGATGGGGTCTCACTGTGTTGCCCAGACTGGGTGTGGCTGGAATGGTGTGAGACTTAGAAATTACTGTAGATGTTGTTCATCCAAGTTGTCATAATGAAAATTGTGAGACATTCAAATCACTCTTTTTTATGTTATGAACCATGTGCTTCACAAACCCAGATCTCAAAGCTGTGTAGTAATCCTACTGTAGATTCAATCTAAATGTCAGCCTATGCAAATACAGACTATTTGATATAGAAATATTCCCACCCAAATATTACTTCCCAATAATTGTAATAGTAAGCCCATACAAAAATAAAGCATCAAAGACTTTTTAGCTGCCTAGCTACCATCCACTCTCTTTTCTATAGGTTTTCAAAAGTCTAATGGTTCCAACTTCTAATGGACTCAGCATTCGTCAGGGAAACTAGCTCCCAATACTCCTTGACCCTTGCACCGTAATTCATAATGCTTCCATTTTTTTGCTAAAAGAATCATCAATGGCTCTTGAATTTTTTTTTTTTTTTTTTTTTTTTTTTTTTTTTTTTTTGCACATATCCATCCACAAATGTCCCTGTTCCATTCTCCCCACGGGTACAGTGATATCTAATAATGAGTTACAAATTTTTTTTGTTTCCTCTTTAATAAATTTAGTACTGGTGTGGCTCTGAATAATTACTAAACAGCCAATTTTACGTCTTTAAAGTATGTGTATCCAGGCCGGGCGCGGTGGCTCACTCCTGTAATCCCAGCACTTTGGGAGGCCGAGGTGGGCGGATCATAAGGTCAGGAGATCGAGACCATCCTGGCTAACACAGTGAAACCTCGTTTCTACTAAAAATACAAAAAATCAGCTGGGCGTGGTGGCGGGCGCCTGTAGTCCCAGCTACTCGGGAGGCTGAGGCAGGAGAATGGTGTGAACCCGGGAGGCGGAGCTTGCAGTGAGCCGAGATCGCGCCACTGCACTCCAGCCTGGGCGACAGAGAGAGACCTCGTCTCAAAAAAAAAAAAAAAAAAAAAAAAATTGCGTCCACCTCTTCCTTATATGAACCGTTGTGAAGACTAGGGATAAAGTAAGTGAAGAGCCCGGATCTATCTGAAACACTCTTATCAATTGTTAGCTGTTATTTTTACTGTTTTCCCCTATATTCTTTTATATGTTTAGTGTCTTACAGGAAGAGGTTAAAAAGTGCAGGGGTGGGGGCAATAGGGGACAGGGAGAATATAATAAAGGATTAAGTAATTAAATAGAAGATAGGAAAGGGTGCTCCAAAAGCAAGTGTCCGTTCCAGAACTTGCTTCCTAGTAAAGCAAGGTCCTCAGGCCATCTTCTCTGAACCTTGATTCCACTGTATTTTCAGTGTGCGAACAGTGATTTAAATCAGTCCATTTTAGCTGTCAAACTCATACCGTTTGAGAAGATTCATAACCCCAGAGAGAGCGCTTACGAAGGAGGGATTAACATGGCAAACACATGCGCAAACTCCAGATGGCTGAGCTGAGACATGTTTGGGGGAAAGTCTCTCTCCTGACTGTGGAGGAAATGCTATATGGGAGGAAAACTAGTGTCTTTTGTGATAAAGGATGGTCAGTTAGTCACTGGGTCACAAAGCCTGTTCTACAAATCATTCAATTTAAGAAGCATTTGGGACCCCTCGAAAGTTTTTTTGTTTGTTTTTGAGACGAAGTTTCTCTCACTGTTGCTGTGGCTGGAATACAACGGTGCAGTCTCGGCTTACCGCAACCTCCCGCGCACGGTCCAAAACACATTTTCGTGCTGCATGGGCCGGGAATCGAACCCGGGCCTCCCGCGTGGCAGGCGAGAATTCTACCACTGAACCACCCATGCACCGATAGAAGAGTTGGGGAAAAGCAGTAACATGATTGGAACGCGACTGGAAGGTGTTCTTTGTTGCAAGAGACTAGATAATGGAGAAGGAAGATGATAATATTTTGGTCACTTGGCTGGGCATGGTGGCTCATGCCTGTAATCTCAGCACTTTGGGAGGCCGAGTGGGGAGGATTGCTTGAGCCCAGGAGTTCGAGACCAGCCTGGGCAACACAGGGAGACTCTTGTCTCTAAAAAAAAAAACTAAAAAAAAAGAAAATGAGCCGGGCATGGTGGCACGTGCCTGTAGTCCCAGCTACTCAGGAGCCTGAGGAGGGAGGATTGCTTGAGCCTGGGAGGTCAAGGCTGCAGCGAGCTGTGGTCATGCCACTTGCAATCCAGCCTAGGTGACAGAGTGAGACACTGCCTCAACAGCAACAAAAAAGTTGGTCACTTGAAGTATTGCTACTTATTGATTCATGATACAATTAAATGTTGCCTCTCCAGATTGTTTGGGGGAATTGGGGGGTTTTTTGAGAATAAAGTGCTCCAGATAGCCGTGTGAGTGCCTCTTGAATAAACACCAGTTTTTTTAAAAATTGAATTCATTTATATAAAAATATAAATTGCATTAAATGCTATTTATATTAAATGCTTTCCTGCCATCTTAAGCAGAATGCGCTGAATAATACCTTACTGAGGACTCAGCACCGTGACAGCCATTGCTGATTATTGCAGTGAACTGTGATTCAGTGATGTGGGACACACCGTCAAGGAAGTGAGTGCAATGAGAGCTCCACATACACAAAGTTCAGAAAAAAACAAAGCACAGGAGGCTGTTTGCTTTCTAACTACTCGTTTCACCCCTGGACTCTGGTGTACTCTCCAGCATGCCACACTTCAGGAAGGATATTGGCAAAGTGGAGTATTCTAGCTAAGAAAAGAAGCTAGGATGGTAAGCGCTATTGAAACAAGGTTCAGCCAGCAAAATGTCTGAAAGCGTTAGAGAAGCTTAACTTAGAGAAAACTTATATATAAATATTTAAATGTTGGTAGTATTGTCTTGTGACGATGCCTTGAATAGAAACCTGTAAATATCAACCTGGTCTCTACTAAAACTACAAAAATTAGCCAGGCGTGGTGGTGCAAGCCGGTGGTCCCAGCTATTCAGGAGGCTGAGGCAGGAGAATCGCTTGAACCTGGGAGGCGGAGGCTGCAGTGAGCCGAGATCGCGCCATTGCACTCCAGCCTGGACAACAGAGCGAGACTCTGTCTCAAAAAAAAGAAAAAAGAAAGAGAGAAGGGGTGGGGAGAGAGAGGAATAAAGAAAACTGTAAATATCTAATAGAATACTAAGACTAATTGGTAAAAATCATTACAGAAAAGCAGATTTTGGGCCGGACGCAGTCGCTCACGCCTGTAATCCCAACACTTTGGGAGGCCGAGGCTGGCGGATCACCTGAGGTTGGGAGTTCGAGACCACCCTGACCAACATGGAGAAACCCCGTCTCTACTAAAAACACAAAATTAGTCGGGTATGGTGGCACATGCCTGTAATCCCAGCTACTCGGGAGGCTGAGGCAGGAGAATCGCTTGAACCCAGGAGGCGGAGGTTGCGGTGAGCCGGAGATCGCGCCATTGCACTCCAGCCTGGGCAACAAGAACGAAACTCCGTCTCAAAAAAAAAAAGAAAAGCGGATTTTGATTCAATATGAAAGAAACTCCTCTTTATAATTCATTTTGATTCATAATTTATGTGCAAGATCTTACTTGGTTTCGCAGGTAATGGAATAATGAGCGAACAAAAGTCCCAAACTCAAAAAAGACATTAACCTAGGGTAGCTGGAATGGAGAGTGCACGAGGCGAGGAGCAATGAGAGTTGGAGAAGCAAATGGGACTAGATCATGGAGGGCCTGGAAAGGTAGGATTGTTTTAAACAAGTAACTGGAAGTGATAAATCATTTTAAAATATTTTTAACTCACATTTTAATTACAAAGCTAATTATTATAAAAGTAAAATAAGTTTATTAAAATTTTAAATATATCAAAATATATTATGTAAAAGTGAAAGTTCACCCTAACCCCAATTTACAGAGGTACCTGTGAGTCGTTTAGCCCGTGTCTTTTTTTTTTTGAGACAGAGTTTCGCCCTTGCCCAGGCTGGAGTGCAGTGGTGCCATCTCGGCTCACTGCAGCCTCCGCCTCCTGGGTTCAAGCAATTCTCCTGCTTCAGCCTCCTGAGTAGCCGGGATTACAGGCGCCCACCACCATGCCTGGCTAATTTTTTTTAGTTGAGACGGGGTTCCGCATGTTGGTCAGGCTGGTCTCAAACTCCTGGCCTTTCAGGTAATCCACCCGCCTTGGCCTCCCAAAGTGCTGGGATTACAGGCGTGAGTCACTGTGCCTGGTTTTTTGTTTTTTGGTTTTTTTTTTTTTGAGATGGAGTCTCACTCTGTCACCCAGGCTGGAGTGCAGTGGCACAATCTCGGCTCACAGCAACCTCAGCCTCCGGGGTTCAAGTAGCTGGGATTACAGGCACGTGCCACCATGCCAGGATAATTTTTGTATTTTTAGTAGAGACAGGGTTTCGCCATGTTGGCCGGGGTGGTCTCGAACTCCTGACCTCAAGTGATTCACCAGCCTCCACCTCCCAAAGTGCTGGGATTACAGGTGTGAGCCACCACACCCGGCCCCTGGCCTGTGCCTTTACTTGACCTTTTTGTTGCTATGTGTTCCACATCTATAAAATGAGGATCATAATAGTACCTACCCAATAGAGGCAACATGAGAATTAAATTAATTACCGCCAACTCCATAAAGGCAGGGATTTTGTTTGATTTAGGGGTTTTCAACCTCTGTACTACTGATATTTTAGGCTGAATAATTTCCGGTAGTGGAAAGAGGGGCTGGTGTCCTGCACACTGTGGGTTGTGTAGCAGCATCTCTGGCTTCTACCCACTTCTACCTGCAACAAAAACTATTTATAGACATGGCCAAATGTCCTCTGGGGGGCAAAATCACCCAGGTTGAAAACCACTGGTCTAATTTACTGCTGAGAGCCTGTCACCCAGCACAGCATGCAATAAATATTTGTCGAATTGAATGAATGAAGTGAATGCATATAGGAAGCCCTCAGTAAGTGTTACCTATTTTTATTATACTATTTTCCAACTATATAAATTTCTACATAAGTGGGATCCAATTATGTGTACTTCAAGGCAAATTGCATTTTTTCTCTAACAATCTACCTTGGTCATACTTTTACATCACCACCACCATTTTATACAGTTGTATCTCGATTGCTTTCTATGGCGTGAAAGTAGTTTTATAATTCATTTATTCAATTCATTATTGATGTGCATATAGGCTAATTTCAATTTGTTGTTATAAATAATGCTACAAAGAACATTTTTCATTATGAATTTTTATTTACTGTCACATCCGGGGCTATGCAATGTATCATGCCCTAATTTGGAAAGGGATTTTGTATTAGGCAGGTTTCTCCAGAGAAACAGAATCAATAGGATGTATATACACACAAGGAAACTTGTTTATAAAGAAATTGTCTTACACAATTATGGGGGTTGGCAAGTCCAAAATCTGCAGGGTAGACCAGCTGGCTGAAGACCCAGGAAAGAGTTGATGCTGCAGTCCAAGTCCGAAGGTCATCTGCTACAGATTCCCTTTCGCGGCAGGTAGCTCAGTCTTTCATTCTATTCAAGCCATCAACTGATTGGATGAGACTTACCCACATTAGGAAGAGTAATCTGGGCCAGGCGTGATGGCTCACACCTGTAATTCCAGCACTTTGGGAGGCCAAGGCACGTGGATCCCTTGAGCTCAGGAGTTTGAGACCAGCCTGGGCAACGTGGCAAAATCCCAATTCTACAAAAAATACAAAAATTAGCTGGGCATGGAGGCGCATGCCTTGTGGTCCCAGCTATTCACAAGGCTGAGGTGGGAGGATCGTTTGATCCCAGGAGGTCGAGGCTGCAGTGAGCTGAGATTGTGCCACTGCCCTCCAGTCTGGGCGACAGAGCGAGACTCCATCTCAAAAAATATATAAGTAAATTAAATAAAATAAAATACAAACACAGAATTAGCCAGTTGTAGTGGCACGCTCCTGTAATCCCATGTACTCAGGAGGCTGAGGGAAGAGAATTGCTTGAACTCAGGAGGTGGGGGTTGCAGTGAGACGAGATCTGCCACTGCACTCCAGCTTGGGCGACAAAGCAAGAATCTGTCTCAGAGGGTGGAGGTGGGGGGTGGGGAAAGAACTACCTGGGACTGCATACTTTATAAAGAAAATAGGTTTAATTGACTTACAGTTCTGCATGGCTGCGGAGATCTCAGGAAACTTTCAATCATGGTAGAAGGTGAAGGAGAAGCAAGCACCTTCCTCATGAGGTGGCAGGAGAGACAGAGGATGAGAAATGCTACACTTTTAAACGATCAGATCTCATGAGAACTCACTATCACAAGAACAGCATGGGGGAAACCACCCCCATGATCCAATCACCTCCCACCAGGTCCCACCCTCAACATGTGGGGATTACAGTTAGAGATGAGATTTGAGTGGGGACACAAAGCCAAACCATATCATCCTGTCTTAAAAATGAAAAAAGTAATGGTAACCTGTCTTATTCAAAGTCCACCAACTTGAATGTCAATTTCATCCAAAAACACGCTCTCAGAAACATCCAGAATAATGTTTGATCATATATCTGGGTACTACGACCCAGCCAAGTTAAAGAAAATAAAATTAGCCCAGTGCAGTAGCTCACGCCTGTAATCCCAGCATTTTGGGAGGCTGAGGCGGGTAGATTGCTTGAGCCCAGGAGTTCAAGACCAGCTTGGACAACATGGAGAAACTCCGTTTCTACAAAGAGATAAAAAATTAGCAGGGCATGGTGGCGCACACCTGTAGTCCCTGCTATTAAGGAGGCTGAGATGGAAGGATTGCTTGAGCCTGGGAGATTGAGGCTACAGGGTGCTGTGATTGTGCTACTGCACTCCAGCCTGGATGATTGAGTGAGAGCCTGTCTCAAAAAAAAAAAAAAAAATCCATTCCAAATCAGGAGTGCTGGTAAAAAAAAAAAAGAAAAAAGAAAATTTATCACACATAAAATTAATCATCACAGATTCCTTGCCAACACATCAGCAGAACTGTCTGACCACCCAAAAAGAGAACTGTTGATGTGAATTGTATGCTAACCAGGGGCCTGGACTGGACAACCTCTCTATGCACGTGGGGTTCTGAGTCTGGAAAGAGATGCCATCTGAGAATGGTGACATATGTCTTTCTCTTTCTTCCTAACCGTGGCTACAGACTAGTCTATTTTTGTGGTTTATCTGCCTACTGTTTAGAATTATTCTGTTTTCTTGGGGCTGTCAGGCACTCAACTGACACTTCTTGATGCTATTGCTGTGTCTGCCTTGAGCAGCTAATGATGGATGTGAAAACCCTTTTATAATTGTTCATTCCAAAGGAAATGTGCAGCCACATGCTCCTGTGGTCTCCTGTGGGCTAAATAAACCCTGATAACCAAGCTTATTATCATTATGTCTAAAATTAAAGTAAACAAATAATGAGTGAGGGCTTGAGTGGTTTATTGTGGTTGAAAAGTACTGACTGACTTAACGCATGAATCTTATAACACCTATTTATATGGGTAAAGATTTGGAGGGTTATTCTAGTTTCCCATCTGGGTTCCAGATATGTGAGATTGCTGGGTGGGAGAATGTTATAGATTGTAGGTTTGTTGTCTTAAGGCAGGTAGCTGTCATTTCTGCCTAAATTATCTGTAAGGCAAGAAACCAAATATATAAATTAATACCATAAATAAGCAAACAAATAATTCTCTAATCTCAATCAATACTTCCCTACTTGTGAACTGAAGAATTAATACAGTCTCTTTGTTTGCTGCTTGGCATGAGTTTCCTTTACCTTTAAAATTAGGTTTGTGTTCATGAAACAAGGTTAGAAATTTAGGGAAGGGAAGAAATCTACTATTTAAAAATATATGACTATTTATTTTTAGCTACCACTTTTTAGCACCTAGGTATTAAAATACATAATAATTAGGAGCTAAGTGTATCCCATAATCTGTCATCATTCGCTCACTTCAAGAGGCCCATCATTAACCTTTCCATTAATTCTACGTCTTTTAGATCTTCCTAAATCAACACCTACTCTAAATGATTCCTCAAATTAAACCCTAGTTTTGCATCTGCACTTTCTCCGTTCTAGCCTGAAAAGCCTACAATCTTTTCTGTCTAGTCCCCATTTCTGCCTCACTCCAGAATCTGGCTTGAAGCCCTGGACTTTCTCGAACTCGATTGCTGGCAAGCAAGTCCTCCATCAAACAGATCCCTCACATGTCTGTGCATTAAAAATAGCTAATATGACTCACTGGCACTTCTTACTTACTCAAACTAAAGGACAGCATCTGTGCTTCAGGGATAGGAGAGTGAAGAGAGCAGAATGTGAAGAGGGAAACTACCAACATTCAAAAATCATTTTCTGGACTTGACATTGATGTTAGCTTTGTCCCTGGTATTTCTATCAGGAAACATATCTGCAAGTGATTGTATGTAGAATTATTCTTTCTTAGCTGATCTATCTGGGGAGGCACATTTTCAAGGATGTCTGCTATGGTGAATATAGCATTGCCATGCTTATTCATGGGTCCCACTGTTTAGACTAATATTATAATAAAGGTCCTAGTTTCAAAAATGCCTTTTGTCAAACTTTTGTCTGCCTTTGTGTCCAAAGATGAACCTTTTAATTCATTCATTCCTTCAATCAAGAAATCATTATTGGCTGGCGTGGTGACTCATGCTTGTAATCCCAGCACTTTGGGAGGCCAAGGGGGAAGATTGCTCAAGCGTAGGAGTTTGAGACCAGCCTGGGCAACACAGGGAGACTCTGTCTCTACAAATTGAAAAAAAAAAAAAAAAAAAAAAAAAACTTATGCTGAGGTAGGAGGATCACTTGGGCCCGGAATGTCAAGGCTACAGTAAGCCATGATCGTGTCACTGTACTCCAGCCTAGGTGACAGAGCAAGATCCTATCTCAAAAATAAAAAAAAGAAAGTATTATTGAATGCCTTCTAGGGCTGCCATGTTCTCCAACTTGTAAGGGCACCATTCTCAGTATAGTCTCTGGAGTTGAGCTCTAGCGGGGGCATTCCCTTCCGGGGTATATTGACTGAGGGACATACAATGGTATGTATGACATAGTCACCTATCTATAGCCCTCCAGGGGGGATTAAGAAACATTTTTCCATTTTCAAGTAGATTACTGTATGTTTATTTGTTTGTTTGTTTGTTTGTGTGTTTCTTTGTTTTGAGATGGAGTCTCGCTCTGTCACCCAGGCTAGAGTGCAGTGGCATGATCTCGGTTCACTGCAACCTCCGCCTTCCAGGTTCAATCAATTATCCTGCCTCAGCCTCCCAAGTAGCTGTGACTGCAGGCACACGCCACCATGTCCAGCTAATTTTTTTTGTATTTTTACTAGAGAGGGTTTCACCATGTTGGCCAGGCTGGTCTTGAACTCCTGACTCGAGTGATCTGCTAGCCTCAGCCTCCCAAAGTGCTGGAATTACAAACATGAGCCACCGCGCCCAGCCAGATTACTGCTCATTTGTTACTCATTCATACCTACTGGTTATTCATTAAAAATAGCCCAGGTTTATGTTTTTATTGGCCTTGTCTAGTGGCTTCCTCCATGTCCGGAGACTCTCTCTGTCCCTGATATGAAAGCACACTTAGTAATCAAACATAAGCACGGTACAGGCAGAGATTCGAAACCAACTATGAACCAGGAAATACAAATAATGACTTTCATATAAGGTTTCTGTCTTGTAAATGTTGATAATGCTTATCAGCTAAAGGAATAAAGTCCAGCCCTGCACCCAACACAGCTGACAACATGATCTTTGTAATCCACAAAATGTCAAGTATAATTACCCTGACCGTTCCTTCACTTAAAAAAAAAAAATCAAACTGGCCGGGCGCGGTGGCTCACGCCTGTAGTCCCAGCACTTTGGGACGTGGAGGCGGGTGGATCACGAGGTCAGAAGATCAAGACCATCCTGGCTAACACAGTGAAACCCCGTCTCTACTAAAAGTACAAAAAATTAGCCGGGCGTGGTGGCGGGTGCCTGTAGTCCCAGCTACTCAGGAGACTGAGGCAGGAGAATGGCGTGAACCCAGGAGATGGAGCTTGCAGTGAGCTGAGAACACGCCACTGCATTCCAGCCTGGGTGACAAAGCGAGACTCTGTCTCAAAAAAAAAAAAAAAAAAAAATCAAACTATGACAAGAGAAAATTTGTGTTTCTTTAACAGAACCCAGCCAGGAAGGTCATAAAATCTAGTCATGACAGGTTCTCCTCTCAGTAGAAAAACTTTTTTTCCTAATAGTAACTGACCTTTCTCATAATTTTTTTCACCCCGTCAAACATTTCGAAGACTTAACGCAACTACTTTTGTTAGTTGGATGGAAAACACCTTGTGATTCAGGTAGAAATAATTCTTCAAGCAGAGGAATTTATATAACTGTGCCTTTTACTATCCATTAAGCAGTTTTTTTATGTTGGCCTACTTGTAATGTGTATCAATGTCAGTTTAAAAGAGGAAACAACATTCAGCCTTTTCACTGGTTTATAATAAGAAATCACTATTTCAAATGACCTTCCCTGAATACCACTCTCTACTGAGTGCTGGAAGGAGCGTGGACAAAGATGAGTAAGACACTGCCCACGCTCTCTGTATGCATGCAATCTGGTGCCTGCGATGACATCTACTCAAAGAACTCAGTCAACTGGCAAGCTAACAAGGTCTATAGCCATGGGTGAAACAGACTGCCTTGAGAATATGGGAAGATTAATTCCAACTGGGGGATTTGCTAGGGTGTGTAGTGACCACGTGGGGATGTCAGAGGAATGGGAAAACAAGAAGATTAAGGGATGAAAAGAGACTTGAAACATTTAAGAATGGAAGTCTGGTTGAGGAATTCAGACTTAACCATGTAAGTCCTGGGACTGGAAATAACAATGCTCAGACGTGTGTTTCCTTAGCAAGATTTTATGTGTTCTTCATTTCATACAATGAACAACATAAAATATATTATTTAAGGTCTACAAAAATCTCCAACCCTACCTTCTGTTGCTGATCCTCTTGGCCATTTTGTTCCTGCAAAAGAGCACTCCTTTCCCACCAAATGCACTTTCTCTCTGACCCCCCGGCATGTCTTGAGTTCGGTCACCTCTGTTTCCCTCCAGCTCTGCTACCAGCCTGAAATCTTTGTCCAGTCTTCTCTAGCTATTCAATTTATACACTCAGCATGCTTTTTTTGTTTTTGTTTTGTTTTTTTTTTTTTGAGACAGAGTCTTGCTCTGTCACCCAGGCTGGAGTGCAGTGGCAAAATCTTGGCTCATTGCAAACTCCACCTCCGGGGCTCAAGCGATTCTCGTGCCTCAGCCTCCCAAGTAGCTGGGATTATAGGCGCCCACCACCATACCCAGCTAATTTTTGTATTTTTAGTAGAGACGGGGATTTCACCATGTTGGCAAGGCTGGTCTCAAACTCCTGACCTCAGGTGATCCGCCCACCTCAGCCTCCCAAAGTGCTGGGATTACAGGCATGAGCCACCGTGCCTGGCCTCACTCAGCATGTTAATTGAAATTACACATATATATGTAATTAATATATAATAATATAAACATATATATTTTTAGAACTGAGGGCCTAGTATGTATTAAGCAGTGTGAGAGATAGAAAAGTATAACAGATCAGCTCACTGCTAATCAGGGAGTTTACCGTCTATCTAAATTCTATCCATCCTTTGAGAGAGCTTTTCCAGACCAGAAGCCCAGCCTGTGAAATTTGAGGGTAAAATATTCCAGAGTGAGGAACAGTCTGTGCTAAGCCCTCGAATGCAAGGAACGCAGTGGAATGCAAGGATGCACGGGGAGCATCCCAGAGCCCCTCTTCAGAATGAGATTTGGCTAAGGGCTTTGTTGCAAGTGCTCCAATCCTATGTCCTTCACTCCTCGATAAACTTTCTACCTGCAAGTTCTCATCTCAGACTCCCTGAGAAACTGGACATAAAATAGTAAAATATATAGTGATGATTTTATAACATCAGCAACAGGCCGGGCGTGGTGGCTTATGCCTTTAATCCCAGCACTTTGGGAGGCCAAAGTGGGTGGATCACGAGGTCAGGAGCTCAAGACCAGCCTGACCAACATGGTGAAACTTCGTCTCTACTAAAAATACAAAAATTAGCCAGGCGTGGTGGCGCACACTGTAATCCCAGCTACTCAGGAGGCTGAGGCAGGAGAGTCGCGTTGAACCTGGGAGGCGGAGGTTGCAGTGAGCTGAGATCGCGCCACTGCCTTCCAGCCTGTGCAACAGAGCGAGACTCCGTCTGAAAAAAAAAAAAAATCAGCAACAAAAAAAGTAACGATAATCTAAAACAGTAGGATATATAGCAATAAAAGAGGCCGGGCGTGGTGGCTCACACCTGTAATCCCAGCATTTTGGGAGGCCGAGGCAGGCGG
This sequence comes from Homo sapiens, assembly GCF_000001405.40. Lineage (NCBI taxonomy): Eukaryota > Metazoa > Chordata > Mammalia > Primates > Hominidae > Homo > Homo sapiens. The sequence goes on from NC_000021.9 coordinate 17,465,407, forward strand.
ATTACGAGGTCAAGTGATCAAGATCATTCTGGCCAACATGGTGAAACCTTGTCTCTACTAAAAATACAAAATAAGCTGAGCATGGTGGCACACGACCGTAGTCCCAGCTACTCAGGAGGCTGAGGCAGGAGAATCACTTGAATCCGGAAGGTGGAGGTTGCAGTGAGCCAAGATTGCACCAGTGCACTCCAGCCTGGCAACAGAGTGAGACACCATCTCAAAAACAAACAAACAACAATAAAAGAGAGATGAAATTTTGCCTAGAGAAAAACCTTGAACTCCATGATATGGAATTTATTTATTTATTTATTTGTTTTATTTTATTTTATTTTTTGAGACAGAGTCTCACTCTGTTTCCTGGGCTGGAGTGCAGTGGCGTGATCTTGGCTCACTGCAACCTCCACATCCCAGGCCCAAGTGATTCTCATGCCTCAGCCTCCCGTGTAGCTGGGATTACAGGCATGCGCCACCACATTTAGCTAATTTTTGTATTTTAGTAGAGACGGGGTTTCACTATGTTGGCCAGGCTGGTCTCAAACTCCTGACCTCAGGTGATCCACCCGCCTCGGCCTCCCAAAGTGCTGAGATTACAGGCATGAGCCACTGTGCCTAGCCTGGAATTTATTCTTTATCCTATGAAACAGTTGTTTCCAAAGTGAAGTGGCTAAAAGGATGGTAAGGGGTATAGGAAGAAATTATTTATTAATTATTCATAGTTTTATTAATGTCTTTTTTCTGTTTTGTAATATAGATAACATATTGGTAAAAATAACACATCTAAATAATTTGAATATATATGTGTGTATAATAATGTGTGTATATATATATACACACATATACATACACACATATACTTTGGTATGTGCTCTAATTTTTTCTTCTTTTTGTTGTTGAGGCAGGGCCTCACTCTGTTATCCAGGCTGGAGTGCGGTGACTCACTAAAGCTGAGGCTTTAGTGGTAGGACTAAACCAGGAAGTTGAGACTTCCTGGGCTCAGGCAGTCCTACCATGTCAGCATCCCAAGTAGCTGGGACCACAGGCACAGGCTACCATGCCTGGCTAATTTTTAAAATGTTTGTAGAGACAGGGTCTCACTGTGTTGCCCAGGCTAGACTCAAACTCCTAGGCTCAAGCAATCTTCCTGTCTTGGCCTCTTGAAGTGCTGACATCATACCGGTGGGAGCCGCCGCACCTCTAATTTTCTTTCTTTTTTTTTTTAACCAATAGATGTATGCAATTAAAATTTAAGACCATACTGTAAACAATGGGAGAGTCATTGAGGTCTTATTTGCAGAGGAGGATATACTCAGCATATAAATTATAATAATGGATAATGGTTCTCAACTTTCTTCCTTTCTTTTTTTTTTTGTTTTTTGTTTGTTTGTTTGTTTTGAGATGGAGTCTTGCTCTCTGTCACCCAGGCTGGAGTGCAGTGGCACAATCTCGGCTCACTGCAACCTCTGCCTCCCAAGTTCAAGCGATTCTCCTGCCTCAGCCTCCCGAGTAGCTGGGATTACAGGCGCCCACCACTACATCCGGCTAATTTTTGTATTTTTAGTAGAGACGGGGTTTTACCATCTTGGCCAGGCTGGCCTCGAACTCCTGATCTTATGATCCACCTGTCTCGGCCTCCCAAAGTGCTGGGATTACAGGCATGAGCCACTGCACCCGGATGGTTCTCAACTTTCAACCCAGGAGAATTCCCTGGGAATTATTAGAAATTACTGATGACCAGACCACACCCCAAATTAATTACATCAACTCTCTGGGGTAGGAACGAACATCAATATTTTTCTTTTCTCTTGGTGATTCTAACGTGCCAGGGTTAAGAACCACTGAATTAGAGTTATAATCAAGTTTGATATGAATTGGCCAATGAAATAGTATAATTTAATATTAAATGTTAATTAATTAAAACTATTAAATGTTCTCAAAAGTTACAGAAGAATAAAAACTAAATATTTAAGAAGTTCTTTTACCTTAAGTATTGAAAATAAATGGTTTTTCTCTTCACGGGTTGTTTTTATTTCCTTATAAAGCCTAGCTGTCATGTGATCCTCCTGACTCTGCGGAAGTAAGTCAGAGAAATAAAGACTAACTCACTCATTAAGAGACCTTTTACATAAAACACTTTCTTATCTGTTAGAATTTGAGCTTTCTCAGACTCTCAGCTTGTTTTCCCAAGTTTACACAATAATAAAATACACACAGTGACCTTCTTACTCTTCTTTTGCCAGCGGATTATTTAATACTGATTAGCTTTGAAATGCAAATAGCCCTATCAAATAGCAAGCTACTTGCCTTCAACCGGACTAAGGCTGCATTAGAGTGAAAGTCAAAACTGTTTTATGCAAAGAAAAAAAATAGTCTGTCAAAGGCCCCTAGGTCTTCAATTTTTTCAGGATTATATTCAGGATATGAAATTCTTTGTACTGACTAACGGATTACCTTTTCTTCTAAATTCTTTTGTTTCCAAACTCCCAATCCTATGTTGACTTACAATTAACCCTTTGCTGACCATTAGTTGAACTTTCAAACCAAACATAACGCTTTCAGCATTTGTATTTATATCACAACATGACAAATACTAGTAAGAGAGGGAATTTTTACAGAAAAAGCTTATCTAGCCTCTTACATGAGGACCACTATTTGTTTTTCTTAAACAGAGAGTAACAACTTCAGGGCTGCAAAATACCTTTGAGATTACCTAATTCACCCTCTTCATTTTACAGATATGCACCCAAGGTCTGGTACGCTTTTACTAGGTCAGTGTTTGGGCTGAAGAAAACAGGGTTGGGTTGCTGAATAGTAAATTCCTGGTGGAATGGAAACTGAGCTGACATTGGCAGATGGGTATTAAACCCGCTGGAGTCCTCCGCCTGAAATTCAAGGCTTGAAAGAGTCAGAGGCTGACAAGATACCAAGGCTGAGACTGATTTACTCTTTCTTTTTCTTTTTCTTTACTTTCTTTTTTTTTTTTTTTTTTGAGACAGGGTCTCACTATGCCCCCCCAGGCAATGATCATAGCTCACTGCAGCCTCAAACTCCTAGGCTCAAGCTATCCTCCCACCTCAGCCGCCCCAGTAGCTGGGGCTACAGGTGCACACCACCATGCCAATTTTTTTGTTTTGTTTTGTATTAGACAGGGTTTCTTTCTGTCACCCAGGCTGGAGTGTAGTGGCTCCATCACAGTTCGCTGCAGCCTTGCCCTCCCGGGCTCAAGTGATCCTCCCACCTCAGCCTCCCAAGTAGCTGAGACTACAGATGTATGCCACCATGCCCAGCTAATTTTTGTATTTTTTGTAGAGATTGTGTTTCACCATGTTGCCCAGGATGGTCTCAAACTCCTGGGCTCAAATGATCCTCCCACCTTGGCCTGCCAAAGTGTGGAGATTACAGATGTGAGCCACCATGGCTGGCCTGCCTGGCTAATTTTTAAATTTTCTGTAGAAACAGGGTCTTGCTATGTTGCCCAGGCCAGTAATGAACTCTTGGCCTCAGGCCATGGGGATTACAGGTGTGAGCCCCTGCACTTGTCCAGGACTGATTTCTCAAAAGCAGCAGAAGTTGGTGGGGTTGCAGCCAGGTGGCCCAGCCCCTGACAGCACCTACCAAGGGACTGGGGACTGCCCAGCACTGGCTGGTCCCAGGTGATCCGGTCAAACTGGGCATTCCTCTGTAATATCCTTCTGAAGAAGCTGAATTAATATCTCAGTGGGATAGTTTAGAAATGACACAGACCTGGGGCAGAAATACAAAGCTTGCTACCAGCTATGGAAGCATCATCCTGTTTGCTTTGTCTTTTTTTTTTTTTTTTTTTTTTGAGACGGAGCTGGCTCTGCTCTCAGGCTGGAGTGCAGTGGCGCGATCTCGGCTCACTGCAAGCTCCGCCTCCCGGGTTCACGCCATTCTCCTGCCTCAGCCTCCCGAGTAGCTGGGACTACAGGTGCCCACCACCACGCCCGGCTAATTTTTTGTATTTTTAGTAGAGACGGGGTTTCATCGTGTTAGCTAGGATGGTCTCGATCTCCTGACCTCGTGATCTGACCGCCTCGCCTCCCAAAGTGCTGGGATTACAGGCGTGCAGCCGCGCCACGCTGCTTTGTCTTTAAAATTATCTGCCATTAGAAAATCAAACAGTTGCCAGGGGCTGGGAGAAGGGAGGCACGAGGAGTTATTGTTTAATGGGTGTGGAATTTCAGTTTGAGAGGATAAAATAAGTTCTGAGGATAGATGGTGGTGATGGTTGCATAACAATGTAAATATACTTAATGCCACTTGCCACTGAACTGTAGATTTTAAAATGGTTAAAATGGTATATGGTAGATTTTATGTGTGTGTGTGTGTGTGTGTGTGTTTCTTTTTAGAGGTAGAGTTGCATTCTGTCACCCAGGCTAGAGTACAGTGGTTCAATCATAGCTCACTGCAGCCTCAACTTCCTGGGCTCAAGTGATCCTCCTATCGCAGCCTCCCAAGTAGCTGGGACTAAGGAGTGTACCATCACACCTGGCTGGGTTTCTTTGTTTTAGTGTTTGTTTGTAGAAATAGGGTCTCACTATGCTGCCCTACCTAAATTTTGTTATGTATATATTACCACAACAAAAATATATCTGCTATTAGTTCTTTTCTTTTTCTTTCTTTCTTTTTCTTTTTCTTCTTTCTTTTTTTTTTCTTTTTTTAGATAGGGTCTTGCTCTGTTGTCCAGGCTGGGGTACAGTGGCATGATCATAGCTCACTGCAGCCTCTAACTCCTGGGCTCAAGCGACCCTCCTGCCTCAGCCTCCTGAGTAGCTGAGAATACAGGCACGTGCCACCACGTCCAGGTACTTTTTTTGATTTTTAGTAGAGATGGCATTTCACTTTGTTGCCCAGGCTGACCTCAAACTCCTGAGCTCAAGTGATCCTACTGCCTTGGCCTCCCAAAATGCTGGGATTACAGGCGTAAGCCACCACGCTCGACCTGCTGTTAGTTCTTAAATCACCATCTCTGTGTTGTTTTTTTTTTTTTTTTTTTTGTCTTTTTTTTCTTTGAGTTCAAGAGTTTTGCTCTTGTTGCCCAGGCTGGAGTGCAATGGCATGATCTCAGCTTACTACAACCTCCGCCTCTCGGGTCCAAGTCACTCTCCTGCCTCAGCCCCCCGAGTAGCTGGGATTACAGGCATGAGCCACCACACCTGGCTAATTTTGTATTTTTAGTAGAGGCGGGGTTTCTCCATGTTGGTCGGGTCTCAAACTCCGACCTCAGGTGATCCGCTCACCTCGGCCTCCCAAAGTGCTGGGATTGCAGGCATCAGCCACCTCGCCCGGCCCATCTCGTCTTTTAAATAAGTATCTCAGGCTCAGCACGGTGGCTCACAGCTGTAATCCCAGCACCTTTGGAGGCCGAGGCGGGCGGATCACCTGAGGTTAGGAGTTCGAGACCAGCCTGGTCAACATGGTGAAACCCTGTTTCTACTAAAAATACAAAAATTAGCCAGGCTTGGTGGCGGGTGCCTATAATTCCAGCTACTCAGGAGGCTGAGGCAGGAAAATCGCTTGAATCCGGGAGGCAGCGGTTGCAGTGAGCTGAGATCGTGCCACTGCACTCCATCCTGGGCGACAGAGCAAGGAACCATCAAAAAAAAAAAAAAACCCTCATATTCTCATGTAGTTTTTTAAATACCAAAATATTCAAGAAGTCTAGGTTTTGAGAAAATCATTGCCAGACTGAAAATTACCTGATAGTAAAATCTCTGAGTAAATTTAGATTTTAAAAATTTTGTCAGAAGCAATTGGTACTCAAAGAACACAAAGATTTGTAAATTTCAGGGAAGCTAAAGTTTTCTAACAGCCTCAAAAATTTTATTTCCCAACACTACTTTCCCCAAAGAGAAAAGTTTTGTTGTTGTTGTTGTTGTTGTTGTTTTTGAGACAGAGTCTCGTTCTGTCACCCAGGCTGGAGTGCAGTGGCACAATATTGGCTCACTGCAACCTCTGCCCCACCCCAGGTTCAAGCGATTCTCCTGCCTCAGCCTCCTGAGTAGTTGGGATTACAGGCATGTGCCACCACACCTGTCTAATTTTTGTACTTTCAGTAGAGACGGGGTTTCTCCATGTTGGCCAGGCTGGTCTCGAGCTCCTGACCTCAAGTGATCCGCCCACCTTGGCCTCCCAAAGTGCTGGGACTACAGGTGTGAGCCACCACGCCCAGCCAAGAAAAGATCTTAATACATAAGTAAAATATAGAACAGTCTCCTTGTAAGTGTTTCCAACACATAAAAGAAAGGGGAGGATCTTTTTGGAATTGTTGCGGTTTGTCATTTAATCGTCACTTTAAAGTGAAGAAGATTGAGTATTAGAGAAGTTAGTTTGTCCAAGGTTTGGAAGAACAGGGTTTTGGATTAGAACCTAAACCAATCAAACTCCAAATCCTCACTGTTAACAATTTTCTGTTGGCATGCAAATGTATTTCTTCCATCAGGCTATGTAATAATTATAAATAATGGGGCTGGTATAGACGTAAGGTACTGACACTGAATAATTCCCCAAAGAACCTTGAAGTAAACTGCTTTTACATAGTGGGAAAGAGTCCTCATAAAGCACTCAGCCCTGGAACATTCTTTCAAAAGCAAGACATAAAAAAAAATCAAAAGTAAAAATTCTCTATCACCGAAAAGGAAAAGACATTTTGTTGAGTGCAAAAGAAGAATCCTGCCAAGCAGAGAGAGTGAACTGTAGCAAATAGACACAGATATATCTGGATAATTAGGCATGATATAGTGAGTGTTTCACTGAAACTTGAACAGCTGTAGACAGAAACTGAGAATTCTATAAAGTTTCTATATTTACTCCCATATCAGGAAATTACCAACCTGGCTTGAAGCTATATGGCTCAGCCTGGGATAAAAACTGGTGTGAGAGTTCCAAAGGATCAGCAGGTGAATCAGAGCCAGGACAATAAAGAGAACAAGTACAGAGCTGTTTATCTTATTTCAGCTACAAGTTTTTCCAATACCTGACTGAGAAAGTGTTGAGAGTCAACACCCTTGTAGTCACGTATGGTCTATGTGTCTTGGTTTTCACATGCATCAGGAGCTGTACATGTGTACATATGCACACTTAGGAAAGCCAGGCCTTGGGCAAAACTATGGACAAACACAGCCACAAATTTATATAACCCCAGATCTGTTCCTTCTATCCTCTGGGAACTCCGGTTTTCCCATAGCCTTCCAGAATTGTTCTAGGAGGGACTAGAGCCTATTTTTCATGAGCAACTGGGTCTAGTTCTTGTTATTAGATATGACTCAGATCACTTCCAATCTGCAAAGCAGAAGCTGTGATGCCAGTGTTTGCTGAAAATGCTGCCACTGCTATTGAACATGCAGAGGTGTGCCGTTTTGGGGCCAATGTCTAATGTAGAAGAAAACATGTCCTTTGTCCGATCTATGAAGTCAGACGGCCAGGGTTCAAATTCCAGCTTTGCCATTCACTAGGTATATTAGCAGTGACAAAGGTTTGTGTATTTAGCAAATGGGATTTTCATAGCCCTACCTCATAGGATGGTGGTAATGGCAGATGATATAATGCATATAAAATGCCTAGTTAACAGTGATTGAATGCTTATTATAAGCTAAGCAAAGTACTAATACTGCTATTATCTGTAAGAAGCAAGCAGAAGATGCCACTCTCAGCAGTGTTCCATGCAGCAAATTGCTCTGCCAGTTTTTACTCAGTCTTTAATTGCAGGCCCTCGCTTTAGGATCTAGACTGCTCCTGAGTAACATGAATGGCAGAACCTGTGCTATGCTAAAAAACATCTTCTGGCTGGGCACGGTGGCTGACACCTGTAATCAGAGCACTTTGGGAGGCCAAGGCGGGCAGATCACGAGGTCAGGAGTTCGAGACCAGCCTGACCAACATGGTGAAACGTCATCTCTACTAAAAATACAAAAATTAGCCGGGCGTGGGGGCGCACGCCTGTAATCCCAGCTACTCAGGAGGTTGAGGCAGGAGAATCGCTTGAACCTGGGAGGCGGAGGTTGCAGTGAGCTGAGATCGCGCCACCGCACTCCAGCGTGGGTGACAGAGCGAGACTCCATCTCAAAAAAAAAAAAACAAAAAAAAAACCCATCTTCTGCACAGGTCCATATGTGGCTTACTCCTGGGGCAAACCGAGTGGGATGTCACCAATATCCAGGAGGTATAATAAATTGTACCTAGTTTACTAATTACGGAATTGCAGTACAATAGTAATGTTTTGTATCTTTTTGAATGACCAATTTAAAAATATCATATAAAAAGGTAGGAAAAAACCCCACAATTTTCAGAGACTTCCAGGTGTTGTTAAGAAGGGCCCCAAACATGATAAACGCCACTAAAATCTGAGTTGCCCACTAATATGGTTTGGTGTGTGTCCCCTCCAAGTCTCATGTTGAAGTGTGATCCCCAGTGTTGGAGATGGGGCCTGGTGGCAGACATTTTGGTCACAGGGGTAGATCCCTCAGGAATGGCTTGGTGCCCTCCAGATGGTAATGGATGAATTCTTATTCTGTTAGTTCATGGAAACTGGTTGGTTAAAGGAACATGGCACCTCCTCCTCTCTTGCACTCTCTCTCTCTCTCGCCATGTGATATACCAGCTCCCTCTTCACCTTCCACCATGATTGTAAGCTTCCTGAGGCCGTTACCAGAAGCAGATGCCAGCATCTTGCTTCCTGTACAGCCTGCAGAACCATGAGCCAAAATAAACCTCTTGCCTTTATAAATTACCCAGTCTCAGGCATTCCTTTATAGTAATGGAAACAGACTAATACACTCACTTTCAAAGGACACAGGTAAAGTCCCTCTTACAGAATGGTGCCTCACAAATCACACCTAATGTACATTAAGAATTTTATGAATTCCTCCTAAGCCTTTGTCCTATAGATCTACTTTCATGTCTGCACACATAGATATATGAACAAAGATAAGTGTTGTGGCAGTACAGCATATATGCATAAATAGAAACAAATGTCTGCAGAGAACAGGATAACTAAATAATGATACTTTTAAAAATAATTGAATAAATCTCTACGTTCTGATATAAAAAATTTTCAATATCACTAAGTGAAAAAAGCAGATGTTAGAAAGTATCTCTAATATGCCCGAGTTATGTGTGTGTGTGTTTTAAAATATGTATACACATCTGTTTATATACCTAAAACAATTATGGAAATATATACTATATATATATATAATTCCACATGGATATAAAACAGACAAAGTAAAAATCAACTACACGTCTAATATTTAGGAATTAAAATGATATCCCAAACTTCTCCCTCCTGTTAGTTTTACTTATTTTAAACAATATTTATTACGGCAAAATACCAATGAAAAAATTTGAATAATCTACAAAAATGTGTTGTAAGAAGAATGTAAAAGTAAAAAAGGCATTAGACATTAATGATAATTTTCTTTATCTAAACCTGTACCCAGGTTGTCTTTTCTGAATTCCTACTTACATCTCAGAACTGGAGGGGCTACGGAGTTACTTGGTTAAAGTATCATCCATTACCCAGCCATGTTCACAAGGGCAGAGGGAAAAAAAGCATTTCTTTTCTAAGTGCCTCAGACTTATGAGAATTGAAAGTTATAAAGTGCCATTTAATATTGTTTATCTATATTTTCCCTTTAGTTTAACCAAATCATACTGGGAGATATCTAGGGCCCTGTATTATGTAGAATAGAAGAAAGTATTTTAACAATTGTTTTACACTATAAGATAGCTTAACAAAAACATGAGCTGAGAAAATCTCTCAGATAAAATGATCAAATAACATAATGATTTTCTGAAAACAAATAAAATATTGCAGTCCTAAAGAAAAAAAAATGAGGGCCAAAACAATATTAGTACAAAAGTTTTCAACCGATGGTAAATAAGAAGATAGTCATAATGAAAGCATAATGAAAAAGATAAAGATTAAAGGAATTCCATATGAAAATAATCTAAGTATAACTGATGTTCTTGAAGAAAACTCAACAAATGTAAAGAAAGTTTTATTCAAAGATACAGTTCAAGAAATACCCCTGAAATGAGACAAAAACTGAATCTGCAGAACAAAATATCACCTCCAGGAAAATTTGATTTAGAACATTCAACTCATAGACAAGCTAATGAGGCTCAAGAATGAAGACTTTTTTTCCAGGCATCTAGATTTTATAGATAAACTACCACCAAAGGGAGAAAACTTTGGCCGAATCTCCGTGGCAATACTCAATGCCAGAAGGAAAAAAGGGCAATGGTAGCCAATCTCTAAAATGACCTTCAACGATTCCTGCCTCCTGGTGTTTATATCCTTGTGTAGTCACCTTCCTCATTTTAACAGGGTTGGTCTGTGTGACCAATAGGATCCCGTGGAAGTGATGGTATGTCACACCCAAGACTACATTATAAAAGACACTGTAGGCCAGGCGCGGTGGCTCACGCCTGTAACCCCAGCACTTTGGGAGGCCGAGGCGGGCAGATCACCTGAGGTCAGGATTTCGAGGCCAGCCTGACCAACATGGAGAAACCCCATCTGTACTAAAAAAATACAAAAAATTAGCAGGGCGTGGTGGCACATGTCTATAATCCCAGCTACTCAGGAGGCTGAGACAGGAGAATCACTTGAACCTGGGAGGCAGAGGTTGCGGTGAGCCGAGATGGCACCATTGCCCTCCAGCCTGGGCAACAAGAGTGAAACAAAAAAAAAAAAAGAGAAAGAGAGACACTGTAGCCTCTGTCCTGGTTCACTTTTCTCCCCTGGACCAGTCACCCTGGTGTAAGCCAGCTGCTCTGCCAAGGTCAACCTGATAAGGAACTGAAATCTTTCACAAACAGCCAATGAAAAACTAACTTGCAACAACCACCACATGAGTGAGCCGTCTTGGAAGTGGAAGTTCTAGTTCTGGTCAGCCTTTGACATGACTACGGCCCTAGCCCACAGCTTGAATGCAGTATCATGAGAGATCCTGAGCCAGACCTTGAAGCTGAGCTGCTCCCAGATTTCTGACCCTCAGAAACTATGTATCATAATAAAGATTTGTTGTGTTAAGAGGCTAAAATTTCCAGTAATTTGTTTCACAGCAATAGATAATTAAAACAATCCTCTAAAAGGGAAATAGCATGTGGCCCCAAAATATCAAACATATACATTGTGACCCAAGAATAACATATTCAGACGAGATGTTATTCAAGAGTAGAAGTGTATATTTTCATAAATAAAAAATGTTAGGTGCCAGGCACAGTGGCTCACGCCTACAATCCCAGCACCTTGAGAGGTTGAGGCAGGTGGATCACCTGAGGTCAGTAGTTTGAGACCAGCCTGGCCAACATAGTGAAACCCCGTCTCTACTAAACATATAAAAATTAACTGGGAGTGGTGGCAGGTGCCTGTAATCCCAGCTACTCGGGAGGCTGAGGCAGGAGAATCACTTGAACCCAGGAGGCAGAGGTTGCAGTGAGCCGAGATCACACCATTTGCACTCCAGCCTGGGCAACAAGAGCAAATCTCTGTTTCAGAAAATAAAATAAAATAAAATAAAATAATGAATAGGCAATGCAAGATTCATTAAAAGAACTAGGCCAGGCGCAGTGGTTCCTGCCTATAATCATAGCACTTTGGGAGGCCAAAGCAGGAGGATTGCTTGAGCCTGGGAAGTCAAGCCTGAAATGAGACATAATTGTGATACTGCACTCCAGTCTGCAGCAGACTAAGACCTGTGTCAAAAAGAAAAAAAAAAAAGAATTACTTGTTAGGGAAGACCAGCTGATTAAAAGATTCATCAAAGCAAAGCATTCAGAAACAGAAATCATAGTGAAAAAACTGGCAGTGAGCATTGACTCTTTTAAATTGGAGAAATAAGTTCCTATGGAAATTTATTAAAATTTCCAGTTTTTATCAATAGAGTAGAAAGTAAATGTTAAAAATCATACAATATACAAATAATAAAAATAATGTCAATAAATAATGTCAATGACAAAGATGAGAGGAATTACAGGAATACTGAGGTCTTCAATCTTTTTCTAGAAGACCGTTGTTAATTGATAGGTAAACCGCAAAGATTTTATTAAATAAACACACTGACTCCAATGCTTCTATATTTTCCACAAATTCATTGTTAAGATAAATCTTTTAGGAAATAGTATCTCTTTTGGTAAAGAACTACGCTCTAATTTTTTTTTTTTTTTTTTGAAACGGAGTCTCGCTCTGTTGCCCAGGCTGGAGTGCAGTGGCGCGATCCCGGCTCACTGCAAGCTCCGCCTACCAGGTTCACACCATTCTCCTGCTTCAGCCTCCCCAGGAGCTGGGACTACAAGTGCCCGCCACCACGCCCAGCTAATTTTTTGTATTTTTAGTAGAGACGGAGTTTCACCGGTTTAGCCAGGATGGTCTCGGTCTCCTGACCTCGTGATCCACCCGCCTCGGCCTCCCAAAGTGCTGGGATTACAGGCATGAGCCACCGCACCCGGCCATTTTTTTTCTATTTCACCTACAATTGACTTGAGAAAATATGCTCTGATTTTGAATTCACTTGTTTCTTTTCTATTGTAATTTTTTTTTTTTTTTTTTTTTTTTTTTTTTTTGCTACAGAGTTTCACTCTTGTTGTCCAGGCTGGAGTGCAATGGTGTGATCTTGGCTCACCACAACCTCAGCCTCCCAGGTTCAAGCGATTCTCCTGCCTCAGCCTCCTGGGTAGCTTGGACTACAGGCGCATGTCACCACGGCTGGCTAATTTTGTGTTTTTAGTACAGAAGGGGTTTCTCCATGTTGGCCAGGCTGGTCTCGAACTCCCGACCTCAGTCGATCTGCCTACCTCGGCCTCCCAAAGTGCTGGGATTATAGGCGTGAGCCACCGCACCTGGCCATATTGTAAATTTAAATTATAATTGTATTTAGAAATAGAATGTATATTATGAATCCATTTGTAGAGAAGTTATTTATTTATTTAATTAATTAATTAATTTATTTATTTATTTATTTTGAGACAGGGTCTCATTCTGCAGTCAAGGCTGGAGTATAGTGGCACAATCATGGCTCACTGCAGCCTTGAACTCCTGGGCTCAAGGGATCCTCTTGCCTCAGCCTCCCTAGTAGCTAGGACTACAGATGAGCACCACCACACCAGGCTAATTTTTAAATTTTTTGTAGCGATAAGGTCATGCTATGTCACCCAGGCTGGTCTCAAACTCCTAGGCTCAAGTGATCCTTCCACCTCGGCCTTCCAAAGTGCTGGAATTACAGGCATGAGCCACCTTGCCTGGACTCATGTCTGCTAACAGTCCATCATATGGAGTAATTTACTTAATTATTTCCCCCTTGCTACATAGCGAAATTTTTTCTAAAATCTCATTTTTATAGAAATTCAGAGAACATACTTGTACATACATTTGTCTGCATATCCATGTTTGTTATTTCCTCAGAATAGATTCCAAAATGTAGATTTACTAGATCAATGAGCATGAATATTTTTAAAGTAGTATAAAAAGCAGTTTAAAATAATAATATAGTTATAAGTAACATTTATTGAGCACTTACTCTAGTACCAGATATTTTACTAAGAACTTTACCTACATTATCTCTTTTAATGATCACGTAAACCTAAGATGCTATTGTCATTTTACAAATGAGAAAATCTAGGCTGAGAAAGTATCATTTCCTGAAGTCACACAATTAATAAATGTCAGAGGCAGCATCAGAAGCAAGGCCAGACCCTGGGGCCTAATTTCATCCTCAAAAGTGAAAGTTTCACAGTAAGATTGCTTGTGTTTGCACCTTACCTCCATTTACTAGCTATGAAACTCTATACAAAATACTTAGTATCTTTGGCTTTGGTTTTCTCTAAACTGGAGAAAATAATAGTACCTTTCCCTAGAGTAAGAATTAAATGAAATAATGCCAGGCTTGGCGGCTCATGCCTGTAATCCCAGCACTTTGGGAGACTGAGGCAGGCAGATCACGAGGTCAGGAGTTCAAGACCAGCCTGGCCAACATGGTGAAACCCGTCTCTACCAAAAATACAAAAATTAATTGGGTATGGTGGCACACACCTGTAATCCCAGCTACTCGGGAGGCTGAGGCAGGAGAATGGCATGGCCCCGGGAGGCGGAGGTTGCAGTGAGCCGAGATCGCACCACTGCACTCCAGCCTGGGCGACAGAGCAAGACTCCATCTCAAAAAAAAAAAAAAAAAAAAAAAAAGGATTAAATGAAATAATTTAAATAAAACAGTAGTGACAATACGAAAGAAGAACTCGTTATAAATTACCTACCCAATTGCTACCCTTATTATTTACAACTCTCTGAATATACCTTGTATATTTTCCATAAACCCTTCCCAAATTACATTCCTACCAGCAGTATTGTTGACAGATTTATGTAAGTGTGGATTATAGTGGGTTCCAAGAATGCTAAGAAAAATAATGCACCAAAAGGTGACCTATGTATAATCCACTTCCTGTTGTTTGTGTATCATACATGCCTCCTAAAGGTGTTATTTGAATTGGCCCCCCTAAGCTTCCTTTTCATTCTTTGCTATAGTATTCATTTTAGAAAGAGGAATGTAAATAAGTGAAGTGGAGAATTAAAGGAGTATTTTTGGTAAATCAAGCTCTTAAAATTAATTCAATTTAAAAGTTCTGGTTGATGAGGGCAAAGCTGATATTGTTTGAAATTAAAGAGATAATTTCATCATTATCCTATTTTTTTTCCTATGCATACAATAAACTAGAGGAAGAGAAAGGGAGAAAAACAGGGTACCATCCTCTGTTTGCTGTTTCAAAAAAGACGTTTAATTTATAAATGTTATTATTTATAGCAATCAATTTTTATCATCCTCATTGATCCTCATTGCAATAAAACACAAATTTCATTGCTGCCTTTACGATTTTCTGATAATTTGTGATCTATAGACAGTAAAGATATTGGAATTAAAAAGTAAAATGTGGCTGGGTGTGGTGGTTAATGCCTGTAATTCTAGCACTTTGGGAGGGCAAGGCAGGAGGATTGCTTGAGCCCAGGAATTTGAGACCAGCCTGGGAGATATAGTGAGACCCTGGCTCAAAAAAGTAAATAAGTAAATAAATAAATAATAAAACGTAATTATATTCAAAGTGTACAAAATTTGATGATGAACATGTACAAAGTATACCAAATTTGATTATTACTTTCATCAAAATATGGAAATTAAAGAAACATGAAAGATCAAAACATGAACAGTTTTCATATTTTTTTAAATGTTATTTTTTGAAAACTACAAATGAGAATTAAGGAATATCACAATTTCAAATCAAAATTATTATTATTATTATTATTCTTTTGTGAGACAGAGTTTCCCTCTTGTTGCCCAGGCTGGAGTGCAATGGCACGATCTCAGCTCACCACAACCTCTGTCTCCCGGGTTCAAGTGATTCTCCTGCCTCAGCCTCCCGAGTAGCTGGGATTACAGGCCATGAGCCACAATGCCCAGCTAATTTTGTATTTTTAGTAGAGACGGGGTTTCTCCATGTTGGTCAGGCTGGTCTGGAACACCTGACCTCAGGTGATCTGCCCACCTCGGCCTCCCAAAGTGCTGGGGTTACAGGCGTGAGCCACCATGCCCGGCCCAAAATTATTTTTAAATGCTGAATTCTTATTTCAATTTTTGAACTTAATTATATTTTATATTAATATTTGAAACTAAAATCAGCATAATTCTAGCATTCAGTGTCCATCTAGTTGCCCAAATAAAGACTCCTTCTCCCATTTCAGTATGCTCAGACTATATGAACATTTAAGAGTAAGAGGAATTGTTCAGTCTTATGTAGTGCTGTTCCAAACACTCTGTCATTCTTGAGTTCCTTCAGAGGTACTCCTAACTGGGAACATGAAAACAAGACAGAAAATGGAAGGTCCTCATTACTTGGAAAATGATGATTCCATTAAGCAAGGATCTCTGCATTCATACTGTCTCTGAGTGGAAGGATTTGACCCTTTGTGCTTTCTTTTTACCTAGGCACTCCTGGGCTGAGAGCCTCTCTGCACTCCAAGGCAGTGTATTTGTCTGACATTGGCAGCAGCATATCATGCTGGCTTTTGGTTTCAAGAACATCAGCAGGACATGTGGAGAATCCATCATTTCCTTGGGGCCTCAATGACGTTAGCCTCAGGACTGATCGTTTAGGGTGACAGGTCATTCTGCGTCTGCGTGGTCATTAGAATGACAAAGTTGTCCATGTGTTTTGGTTTTGTTTTTTGTTTTTTGTTTTTTTGAGATGAGTCTCACTCTGTTGCTCAGGCTAGAGTGCAGTGGTGTGGTCTCAGCTCACTGCAACCTCCGCTTCTCAGGTTCAAGGGATTCTCCCACCTCAGCCTTCTCAGTAGCTGGGATTACAGACATGGGCCACCATGCCTGGCTAATTTTTGTATTTTTGGTAGAGATGGGGTTTCACCATGTTGACCAGGCTGGTCTCAAATTCCTGACCTCAGGTGATCCACCTGCCTCAGCCTCCCAAAGTGCTGGGATTACAGGCATGAGCCAATGCGGCTGGCCTATGTGTTCTTTAATACATTTATTTTGTGGCTGTTTCAGTAATATGTGGCGCTTGCCGGTATGGGATTCACAGCAGTGGTCCCACTGGCCTGGGTCTAAGAGCAGAAGTGAGTATTGCTCCATAAGTATTGTGGAGAAGCAAGTATTGCTTCTGTCTTCAAAGTCTTTATCCTGAGAACCAAAGTAGAGACTGTCATCATTAGGGTTGCTGGTGCAGAGCCCTTTAAAACCATAGCAGATCCTCAAGCACATGCATCCCCTGAGAGGCAAGAATCCCAAGTGAGAGTAGTAAGGGGCCAGCTCTTCCAGTCACAATAATAGTAACTCAGGAAGCAGGGGCTGGGCACGGTGGCTCACGCCTGTAATCCCAGCACTTTGGGAGGCTGAGGCAGGTGGATCATGAGGTCAGGAGTTGAAGACCAGCGCGACCAACATGGTGAAACCCTGTCTCTACTAAAAAATACGAAAATTAGCTGGGCATGGTGGCTCATGCCTGTAATCCCAGCTACTTGGGAGGCTGAGGCAGAAGAATTGTTTGAACCCGGGAGGTGGAGGTTGCAGTGAGCCGAGATTGCGCCACTGCACTCCAGCCTGGGGGGCAGAGCCAGACTCCGTCTCAAAAATAAATAAATAAATAAATAAATAAATAAATAAATAAATAAATAAATAAAATGAAGCAGGGGGCCCAGGGTGGCTGGTGTAGTAGAGACTGCAGGGCCAACTCCTCCAGCTCTGCAGAGCTCCTCGGGGCTCTGATTTAGAGGTCAGAGCCAGCTCTTTGCTCCCACATCTTATTTTGGGTACAGTGCTGCATTATTTGCATCTGGGCCTTGATTGGGACCACCCTGGTCCAGATCTACAAATCCACCAGAAAGCAAATCTTGGGGAACAAGCTTGGGGAGCAGGGAAAGAAGTATTTATCTCTCCCTTCCCAGAAGACCATGGTCTCCTAATGTAAAAGTTCTCAACTTCTCAGCTCAGGAGCTGGCTTTAAACAAAATGCCTCTTTTTACCTTTCTCCTGGGCATCACTCAAGCTTTCTCAGTGCAAAAAAAGGCATAAGGATCTGGTCAGGGTGATTTTCCATCTCTACCTATACAGGGAGGCAGTGGCAACATCTTTTGCAGAAAAAGAGAAAAAAAAAATATCTTGTGATCCCTAGTGGCAGATAATCCCATTAGGCAGGTGAATAAAAGCTTAATATTTATATAATTGGAATTCAGTGGACCCTTTCAAACAGTGCTGAGATATTATCATAGTAATTTGAGTCACTAGGAATTTAATACATTTATCTAGTTGGTGCTCTGGGGGAATATGTATCTCTATTGTTTGTCAACGGTATTTCCTTTGTCTTTCATTAGTGGTTATGCAGTTATTCCTTCTTTCTTTCTTTCTTTCTTTTCTTTCTTTCTTTCTTTCTTTCTTTTCTTTCTTTCTTTCTTTCTTCTTTCTTTCTTTCTTCTTTCTTTCTTTCTTTTTTTTTGAGATGGAGTCTTGCTCTGTTGCCCAGGATGGAGTGCAGTGGTGTGATCTCAGCTCACTACGGTCTCTGTGTCCTGGGTTCAAGTGATTCTCCTGTCTCAGCCTCCTAGGTAGCTGGGACTACAGGCATGTGCCACCACACCCAGCTAATTTTTGTATTTTTGGTAGAGATGGGGTTTCATCATGTTGGCGAGGCTAGTCTCGAACTCCTGGTCTCAGGTGATCTGCCTGCCTCTGCTTCCCAAAGTGCTGGGATTATAGGCGTGAGACGCTGTGCCTAGCCTATTAGCAGTTATTCTTAAGTAATCTTTAAATTATATGTTGAATGCTTCTCAAGAGCCTGGATTTCACCACAGAGAGGCAAATATAACATGTACGTCTGTAAAGATTAGTATAAAATTTCTTAATCTTTTTAGACAGAGAAGATAAAAAGAGTCACCACTATAATCCCAGCACTTTGGGAGGTCGAGGCAGGAATTCCAGACCAGCCTGGGCAACATAGTGAGACACCATCTCACCCAAAAGAACAAAAAGAAAAAACAATTCATCAGGAAAGGTGACGCATGCCTGTAGTCTCAGCTACTCAAAGGGCGAGGTGGGAGGATTGCTCTAGCTGAGATAGTTGAGGCTGCAGTGAGCTATGATTGCACCACTGCACTCCAGCCTGGGCAACAGAGTGCAACCCTGTCTCTCAAAAAAAAAAAAAAAAAAAAAAAAAAAAAAATATATATATATATATATTTATATATATATGGAAAATGTTGTTTACTGCCTAGGATATGAACTTTATGCAATCACACAATAGAAAATTTTAAAATTATTTTTATTACCTAAACTATTCATTTTTGCTGATTACAAAATTAACACTCATTACGGAAAACTTGGAAAATATAAAAAAGTACAAGGAGAAAATAAAAAGCACTTATATTTCTTCATCCAGATTTAAACCTGTTCGTATTCTGATGTAAAACCTACCAGTCTTTTTTCAGTATATTTGTCTATATAGATAATTCATTTCAAAAACTGGAATTTTAGCATGTGTTTAGTTTTACAGTTTGATGTCTTCAGTTACCATATTACAATTTTTTTTCACTTATTCAATAGTCTTCTGTGATATCTTTTTTTTTTTTTTTTCTTTTTGAGATGGAGTTTCACTTTTGTTGCCCAGGCTGGAGTGCAATGGCGCAATCTTGGCTCACCACAAACTCCGCCTCCCAGGTTCAAGCAATTCTCCTGCCTCAGCCTCCCGAGTAACTAGATTACAGGCATGTGCCACCACACACAGCTAATTTTGTATTTTTAGTAGAGACGGGGTTTCTCCATGTTGGTTAGGC
Organism: Homo sapiens; assembly: GCF_000001405.40. NCBI lineage: Eukaryota > Metazoa > Chordata > Mammalia > Primates > Hominidae > Homo > Homo sapiens. Next base: position 17,484,752 of record NC_000021.9, read on the forward strand.
TGGTCTGGAACTCCCAACCTCAGGTGATCCGCCCGCCTCAGCCTCCCAAAATGCTGGGATTACAGGCGTGAGCGACCACGCCCGGCGATGTCTTTTTTTTAAGAGGCAAAGTCTGATTATGTTGCCCCGCCTGGAGTGCAGTGGCTAGTCCCAGGTGCAACCATAGTGCATACAGCTTCAGACTTCTGTGTTCAAGTGACCCTCCTACCTTAGCCTCCTGAGTAGCTGGGACTACAGTTGTGCACCACTGCACTTGGCCATGGTATCTTTTTTGTTTGTTAGTTTGTTTTTGTTTTTTTTTGTTTTGTTTTGTTTTTTGAGTCGGAGTCTCCCTTAGTCGCCCAGGCTGGAGTGCAGTGGCGCGATCTCGGCTCACTGCAAGCTCCGCCTCCCGGGTTCACGCCATTCTCCTGCCTCAGCCTCCCAAGTAGCTGGGATTACAGGCACCCACCACCACGCCCGGCTAATTTTTTGTGCTTTTGGTAGAGACGGGGTTTCACCGTTTTAGCTAGGATGGTCTCGATCTCCTGACCTCGTGATCCGCCCGCCTCGGCCTCCCAAAGTGCTGGGATTACAGGCGTGAGCCACCGCGCCCGGCTGCCATGGTATCTTTTAATGTCTAAAGAGGATCATACCATTACAGTTATATACCCTGTTTATCTTTAGAAAAAAATGTTTCCTAATTTTTTTTTTTTTACCAACCAATCAAGCAGCAGTGAATCTATTTAAACAAACTCCTATTTTTAGAAATTTTAAGTTATTCCTTGTGTTTTACTATTATTTACTTGAAGCACATTTCTAGAACTAGAATGTTTGGGTAAAAGTGCCTATACGGGTCGCAAGCCCCTGGTAACCACAGCAAACCACATACAGCCACCTCCTTCCCACTCCTCACCGTCACCCCACATGCACGCTAAGCAACTAGTTTATGCTCCCACCAGAAATGCATATAAAAAGGCTGTCCCTGCACCTTCCTTTATAGGGCAGTATATGGTTTTTTTTCAGTATGGACAATTTATTTAATTACTAGAGAAAGGTTTTTATTTTCTTTTTTTCTCTTTTTTTTTTTTTTTTTTTTTTTAGAGACGGAGTCTTGCTCTGTCGCCCAGGCTAGAGTGCAGTGGCGCGATCTCGGCTCACCGCAAGCTCCGCCTCCCGGGTTCACGCCATTCTCCTGCCTCAGCCTCCCGGGTAGCTGGGACTACAGGTGCCCACCACCACGCCCGGCTAATTTTTTGTATTTTTTAGTGGAGACGGGGTTTCACCGTGTTAGCCAGGATGGTCTCGATCTCCTGACCTCGTGATCTGCCTCCCTCGGCCTCCCAAAGTGCTGGGATTACAAGCGTGAGCCACTGTGCCCAGCCAGGTTTTTATTTTCATACATTTAATTGCCTCTTGTATACTTTACCATTTTTCTGCTTGTTTTGTTTTGTTTTTTGAGACGGAGTCTCTCTCTGTCACTCAGGCTGGAGTACAGTGGCATGATCTGGGCTCACTGCAACCAACCTCTGCCTCCCAGGTTCAAGTGATTCTCCTGTCTCAGCCTCCCGAGTAGCTGGGATTACAGGTGCCCACCACCACGCCCAGCTAATTTTTGTATTTTTAGTAGAGATAGGGTTTCAGGCCGAACACGGTGGCTCACGCCTGTAATCCCACCACTATGGGAGGCCGAGGCAGGTGGGTCACTTGAGGTCAGGAGTTCGAGACCAGCCTGACCCACACAGTGAAACCCCGTCTCTACTAACGATACAAAATTAGCCAGGCATGGTAGTGCATGCCTGTAATCCCAGCTACTTGGAGACAGAAGAATCGCTTGAACCCAGGAAGCGGAGGTTGCAGTGAGCTGAGATCGGGCCATTGCACTCCAGCCTGGGCAACAAGAGCGAAACTCCATCTCAAAAAAAAAAAAAAAAAATAGGCCAGGCGCGGTGGCTCATGCCTGTAAGTAATCCCAGCACTTTGGGAGGCCAAGGCGGGTGGATCGCCTGAGGTCAGGAGTTCAAGACCAGCCTGGCCAACATGGTGAAACCCCATCTCTACTACAAAAATACAAAAATTAGCCGGGCACAGTGGCGGGCGCCTGTAATCCCAGCTAGTCAGGAGGCTGAGGCAGGAGAATCACTTGAACCCAGGAGGCGTAGGTTGCGGTGAGCTGAGATTGTGCCCCTGTACTCCAGCCTGGGCGACACAGTGACTCCATCTCAACAACAGCAACAACAAAAAAGAGACAGTGTTTCACCATGTTGGCCAGGCTGGTCTGGAACTCCTGACCTCAGGTGATCTGCCAGCCTCGGCCTCCCAAAGTGCTGGAATTACACGCGTGAGCCACCATGCCGGGTCCCCATTTTTTAGCTGTAATATTCAAGTTTCTTAATGAGCTTTTTACTTTGAAAAAATAAAGATTAAGGTAATTATCCTATGTCATGTATTTGCAAATATTTTTCTAGTTTGTCATTTTTCCTTTGTAATTGTGTTTGACATTTTTTGACATACAGATGTTTTAAATTGTCTATGCTGTTAAACTTATCAATCATTTCCTTTATGTTTTCTTCCTTTTGTTTTATTACACAGGAAATTTCACTTGCTGAAAATTTATCCACACTTATGATTTGTGTACATTTCCACAAGTATGTTATATTTCAGTAAGGTTTACCAAAAATAATAAAGGTTTTTTCTGCATAGTGTGTGTGTGTGTGTGTGTGTGTGTGTGTGTGTGTGTGTGTAACCATTTGTCCTTTTTTTCTGACCTAGGCATTCCTGCCCTGTAGAGTCCTCCCCTGTACTTGGAAGCAACATATTTTTCTGACATTGGCAGCAGCATACACTCAAACCTTCACATTTGGTCATATAAATATGATCAAATGTCAAATACACACACACATACACACACACATATTCTTCTAGTTATTCTATTACTTCATTTTTTAAGTTCTTTAAGCCATTTGGTTATGTTGTAACGTGAACCAACTAAATTTATTTTTCCAAATTGTCAACTAATTTTAGCAGAATCATTTGTCTTTGAATAGGGATAAATTAGTAGCTCTTTTTACCCCCTTAATTTTAGCATTATTTGCAAAACAAATGAGAAAGGTTGGTCTTTTGGCTCTTCTGTGTTCTTAACTTCTATGACTTAGAATCATATATGTTAGAAAATCACCGATGGTGATTTAAAACCATAAAGAGGAGAAAACACTGATGTAAATATACTAATCAAGCATTTTACCTAACTAGTCCAGAAAGACTTGAATAACCGACCTACCAATGGTAATTGTTTTCATACTAGTAAAGCCCAAGATATTAAAAAAGATAAAAACGGAGATAGAGAAGCTGTTTCTTCCAGATTTCTAAGATAAACAGTCTAGGGAAGAAATTATCAGAAGCAAATCTAGCCACATTGGCGGCAGAACAGTTCCTTATTTTGCGGATGGGTTCCTTCTCCTGCCTCTGGTGATGGGATAACTCTTTGGCCCCATGGTTCCTGTGCATCCATATATCCTTCCATTGGCTACTAATACTGACTTGGAAGCTCTTCAGACTCTGGGGTTGAGCATAGGAGCAAACAGGAGGTAATGCTACTCACCATCACTGAGTCACTGTTATTTCTACTGCTTCTCCATGTCTCCTAATTGGAGGAGCATACATTGCCATCATCTTGCCTAGCATTCTGTGACCTGTTACCATCCTCCTGAGCACCTACTGCCTCCTGGAGTAGTAGCTAAGGATCCTGCAAATTTATGGAGGCACTTATGCTTCCTCATAACTATGAGAACCACCTCCTAAATAGTAACCGGAGGCACTTGGTTAACTCTTTGGTCCTCAGAAAATAGGTGTTCCTAAAAATCTGTGTACTCCCAGGAATTTTGGATACCAATGTATGAACAGTCCTTAACATTGTTGATAAAACAACCCATATTTATTGTTATGGGCATAGGTCAGTAATGAATTCTACTTTGCATTTACTGTTGGGGACAGACTGCCAGTATCAACCAACACTACTTTCTGTCTCTTTAATCTCAGCACATTTGTCAAAACTCCAGCATATCTGAGTCTGTACCTCTGCTGGGTTTCATTTTGAATAAAGGAAGTCAGAAGTGAAAAAATGAAAACCACCTTCTATGTCAATACTGATCATTCAAATGTAGCCATGCTATCTAACTGTATTACACACTAGGGATCTTATAATGAATTTCATTTTCTACTAAATTGATTAAATTAAGGCCTGTTGATTTACTCCAGGAGAACAAAAAACTTGTTTGTTCCCTAATATCTATAATAGTGTCCATCACATATTTGGTGTGAAAAATAAATTATATAAAAAGTTATTTATTTTTTAAATAGGCAATGCATGCATATACAAATTCAAAAGATAGAAAAGGATATATAGTGAAAATTTAATTTTTGTTTCCTCATCTCCCAGCCAACAACTCTCTTCCTCAGAAGCAATCACTGTTATCAGTTTTTTTCTATCTTTCAGAAAAAATCATATGCATTTTAACATACACACACACAAACATATTTCACAGAAATTGTGTTATATGATAAAGTTTTGTAACTTACTTTTTTCCCATTTAACAGATGTTCTTGATGTATTATTTCACAAAGAGAAAAATATTAACATTTCATAAAAAGCTGCCTCAATGAAGGACATTTTGTATTTTTTGCCTAGTCAATATGAAAACTTAGTCATTGATAAAACTATTTCTACCTTCTAATGAGAATTTTAAAAACTATAAACATGATTTTTTAAAAAAAAATTGAGTTTCCAAAAAGAAAGGAAAGAAGATTAATCCAGAAACTCCACATCTTCCTGGATTGGAGGGTACCCTATCGTTCAAAAATTCTTCCAGAGTATCATATGTTTCAGATGGATTCAAGCAGAATATTTTTTCAAAGATCAGTAAGCGGTGCACTTAGAAGAGAAACAGCCTCTCTACATCTAAGACTGTGAGTATTAAAAGCCACATGTAGAAAGCACCTGCCTAACATAGAGCCAAACCAAATACAAGCAGAGCCAAAGGAACTGAGTCATGATGTGATCATTTGAACTTCTGGATTCAGCTAGGCCTGAAGCAGGGCCAGGACTAGGGTGAAGTAAGCGAGGCATTAATTTGAGGGGCAAATTTTAAAGGGATGCAAAGAAACCTCAGTAATAAAAGAAAATACAGTATTTTCTTTTTTATAATAAAAATATTTTAATTCTTTATTTCAATAAAATATATTATTCCCTCCTATTTGTCAGAACATGAACATAGAAAATATTTCCAATAATACTTTTAAGAATCAAAATTAATGCCCAAAAAATCCACAAGGAAAAAAACACCATTATTTGTTTATTTATTTCATTTATTTATTTTTTTTTAGACAGAGTCTTGCCTCTCTGTCACCCAGGCTGGAGTGCAGTGGCGCAATCTCGGCTCACTGTAACCTCTGCCTCCTGGGTTCCAGTAATTCTCCTGCCTCAGAATCCAGAGTAGCTGGATTACAGGCATGCACCACCATGCCTGGCTAATTTTTTTGTATTTTTAGTAGAGATGGGGTTTTGCCCTGTTGACCAGGCTGGTCTCGAACTCCTGAGCTCAGGTGATCTGACTGCCTCGGCCTCCCAAAGTGCTGAGATTACAGGCATGAACCACCACGCCTGGCCCAAAAGTACTAATTAAAAAATATATATTATTATTATTAAGTTCCGGGGTACATGTGCAGGTTTGTTACATAGGTAAATGTGTTCCACGGTGGTTTGCTGCACCTAACAACCCACCACCTAGGTATTAAGCCCAGGATGCATTAGCTCTTTTCCCTAATGTTCTCCCCCAAAACTCACCCTCCCTTGACACGCCCCAGTGTGTGTAGTTCCCCTCCCTGTATCCATGTGTTCTCATTGTTCAGCTCCCACTCACAAGTGAGAACATGCAGTGTTTGGTTTTCTGTTCCTGTGTTAATTTGCTGAGGAGGAGGCTTCCAGCTTCACCCACATCCCTGCAAAGGACATGATCTCGTTCCTTTTTATGGCTGCATAGTATTCCATGATGCATATGTACCACATTTTCTTTATCCAATCTATCATTGATGGACATTTGGGTTGGTTCCAAGTCTTTGCTATTGTGAATAGTGCTGCAATGAATATATGCATGCATGTATCTTTATAATTGAATGATTTGTATTCCTTTGGGTATATACCCAGTAATGGGATTGCTGGGTCAAATACTAATTTTTTTTTTTTTTTTTTGAGATGGAGTCTCGCATTGTGGCCTAGGCTGGAGTGTCATGTGCGATATTGGCTCACTGCAACCTCCACCTCCTGGGTTCAAGCAATTCTCCTGCCTCAGACTCCTGAGTAGCTGAGATTACAGGTGCCCACCACCACGTCGGGCTAATTTTTTATATTTTTAGTACTGATGGGGTTTCACTATGTTGGCCAGGATGGTCTCGAACTCCTGACCTTGTGATCCGTCCACCTCAGCCTCCCAAAGTGCTGGGATTACAGGCATGAGCCACCATGCCTGGCTAATTTTTAAATGAAAACAGGATCTTAGTCTGCACTTACATGAGTTTACCTTACTTGGCCTCCCTCTAATCCCAGCTCTGAGACATTCTGGTTATTACATGAGCAGATAATTTCTATACATTTTATTTTTACTTAAGTTAATTTTAGCTGAATTTCTGTCATTTGAAATTGAGAAAACCCTGCGTAAAGGATCAATTCCCAATGCTACTGTAAGCATTACATGATTTCATACATGTGTAGTTCTTAGGAAAGGCTTGGTGCATGTATAAATGCAGATTATTATGGCTATTGTTACTGCAATTTCATTTCACCGCCTCTACCATCCTAAAATACTCCAAACTCCTACAAAAATTTATTGCAGATATGCAAAATTGTAAAAGCAGCCCTGTTTGCGCAGATCCCGTGGGACAACCCCATGTGTTGTGCTGTGTATCCCCTATGCGTGGGTACTGAGGTTAAGCTTCCAATGGGCTGCTCCTGGCCAGGGACCAAGTGTGGCAGGGAAACAAAGGCAGACCCATTTTTCACCTGGTGATTCTGGCTTGAGGATTCCGCATCAACCTGGACAAAACTTTCTTAGAACTGCACTGCAGTCTAAGACATCCTACTCATTCTTCCTTCCTGCCCTCTCTCCATCCCAGGGATGAGATCAGCATTGCATCTGAAGCTCTCTCAACCCTCCTTTTTTCTGCTCAATTTTCCTTCACAAGTGTTTTCTCCAAGAAATTTCTCACACTTCAAATCCTGTCTTGACATCAGTTTCTAGAAAGACCAGAACTAACATTTGTTGATAATCTCTCTTTCTATTCCGGTGTGTACATTTCTTTCTAAATAACTCAGAACTATCAAACTTGGTACACACACACAAGCACACACGCTCATGTTCCTAACCAAAGGCTAAAACTCCTCGGCCATCAGGTCGGCCTTAGGGACTTGGTGGTGGTACTTAGGGGAAGTCAGGCTGTGGTTAAAACAGACTTACCAGGAACCACAAGCACTGGCAGATTATCAAGAAGCTGAATCACGGACCGTTACAAGAAGCTGAATCATGGATAGTTATTCCTCCTGATTCTTGTGTGGGTGTTTTTTTTTGTTTTGTTTTGTTTTTGTTTTTTACTGTAATTTAATCAGTCAAGAAATAGAAAAAAATTCAAGTATTTTCTAGCTTAATTTTCTGAAATACCTAGATGCCTCGAACCCTCAAATTAGAACTTCTAGTACATAAGCCATAGCTCCGATCTCCCACTGCTCACCTCTGGTGACGCAGGCACCACATGGGAACAACGTAGGCCAAACACTTTGCCACCACTTATTTTCCTTTAAGGGAGTGAGGAATTCTCCTTCAAGAGAGTGAGAAATTCTCCTTCACTTACTAACCACTAATTGGTCTCTGACAGGATTAGCAGGTCCTCTTGAGAAACAAAAACACAGAATTCTTGTATCTTCAAAGGTTGTTTTATGATATCTCCCTTAACCAGCACCTGATTTAAAAAAGGTTTTATCTATGCAGTTGAACCAGACTCCTGCCTGTCTAGCCCATGAGGGTATACCAGAACCCAGGGACCTAGTACCATAATCCCCACCAGTGGGTCATTAGGTGTTAAGATACAGCCAAGCCACAAACAATGTCCAGTGATTCCCAAGCCACCACACAGAGAACATCTGCATGCTGCAACAGGCAAGGCGTACGCCAGCCCAGAAATCTTACCAGTAAACCAAAAAGCCTCCTGCTTTACCTGGGCAGGTACAGTGGACTGTATTTACTGGTTTTATGATGCTGCCTTTGTTCCAAGGTCATGATGACATCATAGCACTTGCAGGTATTGTTTCCCAATAATGGTTCATTTTACTAGGTACTGGGAATCTTCCTCCCATGGCCATCCATACTACTATGCTACAAACTGATAACTGTTATTGCTTCTAGAGAAAGTCTAGGTGACTGACAGTCAGGCATAAGAAAAGATTTTTTCCTTTTTTTTTTTTTTTTAAAGTAGAGACAGGGTTTTGCCATGTTTCCCTGACTGGTCTGGAACTCCTGACCTCAAGTGATCCACCTGCCTTGGCCTCCCAAAGTGCTGGGATTACAGACGTCAGCCACTGTGCTCGGCTACAATTGTTTACTTTTAAATCCTCTACTGAAGTTGGAGCCACATAATTGCATCACCTACTCAAAAAAGAAATAAACTAAAATAACATAGAAGTTGTGCTATTCCCACAGAAATTTTAGATGGCCTTACCAGTATCAGAGCAGGGTTCACAATTTACACAATGATGAAAGATACTATTCTTCAGTCTCTAGGGCTTTCTCCGGCATAAAACTTTTCCAGTGATATTTTAGTTTTCTACCACCTGCCACGTGAACACCTGGGTCTCTCTCCTTCACACCTCTGAGGCCTGCTAAAAACGTCATCCATTCTTCCATCAAAAACAGTGTTTCAATGTAAACATGGAGTCTATCATTTGGATCTCATGATACCTTCTGTCCAGGGTTGATAATTCCTGGCTGGCCCCAAACACCCTGTACTCACCTTCTGTATTAGCCTGTTTTTGCATTGCTATAAAGAAATACCTGAGGCTGGGTAATTTATAAAGAAAGCTGGTTTATTCTGGCTTATGGCTCTGCAGGCTATTCAGGAAGCATGATGCCAGCATCTATTTCAGGTGAGGGTCCCAGGAAGCTTACAGTTATGGCCAAAGGTGAAGGCAGAGGTGGCACATCACATGGTGAGAGAGGGAGAAAGAGAGAGAGGAGGAACCAGGCTCCTTTAAACAACCAGCTCTCGCTTGAACTGAGTGAGAACTCACTTATTACCAAGGGAAGGGCATTAATCCATTCATGAGGGATCTTCCCCAACGATCCAATCACCTCCCACTAGGCCCCACCTTCAACACGGGCGATTACATCTCAACATGAACATGAGATTTGGAGGAGACAGACATCCAAACCATATCAACTTCTAATATGCTAAGACAAAGTACAATTTTTCCATAGATCAGCATAAATCCTCAAAGACACAGACTCTTTGCCACTTCAGGTGGAAATCCCAGTAAATTGAATACAAAGTCATGTACACATATGCATTTATAGGCTGGGTGCAGTGGCTCATGGCTGTAATCCTAGCACTTTGTGGGGCTGAGGTGGGCAGATCACTTGGGCCCAGGAGTTTGAGACCAGCCTAGGAAACAGGGCAAAACCTAATTTCTACAAAAAATACAAAAATTAGTTGGGTGTGGAGGCACATGCCTATAGTCCCGGCTACTCAGGAGGCTGAAGTGGGAGGATCGCCTGAGACCGGGAGGTCAAGGCTGCAGTGAGCCAAAATCATGCCACTGCACTCCAGCCCGGGGAACAGAGTGAGACTCTGTCTCAAGAGAACAAAACAAGACAACAACAATAGCAACAACAACATATATGCACTTATTTTTCTTAGTGAGAAGATTCTTTATCATTTTTTCCCAATCAATGACTGCCTAAGGATCTTTAGCTTTAATCAAATTCTCCAAGTGATTGATAGCCACCAAAAAAATTTAACCATATAGCAGATGCCATGTAGCAGTGCCTGGTCCATAACCATTCTGCATTCACTGTTCCCATTTTTCCTACGGGCAAGCACCAATGACTGACTGCCTGAGGACTTTCTTTAGCTGCAGGAGTGTGCTAGACCCCTAAGAGACAGATGGTGAAAATTTGGGAGTTCATACCTCCAGGAAAAGCCTTCAACCATTGACAGATGAAAGTTGGTGAATAAACACCCCAGCTCCTCACCCCTCCGATGGGACAACTCCAAGACCTACTCTATATAATCTTTCAGGATCTCCCATTAGGATTGACCCAATATCCACAAGGTCAACCTGCCACCAACATACCCTCTCTTGGCTTTTTTCCATGGTTGTTTTACTTCCCTATTTCCCTACTCGTGCTTGAGATCACCTTCTACTCTGCACCCAAATCTGTACCTTAGGGTCAGCTTCTGGGGAAAAGTTCTCAGCCCAAGTTAAATGACTATCCTATTGGTTCTCTTACAGATTATCCATTCTGGCTATCAACTGGTTCATCTGTACTTCAATCAATACTAAATTCACAATGTCTGCTGAGTCAGACCAGTTTTATATCCATCTTTGGAAATCTACCTGTATTTCACTGATCCCTTCTTTAATGGTAAATCAGACCCTACTTTGTATTTAAACTCACTATACTGTACACCAAACTAGAGGTAGCTTATAAAGAAAATACATTACTCTTCCTAACATTTTAGGTTTTTGTGCCCAGCATACCTTCTTAAAAAAAATTTCTGGAGCTCTTTGAGGCCTTGGGGAAAAAATAAAATGAATGAAAAAGGAGCTGACCTGCGATATCATGGAGGCTAAATATTTCACTAATTCTGTTTTGTTGAAGATTACAGTCTGATTTGGTTTATTTGTTTTTTGTTTTGGTTTGAGAGCTTTCCTTCTTTCTCCCTTTATTTGGCACTCATCCTTCTTAAGAGACTATTTGAGTTTTAGTAGCTGGACTCTGGGAACCGCAGGCATGTTGTTTGGCAGATGGATTTTTGCAGTTCTACAGACCAAACCTAATTATCCATTTTGAGTTGTCATCTGAGTTTCTGTTTGAGTTGCCAATGTTTGTCCATTGGATTTTTCTCCTGTCCATTAAGCAATTTTCTCGCATGATAGAGCATCTACACAAAAAGAATTTCAGGAAACCAGCAGCCATGTGTTGAGACCCATAGGGGAGCTGCTGAGATTATTCACACAAAGTCCATTTCTCTCCTTAAGCAAGGAAGCAGGAAATATATAATACTAGAATAAGGAACTCAGAAAAGATGTGGCCTAACACATCTACAAGACACAGTCTGGAAAATTCCTATCATGTTAACAGTCCAACATATGCGCTGAATGCATTTCTACTTGGTCAAGCCAGAGAATATTTAATCTCCATCTGAATAACATAAAAATGAAAATGCTATAAATTGCAACTACCTAAATATTTTTTGAATCAATACATATCAAATATGTTTAAGTGTTCTTTTCTCATTTTTCTTAAGTTTCTACAAAGGATCAACTGTCACCCGCACCCAGCATCTCCTGCCATATCTGAAGTTTGGGTGACTCACTGACCCAACAGAAATCAGTCTCCCTTTAGTGATACCCCCTATATTCCTTTCTTTTTTTCATTGCTTAGCAATAGCACTGCCAGGGAAATGGAAACAAACAAAAAAGGAGAAAATCAACCCCCGTTTATTTTTATGTACAATAAAGTTTTCATGAAAGTGAAATCATAATGCCTAATGGTGACAAGAATGCTTTTTAGTAATGAGAGACTTTGTAAACCTTTCAAGTGCTTTAAAAAACGATATATAATATTTGTACCTATTTTGGGGGTACTTGTGATATTTTGATACATGTATACTATGTGAAATCAAATTAGGGTAATTGGGGGTATCCATCACCTCAAATATATATCTTCTCTTTGTGTGGGGAACATAATAATTCTTCTAGCTATTTTGAAATGTACAATAAATTATGGTTAACTATAATTTCCCTATTCTACTATTGGATACTACAACTTATTCCATCTAACTGTACCTGTCAAGTGTTTTTGAATAAGAAACATTTAACTGACTTTTTTTTAAAGAGATGGGGTCTTGCTGTGTTGCGCGGGATGAATTTGAACTGAACTCCCTAGTAGCTGGGACTAAAGGCACATACTTTTGAGTTTGGCTTAACTGACTTTGAAAGCTATAAAAGTAGGGATAGGTAAGATCAGCTGAACAACATGTCCATTTGCATAATAGCAGAGTTCCTCCTTTATCAGAAATGTGCAAGTTTCCTTGTCCTTTAGAGTTTGAGTTGTGAGTTGAGATAATATGTTTTTGCTACCAGCAATCGTAAATTAAATCAACATACCTACAAATGGCTGTCCTAACAGGGAGTCATCTAGTATCCAAAGAACCACCATTCCCTGCCCACTCCTATTGCTCCTGGATACCCACGCCACTTCACCTTCCTTCTCTTCTTCATTACTGATTAGTAGAATGTGTGGCTGCTATCTTCCCAAACTCAATAATAAGGTCACCAAAGCTGCCAGGGATCTGTGGTTCCCAGGCATCCTATTCTTGCTGAATTACCACTCCTGCTACTCACTCCTTCAACCCTAATCAGGGTCCTTCACTCCAACTTTCCACTCCATTACTATCAGCCTCTGCCTAAGCTAGATACTTATCCTTTCCTGAAACATCTGCCAATTCTCTCTCTCACTTTGTAACATGAAAATGTAACCCTGTCTCCCTAAAACTACAAGCAGTATTAGTTCAACACCAAAGAATCTGCACTTTGCCCTTAAACCATCTATGCTCCTTTGTTAGGAAGGAGAATAAGGTTTGACTCCTAATTCTGTGTCTGAGCAAGAAAAGGTGCTTTTTTTTTATTTCATATTTTCTTTTATTTATTATTATTATACTTTAAGTTTTAGGGTACATGTGCACAATGTCCAGGTTAGTTACATATGTATACATGTGCCATGCTGGTGCGCTGCACCCACTAACTCATCATCTTGCATTACGTATATCTCCCAATGCCATCCCTCCCCACTCCCCCCACCGCACAACAGTCCCCAGAGTGTGATGTTCCCCTTCCTGTGTCCATGTGTTCTCATTGTTCAATTCCCACCTATGAGTGAGAATATGTGGTGTTTGGTTTTTTGTTCTTGTGATAGTTTGCTGAGAATGATGATTTCCAATTTCATCCATGTCCCTACAAAGGACATGAACTCATCATTTTTTATGGCTGCATAGTATTCCATGGTTTATATGTGCCACATTTTCTTAATCCAGTCTATCATTGTTGGACATTTGGGTTGGTTCCAAGTCTTTGCTATTGTGAATAATGCCGCAATAAACATACGTGTGCATGTGTCTTTATAGCAGCATGATTTATAATCCTTTGGGTATATACCTGGTAATGGGATGGCTGGGTCAAATGGTATTTCTAGTTCTAGATCCCTGAGGAATCGCCACACTGACTTCCACAATGGTTGAACTAGTTTACAGTCCCACCAACAGTGTAAAAGTGTTCCTGTTTCTCCACATCCTCTCCAGCACCTGTTGTTTCCTGATTTTTTAATGATTGCCATTCTAACTGGTGTGAGATGGTATCTCATTGTGGTTTTGATTTGCATTTCTCTGATGGCCAGTGATGGTGAGCATTTTTTCATGAAAGATGCTTTACTGGAGTACTGACTTGGCCTGGTGAATACAAGTCCTCCTAGAAACATTCTTATAAATATTTCACCACGCTCTGTCAAGAACACTGTAGGCTAAATGGGTGTTTGGAGGCTTCCTTGGTAAATTAACTACATTCATTTACAGCATAGCTGCTATGAGAAGATGCATTTAGTTTTACTTCCAATATGAAAAACAAACAAATTCCTCAAAGGAGTACAATCTAGGTTCCAAAATCTAGATCTCCAGCCAGGTCGGCTCTCTTTCTGGCATCTTCACTTGGATGTCCCTCGGGCATTGAAAACCTAACATTTGTATTCCACTAAACCTGCTTGTCCACTAACCCTATTCAATTAGCAGCACCTTTTTACATTGATTGCCAAATCTAGAAACCTGAAACAGCTTTGTTTCTTGTTCCTCACTGCCTATATCCAGCTGGGCTCAAATTTTGCTAGTCATCCCTCCAAAAATCTCCTAAGCCTCTCAGATTGCTGTAACAACTTGAGTTCAGACCCCACCAGTTTTTACTGTGACTTTAAAAACAATTTCTTCAATAATTTCCCTTTTGTTTTTTCTGCCCTCTTCAGATCCATCCTTGGCACTGCCTCTAGAGTTTTCTTTCCAAAACACAGACAGGATTATGATAGGCCCCTGTTTAAAAGGAAAGAAAAAAAAAAGCAAACTTAGATTGTTCTCTCTGCTAAATCAAAAAGCCTGACTTCAGAAGAAGAGGGATTCTTGCCCATTCTGTCAAATTTGAGCACCTGGGCAGTACAACAAGGATTTTGCTGGCAGCAATTCTCCAGGAGTCTCAGATGTGAGCCCCTCAATAAGGCCAGAGAATAGACAGCTCTAATGCATTCAGTCTTCTCTCTCTTCAGGTGCCCTAGAAAAATCTTCAGTGAGGACCCCCTCACCCAGAGCAAAAAAGATGCATGGAGAGGAGTCTGCCTCTTGGATTCAAGTGGGAACAGTTGCTACAGAAATAATCCCCTGGCTTTCCTGTCTAATCTCAGATTTCTAATAACCAGAGTTAAATTTTGTATTAATTGTGGTAGATCCCCTTAATCCCAGTTTTTCTGAGCTCTCCCCCTTTCACTACCTTCCTAATTTGTCTCTTATCTTACTCAAGTTTTAATGACTATATTTTAAGTTGTTAAGGCATTCTATAAATTTTCTGTTCAAGCAGATTTTAGAATAATTAGAATGCCAATCATTTTCTCCCTAATTATAATCCCAAGTTGAAGTTGCAGAATTTGGGTGCAAATTTTGAAAGAACACTCAACTGGGCGCAGTGGCTCACACCTGTAATCCCACTACTTTGAGAGGCCGAGGCTGGCGGATCACGAGGTCAGGAGTTCAAGACCAGCCTGGCCAATATGGTGAAACCCTGTTTCTACTAAAAATACAAAAATTAGCTGGATGTGGTGGGGAGCGCCTGTGGTCCCAGCTAAGGCAGGAGAATCACTTGAACCCGGGAGGTGAAGGTTGCAGTCAGCTGGGATCATGCCACTGCACTCCAGCCTGGGCAACAGAGCGAGACTCCATCTCAAAAAAAAAAAAAGAAAGAACACTGTTGGTTGGGCATGGTGGCTCATGCTTGTAATCTCAACACTGTGGGAGGCCAAAGTGGGAGGAGGATCACTTGAGGCCAGTAGTTCAAGACCAGCCTGGGAAACAAAGCCAGTACCTATCTCTCTCTCTCTCTTTGTTCTTTTAAAGAAAGAACACTCTTTCTAAAATCTAAATGCATTCAGTCAACAAATACGTTTGAGCCTATATTTAGTACTAAACTAGATGCTGGAGCTACAACAGTAAGGAAAAACCGACATGCACCCTGCCCTCACAGAGCCTACAGTTGGGTGAGTGGGATAGGCATGAATCAAACAATCAAACAAATAACACATTCAAGTTTGACACTGCAATTGTAGAAAGTGCTCTGAAGGGGAGGTGACCGGTGCTTTGAGAAATATAATGCAAATTATTATTATTTTTATTTTTTCAAATGAAAGGTCTCACATATTTATTACTGAACCCAGCCAACCAGCGCATTCACAATAGATTCAGAGAGGAAAAAAATATATTCCCAATAAAACATGACCAACTGTCCAGATAGTGGTGACATTTTCAGCTTGATATGGTAACATGGTCATGACCTTGAGACAGCATAAATACGTGTGCCATCTCGTATGCAGTTCCTTGCAGACCCAGCTTGGTTCTTCTCCAATATCTCCTCTTGGAGTTGTACCCGATTTTATTTCCAGTTTTCATCCGAATCTACTGTGGAATGGGATAATTTTGCTTTTGTTTCATTGCCAGGAATTAATCCTGAAAGCGTGAGAAAACATGGCGAAAAGTGGAGTCAAGCACACACCACAATGGCAAAGAAAGGAAGAGACAGCTGTAATACAAATTAAATCAAATGTAATCAGAGGGGTCCCTTAGGAAAGGATACTTGTTCTGAAATAGTAAGGATGACTAGGAGATACCCGCTTGAGAAGGTCAAGTATTCCAGGCAAAGGGAACAGCATCTGCAAAGGAAACAGCCACAGCAGGGACGGGGACATTGAGATGAACTTAGAGAGGCAGGTAAATGCAAACTCTTCAGTTAAGTATTATCTTTATCATAAATGCAACTGAAGTCCTTGAATCAATCCCTTCATGAGGAGGAAATGAGGGTGCCACTGGTTTCATTCTAATCAAAGGAAGGGGGACTTATTCTGAATTCCATCTCTGATTCCCAAAATATCTGGCTAGTGCTTTAATGTTTCCATGACTCTAGTTTCCTTACTTATAACAAGTTTACCTCAATGCTTGTCACCTCCAGTTTTATAAAGGTATTTTAAGGAACAATGAGTCATAATTGCTGAGTTCTTTGAACTCCTTGGATGAAAGATGTTATACTGCCTATAAACATAAAGCATTGTTATTATCTATCAGAAAAAAAGCTGTCCCCAGCCAAAAAGAAACCAGCAAAATACAAAGTATATGAGGCGCCACACACTTCTGTAATATTTAAATTTATAATCTGGGTATAAATTAAATGGGTTTGACATTGAGTTAAGCCCAGCATCTTTGATCTATACTGCCCACAGCACTATGCAAACATTGAGTTAAGCCCAGCATCTTTGATCTATAATGCCCACAGCGCTATGCAAACATTGAGTCATCTAATCTGAAAATGCTCTGGGGGTGTGTATGTCACAAACACCAGACATTATCATTCTTTCTTTGAATTTTTTTCCTAAAGCACACCACCAAAGCTAGTGTAAAATCTCAGAAAATGAACACAAATTAGTCGTTATTCTGCTAGTCTTCTTTCTTTTCATTCAAACGCCCAATCAAAAGCATCTCTACACCAAAATACAAACATGATCACAAAGATAAGGAAAAGCTTAAATAAAACAAGCAAAAGATTTTTATTCCTGGGTAAACATCTTATCTTTTTCTTATTTTTAGTACAGGGCAGGTTTGCTACTTTGTGAACTGTTTTGGCCTAAGAAGGAAAGTAGAGAAAAAGGACTAGAGATGAGGATACTATAAGAATGGGAACTTTGGCAAAAGAAGTGAAATGGAAACAGGGATGAGACGAAAATTTATATAGGTTCATTCCTTTTCTTTTTTTTTTTTTTTTTTGAGAGGAGTCTCGCTCTGTCGCCCAGGCTGGAGTGCAGTGGTGCGATCTTGGCTCACTGCAACTTCCGCCTCCCGGGTTCAAGCGATTCTCCTGTCTCAGCCTCCTGAGTAACTGGGATTACAGGTGCATGCCACCATGCCCAGCTAATTTTTGTAATTTTAGTACAGACGGGGTTTCACCATGTTGGCCGGGCTGGTCTCAAACTCCTAACCTCAGGTGATCCACTCACCTGAGCCTCCCAAAGTGCTGGAGTTACAGGAGTGAGCCACCACACCCAGTAGTTCACTCTTTTCTTTCCTTTCACTAATATAGCTTACAGTAGAGATGGAGGGAGGGTGAGACACTTAAAACCCAGGGCCAACTTATCCAGGGCCTGTGAAAATGTTTTAATTTCTTTTAAAATCAGAAGAAATAATGATATGATCCAGCCTGAATTAAATTTGTCTTTATACCAACACTGTTGTAAAAACAATTATTATTATTTTTAATGGTGGCAGGGGTTCACAAAGATGAAAGTACTTAAGGCCCCTGAAAGTCACAATGTGGCCCTGGAAATGCCCTTAGATATTTTGAGGAAAACTTGCTGAGGACATCCTTGACTATTTATTTATTCTACCTGGACACTAGAGAATTCCACAAAAGCAATTGAATACAATATTTGAGAAGTAATTCAATAAACTGAATGGAGGAAGCTAAGTAAAAACAGAACCTGGGCCGGGCGTGGTGGCTCACGCCTGTAATCCCAGCACTTTGGGAGGCTGAGGTGGGTGGATTGCCTGAGCTCAGGAGTTCCAGACCAGCCTGGCCAATATGGTGAAACCCCATCTCTACTAAAATACAAAATATCAGCTGGGCATGGCAGCAGGCCTGTAAGCCCAGCTACTTGAGAGGCTGAGGCATGAGAATTGCTTGAACCTAGGAGGCGGAGGTTGCAGTGAGCTGAGATCATGCCATTGCACTCCAGCCTGGGTGACAAAGTGAAACTCTGTCTCAAATAAACAAACAAACAAACAAACCCTGGGGGATTATCAGTAAAGGAAACTGTGGTTTAACTTCTCCATACAGCTTATGTACACGGCATGGGGTATATTCCCCTATTTACAAGGCTATTGAAGAGAGTCATGAACCTCATCTAAGAATTGGTAATTATAGGCCAGGTGCGGTGGCTCATGCATGTAATCCAGCACTTTGGGAGGCCGAGGTGGGTGGACCATCTGAGGTCAGGAGTTCAAGACCAGCCTGGCCAACATGGTGAGACCTCATCTCGATTAAAAATACAAAAAATCCCAGCTACTCAGGAGGCTGAGGTGAGAGAATTGCTTGAACCTGGGAGACAGAGGTTGCAATGAGCCAAGATAGTGCCACTGCACTCCAGCCTGGGCAACAGAGCGAGACTCTGTCTCAAAAAAAAAAGGGGGTCTCTTCTCTTGGCTTTGGAGCCCCCGCATCTGTCTCTGTACAAGGTAGCTTCTTCCTTTTTTCTTCTCCCTTCTTTCTTGCCGATTAAACTCTCCACTCCTTAATACCAAAAAAAAAAGAATTGGTAACTACAAGCCCTTCCTCATGCTAGTGTCTGATCAGAATTTACATTAACAATATAATCTATAACGTAGCACCAAGAGGGTATTTTAAACATTTTCCTGGAATAGGAGTGTCCCTAGGATCCTGTCAGAAGCTAATACAAATCCCCTCTCAAGAAAAACACTTAAGGCGGGGCGCAGTGACTCACGCCAGTAATCCCAGAACTTTGGGAGGCCGGGGCAGGTGGATCACCTGAGGTCAGGAGTTTGAGACCAGCCTGGCAACATGGTGACACCCCAGCTCTACTAAAACTACAAAACTAGCTTGGCGTGGTGGCACAAGCCTGTAATCCCAGCTACTCGAGAGGCTGAGGCAGGAGAATCGCTTGAACCTGGGAGGCAGAGGTTGCAGTGAGCCAAGATTGCGCCATTGCAATCCATCATGGGCAACAAGAGCGAAACTCCGTCTCAAAAAAAAAAAAAAAAAAACACTTAAAACCCTCAAACAATTCACACAGATAAAGCTCCATAAACATGAGTTTATAACAAAAAATCATCATAAAACACATGAAATAAGCCTAACATAAGCAAAAATGTACAAAAACAGCAGACAATAAAATGAGAGCTGGGCACAGTGGCACACACTTGTGGTCTCACCTACCTGGGAGGCTGAGGAGGGAGGACTGCTTGAGTCCAGGAGTTTTTTGAGACTGAATTTTGCTCTTGTTGCCCAGGCTGGAGTACAATGGCACATTCTTGGCTCACTACAACTTCCACCTCTTGGGTTCAAGTGATTCTCCTGCCTCAGTCTCCCGAGTAGCTGGGTTTACAGGCATGCACCACCACACCTGGCTAATTTTGTATATTTAGTAGAGACAGGGTTTCTCCATGTTGGCCAGGCTAGTCTCAAGCTCCTGAGCTCAGGTGATCCACCTGCCTCAGCCTCCCAAAGTGCTGGGATTACAGGCATGAATACTGTGCCTGGCCAAGTCCAGGAGTTTGAGTCTAGCCTGGGTAACATAGAGAGACCTTGTCTCCAAAAATTAATTAATTAATTAATTAAAGAAAAAAAAAACCAGCCAGGCATGGTGGCTCACGCCTGTTAATCCCAGCACTTTGGGAGGCTGAGGCAAGTGGATCACTTGAGGTTAGGAGTTTGAGACCAGCCTGGCCAACATGGTGAAACTCCATTTCTACAAAAAATACAAAAATTAGCCAGGCATGGTGGTGTGCACCTGTAGTCTCAGATACTCGGGAGGCTGAGGCAGGAGAATTGCTTGAACCCAGAAGGTGGACGTTGCAGTGAGCGGAGATTGCACCACTGCACTCCAGGTTGGGCAACAGAGTGAGACTCCATCTCAAAAAAAAAAAAAAGGAAAAGGAAAAAGAAAACAAACCAAAATGAGACACATAATGATTTCAGATCATGCAATTATTGCACACATAATATATAAGTATATTTAACATGTTTAAAGAAATGATAACTGGAAGTATGAGTAGGAATAAGCAACCAAGCAGATATATATTTTTAAAGCTTAAATATTATGAATAAAAATACACAACTTAAATAAAAACTCTTAAGGATAATTGAAAGTAGATTCAACACAACTGAAGAGCAAAGTTGTTAATAGGTAGATAAAACTGAAAAAAATCACCCAGAATTCAGCTCAGAATATCAAATACATGGAAAATATGAGACAATAAGATATAAAGGATAGGATGAGAAGGTATAACACTTATCTAAGTGGCACCCCAGAGGATGACAATAGAGAGATATGGGAAAAGCAACATTGAATAAGAATTTAAATATTGAGATTTTTCCAGAATTGAGGGATAACACAGATAGGTATTTTTAAACAAATAAAAACAAAGTTTGCTTTAAAAAGACCCTCTTAGGCCAGGCACTGTGGCTCCCACCTGTAATCCCAGCACCTTGGGAGGCCGAGGCAGGTGGATCACCTGAGGTCAGGAGTTCGAGACCAGCCTGGCTAATATGGTGAAATCACGTCTCTACTAAAAACATAAAAATTAGCCGGGCATGGTGGCCACCTGTAATCCCAGCTACCTGGGAGGCTGAGACTGAAGAATCGCTTGAACCTGGAAGGGGGAGGTTGCAGTGAGCCAAGACCACAGCATTGCACTCCAGCCTGGGCAACAAGAGTGAAATTCTGTCTGGAAAAAAAAAAAAAAAGTCCTCTTGGTGTAATCAAGTTGCCAAAACAAAAAATAAAAAAGATACTCAGTAATTTGTAAAGGACATACTTCTGGAAGAAGGAATTATCCCAGAAGTGGTTTGATATGCAAGAAGAAATGGTGAACAAAGACATGCAGACAAATCTAAAGGAACATTGACTCTATTGAGGACTAAACTCTGATTTTTTTTTTTTATCTTTCCCAAATTCTTATCTAAGGGGTCTGGGGAGTCATGGCCTAGAAATCATAAATTCTCATCAGATGGGTTTTATTTAACCCTATATATAGTGACTTACTTTCCAACCTGACTCTGGCATAACATTCAGAGACAAGGAAGAAAATCAAAATATTTTACCCCAAAACATGTTTCTTTGCCGTATCTTGAAAGCTGTCCTTTGTGGGGGAAAATTTGCATCTGTAAGGAATTTCTATTAACATAGCTAGTTCTTCTTCCTCTAGGACCTCCCAATCCTAAAGAGATTAACTGGCTGGGAGCGGTGGCTCACACCTTTAATCTCAGCACTTTGGGAGGCCCAGACCGCGGATCACAAGGTCAAGAGACTGAGACCATCCTGGCCAACGTGGTGAAACCCCGTCTCTACTAATAGTAAAATCCAAAAAAATTAGCCGGGCGTGGTGGCGGGCGCCTGTAATCCCAGCTACAGGGGAGGCTGAGTCAGGAGAATCGCTTGAACCCTGGAGGTGAAGCTTGCAGTGAGCCGAGATCGCGCCACTGCACTCCAGCGTGAGTGACAGAGCGAGACTCTATCTCAAAAAAAAAAAGAAAAGAAAAAGAAAATTTGAGACGGAGTCTGGCTCTGTCGCCCAGGCTGGAGTGCAGTGGCGCGATCCCGGCTCACTGCAAGCTCTGCCTCCCGGGTTCACGCCATTCTCCTGCCTCAGCCTCCCGAGTAGCTGGGACTACAGGCGCCCGCCACTACGCCTGGCTAATTTTTGCATTTTTAGTACAGACGGGGTTTCATTATGTTGGCCAGGCTGGTCTCAAACGCCTGACCTCAGGTGATCCGCCCGCCTCGGCCTCCCAAAGTGCTGGGATTACAGGCGTGAGCCACCGAACCCGGCCTAAATCTAGCACCTTTTAAAGATCTGGATAGGAAGCATTTGTTATCTATTGTCTCTAAGGGCACCCACTATAAGACTTCAAAAGAACCTTGGTCTCCACAATCTCTTATCTTAACCTGAACATTTCCTTTCTGTGATCTCGCGTCTTTAGATAAACTCAACCAATTGTCAACCAGGAAATGTTTAAATTTTCCTAGAGCCTGGAACCCCGCCCGACTTTGAGTTGCCCCGCCTTTCTGTACCAAATTAATGTATTTCTTACATGTATTTGATTGATGTCTCATGCCTCCCTAAAATGCATAAAACCAAGCTGTGCCCCGCCCACCTTCGGCATGTGTTCTCAGGACCTCCTGAGGGCCATGTCATGGGCCATGGTCACTCATATTTTGCTCAGAATAAATATCTTCAAATATTTTACAGAGTTTGACTATTACTGTCAACTATTAAAAAACAAGTCAATGTATAACTTAGAAGGTGGACAGGACAGAAACATTGGATTACACTATAAATTAGGAAAGGGATATGATAGGAGTTAAAACAGTCTAAGATCTATGATTATTCAGGAAAATAATAAAAATGTTCATTTTCTTTAGACTTTTAAATTTAAATATCCATGGGGGCATTTCATCCCAACTGAGGGCAGACTTCCGAAAAATAATGAAGAATTAAACACATGCATTTACCGTGATTCTTCCTGAAACCCTTATTAAAACCACATTAATAGAATTTAAAAGGTTTAAAAAAAAAAAAAAAAAAAGCCTGAAGGCAGAAAGACAAAGATAACAGGGTAGAAGACAATATCAACATTTTGGGAACTGGAAGGCAGATAGATGAGAGATACTGACTGAACACATTCCAGACAGCTGAATTCTAAACCAGCAGTAGTCAAAGTGAACCTTCCAAGAATTTCAGGATTTGATGGTATCAGGATATTTGAGAGTGAAGCGAAGGTGGGGC
Source organism: Homo sapiens (assembly GCF_000001405.40). Classification (NCBI taxonomy): domain Eukaryota; kingdom Metazoa; phylum Chordata; class Mammalia; order Primates; family Hominidae; genus Homo; species Homo sapiens. The sequence goes on from NC_000021.9 coordinate 17,507,867, forward strand.
TAAAAACAGGGAGATTGGCTTAAGTTAGTTTAAAAAGAAGTTAAGCGGCCAGGCACAGTGGCTCACGCCTGTAATCCCAGGACTTTGGGAGGCCAAGGCGGGAGGATCATGAGGTCAAGTGATCGAGACCATCCTCGCCAATATGTTGAAACCCCCGTCTCTACTATAAACACAAAAATTAGCCAGGCGTGGTGGCGCACATTTGTAGTCCCAGCTATTTGGGAGGCTGAGGCAGGAGAATCGCTTGAACCCAGGAGGCAGAGGTCACAGTGAGCCGAGATCGCGCTACTGTACTCCAGCCTGGTGCAGAGTGAGACTCCGTCTCAAAAAAAAAAGTGTATGTATTTATACATTCATTGCTTGGGAGTAAACAGGTAACTTTTGGATGGTATTAACCCATAAAGCCAATGTTCCTGGTAATGTAAATAGAACACACTAGAAAGAAATTTTCATTTCTTTTTTTTTTGAGACAGAGTTTCGCTCTTGTTGCCCAGGCTGGAGTGCAATGGCGCGATCTCCACCCACCACCGCCTCCCAGGTTCAAGCGATTCTCCTGCCTTAGCCTCCCGAGTAGCTGGGATTACAGGCATGTGCCACCACACCCGGCTAATTTTGTATTTTTAGTAGAGATGGGGTTTCTCCATGTTAGTTAGGCTGATCTCGAACTCACGACCTCAGGTGATCTGCCCGCCTCGGCATCCCAAAGTGCTGGGATTACAGGCGTGAGCCACTGTGACTGGCGAAATCTTCATTTCTTAAGAACAGCATTATCATTTTTCAGAAAACAGAAAAATTAGCAGCAGTTTCACATATAATAGAAAGTTTCTTGGCCTGGCGCAGTGACTCACGCCTGTAATCCTAGCACTTTGGGAGGCTGAGGCAGGCAAATCACCTGAGGTCAGGGGTTTGAGACCAGTCTAGCCAACATGACGAAACCCCCATCTCTGCTAGAAATACAAAAATAGCCGGGTGTGGTGGTGCATGCCTGTAATCCCAGCTACACGTGAGGCTGAGGCAGAATTGCTTGAACCCGGGAGGCGAAGTTGCAGTGAGCCGAGATCATGCCACTGCACTCCAGCCTGGGTGACAGATGGAGATCCGTCCCAAAAAAAAAAAAAAAAAAAAGAGAGTTTCTTAATTCACATGTCTTCATATTCCAAGCTGAGAAGAGATGAAAATCCTTTAATTCTTAAGTATAAATTAACCTTTGAATATGATTGTAGGATTTTAATAATCTATGGGTGTGTTCATAGATCTATTAGTGCTGAGACATTTTTGTAAGGATGGATGCTTTATTAACCACAGTTATTTGTGTATCTGTAATTATAGCCTTGATGGAGCAAGGATCATCACCTTTAAGCTGGTTTAGAGGCTATATAATGTGGAGTGCTTGGTGCATTACTAAGACAGGGCAATTCACTTAATGGCTGTGCACTATTTCTTAGCTTGGTTTGAAGACAAAAAAGAATAATTTATATGTTCCAGAATAAATGAGATTATCTTATTATAGCTTCCAGAAGACATAATTTCCAAGCTGACAACAGCCACAAATGCATTTTAAGGTGTCTTTAATATATTTCACATAACTGCATAATTTTAGCTACTGTTTATGAAATAATTTAGTCACAAACCAAAGTCTAAAAATGACTTCATGTAACTTTTTAAAGAACAATACTTCCCCAAATAAGATCGACTGCTTCTTTCAAGATTATTTAAATCTTAGAATGGTACATTTTAAAAAAATCTGTGTTCAGTAATCTAAAGCAGCAGAAAAAAATTGATGTAAAACTTACGTTTTAAAAAACGCATTCTGGGCTGGGCACAGTGGCTCACGGCTGTAATCCCAGCACTTTGGGAGGCCAAGGTGGGCGATCACCTGAGGTCAGGAGATCTAGACCATCCTGGCTAACATGATGAAACCCTGTCTCTACTAAAAATACAAAAATTAGCCGGGTGTGGTGGAGTGCACCTGTAGTCCCTGCTACTCAGGAGGCTGAGGCAGGAGAATCGCTTGAATCCAGGAGGCCAAGGTTGCAGTGGGCGAGATCACGCCACTGCACTCCAGCCTGGGCGACAGAGCGAGATCCTGTCCCCCTCTCCCAAAAAAGCACATTCTGAAAAGATATATTTAAGGTGCAATGATTTGTTGTTGCACAGATACTTAAATTTTATTAACATATTGCCATAGAAAATAAGCATTCAATTCAACTTGAGAAATACTTGAGAACCTAGTATGTGCTTTCAGAAGTGACGAAGACAAAAAAAAAATGTGCTTTTTCAGCCTTCTAGAAGTATTTAGAACAAGAAAAGTGATTAATAGGTATGCAAATGCCTAACACAGAAGGAGGCAAAAGCTAAGAATTAGAAGAAAAAGTACCAGGAAAGGGATTAAGATAAAAATCCTTTTGGGTAGTTGTTGTTCCTCTTCCTCCTCCTCCTCCTTCCTCCTCCCTTCGTCCTCCCGGTCCTCCTCCCTCCTCCTCCTAAATCCTTTCGGGTAATTCCTCCCCCCCCCCTCCTCCTCCTAAATCCTTTTGGGTAATTCTTCCTCCTCCTCCTCCTCCTTTTCTTCTTCTTTCTGCTTCCTTCTCCTTCTTGGATCAAGGCTCTCTGCAACCTCTGCCTCCTGGGCTCACTTTATTAGCTCCACTTACTGAGATCCTGCTTACCGGGTTCCTGCACATAGTAAGTGGAAGATAACAAAACTAATATTGGATAATATTTGTCCTCCTACCTCAGCCTCCGGAGTAGCTGGGACTACAGGCACTGCGCGCCATCACATCCGGCTCATTTTTTATTTTTAGTAGATATGGGGGGTCTTGCCATGTTGCCCAGGCTGGTCTCGAACGCCTGGGCTCAGGCGATCGTCCACCTCTGCCTCCCAACATGCTGGGAGTTCGAGACCAGCCTGGCCCATATGGTGAAACCCCGTCTCTACTAAAAATACAAAAATTAGCCGGGCGTGGTGGCGCGCGCCTGTAGTCCCAGGTACTCGGGAAGCTGAAGCAGAAGAATCGCTTGAACCTTGGAGGCGGAGGTTGCAGTGAGCCGAGATGGGGTCACTGAACTCCAGCCTGGGCGACAGAGCGAGTATAGAAAAGTTCTCGTAGAACACTGTTAAACAGATGAACAACTTCAATACTTGCTCTTCTCTGCTTGATTTCATTTAGTGTGGTGAGTAAAAATTTAAATTCCAAATATTATTTACACGCAATTATATCCAGTAGAATTCCTGTTTGCTCAAATGGGAAGTCCCTAGCCGTTACTCATGTTGTCTTACGTCTGTATTGAACTCTTATTAGTTTGTAAAAGCTTTGGCAGAACTTTACAATCAGATGGTATGATTTTGCAAAGCCACTTCCTCTTACTACCACTGGTCATCTGTCATTTATTGGGCTGCCGTAAAGCAGGATTCCCCTTAAATCAAATTAAATTGGAATCACTTGAGTAAGGCTCAGGTACTAGTATATATATACATATATAGATAGATAGATAGATAGATATATTTTTTTTTTTTTTGAGACGGAGTCTCGCTGTGTCGCCCAGGCTGGAGTGCAGTGGCGCAATCTCGGCTCACTGCAAGCTCCCCCTCCCGGGGTTCACGCCATTCTCCTGCCTCAGCCTCCCGAGTCGCTGGGACTACAGGCGCCTGCAACCACGCCTGGCTAATTTTTTGTATTTTTAGTAGAGACAGGGTTTCACCGTGTTAGCCAGGATGGTCTCGATCTCCTGACCTCATGATCCGCCCGCCTGGGCCCCCAAAGTGCTGGGATTACAGGCGTGAGTCACCGCGCCCAGCCAGGCACTAGTATTTTTAAAACATTCTCCAAGTAATTTTCATGTGCAGCCAGAATTGCAACTCACCAGGCTAAACTGCAGTTGCGCAATTCTGGTCTTCTTGATACCTGATTTCTTTGCCCCTTCTCTTTTCTGGTTCAATGCATAATAAGAATTTTCCAATATTAGTTTTATTAGCTTCCACTTACTGAATTCTGCTTACGGGGGTTCCTGCTTAGTCTAGATAGTAAGCAGGAACTTACAAACTATGTAAGCTTATAGACTACATAAGCAGGAACCCTGTAAGCAAGAACTCAGTAAGTGGAAGCTAATTAAAACTACGTGCCAGGCAGGGTGCCAAGCATTTTTTGTGCATTATCTCATTTAACTTTCATAGCAACCCCGAAGTAGGTGCCATTTCTATGAAACCTGCCCAGTTACTGCCCCACTCCGCGGAATAAGCTCTTACCCACCGCTCCTCTTCTTCAATTCATTTCTGTTATGGAACTGTCGCGGCACTACAAAGTCTCTATGTAGTTATAAATAAACGTTATCTGGAAGAGCAGCCGACAACAACTTTCAAGATCTCCAATTCCCCGACCCCACACTCCAACTGACGCCTTCAACCACAACTACTGAGCCCCACTTTCAAAGCTCACTCACTAATATTGGATAATAGTTGTCTGCCTACCTCAGCCTCCGGAGTAGCTGGGACTATAGCGTCTTACTAGCCAGCTTCAGGGCTAGAATAGCCTTTCTGTGCAAGTGGAAAAAACCTCAGGTATTTCCCAAATCGGTAGCTGCAGAGGGGCTCTATCCCTACCAGAGATGGAGAAAAGCCCTCTCGCGCTTTTTATGTCAGCCAGAGCGGCTCGTTAAGAGAGCGAAGGCCAGGGGCTGCACAGGTCGCATCCCGTGAGCATGAGGTCAGAGAACCTGCCCCTGGGGCAAACCGCGAGGGGTGGGACGGGTGGGTGCAGGCGGGGCGGAGGGTAGGAGCCGCCCTAGTGGCGGCCCCTGGGAGTGTCCCGTGCCTCGCCTTAAAGGAGGGCGCCAACGCAATTTCAGTATGTGGGAGACGGGCTGCCCCACCCCCGCGCGCAAAACCCTGGTTTAGCTTAAGGGATGGAGGCGGGGACCCCTGCGCAGGCTTGCGGCGTGGGAGGCGGCCGCCCGCGACCTACGACGCCGCGCGCCGGGAGGCTGAGAGTTCGGCGCCGGGAGGGTCCCGGGGACAGAAGAGCGCCTCGCCCGGTTGCCAAGGCAACCCCACGCGGCTGGAGAAGCCGGCGCTCGCAGCCCGGCCCGGGCCGCTGCCGGAAGTGACGCGAGTTCACCTGCCGAGCGGGGGCTGGGAGGAGGGGCGGAGGGTGCAGAGGTGCCGCCGCCGCCGCGAGCCAGTCGGGAGCGCGCGAGGCGCGGGGAGCCTGGGACCAGGAGCGAGAGCCGCCTACCTGCAGCCGCCGCCCACGGCACGGCAGCCACCATGGCGCTCCTGCTGTGCTTCGTGCTCCTGTGCGGAGTAGTGGGTGAGTAGGGGCCATGGGGTCCTCAGCACCCGCCCAGCCCGGGGGCGCTCGCTGCCCGCGGCCACCCAGGAACAATGGGGCGTGGGGGAGGGGGCGGGCGCGATTTGGGGGCGCTGCTGCAGGGGCGGCGGGGCGGGCAGAATTGCACAGGGGCGCTTTTGCTGGGCCGGGCGCTCCTGGAGCCGTCCCGTAGGGAGCCGCGCAGGGCGCGCGGAGTGCCCGGGGACGGAGCCCTCGGCGGGGGGTGGAGGCGGAGGGGCTCGGGCGCGGCGTGTCGGGTGCGCCTCGCAGCTCTCCCATAGCATTCTCTGCCCCGGTGCGGGCTTGCCTTTCTTTGCTCTCGCCGTCTCCCTTGTCAGCCTTCGTGTCGGTTCTCTCCAGCGTTACCCGATTTCAAAAACCTTGGGCGGCGAGTTTTCAGGTGTCGAGTCGCCCAGGCGGGGAGGCTGAATTGCAAACGCCATTATTCAATGGACATGGAGCTGCCCGGTGCCTCGGATCGGCCAGGCTACCTCTAGGAAAGAGGCGCTGAGCGAACGCCAGCCTGGACGGTGTTAGTCTCCTGGAAGCAGCTCGCCCAGGCAGGAGCTGCTAACCAGACGCGCATTGTGAAGGAGACCGTGGAAAATCAAAAGTGGGTTCCTGCAAAAATGTAGCATTGGTTTCTGCAGTCCTTGGGCGAAGTGCAAAGGAGAATTCAGTGACCTCGTTTTTGAGTTTGTAATGAGTCGTTCATTTTGGAGATAAGACGGGCTGAGTTGTACAGGGTAATTGCTAGAGGATTTGCCAAGTGCGTTTGTCGACTGCTCCTTTCTCTGGGAGGGGAAAAAAGGCATGTGAAAAATGCGTGGACCATTAGGAGGCGTAATCATTTTGACACTTTAAAAAACGGATTTTCCATGTCGGTGTTTTAACCAACTGATCTTGTTTGTCAAACTAAGCACTTGCTGCGTTTTATAACCAAATAATTCATTTTTAAAAATCCGTAGGTGGGATCCTAGGAGGCGCACTTAGTATAGCCTCTGGAAGGGTAATTTTTTGTTGTTAGGTGCTCTGAAGCAGGATCTAGTGGCCCTTTCTGTTGGGATGGCTCTCTGCTTCCTGTTGAAATGTTAATTCCATTGTTGGATGCCACAGCTGTGAGCATTACTCATGGGATCAACATTCTATTAGCAAGTCTAATCTTCGATCTGAGCCTATAGCACTACCTCCACCTTTTTGATATATATCATTTAGACTTGGCGGGCTGAAATGTCCAAAGTAAGCCTTCCGGAGAAGATGAAGGGTCATAGAACCAGTTTACAGGTACATTCCCACCTTTCTTTCTTTTTTTTCTTTTTTTTGTCTAGGCCGAACCTGAAGATGAAGTTGAGAACACAGTGTGTTCTCTGGGAAAAAAAAAAAAAATAGTTTTAGACCACATCTAAAGCAGAAAAGTGGAAGAACATAAATTATGTGGAGGAACTTTTTTTTTTTTTTAAATGGAGTTTCGCTCTTGTTGCACAGGCTGGAGTGCAATGGCGTGATCTTGGCTCACCACAACCTCCGCCCCCCGCGTTTAAGCGATTCTCCTGCCTCAGCCTCCTGAGTAGCTGGGATTACAGGCACCCCCCACCATGCCCGGCTAACTTTTTTATTTTTAGTAGAAACCATGTTGGTCAGGCTGGTCTCAAACTCCCGACCTCAGGTGATCCGCCTCCCTCAGCCTCCCAGAGTCCTGGGATTACAAGCGTGAGCCACCATGCCTGGCAGGAACTAGTTGTTGTTGTTTTAACGGGAATATTTAGATAATTGGATTTAATTTTTTTTTTTTGGAATGCCTCACTTTGATAGGCACAATTCTAAGAAATAATATTTTGATGCAGAGAGTCATTGTGCTCATAAGGTATACACGGGTACAGTGAACATCTACTCGAAGGGCCAGTGTCTCAGCTAAACAAGGCAACTATCTTTATTCCAGTTTTTCAGTTTAAGAACAGCTGAGGCCAGGCACGGTGCTTGTAATCCCAGCAATTTGGGAGGTTGAGACGGGAGGGTCATTTGAGTGTAGGAGTTTGAGACCAGCCTGGGCAACATGGCGAGACCGCATTTCTACAAAAAATACAACAAAATAAAACCCAAAAAGAACTAGCTAGGTGCAGTGATGCTTGTCATAGTCCCAGCTACGCGGGAGGCTGAGATGGGAGGTTTGCCGGAGCCTGGGAGGTCTAAGCTCATGAGGTCTAAGATCATGACGCTGCTCTCGAGCCTGGGCGACAGAGTGAGACTCTGTCTCAAAAAAAAAAAGAAGACATACTAATTGATGAATGGCTTTATTTCTTCAGATATTTCTGACCATTTAGAAATGCATTGGTATGGGCCGGGCGCGGTGGCTCACGCCTGTAATCCCAGCACTTTGGGAGGCCGAGGCGGGCAGATCATGAGGTTAGGAGATCGAGACCATCCTGGCTAACACGGTGAAACCCCGTCCCTACTAAAAATACAAAAAAATTAGCCGAGCCTGGTGGCAGGCGCCTGTAGTACCAGCTGAGGCTGAGGCAGGAGAATGGCGTGAACCCGGGAGGCGTAGCTTGCAGTGAGCCCACATCGCGCCACTGCATTCCAGCCTGGGCGACAGAGCTAGACTCCGTCTCTGAAACAAATAAACAAAAAAAAAGGCATTGTTATTAACTCAAGTTCACTGTTAACATGATTGACTCCTACTTTAGCAAAACAAGGGAAAGACTCATTCAGATTATACCGTCAGTGATAGATATTCCTCCAGCTCTGAAACAGTTTTGTGGTATACTCTGGCTGCAGATGGGACTCCTTTCGATGCATTTTTATTGGCTGCCTACTAGTGAGTCATACTACTAGTAATCAGTAGTAGCAGCAGTAGTAAGCAGTGGCAGTAGCAGTAGTAGTAAAATTAAACCCTTGATCAGTTATGAAATGCCAGATACTGTTCTAAGGGCTTTACATACCTATATATTCAATCCACCAAGCAACCCGAGAGGGTATTTATTATACTTATCCCTGTTGTACAAATAGAGAAACAGAGGCACAGAGTCGTTATATAATTAACTTGTGAAGATCACAGATTTGCTCTTGAATCTGTGTTCTCATCACACTATGCTCTTCTGTCCCTACAGCAGCCACTTTCTCTTACTACCACTGGTCATCTGTCATTTATTAAGAACCTACTGTTGGTTTGACTGTGTGTCAAATACTGAAGGCTTTTATTATTAGCTCTTTAATGTCATAGTCTTAATTGAATACTTTGAGGCATTGTGAGGACACTAGTTTCTCCAGGGCTTGGGTTGACATTGTAAACTAATGTGGCCTAGGGACCTGCAGCGTCAGCATTACTTAGGGATCTTGTTAAAGTTTGGGGTGGTGTTCTTCAATTGCCAACATGAATGGAACTAAAAAAGTCTGGTCTCCCAACCTCTTGTTAGCTATTTGATGGTGGCCAAGCCTCACTGTGTGTCTGTTGCCTTACGTGTCAAGAATGGGGATCCTGGAGCAGGTAATGGGGGTTGAAGGTGGAAGGGTTGGGTAGATGTTGGTCAAGGGATACAAAATTAAATCCATTATCCAACATGGTGACTATAGTTAATAACAATGTATTATATTTTTGAAAATTGCTATGAGTGGATTTTAAGTGTTCTCACCACAAAAAGTATGTGAGGTAATGCATATGTTAATTCCCTGGATTTAACCATTTCACAAGGCACACATATTTCAAAATAATGTGTTATATGTAGATAAACATACACAATTTTTGTCAATGAAAAATAGAAAAAAAACAGAAAAATACCAAATTTATAAAATAAATTGAGGTGTTTGGATGAAAAAAAATACAAGAGCTTTGCCTTCATGTCTGTAGATCTCTTAATATATTATTGGTCTTGCATCTCAGATATCAAATAAAGGTACCTAGCTTGACACAAAAGTTGGTAGCTGCAAGGTTAAGCTGTATTAGTTTGATGATGGGCCAGGAAATGATATATTTTCTAAATTTTATCCTTAAATATTGGCTGTAACAAATGCTGATATAGCAAAACGTAAGCTTCTATTAGACAGCAAGAGGGAAACTTGAGTGAATGAATGCAACTTACCTCCAAGTCCTCTTAAAGGAGGTAAAATAATAAATACTGTGTTTTACCAGTGCTCCCCCCAAAGCATTATTCTAAGCATGCAGGAGGGTATAGTGAGCAGCTACAATAGTAAGATCCAACCCAGAGGTAGGTTCAAGGCCAAGAGTAGGAGAGTGGTTGAGGAAATCCTCCTAGGGCCAGTACCATTTCATAGAATGCCCATTTGTGTTGGGGGATGAGTCTGGCCTATTTTCTTCTGATTCAAAAGCACATTCCCAATTTCAACCTTGCTGAAAAAGAGGCATTTTTGTACCTGCTATTAAGAACAGCTAGGATACAGGATAAGGCTGGCATAAAATTATTTAGCAAGCACATGCTAGCTATTCCAGTTTGAAATCTACCAAACTGTAAAATCGGGGAGAAATAAAAAGTTGAAGTTGTTGTTCCTCAAGATGAGGGAACAAAATCTTACAAAAGGTGGGATTAGGCACTCGCTTAACTCTATATGGAGAACATCCTTCTCAAGCTAGGTGGAAGATGAGGAAGAATATTACCAAAAGCTGACCAGGCCATTTGGAGACCAAAAGGAAAGGAAAAAAGGCATTTAGGAAGCAAGCTAGTAAAAGAAGTTCTTCTGGGTCTGACTAGGTAAGTGAATCTAAGGGAACCATACCAAAGATATGTTACCCATTACTCCAGCATGAAGCCAGTGGCAAAATACCTCAAGACATTTTAAACCCAGAGAAGTGTATGAAAAATATGATAGTTAACCAAGCAGATTAAAATCAAACCACTAATGGTAAAAATCTCTTCAGATCTGAAATCCAAGATACTCACTTTCCATTAATTCTGTGTTTTATAGGGGGAAAAGAAAAGTAACAAATGTAAAGATTTTTTTTATTTCTACTGGGGAGGGAGGAGGATAAATAGAACTGTTTTCCAATTTGCTCTCCACTGTATACACACATACCCACACACATACATAAGCAAACATACACCAAAAATACCCCAAACCAAAAACAAAAAAACCAGGAATCAAAACCCAGAACACCCTCAAACTGCACCAATACTTCATATTTTGACCAAAAAAATATCCTGAGAGGAAGGCAAAATGCAAAATCAAATGACAGAAAAATGCTGAACAGCATTATTAATATACAAAATATTTATATTAGTGAACTAGTAACAGGTGATGTTCTCTGTGTCTGTAAAACTTTGGAACCACATAGCTGATTTGTTCAATCTAGTCCATGCCAGCTTCCAAAAACCATGCCAGCTTCATTCTTTGATGCCTCATCAAAATTTTCTACAAGATCGGGAACATCATCATCCTCCTCATCAGTGTCTTCTGGTTTTGCTGCTTTACTGTCCAAGACTTGCCGTGGGAACTGTTCAGCTAACTTCCTAAGGCTTGTTAAACTGTCAGCACCAAGCTGACTTAATATTCCAGGTATCATTTCTGTGATTGGTTTGGCTTCTGCATGACCAGTAATTGCAAAGGTGTTAGCAGAAAGGGAAGCTTGGACTTTGGGATTGTTGAAGTGAATAACTGTCCCATCATCTTTAATCATGTTCATCTCTTCAATACCAACTATATTATTCACAGCCAGTTTTTTTAGAGAACTCTGAAGCTTTTTGTCATCAGCCATGGCTGTTTTATGTACCACCTTCTTTCTGCGAGCTGTACCCTTGCCCCCTATCCGGACCTGAGCCTGAAGTTTGGCTAACTTTTCTTGATTCATGCTGTTGGTAAATCTGAAGCAGGGAGGGTCCTCCAGCACCAGCACGCGGCAAGAGCAAGATGGCTGCCCGATATGCCCCCTCTTAATCTTTTCATTCCTGCGATTATACCACCATCAGAGGAAAAATGCCTCCCCTCCAAGGCAAGCCTCCCTACATTGGCTCCTTACCCTGTCTGTTGTGGGGTCTCCATCGATTACCAACTTAGCTCACTGCACTAGATCAGAGGACAGGGCCATTACCTATATTCATTGTTGCAGTCCCTGCATGGTCTTGTGGCTCCTGGCAGACAGCTAGTGTTCAGCAAGTCCTTTTTGCATGACTGAAAGTTTTCAACTTCTTTGCCACTAGGCCTGTGTGTATGATAGAGCTCTCTTCAGTTCATCACTCTCTCCCTTCTCATCTAATAAAGATGGTCCTTACAGTGATTATTCCACTAGTCATGTCTGAGTCAGTTTTTAATCTAAAGAAGCTGAGCTTCTGCTTTATCTTTGACCTCGTTCTATTTTTTCTCCTGCTTCAGTTGCCAAAGGTTACAGTAATGCATGTGCCAAATTGGTTTATCTCTTTGGAACTCCTTGACACCTATTTTGGTTCTTTCCCACCCTGTTGACCTGCGCTTTACTGTCTTCTAAAATAGGTCCCTTAAATGTCAGCCTTCCTTATAGTTTAGCCCATAGTCAATCTTGACCTTAAACCTGGGTGACCTCTTGTATCCATCATGGTAATCTCCCAAGTATTGGTAGTGAATTAAAAATATTTTCAGCTCCCAGCCTGGCCAACATGGTGAAACCCTGTCTGTACTAAAAATACAAAAATTAGCCAGGTGTGGTGATGTGCGTCTGTAATCCCAGCTACTCAGGAGGCTGAAGCAGGAGAATTGCTTGAAGCTGGGAGGCTGAGGTTTCAGTGAGCTGAGATCGCGCCACTGCACTCCAGCCTGGGTGACAGAGCGAGACTCCATCTCAAAATAAATTATATGTATACACACACACACACACGCACGCACATGCACACACACACATATATATATAAAATATATATTTGCACCTCAACCCACCTCTGCTTTGGATCCTGGGCCACTATTTCCAACTGCGTAACTATTCAACTTCCATTCGAATACCTAACACTCTTCACTCTCCAAGTACACTCACCTGTTAATTAAGTGATACTTAATGTACTGATACTACTATGTGCAAAGCCATGTGCCAGGTGCCCCTACAATAGAACATGACATTGCAAGTTGCAAAAGCTTTGGCAGAATTTTCCAGTCAGATGGTACAGCTTTTGCAAAGACATAGAGATCTGAAGGGTTTGATATGTCTTGGGAGTTGAGTAGTTCAGTGCATGTAAGGCACCTAACCAGTGCTTCTCAAACTTTGTGCATCTGAATGATTCTTACAAGGAAGTCTAGGTGGGGCTTGTGAGTTTGCATTTTAACAAGTTTTACATGATGTCACTGCTGACCACGTTTTGTGTGGGCAAAGATCTAAAGGCCATACTGAGAGCTTGGTGGGAGCTGACAGGTCTGTCAGGTTATGCACCCTAACCCCACGGTACTAAGACATTTGTGGAAGTGTCGAGAAGTAAGGTTATACGCTGAGATTTATTTTATTGAATGGTAGCTATGTAGCAGTTCTCAAGGAAGGTAGAACTGATAGAGCTAACACAGGAATCCTCTGGGATGATCTGGACGTAAGCAGTCCCTGTTGAAACGCAGCAGAAGAGAGTTGGGCTTCTGCTTTGATCTGGAAAGCTTTTCTGAAGAAGATAGTAGTGGAACCTGATGTCTGGTTGCTTGAATGAGTAGCATGAAAAAGTTGGAGAGATTTCTGGCTTGAGTGTATAATGATGTCACTAACCTACGGGAAATAAAAAGGAGCAGGTTTTAGGGAGATGACAATGAGCTTAAGTTTGGACAGGTAGTATTTGAGGTGCCTGAGAGGCAAGGAGGTAAAAAAATATCTGATAGGAAGATTGCAACACAGGACTGGATTTCAGGAAAGAGACAGACATTGGTGATACAGACTTGAGAATTCACTGCTGTTAGGTGGCGTCTGTATAAAGTTAAGGAGGAAATGCAGGTAGGACTAGAAGAGAAGGTGAAATGTGAGGCGGGGGAAACATGAACTTCTAATAAGTACATGAGGAAGCAGCTGGGAGTAAGAAGGAGTGATAGGGGATATAGGAGACCTAGAGGATGAAGGTGTCCTAGAGAATGATGCAAAAGTGAGGCTAGTGGGTTTTAGCACTGGGAGACTGTTGAGAACATTCAGAAAGTTCCCATGGGGAAGACAGCTCTGCAGAGGTGAGAGTGAAGCCAGATTTTATTATTATTATTATTATTTTGAGACGGAGTCTTGTTCTGTTACCCAGGCTGGAGTGCAGTGGCACGATCACGGTTCACTACAACTTCCACCTCCTGGGTTCAAGCGATTCTCCTGCCTCAGCGTCCCGAGTAGCTGGGAATACAGGTGCCCGCCACCACACCTGGCTAATTTTTTTATTTTTAGTAGAGATGGGGCTTCGCCATGTTGGCCAGGCTGGTCTCGAACTCCTGACCTCAGGTGATCCACCCTCCTTGGCTTCCCAAAGTGCTGGGATTATAGGCGTGAGCCACCGCACCTGGCCAGGCTCCAAATTTTGATAGAGGAGTGGGCATCAGGTAAGTGGAGAGTGAAAAATAAACTTCACATTTGCAGGTGGTTTGACAGTGAAGCTTTGCATGTGTGGCCTTAATTCCAGAGGACAGTAGCATATCCCAGGGGAGAAGGTAGAAGCCAGCAGATAAAGACTCTTTTAACTTCCCTCCATCTAGGCCTACAATCTTGTCCACATCATCATTCCACAAAACATGGTATTTCTCCTTAAGGCCAATTCCTGAACTTCAGACCTTTTGGCTTCTCAGGGATGTCACTCTGTTATCCCATCTATTATATCTGGATTCCGTCAACTTTAACCAAGCTTATTTATCCCTCTTTATATTCCTTCGGTACTGTTGTCGCTTTGCCTTTATTTTTTATTTTTAAATTATTTATTTTTTTGAGACAGTGTCTCTCTCTCTTGCCCACGCTGGAGTGCAGTGGGCTCAGGTGATTCTTCTATCTCAGCCCTCAAGTAGCTGGGACTACAGGCACCTAGGCTTATTTTTCTTCTTTCTTCCTTTTTTTTTTGGAGACGGAGTTTTGCTCTTGTTGCCCAGGCTAGAGTGCAATGGCGCGATCTCGACTCACCGCAACCTCTGCCTCCCGGGTTCAAGTGATTCTCCTGCCTCAGCCTCCCGAGTAGCTGGGATTACAGGCATGCACCACCACGCCTGGGTAATTTTGTATTTTTAGTAGAGCGGGGGTTTCTCCATGTTAGTCAGGCTGGTTGTGAACTCCCGACCTCAGGTGATCCGCCCGCCTCGGCCTCCGAAAGTGCTGGGATTACAGGTGTGAGCCACTGCGCTCAGCCTTTATTTTTCTTTATTAACCAGATTTCTGGAAAAAATAGCCTGCATGTACTGACTGCATTATTTTCTTTCATGCCCACTAATTCTTCCATCCTTTGCAATCTAATTTTCATCCCCTTCTACTTCTATGAAACTGCAGTTGCTGTAGATTGCAGTTGACACTGTGGCTACATCCGGTGGTCACATCGTATCTTCAGCCTCTTAAACCTCAGCACAAATAGCTCTATTGAACAGTTTCTTTCTGCTCTTGAGCTATTCCTCATTTCCTTTTGTATGGTCCATTTCCTTCGTGTACCGTAAATGCCAACATTTCTCAGTTTATGGGTGCAGTTACTGTTTATTTGCCTACAGTCTCCAGTACATTTCTAGTCTCCCTTCTCCAACTTTACCCACATCAAAACCATCCACTTAATGTCTCTACACACACTTCCCACAGGCATCTCCAGCTGATTCTGTTTCACACTCTTCTCTCTCATATTAATTGGCATTTTCAGACACCAAAATGCCCAGGCAAAAATATGAATATCTTACTTGGCCTTTCCTATTTTCCCATCTGCTCATATCCAATTTCGAAGTCATTGTGTCCCTCCAGCCACTACCTGTAATCTAGGTTATACCATTCTCTCTTCAGCTTGTTGAGATGCTTTCATAATTGGCCTCCTGTTGAGTGAACTTTACCCTGTCCTCCAGGCACATCCTGTTACTTACTGCAGCATGTTCTAACCTTTATCAAGCATGCCGATACTGTCATTGTTTTCTCTTGCCAGAATGTACATTTCATAGGTCAGGCACTGTTTACATTGTATTCCCAGTATATGGCACAGGGCATGTTCATTGCATAAATGGGGAAAGTTATGCTAGACAGGAATTCATGTTTGTAGGCTTGGGAAGGACCTAGAAGAGAAAGAGCATTTGAAGATCAAGAATAGGTACCTCATGGAAGAGGTGAGCAGGGCTGGGCTCTGTGTCCTGCACAGGTCAGCTTTGTGTCAGCTTTGCCAGGTGTTCAGGAGTGGAGTTTATATCACCACTCACATTTAGTTCTCCTACTTGCAGCCAGTTCTCTCCCCTTCCCTTATTTCCACCTTTCATCTGTCATAGAAGTCATCATCAGATGAGAGTTGATGCTTTGTGTCATTAAATAAAGGAAATAATTGAGGCTGGGAACTTTGGATTCAGTTTATTTGGTGGCTAGCAAGTAGTTGATGTGAAGATAATTATTAAATTAAATTAATTATTAAAATAAGATAATTATTAAAATAATGCAGAAAACAATTAAAAATTATCCAACCAGAATGACCTTATGGGTTTATCTTACTGTCTTTCATCTAACTTCTGTTTCTTAAGAAAACAAACCTAGTAATCTAGAATAATAATTGTTCAATTGGGTTTGGATTTAGGTTGGTTCTTTTTATTTTTCTTTTTCTTTTTTAAACAGAGTCTTGCTCTGTCGCCCAGGCTGGAGTGCAGTGGCGCGATCTCGGTTCACTGCAACCTCCGCCTCCCAGGTTTAAGCAATTCTCCTGCCTCAGCCTCCCAAGCAGCTAGGATTACAGGCGCTCACCACCATGCCCAGGCGATTTTGTGTGTGTGTGTGCGTGTGTGTGTGTGTGTGTGTGTGTATTTTTAGTAGAGTTGGGGTTTCACCATGTTGGCCAGCCTGGTCTTGAACTTCTGACCTCAGGTGATCCACCCACCTCAGCCTCCCAAAGTGCTGGGATTACACGTGTGAGCCACTGTGCCTGGCCTACATTGATCTCTTCTGTGCCTTCCCATTTGTCTTTCTTCCCTCAACTTATTGCCTCACCCATTCTTTTTTCAGTAGTTACCCAGGGCCAGGCGTGGTGGCTCATGCCTGTAATTCCAGCACTTGTGGGAGGCCGAAGCAGGCGGATCACCTGAGGTCAGGCATTCGAGACCAGCCTGGCCAACATAGTGAAACCCTGTCTCTACTAAAAATACAAAAATCAGCTGGGCGTGGTGGTGTGTGCCTGTAATCTCAGCTACCTAAGAGGCTGAATCAGGAGCTACCCAGGAGGAGAATCGCTGGAACCCGGGAGGCAGAGGCTGCAGTGAGCCGAGATCATGCCACTGCACTCCAGCCTGGGCAACAGAGCAAGACTCTATCTCAAAAAAAAAAAAAAAAAAAAAAAAAAAGCCAGTTAGAGGCTGGGAGTGGTGGTGTGCGCCTGTAATTCCAGCACTTTGGAAGGCTGAGGTGGGAGAATCACTTGAGCTCAAGATTAGCCTGTGCAACATAACAAGACCTCATCTCTACAAAAAATACAAAAATTAGCCACGTGTGATACAAAAATTAGCCGGGTGTGGTGGCACGTTCCTGTAGTCCCAGCTATTCGGGAGGCTGAGGTAGGAGAATCACTTGAGCCCAGGAGGTCAAGGCTGCAGTGAGCTATGATTGCACCACCGCACTCCAGCCTGGGCGACAGAGTGAAACCCTGTGTCCAAAAAAAGTTAGCCAATTAGACTTAAATTAAGCCTTTGAGTTTAAGTTGACTCAAGTTTTTGTAGTTTATTTCAGTTGGTGGGGTGTTTGCAGAAGAAAAGACTTTCTTGATCTATTGATAAAAAAAGGAAGATAGGAAAAGGGAAGGAGATAATAGTAACAATATTTTTAGGGTAAGTGTGAGATCAGTGGTATGGTTCAGTTTGTCCTTTGGTACTTGGTGAGAAAAAGGATTAACAATTAAATTAACCAACATTTATACATACTAAGAAAATGCAAATTTCTTTGGAAACGTTAAAATCATTTTCATTCTTTCAAAGATATTTCTTACAAAGTGGAATGGGAATGGTTTTAATTTCATTTACTTCTAAGAAATAAAAGTATGTTAAGATTTTAAGAAGAAACAACATAACTAATTGCAGTTATTTTTTCACTTTCCCATCGTTAGATGTGTGTTCTATGTGAGTTTTAGACATTTTCAGAGGAAGGGTGGATTGACTGTATGTTTGAAGTCCTCTCAAGGAATCTCAAGGGACATACAATGAACTAAATGTGTTCAGCCCCCACCTTTGTTCAGTTGTTGGAGTGACTATCACTTATTCTCTTCAGTCTCTCTCACATGTATTTTAAACACTTGAATACTGGACAGTTCCCATGGGAGATTTCTGTCAAGGACCAGATACAAACTTTTGACTTTGTTTTGTGCCAGGGTAATTCTGCAGGAAGAATTGAGAAGACTCTTAACTTACTCAGTTGTACAGTGGAAATCTGATACTTCTAGAATGAACTTGTAAATCTGGATGAGCAAAATGATCATATCTTATTTTTAAAGACAATTGCACACGCATCTCATTTAGAGCCACTCTCTTAACCTTGGGATAGAAAGGACACATCATATTATTCTCATGTATAGGAAACAAGTCCTAAAGCCCAGGCAATTGTGGCATTGGTGTTAGAACAGTGCTGTCCAACAGAAATATAATGCAAGCCACATATGTAATTTAAAATTTGCTAGTAGCCACATTAAAAGGCAAAAAGAAAAATGTGAAATGAAACAATATATTTTGTTTAACACAATACATACAAAATATGCTTTTTTCCCCATGTATTCAAATGAAAAATATTGGGATATTAAAATGTTTTTCGTACTTTGCCAGAATCTGGTCAGTGTTTGACCTACAGCACATCTCATTTGCACTAGCCATGTTTCAAGTGCCAGCAGCTACTGTATTGGTCAGCACTAGGAGTTTTAGTTCCAGTCATCTTCCACCATAGTCCTAGAACATTTAACCTGAAAAAGCATGGGGGCAGTGTGCCATCAAAACAGCTTTCTCAAATGGAACATGCCTTTGGAATAGTTCTCATGAGATTTTACTTCTAAAATCGTTATTTTTTTTTTGTCACATAGTATTTGTTTCCTGTTAGCGATGAGCTAAAATAGTTTCTTATTTCTTACTTAATCTCTTGTAGTCATCAAAACATTTGTTACAGGCACACAAAATTGTATCAGCTCTCCTTATTCCATAGTTAAAGCCAATCACATCTTGAGTATAAAGCAGAAAAGTATATGCATAATAATTATATTTTTAATTTGCCTAGGTGGGGAAATAAATGCATTTATGGAAAGGTCCAAAAGAAGCAGGATAGAATGGCCCCAGGTAATGGTTGCTGGGGAAATTTGAATTCACTTAGAGTTATTAAAAAGGAATCTATACCAAGATTGGGGCAATCAGGTTAGACATGCTCACAACAGGGATAATTTTCTTATTGGAGTTAACTTTTTCTTCATTAACTTCAGGACTTTTCTATAAGGAAATACACTATTTGCTCATTTTGCTAATAACATCTGTGTCTATTTCTTGGATATCTTATTTTCTGTGATCACATCTTTATAAGACACTTCATCTGGGTGGGTTTTGGTGTTTTGTTTTTGTTTTTGTTTTGCTAAATAGTCACTTTTCCTGTCTCATGTTAATTGAAGAGGAAGAGAAGCGAGCTGCAAGTTTTATATGAGCCAGGAGGCAAAGGAAGATTTCCTTATATGGAGTGATACATATTATTCTATGAAGGTGATGAAAATATTCACCATGGCAACTGATCTGCCTTACCCATAATGCAAAATACCCTATTTGCATTTATTTTGCCAGAGAATTCTGAAATTAGGATCTATGTAGTAGAGAATATGAGGAAGGTAATATACTATTTCGGTTGAAAAGGAGAATAATTTTTCTTTTGACTCGTCAAGTGCAGTAGTAAGAAGGGGGGAAGAGAAGAACAAAGAGTTGGATCTGTAACTGTGAACAATTGATTGAAATAATTCACTACTTTTAGACCAACCAAGAAGAAGAATAGTTTTGACCAGAATTGGAATTTGAACGCTCCCCCAAGTTGAGTATGTCTGTGTGCTAGTGGAGTGGGGAAGGGTTGAGTCACAATCCAGTTCAGCAAATCTCTGCCAGGATGTTTACTTTTTAGCTCCCCTTATCTGATTTTCCATTGTAAATTTGTATTAAATATTTCTGATAAGCAGCCTCAATTCTTGTGGAAGTTTGAGGGCAAATAAATAATATGTACTTATGGGCAAGGCATTGTAATAGTTGCTTCAGGAGATTTAAATGAGTAACACACCATTCTAGTACTCTTGGCAAGCTTAAATCCAGAGGGAGGAGTCAGACAATTATTCGTGCAGCTATGGTACCAGGCAGAGCAAGGCAGGAATCATAGCAGATATGCTATCTGAAAATGTAAGGTATTCTGATTATTCCTTCCATGCCTTAACTGGCATCTCTAAACCATTTTTCCTTCCACCTTGGGAACCCCTCATCCTTTGAGACTTCTGCCCTTTGCTTATATCTAACTTATAGTTGCTGCTCCTTTTTTATTTTTTTATTTTTATTTATTTATTTATTTATTTTTTAATGAGACGGAATCTCGCTCTGTCGCCCAGGCTGGAATGCAGCCTGCTTCTCCTTGTTGACAGGAAATGCTCAGCTTCACATTCACCCCCTGCCCCAGCATTATCCGGCATTTTAGTATTTACGTTTTACAATGCACTTTTCTAACATCCTTACACCACATTTTCTTGACCTTTCAAATACAGTGAAAGGTATTTTTTAGCAATTTTACTTAGGCAGTGCTCTCCTTATGCTTAGTTCTTTCTTTTTTTTTTTTTTTTTTTTTTTGAGACAGAGTCTGGCTCTGTCGCCCAGGCCGGATTGCAGTGGTGAGATCACAGCTCACTGCAAGCTCTGCCTCCTGGGTTCACACCATTCTCCTGCCTCACCCTCTCGAGTAGCTGGGACTACAGGTGCCTGCCACCTCACCCAGCTAATTTTTTTGTATTTTTAGTAAAGACGGGGTTTCACCATGTTGTCCAGGATGGTCTCAATTTCCTGACCTCGTGATTCGCCTGCCTTGGCCTCCCAAAGTGCTGGGATTACAGGTGTGAGCCACCGCGCCCGGCATGCTTAGTTCTTTTTTCTTTTTTCCCACGCTAAACCAGAGACCCTTTTTTTGAAATGGAGTTTCGCTCGTTACCCAGGCTGGAGTGCAGTGGCGCGATCTCGGCTCACCGTAACCTCCACCTCCCGGGTTCAAGCGATTCTCCTACCTCAGCCTCCCGAGTAGCTGGGACTACAGGCATGCGCCACCACGCCCAGCTAATTTTTTGTATTTTTTAGTAGAGACGGGGTTTCTTCATGTTGGTCAGGCTGGTCTTGAACTCCCGATCTCAGGTGATCCGCCCACCTTGGCCTCCCAAAGTGCTGGGATTACAAGCGTGAGGCAGCACGCCCGGCCAACCAGAGACCCTTTAATGCTTAGATCTTCACTTCTAAAATCTTGAACTCTAATATCATGCCTCCCAGCTTTCTCATTCTGCATCACACCTTCTCCTTAATATCAGTGAGGCCTCCAGAGCCTTTCCCAACTCTCACACCCCTACTGGTCTTCTGGCTACTTTAAAACCAGAATTTCGTCACTAGTCCTGGTCAGACTCCAGCTCCCGTTCCTGATGTGGATCAGTTCTCCGGGGCAGTTTCTTTGCTCCTACTCACGGACTGTGATGCACAGCTGTGTGGCTTGGGGAGGTACTTTTTATTGTCCAATTTGACTGGACTTTTTGTCTTTTTTTTTTTTTTTTTTTTTTGAGACAGAGTCTCACTCTGTCACCTAGGCTGGAGTGCAGTGGCGCGATCTAGGCTCACTGCAACCTCTGCCTCCCTGGTTCAAGCGATTCTCCTGCCTCAGCCTCCTGAGTAGCTGGGATTACAGGAGCCCGCCACCATGCCTGGCTAATTTTTGTAGTAGAGACGTGGTTTCACCATGTTGGTCAGGCTGGTGTCGAACTCCTGACTTCGTGATTCACCCGCCTCGGCCTTCCAAAGTGCTGGGATTACAGGCTTGAGCCACTGCACCTGGCTTTTTTTTTGAGACACAGTTTCATTCTCCCTCCCAGGCTGCAGTGCAGTGGCATGATCTTAGCTCACTGCAAGCTCTGCCTCCCGGGTTCAAGTGATTCTCATGCCTCAACCTGTTGAACAGCTGGGATTACAGGCATGTGCCACCACGCCCTGCTAATTTTTGTATTTTTAATAGAGATAGGGTTTTGCCATGTTGGCCAGGCTGATCTCGAACTCCTGACCTCAAGTGATCCACCCACCTTGGTCTCCCAAAGTGCTAGGATTACAGGTGTGAGCCACTGCGCCCGGCCGCCTTTTTGAATTAAGTACATTAATAAAGCGTTAGAACATTATGTATTTAACACAAAGACAATTTGAATTTGCTTTTTTGTTGCTTATTCCTTCAGGTATTCTAAAATTTATTTTTAAGTAAAGCTTTTAATTGAAGTTATGACATGCACAGACTACCACACAGTTTAGACCATTAATTTTTATAAACGTACAGGGTAGAGCATTGTCACAAAGTGGCCACACCTGCATACCTAGCAACCTGATCCGGAAATAGAACCCAACCCACATATCAGAAGCCCTGTCATGCCCCTTCCAGTCCCTTCCTTTACTATTTTTCTTTTTCTTTTTCTTTTTTTTTTTTAATTTGAGATGGAGTCTCGCTCTGTTGCTCATGCTGGAGTGTAGTGGCTTGATCTCGACTCACTGCAACCTACACCTCCTGGGTTCAAGCGATTCTCTTCCCTCAGCCTCCTGAGTAGCTGGGACTACAGGCGCATGCCACCATGCCAGGCTATTTTTTTTTTTTTTTTTTGTATTTTTTAGTAGAGACGGGGTTTCACCATACTGGCCAGGCTGGTCTCCAACTCTTGACCTCAAGTGATCAATCACCCACCTCGGCCTCCCAAAGTGCTGGGATTACAGGCGTGAGCCACTGGGCCCGGCCTCCTTCACCCTTTTTTCCACTCTTTTCTGATTTCTAACAATGTAGATTAGTGTTAACATTTTATATAAATAGAATTTTACAGTTTGTGTTTTTTGTCTTATTTTACTTCTCATGTTGGTAAGATTATTCATGTTGTGTAGCTTTGTTTTATTCATTTGCATTGCTGTGTGATATTCTATTATGTGACTGTATCACAATTGATTTATTTATTCTACTGATGGACCCTTTTTCCCAGCTTTTTTGCCATTATGAAATAACTACTGTGAAGGCCGGGCGTGGTGGCTCACGCCTGTAATCCCAGCACTTCGAGAGGCCAAGATGGGCCTATCACTTGAGGTTAGCAGTTCAAGACCAACCTGGTCAACATGGTGAAACCCCTTCTCTACTAAAAATACAAAAATTAGCCGGGCGTGGTAATGCATGCCTGTAATCCCAGCTACTAGGGAGGCTGAGGCAGGAGAATCACTTGAGCCCAGGAGGCAGAGGTTGCGGTGAGCCGAGATTGCACTGTTGCACCGCAGCCTAGGCGACAGAGCGAGACTCAGTCTCAAAAAAAAGAAAAAGAAAATACTACTGTGACATTATCCTACATGTGTTTTCATGCATATGCACATAAATTTCTCCCTATCAATGGAATTTCTGAGTCCTGTAGGTTATACATAAGTTTCACTGTGGTTGATACTGCCAGTTAGTTTTCCAAAGCTAATTGTACCAGTTGACACTTCGATCAAAGAGTATGAAAGTTCCAGTTGCGGTCAGGCGCAGTGGCTCACGCCTGTAATCCCAGCACTTTGGGAGGTCGAGGTGGGTGGATCACGAGGTCAGGAGTTCAAGACCAGACTGGCCAGCGTGGCGAAACCCCATCTTTACTAAAAATACAAAGCTTAGTTGGTCGTGGTGGCAGGGCGCCTATAATCCCAGCTATTCAGGAGGCTGAGGCAGGAGAATCGCTTGAACCAGGGAGGCGGAGGTTGCAGTGAGCTGAGTTTGTGCCATTGCACTCTAGCCTGGGCGACGGAACGAGACTCTGTCTCAAAAAAAAAAAAAGAAAAGAAAAAAGAAAGTTAAGAAAGTTCCAGTTGCGCTACATCCTTATCATGGCCTTCTTTCATTTTGACTATTCTGGTGGATGTGTTAGTGCCATCTCATTATAATTTTCTTTTCTTATTCTTTTTGTTATGGAAAATTTCAAATATATGTAAAACTAGAGAAAATTATTTGGCACATCCCAGTATATCTTTGCTCAGCTTTATCAACTCTCAGCTCATGTCAGACTTTTTCTGCTGCTCTGTTGACTCTGATTTGTTTCGCCATTCCTCCTCACAGGTGTCTCAGACTTGGACCAGTCTCTAAAATTCTCTACCTACAAAATGTTCAGCCTCTTGTATTTTAAGTTAATATTGTAGTCCCCGTTTGTCACAGAGGATATCAGGTACAAATTCTTGCAATTTCTTGTACTCTAATGTGTAAACTTAACGATAAGTGTGCCAATGTTTACATCTTTCCTTCAATCTCTTTTTGGTTTTTTAGAGTTAAGGTCTCACTGTATTGTCCAGGCTGGTTGAGCAAGTGATGCTCCCTCCTTGTCTCCCGAAGTGTTGAGATTACAGGCTTGAGCTACGGTACCTAGGGTCTAATAAAAGGTGTCTTATTCCTGATATTTGTTTTTTGGGTTTTTTTTTTTTTTGGTGGTGGGGGACAGGGTCTTTTTCTGTCACCCAAGCTGGAATGCAGTGATGCAGTCACAACTCACTGCAGCCTCGACCTCCCAGGCTCCCACCTCAGTCTCCGTAGTAGCTGGGACTGCAGGCATGCACCACCACGTACAACTAACTTAAAAATTTTTTTTTTAGAGATGGTGCCTTCCTATGTTGCCCAGGTTGGTCTCAAACTCCTGGGCCTAAGCAGTCTTCCTGCCCCAACCTCCCAAAGTGTTGCTATTACAGGTGTGGTGAACAGGTCCTTATTGACAGTTTTCTAGGTCTCATTCTTTTTTGAGGGCTTGATCTTTTAGTCTCTGGTGTTTGGCTATAAGATTTTTAACGTCTCCTATTCTATTTGCTTTTTCCTTTTGACTTATAAATGTACTCAATGTTTCCCATTTCAAAAAGAACCTTTCCTTGACCACATATCATACACTGTCTATTTTCTCCCCTCATCGAGAACAAATTTCTCAAACTAGTAGTCATTTCTGTCTTTGCTCACATCTCTCAAGCACTGTGGTCAGATAATATCCTGTTGCAGCTCCCCAAAACCTTCACTAAATCTGATTTGGCCTAGGACACCGATGATGTTCTAATTGCCAAATCTAGTGGATACATTTCAGTGTCATTTTTTTTACATAATAAATTGTGAGTTCTTCCTAGTGGAAGGCACTGCTAAATGCCTTTTAAATATAAAAGATGACAAGACATAGGGTTATGTATCATAGTAGAAGTATTAGGCTTATCAGATGACAGTGAATTGCCTACTAGCTACTATTTATTGAAGAGTGAACACCAGGATGTGCTGCAGCTGTTCTAAGAGGTTTACATGTGTTATTTAATTTCTCCAATGAAGTAGGCATTATTATTTTTAATCTTCATTTTAGAGAGGAAAACATCTAGTCACGGAGAGGCTAGAAATTGCCTGTGGCCAAGCATTTAGTGAGATAAATTTGAATCTGAACCCAGATCTAACTTTAGAACTCCTACTGTTTAAGAAATGTCTGCATTTGTTGGGAGCTGGACTCAGAGAACTCCTGCTAATGCCTTTGAGATGTGGATACAGGGGAGGAGAAGAAATGATTGTCAGGGAAGGCTTCTTGTTGGTTGATTGATCAATGGGCTAGAATTAGAACATACTTAGTTAGGTCTGAAATAGATAATTTAGTTCAACACCCCTAATTTACATTTGAGCCCTAGGGAAGCAACTTGTCCAAAATCATACAGAGCTTTTTTGTGTAATAAATTTGGCAACAGTCAGATAACCTAGTCTGACATTTATTTTTCTGTTTTTCCAAAAAAAGAAAAAGTTTCACCCAAACCCCTGAACCATGTGCCACCTAAAATGCTACTAGAAATGTAGCATAGAAGAAGAGTATAAATTCCAAACATTTCTCTACCATGGTGATTGGAATAGGATTTCTAATAATGCACCCATTGTATTTTATAGTGACTTCAGAAATGAAATCTTTATTACTGTTGTATGATGTTCGTGGATTGACTTCTACATACAGAGTGAGTGTGGCTCCAGAATCAGTCGGCCTAGATTTGAATCTTGCTCCTTCAGTAGCTTAGATGTGTCTCAGTGTGTTTGTTTCTTCATTGCAAAACACGGATGCATAATATTAGTACCTTTTTCTTGGAGTTGTTATGAGAATGGAAAGAGTTAATACGTGTAGGGCATTTTGAAAAGTGCTTGGTCTGTCATAAGCACTCAGTAACTGTTTAGTTGCTGTTTATTGTTAAGGTGATGGTTTCCCCATTTCTATTCCAGTTTATTTCCTGGGGGCCTGCTTTTTGATTTCTCATTGGGGATAGGGAGCTGGGAATTGATATTTGAAAAGTACAAAGAAGAGCAAGTGTGTATACTTATGCCATTTCTCATTGTTACTAATTTATCTTGCTGTATTAATTTCCTTAGCTCTGAGTACATATTAACAGTCTATACTGAGTAACACTCGTGGGAATTAAAGAACTAAAACTCCTAGACAATGAAGAGCATAATTTCTACTTCCCTGTATTTTCTTCTCTTTCTCAGCAATATATATATATATATATATAGCTATATATATATATATACACATATATATAGCTATATATATACACACACACACATATATATATATATATATATTTTTTTTTTTTTTTTTTTTTTTTTGAGATGGAGTCTCGCTCTGTTACCCAGGCTGGAGTGCAGTGGCGCGATCTTGGCTCACTGCAACCTCTGCCTCCGGGTTTCAAGCGATTCTTCTGCCTCTAGCTGGGACTACAGGTGCCTGCCACCACACCCGGCTAGTTTCTGTATTTTTAGTAGAGACGGGGTTTCGCCATGTGGGCCAGGCTGGTCTTGATGTCCTGACCTTGTGATCTGCCTGTCTCAGCCTCCCAAAGTGCTGGGATTACAGGCGTGAGCCACGGCACCCGGCCTTAGCAGTATTTAAAGCCTTAGTTGGTAGAGTTAATTAGTGTTAACATATTTAAAGTGTTTTTCCCTTCTAGAAACTGGGATACTCACTATTTAGATGACTTTCAAATATTGCTAATCTCAAAGCAACTTCCTGGGAAGAAGAAAGGCAAAGGTTGGAGTTAGGGTCTGGCAGAGGGGGAAAGGAAATGGTGCAAATAGCATGGTGGTCACCTTTTTGTATAGAGTTTAGAGTATCTCAGTGACTTGCTAACCTAGACATCTATAGTATTTGTAATTAAATGCACAAAATTACACTTGTCTTTATCAATCTTCTTCTTCATTTTCTCGAACCTCTAAATCTACTTATAAATCTTTTAACATACTAGTTCCTGATTTGTCTAACTTATTTTCTTCCTTTTTTTTTTTTTTGAGAAGGACTCTTGCTCTGTCACCAGGCTGGAGTGCAATGGTGCAATCTTGGCTCACTGCAGCCCCTGCCTCCCAGGTTCCAGTGATTCTCCTGCCTCAGCCTCCTGGGTAGCTGGGATTACAGGCACATGCCACCACGCCAAGCTAATTTTTGTGTTTTTAGTAGAGATGGGGTTTCATCCTGGCCAGGCTGGTCTCAAACTCTTGATTTCAGGTGATCCGCCTGCCTTGGCCTCCGAAAGTGCTGGGATTATAGGCATGAGCCACCGCGCCCGGCCTCTAACTTATTTCTTAAAGTTGCTGTAGTGAATCATTTTTTGACTATTATTGAGTGTGTGTTTTGACACAGCGTCTTGCTCTGTTGCCCAGGCTGGAGGGCAGAGGCGCAGTCATGGCTCGTTGCAGCCTCAGCTTCCCAGGCTCAAGTGATTCTCCTATTCAGCCTTCCTAGTAGCTGGGACCACAGGCGTGCACTACCACACCTGGCTCATGTTTTGATTTTTTGTAAATATGAGCTCTCACTATGATGTACCCTGCTTAGATCTACCATGCCTGGCTAATTTTTTTATTTTTTTGTAGGTATGAATTCTCACTATGTTGCCCAGGTTGGTCTTGAACTCCTGGACTCAAGTGATCTTTCCTCCTCAGCGCCTCCGAAAGTGCTGGGATGGTTACAGGGGTGAGCCATATTATTGTGTTTTTATAGTAAGTCTTCTGATTTCTATGATTCGAATTCAGCATTCACATTCAGAATGTGTTCTCCCTTTAAAATAGTAACCCTTATGACGGGTTTTGACATTTTTCACAAAGCTCAATATTAAATAAGTTCTTCATAACATTTGGTATTAAGGTCATATCCCCTTTCCAAGCAACCGAACAAGCATGTAAGACTTTGGAATATAAATTTAAGTTCCTCTTATTGGCTGGGCACGTTGGCTTACACCTGTACTCCCAGCATTTTGATAGCCCCAGGCAGGTGGATCGCCTGAGTTCGGGAGTTCAAGACCAGCCTGAATAACACAGTGAGACCCCATCTCTACAAAAAAATACAAAAATTAGTGGGGCATGGTGGCGTGCACCTGTAGTCCCAGCTACTCGAGAGGCTAAGGTGGGAGGATGGCTTGAGCCCAGCAGGTGGAGGCTGCAGTGAGCCAAGATTGTGTCACTGCACTCTAGCCTGGGTGACAGAGCCAGACTCTGCCTCCAAAATAAAGAAAACTCCTGTTTTTATTTGTAAAACTTTTCATTTTTTTGTTAATTTCTTTGGAATGGCGCCAGATATTTCGAGAAGAATCATGTATCAGTGTGTAATCTTTTTTCCTTTATTTCATCCTAGAGATAGCTGAAAGATAACAGCTCTTTTCGTCTATAGAATGAAGAATACGTAGTTGTGATTTTAGAGTATCCACAATAAAAGTTTTTCTTAACATACTTCTTTTATGTCAACAACTATACATAAAGTAGCATCAGTGTTCATTTCTTCTCAGATTTGCTAACATTTCTCATCAAAAAATAAGTATCCTGTCTTTCCTTCCATCAGTATGTGACCAGGCTCGCTCAATTCCCTGAGCTGTTTCTCCCATGTAGGCTTCATTGTTCGGGTTCTTTGCTTCTCTGGATGCACAGTCACCCCAGGGCTCCCTTCTCATGCCTTATGGTCCTCTCTCCCATCACCGGTCTGCCTTCAGATAGCTCCTTCCTTTCACTTTCCCTCTACTCTGAGCTCCCTCCTTCTACTTGTCCAAGGCTGGAAGGGAGAAGGCTGACTGAATAAGTCTAGGGACACACCCTCCAGAGAGGAAGCACGTTCACTTCCAGTTAAGTTAGTATGTGCTTCAGAATAGGGACATGTAAATACCTAGAGGAAATGTATAAAACAGAGGAGGAAGCAATTAACACTGCCTGTGGGGATCAGGGGAACTTCTGAGATGAGCTGACAAGTAAAGTGCATTATTTATTTTTTTTCTTTTTGAGACAGTGTCTCACTCTGTCTCCTAGGCTGAAGTGCAGTGGTGTGATCTCAGCTCACTGCAACCTCTGCCTCCCTGGTTCAAGCAATTCTCCTGCCTCAGCCTCCCAAGTAACTGGGACTACAGGCGCCCACCACCATGCCCAGCTAATTTTTTGTATTTTTAATAGAGACGCGGTTTCACCATGTTGGCCAGGCTGGTCTCAAACTCTTGACCTCAAATGATCCGCCCGTCTCAGCCTCCCAAAGTGCTGGGATTACAGGCATGAGCCACCATGCCCAACCTAAAATGTATTTTGATAAATGACTAGAGGTGCTCTCTGGGGACAAGGTGGAGCAAGAGAGAAAAGGGACTTTTACACATAGAAGGAAAAGCATATGCCAACAGTGTTCCACACATGTGGACTGATTTGTCTTTTTCCCCTTAGTGCCTCCTCTGATTTGTTGTTTTTATTATTGGTCCCAGACCAAAACAATCTCACTGTTGTGGTTCATTTTGTTGTCAATTTTTTTCACTATTTGTAAATGTACCGTCATTCATTCCTAGTGCAATTTCCCTTCTCTTATACAAAGGCACTTGTGCCTGTGAACATTGTTTTGCCTGCCACTTCCCTCAGAGATCTCAAAATTGTTATCTGCTTACCTCCAGGCATCCAGACTTGCCTGATTGCTGTTTTATTGTTACAACAAAGTGCTTTGTTGACTGCTTAGATGTCAAGACAGATTATGCAGTTATGCAGTTGCCTAACTCATAATTCATAGCTCCTCTCTGTCCCTGCTTGAATTCTACAATGAGTCATGATCTTTAAAATCCCTGTGCATGTGCCATCACTGATCAGGGTTTACATCTAGTATCTTTCTGGGATAGGTTAAAAACACAGAAAATATGTTTCAAAGTGTTCCTTTTGTTTTGTTTCCTCAGCGATAGAAAAAAGAAAACCTTCATTCAACAAATATTTGTTGAATGCCAAGTGCCCAAAATTTTGCTCTGCTAAAAAAAAACCAGTGATGATCAAGAACAGCATGAGCTTTGCCACCAAAGTCAAATGTGAAATAGTCCCTGGAGGCAGAGGGTGAGCGCAGTTTCAGTAAAGTGAGGAAAGTGCCCGTGATGAAAGCATTGTTAGTGCTAGTCCGAGGAGTAATTAGAGGACATATGTTCTGGAGGAAGGGGCTGAACTGAGACCATAGTAAGCCTAAAAGGTGGGATGGAGCAGAAGAGGAGGTATCTTTTTTTTTTTCTTTTTAAGATGGAGTCTCTCTCTGTTGCCCAGGCTGGAGTGCAGTGGTGCGACCTCGGCTCACTGCAACCTCCACCTCCCGGGTTCAAGCCATTCTCCTGCTTCAGCCTCCTGAGCAGCTGAGACCGTAGGCATGTGCCACCACGTCCGGCTAATTTTTATATTTTAGTAGAGATGGGGTTTCACCGTGTTAGCCAGGATGGTCTCAGATCTCCTGACCTCGTGATCCGCCTGCCTTGGCCTCCCACAGTGCTGGGATTACAGGTGTGAGCCACCGCGCCCAGCAAGAGGAGGTATCTTACACTGTGCTCGTGCTGAGTGAGGCGAGATGATGATGGAGATGATGATGGCTGTATTATACTGTGGGAGTGGGAAGTGGTAAGAAGCTAAAGGTGCTAGAGGGTGGCTAGTCAAAGGACCTTGAGGGAGAATTAAGGTGTCTGAATCAATGAGGAGCGACCAGAGATTGTCAGACATGTCAGTGACGTCTTTTTTACAAAAGGAGTTATAGGCTGGATGCAGTGACCCATGCCTGTAATTCCAGCACTTTGGGAGGCTGAGGTGGGAGGATTACTTGAGCCCTGGAGTTCAAGACCAGCTTGGGCAACATAACGAGACTGCAACTCCACTGGGAAAATAAAAATAAAAATAAAATTAGTGGGCATGGTGGCACATACCTGTAGTCCCAGCTCCTTGGGAGGCTGAGGCAGGAGAGGATCCCTTGAGCCCAGGGGTTTGAGGCCACAGTGAGCCTTGGTTGTGCCACAGCACTTCAGCCTGGGCAACAGAGTGAGACCCTGTTTCAAAAAAATAGATAAATAAAAGCAATTATATAGAGAACACTCTGGGTGAAGTATGGAGAACAAGTTAGAATGAGAAAGTGTGGTTGCAGGGAAGCCAGTTAGCAGGCTACATCCAGGCCACGTGAAAGATAATAGTGGCCTGGATATAGGTAAAAATGGTTGGATTTGGAATGTATTAAAGAGGACATAGTATGCTTTGAATGAGTGAACGTTGATACCCTGCTGCCTTTCATTTTGTCTCCAGGTTTGTGCAGATGATTGGTGATGCAGCTATTTCTTGCATCTGTGATCTTATGCAGGGATTGATTGCCAAAAGTGTTGGTAGTAGGTCACGTCACTGAGATAAGGAGTTCAAAGGAGAAATTTAGGGTTGTGCTGGGGAAACAAACAGTTTGATCAAACATCATCTCAGCTTGCTGCCACTGGTCCCCCTGCCTCCAAATCAAGTATGTGGGTTGAATTATAAAATTACCCCCATATTTTCTTGTGTTATTAGAAGTCTTCCAGCCCAGCTTTAAAACTGTCGCTGGTTTGTGCTTTCCTTATTTTAGATTCTCAGGGGATCTACAAGGATATCCCTATTACCTAAACAGACTTCTTCCTGCTCTTGAATTTTCTTGTCTCATATCCTCATTTTTCTTATTTCAGTGCCTTTATGATCTTTCACTTCCCTCTTCTCCTTCCACATTAGTCTGGATTAAGTAACTGGTATTATTCAACATTTACTTGGATTTTGCATAAGAAGCAGTTCTTTGATGTCATTGTCTGTAATGCCTGTTCCACAGGTTTTGTAAGGATCAGATGAAATAATTAAAGCCCTTTGCATAATGCTTGACTTACAGATAAGCAATAAATTTAAATTCCTGTGCACTTCTGTATATTAATGTACATAATTTTTTTTTCTCCTGAGAGGGACCATCCAGGCAGTTCCCTCGTGTCTTTATTGGCTAATGGATTGAAAAGTACATTTTTCCATCATTTTGCGAATTCCCAATATGTTTAAATCTTCTTGAGAATTTCTGCTGAAATCATTACCTTCATGTCCAGTTGAACAGTATACCCTATCCATGATGAGAAACTTCACTGCTCTGTATGCAGTCTGTATTAGTCTGCTCAGGCTGCCGTAACAAAATGCCATAGACAAAATACCAATACAAAATACCATAGATGCCTTAAACAATAGAAACTTGGTTTTTCACAGCTCTGGAGTCTGGGCAGTCCAAGATTAAGATGCCAGCAAGTTTGGTTTCTGGTGAGGGCCCTCTTCCTGGCTGGTAGACAGCTGCCGTCTCCCTCTATCCTCACGTGGCAGAGAGAGTGCTCCGGTATTTCCTTCTCTTAAGCGGATGTCAGTTCCTTCTGTTCTGGGCTCTATGCTATGGCCTCATTTAATCTTAATCACTTCCTTAAAAGCCCTACCTCTAATACAGTCACATAGGAGGTCAGGGATTCAACATATGAATTTTGGGGGGGACATGATTTACTCTACCGCCGTCCCCCAAAAGTATTTTTATTCTATTAATATATTTATTAGTATACATTATATGTTTAATGTTATGTTCCTTTTGAAAGACCTAATTTCATTCGATGATTGTATTTGCTGTTGGGTGAATGGAACCAAAGCTGAAGGTGGCAATATTTAGTCATACTTCTATTTATATGAGTGAAAGTCAGCATTACTCCCCAGAAGCCAAATTTTAGTAGCATCTTTTTGCTGGAGGGGACTGGTTCTACCTGATCTGTTTGTCCTTGCTCTTTGTCTGAGGTAGGTGAGCTTGAATTTCTTACTCTGATTTTCCTGACTGTTGTTGGACATTTAGGTTGTTTTCAGATGTTTTTGTGTTTCAGAGAGCATCAGTGAGTAATATCCTTGTACATATGAGCTGTTCAGTTATGAGAGTTCAGCTGCAGTTCCTAAAAGTGGATTAGCACACTGACATTTCACACGTCTTCTACTGCGTTGACAGTAGGTTGTGCTGATTTACTTTCTGTGTTGCCACAGTTTCCAACACTTTTGCCAAGATTGGCCTTATTGAATTTTTTTAACCACCGTCAATTTTATATTTGAAATATGTTACGTTATTCTAATTTATATTTATTTAATTATAAATATGGTTGTGTGCTCTCTTGTTAATCTTTTTTAAAAATAGACTTTATTTTGTACAGCAGTTTTAGATTTACAGCAAAATCGAGCAGAAAGTACAGAGTTCCCCTGTACCCCTTTCCCCCATGCACCAACATCTCCCTCGCTTGTCAACACGCCCCCCACCAGAGTGTACCTTGTTAGGATTGATGAACCCGTATTGACATAACATTACCACCTAGAGTCCATAGTTTACATCGGGGTTCACTCTTGGTTTTGTACATTCTACGGGTTTGGACAAATGGATGACATGCAGCCACCATTATAGTATTACACAGAAGCATTTCCCTGCCCTAAAAATCCTATGTTCCGGCTGGGCGCGGTGGCTCACGCCTGTAATCCCAGCACTTTGGGAGGCCGAGGCGGGCGGATCACGAGGTCAGGAGATCAAGACCATCCTGGCTAACACGGCGAAACCCCGTCTCTACTAAAAATACAAAAAAAAAAATTAGCCGGACGTGGTGGTGGGCACCTGTAGTCCCAGCTACCCGGGAGGCTTGAGGCAGGAGAATGGCGTGAACCTGGGAGACGGAGCTTGCAGTGAGCCAAGATCGCGCCACTACATTCCAGCCCAGGCGTCAGAGCAAGACTCTGTCTCAAAAAAAAAATCCTATGTTCCACCTATTCTCCTCTTCCCTCTTTCCCCTGCATCTGTTGATTTTTTTTTTTTTTTTTACTCTCTGTAGTTTTGCCTTTTCCAGAATGTCATATAGTTGTAATCATACAGTGGCTTTTTTCACTTAGTAATATGCATTTGTGTTTAAGTTTACTCCATGTCTTTTCATGGCTAGAGTATGCATTTTTGACTTGGTATGCAATACTACAGAAGTAATACTATGTTCTTTTCTAATCAGGAGGTACATAATGTCCATTTGTTCTGGTGAAGGTAAATTTGATCGTTTGATTAAGGTGATGTATACCAGATTTCTTCACTGTAAAGTTACTACTTTTTCCTCTGTAATGAAAGTGTTTTGTGGGAAGATACTTTGACATTATGTAACAAATGCTGTTTCTCATCATAGCTTTCAGCACCAATTTTCAATATTTTGCCTGAAACAATTATTACTCTGTTTTTGCCAAATGGTGATTTTTTAATAAGATTTTTAGTATAGTTAAATTTTTGTCTTCTTCCATAGCTTTTGTGTTTTTCTGTTCTACTTTTCTCTAAGGCTTTCCTCACTCAAAACATTATTAAAAATTCTCATGTTTACTTCTCTTTTTAAAAAACTAGTGATAACATTTCATGAGCACTTTCTAATGTTTATGACTTTAAGATTGCCAGAAGGAAAAGATCACTGAAGACCACCTAGGTTAACAAACAGCTTAAATTTGAAAAAACAAGTGAAAGAAGCCAACGCATGTTATCAGTTCATAACATTACCTCCCTTCTAGAAGAATAGCTTCTTCCATTCTCTCCAGTTTGCTTCCAATCTTATAGTGGAACCAGATCTTCTAAGGCCTTAGTAGGAGGTGACATCAAGGGCTAAAAAAATACTCTTTGATGAACTCATGTCACTTTGATGCTCAGATATAAGTCAGACTGTGCAGAAGAGAAGCTTTAAAGATCCAAGTGATTTAGAAACTGGAGATAAGAAAAGCAAGCAGAAAACTGGGAAATGTTATTTCAGTCACTGCCAATATGGGATGTGGTTCCGTCTGTTTATTTACATAATATGATCTAGTGCTGTGCACTTATTAACTAGACTGCAAATACTTGCAGCTTAATAATGTGCCGCATATTTTATCACATCCTGAATTATAAATTTGAATAAAATTGTAAGAAGATCTGATATTTGATTTACCTTTTAAACCGTGTTTCAACCTGCAAGTAGTTTGCAAGTTAAATTGTTAATCTACTTGCTGCATAAATAAAATTGGGCAGTATTAGGAAAGATGCCCAGGGCCGCTGTCTGAGACCAAGTGTCTGTCTTTTGTCTTATGTAATTTGTGTCTGTTGCGTACTTCAGCACTTGAAAAACTATTCCTCTGTGAAAAGAGGCCCTTCAGTGTTGCTAGGAAACCCAGGAACTGTTTTATATGATCTCAAGATTTTAATTCATTTCTAGTGCAACACAGTGAAGAGGAATTGAAGGCTTTAACCATTTTTTGAAAGAAAAACAAAAAACAAAAAAATCTAAAAGTCATTAAAAAATCGTTTTAAAATATCATAAGCAGCATACTCATTTAAAAAAATCTCAGAATAAAGCAGAAATGGACAGTTGTCTTCCTTAAAATCCTAATTCTCAAAAGTAGTTGCTGTTAACAATTTGACATATATCTTTTCAGATTATTTTGTTACACATATATGACTATTTTAAGGCAGTTTTTTAAAATTACTTTTTATGTATCAAACGAGAAAGAAAGATAATATAAAAACTAAGTTGTATTTTATTTTGATCACTTTGTATAGTGTAAGTACTGAGAACATGAATTTGGGGGATTTCAACTTTTACAAATGTAGGTGTCTAATTGAAGTTATTTAACATTTTTATTTGATTTCTACAAAATGAAAACTCTAAAAACACACAGTAACCCGGAAGTTTTTATTGTTATTGATAGCAATTTTTTATTCTCACTTATATATTCTTAGCTCCATATTTGAACTATTTCTTGGTTTGTTTTGGAATGAGATTTTTATTTTTAAGGGTACTTAGATTACTCATATTATTTGATGCATGATGTGTTAATAACCAAACTAAATTTCTGAAATTGATCAAATTTATAATTCACTCATTAATTCTTTTCTATTATGTGCAAAGAACTACAGCAGGAGATAGAGGTAGCCGCAATTTGCAATTTATTTCAGCCCTAATAGAGCTAATGATTTAATAGTAAATCAGGGCATGCATTTTAAAAGTTCGCAAAAATACAAGGTAACATGGGAAGAAGATAAGTTTCTCAACATCTAGGAAGATGTGACAGGCCAGGCACAGTGGCTCAAGCCTGTAATCCCAGCACTTTGGGAGGCAAAGGCAGGAGGATTACTTGAGCCTCAGGAGTTAGAGACCAGCCTGGGTAACATAGTGAGACCTCATCTCTTAAAAAAATAAAAAATAGAACATGTGACACAACTCTGGATGCCACCTAAGTCAGTTTCACCATAAAATTTATAGAGGAAAAAAAATTCCAAGGCAACATATGCTAAGTGCCGAGTAAGTGATACCGATGGTAGAAAGTAAAGTACAATCAGCATTCATAGAGAAAGAAAAATCATTGTAGGGTGGAGAGGTAGAAATGCCTTAATGAATGAGATAGGAATGGAACTGAGTTTATTAGAAATAATAGAGTGTATTTAGGTTACACATTTAGGAGAAACACTTGAGATTATGTACATAAATACCAAATCATATCATTTTAAATAGAAACATGGGCATGAAATGGAGGCCAGAGTAGTTGGACTTTTGGGCTGGATCAGTGGGTTTGGATGATGTCTGATCAATATTTGCTGTATAACAAAACAACTCAAACTCTAGAGGCTTAAAACAAAAATCATGTATTCATGATCCTGTGGGTTGCTAGTTAGACTAGGCTAGGATGGAAAATTATGGGCTCAACAGTGGGGCTGCAGAGAGCTGGTCTAGACTAGGGCTGAGTGTTCGAGGGTTGGCCAGACACCTCCGTTGCCCCCTCTGTGGTTTGTTCACACAGTGGCCGGTGACCGAGGAGGCAAGAGTGGGTGCAGCAAGGGTTTTTGAGGCCTAACCTCGGAACTACACAGGTCATTCCTGGCACATCCTGTTGGTCAAAGCTGGGCAGGCCTCAGGTTTAAGGGAGCAGGTGCAGATAATTTGAATCCCAATTTAAATTTATTTCAGGAGTGCATTTACATGTGATTGAAAGCTTACGATGGTGCCTAAACGTAAATGGTGTTGAATGTAACCAGGATTTTCTTTAGTTCTCAGTCTATTGGCTTTGACTTTATTAAAATTTTATTAGAACTGATAGTCTGTGTATATTAAGCTTATTTTAGGACTAATGGAAAGAATCATGCAGTGACTAACTCCTCTTCATTTTGGTTTGTTCTGTCAAAATTTATTTGAAAAACAACATCAAGATAGTCATGTGGAGAATTAGGACTTTGGATTGATTTACTCCTAATTTTGCTCTAATGTGTTTTTTTTTTTTTTTTTTTTTTTTTGGTGGGAGCAGGGGAAAAGGGAGAGGAAGAGAGAGGCAGGCCCCGTGAACCATACCATATCTTAGTGCTTAGGGCCTCCTCCAGGTCATCATCCAGCTCTGAAGGTTGTCAGAGTCAGGTGACATAGGTCCAAATAGAGTTGCTCTTCAACAGAAAGTAGTGAAACTTAATGGTTATGCACACTTTAGATGTTTGAATTTATACTTAAGAAAATGTTGGGTAATCACAAGTAAACCATAGATGTGACAAACTAGTGCTATGCATACTTTTATAGTATGAATAGGAAAAAAAGTTTTATGTGATTGTTCACTTACAGACTAAATTTGCATTTAATTTTTTAATTTTTTGAGACAGAGTCTTGCTTTGTCACCCAGGCTGGAGGGCAGTGGCACGATCTTGGCTCACTGCAGCCTCTACCTCCCAAGTTCAAGCGATCCTCCTGCCTCAGCCTCCTGAGTAGCTGGGATTACAGGTGCACACCACCACACCCAGCTAGGCTAACTTTTGTATTTTTGGTAAAGATGGGGTTTCACCATGTTGGTGAAATTAAGTTATGTAATTTTAAGACGTCTTTTATAAAATAAAATAAATGTGATTATTGGCTTTTTCAGAAGGGAAATAAAAAGGGATGAACAGTAAGAAGTGTCTCAAAAATAATATGAGTCAACTATTTGGTTTTTTTTGTTTTTTTTTTTTTTTGAGACAGAGTTTCACTGTTATTGCCCAGGCTGGAATGCAATGGCACAATGTCGGCTCACTGCAACCTCCGCCTCCCAGGTTCAAGCAGTTCTTCTGCCTCAGCCTCCCAAGTAGCTGGGATTATAGTCATGTGCCACCATACCCAGCCAATTTTGTATTTCTAGTAGAGATGGGGTTTCACCATGTTGGTCAGGCTGGTCTCGAACTCCTGACTTCAGATGATTCACCTACCTTGGCCTCCTGAATTGCTGGGATTACAGGCGTGAGCCACCGTGCCTGGCTGTACATTTTTAAAAGATAAGTAAATTGACAGTGTTCCTTTTCTTTTTGAATTATCCTCATCAAAACTTATTGCTTAGAAATATTTTTAAGCATTCAATAGAAGGTTATAGAATTAAATCTAATAAAAATTTAAAGAAGCCTTAGCAGAAACTGTGTCACAGTTGATCAGCATATACCCTACCGACAGTGACTTAGTTCCCTGTGTGTTTGTGGTGAGCATGAATTAATGTAGCCTTGAATTTGTATGACATGACTGACCGTATTAGTCCATTCTCACACCGCTATAGAGAAATACCTAAAACTGGGTAATTTATAAAGAAAAGAGGTTTGATTGGCTCTGCAGGCTGTACAGAAAGCATGGCTGGGGAGGCCTCAGGAAACTTACAATCATGGCAGAAGGCGAAGGGGAGGCAGGCACGTCCCACGTGGCCAGAGCAGAGAAGGGGGAGGTGCTGCACACTTTTAAACAACCAGATCTCCTGAGAACTCACTCACTATCAGCAAGGGGGAAATCCACCCCCATGATCCAGTCACCTCCCACCAGGCCTCTCTTCCAACACTGGGGATTACAGTTCAACATGAGATTTGGGCGGGGTCACAAATCCAACCTGTATCACTCACCTTTCAGAGATTCTAGCCAAATTCAGTTTTAAACATCTGCTTGCATATAGAAACCTTCTACCAGTAGAAACTTACATAATGTCAGGAAGTTCACAGCGTTCCTTAAGGGAATTGTATCAAATAAGATGATACTACTTGTGTCATTCTACTTTTACAAAGGCACAAATTAAAAACTGGGCATCTCTTGAGTTTGGACTCCATTCCTCGGGACCCAAACCCCGTCCTGTATCCCTCGCATCAATGTGCTGCTTCTGAATGGCTGCGGGGCACTGTGTGGGCTGTCAGCGTATAGCAAATGCTTAGTCCCTTGTACATTTCTTTCTCTAGATTTCGCCAGAAGTTTGAGTATCACTACTCCTGAAGAGATGATTGAAAAAGCCAAAGGGGAAACTGCCTATCTGCCATGCAAATTTACGCTTAGTCCCGAAGACCAGGGACCGCTGGACATCGAGTGGCTGATATCACCAGCTGATAATCAGAAGGTGGATCAAGTGGTAAGTTTGATATGTCCTTGCTCGCTTAGCAGCTGTCTGTGCAACTATCTGATGTGTCCATCACCTTGCCAGTCACATGGATGGGCTGCAGGGAGCTAGGAAGGAAGCCCCCCAACTTCTCAGGCTTTATGGTCTGGGTGAGGAAGGCAATTGCTCTGGTGGAAATTGAGGACACATGTAATGGAGGGAAATAGATAATGAGTGTGACCTAAGGTTACAGAAGAGCAAAAGATCACTGGAGTTCTTAGAGACACTTCAGGGAAGAAGAGGAACTTATGAAAGTTCTGACAATCTGGATTTGAGGCGGGGAATAGCAGAGGCCTAGATGGAGCAGGCATGACGTTGAGACAGGAGTGTGTGTTGTGTTAGGAGATGGCACATAACTGTGCTTTGTTAAACGTTAGACAGAATTGAAATTTTTAAGTTTTACCCAAGGATTCTGTCAGCAGTAGAAGTGTCATTAGCTATGGTGTAACAACTACATAGTATTACAGTCTATTTTCCTTATTTTTTCAAGTTAAATATCCTGTCCAATGAATTTTTTAAAAGACAAAATCTTTTTAAATTTATTTTTTTTACTTTGACTTTAAAACTTCCCAGTGTAAAAATGAAGTCTTTAGAGCAAAAAACAATCTATAAAATATTTAGTCTTAAATTTAAAAAATCTTAAAACATTGTTTCAGTATTTTTTCTAATCAAAGTAATAAGAGTCTAATGTAGAAAACTTGGAAAGCCAAAAATAGCACAGAGGAGGAAACATGCCTAATAATCTCATCTCCAAATATATGTCATGTTTTACCTTTTCAATGGTTCTAGAATACTTTATTTAGAATGTTGCATATTGGCTTTGTCTGACACATTTAATTTTTTAAAAAGTTAATAAATTATATTAGATCAGGGAGAGGAAAATAAGTCCAAATATTTAGGTAAATATAGTAATATATATATTTGGAAGAGAAATTTTGTTTTTACTTCATTTGTTCATGTAAAAGAAGGGGATATTTAAAAGTTACAAGTAACATCCTTCCATTTAATGGCTGAATCAGTGCAGTTAGGTAATTAATATTTTTGGCAAACCCAGTCGGTTTGCCCTTGATGTTTATGTTAAGGAAATAATTAAGGTGCTTTCCCAAGTTGTGAGTGACTAGAGCCACCCCCTCCAAAGATGTAACCTCTGCCCTGATTCTGTTACCAGAACTTCTTTCTGTTTCCCTGAGCAAAATAAATCGGGCCTGACTCATTTTATCTACTCAGCCTCGTTGCCCTGTTCCCTGTCACTCTTACCTCCCCCTTCTCTCCCTTCTCTCTCTCTGGAGGTGCTGGCACCTAGAGTACAGGCTCCTGTCTGAGGTCCTGCAGTTCCCCGTTCCTGTGACAGTGCAGTGCCTGTCCCGCTTTAGAGCCCAGGACTCTGATCCTGTGCGTAAGATAGGGGAAGCCTAGGAACCATATGGAGAGCGTGGGTCTTCCGTGCTTCTGCTGAGTGAAGCTTGTGACCAGGTGCATGTAGAGACCAAGAAGCACTGTGCCCTGAGCCATTAGCGTGTCTGTTAATGAGAAGAAGACTCCAAGTCGTCCATGCTGAGTGAGAGGCACGGCTTTGCCGTCTACAGGAGTTGTAAGATAAATGTGAAACTGGGACTTGACTCTGAGTGACCGTTTCTGGGTTAAAAACCTAGCTTCTAACCTAAAACACAGTCACATCAGACCAAAAGAAAGAAGGGTTAGGAAGAGATTGATGCAGAAGAGGATGCATACATGGAATTTAAACTACATATGTTAACAGAGCCCCTATTTTAATATATTTCAGCTAGTAGACAGAATGGTTAAAAACTAGGAATTGGAGGACTGAGCTGGAAAAATTTGCATTCTTATTCCTTATGTGATCTCTTTAGTCAGCAGTTACTGTAAACAGCGTGCTTGGGCAGTGTTTTGTATACTTTAATTGTATATACTTAAGCCTTAAAACAACATAGTAAGGTGAGAATTATTATACATATGGCAAGGAGGAAACAGAGGCCCAGAGATTTTCATGCCCAGAGTAACAAGTGCAGTTGGGATTTGAACCCAGGTCCCTCTGACTCTCACAGCTGCTCTGTTATCATTTGCACTGTCCTCTGCTGCCTCCCGTGTTTCATAAACCTGTTTCCTCATGTGTAAAGTAGGAACAGCTATACCTAGCATCTCAGGGTCATTACAAGAATTCAGCAAAATACTGTATTCACACGCATTCTGTAAGCTTATAAATGATATTGAAATGATAATCATGTACTGTGCCAAGTTAAATGGATCTGGTCTGCATCTTTGTTGTGTGACTTGGCAAAAGCTGATCAGTGAGAGCCACTTCTTTCCTCAGCCTAAATGTCAATGTGGACAATGCCATCGTCCTTGCAGGGTTGTGAAGGGGAATCTGAAGACATGTAAAATTTCATGGTAAATTTCCCATTCCTTAACTAATATTTATAACATTGTTTTCTGGGAAGACACTAAGCTAGCTTATAAAATAACCAACAGCGGGAATGCATCTTATTTCTCAAGCCCCCCTTAAAGGACTACTAAGGTGTGTGTGGAGCATAATGAGCTATTGGAAGTATAAGAGATTGAACTCTACGACCTTTAGAGTTAGATTCCACAGGCAAATTATGATAAGCCTTTTAATCAAAGGAAATTAATCAAAGGAAGATAGAGTAGCCAGATTTGTGGAGTAGTCAGTGTTGCTTTTGACAAGTGGGTATGTCAAGAAGATTGAGCAAATAAAGTAATAGCTTGTGTTTACAGAGTAAGTCAGCTGTGGACCCGTCAACTACTTCTTTTATTTACTTAGCAAACTGGTATTGAGCGCAACCTAGATGCACACAGTTCATATATAAATAAAAGATCTAGCTGGGCACGGTAGCTCATGCCTGTAGTCCCAGCACTTTGGGAGGCCGAGGCAGGCGGATCACAAGGTCAGGAGTTCGAGACCAACCAGGCCAATGTGGTGAAACCCTGTCTCTACTAAAAATACAAAAATTAGCAGACGTGGTGGTGGGCACTTGTAGTCCCAGCTCCTCGGGAGGCTGAGGCAGGAGAATCGCTTTAACCCAGGAGGTGGAGGTTGCATTGAGCCAAGATCGCACCACTGCACTCCTGCCTGGGCGATAGAACAAGACTGTCTCAAAAAAAAAAAAAAAAGATCTTTGGTGGGTTGGGGTGGGGTCAGTGTGGTTGGGAAGGAGATAATACAGAAGAGAACCCAAGTTCCTCCACTCAAGAAGTTTCTGCAGAATAAACCTGGAAAACAGTGTTCTTAGATGACATTTATTCTGATTATACTGCCCATAATTAGCACTCAGGTAAAAGAAATTAATTGCAGGATACAGGCCGTAGTTGTGTTTCCTGATTATTATTTGAGTTTTGGCATCACTGCTCTTTGGCCCATGGGTCTCGTATAACCAGAATGAAGAGATTTCATTAGCAAAAAAGAAAAATTATAAAATGTGTTAAATTAATGTTAGAGATTGTTAGAGATGACTACTACAGTTCTCTTCCAAGAAAATATTCCAAACATAGATTTTATTTTCCCTCTAAAGCATCCAGCCTTTAGTAATTGCCTTCAAAGGCTATGTGTGGTTCAGAAAACTCAGTGGGTTAGGCACAGGTCTTTGCTTTAGTTACAGAAGATTCATTCAAAGGACTTGTTAACCTGGGTACACATATCTTAAGAGGTTTATTTTATGATTTTATCTGTTAGAGTCTAGAGCCCTCAAGTAACTCCAACTTAGTATTAAGACCAAACAAAGTTATCTTTTTGTTAGATTCCACAGGCAAATTATGATAAGCCTTTGTAGGGGCAGGGGGCAGTAGGTACTTGATTTTGTTACACTTGGTTGGCAAACTACAGCCTCAGAGGCAGTTGAAAAATAGAGTATATAAGAATGAGCAGGCCAGGCATGGTGACTCACACCTATAATCACAGCACTTTGGGAAGCCAAGGCGGGTGGATCCCCTGAGGTCAGAAGTTCGAGACCAGCCTGGCCAACGTGGTGAAATCCCTTGTCTACTAAAAATACAAAAATTAGCTGGCTGTGGTGGCACGTGCCTGAAGTCTCAGCTACTGGGGAGGCAGAGGCGAGAGAATTGCTTGAACCCGGGAGGTGGAGGGAGCCGAGATCTCACCATTGCACTCCAGCCTGGGCCACAGACACAGACTCCACCTCAAAAAGAAAAGAAAAGGAAAAGAAAAGACAACGAACAAGCAAATCTGTGTTCTTGCCCAATCTTACTAAATTGCTCTCTAGGACAGTATAGGGCTTTACTATTTTATCATGTTGCGTCTTGGTTTCCCCATTAAAAATAGAAGTCTGGGACTATACCCAAGGATCACATTGATTCCTTTCCATTTTCTCGTTCTGTGGTTTGGGTAGTTTTATGTTTCCCCATAATACTGTGTTCTTCTTTTTCTTTTCTGGGAGGGGGCGTTCTGTAGCAGCAGGTGTATCCAGGGCTCCTTTAAGAGACAGTTTTTTTTGTGTGTGTTTGTTTTTCCTCCTGTCTAATTTTGGCTTTCTTTTAGATTATTTTATATTCTGGAGACAAAATTTATGATGACTACTATCCAGATCTGAAAGGCCGAGTACATTTTACGAGTAATGATCTCAAATCTGGTGATGCATCAATAAATGTAACGAATTTACAACTGTCAGATATTGGCACATATCAGTGCAAAGTGAAAAAAGCTCCTGGTGTTGCAAATAAGAAGATTCATCTGGTAGTTCTTGGTAAGTTATTTTTATTTGTGTTAACGGGTTACTGAGTAAGAGAATGATTAGTCATAGTACTGTAGTAGCAGCACTTGTATAAAATAAAGCTTAATTTTTTAGAATAACAATTTTAAACACTTGAAGTACTTCTATGTTGGATAGCATCAAATATAAAACTAGCTTTTGGTTTTGGATAGGAAAAGTAAGAAGTGATCAACTTCTTTGTGAAATTCATAAGAGTTTGAAAATAAGTGAACGAGTATTATGGTATGGAGGAAGAACCCTAAGCTAGGAGTTAGGAGATCTAGGGTTTTTGCCTTGTCCTCAGAATTTGCCCTGAGAATTATGTAGAACCATGTTTCTATGATGAATAATTTAAGCATTTAGAATGGAGATGAAGAAATATGGAAGAAGGAATATTGAATTCAAGTAAGGCCATTAGGCATCACATAGTATTTAAGCTTCTTGGCATCACTGTTTTTCATCATTAAAGTGAGGAGATGAGACATTCACTGATATCTTATAGCCCTCTCTGTAATAGTTAATAGGGAGGTAGTGTAAACTGCTTTGTAAACTGCCAAAGACTACAGAGTTTATTA
Source organism: Homo sapiens (assembly GCF_000001405.40). NCBI lineage: Eukaryota > Metazoa > Chordata > Mammalia > Primates > Hominidae > Homo > Homo sapiens. Next base: position 17,552,535 of record NC_000021.9, read on the forward strand.
TCCTTCTCTAGATTCTGTGATAATGTCTACAAGCACTCTTAATCCCTTCAAATTGAGAAACTGAAAGATAATAGTTCATAAATATACTTCTAAAACCATACTGTGGTAAGCTTTACACAAAATGTACATTGGCTACCATGTAGAAAAACATAGCTGTCTAGCTCTCTGCTTAATGACAGTAAATTCCCCTGTCCTCATGTTTTAGGGGACACTTGGGGATTGACTTTCATAGGAAAAGCTGATGCTAGAATTGTCTAGCATGACTGGAAATAACTGATCAGGGCAGGCCTCCCACATCAACATTTACCTCATTCCTTCTGTTTAGAGAACTGATTAGGGGTGGGGTAGAATATTCTAAAGAATACTCTTTATTTTAATTTTAATTTAATTTAATATTATTTTATTTGAGATGGAGTCACACTCTGTTACCCAGGCTAGAGTGCAGTGGCACAATCTCTGCTCACTACAGCCTCTGCTTCCCAGGTTCAAGTGATTCTCTTGCCTCAGCCTCCCAAGTAGCTGGGATTACAGGCATGCACCACCACGCCTGGCTAATTTTTGTATGTTTAGTAGAAACAGTGTTTCACCATGTTGGCCAGGCTGGTCTCAAACTCCTGACCTCAGGTGATCCACCCACCTCGGCCACCCAGAGTGCTGAGATTACAAGAATACTCTTTAGGAGAGCAATGTTCAAGATGACTTGGGCACCCAACACTTAACTACTCCTCCTACAAGTAGACCCAGCACTTAACTATTACTCCTAGAGACTAGGAACAAGAGTGGGGATTTTTGTGTACCTTCATGGCAAATTCATGCATTGTCTTGGTAGATAGACTCTGCTGGCAGCATCATTGAATGGGGACCTGAAGAGGTCCTGGTGAAATGCATCATTCTGAATCGCACTAACTAAAAATGTTTCTTGTGGTGTGAAAGTAAGTCAATCTAAAAAAGGAACCAGGAAAAGGAATATGGTAATGTTGGAAATTTGAATTTTCTGTGTCTTCATTGAGTAAACATGGAGTAACTTTTCTTTGTTATAAATGTATAAGCAAGTGAAAGATTAACACCTGGTCCGAATTCTTTTTTTTTTTTTTTTTTTCTTTTTGAGACCAAGTCTCGCTCTGTCACCCAGGCTGGAGTGCAGTGGCATGATCTCGGCTCACGGCAACCTCCGCCTCCTGGGTTCAAGCAATACTCTTGTCTTGCCGTCCTGATTAGTTGGGACTACAGGTGCCCGCCACCACACCTGGCTGATTTTATTTTTGGTAGAGACGGGGTTTCACCATGTTAGCCAGGATGGTCTCAATCTCCAGACCTCGTGATCTGCCTGCCTTGGCCTCCCAAAGTGCTGGGATTACAGGTGTGAGCCACCGCACCCAGCTACCTGGTCTGAATTCTTATCACAGACCCAGGAATTCCTGAGATTATAACCCTGACTATACTTTCTTCCAACACTGCTCTCTAGGAACTATTAAGTTGGAAGATGTATACGGAATATTAACTGGTTCATGATATGCGAAGCAGAAGATATTTGATTATCGGAATTATTTATTGTGAAACCCCTGTTTGATGGGACAGTTACACTGGGATTAATGGGGTTGGCACATATTCCCAGAAGAGTTGTGGACAAGCATGTTTGTGTGTTTGTGTATTGTCTGGATCCTGTGGGACCAGGTTCAGGGTCACATTTGCAGTTCTCAACTGAAGAGAACATTACAGCAGAACATGTCCCAAAAAGGAACCTGAGTTGGGTGGTAGGGGATGGCACATGATGTGGCTCAGTTCACTCATGGCAGGAGCCGTGACTGCCCGGCAGTAGGAATGGCCTTTTTATATTAAACTTTGAACCCCAGCATGTCCTAAGAATGGGTAAGTGGGAAGCATTGACACAGTTCACCCTGAGTTACTCCTGGGGAGAATTTTATAGCCAAGTCAGCCTTCAGTTCAAACCAAGGAGGGGGAGAGGGGATAAACTGGGGATGAGAGGAGAAAGCAGGGAAGTGATTGCCGAAGAGAAGTAGGGACGACTGGAACTCTGATCTGGACGAGGTTGTGTCAGAGCCAGAGAATTCCTTGTAGCTTTTTCTTCCATGTTTTTAGATGAGTCGTGACTGCTGCTGGGAGAAACCACCAGAATTATATTCTCTCGAAGGTGAAAATTAATTGGATTGAAGCTTATCTGTTAGTTTTGCCTGGAAATTCTGCCTGGATTATCTGGGGCAAAAGATAAGATGAAGTGCCCTCTAGTGACCCAACTAAGTGGTGGTCACTGGAGCTCATTTGATTGACTGATAGTGGCTCTGTCTAATGCTTTGGTTCTTTTGTGGGAAATCTGAAGTAGTTGCCATCATGGCATTCACAGGGTAATGGCAGTGCATTCATTGAGCTTGTGTGTTATGTGGCCGTTAACCCACAGAGATGATTGATAGTCGTCTGGATGTGAGGGGCAGCATGTTGCTGTAGCTTGCTCCATTGCCGTGCCTGCCTTGCTCTTTCAGACACAGCAGAAGCTCTTGTGGATGCAGCTCAGTAAAGAAGCAGAAGTGGGAAATGATAACAAAGAGAGTTGATAGAAGGTTACTGTTGTGGCCATATATCACGGGCACCTTCCCCTGGAGCTCTGGAAGGGCCTGTTTATTGAAACCTTTTGGTATAAAGAGACAGAGTTGTTTTGAAGAGCAGAACATGCACAGTTAACAATTCCTGGACATATATGGTATACTCCCACTGCACCATGCCACAGTGGCAGCAGCAAGTGTAGTGGCTCAGTCATCACTGGCCTTAAAGGTCCTAAGGGATTTGCAAACCATTGATACTGGGCACGGCCCCTCACTACTTTTTATTTTACAATAATTTTTAGTTTTATGGAAAAGTTGCAAAAATACAAGGAAGTTTCTGAGAGTGGATCCATCATCTAATTTCCCCTAATGTTAACATCTTACAAAATCATATTATAATTATCAAAACCAGGAAATTAACACTGATACAATACTATTAACTAAATTACAGACCCAGTTTGAATTTTACTGTTTTCCGGTAATGTCCTTTTTGTACTAGGATTGCATCTAGAATCCACATGGCATTTATATCTCCTTAATCTCCTCCAGTCACGTCTGGGGGCACATGATGTCATGTCTTATTGTTAATCGTGATCGCTTGGTTTAAGTTTTATCTGATGGGCTTCTCCACTCTAGAGTTATTATTTTTCCCTCTATAATTAAAAAATGTCTTGGGGGAGCTACTTCGAGACTATGCAGATATGTTATTTCTTATTTAACTTTTGCCTATTGATTTTAGCATCTATTGATAGATTTTGCCTGGAGTCAGGGTATTTTTGAACCAATAAGAAATTATATTTCTTGGAAGGATGACATCATGATAAAAGTATCCCCTGTCTCATGTAGGGATTTAGAGATTATTTCCAGTAGACTGGTGCAGCCACTAGCAGGAAAAGATGATGAAGGAATACGTGTATGGAACAGAGCATTACTAAATTGGTGGGATACCATGTCCAACTACAACTTGATGGTCACATACCCATATCTGAGAAGGACTGTTGTTTGTGTTAGTGATCATGGAAGCAGATGTTCTGAGGACAGCGGCCAGTATGTGGGAAGTCCAGACCAAAGAAACATTTAGGAGACAAGACTTTATTCGTGCTCTCTTTGTGGTTTTCTTCTGTTCCAGCAGAGTACCATGGGTTAAGAATTAATCTTCCTCGTAGTGTAATGGTTGGATGTTGGCATGTAAAAGACTTGTACTTCCTCTTCCCAGTGGAAAGCAGGTGGGCCACTCCAAAGTGTCATTCAGAAACCTGTGTTGGTAGAATCTTGTTTTATTGTGGACGGGTTGTAGTGAGGCCCTGAATTTCCTAGCAGCTATTTTAAATAACTATCCGTTATTAGATATGTTTAGATTGCTGGTTATATGGGAGAAAATGGATATAGAAAGGATGAGCGTTAGAGTTAGAATACCATATTACCCATAGATGTTTGATGCACAAAGCATTGCATCAGTTATTTATTTGCTGGTAATTTATTCTAATAAAGGATTTATTGGTAGTTTGAAGAACTGGAAGAGAACAAGGCTCATTTCATTGAAGACTCCCAGAATGAAATAATTTGCAAAACTTATTTAAAAGTCCAATTGATGTAGTCTCCAGAGCACCTGGTCAGATTGAAAAATAAACAGATTTGTTTGGAAAAATCAACAGTGCAGTTAAATATGTGTTGACCCTTATTTTAAAAATGTAAGTAGGAGCAGATGAAGGGGAATACAATTAAATTTGTTAAGGAGTTACTAAGAAAGAGTAAGGTCATGGTTGATAACCTTAGTTGAAGATACCCCACTGAATATGATAAATCATGTTGAGCCAGTTTTGGGAAACAATTTGACAATTTCTTACAGTGTTAAAATATGTACAGTCACCATATGATCCAGCAGTTACTAAGACAAAGGAAAGCATACGCCAGTGTTCACATGAGTGTTCAAGCAGCATTATTCATAATACTGCAAAACAAAAATGCATTTACCTTTATTCATAGTAGTGAAAGAATAAAAACCCATTCACGACTGAAAAAATGAAAATCAGCTTAAACTAAAAAAGAAAAAAGTCTTGACGTTTATCAGCCGGAAGGACAGATACAGATTAAAGTCAGCCACAGAGTTTATAGAAAACATTGTCTCTCCCAAGGTTATAGAGTAGTAGTAAAGCATAGACTATTGCTGTCTTTTCTAGTGTTGCCCGCAGACCCACATTTCTCTACCCATCCTTTACTGGAATACTCAATTACTAAATGGCCCCACCTCCTCACAGCTCCCACTTCCTGTTTAATCCTCATTTTTCCTAATCTCAGAAACAGCTGATTGACAGCTGATGGCTACTTCCTTACAACCTCCTGAGAATCCTTCAGCATCCCTGCTCTTGTCCAGTGGCATTCCGTGGTTCCTCGTAATGCCGTCCTCACTAGTCAATCTGATTTTGATAGACCACACACTTGCTCCTTGTCAGTTTGGCTGACTGGGCTTTGACAGTAGCCCCAAACTGGAAACACAGTATTCATTAACAGGTGACTGGATAAGCAAACTTGTGTTATAGTCCATTGAAATACTAAAATAACTATATATACAATAACGGCTCAATCTCAGAAATGTTATGCTGAATAAAAGAAGACAAGAAAATACATACTGTAGTATTCTATTCATGTGGTTCCAGAAGAAGAGCTAATCTACAGTGGTAGAATCTGATCAGTGGCTTCCTGGGTCCAGGGTTTTGGAGTCCCATCTATTGTAACCAGCATGAGGGAACTTCCTTGGGAGAGGGTTGGAGTGGTGCTTAATGGATATAGACACATTTATTAAAAGTGATCAGCCCACGTGATTAACATGTTAACTTTATTGTGTGAATATTATACCTTATTAAAGTTCAGCAGAAGAGTATGCAATGCCAAGGTGTTAATCCAGGATTGGGGTGAGTTGCAGGTAATGGAGTTAGTAGTTGTTCTAAACAGTTACCCAGAAACACCTGGAATATAACCTCAGATTTCCTTTTTTTTTTTTTAATTAAATATTCTTTTTTACACATGAATTTCCAGGCTGTGAATATCTTTTTGATTCAGGGTCTGGTTCTGTCACCTAGGCTGGAGTGCAGTGACATGATCAAAGCTTCACTGCAGCCTCAAAATCCTGGTCTCAAGTCATCCTCCTACCCCAGCCTCCCAAGTAGCTACGACCACAGGCACACATCACCACACCCAGCTAATTTTTCGAAGTTTTTATTATGACAGAGTCTCGCTATGTTACCCAGGCTGGTCTCAAACCCCTGACCTCAAGTGATCCCCCCACTGTCTTGGCCTCCAAAGTGCTGAGATTACACTATGCCCAGCCCAGGTTTTCTTTTTTGTAGCCTGCTCTTTGGATGGATTTGAGGTGATGTAAATGCAGAATGCTAGTTGTTCCTTGCCACACTAAGTGTTGTTAGTATTGTTGATGATAAACTGCCTGATTGTCAGGGTTATGGCGCCTAGAGGGATGTGACTTGGTACATACTGCCAGAGGGTTACATGTCAGGCATGGGGAAGAATAGCTAAGGAATGGGAGGGGGAGCTTCCTTGACTCTCAAGTGGTCTTGCTGAAAAAAGCAAGTGCATCATTCTTGCTTTTTTTCAGGTGTGCCCCATGAAATGGACAGGCACCGAGCTATGCCTGAGATATTGCCATATCTACTAATGCAGTGGCTGCTTGTCTGAGCTTATTCTTTGCTGTTTTGTGTCAGATAAAGCTGAATAAACTGATGTTGATCACTTACTGTGGTCTTTCATTCTTTTGTGAATTCTGAACCCAGAACCAACTGATAATGAGTCAGTGGTTGTGTACAATGCTGTATTCATAAAAGTAAGTTCCATTCTCTTATGTAAATTTATAATTTGTTTTCTCTTTCAGTTAAGCCTTCAGGTGCGAGATGTTACGTTGATGGATCTGAAGAAATTGGAAGTGACTTTAAGATAAAATGTGAACCAAAAGAAGGTTCACTTCCATTACAGTATGAGTGGCAAAAATTGTCTGACTCACAGAAAATGCCCACTTCATGGTTAGCAGGTACTGCTGATAATAGTATTTGTACCACATGCCATTGATTTGGACTAAGATCTAGTAGGGGTGTGTGTGTGATTTGAGATAGGGCCTTGCTCTGTCACCCAGGCTCACTGCAATCACGGCTCACTGAAGCTTCAACCTCCTAGGCTCAAGTCATCCTCCCACCTCAGCCTCCCAGTTAGCTGGAACTACAGGTGCATGCCATCACACCCTGCTAATTTTTTTTTTAAAAAATGTGTAGAGACAGGATCTCCCTGCGTTGCCTGTGCTGGTCTCAAACTCCTGGGCTCAAGGAGTCCTCTTTCCTTGGCCTCCCAAAGTGCTGGGATTACAGGCATGAGCCCAGGCATGTGCCCAGCCTGCTTGTATATTGTAGATTCCCAGATGCTTTCTTTCCCTTTTCTACATAGAATAATCAGGATTTCCATAGGAATTATTCAGTGTTTTATAATATCAATTTAGTGTCATATATTATAAATGAAGAGCTATTCTATGATTTCATTTTTTTAGGATATTAGTTACTTTGGTACTTTTTTTTGGGTTTTTTTTTTTTTTTTTTTTTTCCGAGACAAGGGGTCTCGCTCTGTCACCCAGGCTGGGCGTGCAGTGGTAGAATCTCGGCTCCCTGCAGTCTTCACCTCCCAGGCTTAAGTGAGCCTCCCACTTCAGCCTCCCGAGTAGCTGAGACTACAGGCATGTGTCACCACACCCTGCTAATTTTTGTATTTTTTGTAGACATGGAGTTTCTGCATGTTGCCCACACTGGTCTCAAACTCCTGGGCTCAAGCTCTCCACCCACCTCAGCCTCCCAAAGTATAGGTGTGGGCCATTGCGCCTGGCGAATTTTTTTTTTTTAATTGATGAGACATGTTCATGATTACAACTTAGATGGTGGCTAAAGTATAGTAAGAGTTGGCTCTTTAGTGTTTTGCCTAGATTGAAAATATAGTAATTTACCCATGGTGTGTCTGTAAATTAAAAGAAAACCCGTGTGACACTAACTAGAAAGTTACAAATTGGCCAAATCTGCTCACCTATTTGTTATAATTGACTTCTTAGTTCAAACTGATGACCAGGCTCCACCCCGCCATCCACTGCATCCTGGTCTTTAGTAGGTTTTCTCTCTGCCTCTCTGTTTTTCAAACTAAGAGACCAATCTGGGAGTCCTCTTCTGACTTCCTTTTGTATGTTTCTTCCATCTAGGGGGGAATAAAATAGGTTTTGTATGTTTTCCTGCTGCAGGAAAGATCCTTTGTGGAATGCGGTAGCGTTTATAGTCTTATGTGCCCCAAGATGGGTTTGCAGCAGGTACACAGTGGACCAGCACCCCTGCTCCAGCTGAGGCTGTGTGCTGCAGGGGATCATGGTTACTTTCACCTTGATACATGTGAACTGGAAGCATGATTGAATTCTGGAAACATCTGTGTGGCTCAATGCCAGTTTGCTTGCATCCAGCCTTGGTCTGTCTTGCTTTTAACTGGATTGTTTAATTTGGAGAGGACTATGTTTACTAACACCTGATAACAATACATACTATAAAAATGAGTTTGTTTTCTTTTTCCTCCTTCCATAGAAATGACTTCATCTGTTATATCTGTAAAAAATGCCTCTTCTGAGTACTCTGGGACATACAGCTGTACAGTCAGAAACAGAGTGGGCTCTGATCAGTGCCTGTTGCGTCTAAACGTTGTCCCTCGTAAGTTATCTTCTTTCTGTTGGTGGTTTTGTTTCTGTTATCTTTATACCACCTCCTTTAGTTCAGTCAGCAAGTGTGTATTAAGGACAAAGGGACACTGACTTTGATCAGAACACTGTGGTTTGATTATTAGCTTTTCTAGAAAAATACATTTTATTAAAAAAACTTCATAATTGCAATGATATATTAAGAAGGTAAGAGTTGTCAAATCAACCCTTGTACCATATTTAGCTGTTATAAGTATGAGTAGCTTAGAACATTCTTATATGTTAACCAAGATAGCTTTGAATATTAAAATCTTTCAGACAGGTTTTATCATTTTAATGCTTGGAATAGATTATACAGTTCAGAAGACAGTTCTTTTTATGAATTTTTCCCCCGGATCAAAAAGACTAAATAATTTGTCTTAAAGTTAACACGTGATGAAATCAATCTAAAAATGTATAGCCTACCTTCAGTATCTATACATGTATATATGTATATATTTTTTACTATTAATTCTTCTTATTTTAGCTTCAAATAAAGCTGGACTAATTGCAGGAGCCATTATAGGAACTTTGCTTGCTCTAGCGCTCATTGGTCTTATCATCTTTTGCTGTCGTAAAAAGCGCAGAGAAGAAAAATATGAAAAGGAAGTTCATCACGATATCAGGTAATTAAGTGAGACAGGAGTTGACTGATGTATACCAAATATATGTCATTTCTCTAAAGCATTCGTTCTCTTATTAACCACCCAAAGCATCTTTCTTAGGAGAATGGGTAAAAGCTCTGGCCGCCTTCTCAATACATTTGAAAGCATTTACTTCTAACTGCAAGTGCAGAGCTCCAACCACCATTCGTTGTGCCCCGCTCCCCAACCTTCTCGTACCCCATTTTAAGAACCACTGCCAAATGATTATCTCAAGACTGCCTGCTTCTTGAGAAGAATCCCTGCCTGCAGTGGTAGGGATGAAGTAGATATTGAGGTTTGAAAAAAAAACTGACCTGATTGTATCAAGTAATCTGGAAGTTTGTAGAACAATTGGTAGTATAATTTTTATTTTCCTTAAATATTCTAAATCAGTAGGTCTTAACGAGAAGTGTGCATATTAGATAATAGAATTTTAGAAGTAATAACACATGACTTCACACCCTAGAAATTGACATTTGGCAGGTCTAGGGTGGGGTCTGGACACTTGTACAGGCACACTTCAGAGTTATCGCACACTGCGATAAATCACATGAATGTTTTTGTTTTTCCAGTGCATAAAAGGTTATGTTTATACTATATTGTAGTCTAAAATGTGCAGTAGCATTATGTGTAAAAAAACAGTGTAGATACCCCAATTAAAAAATATTGCTAAAAAATGCTAATGATTATCTGAGCCCTCAGTGAGTCTTAATCTCTCTGCTGGTGGAAGGTCATGCCTCACTGTTGATGACTGGTGGCTGATCAGGATGGTAGTTGCTGAAGGTTGCAGTGGCTATGGCAATTTCTTTCTTTGGTTGTTGGGTTTTTTGTTGTTTGTTTTCTGAGACAAGGTCTCGCTCTCTGTTGCCCAGGCTGGAGTGGAGTGATACAATTATGGCCCACTGCAACCTCTGCCCCCTGGGTTCAAGTGATCCTCCCACCTCAGCTTTCCGAGTATCTGGGACTACAGGCATAAGCCACCACACCTGACTAATTCTTGTATTTTTTGTAGAGATGGGGTTTCACCATGTTGCCAAGGGTGGTCTCGAACTCCTGGGCTGCATTGGCTCCTGCCAAGATGTCAACCTGTCCTTTAAAGCTTTGAAGCCAGACATTGACATCTTTAGCCACTAAAGGCCTAGATGGTGTCTTCTTCCAGTAGAAGTCTGTTTTGTCTCTATTGAAAATCTGTTACTTAGTGTAGTTACCTTCATCAACGATCTTTTAACTAGATCTTCTGGATAACTTTCTGTAGCTTCTTCATCAGCACTTTGTTGCTTCACTTTGTATTTTTATGTTATGGAAATGGCCTTTTTCCCTAAACTCATTAACCAGCCTCTGTTAGCTTCCAACTTTTCTTCTGCAGCTGCCTTAGCTCTCTCAGCCTTGATAGAATTGAATAGAGTTAGGGCCTTGCTCTGGATTGGGCTTTGGTGTAAGGGAATGTTGTGACTATTTTGATCCTCTATCCAGACCACTAAACTTTCTCCATATCAGCAATAAGACTGCTTCACTTTCTTATCGTTCACGTGTTCACTGGAGTAACACTTTGACTTTACTTTAAGAACTTTTTCTTTGCATTTACAATTTGGTTTGGCTGTTTGGTGCAAGATACTAGCTTTCAACCAGTGTTGGTTTTCAACATGCTGTCCTCACTAAGGTTAATTATTTCTGGGTTTTGATTTAAAGAGAGCCTTGCTGATGATTGCTTGACTCCAGGAGTTTGAGCTTGCAGTGAGCTAGGATCGCACCACTGCACCCTACCGTGGTTGACAGTCTCAAAATAAATAAGATATTTTTTTAAAAAGTAGAGCCATGATAACTATTCCTTTTACTTGAACACTTAGAGGTCATTGTAGGGTTATTAAGTGGCCTAATTTCAATATCATTGTGTCTCAGGGAATAGGGAGGCCTGAGGGAGGGGTGAGAGATGGGGAGGATGTTGGGGGGGATGGCCAGAACACACACAACATTTATTAAGTTTGCTGTCTCTTATGGGCATCATTCATGGTGCCCCAAAACAGTTAAAATAGTAACATCAAAGATCACTGATCACAGATCACCCTAACAGGTATGATTATGAGAAAGTTTGAACTGTTGTGAGAATTTCCAAAATGCAACACAGACATGAAGTGAGCACATGCTGTTGGAAAAATGGTACTGGTGGCCGGGCACGGTGGCTCACACCTGTAATCCCAGCACTTAGGGAGGCCGATATGGGTGGATCACGAGGTCAGGAGATAGAGACCATCCTGGCTAACACGGTGAAACCCCGTCTCTACTAAAAATACAAAAAATTAGCCGGGTGCAGTGGCGGGCGCCTGTAGTCCCAGCCACTCGGGAGGCTGAGGCAAGAGAATGGCGTGAACCCGGGAGGTGGAGCTTGCAGTGAGCTGAGATCACGCCACTGCACTCCAGCCTGGGCAACAGAGCAAGACTCTGTCTCAAAAAAAAAAAAAAAAAAAAAGGTATTGATACATTTGCTTGACACAAGGTTACCACAAACCTTCAATTTGTAAAGAAAAAACAAAACAAAACAAAAATGCAGTAAGTATCTATGAAGTGTAATAAAAGCAAGGCACAATGAAACGAGTATGGCTGTATTTTTTAAATGCACCAAAGATAACTCATATACATAGTTATTCTTCGGTATCCATGGAGGACCTCCTGCAGATACCAAAATCCAAGGATGCTCAAGTCCCTGATATAAAATGGCGGCCAGGCGCAGTGACTCACGCCTGTAATCCCAGCACTTTGGGAGGCGGAGATGGGAGGATCATTTGAGCCCAGGAGTTCAAGACACCAACCTGAGCAAGATGTCTCTATTAAAAAAAAAAAAAGGAAAAAGAAAAAGATACAATGTATATAACCTGCACACATTCTTCTGTATACTTCGAGTCATCTCTAGATTACTTATAATACCTAATATAATGTAAATACTATGTAAATAATTGTTATAATGTATTGTTTAGGGAATAATGACAAGAAAAAAGCTGTACATGTTAGGTATTTTAAAAATATTAAAACAAAATTTTCTATACATGGTTTGTTGGCTTCACAGATGTGGAACCCGTGGATGTGGAGGGCCAGTTGAGCTCTCTGTCAGTGTTTGGTATGAAAATTCTTATGCCTAAATTCCCAGCAAACTTAAATCTGTAGTGTTTTCAGCTAAGGTTTTAGATAACTTTAATATAAAAAGAATTTTTTCTTTTCCTTTTTTAAAAAATTTTAAAATTTATTATTTATTTCTCTTTTTTTGAGACAGAGTCTCACTCTGGCGCCCAGGCTGGAGTGCTGTGGCGCAATCTTGGCTCACTGCAACTTTGGCCTCCTGGGTTCAAGCGATTCTCCTGCCTCAGCCTCCCGAGTAGCTGGGATTACAGGCACCTGCCACCAAGCCCGGCTAATTTTTGTATTTTTAGTAGAGATGGGGTTTTGCCATATTGGCCAGGCTAGTCTTGAACTCCTGATCTCAAGTGATCTGCCCACCTCAGCTTCCCAAAGTGCTGGGATTACAGGTGTGATTAAGATAGAAATATACCTGTAGGTGTTAGTGTTTTCTCAACTATAAAGTGTTACATGGCTTTAACTAGATTGTCTTGACCAGTGATACTAGAATATGAAACTATTTGAGATTTGTGTTTTGTAAGACAACATTCTAGAATCATCTACATTTGTGTAAATACCATATTTCATTAAGTGTGAAGTTATAACTCTTTAATCAGAATGACAGATTGGAGACATACACAATTTATGACGTTATGGCTTGTGCTTTTTGCTTTTTTGTGACACACACACACACACACACACACACACACACTTTTATATGTTTAGTACCTAAATACAGGCTCTTATCCATGATTCATAGCTTGCATAATTGTAGGTTTTTAGAAACTTATTCTCTTGACATGTATTGGGGATTTTGCTTTGCAGGGAAGATGTGCCACCTCCAAAGAGCCGTACGTCCACTGCCAGAAGCTACATCGGCAGTAATCATTCATCCCTGGGGTCCATGTCTCCTTCCAACATGGAAGGATATTCCAAGACTCAGTATAACCAAGTACCAAGTGAAGACTTTGAACGCACTCCTCAGAGTCCGACTCTCCCACCTGCTAAGGTAGCTGCCCCTAATCTAAGTCGAATGGGTGCGATTCCTGTGATGATTCCAGCACAGAGCAAGGATGGGTCTATAGTATAGAGCCTCCATATGTCTCATCTGTGCTCTCCGTGTTCCTTTCCTTTTTTTGATATATGAAAACCTATTCTGGTCTAAATTGTGTTACTAGCCTCAAAATACATCAAAAAATAAGTTAATCAGGAACTGTACGGAATATATTTTTAAAAATTTTTGTTTGGTTATATCGAAATAGTTACAGGCACTAAAGTTAGTAAAGAAAAGTTTACCATCTGAAAAAGCTGGATTTTCTTTAAGAGGTTGATTATAAAGTTTTCTAAATTTATCAGTACCTAAGTAAGATGTAGCGCTTTGAATATGAAATCATAGGTGAAGACATGGGTGAACTTACTTGCATACCAAGTTGATACTTGAATAACCATCTGAAAGTGGTACTTGATCATTTTTACCATTATTTTTAGGATGTGTATTTCATTTATTTATGGCCCACCAGTCTCCCCCAAATTAGTACAGAAATATCCATGACAAAATTACTTACGTATGTTTGTACTTGGTTTTACAGCTCCTTTGAAAACTCTGTGTTTGGAATATCTCTAAAAACATAGAAAACACTACAGTGGTTTAGAAATTACTAATTTTACTTCTAAGTCATTCATAAACCTTGTCTATGAAATGACTTCTTAAATATTTAGTTGATAGACTGCTACAGGTAATAGGGACTTAGCAAGCTCTTTTATATGCTAAAGGAGCATCTATCAGATTAAGTTAGAACATTTGCTGTCAGCCACATATTGAGATGACACTAGGTGCAATAGCAGGGATAGATTTTGTTGGTGAGTAGTCTCATGCCTTGAGATCTGTGGTGGTCTTCAAAATGGTGGCCAGCCAGATCAAGGATGTAGTATCTCATAGTTCCCAGGTGATATTTTTCTTATTAGAAAAATATTATAACTCATTTGTTGTTTGACACTTATAGATTGAAATTTCCTAATTTATTCTAAATTTTAAGTGGTTCTTTGGTTCCAGTGCTTTATGTTGTTGTTGTTTTTGGATGGTGTTACATATTATATGTTCTAGAAACATGTAATCCTAAATTTACCCTCTTGAATATAATCCCTGGATGATATTTTTTATCATAAATGCAGAATAATCAAATACATTTTAAGCAAGTTAAGTGTCCTCCATCAATTCTGTATTCCAGACTTGGGAGGATGTACAGTTGCTGTTGTGTGATCAAACATGTCTCTGTGTAGTTCCAGCAAATCAAGCTGAGCTTTGAAAAAGTTTGTCTTAGTTTTGTGAAGGTGATTTATTCTTAAAAAAAAAAAAGAAAGAAAAAGAAAAAAAGATAAGAAGGAGGAGTAAAGGGACTACTCCTCCTTGCCAAATGTGCTAAATATCATTTTAGGAGAAGAAAGTGGGTTTATTGTATTTCCCTTAAGATTGTGAGGGAGTGTGGATACAGTAGAATGAGCCAACAGTTTCTTTATAATAAATACGGTCTGCAATAAATTATTTCACTAGCTCTAAAACCTTTCCCTAGATTTTAGTAGGGAGTTGGTTTCTGTTAATATCTTTGGGTGCTGTGGTGGTAAATGCTATATTATGAACGGTGGCATGTATTTACAGTTAGAGTATTGTGTGTACACTTTTTAATGGTAAACTTAAGCTGAATGTGTAATGGATTTGTGTATAGTTTTACATATTTGGAAGCATTTTAAAAACAGGTTTTAACCTTATGTAAAATTACTTTTATACTCGTGTTAACATTTTCATCTGTGCCTTTTGGTAATTTAATTTCTATTATGAATTTCTGGTGCCTATGAGCTAGCTATCACCTACCTGAAAGGTGCTTAGAGGTGAAGGTACTGTTTCTAAAAACACATCACTGTGATACCTTTCTATCCTCACATTTTCAAGCTTGCCTCTTTTCTGTTCTTTGTGGATATAACTTAAGCAATTGTGTTATTCATAAAGGTTTAGAAATTTCAATATTCCCAACACTCTATGTTTCTGATTTTATAACAGTAGCCATTTTTGAAAGTCAGATGTTTGGCCTGTTTTATATGAATAAAGTTTATTTATAAAATATTATAAAAAATAAGTAAATAAACAGAACATTAATAATAAAGTTTTGGTTCTTCCTATTCCTGACTTTCATATAATGAAAATTATCCTATTGATCTAAGTAGAAGTTATCATAGAAAGTGGACACGTATAAGACTTTCCTTCCTTTTTTTTTTTAATAACATATGAGGAACAAGACTTCTCTTCCCATATACTTCATATTTTAGAGGACATTGTTTTAAAGGCTTATGTCTCACTGTAAAATTCTGTCAGCCAAATAGTACCAATACGTTTTCAAGTAGTTCTCACTGATAATTTAGTTGAACCAGAGATCAAATATTTGCTCCCGAATTACTACTGGTAATCAAGTAGTTGAACAAAAAATTACTAAAGCATTTCCGTTAGATCAGTCAAGGACAGTACTGCATCTTTTTTTTTTTTTTTTTTTTTAAGACGGAGTCTCGGTCTGTCACCCAGGCTGGAGTGCAGTGGCGGGATCTCGGCTCACTGCAAGCTCCGCCTCCCAGGTTCACGCCATTCTCCTGCCTCAGCCTCCCGAGCAGCTGGGACTACAGGCTCCCATCACCACGCTCGGCTAAGTTTTTGTAATTTTAGTAGAGACAGGGTTTCACCGTGTTAGCCAGGATGGTCTCGATCTCCTGACCTCGTGATCTGCCTGCCTCGGCCTCCCAAAGTGCTGGGATTACAGGCGTGAACCACTGCACCCGGCCCAGTACTGCATCTTAACAGCAAAGCCATTTTATTCTACTTTATAACTGAGAGACTTGATACCATCCATCTCTTTAGGTTACAGAGGATAATTTGAAGAGAAATGTTACTGTAGAATATATAGTTCTGTACTTTTTTTTTTTTTTTTTAAGAGATAGGGTTTCACTATTGCTCAGGCTGGTCTCAAACTGCTGGGCTCAGGAGATCCTCCTGCCTTGGCCTCCCAAATTGCTGGGATTACAGGTGTGAGCCGCAGCATCCAGCCAGTTCTGTACTTTGAATATGGAGTAGTTTACAGCTATTTTTTTTTCTTACTGGTAATCTTAACTAATATGATTCCCTTGTTAGAGAGCCTCTCACTCCCCCACCCCCAAAAATGTCTACTATTCATGACAGTAACCAATTATTCTGGACAAATTGCTTCTTTTTAATTTGAGCTATCTGCCATGGACTTTCTAAAATGGAAACACAGCCTGAGTGTATCTTAGGGAGAGTTTGATTGAAAAAATCCAAATCACTATCCATATAGATCATGGATATAAAGAGATACCTGATTTTTATTAAAAAGATACTTTTTCAAATTTAAGAGTTAATCTTGGAAATTTGGAACAAGTAAAGGGGCAAGTAAACCTTTTGATGAAATATAAAAGGAACTCATTGCATGAAGTTGACTATCAAATTCTGTGATGTGTGGCTTCTTAAAAATATTCTCAGTGTCTTTTGTGTGCGTGCAGCATGTACATTTGATGTTATGTGAATGTTGAGTTTTTTCTTCTAATTTTCACTTCAGCAGTGTTTAGGGCTTTCAGATGCCTTATTCCAGTGTGAACAGAAAAAGTTCATATTTTATGTGGTTAATGCTTTGATGTGTCACATAAAGAGTAGTTTGTAGAAAATGTTGGCACAATTTTAACTTCTTAGTGGCTTGTGACATTATATATTATATATATATATGTACATATATCTTTATAACATTCCTGTGTTTAGTAGTGTAAATGTTCTGGGCAAGTTTTAATATTTTGAATGCCTTTGGATATTCCAGCAATAAAGGCATCATGTTCTGCAATAGGATTTCTTACTCATTTACCTATTTTAACACTAAAATAGACCACAACTGAGCACAAATTCCTTTTATAAATGTTATAGAAGCAGGGAAGAATAATAAACACATTTGTGAATTGTGGTTCAGTTTATTTATCTTTAGGGAAGGCTGATCATTTATCTTATAGCAGATAACCCCAGCCTCTTATTCATTATGGTTAACTTTTATAATTTATCTTATTTTATAATTTAAGAATATAGTACATATCAGTTGGGTTTGGTTTTGGTCATCGAGACTAAAAGCTCCATCAAAACAGAACTTTGTGTTTTCTGCTAACTTATTTAATGACACAAGTTTTAAGAGAACCACAATTCATTGATTCACTTATTCTTTTCCCTAATTGTGAATTTTAGTGATAAATACACCTGTACTACTGAGGAAAATATTCTGACACTTCACGTGTGCAAAGTATAGAACTGACAGTGTCAGTTTCAGATTTTGTATGTACGATTTCTGGCTTATATATCCAATGGTGCAGATTTTGAAATTTGTAAGAACAAAATTTGTTAAGAAAAACAACTTGCTCTAGTTTTGTGACCTTGTGTACTTTTGAAATAAAATCAAGAAAGCAGTTCTCTGCCTCATGGTGTGGCTTTATTGTGCCTTTTATACAGTGTCCACTAAAGCTTTAATATTTTATTCCTCCCTGCTTGCTGTGTCATGGTTTCCTTCCCCCCGTGTATCCTCTAAACAGAAAGAATAAAGATTGCGACAATCATATTAATACATCATTGAAAACATGTCAAGCATACAGACCATTATCTCCCCATTCCTGTGTGCTTATATAACAGTATATACTATTTGGGGTTGAAACCTCCAACGTTCTGTGATCATTTCAGAATTTACAGTATAAACTCAAACATTTTTCAGATACATTGCCCAATGTGTGTATATATACACAGATATGAGGATGGGAAGTCAAAGATCAAGGCACTGGCAGATTTGGTGTCTGGTGAGAGCTTACCTTCTGTTTCAAAGATGGGGCCTCTTGCTGTATTCTCACATGACAGAAAGGAGGAAAGGGAGCTTCCTCTAGCCTCTTTCATAAGGCCATTAATGCTATTCATGAGAGTGGAGTCCTCCTGACTTGATCACTTCCCAGAGGGGCCCCACATCTGAGTGCTATCACGTTGAGTATTAAGATTTCAGCATAATGGTGAGATTTGGGCTTCTGGCTAATAAAATGTATATCAACATGAGAATTTTAGGGAGGCACAGATATTCGAACCAAAGTAACATCTCGTTATGGCTTAAAGTATTTTCATTCACTGTAAATGTTGATTTCAGGAAAAACCAGAATGGGATGTTGATGCTACTTTAAGAAGCATGTTGAGGAATATTGTGTTTATACTAGGGTTTCTCAACCAGCACTATTAACATTTTGGGCTGGATAATTCTTTGTCGTAGGGGACTGTCCTGTGCATTGCGAAATGTTTGGCAGCACCCCTGGCTTCCACCCGCTGGATATCAGTAGCACCCTGGTCCCCGCCACCACAGCATCCCCACCACAGTTGTGACAATAAAAAGTATTTCCAAACATTACCAAATATCTCCCCTGGGGTCGGAGCCAAATCGCCTCCTTTTGAGAACCACGGATTTATACTGATGTGAAATTTTCTACTCGGCGATTAAAAGGTGAAGAGCACAGGGCTTAGAGTCAGGCATGTTTAAATACCACTTATTACTAGTTGCTTCACTTTGCTTCAGTTTCCTAGTGCTTAAAATGGTACAAAATACCTACTTCACAGGGGATGTTGGAGGATTTCAAAGAGATAGAACTGATATAATAATGAAAGTTCTTTGTATTTATCCTTGATAGCTGGGATGCTGATAATGATACAGACTTTCAAGGAATCGAGATTACAGTACAATATGCCAAGTGGAACTGAGAATAATTAAATGCCTTTCATTTAGACCATATTTTAATCTTATAGCTCTAATGGCTGGATCATATTTCTGCTTAACAAATGGCAAAGCTGATTAAACTGAGACAACATTGGGTATGAAGTAACTTATTATTCAGTAAAAATAGTGTAAGTCTAAGGCATAATCAAAGATAATTTCAAGATGCAGTAATACCAACAGTGAAAAAATCAAGAAGCTACTCCAAGAAACTAAGCTCAGTTTTTCTGCCGGTATTTCCAAAATGTAAGTCAAACATACTTTGTTACTTAGATGATTTTTAAATTGTGTTAAATATTTATAGGGGGAAAAGTTGCTACTCTAAGGTAACTATACAAAAAGAAGCTATTAGGTTTTCCAAATTTGGGATACTTCTGTGCCCTCCTCAGTGTCAACACAGGTCTTTTATGGCACAAAACCTTTGCATTCTAATTGTTTCGCATGCTTGATATACCTCCTTCAGTAACCTGAAGGTGATTTACCCACCTCAGTCCCCACTGCCTAAGTCTATGACTTCCAAATTGCTCAGTAAATGCTGAGTGGATATTTAGTAAGAAACCTATGGACACTGGGGACAAATATGTGTTCATTAAATATGCATCATATACTCTGCAAGCCACCTGGCCTGGTCTCTTCAAAAAGGCAGTATTGGCCAGGTTGGGTGGCTCACGCCTGTAATCCCAGCACTTTGGGACGCCAAGGCAGGCGGATCACTTGAGGTCAGGAGTTCGAGACCAGCCTGGCCAACATGATGAAACCCCATCTCTACTAAAAATACAAAAAAAAAAAAAATTAGGCAGGCGTGGTGGTGCATGCCTGTAATCCTAACTATCTGGGAGGCTGAATGGGATGATTGCTTGAACCTGGGAGGCAGAGGTTGCAGTGAGCCGAGATCGCGCCACTGCACACTCCAGCCTGGGTGACAGGGTGAGACTCCGTCTCAAAAAAAAAAAAGGGGCAGTATCATGAGAAAAAGGATGAGTATGTGCAGTGAGGGGAAAGGCTGCACTTGGCTTAAAGAGTTAACTTGCGCAAATACAGCATGGGGTTACCTGACTCAGTAGTAGCGAACACGGAAAACAGAACTCATTGTAAGAAGCATTTCAGAAATATATTTCTAAAGCCCTTCTTACGGATTCCCGCTGAATAGGTCTAGGGTGAAATCAGTGACTCTTCTCTCCCAGATTATTTCAATAATTAACCAACTTAGGGAGCCTCTGGGTGCTTAGGAAACCCTTTGCAGATGACTGATTTCCATGCTGAGGCACTAACTAACGTTGTTTTTTTTCCCCTGGGCTTCACAAAATTGCAGACTTTTAGTGTGGTTGAAAAAAAAAATACCTGCTTAAAATTTGTTGTTTAATTTTGGTATACTAATAATATATCTTAGTATCAGAATTTGAGGTGATCTGCGAAAATACCGAAAACAATTTCTTAGAAGATTTTAGCTTTCCAAAAGACCTGAAGAGTATTCCGTCAAAGTCTTTTTAAATGGCTAGTCTTCTGAAATGCCTAGTCATTTACAAGTCATTTCTATGTGTGATTGTATTAGCTGTAACAAATGGCTACAAATTGCTTGAAGAACAGAAATGTGTTATAGTTCTGGAGGTGGAAGTCCAAAATCAAGGTATTGGCAAGATTGGTTCCTTCTGAGGGCTGTGAGGGAAGGATCTGCTCCAGACCCCTGTCTTTGGCTTGTAGGTGACCATTTTCTCCATCTCTCTTCCCTCTATGCATGTCTACCACCGTGTGTACATTTCCATTTTTTTAAGGACACCAGTCACTGAATTAGGACCTACCCATATAAGCGCATCTCAACTAATTGCGTCTGTAGCAAATCTGTTTCCAAACAAGGTCACATTCTGAGATTCTAGGGAATCTGAGACTTCAACATAGAGGTGTCCCATAGAGGATGGGGACACCTCAACCCGTAACAGTAATGATGACTGCACATTATGAGAGGGACTAATAAGATAGTGTGCATTGGTATAAAACATGTACCCAGAGGGTTCTCTGTTTAACTTTCAATGGCATAATAACAGTATCAACACCTAAATAACTATGCCAACATAGTTATTTCATGATCCTCAACTGCCTCTGCCTACCCCAGGAATATACTATCTTTATTTCAAATATGGGTGACTTTGTTAACTTCACATCTGCTTGTCAAGTGAAAAAGTAGTTGAAACGGTTATGAGGCTGGGCACGGTGGCTCACACCTGTAATCTCTGCACTTTGGGAGGCCGAGGCAAGTGGATCACTTGAGGCCAGCAGTTCGAGACCAGCCTGACCAATGTGGTGAAACCCCATCTCTACTAAAAATACAAAAATTAGCTGGGTGGTGGCACATGCCTGTAATCCCAGTTACTCGGGAGGCTGAGGCAAGAGAATTGCTTGAACCCAGGAGGCGGAGGCTGCAGTGAGCCGAGATTGTGCCTCTGCACTCCAGCCTGGGCAACAGAGCAGACCCTGTAAAAAAGAAAAAAATTCATAATCTGAATTTGTCTTTTTAAGTGAATCCTGCTGACAAGATAAAACTAGTTTTTGAGGGAAGTAAAGCTTAGAGGAACTTCTACATTTCACACTTGATCTTAGCCAAAAGGCCAGGAAGTGATAAGAACTTCTACATTTTAAGTTATTCACAAGATAACTATTAATGAACCTGAAATAGTTTGTAAAGTATTTCAGAAAGGTGATGCACAAAGTATAGAGTGAAATCTAACCCTCTCACCCGTATTTCCCAGTTTCTGTCCCCACTTCCCCTTCAAAAGGCATTAACTGATTGCTTCTTCAATTTTGATAATTTTTGAATAGGTCATCTATTTCACAGAAGAAAATTCAAAAGGTCTGAGTATATAGTGAAAAATGTGATCAGTTTTTTATTTACCCTTCTAGGAATGCTCTATACATAGTCCAGTACTTGTGTATGTGTGTTTGTGAGTTTATCCTGAATATTTTATTTTAAAAAGTTAACAGTGAATGGATTGGTCATGATGGGTGAGTGGATATTAGGTTTTTGGTTGGAGTAACTGTGTGGGAAATTATGATACTAAGCTAGGAAAGACAGAAGGATTAGCAAATTTGAAAGCAGAACCCTGTTTTAGCCATGCAACATATAAAATGTCTATTAGAATCCAGGCATGATGATAGGAGGCAGGTGAATTACCAACTTGGACCTAAGTAGAAAATTCAGAAATGGAGAGAAAATTGGACAGTTTTAAGCCTTAAGGCAGATTTTAGACAGGAATAGATGAAGTCATCATGGTAGAGAATGCAGACAGAAGTAAAGGTAGTGATCAGAGCGCTAATTCTTTGAATGTTCAGAAGTGAAGCTAAGGAAATCAGTTTTGAACATGTTGAGTTTGAGAAGTTTGTTAGATATGCAAATGGAGATGTTGAATAGATACCTAGATGTATCTGGAGTAGGAGAGAGGACTGGAGATAGAAAAATGTGGATTACCAAGGATGTGTGTGATATAAACAAGTGCCCAAACTATGGGCACTTCACTCAAATAGGAAGTAGGGAAATGGAAAAATATGGAATATATATATATTACATATATACACACACATACATACATACATACATACATACATACATACATACATACATACATACATAAGGGTTGATATTTAGGGGTCCAATGCTGTCAGCCAGTGAGAAAGATAATATTCCTGGCAACCTTGAATGAAGTGTCTCATTCTATCTGCTGCTGCTCCTGTTGGGAAGGCTTTTCTGTTTTTTGTTTTGTTTGGTTTTGTTTGGTTTTGTTGAGACAGGGTCTTGCTCTATTGCCCAGGTCGGAGTGCAGTGGTGCGATTATAGCTCACTGCAGCCTCGATCTTCTTTGCTCAGCAATACTCCTGCCTCAGCCTCTCAAGTAGCTGGGATAACAGGCGCACCCACATGCCTGGCTAATTTTTTTGATTTTTGGTAGAGAGAGGTCTTGCTGTGTTGCCCAGGCTGGTTTGGAACTCCTGAACTCAAGTGATACCCCTGCCACGGCCTCCTAAGTCCTGGGATTACAGGTGTGAGCCACCATGCCTGTCCTCAATTGTAAAATTTTTTTTTTTTTTTTGAGGCGGAGTCTCGCTCCGTTGCCCAGGCTGGAGTGCAGTGGCACGATCTCTGCTCACTGCAAGCTCCGCCACCCGGGTTCACGCCATTCTCCTGCCTCAGCCTCTCAAGTAGCTGGGACTACAGGTGTCCACTACCAAGCCCAGCTAATTTTTTTTTATATTTTTAGTAGAGACAGGGTTTCACCGTGTTAGTCAGGATGGTCTTGATCTCCTGACCTCGTGATCCACCCACCTCAGCCTCCCAAAGTGCTGGGATTAATTTGTAAAATTTTTAAAGTTAAAAAAAAATGATTTTAGGCTGGGCGCAGTGGCTCACGCCTGTAATCCCAGCACTTTGGGAGGCCGAGGCTGGTGGATCACCTGAGGTCAGGAGTTCAAGACCAACCTGACCAACATGGTGAAACCCTGTCTCTACTAAAAATACAAAAATTAGCCAGGCATGGTGGTGGGTGTTTGTAGTCCCAGCTACTTGGGAGGCTGAGGCAGGAGAATCACTTGAACCTGGGAGGCAGAGGTTGCAGTGAGCCGAGATCACGCCACTGCACTCCAGCCTGGGTGACAGAGCGAGACTCCATCTCAAAAAAAAAAAAAAAAAGTTTTTAAGGGCTTTGAAAAGGAGGAAAAAGAAACATGCCCAACAGGGTTCCATTGATTGAACAAATTTAATTTGGTGCAAATGCAGTAAGTGCTTAATAGGCTGTTGGCAGGGAGCTAGGGAATCCTCCAGAAATACTTTGGTCAGGATAACACCATAAAAGGAGCTTGGGAGATAGCCAGCTCTGGTTCCATCTCTGGCTTCACTACTTACTAGCTGGATGACCTTAGACAAACCACTTAACCTCTCCATACTCCTTTACCTCATGAATAAAATAGGATAATAGTATCTACCTTGTAGTATCTATCCCAATTTTTATGGGATTGCTGTTTACATATGTCAAGTATACAGGCTGGCACCTGGTCAGTGATCAGTTAAGTGTTAGCTTTTAGCATCGTTATTATTCTTGTATTATACTAGTAATATTTACCTCATATCTCACTAATATAAGGTGACTGTATCCCACTTTTCCGGGGGTAGATTTATGTCTGTTACTTCGGTGTAATTGATAACAGCAATAAATCATTTGCTCTCAAAAGTATGTCGGATTGGGCAGTAAGATTTATGGTTACCCTGCCTTTGGGATTTTTACAGTAACTCGGAAGTAGTCCCTTGGTGTTATGTACTAACCATGAGAAAAATAAATGTCTCTACTCACACTTTCTCTGTCACTGTTCAATCAAAAGCAGAACCAGCAGTTCCAAAGATAGTGAGTTATCTCCATTAAATGTTCACAGTTACAGGTCAAGCTCTTTGTTCTACTCTTTTGCCCCTTCTCACTTTTGCACTTGACTGGTCTTTATTTTAAAACAAAAAACAAAAAAGCACTATATTTATAGTTAAACAATATTTAACTATTTAAAAACAAGTTTAAATAGTTAAAAATATGTTACATTTCCATGCTGTTTAGACTATCTCCAAAACTCTAGGATATACACCAGTACTGCTATAATGTGTGACATCATTTACTGTGTTATATCAAAATACCTGCCAGTAACGAGAGTGCCTCTGCACTTCAGTCTGGGCTACAGAGTGAGACCCTGTCTCAAAAAAAAAAAAATTGTTTCCTTGTTAAGATAACACTGTGACCAATAGTAAATGAATTTTAAAATATTTTACCTGACATCATCATCAAAACCTGTCTGTCCTATTTCACTTCTGGCATATTTAAATACATATGTTTGATTTTTAAAGTGCATGTTCTCTAATTTTTTTTCTACTTAATATTATTGTATCCTAAACATCTGTTGTTGGAAGTATTTCATATATATCCATTTTAATGAAGCATGATGTTTCATTAAGTTGACGTTCCATAACTTATCATTTTCTTATTTTTGGACCTAGAGATTGTTTTTAATTTTATGTCATATGTAATGTTGCATTCCTGGAGTCTTTTTCATTCTTTTGAACATTCAGAGCACAGGTATTAAGACAATGGGTTGTTGGGAAAAATGAAATGAAATTTAAGTGAAACCACTTTTTCTCACACGTCAGACCATTCTGCAAGCTTTTTTTTTTTTTTTTTTTTTTTTTTTTAACTGATGCATTGATCTCTAGAACACAATTTAAGAAACCTTGGTAAGGAAAAAAAGTGAACTTCTGGCCTTTCTTTTTTAACTTGTGGTAAACACATTTAACATGAGAACTTAATCATCTTGCATAATTAAAACTTTTTACCTGTTGAATAGCAATTCCCCATTTCTCCCTCCCCGTTTCTCCTGGCACTCTCTGCTTCTCCTACTCTCTGCTTTCTATTTTATATACCTCATAAAAGTGGTTTTATGCAATATTTGTCCTCCTGAGACTGCCTTATTTTACTTGGCAAAATGTCCTCCAGGTTCATTCATGTTGGATATAGCAGGACTTTTTTTTTAAGGCTGAGTGATATTCCATAGTATTTAGATACCATTTTCTTAATCTACTCATCCATCTATTAACATTTAGGTTGTTTCCACATCTTGACTAATTCAGTGAACATAGGAGTGCAAATAGCCCTTCAATATCTTAATTTCAGTTCTTCTGAAAATACCAAAAGATTGATAGGATTGCTGGATCATAGGGTAGTTCTATTTTTAATTTTTTGAGGAATCTCCATACTGTTTTCTATAATGGCTGTACCAATTTACATTACCACCAGCAGTGTACAAGAGTTCCAATTTCTCCACATTTTCACCAGCACTTACCTTTGGTTTGTTTTTGTCTGTTTGTTTAATAGCTAAACTGACAGGTGTGAGGTGATAAGTTCTGGCCTTTCTAAGTGAAAGGTGTATGGTGAAATCACCAGGTAAGAGTGTGTAGAGTGAGAAGAAGCCCAAGTCAGCGCCCTGGGGCACGCAGGAACTAAGAAAACCCTACTGTGAAAATGAAATCATACATGATGATGGACCAGTTCTGGTAGGATGGTTGGGTCAACACTTAGAACAGTGGATTAAAGAAATCTAAGGAAGCAGGGCTGGGCTCAATGGCTCACGCCTGTAATCCTAGCACTTTGGGAGGCCAAGGCAGGCAGAGCCCAGGAGTTCGAGACCAGTCTGGCCAACATGGCAAAGCCCCATCTCTACAAAAAATATAAAAATTAGCCGGGCATGGTGGCACGTGCCTGTTGTCCCAGCTACTCAGGAGGCTGAGGTGGGAGGATTGCTTGAGCCCCAAGGGTGCAGTGAGCCATGATAGCGCCACTGCACTCCAGCCTGGGTGACAGAGCAAAAGACCTTGTCTTCAAAAAAATTAAGAAATCTAAGGAAGCAGTACATTTTGCATATACCTGTCTCAAATGAAATCCTATGTAAGGTTCAAATCATATCAGATGAAATGGTTATTGTTTATCTTCTCTTTGCCTCCCCACATCCCCCCTTCACCAGATCCCCCACTAGCTCCAGAGACATCTGATTCATAAGACCCAATATAAAAGCTAATAGACTATTCTTTCAAAGTCCTTGGTGGTGAAGGGAAGGAAAAAGCAAGACGGCACAGTAACTAGAAGCAGGGCAAAGGTTAGTTTAAGATAGGAGAGATGCAAGCATAATTAATGTAGGCTGTGGAAAGAGAGCCTGGAAAGAAGGGGCCAAGATAAAATGAAGAACTTGAGAAAGTGAGAGAGATGGATGCAGATTTAACACATTTGTGACTGTGTGGATAGGATGTTATTAGACGGTCTTACTTTTCTTTTTCCTTTCTTCTCTTTTCTTTTTTTTTTTTGAGATGGAGTCTCACCCTGTCACCCAGGCTGGAGTGCAGTGGTGCAGTCTTGGCTCACTGCAACCTCCGTCTCCCAGGTTCAAGCGATTCTCCTGCCTCAGCCTCCCGAGTAGCTGGGACTACAGGTGCATGCCACCACACCCAGCTAATTTTTTGTATTTTTAGTAGAGACGGGGTTTCACAGCGTTAGCCAGGATGGTCTCGATCTCCTGACCTCGTGATCTGCCTGCCTTGGCCTCCCAAAGTGTTGGGATTACAGGCGTGAGCCACTGCGCCCCGCCGGTCTCACTTTTCTTTATGATGTATAGGTGAGGCCATTCCCTGGGCGGCTTGCCAGTTGTAGGGCAGGGTAAGAAGACAGAAAAGAGATGAAATTTAGGAAATTTCGGATGAAGAATGGGAGAGAGAAGAGGCTTAGAACACAGAAAGCAGTCCTTGAATGGTGATGGTGCTGGTGAGGTTTGAATCACAAACTTGTTACACTGGCCATTTAGGGCCTGGATATTAGCTGGCAGAGTAAGTGCTCAATAAAAGTGTGTTTGTATGAAGACATGATTTGTTCCATTCCTGTTGTATTTTATTAAAAAAAAAAACAACCTTTCCTATTCATTTACTATTGCATATAGAGGACTTGGGTGCATCTAACCTCAGGAAGACATGAAGAGGTGATGGACTACTTTATTTATTTACTTATATTTTTTATAGAGATGGGATCTTGCTATGTTATCTAAGCTGGTCTCAAACTCCTGGCCTCAGGCAGTCTTTAGCCTTTGCCTCCCAAAGTGCTGGGATTATAGGCATGAGCCACCATACCTGGCCCTGGACCACTTTGGAAAGAAATATGAATCCACTTGATTATGAAAACAGCCGTTTATTAAATTTATTAATTTATTAAACAGCCTCTGCAGTTAAGTATGTTCTCCTAGACAAGAGTTGGCGAAAACTCTCACTTCTGGGTTAACTTTCTTAAAACACTTATGTTCACTCTCTTGCTCAAAAGCTTTCCTAGACAACTTCCAATTTAAAGAATTCCAGGCCAGGCGTG
This sequence comes from Homo sapiens, assembly GCF_000001405.40. NCBI lineage: Eukaryota > Metazoa > Chordata > Mammalia > Primates > Hominidae > Homo > Homo sapiens. Next base: position 17,580,348 of record NC_000021.9, read on the forward strand.
TTGGCTAACACCTATAATCCCGGCACTTTGGGAGGCCGAGGCAGGCAGATATCTCGAGCCCAGGAGTTGGAGACCAGCCTGGCCAACATGGCGAAACCTGTCTCTGGTAAAAATACAAAAGTTAGCTGGGCATGGTGGCAGGCGCCAGATACTTGGGAGGCTGAAGTAGGAGGATCACCTGAGCCTGAGGAGGTCAAGGCTGCAGTGAGTTGTGATCGCACTACTGAACTCCGGCCTGGGTGACAGAGTGAGGCCTTGTCTCAAAACCAAAAATACATAAATAAAGATTAAAGTCTAAACCATAGGTTTAGTGGCTTCAGACTTTTACATCTGACCCTGCACTATTATACTTACTCTATCCTTATACTGGCATATACATGTATTTTTTAAAAAATAAAAGTTAATACAATGTTTCTTTTTTGAGACAGAGTCTTGCTCTGTCACCCAGGCTGGAGTGCAGAGGGGTGATCATGGCTCACTGCAGCCTCAACCTCCAGGGCTCAAGCAGTCCTCCCACCTCATCCTCCCAAGTGACTGTAACTATGGGCACGCACCAGTACACCTGGCCAATCTTTAATTCTTTTGTAGGGAGGAGGTCTCACTATGTTGTCCAGGCTGGTCTCAAACTCTTGGGCTCAAGTGATCCTCCTGCCTTAGCCTCCCAAAGAGCTGGGATTATAGGCATGAACCATCTTGCTAGGTCACAAACTTGTTTTTAATTTAACAATTGCTCTCAGGTCATTCTGTATTTCCCTTTGTATCTATTATCTTTGGTACAAAGCAAGCTTTTTTTCTCCCAAAACTGTATAGTGTTACATCAAAGTGATACACTATAACGTATATAATCAGTTTCCAATTGATGGTCATTTAAATTAATCCCATCCTTTTGGTATAACAAGTAAAATTACAATCAATATATATGTATATATGTCATTTTGTGTATGTATAAATATATCTTTAAAATAAATTTCTAAAAGGAGCAAATGAGTAAAGAATATTTTGATAGATACTATTAAAACAGCATCCTAAGTGTTGTGGCAGCTTATGCTTTCAATATATGAGAGTGTTTATCCCCTGAAAATCTTCACCATACTTTTATCCAACTTCTTGATCTTTCCTGACCTCAGGAGAAAATTATCACATGGTTTAAAAGTCTACCTCTCTTTCAATTTGCTCAGTTGAGCATCTTTTTCTTTGTTTAAAAACATTTGTAGGACCAGACACGGTGGCTCACACCGGTAATCTCAGCACTTTGGGAGGCTGAGGTAGGAGGATCACTTGAGGCCAGGAGTTCAAGACCAGCCAGGGCCAACATAGTTGAGACCCTATCTCCACAAAAAATAAAAAATTAGCTGGATGTGGTGGCATGTGCCTGTAGTCCCAGCTACTCAGGAGGCTGAGGTGGGAGGATCACTTGAGCCCAAGAAGATTGAGGCTTGCAGTGAGCTCTGACAACACTGCAACTCCAGCCTGGGGTGACAAAGGCTAAGACTCTGTCTCAAAAAAAAAAAAAATTATATTTTTGAGAATTCCATTTTTCCTTTGTACTAGTAGTCTGGCTAATTTGGGAGGAGTTTGTTTGTTTGTTTGTTTGTTTGTTTTGTTTGTTTTGACGGCGTTTCACTCTTCGTTGCCCAGGCTGGAGTGCAGTGGCACAATCTCGGCTCACTGCAAACCTCTGCCCTCCCGGGTTCAAGTGATTCTCCTTGTCTCAGCCTCCTGAGTGGCTGGGATTACAGGCACCTGCCACACATTTCCTAAGGCCACATAGCTAGGAGTGGGAATCTAGGTCTCCCTGAATTCCTGGGTCTAGCCGAACACACCCAGGTAATTTTTGTATTTTTAGCAGAGACAAGGTTTCACCATGTAGGCCAGGCTGGTCTCGAACTGCTAACCGCAGGTGATGCACCCGCCTTGGCCTCCCAAAGTGCTAGGATTACAGGCATGAGCCACCGCAGCCCGCTGGAGGAGCTTTTAAATATTAATAATATTAGTTCTTTGTGATTTGACCCGCAACTTTTCCCCTCAAGTTATCTGACTGTTTGTATTTGCCCTTTTATGGCTATGTAATCTTAATCCTTCCTAAGTCCCACAGAGAAGCCATTTCCAAACCATTCTGGTTCAACACTGACTTATCTCTCCCTCCTTGAAATTGTACCCTCACTGGGAGCTCAGGGTCACCTGTCTTTTCATGTGTTTATCTCCTATCTCTAAGCAGATGTCAGAGTTCTGAAAGGCAGAAACATCTTTACATCTAACTGTTCAACACATAAACTCTCAGTAATCTTTGCTGATGATAATAATTGTAGCAGCTCTGGCTGTGTTCATATCAAGCCATTGCTGCATGTATCGCCATAACAGTGTGTCTCCTTGATTTATCTTTGGTTTCTTCAAGTTGTCGGAATTTTTGCCAAGAGCAGTTTTATGGAATCAGCACAAACTAATGAAGAAAGTGAGTTATCTTGCATTTGAAAAGATGTGTCTAGGTTACATCTTAGGTCAGCTGTCACACACTATCCCAAGTTCAATGTTGGCTGCTGGCACTGTGCTCTTTTAATGTTTCTAAGTAAGACATCTTCTCACATAGTCCCAGAACTGTCAACAATGAGATAATTTTTTGGGAACAGGAGAATGACCTTGCGATTCTGGGAGGAGAGAACGTGATAGAAAAGATATCAGTGACTGCAATTTGCAACCTGTTGGGAAATCATAGTCCTCTAACATTCACCAGTCTTTTAATCTGACAAGGAGGGGACATTTTATGTGTTCACAGAAACGAGAGAACACAAAGTAAAATTAAACAATTACATGAGAGGAACCATAATCTCTGCCTTCTCAAGTAAAAGATACTATCTGCTGTGTTCGGGACATGATAAAGATGTGCTATATAGTAGACCAGGAGAGCTTTATGAATGTATGTATATATAGATTTGGTTTAAACTTCTTGTAATGTTATGGGCAAAAGATTTGTGGTACAGTTAAGTGAAGAAATTTACATAGCAGTTAAAGTTCTGCAAAAAACAGAAACGTCCATAGGCTGTTTTAAATGTTAAAATAAAAACCTTTAAATGTCTATAGTAGTCATAGGAAAGATATACCAAATTTTAAGAGATTAACTTGGGGTGGTTGTTTTTCAGATTTTCTCCAACATATATGTATAACTGTTGTACATCATCCATTTTAGTATCAGAGCAATACTTGAAATACGCTACCATCTCATCCAAAATAGCCATCAGATGATTTGGCCATGCTGACACACACTCGAAATCCACTTTGCTCCCCCTGGTATCAGTGAACAGACATATTTTAATGATTAAATACCCAAATGTTAACTAAGAAATAAATGTATAATCCTCTCTTTGAGTTTGCTCAAAGGCTGAGGAAGAAGAGAGAAATATCTTAAAGAGATTTTTAAAATTCAGCACTATCCTAATGATCACATGGGATTCCTTTTTGGACCCTTTCTTTGAGGACAGTTTACCAGAAAGACCTCATTATGATCTGGTCCCATCTCTGTTAAAATTAGCTTGTAATGGATCTACAAGGCTGCCTACGGGTGTAGTAACCTCACACAGAATGGATCTTAACCTCCTTCCTTCCTTTTGTTGCTATGTTAGAAAGGGATCCATTATAGCCACAAGTTAGTGCTTTCGAGGCTTGCATACATAGGACATGCTTATTCCTGGGTTTGTGTGTTTGTGTGTGTATGTGTATGCAATCAACTCAGGTGGGAAAGATTTGTGCTTACTCATGATTTAAGATAAATGGAAGGATTCTGTTAGAAGAAGTAAATGTAATGGTTAAGAGTTTGGACTCTGGAGTTAGAGGTTATCCTGGCTCAGCCACTGAACAAATGAAGAACAAACTGTATAGACCTCAAGAACATACATGAGATAATCCATGTAAAGCACCTAGTCCAGCGTTTGGCTGGTATGAAGCCATCAATAAATGATGATTTTTAATTAAAGACGTAGCTTTGGCTTTTTATTTATTTTGGTCTGTAACAGCGATGTGAAGATCATCTTCTAAGGAAAGAGCGTATTGTAGTGCAGGGTGGTTCACGTACACATCATCGTGCCATCCTGCATTCACAAGTTTGGTTATTCTGTCTTGCAAACGTTCAAATGGTTCCTAATGTATTTGGACATCTTACTATTATTAAGGTCTTGCGATTCTGAAAGTTTTAAAAAGTCCTGCCCCTAGGCCGGGCGTGATGGCTCACGTCTGTAGTCCCAGCACTTTGGGAGGCCGAGGAGGGCGGATCACGAGGTCAGGAGTTTGAGACCAGCCTGGCCAACATAGTGAAACCCTGTCTCTACTAAAAATACAAAAAGTTAGCTGGACATGGTGGCGGGCACCTGTAATCCCAGCTACTCTGGAGGCTGAGGCAGGAGAATTGCTTGAACCCAGGAGGCGGAGGTTGCAGTGAGCCGAGATTGCACCACTGCGCTCCACCACAGAGAGAGACTCCGTCTCAAAAAACAAACAAACAAACAAAAACTCAAATAACAAAACTGACTTTATATTTTCATGTTACAGTCTCTTTAAACAAAGTTCAAAAATTTTAAATACATTTTCATTTTCAATCAGTATATTTTATCACTTCTTCTTTAGAAGTGGTTGATGGATGATTTATAAGATGCAAAAACAATGTTTGTTTTTTTCCATAGAGTTTAGTAAAACAAAATCACACTGTTTTTCCATTGAATTTTGTGGCTTTACTTATTAAATTAACTCTGAAAAATGTATTGTCTATATTTTTTATGTGTGAATTCATAAAGTTGGTAGTTCTGAGATTAACTTGGCTGTTTATTTCTGGACTTTAAATGAATACTCCTGACCAACATCTGACATTGATATGCATTGAGATATATGATTGAAAAGATATTTCTGAAAGAGATTTGTAGCTTAAAATCTAGTAATAAAGATTTGTTAAATCAATTACAGCACATACATATGAGTACCATGAAACTATAAAAAATCATGTTTTAGGAAAAAAACAATGGCGTAAGAAAACATTCCATGTTTTCGAATTGTGTGACCATAAAATGAACATATTTCATATCATAATACAACAGTATAGGAGTATATAAAGTAAAAGCTCCCCCATCCATTAAACTATTAATAGTGGTTTTCGATTCCAATGATCTGTCTTTGTGCTTCTGGGTGTTTAATTATTATTTTTTTTTGAGACCGAGTCTCGCTCTGTCGTCACGCTGGAGTACAGTGGCGCCATCTCGGCTCACTGCAACCTCCGCCTCCCAGGTTCAAGCGATTCTCCTGCCTCAGCCTCCTGAGTAGCTGGGATTACAGGCGCGTGCCACTACGCCCAGCTAATTTTTTTGTATTTTTAGTACAGACGGGGTTTCACCATGTTGGCCAGGATAGTCTCGATCTTTTGAGCTCATGATCCGCCCGCCTTGGCCTCCCAAAGTGCTGGGATTACAGGCATGAGCCACCGCGCCCGGTTTTAATTCTTTTCTTAAATGAACAATACTACTTTTATTAACAGAAAAATAATTATAGTAAAGAAATGTTTTGTATAATAACTATGACATAATTCATTAAAATTCTCCATTACCAGTGACAGTTTTTACATGTAGACCCATAGGAAAAGAAGTGATTTAAGCTATAACCACTAACACTTTTCCTGTAGAAGCTAGATTATTCTTTGCGAATATAGTATTTAGCTAAGCTGGAAAGGGAAATCTGATGCCCTCTTGTGGCCAGTAATTTTTATAGGCGATTTATTCCTTTTCATCTGGTCTAAATATGGTCTCAATTTATAGTTCCCTCGTCATTAGTGTGCCATTGTCTTATCTTTTAATATTTTTAGCCATTTGTGTTTCTTTATTGATTTGGCCTTACTAAATGATTTACTTTAATTATATACAGACCCTTTTTGTATATAGTGACATTAATTCATTTTCTTTTACACATTTTGTGAAAATTTAAAATTTTTTCCCCATTCCAAATGGCCTGTCTTCCAATATTTCCCAAAGCTAAAGTTTATATGTATATATACAAAATGTGTGTATATATATATATAATGTGTATATATATATATAATATATATTATATATGTATAATCCTTCCATATTTCCTCTCAGTTCTTTTATTTATTTTTATTCTTGGTAAAGATGGGGTCTCACTTTGTTGCCTAAGTTGGTCTCAAACTTCTGGCCTCAAGCAGTTCTCCTACCTTGGCCTCCCAAAGTGCTGAGATTACAGGTGTGAGTCAGCCTCTTCTCAGTACTCCTATAGTTTCATAACTTACGTGATTTCTTTAATATATTTGGAATCTATTTTTATGGTTTGAAGTAGGGGGTTAATTTTTAAAAATGGATAGCCAAATACCTATTAATTTTTGTTTTGTTTTAGTTTTTTAAAATTTTTTATTATTATTATACTTTAAGTTTTAGGGTACATGTGCACAACGTGCAGGTTTGTTACATATGTATACATGTGCCGTGTTGGTGTGCTGCACTCATTAACTCGTCATTTAACATTAGGTGTATCTCCTAATGCTGTCCCTCCTCCCTCCCCTCACCCCACAACAGTCCCTGGTGTGTGATGTTCCCCTTCCTGTGTCCATGTGTTCTCGTTGTTCAATTCCCACCTATGAGTGAGAACATGCGGTGTTTGGTTTTTTGTCCTTGCAGTAGTTTGCTGAGAATGATGGATTCCAGCTTCATCCATGTCCCTACAAAGGACATGAACTCATCATTTTTTATGGCTGCATAGTATCCCATGGTGTATATGTGCCACATTTTCTTAATCCAGTCTATCATTGTTGGACATGTGGGTTGGTTCCAAGTCTTTGCTATTGTGAATAGTGCCGCAATAAACCTACGTGTGCATGTGTCCTTATAGCAGCATGATTTATAATCCTTTGGGTATATACCCAGTAATGGGATGGCTGGGTCAAATGGTATTTCTAGTTCTAGATCCCTGAGGAATCGCCACACTGACTTCCACAATGGTTGAACTAGTTTACAGTCCCACCAACAGTGTAAAAGTGTTCCTATTTCTCCACATCCTCTCCAGCACCTGTTGTTTCCTGACTTTTTAAATGATCGCCATTCTAACTGGTGTGAGATGGTATCTCAATGTGGTTTTGATTTGCATTTCTCTGATGGCCAGTGATGATGAGCATTTTTTCATGTGTCTTTTGGCTGCATAAATGTCTTCTTTTGAGAAGTGTCTGTTCATATCCTTCACCCACTTTTCGATGGGGTTGTTTTTTTCTTGTAAATTTGTTGGAGTTCATTGTAGATTCTGGATATTAGCCCTTTGTCAGGTGAGTAGGTTGCAAAAATATTCTCCCATTCTGTAGGTTGCCTGTTCACTCTGATGGTAGTTTCTTTTGCTGTGCAGAAGCTCTTTAGTTTAATTAGATCCCATTTGTCAATTTTGGCTTTTGTTGCCATTGCTTTTGGTGTTTTAGACATGAAGTCCTTGCCCATGCCTATGTCCTGAATGGTATTGCCTAGGTTTTCTTCTAGGGTTATGGTTTTAGGTCTAACATGTAAGTCTTTAATCCATCTTGAATTAATTTTTGTATAAGGTGTAAGGAAGGGATCCAGTTTCAGCTTTCTATATATGGCTAGCCAGTTTTCCCAGCACCATTTATTAAATAGGGAATCCTTTCCCCATTGCTTGTTTTTCTCAGGTTTGTCAAAGATCAGATAGTTGTAGATATGTGGCGTTATTTCTGAGGGCTCTGTTCTGTTCGATTGGTTTATATCTCTGTTTTGGCACCAATACCATGCTGTTTTGGTTACTGTAGGCTTGTAGTGTAGTTTGAAGTCAGGTAGTGTGATGCCTCCAGCTTTGTTCTTTTGGCTTAGGATTGAGTTGGCAATGCGGGCTCTTTTTTGGTTCCATATGAACTTTAAAGTAGTTTTTTCCAATTCTGTGAAGAAAGTCATTGGTAGCTTGATGGGGATGGCATTGAATCTATAAATTGCCTTGGGCAGTATGGCCATTTTCACGATATTGATTCTTCCTACCCATGAGCATGGAATGTTCTTCCGTTTGTTTGTATCCTCTTTTATTTCATTGAGCAGTGGTTTGTAGTTCTCCTTGAAGAGGTCCTTCACATCCCTTGTAGGTTGGATTCGTAGGTATTTTATTCTCTTTGAAGCAATTGTGAATGGGAGTTCACTCATGATTTGGCTCTCTGTTTGTCTGTTATTGGTGTATAAGAATACCTATTAATTTTTGATTAGTGGATTCTTCATCTTTAATTTGAAAAGCCCCATTCACCAAACTTCTGTATATAAATGTTTCTGGTTCTGGATCTGTAATTCTGTTTCACTGGTGAATTAGTTTATTCCTATGTTATACTTCAGAGTATGTATTAATAAATAATGTAAAAGGAAAAATACTCTCTGCTCATTGTTTTACTTAAAACAATTCTTGGTAATTCTTGAAATTTACTCTTCCATGTAAACTTAAAATCAGGCTTTCTAGTTACATAAAATTTTGCTGGGATTTTAAAATTATGATTTCTATTGACTTTATGTATTAATTTGTAGAAAAGTAAAGCTTTTATAATATCAGGTCCATTTAAAAATGATATATTCTTCTATTCAGTTTTTGTCTTTCACCAAATTTTAATAATTTTCTTCTCTATAGGACTCACTCCTTTTTGTTGTTGTTAAAGTTTATTTCCAGGTATTTAATAAATTTTCTTTCACTTTTCTTTTTTGCATCCCTCTACTCCCTAATACTTTTTCTTAATAATGGGGTTTTCTCCCACCAAATACTATATTTAACATTTTTCTCATGAATATTATCATATTATATATAATGGGAACACTGGAGGAAACTATGCACTATTGCTACCCCATTATAAGTATTTACTATTTCAGAATATTTCCTTGTAGACACAGTATGATTACAAACATAAAACTGTAGCCACATTGCAATTGTTTAATTCAGAAATACAACAGATTGTCCACAAAACATACAATTTGATTATCACTGATGGCAGCATTTGCATCTGCTAAAAATAAATCCATTGAACTTGTCTTAAAGCCCTTTGAGAAAGTGTCTTTTTACCCTCCAGTTACAAAGTAATAATGCTCAATATAAAAATTTAAAGATCAAAATGTTGAAAGTAGAAAAATAATATTCTCTGTATTTGTCCCATTCCCCGCCTCTGAGAACACTAACTACCATTAACAATTTTTTGCCCCCAGACAATACTAGCACCATTCTAGGCATACCATTTTTTTTTTTATTCTACTCTTTTTTAATGGCTACATGGTATTTTCCACAGCATTTCCTTGAACAGATGTTCAAATTTTATTAAACTGTTCATCTATTGGTGGCTACTTGGGCTTTTGTTATTTTTGCCACCCAAAACAATTTTGCAGTGAACACTTATTACGTAGGTAATGGTCCTCGTTTGAGTACTTCTGTAGATAAATTTCTAGAAGTACGTACAATTGCTTGATCAAGGGATATATACTTCAAGAAGGTGTAACTGCCCTCCTCTTTAAGCCTCTAGTAACACTGTAAGAGACTGCTTCCCCTACACCCTCACCAATATTGGGCATTATTAATTTTGATTCCCAAAATAAATGTTTTAATTTGTATTTAGTGTTCATATATTTATTGGTCATAACACTAATATTATACACAGAAATGATCCATTAAACCTCTAGTCTAGATAGAAATGTGTTTCACCCATATTCCCTATGGATTTATATTTTATAAATTTTATATATGTATACACACAAATAAACATTTTTTAGCCATGGCATTGCTGTCTAAATCATAATTAGTATTTTTAAGTCCTATGAAATTTAAACACAAAGTCTCCCATGATTATGTTTCTTAACTTTTATGGAAGAAATTTTTGTAGCTAGGTATTTTTTTTTTTTTGATAGGAGAAACAAATTCAGTACTTTTATTTGTGCTGATTGTGTGCTTTACAGAATAAACATCAAACTACCCTAATTGCAGTGATGTATCTGCTACAAGTCTTAATGGTGAATTTGTTTTTGATAAGGGTTAAACATGCTTCCACTTTTGTCCTTATGTTACCCTTAAAAGTATACATGAAAGAACAAAGGAACATAGAAGATGGACTAATGCTATTAAATTTGGAAGTGGGTGATGGTTTCTGCAATGAATAAAATGTACATATTTTAAAGAGGAATTGCATGAGCCTTCCCTTGTGCTCATGAGTGCTTGTGTGACAACTTCGCAGTACGAGTCAATGCCATAAAGTGCCATATGCAATGCAGGGATATTGTTGTGTTTCCGTAAGAGCCTCACAATGTTATTGCTTCATCCATTGCAATAGATTCCAGAGTATATGAAGAAATTTGGCACAAAGTTTACTAACGTTGTACACTCTGTTAAATTGCCAAGTAACTGATAAGTAAGAAAAAAAAGTTAAAGACTGTGACAGACTTGGGAATTACTACTCATTATGTGTGATCTTTCCATGTAACAAGTCATTGGTACAGTTTGCTTTGTCATCTCAGTCTTCACTCTACTGGGTTGTACTGTTTATTGCAATTTAATTTCTATTTCCAGCAATAAAATTACTATCAGATGATCAGCCAGCTCCCTCTTCAGATATATCTGAGTAGTTTGTAACAAGAAACTTGGCCAAAGATTTATTAGTGGTTAATCAATAGATACTTTAATGTCTTATATTCTCATTAATTTACCTTCGCACTGGTTCCTTTTTTTAAAAAAAATCTTGGTCTGATAATGAACCTTCTTACAAGTTTCAAGATTTGGTAGATTTTATAGGTAACAAAATGAATCTGATGGCAAGGTACCATGGCATGGGCCTTAAAAAAGCCCAGCTGGGTTTTAAGTCAGAGCTTCATTATTTAGTTTTCTGTGATCTTGGGCATTTTTAACTTCTCTGGAATCCTTATCTAACTGGGATGATAATGGTACATACCCCCTGAGGCTGTGATGATTAAATAAGTTGTTGCCATGTAGTAATAAAAATTAAAAAAATTATTTACTATTATCTGTAAAATGGACAGAATGGCTACACAATAAACTGTACATGGTAGGTGTTTGTATTTTTCCCTCTTCCTAATCATAAAATAAGAAATTAACACATACCTCTGTTAGCTGAGAAGTCAACATAAATGCTTTATTATCTTAACTTGGAACCACAGAAGTTTACTAAAAAGTTAAATACTTTGAGATAAATATTATACTAATAAACCAGAAATAAGCACTGCTTTAGTATTAATGTGATAGAACTTACTAAAACTTTTTTTTTCAAATATCCAAGTTTAACCTATAAAATTTAGAGCTTTGCAGTTATGCCTACAAATACAAAAATAAAATGGAGAATTTAAACAAATTATTGTTCAGTGATAAACCACTCCTGCTTGAAATAGCCCGATAAGGCTTTCAAGCTGAAATTATGTAGTCATGTTTTAAGAGCCACCTTGGAGTTGTCTAAGGGAGACAAACTTAAGAGAACAAAGCACCTAGAGTCATAATTACTACTAAAAAAGGGTTTGGCAAACTTTTGTACCCCATGCTTGCTAGAACTTAAGACCCAGTTGCTGAGTGACAGTTTTATTTCATTAGGAATAGATTGGAAAAGCCATATTTATGAGAGCTTTCTTTTGCTCTAAATAAGTTTCAGGACAAGGTGGAGGATGGGTAGTCGAAACACTGGCAGAATCTTCTATGAGTAATAACATCTACCTGTATGCAGTTGAATTCAAAACTAGTGGTTTCCCCAAGAGGCCCTGTCATTTAATCGTCAGAACTAATTAAGGAGATTTTGTAGTAACGTGGAATGTTCTGGCTACTAGGTATGTGCCAAAAATAACACTTCCTTCTTTACACTATTATGCTTCTGATTTTCCCAACAAACCTATATAGTCATCCCTCAGTATCCTTGGAGGATTTGTTCCAGGACCCTCCTGGATACCAAAATCCTCAGATGCTCAAGTGCCTTATATAAAATGGCTTCGTATTTGCATATAACCTATGTACATCCTTTAAATCTAGATAATACCTAATGCAATGTAGTTATATTTTAAAATTTGTATTTTTTTAATTTTTGAGTATTTTCCATACATGGTTAAATACAGATGAAAAACCTACAGATGAGGACCAATTTGCTCATAAGCAAAGCAATAAATAAATTCTGTCTGCTAACTTCATGATAAAAATACTTGAAACTTTCCAACTTTACGCCAATCACCTACAAATCTGTCATTATCACCACAAAACTCTCAAGGACCCATAAGGAAGCAGTGTGATGACTCTGAAAGTAATTTTTTTTTCCTTTTTTTCTTTCAATAACTTTGGTTAAAAAAAATTGATAAAACGCATCTCCCTTGTGACACTAATAAACAAACATGCTCATGTTTGAATAGGCAGTCACTAGATTTCAGGAAAAGAGTAGATATGGTTTAGAGAGATGTTAAAATTGTGTATGGCTTAAAGAGTACAATATTAAAGCTAGAAAAGTCTCTAAGGTTTAAAAATGAGTTTTCTGAAGTTGCAAACTTTAAAAACTGACATTTTCATACTATTGAGCTATACCTTTATGATTTGTGCAGTTTTGTATTTCAACAGAATTTATCTTCCTAAAAATAACAATAATTTGTGGAATAGCCATGGCCATTCAATGATTTATTAGCAAGTTGTGATTTTTCTGGTAAGTCAAATAATTTAAGACTGCAAATTTAAAGATGAAGGTGATGGAAAAAGTATTGCTGATCTTAGTTTTTAAAAATTTACCTTTGGAGAAAAATCAAAACTCTTATAGAGATATCTCTTTTTTTCTTTTTGTAGTTCAAGTACCCTTACAAGACTGATGGAATTACAGTTGTATAAATATGGACTACTGAAGAATCTGAAGTATTGTATTATTTGACTTTATTTTAGGCCTCTAGTAAAGACTTAAATGTTTTTTAAAAAAAGCACAAGGCACAGAGATTAGAGCAGCTGTAAGAACACATCTACTTTATGCAATGGCATTAGACATGTAAGTCAGATGTCATGTCAAAATTAGTACGAGCCAAATTCTTTGTTAAAAAACCCTATGTATAGTGACACTGATAGTTAAAAGATGTTTTATTATATTTTCAATAACTACCACTAACAAATTTTTAACTTTTCATATGCATATTCTGATATGTGGTCTTTTAGGAAAAGTATGGTTAATAGTTGATTTTTCAAAGGAAATTTTAAAATTCTTACGTTCTGTTTAATGTTTTTGCTATTTAGTTAAATACATTGAAGGGAAATACCCGTTCTTTTCCCCTTTTATGCACACAACAGAAACACGCGTTGTCATGCCTCAAACTATTTTTTATTTGCAACTACATGATTTCACACAATTCTCTTAAACAACGACATAAAATAGATTTCCTTGTATATAAATAACTTACATACGCTCCATAAAGTAAATTCTCAAAGGTGCTAGAACAAATCGTCCACTTCTACAGTGTTCTCGTATCCAACAGAGTTGATGCACAATATATAAATACTCAAGTCCAATATTAAAAACTTAGGCACTTGACTAACTTTAATAAAATTTCTCAAACTATATCAATATCTAAAGTGCATATATTTTTTAAGAAAGATTATTCTCAATAACTTCTATAAAAATAAGTTTGATGGTTTGGCCCATCTAACTTCACTACTATTAGTAAGAACTTTTAACTTTTAATGTGTAGTAAGGTTTATTCTACCTTTTTCTCAACATGACACCAACACAATCAAAAACGAAGTTAGTGAGGTGCTAACATGTGAGGATTAATCCAGTGATTCCGGTCACAATGCATTCCAGGAGGAGGTACCCATGTCACTGGAATTGGGCGATATGGTTTATTTTTTCTTCCCTGATTTGGATAACCAAATGGAACAGGAGGAGGATAGTGATTCTGATGGCCATTCCCTCGATACATTCCTGGCTTTTTTCTGGGCAAAGGGTGCCACATTGGAAGAGGTGGAAATATAAGTTCTGAAATCTGTAGGGAAGAGAACACATTAAGTTAATTCAAAGGAAAAAATCATCATCTATGTTCCAGATTTCTCATTAAAGACAAACAAAGTTACCCACAACACTGAGATCACATCTAAGTGACACTCCTATTGTCAGGTCTAAATACATTAAAAACCTCATGTGTAATAGGCGTATAATGTATAACAGGTGACCAATGTTTTCTGAATGCATAAAGAAATGAATAAACTCAAACACAGTACTTCCTAAACAACTTCAACCAAAAAAGACCAAAACATGGAACGAATGGAAGCTTGTAAGGACATGCTTGTTTTAGTCCAGTGGTTTCCACAGCTGGCTAAGCCAGGAGTCACTTGGAGGCTTTTAAATACAAAACATTGGAGCTGGAGGCCATTATCCTTAGCAAACTAATGCAGAAACAGAAAATCAACTACCGCATGTTCTCACTTATAAGTGGGAGGTAATGATAAGAACTTATGAACACAAAGAAGGAAACAATAGACATTGGAGTCTATTTGAGAGGGGAGGGTGGGAGAAGGAAAAGGAGCAGAAAAGATAACTATTGAGTACTGGGCTTCACACCTGGGTGATGAAATAATATGTACAACAAATCCCTGTGACACATGTTTACCTATGGAACAAACCTTCATGTGTATCCCTAAACCTAAAATAAAAGTTAAAAAAAAAAAAAGATAAACACAAAACATTCATGCCCTAGCACTGGTCTAATGAACAATAATAAAATCTCAGAACTAGAGGCCAGGTATTTTGACAAAGCTCCCCAGGTGATTCTGATGTAGCCAGTTTAGTATTTGGGAATAATAGTTTTAGATTATCCCATAAATCAGGTGGGCACGTCAGGTTCACATTATTCAAAGTGTTCTTATCAGCAGTTTTAGACCTCTCTGCTTAGAATGCCACATCTTCTTAAATTTCTGATTTTGCTGATCTCAAATCTGCATTTCTAAGTATAGGATTTTTTTAAAAAAATTATATTGTGTATAGCATTGCATTCATGATAGAAAATTCAAAAAGTACAAAAGGGTAAACTGTGGAAAGTCCCTCTTTTTTTATCTCACCCTTTATCTTCTTTATCTTAACCCTTCTCAAGGGCAACTGACACCAAACATTTTTTTAAATATACCTTTAGAGATATTCTATCCACATCTATACACACTTTAAAAATATATATGTATACTGGATTGTATCCTGCTTTTTACATTTCATAATAATACATTTCAGAAACATATCAATACATAAAGATCCTTCTCATTTTTCTACAGCTAGATAGTATAGCAATGACTATAAATTAAATGGTCTCCTAGTAATGGGACATTGAGGCTGTTTTCAGTCTCTTACTATTAAAAAAACAATGATACACAACGAACAAAACAATGCTGCAATGAATAACAGCACAGTTAATTCTAATAGAAGGCTTTATAGGCATATTTTCGTTTCTTTTGGTAAATATTTAATACTTAGGAGTGGAACTGCTGAGTAATAGAAGAGTTACACATTTAACGTTAAAAAGTTCCAGTTTTCCAAAGTAGTGGTACTATTTTACATGACTAGCAAGTTTATGAATCTAGCTGCTTCACATCCTTGCTAACATTTCATGCTGTCAGGCTTTTAAATTGTGCAGTTCTGGAAGAACTAGTGTTTCATATGGATTTAATCTGCATTCCTCTGATCATAAATGAGGCCATTCACATAACTCCTTTTGTAAAGTGTTTATTCACATCTTTTGCTCCTCCTGCCCTTTTTTTGAGATTACAGCAGGATATGCCCATTATTTTTCATTGAATCATTTACCTTTTACTAGTGATTTGTGAGCGATTTTAAAAAAAGTATATTCTGGAAATAAGTCCTTTACAGATATATGTAATGAGAATATTTTGTCCTAGTCTATGGTTTGCCCATTTTCTTAATGGTTTCTTTGATGAACAAAAAGATGATTAATTTTGATGAAGTCCAGTTTGTCAATTTTTTTCCCTTATTAGTTACTTTTTGTGACCCTCTAGAGGAAATATTTGCCTGTCACAAAATAAAGATTATATTTCCCTATGTTTTCTTCTAAAAGCGTCAGAGATTTATCTTTTATGTCTAGGTACACAATCCATCTCAAATCAATATTTTTGTGTATGGTGTCAGCTAAGTTAGGTTCGTTTTTTTTCCTACACAGATCATCCAGTTGTTTCAGCACAAGTTCTTGAAGACTTTCCCCATTGAATTGCTTTGGCACTTTTGTTAAAAGGGAGAAAAAAGACTAACTGTATGTATGTGGGTCTACTTCTGGACTCTCTATCCTGTGCCATCAATATATTTGTATGTTTTTAAACCATTACCACACTGTCTTGATGAATATATAATAGCTTTGAATTAGTGTGAGCCCTCCAACTGATCCTCCTTTTTTAAAATTTTGAATCAATTTGTCACTTTCCAGAAAAAAACCTTTTAAGATGTTCATTGATACTGAATTGGATCTACAGATCTATTTCAGGAGAACTGACACAATCTTCATTTCTTCGTTTTTTAAGATATGAATAATTCTTTATCCCCTCTCTTGGGATACCTTTTAGAAAACAGTAGAGAACAAAAATTCCAAGCTAGAAATTTTGTTGTCCTTATTTGATAAAACTTTTTTAAAGCTTGTGGCAATGCCAGATTCAAGATACTAGAAAGAAGAAAATCAAAGTGGGCCATTTGCACTAGCTTTCACACAAGTAGTGTTTCTCTATTATAAAATGTTTTGCTAATGAGTATTAGGCCAAGGAGAAATGTTTTCCTTAAAAAGCACGTAAGAGACACCTCAATTTCCATACCTTTCTGTTATCCTAATAGTCTTTCAACATGAGGGAAAATAAATGCAATTTAATTTTAAAAGAAATCCTAAAAATTAAAGGTTAATTTGCTTGTAAAAAATTAGCAGCAATCAATTTAATTTGAGACTTACATTCTTGCTTAACAACAAATAAAATTCTGAGGTAAAATTGCCACACATTTGGATGAATTCCAGAAAATTCAATATACCTAATTTGCAATATATAATCCATCACACAGAGAAAAAAAATGCCTCAAATATTTATGGCAAGGTTTTTAAAAATGATCCTGAAGTACAAATACTATGTTTACTTATTTATATAGGGAATGTCTCTGGAAGGATACTAAAAAAAAGAAAAAAAAACCTGGTAATGAATGTCTCTGTGGAAATGCATAGGGACTGGTGGTTGGGGAGAAAGAGGACTTCTCACTATTATACTGTCTTGTACTGTTTGAAGTTTCATAAAGCCAGGTACATGTTATATACATATACATATACATACACATATACATAGAATCCTAAATTATGATAATCTTCAGAAATAATCTTCCCCTAAAGTCTAGGAAGAATAATTCAACTGAGAAAAAAATGAGAAAACCAAAAATTAAGTTACACTGAAATAATGTTCATTATGTAAATGTATGCTGAATTTAAAAGTTTAGTTTATCATACTAAAAGCTCCAATATTCTGCTTCTTACTCATTAGGTCTAAATTTTCATTTTCAGCTCAACCTTACCACAAACCTGGTATGTTTCACATTTAATCAAAGCAAGTAAGTAAAAATAGATAACCTTTAAAAATTAGTAATAAGTACATTTACAGAATAAGGCTCAACTCAAAAAATCTCTTTAAATTGTTATGACTTTAAAATATCTTTCCTGTTGAAGAATGCTGTTTGGTCAACAATTTTTTAAAGTCGATTAAATGTTCTTTGGTATGTAGATATAAATAGTAAATCAGTGAATGGATCTGTAAGTGCAGGCACACTAGCTATATGACTTTTCAACTAGTAAAGCAAAAAGGGAGACAATGTTTCAGCTTGAGTAAAATATTAATTATAATATAATAAATTTAGAGAGGTTTCTCTTTAATCATGGAACGGGAGAGAATAGAAAGTTAAACCCAAAGGTACAAAACAAAGTGTTACATACTACAAAAAATAAGTGGTAACTTTTGAATGAGATTTTAAAATATCAGGAATGTTTTACCATCATGAATTTTCTACTTTTTGCCAATTTTTCTGAAATATATTTATCCTAGTTATTGTATAGTGAAGCTGACCTTTGATAAAATGACTCAGGATGCCTATTTACGTGCCAGAGAAACAGCTTTCCCTTAGCATGGGGAAAGGCAAGAACTATTATCCAGAATCTCAAGTCAGAAACCTTGGGCAATGCCAAGTAGGACTACCTGAAAGGTCCTGGCAATCCCTGCACATCCCTTTAAAACTGAGCTGTTTTCATGGTTACCTGGTACACAGGACTTGCGGCTGCAGTCACCGAACTGGGTTTCACTTCCATTTCCTTACTTGTTTCTTCATCTGAAGAAGAGGATCCTGAATGATAATCAGAGGTAACCTTATCAAGGGCCCTGGTAACTTTCCTGGAGATCTCATCCTTGTTCTCATCTTTATTTTCAAAGCTGGCAACAATGAATGCATTGTTTTTCTCTCCATACCTAAGAATAAAATTAAAAACTTACAAATCTTGAAGTCACATCAGCAAAGCAAAAAATGTCCATAAAAACAAAGAGATCTGGACATGCCATCAATACAAGGCAAAGATTGAATCATCACAGAACTTGACCCTACACATTTAATATCCTAATACAGCTCAATGCCAGCAAGCAAACCACAGTTTTCTACTTCTGGTCTATTTAAGTATTCATAAACATAACCCCATTTTCTTTCCCTTATTTTCTTTCTACTAATTCCTAAAAAAAAAATTGTTTAAAACATCAAAAAAAGTCCATTGTTTTGATTACATTTTTGTATGTACCAATGAAATTGGTTGTACAATAAAACATTCTGATGTATTTTTATTTTTTTGAGATGGGTTTCACTCTGTTGCCCAGGCTGGAGTGCAGTGGCACAATCACAACTCACTGCAGACTCTACCTCCTGGGCTCAGGTGATCGATCCTCCAACTTCAAACCTCCCAAGAGGCTGGGACTACAGGAGTGTACCACCATGCTCAGCTAATTTATATACATTTTTAGAGACAGGGTTTCACCATGTTGCTGAGGCTGGTCCCAAACTCCTAGGCTCAAGAGATCCACCCACTTCAGCTACCCAAAGTGCTAGAATTACAGGCATGCGCCACTGGCTGATTTTTTTTTTTTTTTTTTTGAGACGGAGTCTCACTCTGTTGCCCAGGCTGGAGTGCAATGGGTGCAATCTCGGCCCACTACAATCTCCACCTCCCAGGTGTTCAAGTGATTCTCCTGCCTCAGCCTCCTAAGTAGCTGGGATTACAGGTGCCCACCACCACGCCCAGCTAATTTTTGTATTTTTAGTAGAGATGAGGTTTCACCATGCTGGCCAGGCTGGTCTTGAACTCCTGACCTCAGGTGATCCACCCGCCTCGGCCTCCCAAAGTGCTGGGTTTATAGGCGTGAGCCATCACGCCCAGCCCCAGCTGTACTTATAAATGTAACATATATGCTAGTAATTCAAGTCACAGATCAACTAGAAATTTCCTATAAAATTGACTTTAACCCCAATTAAATAAAAAAGGGGGCCTGTTATTTATACTCACAAAAATGAGAACTGAGGCAGTTATTGAGATTAAAGAAAAAAGATAGTTGTTGAAGAATATAGAGGTTTTGCTTAAATTATATTGCTTACTTCAGAGTTTCCTAGGATAACTACTCACCTCTCATCTTAATTTTTTTTAAGGTAAGATGAAAAAATCTTGTTATTCTTCCAAAACATTTTTGAAGATTTTTGATTTTTTTTAAGTTGTCAAAATATGTAACATATGCTGCTGGTTACTTAAAAAAAAATTCTGAACTGTAGGAAAATAGTGTAATAAACTCAAGTAAAACCAAGAGTTTTTATTCAGTGGACATAGGAGAAATCCACAAATCTATTTAAATAGATTGCACAGTGTCAACACTATCAAACAATTTCTAGCATCAGGACAAAGGATATTGTTAAGCGGTTCTTACAAAACACATACAGTTAGAAATGTAATTAAAGTGATTCTAAGTTTGAAAAAAGATAAAAATAAGTAACTCTAAGTAGAAATAATGTCAAGCTTTTGATTCAATAGTTAGCTGAAGTTAATTCATTTCAAGATAGCACTCGTCTCAAATTATTTCTGAATCAGAATGGTTATCTATTATAAAGTAAAAGGCTTAACTGCTATAAAGCCTTTGAAAATGTACATGAGGCTGGGTGCAGTGGCTTACACCTGTAATTCCAGCACTTCAGGAGGCCTAGGTGGGCAGACTGCTTGAGCCCAGGAATTTGAGACCAGTCTGGGTAACATGGTGAGACCCTGTCTCTCAAAAAAACAAAAAAACAAGAACAAAAAATTAAAAAAACAGAAAAGAAAATGTATGTGGAAATCTAGCAGTCTCAGAGATCACACATAGATGAGTTCTATTTCTTCAGATAGCTATGCTGTCTTCCATTCCTATAGGCCAAATGAAACTATAAATACTACTTAAATATAGTACATAACTTCGCTTTTGTATTCTTTTTTAGTTTACCTCATAAAAGTTGCTACAGGGGCTGGGCGCGGTGGCTCATGCCTGTAATCCCAGCACTTTGGGAGGCCAAGGCGGGTGGATCATGAGGTCAGGCGTTCGAGGCCAGCCTGGCCAACATGGTGAAACCCTGTCTCTACTAAAAATACAAAAAATTAGCCGGGCATGGTGGTGTGCGCCTGTAATCCCAGCTACTCGGGAGGCTGAGGCAGGAGAATTGCTTGAACCTGGGAGGCAGAGGTTGCAGTGAGCTGAGATCGCACCACTGCACTCCAGCCTGGGCGACAGAGTGAGACTCCGTCTCAAAAAAAAAAAAAAAGTTGCTACGGGATGGTAGAAAGGGCATTAGACTAGTTTCTCATTCTGGCTCTGCCACTGACTAGCTTGGTCACCAGAGGCAAGTCACTTAATTTCCCTAGGCCTTAGTTTCCTATATGCTGGACGAGGAAGCTGGAGCTGGCTAGATAGTGGTTGATCTACGGCTGGTGACTCTTCGTAGTATAAAATACCTAAACAGAAGCTGGACATGGTAGCTTACATCTATAATTCTAGTACTTTGGAAGGTCAAGGCAGGAAGATTGCTTGAGCCCAGGAGTTCACAATTATAGTGAGCTATGATCATGCCACCGCATTCCAGCCTGGACAACACAGCAAGACCCTCTCTCTAAAACAAAACAAAACAAACAAAAAATAAATTCCTAAACAATTGAGTTCCTCACAACATAAAATTTGTGTTCTCTAATTTCAAGTTTACTTAGCATAAGGTTTTAGCAATACACATTTACTCCATGTCCCCTCCACAGTTGGAAGACTCAACAAATTTCAAGACAATCAAGGGTTAATTCATGTGTTAATGACACTAATATAACAATGACTTAGGCCTATCTTCAGTTTTGCCCATTAATGGAATCAAAATTCAAAAATGGAAAGGCAAGAAATTTGAGAAAAATTCCTGCCTTTGTAAACAGAAACCTCAACCAAGGGCAAATATCTAATGATTGAAGGATCAGCATTATTAACTCAGATTTCTTTGACACCTAGTTTGGTTCTGCATTTTTCCCTTTGTACTATTTTGGTATGAAGGCTCTCTCTTCATGGTAAGAGAAGCTGCTGACTATACTACTATAACATTACAATGTGCAGTCGATATCTTAGGAGAATTAGTAGACACCTGGACAACTTTTAAACTTTCCATTTTTCAATGATCACTGATAAAACATCAAGGCTAATTTAGTTATTTAGAAACAATCAATAGTATTTAACACTCTATTGGGGGAAAAAAAGGATGGCAGAAATCACCAAAAAAAAAAAAAGTTGTAAAATATGTTGAGTAGATAAGCTGGCATCTGTTCTCAGAACTTCTCATCATAGGCAAGATTTATTTTCTATTCTGTATCACGAAGTGATAACCTTTCTAACTATATGGCACTCTTTGTACTCTTGCAGCATTTTATTCTATCAGAGTAAGTGAAGACTATGAAGAATGTTCTCAGTGCATCTCAATTTTTTTTTACAATCTTAGTCTCTAGTATACCAATGAGTTATTATTTTTAAAGATTCTCAGATATTTGATCAATTGTATACTTGCTAGATCAGCTTTAATTTTCAAAATATCTATGTTTCCAGTTTTGGTGAAAAAATATTTCTCAATGTCTTTTTCTTCTGTTAACTTATATCAACCACCTCTACTAAACGATTAATACGTCTTTCTTTTTGGGGTTCTGTTATTGAATGAACACCTGACACTCGCAGGTGATTTCTATTAGCTGTGAAAAAAATCACATCAGAGCCAATTTTTGGCAAATTTACATATAAATTAGAAGCCTACTGAATGAAAAGGTTTTCTAAGATTAATAAGATGAAAGCAAAGTAGCAGTTTTTTCCTACCAGGCATCATCAAGTAATGAAATGTCTACTGAAGTAGAATGTCCGTATAACTAAAGTTTTTATGTTCAGGTACTGAGACTTATTTTAAGCATTTTAAATACATAGGTCCAAAATGTTTATATAATTATGTAACTTGTTAAACATCCTTGGACATAAAAACTTTCCCCTGATGGTTTAGGATCATTATATTGAACGTAAACTATTTGATTGTGTGATAACATAATCGTGCTGATTTTTTAGCTTTTTCATTTTTGCCTCTATGTCAGACCACATGACATTTTTTGGTAGCGTCTGACTCATCAACCCTCTTTAAAATGCTGCTTCTCACATTTCATGGGTTAAGAAACCACACAACTAACTTAACTGTGTGTTAAATAGGAGCCAACTAGGATCTAAGTGCAGGTCAAATTAAAAAGTAAACAATTCAATATAGTAGCTTTTTGACAGCTATTTCTTATAAATGGAGGTCTTCTGCACAGGTTCAGTGGCCAAAGTTTTCCAAGTCTGAAACTAGCCTAAAGCAGGTCCTTAATTAGTCCCAGAATCTAAAAATGTTTATTTTCTCAGACCTAAATTTGAGATAGCTTGCTCCTTTTCTACCCGAGAAAGAAGTATTGGAGAATGTTTATCACAAACCTCTACCACCTACATCTGGTTTCCAAAAGCAATAAACTTACACCAACCACTGGCAAATCAGGTAGTAACCTCAAGCGGTGGTCCTGACAAAATTTAATGGAAGAATAATCATGTAATTCATCTCTCCTGTCTTCACCTCCACCTTCATTGCTGGAATCAGGTCAGTCTGCGACCACCTTAGGAGTACATAGTTAGGGTTCCTTCAAAAAGCAACTTTACTACAATCAATAAAGAGGCCAGGTGGTCAGGTGAATTGTACCTCAAAACCAAATAGAAACATCCTAAAGGCAGAGCCACAGGAAAATTCTTGCAGGAATTCCATGCCTCTGTTCATCTTCTTCCTGCTAGTTAGAACATCCTTCCCACCTTGTCACCTGGTCAACCATGGCTCATCCTTCACCTCCCAGCTCAAGTATCACCTACTCAGTAGTCTCCTGACTCCTCACCAGATGCAGTAACTTTCTACTTTGTGCAACCTACCACTGCATTTTGTACACATTTCTAACATAAATCAGATAACAATGTAATTTGCTTACTTTTCTTCTCAATTTCAAACTGAATTACCTAAAAGCAGAATGTTGCTTTCGTTTTTGAAAACCCTACAACTGAGAGTGCCTGGTCCACAAATAATGGTTTTTGAGCAAGTGGAGTTCAAAAAGATTTCATACCTAGCACTGATCTTTCACAACTCTATTCATTAGGAGATGTGAAAAATAACTTCCATTATAAAAATAAAACCACGAAGTATCACTCAGTCACTTACATAATCAAAAAGGAGGAGGCCGGGCGCAGTGGCTCACGCCTGTAATCCAGCGCTTTGGGAGGCCAAGGCGGGCGGATCACGAGGTCAGGAGTTTGAGAGCAGTCTGGCCAACATGGTGAAACCCCATCTCTACTACAAATATAAAAAAAAATTAGCCGGGCACAGTGGTGGGCGCCTGTAATTCCAGCTACTCAGGAGGCTGAGGCAGGAGAATCACTTGAACCCGGCAGGCAGAGGTTGCAGACAGCCAAGAATGCACCATTGCGCTCCAGCCTGGGCAACAAGAGTGAAACTCCGTCCCAAAAAAAAAGAGGAGAGAGGGAGAATAAACAGAAACAGAAACAAACCAAAAGTGGTTATCCAGTATTATTTGGGATTAGCTTCTTAATTTGAAGACAGACAAGTGCACCACCAATTAAAGATAATAGACACCTAGCGGAATCTAGGTGTCTACTTCTTGGTCTACAATAAGCTTCTTGGCAAAGCACTACTAGAAAACCCCCGCCTAATCAGTTTCTTTTTTCGGCTATAAAGCAGAAATCTAACTAGTCCTTCAACATCACCTCCAGAAAAGTATTTCATAAAATTTACATCTGAGAGAGTTAAACCACCAGCTCCTGGCCATAAAGATACACAGGCAGGCCGTACATGACAGAATGTCATAAAATTAGTTCCAGCATGGTCATCAGTTCAGCCTCTAAACTTGAGAACTCACCGACAGCACACCTCACATGGGTCCACCCAGAGAGTGAGCTCCTTTGGCAAGCCCAGGTCACTATACAAGATGCAGCTGTTTTCACAGGCTTTCAGGACATCAGGATCAACTCTCTGAAATTTATTGACACGAATACATCTACAACAAAGTGGAGTTACGTTAATGGATTTAAATGAATTTAATCATAAACGCCGTAATATCTATTCATACTTGCCAAGGTGAGTAATAAAATAGTAATAAAAAAATACCCTGGTAGAGAACCTAGGAGCATATCTATCCTAAACAGATAATAAATGTGAACTACAGGCACAGAGGCAGCCTGAAAAAAAGATGGCACCTATGTGAGCCCAAGGAAATCACTAGTACTGGGTCTACCTCAGTCTACCCAGAGACTTGACCACCCATGTACATTAAATGAGCACGGAGTATGAAAGTTGCACGAAATTTTAGAACTCTGAAGGTAAAAGTTTCTATAGGCCAAGTTCCTATACAAAAAAATCTCTAACAAAAGGCCTCATCTAATGTTTCAGATGGTATTTGGAAATGCTTACGACAAATTCTGATCTGTCATTAACTTGCTTTTATATCTCAGATAGTAAAGTGGTAAGAGGACACCCTTGCTTTACCTATAATTGTTCTATAAATACAGGATAAGTGAAGGACACAGATTCATTCATATCATATACTTATGATTAAAATACCTAACTAACATGTTATTGGCTTATTTCATTTAACTTCTATTTACCCAAGCACTTTTATTTAAATAGTTGTCAAAATTAAGTGAGGAAAATTTCTAAACCAATAAAGCCTCTGTCCCATCTTTTTTTAACCTATTATACGACATCTACCTAATGGAATGTTTAATAAATAAAAAATATGCATTCTGTTAAATGATAAGCATTCTGATTAAGTAGGGAAATAGGGCCTATGAAGGAAAAGTATTTACTGCCTACAATCAAGAATCAATCAAGAGAACTTGGATTTCAGCACTAATCCTAGTATTTATCAGGTAAGCCTAGTTAAGTCACTGTACCTCTTCCTCAGACCTGTAACTATAAAACATGGAAATACAAGTTAATTGATGAATAGTAATTACGCTGTAAAATACAATGATATAAAGACTAATGTGCTATTTAAAGTTTTTGTAAAAGTTAAATTATTAGTTGGTTTTAATTTCTATTTAAAAAATGAAAAAGTTCTCAACAGGTAATAGGAATAAGTGTTTCTACATAATAATATTAACAATAATAAGCATTTTAAAAAATTTATTATGCAATGGACAATTTCCTAAATGCTTTGCATGTATTAACTCTTAATTCTCATGATCATCCTGTGAGTTAGATACTTTTTTCCTCAGCATAAAGAAAAAAGGAGGCAGAGAGAGTTTGAGTAACTTCCCAACATTACACAGCTACTAAGTGATGGATCTAGGGTTCAAATCCAGGCCACTAGACTCCAAAGAGCAAGTTATTTCCTTAATACTCAACCCTGTATATACGTACCTATCTTAGCGTCACCATTAACAATATAACAAAGGCAAAGTGAGAAAAATTATTTTCTAGTATGTAAAATACTGCTTAGTCCTTTTAAAAACATGGTCTTATGCTATAGATTCTAATATTGTATAGGGTAATTTGAAAGATCCCATGTGCTCTGGGACCAAAAGCAGTTAAGGATAAAAAGATATATCTTAGATGTATGTGTTTTTCTTATCTACAATTAAGGTGATACAGGCTCTAAGCTTACAAATTATATATAAATATAGATGCTTAAACAGAGACTATGCTTCAACAAAATCTGCATACCTTACATGTTTTGTACTATTTTTTTTCACTCTACATACTACTTATCCATTAACTACTCTTCAAAAACAAAATTTTAAAAGTTGCATAAAAATATTCTATCATTTACTTAATGTTGACAGTTTAGTTCTTTCCATTTTTGCAATTACAAAGTGTAAGAGACATCCATATTCATACATGTTCGTCTGCATTTCTAATTATACTTCTAGAATAGATTCTTGGGAGACTTACTGTTCAAAAGGTATGAATATTTTTATAGATCTTGATAATATTGCCAAATTGCTCTCTACAAGTATCTTATTTATATTGCAGAAAAACAATTTCAACTTACAAACATTTTGTAAGAGAAAGAACACTCCACCTATTCTACAGACTGAAGTCTCTACTAACTTGGTTAATCTTATATTCTATTCATTTTTATAATAGTAACAACCCACTATTTTTTCTACTTCAAATACAGCTTTAAAATGACTCAGTAATGATACTTCTGATCACATGCCAATTTAATCGTTTCAGTTTTTTTCTCAAGTTTTTAGAATTAATGGAAATGAAATTGTACACTGTCTGACCTTTAAATATTTACTTGACAGTGCCTCCTTTTTCAGTAATAGTATGGTGGCTTGGCACTTCCAAAAAGCCTTCATCCAATGTCAGTTAAATCAGAGTAAAAAGCCTCAACAGTTCTAACTTAACGAAAGCTGTTCACTCTATTGGAAATGAAAATATGCAAAAAAAAAATTAAGATAATCAAGAGATAAGATAAAAAATGACTTGAGCCTGTGTTAGCGTGCACATTTCTATTTTAATTCATTTTCCAATTTACTGGAAACCTCTTTGGATTAAAAATGAAAAGGAAAATAAACTATTTTGATTCTCTTCTTGTCAATAGAACACAAGCTCACTTGACTTTCAGTACATGAGAAATTAGCAAATAATATGTTTACCTCCTTTTTAGACTCCTTGAATAGTGCTGTACTTGCAAGAGCCCAGTGGCAGAAAGGAAGTCCTTCTGACATCAAAGCACAAAGTGTTGATTTGTGTAGGAAACTTTGGGGACATCAATATACACAAATAAAAGAGTATTTCTGTAGTTATCACTATAGTCACTGTTCCACTTTTATTTCTCGTGGCCACATCCACAAAATGGGACAATGTTTGGCAGCTGAGTTTAGCAGAACATTCTCAACTGAGGTTCCTGAGCAGTCACATAAATACTACAGTGAGCATGCCAGGGCATGTTTTATAGGAGTCTGCTCTTCTTTACTTTAAGCTGTAAATGTACCTTATACAGCAGAGTACAAAAGACAGCTCCAAGTGAGAATTACCTTCGTTCTCAGTGCCAAAACAGTGGTAACACTGTGGTGTGCAGAAAGCCCATGAAAACATGGGGTCATGTAGACCTGAGTTCAAATCCCAGAACCTTGGCCAGGCATGGTGGCTCACGCCTGTAATCCTCACATTCTGGGAGGCAAAGGGAGAAGATCGCGTGAGGCCAGGAGTTTGAAACTCACCTGGGTAACACAGCAAGATCCCATCTATACAAAAAAAAATTTGTTTTTAAATTAGCCTGGTGTGTTGGCACATGTCTATAATCCTAGCTACTTTGGAGTCTGAGGCAGTAGGATTGCTTGAGCCCAGGAGTTTGAGGCTGCAGTGAGCTATGGTTATACCACTGCACTCTAGACTGGGTGACAGAGCAAAAACAATACCACAAAAAAAAAAAACTCCCAGAAAAGCAAATCCCAGAGCCATTATTTACTAGTCGTGGATCACAGGTGAGTCACATTCATCTAGAAAATAGTTACACTGACTTCTACCACAAATATATAAATGAGATTATTCTTGTATTAACGACATATCAGGTGTCTGATAATCTTAGTTCCCTTTTTCCATACTTTTTTTTTTTTCAAAGAACATATAACATGTAATTTACTTTTAGATGCAAGATTCACTTCTTTCAACTCCTACCATGCCCATTAATGTGTTATTAGGGGTCCTCTAGAATTGTGAAAATCCCTAAGTATTTGTGATAAACAGAAATGCACTGTTAGGAGCCAGGCTATAACCACAAAAGACTAACTCCTTTGACCCCATAGCATTGGCCTCCTGTGTCCAGGCAGTGGGACTCCACCACTCCGCCAACAAATACTTGTTTTAAAATGAGTAAGGAGAAAATATACAAACACCCCAGAGTTCTATATTTTGCAGATGAAACACCTGTAGGCATGGTCTGCACACCCTTCAATCATCCGGCCTTGAACCCACCTCAGGGGTTGATCAGCCTCTGCTTAATCCAATCTAATCCTTTACCTGTAGGCCTGTCCTTTCGATGGTTTTTCTGGATACCAGTGATTTTTATATTTTTCTTGAAGTATTAGGGTCAATTTCTCAGCAAACCTCTCAACTGCCTCTTTTTTCAACTTATCATGTTTTCGAACTAGCCTTGTGAAAAAGAAGACAACGGCAGCAATTTCATTCTTCATTTTTTTCCCTGCAAAGATAAAACATGTTTTCTCAGAAAAACAAAATATAAAAACTGGGAAGATGAAGCTCTGTAAGATATACCTCCTTTACAGCTCTCCCCTTCCTCCTTCCAATTTTATCTTGTATTTCTTTGGCTTATATCTGAAGTAGAGAACAATCTACTTATCTTTATGCCATAAAGGCCTTATTATAAAATACTACTTAAAAATCTTATCACTTAGCTTCATGAAGAAATTCCATAAAGATAGCACGTTGCTCCTGTTGGCTAAAATAAAACCACACCTATCAGTAAAAGAGAAGCACTATAATAAATGATACGACATAGATGTTACTGTGTGTGTCAATATTTAGCTGCAATAATCTAAGTTTAAAATTCTGTGAAATGATTTGAACTTTAAAACATAAAAAAAGTCTACTTTAAAATCTAGAACTGTAGAGCTATTTTATAACAGAAAAGTTCGGCAGTTCCTAGAAAGGTTAAACACAGAGTTATCATATGACACGGCCAATTCTACTTCTATTTGCCCAAGAGAAATGAAAACATATGTCCACACCAAAACCTTGTACAGAAATGCCCATAGCAGTATTCATAATAGCTAAAAAGTGAAAACAATATGTTTACCAACTAAAGAATGGACAAATACTGTGTTATACACACGTATGGAATATTATTCAGCAATGAAAAGGAATGAGTACTAATACAAGCTACAATATGGGTGAACCTTGAACACAGAAATGCCCACAGCAGTATTCATAATAGCTAAAAAGTAAAAACAATCTATATGTTTACCAATTAAGGAATGGACAAATACTGTGGTATATACATGTAATGGAATATTATTCAGCAGTTAAAACGAATGAGTACTAATATAAGCTACAACATGGGTGAACCTTGAATACATCACACTAAGGGAAAGAAGCCAGTCACAAATGACCACATATTGTACGATTCCATTGATATGAAATATCCAGAATAAGCAAATCTATATAGACAGAAGACAGATTAGTGGCCTACGGGGAAGTGGGAAACCAAGAAAAGGAGCATTGCTAATAAGTACAGGGTTACTTTTTGAGGTGATAAAAATATTTACTAAATTTCACTATAGTAATGGTTGTACAACTTTGTGAATATACTAAAACCATTGAACTGTACATTTTAAATGGGTGAATTGCATGGTATATAAATTAAATCCCAAAACTGTTCTACATAAAAAATTTCAGCATTGACTTTCCGAAAGTACTCTTTCAGGAAGAGAGATACATTTATCCACAAGTTAAGAGACACAAAAACTAGTGGATCTATCAGGACATATTTAAGAAATGGAAATTCAGGTCACCCGCAGAAAAACAAACTAAAAGAAATAATCAGAGATTTAGCTACATTTTGGATTGCCTCAAAGGACTTTAAAAATGGTATATCTGATTTATCATTGATTAATCCTTAAGGGCAAACCCTTGTCCTAAGATTGTTTTGATGTATGTTGTCTCTACTCAGTGAGCTCATTCATCTGGCTGCTGTAACCTGGAGTTATTAAGATGCTGCCTTTAGTAAGCAACATCACCTTTTTGGGAGCCAATTACGTATTAAAAACATACAGCCTCTGCTATGTTTAGCATAAAAACAACTAACCTAGCAGTAGTTTGTGTTCCCACATTTCCAAAAAAATAAAGCTGATTGTTAGCTTTCTTTTCTCAAACTGCTCTTTCAGTCTCTCTTCAGAATATGACTCCTTTATTCCAAGTGCAAATTCAAACAAGGAACCTCACTGTGAAATAAATTCTACACAGTTATCTGAGAGGTGTGCTGGCAGCCGCAGATAGCCTGATGGAGGGGAAGGCACACAAATCTTCCTCCCAGAACCCTAGAATGAGAAATTCACCTTCTACAGCCAGCTAGCAGGCACCGGGCATGGGTCCACACACGAGTGTACACGTATACATAACCCCAGCCCACCACGACTGCTGTGCAGCCTCCTCCTGAAAAATGTAAGCCATTTCCACTTTGTAAAGCTACGTTTATATTCCACCACGATACGATGGAAAAGAAAACCCAAGGCAATTTAATATACGGGTTGGGAAGAAAGTTTTGCTGATGGAACTACATTAGCCTCCACTCCAGCAAAGCAAACAAGGAACCACACTAAAGAAATGTACTGAATCTTTTAACTAGATCTTTCTCCTCATTCATTACATTTGCCAACTATGTGCCACATATCTGAGTTCTGGATTTGTTTCTGTTTGCTCTGCTTCATATAAAAAAATAGAAAAGAAGGAAAGAACCACTTAGTGGTTGCTTTTGGTTGTAACACAAGATGACTCATTTGGACTTTTGTTTTCCCCGTTTGAAGAAATGATAGCTCGAACAGCTGAAAAATAAGCCCACTCCCACCAGTATTCTAGGAGTACCAAAAGGTGAAAGAGGGAGAGTTACAGTCAGGGCAAGAACCACCAGAGGCAAGCAGGGCCAAGAAGACCTCAGGCGTCTTGAGTAAGTAGGCGTCCTCCACCCACACTCAGAGCAAAAGGCTCCCATTTTAAATATCGCACGGTGACGTCATCCTGGGACCTCGTCACCGCGGCGGCTGCTCCTCAAGTTCTACTTTGTTCCACAAGGCTCCTCTGCTCACGGCTGCGTGGATAAAACCCAAAGGGAATCCAGAATCAAGCTCGGCCTCGCAGGAGTTTATAACTTTTGTACTTTTCCCTCCCTTGTAACGAAAAGCTAATCGCAAACGTTTCTAGGAACACATTTTTCTCCTGATAGACGTTCCCAAGGTGGAGGGCGCGAGAAGACTGGCCCGTGGGGTGAGGAGCCCCGGCCCGACCTCAGCGGCGCCACAAAGCCATGAAGAGGGGAAATAATTTTCCAAGGGGCTAAGAGTTGGACTTTCTGAAGCCATCGAAACCTGCTGCTAGGCTCTCCCGCTGGGGTTTTGAGAGAGGTAGGTGAGGAGGGATCAAACATCTCCACCCGCTCTTGAAAGAACCGCCTTGAGCTGCGCCCAACTTCTGCAATCCCGGTTTTCCCCAAGTTCAAGGGGAAGGGCCCTGGCGCCCAATGCCCAGCCTCCCCGACAACATCCTCGCCAGGGTGCGCCTGCCCCGCGGGTCCGCTGTCCCCGGCGGGCGGCCCTGGGTTCGAGGACCCGGCTTCCCGGAGGCGCGACTCTCCAGCAAACAAGCGGAGCTCCAGAAAAAACACCGACGCGAAGGGGGTGGACAGAGGGTGGGAAGCCGCGGGGTTGTCGCCCACCCGGAGGCGGAATGTAACGCGCTGTGGGAAACGTGGCAGGAGCCCTGAGGCGGCGTCTTTTTCCTCAGGCGCCCGCCGAGGGTCCCGCGGAAAGCCTCGCGGGCCGCCCTCGCGGCCCGCAGCCCCGCTCTGGCGCCGAGCCGGAGCCCATGCAACCTGGTTCCATCCCCTGCCCCTCCCCTGTCCCCGGTGCGCCGCCCGCCAGCGAGCCTTCGACGTGGCCGCAGGGGCGACGGGACCACCCTCCCCCGATACCCACAGCCCCGCCATGTCTGCCTTTCCCCGGCCCGGTCTCCTCACCGCCGCTGCCGCCGCCGCTCTTCGGCCGGAGATTCGGCGGCCCAGACCGTGTCCTGGCCGGGAACTGAGGGCTCCGCCTCAACGGGCCCGCGCTGGGCAACAGGGAGCGCAGCGAGCCTCGTCCGGCGCGTGCGGCTCCCGCGTCGTCGGGCGGCCAAGCGCGCGTTGAGAGGACTGGCGGGCGGACGAGCGCGCACACGAGTGAGCGCAGCCCCAAAGCGGCGCGCAGGGGGCTCGCGGCCCGGAAGAGGGGAGGGGCGATGACCCGGGAAAGGGTTGGCGCGCGCGGGATCGGCTCGCGCGCCTGAGGGGCGGTGCCGGGGGCGGGGCTTCGCCGCGAGGCCACCCCCGAGCCCCGGGCCTAGCCGCACGGGAGGCGACACACCCTCGCCCTACCCTGAGCCTGGCGCAGACCCTCGACCGCGACGGCGCGGTCCGCAGAACCGCGGGCTTCCCTCCCCGGCAAAAAGCGGCGCTGAAGGCCTGTGGGACCCCCGCCCGGCCGCCCTACGTGCGTCAGCGCCTTCGGGGGTCGCGCGGGCTTGGTCCTTTCGGCTGTCTCGGCCTTTTTGTTTCCCCCTCAGGTCTCTCCACGCTGCACTTGACACCCTCAGGGCGGAATGGCGAGTTCTAGACCCAGCTCTCTAGACCCGGGGCTTCATGGGGGACACGGACTCGACGGGAAGGGGAACTTGGCATTTATGGACAGATCCTCATCCTTCTTGCTGTAGTCAATTACACGCACGTTAACCGTGCAGCCGCCCTGCTGTATTTTAGGCGGTTGTTGGCACTCCTAGTTGGGCCCTTCCCTGGCCCCTCACAGCAGGGCCTGCCTCCTGTGGACGCTTGTGTGCTGCCCTGGCACCGGCCACTGTGTTTTGCATAAAGGAGAGGCTCCAAAGATGTTGGCCAAAGGAATGAAGCCTTGAGAGTCCAGGCTTTCTATTTCTGAGACACTCTACTCAAGGACTTCCCAGATGCAAAGCTTCATCTTTGAGCAAATACAAATATGGAGAGGGAACATTAACTTTCTGAAGAAAAGAAGGAACATCTTTTCAACCTTTTATATTGAGTTAACACCATGGTCTTAGTTTTGTGAAAGCACTTTAATACATCCAACTAGCGGGAGGAATACAAGATATTCCTACCTTTTTATTATTATTATTAAAAGAGGGCTAAACCATGTTGTAAACTACTTAAGAACTGAATGTTCAAGTTGTACAGTATATTGGCCAGATTCCTTACTGCCCACTAGGCTTGGGAGCATGTTTTCAGCTCAGTTTTATGAATGTTTTAAATTTGTATTACTGATCTTTGTTATAGCCAATTAGCAATTCAAAATGGTAATTTTTTTAGCAGTAATAAATATACCATCCCCCAAACAGTACAATAAACTTTATTTGTAAAAAAAAAAAATTATACTCTTCTAGGACTTAGTCTACTTACTGGTACATTTAAAGAGGATATTTACACCTTGGAGTCTTCTAGGAGGTGTGAAGGTGTTTTTATTTTAAAATCATAACAATCTGATGAGGTTATTTTTACAGATAAAGGCCTTTAATTCTGCAGTTTCATAAAATAGCTAGGTAACCACCCACATTACTCAAAATTTGTCCAGAAATTTCTATAGTTTAGGATTAGTATTTTGTGTAGTATTTATAAATCTGTGGTCCACATTTTCCAGTCTTAGAGCAGTACCATATTCAAAAAATACAGGCAAGAACCTGAAACCCAATTTCAAAATGACTTTTAAAAAATTCTCAGGCTGGGCACTGTAGCTCATGCCTGTAATCCAGTACTTTGGGAGGTCAAGGAGAGAGGATCATTTGACTCCAGGAGTTCAAGACCAACCTGGCCAACATCATGAAACCCAATCTCTACAAAAAATACACAAATTAGCCAGGTGTGGTTGCATGCAGCTGTAGTCTCAGATACTCTGAAGGCTGGGGTGAGAGGATCACCTGAGCCCAGGAAATTGAGGCTGCAGTGAGCTATGATAACATCATGGCACTCCAGCCTGGGTGACAGAGCAAGACTCTGTCTAAAAAAAGAAAAAAAAATTCTCATAGCTGAACACTGTGAAATAGACACATAGCAAACAATGTCTCTTAAACACTTTTTCTCTCATCCACTTCCCTTGCACACACAGTATTTGTTTTTATGTCTCTTTCAAAACTTGCCCTACTCTTGTGTGCTTCAGATGCTTTGCCCCAGCTCTCTTTCCTTGTGAGTTGGAATCACAAAATCACAAATGAATTGGTATGGCAAGGCAGAGCCCTCCTCTTTATGGGACTGAAAGAGGAGAGCTGCTATAAACTAAATGTTTGTGTCCCTCGCAATATTCGTATGTTGGAGACTAAATCCCCAATGTGATGGTATTTGGAGGTGGGGCCTTTGGGAGACACTTAGGTCATGAGGGTGGAACCTTCATGAATGGAATTAGTGCCCTTGTAAGTGGAAACATGAGAGAGATGATCACTCTGTCTGCTCTCTTGCCAAGTGAGGATATAGGGAGAAGACAGCAAACCAGAAAGCATACCTTCACCAGACACTGGATCTGCTGGTACCTTGATCTTTAACTTCCCTACCTCCAAACTGTGAGAAATTTCTGTTGTTTAAGCCACACAGTCTATAGTATTCTGTTATAGCATCCTGGAATAAGACAGGAGCAGAGCTGATGTAAATAATTACAGTAGTTCCCCCTTATCCACGGTAGGATATGTTCCAGGATCCCCAGTGGATGTCTGAAACTGCACATGGTACCAAACCCTATGTATAATTTATAAATTAGGAACAGTAAGAGATTAACAATAATTATAATAACAGAACAATTATTATAGTACACTGTAATAAAAGTTATGTGAATGTATGCTCGCTCTCTCTCAAAATATCTTATTGTACTGTACCACTGGTAACTAAAACTGGTGAAAATGAAACCAGGGATAAGAGGGAACTACTATACTCATTAATATGTATTTCCATTTCACAGCTAACTTTAAGATATTCACTTCTATTGTGTGTTAATGGTGTAGTTTGCTTTTAGCACAAGTGGTTTCTTATGAAAATGAGCCACTCTAATATGTCTAGGGCTTTATAATCACAGGAATCATCACACACATCCTGTGGTTGTGTCTCAGAGTTGCAGAGAATGCAACTTAGAATCAACAAAATCTGTGAAATAGCTTTCAAAATTAGGACTTATTTTCACTAAATATGTGAGTCTTTAAAATCCTTTGAACTCAAGAGTTCAGCATTAAAAGCAAAACAGTCGGCGGGTCGTGGTGGCTCACGCCTGTAATCCCAGAACTTTGGGAGGCTGAGGCAGGTGGATCACCTGAGGTCAGGAGTTTGAGACCAGCCTGGCCAACATGGTGAAACCCCATCTCTACTAAAAATACAAAAATTAGCCAGGTGTGGTGGCATGCTCCTGTAATCCCAGCTGCTCAGGAGGCTGAGGCAGGAGAATGGCTTGAACCTGGGAGGTGGAGGTTGCAGTGAACTGAGATCATCGTGCTCTGCACTCCAGCCTGAGCAACAGAGCAAGACACTATCTAAAAAAGAAAAGAAGGAAAAAAAAACAGTCTTGGGTACCATCTTCTCAATTCACTTGTCAAGTTTGAATCTGAATACAAAAGTCTTTTTTTTTTTTTTTTTTGAGACAGAGTCTTTCTCTGTTGCCCAGGCTGGAGTGCAGTGGTGCAATCTCGGCTCACTGCAAGCTCCGCCTGCCAGGTTCACGCCATTCTCCTGCCTCAGCCTCCTGAGTAGCTGGGACTACAGGTGCCCACCACCATGCACGGCTAATTTTTTGTGTTTTTAGTAGAGACAAGGTTTCACTGTGTTACCTAGGATGGTCTCGATCTCCTGACCTCATGATCTGCCAAAACAGTCACTTTTATAATGGACATGGAGGATTTTGTGTTATGTTAGTTGCATTAGCTATGTAGAGAAACTGGTATGTAACATAGAGGATGTTACGTTACATAGCATATGTTACATTATGCTATGTAACATCAAGGAAAAGTGTGTGCAGCCTTCTGGGGCCTTTGGAGGTCCAGCAAGTAAGATCTGAGACTATAATTTTAAGAACACTTCAACACATTTCTTCAAAAATTTCCAGAACTTAGCCATGTAACTAAATTAAAAAAGACTAAATCTACTTCTCTTGCATTAGCTTCTTAAATATCCATAAAGCAGCAGTGATTAAAGTATAAGCATAAAGAAAATTTGCAATCTTCATTATTTTCTCCGTTACATCATGCCATAAAACTGACTTCCAAAAGTCAAAACACAAACTCTCTTGATGAATGAGGCAATGGAAACTGGGCACACCAACCTCCTATTTTGAGTTGCATTAACTGTGGAAACTTTCCTCCCTACCTCAAAGAGGCCTCAAACTTGGCTCATCTTTTTCAGAAGAAAATGCTTTGATCAAACTTTTCATATTATTGTTTGGTAATTGGTTAGGATTTATGTGAACTAGGTTAGGGTGATGTATAAGTTATGACACTCAAGTGGGCCAGACACTCTATGCTTAGGTAGAACTTCATATTGGAAATCCCTGGAGTAAAATTTCCCAGCTTGGCAGGAGAGGTGCCATTATTGTTGTTGTTGTTGTTGTTGTTTGGCAATACTCTCCTATTCTCCATGCCAGCAGAGAAACTGACTTTTATTAGTGAGTAATGCATAAACTCCTATCTTTATTTTAGTATATGTGCTGCCGAAGCGAGCACAACTCCTATCTTTATTTTAGTGCAACAAAATTAAGAATATAATAAGAATATAGGTATTCCGGCATACCTCGGAGATATTGCGAGTTCAGTTCCAAACCACCACAATTAAGTGAATATTGCAATAATGCAAGTCACACACTTTTTGATTTCCTGTGCCTATTAAAGTTATGTTTACACTATTTGTAGTCTATTAAGTGTGCAGTAGCATTGTGTCTAAAAAGTACTTAATTAAAAAATATTTTATTGCCAAAAATGCTAATGATCATCTGAGCCTTCAGGGAGTCCTAATCTCTCTGCTGGTTGAGGTCTTGCCTCGATGCTGGTGACTGCTAACTGATCAGTGTGGCGGGTGATGAAGGTCGGGGTGGCTGTGGCAATTAAAAAAAATAAGACAGTAATAAAGTTTGCTCCATTGATTGACTCTCCTTTTCATGAAAGATTTCTCTGGTAGCTTGTGATGTTGTTTGGTAGCATTTTACTCACCGTAGAACTTCTTTCAAAATGCAAGTCCATCTTCTCAAACCCTGCTGCTGCTTTATCACTAAGTTTATGTAATATTCTAAATTCTATGTTGTCATTTCAACAATGTTCGTAGCATCTTCACTAAGAGTAGATTTTATCTCAAAACACCATTTTGTAGCCAGGCACCGTGGCTCACACCTGTAATCCTAGCAACTTGGGAGGGATTGCTTGAGTCCAAGGAGTTAAAGGCTGCAGTAAGCCTTGATCGCAGCACTGCACTTCAGCCTGGGCAACAGGAGACACTCCTCATTCATTCAAATTTTATCATTAAATTACAGCAATTCAGCCACATCTTCAGGGTCCACTTCTAATTCTAATTCTCTTGCTATTTCTACCCCATCTGCAGTTACTTCCTCCACTGAATTCTTGAATCCCTCAAAGTCATTCATGATAGTTGGAATCGGCTTCTTCCAAACTTCTATTAATGTTGATATTTTACCTTTCTCCTGTGAATTGCGAATGTTTCTAATGGCATCTACAATAGTAAATCCTTTCCCTAGGTTTTCAATTTACTTCGCTCAGAGCCATCAGAGAAATCACTACCTATGGCAGCTATAGCCTTATAAATATATTTCTTTTTCTTTTCTTTTTTTTTGGAGGCGGGGATGGAATCTTGCTCTGTCGCCCAGGCTGGAGTGCAATGACACAATCTTGGCTCACTGCAACCTTTGCCTCCTGGTTAAAGCAATTCTCTGGCCTCAGCCTCCCAAGTAGCTGGGATTACAGGCATGCACCACCACGCCCGGCTAATTTTTGTATTTTTAGAAGAGACAGGGTTTCACCATGTTAGCCAGGCTGGTCTCAAACTCCTGACTTCATGATCCACCCGCCTTGGCCTCACAAAGTGCTAGGATTACAAGCATGAGCCACCACTCCTGGCCATGAATGTATTTCTTAAATAATAAGACTTGAAATTCTAACTTATCCCTTGATCCATGGGCTGCACAATAGATGTTGTGTTAGAGGGCATGAAACAACACTAATCTCCTTGTAGATATCCATCAGAGCTCTTGGGTGACTAGGTAAATTGTCAATGAGCAGTAATATTTTAAGAGGAATATTTTTTTCTGAGCAATAAGTCACTTAAGTAGGCTTACAATATTCAGTAAACCATGCTGTAAACAGATGTGCTGTCATCTAGGCTTTGTTGTTTTATTTCTAGAACATAAGCAGAGAAGATTTGGCATAATTCTTAAGGGCCCTAGGGTTTTCAGAATGGTAAATGACCACTGACTTCAACTTAAAGTCACCAGCTGCATTATCCCCTATTAAGAGAGTTAGCCAGGCTGGGCGCAATGCCTCAAGCCTGTAATCCCAACACTTTGGAAAGTTGAGGTGGGTGGATCATGTAAAACCAGGAGTTCAAGACCCACATGGCGTTCAAGGAGTTCAAGACCAGGAGTTCAAGACCAACAGGAGTTCATGGCTAACATGGCAAAACCCTGTCTCTACTAAAAATACAAAATACAAAATTAAAATACAAAATTTAGCTGGGCATGGTGATGCATGCCTGTAATCCCAGCTACACAGGGGGCTGAGGCAGGAGAATCGCTTGAGCCTGGGAGGCAGAGGTTTCAGTGAGCCAAGATGGTGCCATTGTACTCCAGTCTGGCAGCCTGGGCATCAGAGCAAGGCTCTGTTTCAAAAAAAAAAAAAAGAGAGAGATTCAGGCTATACTTTGAAGATCTGAAGTGAGGCATTGACTTCTCTCCAGTTATGAAGGCCTAGATGGCGTCTGCTTCCATTATAAGGTTGCTTTGTCTCCATTGAAAATCTGCTGTTTAGTGTAGTCACCTTCAACCATGTTCTTAGCTAGATCTTCTGGATAAATTGCTTCAGTTTCTCTATCAGCATTTACTGCTTCGCCTTGCACTTTTATGTTATGGAGATGGCTTTTTTCCATAAACCTCATGGACCAACCTCTGATAGCTTCCAACTTTTCATCTGCAACTGCCTCACCTCTCTCAGCCTTGGTAGAATTGAAGAGAGTTAGGGGCTTGCTCTGGATTAGGCTTTGGCATAAGGGAATGTTGTGGCTGGTTTGATCTTCCATCCAGAGACTAAAACTTTCTCCATATCAGCAATATCATGCTATCTTATCATTCATGTATTCCCTGGAGCAGCACTTTTAATTTCCTTCAAGAACTTTTCTTTTGTATTCACAACTTGGCTGACGAGTTGGCACAAGAGCCCTACCTTTCAGCCTGTCTCGACTGACTTTTGCCATCCACGCTAAACTTAATCATCTCTAGCTCTTGATTTAAAATGAGAGATGTGTGACTCTTTTTTTCACTTGAACATTTGGAGGCCATTGTAGGGTTATTAATTGGCCTAATTTCAATGTTGTTGTGTCTCAGAAATGGAGAAGCCCAAGGAGAGAGAGACAGTGGAATGGCAAAGGTCAGTAGAGCAGTCAGAACACATGTAACATTTATCTATTAAGTTAACTGTCTTGTATGGGTGTGGTTCATGGCACCTCATAACAATCAAAATAGTAACATCAAAGATCACTGATCACAAATCACCTTAACAGATATATTAATTTTGAAAAAGTTTGAAGTATTGTGAGAATTACCAAAATGTGACACAGAGACACAAAGTGATCACAAGCTGTTGGAAAAATGATGCTTAAACACTTGCTTGACACAAGATTGCCAAAATCTTCAATTTGTAAAAAAACATGCAATATCTGCAAGTTCCAGTTAAGTGAAGGGCAATAAAGCTAGATATGCCAGCATTCAATTAGCAAAAGGTTCAGAAATAACGTAAAAAAAAAACTGCTTGAAATACAACTTTATTAATCAGGGTCCTCTAGAGTCAGAACCAATAGGAGGCACAGAGAGAAAATAAATAAATAATTTTAAAAGAAAAAAGACAGAGAGGAGAGATTTATTTTAAACAATTGGCTCATGCAACTGTGGGAGCTAGCAAGTTCGAAATCTACAGGGCAAGCTGGCAGGCTGGTAACTCAGGCAAGAGTTGAAGTTATAGTCTTAAACCCAAAATCCACTGGCAAGATTTTTATGTTATGGTTTTGAGGCAGAATTTCTTCTCTAAAAAACCTCAGTTTTTGCTCTTAAAATGTTCAAATGATTGATATCCACCCACATTATTCAGGATAATCTTCTTTACTTAAAGTCAACTGAGTATAAATATTAAGCACATTCACATCTAGCAATCTGGATGTGGGCACCATAGCTTAGCCAAGTTGACGCATACAATCAACCATCACAACAACCTTCATTCAATAGCATTTTCTTACAGGCATGATGATAAATAGGTTTTAAAACATAAATCCCCTAGTGAACCACATAAAGCATGCTTTTATTAAGAAAACAAATTACCTTGCTTTTATTTTTCTTTGCTCTTTTCAGTCAGTTGTGTGGTAGTGAGGATGGGGTGGGGACGGGGGAAGGAGGATTGGATGTCTGTTTTCAGGAGCATCTGCAGCATAACCATGTCAAATATTTGTGCTAGAGCATTGGGAACAGTGCACACATTAGAAAGGATCAAAAGGAAATAATAAATTGCTCACAATACAGTCAAAGATACTGCTATAAATTAATGTGACCCCTGCAAAATTCAGGTGTTGCTGATGCTATCAACAGTACCAAGAGATGGGACCTTTAGAAGGTAATTAGGCCATGAGGGCTCCTCTCTCATGAACAGGATTAGGTGCCTTTATAAAAGGGCTTGATGGAGGCTCTTCATCCCACTTGCCTTCAGCCATGTGAGGACACATCCTTCCTCTTCTCTAGAGGACGCATCTCTCACCAGATAATAGAACCTGCTGGCAACTTGATCTTGGCCTTCCCAGTCTCCAGAACTGTGAGAAATAAATTTCTGTTATTCATAAATTACCCAGTTCCAAGTATTTTGTTGTAGCAGCACAAACAGACTAAGACATATGTGAGCAATCTACTTTACACATTACAAGTTGTATTATGAATTAAATACCGCATAAAAGTATAAAGACAATAATGGTGTAGGTATATAAAAGGGTTTGTATGTGGTTGGGCTCCCAGCTGAAAGGAAGTTTCACAGGCTTATGAGGGCATCATTGCAAACCTTCTTTGTAATTTTCTGATACAGACTGGTAGAAAGGGAGAAGGCATAAACATAAAGGAATTGCCTCTGAGGCAGAGTCACTCCTTTAATACAGGCAACATCAGTTGCACCACAGAGATGGCTAGAATTAATCAGATTCACACAGCAAGTCCTGACACTTGATGGCTTAATTAGGGTGATTACGGGTAGGCTTTTAAAATTCTGCTTTGTCAGCAGATGACCCAATAAAATGTTACCGTAAAGAGCTTGTTCCCACCCCACCCCAGCCCAGGAGGAGCTCAAAACCTGGACTGTAGTTAGTATATTAATAATGTTTGTGATGTGGTTGGCAAAATATTTTGTAATGATGTGCTTATAAAAGTTGCTTTAGGAGGTAATGGCAGCAGGTCAGGTTTTTCTTTACCTTGTAGGAAGTTACAGCTAACTCTTTTTGTGATACAAAAAGACATGTCTATACCTATATATAATGCATATATGTATATGCTTTATTTCAGGGGGGCATGAAAAGAGATTTATGACAGAACATTTTTGTCAGTGTTTTTATCCTAGCTTGATGTGCTCACAAATAACTGGTTTTTTTTCCAGAAGGAAATAACTAATAAACTATGATGTGTATCATTAGCAACAACCAAAACACAATGGAGGTATTATGTATAGAAGGAGAGTAGAACGAAGTTGTTAGATTGGTGACTCTATTTTGTTTTGTTTTTGTTTGTAATTGTAGACTTGTAAATATTGAACTATCATGGAGCTGAAGAACGAATAGGAGAGAATAATTCTTCTCACTGAATGTTCAACATAAATATAATATAAAAAGGTGCACCATTCTAAGACACTAAAATGTTTCAGAGCAACAACTATTGGGAGAATATATTCACTAGTCCTTCAATATGGGTGTGTAGCTTATGCTAATTTCACTGGGGATCCTCAAGTATATAATCTGTTTAATTTGGAATATCTAAAATTAAGTGATGACTCTTTTTTTTTGAGACAGGGTCTTGCTGTGTCACCCACCTCAAGCAATCCTCCCACCTCAGCCTCCTGAGTAGCTGGGACAACATGCATGTGCCATCATGCGCAGCTAATTTTTGTATTTTTTTATAGAGATGGGGTTTCACCATGTTGCCCAGGCTGTTCCTGAACTCCTGGGCTCAAGCCATCCACCCACCTTGGCCTCTCAAAGTACTGAGATTTACAGGTGTGAGCCACTACACCCAGCCAAAGTGATGACTCTTTATTTTGGAAGTATTTATTTATTCTGGACCCTTTATTTCTTTGATGTATTTTTTAATTCGATTTTATTATCTTATAGACAGATAATTCATTAAATACATAACTAAATGTTTTAACAATATTTTGGTGTGTGTGCTTACTGATATGTTTGTATTCACAAATCAGAAAAAAAAAATTTAATGTAAGAGAGACTTTCGAAAACAATTAAGCCCCGAGGCAGCATCACTCCTCTCTTTACATTCATTTCCTCTGTGTTTGAACTCACCCCATGGTTTTGAGTACTGCCTGTGTGAGAGGACTCCCTAATTAATCATTCCAGCTCTTGATAATCCTCTGAACTTCAAACTTGTGTATCTAACAATGTGATGGACATCTCCACTTGGATAGCTGATAGGCATTTCATACATAACATGTCCCAAGATAAACCCTTGTTTGCCCTTGTCCCACAACTCCCACTAAACTTGCCACTCCTCTTTGTTATCTCATTATGTCTTTTTTCTCCATGGCTGGGACCAAAAATTTTGGAGTCAACAATGACACCCCTCTTTCCCCAACACCCCATAAGCTATCCCTGAGCAAATCCTCTTGATTCAACCTAATTTTCAATTCTTTTTGAGACACTCAAGTAGCAGTTTTAAATGGTTCAACCCAACATATCCAGAATCTGACCATTCCTATGTCCATTGTAATTTCCCTAGTTCAAGCTGTTGCATGAATGATGGCAACATTTGTCTAATTGCATTCTACACAGGGTAGTTCACAGTGATCCTTTTATCGTGTAAGGCTGATCGTGTCATGCCTCTGCCCCAAACCCCCATAGGCTCCCCATTTCACCCACAGTAAAAGACAAAGGTCTCACAATGTTCTACTAAGCCCCACAGTAGCTGACCCCTCATTTCCTTACCTCCCCCAGCCCATGCTTTCTCCCTCTCTTGCTTCATCTCCTGCTATACTCACCTCCCATTTCAATCAAGTCTCACAGTATTAGTTTTCTATTACTTCCACAACAAATGACCACAAATTGCCACACACTTAGCAGCTTAAAGCAACATAAATTTATTATCTCACAGTTCTGTAGTTTGGAGGTCTGAACTGTCTTGGCTGTTTCCTGTGTTGGTAGAATCCAGTGCCTTCAGTCTGCAGGACTGAGGTCCCTGTTTCGTCACTGGTGTCAGCTAGGGCCCACCCTTATCTCCCAGAGGACAATCCTTGCTCATGGGTCCCCATATCTCAGAGCCAGAAACAGTGCATGCTATCCTCATGTTTGGAATCTCTCTGATTTTTCCCTTCTGCTGAATCTCTCTTGCTGCAGCCAGAAAAAGTTTTTTGCTTTTAAGGGCTCATGTGACTCTATTGGACCCACCTGGATA
Source organism: Homo sapiens (assembly GCF_000001405.40). NCBI lineage: Eukaryota > Metazoa > Chordata > Mammalia > Primates > Hominidae > Homo > Homo sapiens. The sequence continues at coordinate 17,624,625 of NC_000021.9, forward strand.
ATCTAGGATAATCTCTTTATCTTAAGGTCTGAAATGCCATTTCCGTCTGCAATTTCTTTGCCACATAATGTAACAAATTGACAGGTGCCAGGCATGTGGGCATGGACATCTTTGGGGCACCACTATCTGCCTACCATATGGTCTCTTAGCCACGCATGCTTCCATCTCTGGGCCCATATGCTTGCTGTCCTGCTACCTGGAATATTGTTCCCCCGGTTAATTACGAAGCTCATTACACAGCAGGTCCTTGCCCAGGTATCACCAGATCCTATCAGCCTTTCTGACCAGCCTGTAAAAGAAACATCCCCCATTACACTTTTTTTTACCCCTTAACCTGCTTTTTGTTTTCTTTCTCTAACCACTATCTGACAGAATATATTTGTGTATCTATTATATGTCTCCCTCTACTAAGACCTTTGGGAGCAGAAACTTTGATTTATTCACTCCTGGATTTGCCCTACCTAGACCTGTTTCTTGTACTTGGTAAAATGTTCAATAAATATTTGTTGAATCACCAAAAAAGCCCCAGAGGCCCCACTGCATTAATCATGTTTGGGCAAAAACATGAGTCCACGAAGTGTGAATTTTACCTAAGGAACTATTTTTTTTTTTTAAACTTATTCATAGGAATACCATTAGTTTGTCAAATGCCTTGCTGAGGTCATTATAGCAACTTCTATAGGTATCTCCTGAAGCTCTGAAAGAAAAAAATTTATTGCAGATTTCAAAATACATAGAAAAGGAGAATTCTAATGTTGCCAACACAAAGAAAAGTGTTTGAGGTGATAAATATCCCAATTACCGATTTGATCATTACACATTTTATATATGTATCAAAATAATGACGTACCCCAAAATATGTACAACTGTGATATATAATTGATATATTAATTTTAAAAAAGAAAAGAAGTAGTTTGGCATTACTGTCCTTGGTATACCTAAACTAGCTCAAAGTGTTCATCTCTTTCATCTCTAATTGCTGATAAACTTTTTATTAATCTGTGCTAAAATCTTTAAAGAGCTCGAGATCAAGTCTGTAGTTTTCAAATCACTTTTCATCTTCTTTCAAAATCAGGACATATACCATTTGCAAATTCCTGATATTTCTCTTATACATTTCCTCGTTTAATTATCAACAGCATACCTTAAATCTACAGATGATTCTAGCACCGGAGATATCAATCCCCTCAGAGTTACTATTTCTTCTTTTTCTTTAACTCCTCACCTTAGGATGTTAGCTCTGTTCTTTTTTACTTAAGGTTGCTTTTCTTGGAATAAAGAATGAAACAAAATGAGATTCTGAAGATTTTATTTTTGCCTCCATCTGCACTGAGCGGGAGTCTGAAGACTTTCTCTGAACTTAGCAAAACAGCTTTTTGAGAACCATTAGCCCATTTTTGACATTTAGCCTTCCCTTCCCCATTGTTATGGGTTTCAGCCAGTGACTTTTTCATTTGCAGCTGGTCTACCTTATGCAGTCTTTTCGGTTTCCTATGCATTTCCCCCTTTTCTTTCTTCATGGGCATTATTTTTCATATACGGACAGACTATTTTAGAGTTACCCATTTCTCATGAGCCATTTTCTGTTTTAGATATTTGTCAATGCAAACATACCTATCCCCTTGGAATTAAGACAGGTTTTTTAAAAAAATAATTTTTGAGCACATGCTAAATGTAAGCAAGAAAATGTGCTATATACTGCAGAGCAGTTTTTTCTCAAAATTGGTTCCTGGACCATCTGAATCTGAACCATGGGGTGGTGATAATGGTATTTATTACCATGTAAATTACCAATTACTCAATCAGAATTAGAAGGGGGTAGATGGGAGACTTGGGAATCAACATTTTTTTTTTCTTTATTTCTTACTTGATGAAAAGTTTCCCAAGGAATCAGCATTTTTTTTAGCAAGTTTCTCAGGTTATACTTTTCAAAGCCTGACAACTTTATCTGTCAAGGATATGCAGAAGCATAAGTCCCTGCTGATAAGAAGCTAATGCTATATTTAAGATGCTATGGCATAAAAATAACATAAATAATGAGTGGCACAGACAATCAGCGCACTTGAGTCAGCAAGTGCAGCTGCTGGGAATGGGGTAGTGGGTGTTAAGGCTGGCTTCATAGAGCAGGTGTTTATTGCTCATAAAAAGCACTCAAGAACTGTTTGTTGAATTAATGACAAAAGCTGTGCTGAAAGGTAAAGAAGCCATAATATTGTTTTAGTTGAGAAAGAACTTACAACCCTTTTGTTTTCCCCCATTATCATATAGGTAAAGAAATTGAGTTCCAGAAGAGTAATTGACACAATTGCCCCATGTCACACAACACGGTGGTATTGAAAGAGACAAGAAGGAAAGTTTCCTAACTTCAAACTTTGTGCTTTCTCCACTATCCCGTGAGAGAATTTGGACTGGCTACAAGCAAGGGGTAAGGCATTTTAAGAACTGGAGTAGGCCAGGTGCAGTGTCTCATGCCTGTAATCCCAGCACTTTGGGAGGCCAAGGCGGGCAGATCACCTGAGGTTGGGAGTTCGAGACCAGCCTGACCAACATGCAGAAACCCCATCTCTACTAAAAATACAAAATTAGCCAGGCGTGGTGGCTCATGCCTGTAATCCCCACTACTCAGGAGGCTGAGGCAAGAGAATCACTTGAACCTAGGAGGCGGAGGTTGCGGTGAGCCGAGATTACACCATTGCACTCCAGCCTGGGCAACAAGAGCAAAACTTCACCTCGAAAAAAAAGAGAACTGGAGTAAATTTAGTAAGATGTGTAATAAATGGGTTGTCATTAACCAACAAGGAAGGACAAAGGACTTGATTGAGAGATTGATGAAAGACAGGCTGGAAAAGGCAAGTTAAGATTGTGAGGCTGCGTGTGGCACCTCATGCACCTGACCTCACCATCCTGTAATCCCAACACTTTGGGAGGCCAAGGCAGGAGAATTGCTTGAGCCCAAGAGTCAAGACCATCGGGAAATATGGTCTCTACAAAATATTTAAAAGTAAATAAAAGAGAAGACTGTGAGTCACTTGAATACCAGAGCAAAAGGAGTAGATATTAGAGAGCTGCTAAAAATTTTGAGACAAGATAAAAGCAATGTTAGGAAAATTAACTTGTGGTTGCTACTCGGAAAGATGAGAGAGACAAAAGTTCAGAGCCAGTGAGATGCCAGATTAGGATCCAACTTTGTGGACCATGATGAGAAAATTAAGACCCAGATTGGTAAAAGTATGGATGTGTGAACAAATTTAAAGTTTGGGTCAATACAATATGGAAACAAATCCAATTCTGGTCTAGTTCAGTAGTTTCTTTCTTTTAGTTGATTAAGTTTTTAGTTGATTTTTTCTAAAAGCAAGTAATTCTCTTTTTTTCACACTAATGTAGAACTCAACTTTTCCTTTTCTCAAAGCCCAACTTTTTTTGTGCACAAACAAATCAATACTCAAATAAGAGTTATACACTTAAGAGATTATAAAAGCACCATTTCATTCAGCAAACCTTTAAAAGAAGCATCTACTCTTTGTTAGGCACTGTTCCAAGTTCTGGGCCTTTAGAAATGCATAAGATATGGTCTCTGTTTTAGTCAGGGTTCTCCAGAGAAACAGAACCAATAAGATGTGTATAAATATATATAAAGAGATTTATTTTAAGGAATTGGCTCACACGATTATGAAAGCGGGCAAGTCCCAAGATCTGTAAGATAAGTTGGGAAGCTGGAGACCCAGGGGAGCCACTGGTATAGTTCTAGCCTGGGTCTGAAAGCCTGGGAACCAGGAGAGTCCATGGTGTAGTTCCAGTCCCATTGCCGGCGGGCTTGAGACCCAGGAAGAGCTGACGTTTCAGATGGAGTCTGAAGGCAGAAAAACGTCAATGTCCCAGTTCTTTTTTTTTTTTGAGACGGAGTCTCGCTCTGTCGTCCAGGCTGGAATGCAGTGGCGTGATCTCGGCTCACTGCAACCTCTGCCTCCCAGGTTCAAGCGATTTTCCTGTCTTAGCCTCCCGAGTAGCTGGAATTACAGGCGCACGCCACCACGCCCAGCTAATTTTTTTGTATTTTTAGTAGAGATGGTGTTTCACCATGTTGGCCAGACTGGTCTCGAACTCCTGACCTCAGGCAATCCGCCCTCCTCGGCCTCCCAAAGTGTTGGGATTACAGGCGTGAGCCACCGTGCCCGGCCAATGTCCCAGTTCTTAGAAAGTAATCAGGCAGCAAGAATTCTCTCTCACTTGGGAGAGGGTCAGCCTTTTTGTTCTGCTGAGACCTTCAACTGATTAGAGGAGTCATATCCACAGCATGGAGGGCAATCTGCTTTACTAGGTCTACTGATTTAAATGTTGATCTCATCCAAAAACACCCTCACAGACTCACCCTGAATGATGCTGGGCTAAATAGTTGGGCATCCTATGGCCAGTCAAGTTGACATATACAATTAACCATCACAGTCTCTGTCTTCAAGGAGCTTACAACTTACTGGGGGTAAGAGACAAGGAGGCCAATGAATCACAGCACTTTGGGAGGCCGAGGTGGGCCGATCACTTGAAGCCAGGAGTTTGAGACCAGTCTGGCCAACATAGCAAAACCCCATTTCTACTAAAAATACAAAAATTAGCTGGGTATGGTGATGCAGGCCTGTAGTCCCAGCTGCTCAGGAGGCTGAAGTGGAAGGATCGCTTGAACCTGGGAGGCGGAGAGTGCAGTGAGCCAAGATGGCACCACTGTACTCCAGCCTGGGCGACAGAGAGAGAGAGAGAGACTGTGTCTCAAAAAAAAAAAAAAAAAAAATTAAAAAATTAGCCATGTATGTTGGTATATGCCTGTAGTCCCAGCTACTTAGGAGGCTGATGTCGGAGGATTACCTGAGTCCAGGAGGTTGAGGCTGTGGTTAGCTGTGATTGTGCCACTGCACTCCAGCCTGGGAACAGAGTGAGACCCTGTCTCAAACAAAACAAAACAAAACAAAACCCAAAAAGAAGCAAAAAACAAAACAGACAAATAAAATTGCAACTTGTAATTCATACTCCAATATAGGTCTTTATTTTAATTCTATGAAAACATCAAATGGAGGAGCTGGGCATGGTGGTGGATGCCTGTAATACCAGCTACTTGGAGGCTGAGGCAGGAAGATCACTTGAGCCCAGGAGTTTGAGACCAGTTTGGGCAACATAGTGAGACCCTGGCGCTATAAACAAACAAACAAATAAGCAAATAAATAAATAAATAAATAAAACAAAGTGGAGAGTGATAAACTCTGCCTGTGGAGAAAGGTGAAGTCAATAACGTTACAGGGAAAATAGTTTCTGTTTAGGAAAACACCAAGATGGGCCATTTTATTTATGGCTATCAAGCTATCTGAGCATTGCCAGAATAACCCAGGATGTCTCCAAACTGCCCCAGGTGGGAGGTAAATGGGCTTCCGGGTGTTGGATGTAGTTGGGACATTAAGAGTGAGATTCTAAGAAATCAAGGCTACCCAAAAATATATTGGGCTCTTTCTTGAATTAAAAAAAGACAGTCGAATGAAAGTTTCTAAGATTCAGGATTTATCAAGAGACCTAAGAACAGGAATATGTTATTTTTTACTTCCAAATTAGAAAATTGTATGAAGTGAAAAATTTTAAACATATCCAAAAATAGAGAGCAAAGCACAATGAAGCCCAATATCCATCGAGATTTAAAATTACCAAGATTGTGTCACACTTGCGTAATTGCTTTTTCTTTCTTTGCTAAATATTTGAAAACAAATCTTAGAAATCCTGTCATTTCACTCCTACATACTTCAAGATGCATCCCTAAAAAATATGGTCTTTTAAAAATTCATAATGCCATTTTTACATCTAACAAAATTAATAGTAATTCCTGGTATTTTTGGTATTATGGAATAGCCAGCAATATTAAAATATCCCTGACTGTCTAAAATATTTCTGTATACTGTTGGTTAGTTGAATGGTAACGCAAAGTCCACATATTTAAATGTTTTGACTCTCCTGTCTTTTAAATGTAGAGAAGACTTCCTTCTTCCTTCTTCTTTTTTTTTTTTTTTTTTGGTTTCTCATGGTATTGATTTGTTGAAGAAAATGCATCTATTGTCATTAAAAATGTTCCATATATTGAATTTGTTATAATATTCATTTTAAGTTATTTTTCTGCAATATAATCTACATTTCACTGTATTGTTTCAGAAATTCTGCTTCCTACTCAGCTTTAAGTCAAAGGTAATTATGGGAGCAAAGGAACTTAGGAGATACTTTCCAGGAAGGTAATGGATTACAGAAAAGAGGAAGGAAGTGCAGAATTCGAAACGCAGGGTGTCGAACAAGAAGACAAAGAAAGCAGCAATGGAGAAAGAGAGATGACGCAGAGAGAGATAAGGCAACTCCCTGGCTTCCTTGTACTTACCAAAAAAAGTGAACCAAATTTGAGATTCTCTAAGATAGTTGTAAAAAGATCAGTATTATATTAAAAGAATGATGGAAATCTGAATAGTAAAATGTATTGAACCTACTAAATAGTTTGTTACATTAGCACTGTGGGTTCTTTAGCCTAAATATAGAACTTACCATTTTTTTCTTGAGGAAAAGATAGATTATGACACTTACGGTAGAATCATGTAAAATTCAGTGGTAAATAGGTTCATGTAGTTTTACAGTTCGTTGCTTTTATAGTCTTAGACTATAAAATAAAACAGTTGAACTGAAAATGTCTGCTCTTACCCAGTTTTATCATCCCACTGCTTTTCACGCTCTTTTGCTTTTTGTTGGCCAGCACACTAGTTCGTTTTTAGCCAAGTATTTCAAAGTGTCAAATAAAAGTACTGCTGCAGCCAGGCAGCAGCTGACTTCATTTTTACTCAAGTGTGAGATAGCACTCACAGATGTCAACTTGTATTCTTTTTTAATGAAATAATTTTGATGAATTCTAAATATACTAAAGCATTGTCAGAATCAGCTTTGAAAATTCAGGGTTTAGTAATCAGTGCCAACTCCAGTGACACCTCAAACATACCAAATATTCGTTCTCTTAGAGACCTGGTGAGATTAACATGACAGTATTAATGATTTTAGCTTTCTATATTCACTCTTGGTATTGCTGTCATTTTATACATTTCTCCACATTACTGCCATCTAAGACAGACTCTAAGCTAAAGACATTTATTTGTTTTGCTCAGCTACCCCTACGTGTGGTAGACTAGATACCACTTGATTATGATGACAATTAAAGGAAGATGAGGCTTAAAAAATGCTTGAATTTGGATCACGGCTCACTGCACCCTCTATCTCCTGGGCTCAATAGATCGTTCCACCTCAGCCTCCTGAGCAGCTGGGACCACAGGTGTGCACCACCAACCTGGCTAATTTTTAAATTTTTTGTAGATACAGGATTTTATCATGTTACCCAGGCTAGTCTCGAACTCCAGGGCTCAAGTGATCCACCAGCTTCGGCCTGCCAAAGTGCTTGGGACCACAGGTGTGAGCCACTGCACCCAGCCTGAATTTGGAAATTTCAACAGAAAGCAGCAAACATGTTTGAGAATTTGAGTATAAATAACTTATTTATTTATGTATTTCCAGTTTCAGTACCACATAGTGAGAGATTCAGAGTGGACCATTCGCAGTTGACAAAATTCACACTTCTCCCCAAGAGTTTGAAGGGTTTTATAGTCTGTGTTAAGATTGAAGCCTGAGTGAAAATGTCTGTGAAAAACAAAGTTTAAGAGCTCAGAGGGAAACTTAAGAGAACACCATGTAAGTGAACAGCCTATTAAGAAAGATCAAGGATAAGAAGAACTATAAAAAGAACAGATAAGGAAAGCACTCAGAATAACAGTTGCATATTGATGTGGAGGCTCAACTCAAAGGGGGTTAGAACAGGCTGGTCAAGGTTTCCAAAGCGCGACATTTAGGAGACACAAACAAACTTGGCAAGTCATGTGGTCATTAACCTGTACTTAAAACTGAAGAGAGGCCGGGCGTGGTGGCTCACGCCTGTAATGCCAGCACTTTGGGAGGCCGAGGCGGGCGGATCACGAGGTCAGAAGATTGAGACCATCCTGGCTAACACGGTGAAACCCCATCTCTACTAAAAATACAAAAAATATTAGCCGGGCGTGGGGGCAGGCGCCTGTAGTCCCAGCTACTCAGGAGGCCGAGGCAGGAGAATGACATGAACGCGGGAGGCAGAGCTTGCAGTGAGCTGAGATCGCCACCGCACTCCAGCCTGGGCGACAGAGTGAGACTCTGTTTCAAAAAAATAAAAAAATAAAACTCTGAAGAGAAGGGTGTGAAGGGTTTGAAGGAGGGTGCTCAGATTTGGCTAGGTGTATAATCACAGTGTTCCCAAGGTTTAGGTGGTCTTATTCTCTAAACCTGTGCTAAGACAATTGGATAATGTTGGGGCTCAGAAAACGATGTCTCATAGTGTGGCTCTATAGCATGTTGAACACAGTGAATTAAAGAAAATTGGAAGGCCTGAGAAGCTGCCTCAGAATCAAGGTCTCTCTGATCTTCCTTTGTTTTCTTCCCCCAGGCACAGGGAGAGCTCTCCCTGAAGTTCTGACTGAGGGAATTCCTTCCAAAAGAAACACAATTGTCTTCAATCTCCTGTCTGAAATCTCACTAACCAGGGAAGATTAATCACCAAAGAAGAAATTAAAGATTATCAGCTGGGCCCGGTGGCTCATGCCTATAAGCTCAGCACTTTGAGAGGCCAAGGCGGGAGGATGGCTTGAGCCTAGGAGTCCGAGACCAGCCTGGGCAATATAGTGAGACTCCATCTCTACAAAAAATAATAGCTGGGTGAGTTGGTGCACATCTGTAGTCCCAGCTACTCAGGAGGCTGAGACAGGAGAGTCACTTGAGCTGGGCGGAGGCTGCAGTGAGCTGTGATCGTGCCACTGCACTTCAGCCAGGGCAACAAAGCAAGACCCCTCAAAAAAAATTAAAAGAAAAGATTGTCCCCACATAGTCCCAGACACACTTTTCATCTATTCTTCTGAGGAATGGTGCCTGAGAGACTTTATCTGCGTAATTAGACAGCCTTTGTTCACAGTGCAATTCTGCCACTAAACTTCTCATAAATTGTCACCATCTCTCTCAGAGCCCAGACTAACTTTGTCCCAGGCTATTGTCTGTTCTTTGAGCCAATTCATCTCCCCTAAAAATTATCTATTCTTCCTCTAAAATTACCTACATCCCCTCCTTCCCTCTGCCTTATGAAGAAGGTATTTAACCTTCAATAATCTGGCCCTTCTTTGAGTTTTATACTTTGTCTGACTCCCATGTGCTTGTACATTTATAAATTTGTATGCCTGTTCTCCCATTAATCTGTCTATTGTAAGTTTGTTTATAGATTCGAATTCTCAAACCTTCAGGAGGTGAAAAGAAAGTTCCTTTTGCCCTTACAACAACGTGAGACTAGCTCTGAAGTTTTCATTAGCTATGTGAAGCTTATATCTCAGAATAGCCTCACATACACTGGTAAAGATTAGCAGGTCATTTGGGCTGATGGCATAGTCTGGAATAACAGAGGAGGAAATAAAATTTTAAAAGCTCATGAACCCAAGAGTATGATCTTCAGAGGAGAGATTTCCTATCTCTTAAATTCTACGTAAATAGTGAAGTCCTATATGGGGGGGATCCTTCATCTGGGGCCTACCTTGGGCAGAATAATGTAGTTGTACCTCATTCTATCATAGCTAAAAGACAAAGTACTTTTTAAGACTTTGCAAAATTTTGTTCATGTTGCGTATCTTTTTAAAGTCTGACTCTCTGCACTAAAATAGGATAGCCTAAACAGGGCTCTTTTCGGAGTAAAATTATTATGAGCCCAGTAGTTTTCCCAGTAAGTAAGCTATCAGAACTTACAAAAATATGAGACAGAGCTTTGCAGATGTAGCTAGAGAAAGGTCAGTTGGTGGACTTGAACTTGTTTTTAGTTTATTTATGTATTCTCCAATACTCTAGACTGTTCTAGAAATCACTAGAGAGAAATAATGGTGGTATTCCATGCCTATGATACATCACAGACTACATTTGGAGGACTGCAGAAAGAAGCAAAAACAGAAGTTTCCATAATGAGTGGTAGAGATGTGCTAAATGTCTTCTTTTTCAAACTTTAATTTTTAATTTTTAATTTTTTTTAGAGATGTGATATTGCTATATTGCCCAGGCTATAGTGCAGTGACTATTCACAGGTGCAGTCATAGTACACTGCAACCCTGAACTCCTGGGCTCCAGCAATCCTCCTGCCTAAGCATCCTGAGTAGTTAGAACTACAGGTGCATGCCACAATACTGGGCTTAATGCCTTCTTTACTGATCCTTGATGGTAAAGGGGAAGACCATTTTAGAACCTTTGATTCCTTGGACATAATCCCATGGTACTGCTCTTTAATAAAGATAAATTATAAGGAATTGGATTCTATAGGGAAGAAATGGATGGAAGTTGTAACAAAATGTAATAGTAATGAAATATTAATAGAAAGGCCTAAATAGAATCTGTGGCATAACTCTCAAAATAGTCCTTTAATAACCTCCTTTTGAAAATATCAAGGTTAAGACCTAGAGACGTAAAGTCCTGCCCAAAGTCAATTGTCTGGTTAGTGGCACACAGAGCACTAAAGTTTACATCAGCAGGTTCCCAGTTCAGTACATCTTCTAGAGCTTCTAAAAATTAATGTGAAGATAGTCTTTGCTCTATTGAAGCATAATTATAAACATCAAATATTTGTAAAATATCTTCTATATAGTAGGATGTTTTTCCTTTTATTTATTAGTAAATTTACCACAATATTAATTTAGTTAGTAAATTAGAATTTTTCTTTCCCATTCATCATTTATGTCACCAGCAGGTAATCCTACTCCATCCTCCCACCACATCTCATTTCATTATCACCTGGCCTCCAGAGGGTGGAATCACTTGGGCACTGCTCAAGCTTATGAGATCTTAAAATTTATTTTTAAAATATTTCAAATCAAAAAGTTTTTGAGCTGTGAAATTTAATAAGATATTGAGCTTTCTTCTAGCCTTTTATCCACTAATTCTACTCTTAGAAATTACTTCCTAAAAAAATACTTTTTAAGAAAACCACACACACACAAAATGTCCTCTAACTTTGTTCTTTTTTCTTCCAAGTTGTTTTGTCTGTTCTAGATCTTCTGCACTTTAATTTAAACTTTAGAGTCAGCTTGCTACTTCTACAAAGTAGCTGGCTGGGATTTCTATTAGAATGCCTTGAATATACAGATCAATTTGGAAGAAATGACGTCTTAACAATATAGAGTCATCTAATCTAGGAATATGGTATATTTCTTAATTGACTTAGGTCTTCTTTAACATTTAATTTTACTCAGCAATGTTTTATAGTTTTCAGTGTACAGGTCTTGAACATCTTTTGTCGAATTTATCCTTAAGTATTTTACAGTTTTGATGCCACTGTACATGGCAAACTTTAATTTTAATTTCTGATTGTTTATTGCTAATATAAAGAAATGCAATTGGTTTTTGATATTGACTTTGTACCCTGCCACTGAACTAAACTCACTTTCAGTTTTAACAGCTTATTTGCAGATTCTTTAGGGTTTTTTGATAGATGACAATATCGTCTGTGAATAAACAGAGATTTATGTCTCCCTTTCCAGTCTATTTGCTTTTTATTATTTCTCTTTCCTTATTAGAGTGTTAGAACCTCCAGGATAATGTTGAATAAAAATAGCGGGAGTGGCCATCTGCAATGGTTAATTTTTAAAATTAATTAATTAAGTTGCTTCCAAAGGATGCAGTGTTGGAAGATGGCTCCAGACTTTGAATCCTGTTTTTGGGCAGTAAGATCAAAAGCTGAAGGCAAAAGGTATATACTAACTGATTCTGTCCCTTTTCATTAGGAATAAAATAGCTTTCCTGGAAGATCTAACCAGTAAATGTTCATTTACATTTCATTAATCAGAAATGAATTACATGTCAACTAACGTCACGTTGGGAGGTATCTGGGGAAATAAGTTTTTGTAACTGGGTATTTTGCTGCGTCAAAGAAAATCGAGGTTTAGAAGGTAGGAGAGAGGTTATTGGGTAATTAGCAGACATGATATTGATACTAACAGTTGCTGTTTCATTTATCTAATGCTGTGCAACAAAACATGGCAAAGTCTAGTGACTTAAACAACGACGACATTTAATACGCTCAGGTCTGGATTGCGACAGGGATCAGCTGCAGTGGCTCAAGGACTAAGGCTGGAATAATCTGAAATCTTGCTTCCTCACATGTCTGGGAGTTGATTTTGGCTGTTAGCTGATGGCTCCACTGGGACAGTGCCTGGAACACCTTCACTGGCTCCTCTATGCAGCTGCTTGGCATCTGCACAGAATGGTGGCTGAGCTGCTTTTTATGACTCAGCCTTGGATATCACATGGTGTTACTATTGCTGTAGTCATAGGCTTACCTCTCTATTCAAGGGGAGAGGACCTGACCCCACATTTTTTTCTTTAAGTCTCCTATCGCTTTTTTTTTTTTTTTTTTTTGAGACAAGTCTCACTTTGTCACCCAGGCTGGAGTGCAGTGGTGCGATCTCGGCTCAATGCAACCTCCACCTCCCAGGTTCTCCTGCCTCAGCCTCCCGGGTAGCTGGGATTACAGGCTCCTGCCACCACGCCAGGCTAATTTGTTTTTGTTTTTTTCTTTTGTATTTTTAGTAGAGACAGGGTTTCACCATGTTGGCCAGGCTGGTCCCAAACTTCTGACCTCAGGTGATCTACCTGCCTGGTCCTCCCTGAAGGCTGGGATTACAGGCCTGAGCAACTGTCCCCGGCCAGACCCCACTTCTTGACAGTAGAATGCCAGATACAATTTGCCCGAAAGTGCTTACATGCCCATGCGCTAATGTCTGAACAAGGTTGTTTCACTTCTACAAATGTTAGCCAAAACACTCTTTTTCCCTCCCTCCCTCCCTCCCTCCTTCCCTTCCTTCCTTCCTTCCTTCCTCCTTTCCTTTCTTCCTCCCTTCCTTCCCTTTTCCCAGATAATTTTTTTAAAAAGAAAAATTGGGCCATGTTGTTTGCTCACTTAAAATGTTTCAATACTTCTCATTATAAATCAAATACAGCCAGGCGTGGTGACTCGCGCCTGTAATCCCAACACTTTGGGGGGCCAAGGTGGGTGGATTGATACCTGAGGTCAGGAGTTCCAAAACAGCCTGGCCAACACGGTGAAACCCTGTCTCTACTAAAAAACACAAAATTTAACCGGGTGTGGTGGCACAATCTGTAGTTCGAGCAACTCAGCAACTCAGGAGGCTGAGGTGGGAGAATTGCTTGAACCTGGAGGTGGAGGTTGCAGTGAGCTGAGCGAGATCTCACCACTGCACTCCAGCCTAGACGACAGAGCGAGAACCTGTTTCAAAAATAAATAAATAACTAAAAAGAAATAAATCAAATACAATTTTTTTTTTTTTTTGCTGCAGTTTATGAGGCCTGGTTTATCACTCCAATTTCATCTCATTTTATTCTGCCCTCTCCTTGCTGTGCTTCTGTTACTGGACATGTCAGATCCACAAACATATCTGCCTCTTTTGCTCTACTGCTTTGCACATGCTCTTTGCTCCTCCTGGGACATTTCCTCCAGCACATTGAATGGGCCAGCCCCTGCTCGTTCCTCACTTCTCAGGGGACCTTTTAATAGATGACCAGCTAAGACATTACATATCAACGTTTATGTTTACTAATTTATTGTTTATTTCCCCCTGTGATATAAAGTTTCACAGCCACAGAAACCTTGCCAGTTTGGTCACTATTGTATATCTGTTAGTAGTATGTTTGGCATGTCATCATAATCTGATGAACTAGATACTGTTATTATCAATAGGAACTGAAGCCCAAGGCTCAGAAATGGCACAGCCACACTGGAATCCAGGTTCTCGGACTCCAGAAGCAATATTCGTATTTGCCCTGCTCTGGATGATTTAGCAAAAGAGGGAAAGGATGCATCGGTTGAGTGTGTCATAGTTAATTGAGAAAGGACTCCATGAAGGCAAGGCCACTTGAGCAGGGCCTTGAGTGATGCATATGCATACATTTTGTCAGATGGTGATTGAAAAAAAGGGTATTACAGGTGGTGGGAAGAGTGTGAACAGAAATAGAGTTGAGAAAGCACTTGTACAGTCTAAGAATAGTGAGTAATTGTAGAATAGGTTGTGGAGGATTTAAAACTGGAAAGGTAGGTTGCATCATTCTGTAGGTAATTAGAAGACATTAACATTGTTTTGTGAAGAGGAGACTCCATCTGTGCTTTAGAAAGCTAAAGCTGCACAGGCAAAGTGTAAGGAGTCAGATGTTGGTCTTGAACAAATCGTATATATACCTAGAATATCATTTTACTTATTTATAAAATGGAAGCTGAGTGCAATGGCTCACAACTGTGATCCCAACACTTTGGGAGGCTGACATGGGAGGACTGCTTGAGGCTAGGATTTTAAGACCAGCCCAGGCAACAGAGTGAGCCCCTTTCTCACAAAAAGTAAAAAATAAATACAATTTGAAAGATGAGAATATAAATAACATCATGTTCATAGTTTTTGGTGAGAGTTAAATAAGATGATCATGTGAAAGTACTTTGCAAACTATAAAGCACTACACAAACATTAGCATTTTCATCATAAGTGTTCTGGGTGGTCCTGGGGTAGGGAGAGTGTACAAGTAGGCACATAGCCAGAGTAGTTGGGCAATGGCAGAGATCCAGGTAAAATGTGACCAAGGTCTAAAAGAGGATAAGATAATAAGATAACATTGTCCACAAAATCAAGTTTAAGTAGGTTGTATTAGTCCATTCTTGCACTGCTGTAAAGAAACATCTGAGGCTAGGTAATTTACAAATAAAAGAGGTTTAATTGGCACAGTTTTGCAGGCTGTACAGGAACCATAGCAACTTCTCCTTCTGGAGAGGCCTCAAGAAATTCACAATCATGGCAGAAGGTGAAAGAGAAGCAGGCACATCTTACATGACGTGAGCAGGAGGAAGAGAGAAGTGGGAGGTGCTACCCACATTTAAACAACCAGATCTCATGAGAACTCACTATCATGAGAACAGCACTAGGGGAATGGTGCTAAACCATTAATGAGAAACCACCCCCATGATTCAATCACCTCCCACCACACCCCACCTCCAACATTGGAGATTACAATTTGACATGAGATTTGGGTGGGGACACAGATCCAAACCATATCATTCGCCCCTCGGCCCCTCCCAAATCTCATGTTCTTTTCACATTGCAAAATATGATCATGGCTTCCCCACAGGCTCTCCAAAGTCTTCATTCATTTCAGCATTAACTCCAAAGTCTCAAATCCAAAGTCTCATCTGAAATCAGGCAAACTCCTTCCACATATAAGCTTGTAAAATAAAAAACAAGTTAGTTACTTTCATGATACAATGAAGGTACAGGTATTGGGTAAATACTCCTGTTCCAAAAGGGAGAAATAGGCCAAAAGAAGGGGCTACAGGCCTCACAGAATTCCAAAACCCAGCAGAGCAGTAATTAAACCTCAGAGCTCCAAAATAATCTTTTGGACTCCATGTCTCACATTCAGGTTATACTGGTGTAAGGGGTGGCCTCCCAAAGCCTTGGGCATCCCTGCCCCTGTGGTTTTACAGGGTTCAGCACCTGCAGCTGCTTTCATGGGCTAGCATTGAGTGCCTGAGCTTTTCCAGGCACACAGTGCAAGCTGTTGATGGCTCTACCATTCTGGGCTCTGGAGGATAATGGCCCTCTTATCACAGCTCCACTAGTCAGTGCTCCAGTGGGGACACTGTGTGGGGGGCTACAACCCCACATTTCTCCTCTGCACTGCTGTAGTAGAGGATCTCTCTGAGGGCTCCACCCTGGCTACAGGCTTCAGCCCGGACAGCCAGGCTTTTTTGTACATCCTCTGAAATCTAGGCAGAGGATCCCAAGCCTCAATTCCTGCACTCTGTGCACCCGCAGGCTTAGCACCATGTGGAAGCCACCAAGACTTATGGTTTCCACCCTCTGAAGCAGTGACCCAAGCTGTACCTTAGCCCCTTTTAGCTAAGGCTGGAGCTGGAGAAGTTGGGATGCAAGGGGAGCAGGGTCCCGAGGCTGTGCAGGGCAGTGGGGCCTTGGGCCCAGCCCAGAAAATCATTCTTCCCTCCTAGGCCTCTAGGCTTGTGATGGGAGGATCTGCTGTGAAGGTCTCTAAAATGTCTTTGAGGCCTTTTCCACAGTGTTTTGGCTAACAGCACTTGGCTCTTTTTCACTTATGCAAATTTCTGCAGCCTGCTTGAATTCCTCCCCTAAAAATGAGTTTTTCTTTTCTACCACATGGTCAGGCTCCAAATTTTCCAAACTTTTATGCTCTGCTTCCCTTGTAAATATAAGTTCCGATTTCAGGTCATTTCTTTGCTCACAAATATAAACAAAGGCTACTAGAAGCAACCAGGCCACATCGTGAATGCTTTGCTGCTTAGAAATTTCTTCCACCAGATACACTAAATCATCACTCTCAAGTTCAAAGTCCTACAGATCCCCAGAGCAGTGGCACAATCCAACCAAGCTCTTTACTAAAGCATAGCAAGAGTGACCTTTACTCCAGCTCCCAATAAGTTCATTATTTCCATCTGATACCCCCTTAGCCTGGACTTCATGTCCATATCACTATTGGCATTTTGGTCACAACAATTTAACAAGTCTCTAGGAAGTTCCAAACTTTCCCTCATCTTCCTGTCTTCTTCTGAGCCCTGCAAACTGTTCCAACCTCTGCCCATTACCCGGTTCTAAAGCTGCTTCTGCATTTTCAGGTATCTTTATAGCAATGGCCCACTCCTTAGTACCAATTTTCTGTATTAGTCTGTTCTTGCGCTGCTATAAAGAAGTACCTGAGGGTGGGTAATTTATAAAGAAAAGAGGTTTACTTGGCTCACAGTTCTGCAGGCTGTCTGGGAAGCCTAGTGGCTTATGCTTCTAAGGAGGCCTCAGGAAATTTACAATCATGGCAGAAGGTGAAGGGGAAGCAGGCACATCTTACAGAGCCCAGCAGAAGGAGGCTAGAGAGGTGGGAGGTGCTACACACTTTTAAACAATCAGATCTCATGAGAACTCACTCACTATCATGAGAACAGCACTAGTAGGATGGTACAAAACCATTCATGAGAAACCACCCCCATGATCCAATCACCTCCCAACAGGCCCCACCTGGGAGGGCCCTCAATTTGACATGAGATTTGGGCAGCCACGCAGACCCAAACCATATCAGGTTTATATTCATAAAGCTCTTAGAAGATCACCTGGATGATAACTCAAAATAAGTGATTATATATACACATCAATCTATCCACCTATCCATCTATGTTTGCCAAGTAATAGAAATGCAAAAGACATTTAATGATGAAACCAATCAAGATTATATTCTTTATTATATGAAGGCCATTTGCAGAGAGGAAAGAATCAAGGTTAACAAAAAATTGTAACACAGAGTGCCTGGGAGAATGTTCATTAACTGAGATAGGGAAGAAACAACAGTTTTTAGAAAAGATTAAGACTTACTTTGAAGATGATAGCTTGTCTATAAAAAACACATATCAAGTGTTCAAAAGCTTGTTGAAAATGGAGACATAATATACAGGATGGAAGGAGCTCATGGTCAGAAGAATAGATCTTGGGATTTTTGCTTATAATTAAAGTATTTTGTTGTTGTTTTTTTGTTTTGTTTGAGATGGGGCCTCGCTCCATCACCCAGGCTGGAGTGCAGTGGAACCATCAGGGCTCACTATAGCCTCAATTTCCCAGGCTTAACTGATTCTTTCATCTCAGCCTCCCCAGTAGCTGAGACTATGTGTGCACCACCACACCCAGCTAACTGTTTTTTTGTTTGTTTGTTTGTTTGTTTGTTTGTTTTGGTAGAGATAATGGCTCCCTATGTTGCATAAGCTAGTCTCAAACTCCTGGGCTCAAGTGATCCTCCCACCTTGGCCTTTCAAAGTTCTGGGATTACAGGTGTGGGCCGCTATGCTCAGCCTGGTTAGTTGAAGTTTTGGATCAGACTATCAAGAATAGAAAGAAAGCAGGTTAGAGAAAATGTTCAAGGGCAGACCCTTAGAGCTATGCTTCTCAAGCTTTACATGTACATGAATCATCTGAGCAGGTACTTAAAATTCAGATCCTGGGATTCTGATTCAGCAGGTTCTTAGAAGGGGCCTGAGATGCCATATTTCTGACAAGCTTGCAGATCACTGCCATATTGTTAGTCCATGGCCACAGAGCAGCAAGTCCCTCCAACCTGGTGTACTGAGGCATGACTAGAAAATTCAGGGCCAGGGTGGAGTAGGAGTAAATGGAACTTGAGAATGCAATATAATTAATAAATGGAGAAGAAAGTTTCCAAAAAAGAAAAAAAGAGAGAGAGAGAGCAAGAGAGAGAGAGCTTCTTAGTGCAAGGACAATAATTGAAGTTGTTAATTTTGGCAATTAAGCCAAAAGGTATAAATGGGAGAATAGTTTAAGTAGATGAAAGATGGAGGTCAGATTACACATAGCAGGTAGAAAAACTGAGCAGTGATTGTAAACCAGCCAGTGGAAAATTCAGCAGAGAAAGAAAGATGGGTAGTGGCTGGTAGCTCAATAGGGTAGTAACTTTATGAGAAGTATTGCTTTTAGGAGCAAAAATACTCTAGTGGAGAAGAAAAGAGAAAGAAGAGAGGAGGACAGACAGAATATGCCCTAGAGAACAAAAGGAGGACTTAAATCCAATCACAGGCAAAAATTAGACTTGGAAAGAGGATAGGTGAAAAATACAGAGATGATTTCAAGCAGAGGAGAGGCTAGGAAATAGATACATTAATTTTCAATAATTTTATCTGCTGAGAGTGGGGTACAGAACTAAGACAGATGATTCAAGGAGCATAGAAAATATTTCTAATAGTCTTTCTGGGTGACATGACAAAAAACAAAGAAGAGTGAAATAAAGATGGCCCTACAGAATGAGGACACATTGAGGCTAGATAGCATGAATTCATAGTGATGCCAAATGGCACCATTACATGACTTTCTCAAGCAATGCACAGATGCTTACAAATGAAACAGAAGTAGATGGCTGGGCTTATACAGGTGTTGGGAGATGGACAACACGAGAAAGTCATGCTGCTCACATTTTAATATCTTTGATTGTTGCTTCACAGTTGGGTAAAGAGCCAAGTGAAACCAGGAGAGAGGGAAGAATCAGTGGTTCAAAGCAACGTGATACAGAAGAATGAACACCAGACGGATAGACTGAGAACCAGGAGACTTAGGTTCCAATTCCAGTTCCACTTTCTAGATGGCTGACTTTGTCCCTTCACCTTCATAATAAAAGTGTTGACGTAAATCAGTTAAAAACCTTGGCTATGCATAGAATTGCCTGGGGATGTTTATACAATATTATTCCTGGTCCCTATTTTAGAACAACAAAATCAGATTAGGAGATGTCAACTGGATATCTATGTTTTTAAAGCATGTCAGGTGATTTCTATTAGATAGCCAGGGTTGAGGACAACTAGGAAAGATGATCTCTAAAGTTTATTTTTCTTTCTAGTCTTTTTTAGATTCTCCAAGAAAGACAATGGTAAGACCAGAGGCAAAATCAAATTCAGTAATAGTGGATATCCTTAGTCCATTAAGGCTGCTATAACAGAATAAACTGGTTGCCTCATAAACAACATAAATTTATTTCTCACAGTTCTGGGGCCTGAGAAGTTCAAGAGGAAGGTGCTGGCAGATTTGATGTCTAGTGAGAGCCCACTTCCTGGTTCATAGATGCTGCCTTTTTGCTGTGTCCTCATGTGATAGAAGAGGTCAGGAGGCTCTCTAGGGTCCCTTTTATAAGGTCACTAATCCCATTCATGAGGGCTTCTCCCTATGGCCTTATCACCTCCCAAAGGTACCACCTCTAAATACTACCACATTGGGGATTAGGCTTCAACATATGAATTTTGGGGGACATAAACATTCAGTCAAGTGCAGTGAGTGATAAGAAATGTTGAAAAAATAGATCAGAAAGTGCAATGTCAGGGCAATGATGAGGTTGGGGGAAAGGCCTTTTATGTGGGTGGCGAACACTACCTAGGGTTAAATGCTGTGGCAGCACAGAAATAGATTTTATTCTTTTTCCATGAAGAACTTATAGAGTTCAGATGTCCCTTCCAAATCTCATGCTGGGATGTAATCCCCAGTGTTGGAAATGGGGCCTGGTGAGAAGTGTTTGGCTCATGGGGGTGAATTTCTCATGAATGGCTTGAGCCATCTCCTTGGTAATAAGTGAGCTCTCACTCTGAGCTCACATGAAATCTCGTCGTTTAAAAATGTGTGGCACCTCCCCCCCACACACATTGCTCTTGCTCTCTTGCTCTCTCTCTCTCTTGCTCCTGATTCTGCCGTGTGGGATGTTTGTTCCCCCTTTGCCTTCTGCCATGACAGGAAGCTTCATGAGACCTCCCCAGAAGCAGATGCCAGTATGCTTCCTGTACAGCCTGTAGAACCATGAGACAAACTTCTTTTCTTATAAATTACCCAGTCTCAGGTATGTCTTTATAGCATTGCAAGAATGGCCTAATACAGGGATATTATGCAAAGAATCTGTAGAATAAAAGCCATAGTCAAAACAGTGGACAGCATGTGGGATCTAGCCAGAGCCAATCTCAGCACTTACAGACTGGGCCACAGACTAACATAAATGGTCACCTGGCAGCTGAGCCCAGGGTGAAATGACAAAACCACAGAAACTTATTGGCTATTAATTCCTTTCATGTCTCTCATGTCTGTCACCCTCAGGTCTGGAATGCAGGCTCCTCAGCGGTCTCTCTCCTTCGTATTTTCTTCTCCATCCTGCTCTGTGATTCATTTCTCTGGGTCATCTTCCTATCACTTCCGATGGCTGACCTCTCTCACAATTCTTCTACTACTCTCTAGAAATTTCATTCTATTTTCTATGACATCCGCAGTGTCTTTGCAGAACTTACTATGTTCCTGTCCTAATGGAAATTTGGCTTTTCCTTGATGTCATCACTTCTCTGGCAGTTTTCTCTGAAAAAGCTGGCCATTCTTCCTTTCTGTATCTCTGGGCCAGGAGATGATAGTGACTTAGACCTTCATGGTCACTTCCAAAGTTTAACTCTACAATCTTATCCAAAAAGCCCTCTTTCCTTGGTTGTATGACATCTAAGTCTAACATGCACTACCCTGCATCAACTAATCTGGTCACTTCCACAATCAATTAGAACTAAGACAAGTGGTTCCTCATCAAAAAGAATATGAAATGAAAATGGCCTTCCCTATATGTCTTCCAGTCTCTTATTACTTTACTTTGGAAGCAACTTTTATCACCAGCTTTTGGATATCCTTTAAAGGTATTTTGTGCAAATATAATCACATGCATAGATATGCACATATAAATGCATGTTTATATAAATTTTTGGTTTCTTAAAGATAAACAAATGGTAGAAAATTATATATCCTGTTCTAAAACCTTTCTTTTTTTAAACAAAATATTTTAAAGGCTTTTTCTTATCAATGCATACAAACTTTTCTTTTAGAAATATTACTGCATAATATTTTATGTGGATGTTCAATAATTTATTTGACCTGTCCCCTACTGATGAACAACTAGATTCATTCTAGTGTTTCTAGTCTTCTGCTATTGCAAACAAGGCTTCTATAAATAACATTCTACTGATGTCACCTTTTACTTTTACAAGTTATTTGGGTCAAAAGTTATTTGCTTTTTAAAAGTTTTGATAGATACTGAAAAAATTATACTGCATGAGCTGTGCACTAATTTATATACCCATTAACTACGTTTAAAAGAACCAGTTTCCCATTAGCCTTGCTAACATAATATTTTACACTTTTTTTTTACTTTGCCAAGAACATAATTGAAAATATTTCATTGAAATTTTAATTTATGTTTTTCCTATGTTGAGTGAAGTTGAGCATCTTTGCAAATGTTTAACACTGTACTTTCTTTCCTGGACATCTCCCCTGCCTATTTTCCTATCGTTTTATTGCAAGTCTTTCCATAGTAAGGAAAATAGACTTCTACTAAAATATGAGTTGCAATAATTTTTTCTCAGTTTGTTGAATTGTCATTTTGGTGTTTGTCATGCAGAACAATTTTATTTGCATGTCGTTTAGTTTATAAATCTCTTCATTTTGCTATCTATATTTTATATCATACTTTATACTTGTTCTATTTTGGATAATTTTTTAAAAATTATTTTAACACTTCCATCTTTTTTTTATTTTTTATTTTTTAACACAAATCATTGGTCCACCTGAAATCCTAGTCTTCTTTCCAACTCTTGCCTCGATCGTGGATCACTTCAGTGTTGACGTCACCTACACAAACCCCACCCACCATGTTCCCGGATCTCCTCTGCTCAGACAACCACCTCCCTTCTCACCTCTCATGACAACATCCTGGAGTGTCTTATCCTTGTGTGATGCTTCTCCATTTCTAAAACTGTAAAACTCTCACATTCTATTATTCTCACTCCCTCAACATAATCTCTTATCCTTCTTGGTCTCTTGCTCTCTTAGTTCTGTTACATATTTGTAATAGTTTCATTTAAACCTCAGATGTTTCAAATCTCCCTTTTCTCTCATATGTCTGCCCTTGCTAGGCAGGGCCACATCATTACGTAAGCACTTTTGCCTTTTGGGGCCCCTTCCTCCATAAAAGAATATTAAAAGGTACATTTTATGATTACCTTATAAAGATAAATATATTACTATGCATAAAAACATTTTTTTGGTGTGAAAGTTTTTTTTATTCTGATTCTAAAAATAAAATAAAACATTTTTGTGGGCCCCAGAAGCCTAGTGAACCCCAGGTTCCATTCTTACTATGTGTAAAGTATCAGTCAGCTCTGCTCCTAGGCACTGATTGACTACTACCTTTTTAAAATTGAGACAGGGTCTCACTCTGTCTGGAGTGTAGTAGTGCGATCTCAGCTCATTGTAACCTCTGCCTCCAGGGCTCAAGCAATCCTCCCACATCAGCCAGCCTCCCAAGTAGTAGTTTTTTTTGTATTTTTGGTAGAGAAAGTGTTGCCCAGGCTGGTCTCAAACTCCAGGACTCAAGCTGTACGCCTGCCTTGGCCTCCCAAAATACTGGGATTACAGGCATGAGCCACCGTGCCTGGCCAGAACCACTTTTCTCCCTTGGCCCTCTTCTCCCTTGGCCCTTGTTTTCCCTGTGTATCTGCATTGCCCACCTCCAACCCTAGATAAATCTGTTGAGCTCTACTAGAGAAAATTATAAAGAGGGCTGATGCTATCAAAGATTTAGGGTCTATGACATAAATTGGGCCCTCAACACTGCTTAACCATTTTTCTACTTGTCCCTGATGAATTTTTTGTTTCATTCCTCAAATTAATCATTCCAAATCATTTAGCAGTCTCCCCAGCTAAGAGAAAATAGTGTAAATTATCTTAATTCCCTGTCCTTTCATATTCTGATTAGCCCTGACTAAGTAGCAAAATAACCCAAGATGTAGTGGCTTAAAACAAAATTTATTTTTCTTTCAAGAGTCTGTGTACTGACAGCACGGCGGGGCAGTTCTTATTGTGGGTCTCTTATGTGACCTCCATCACCATATTGAAACTATTCTTTTTTGGTCACTAAAGACTTCTCAATTGTCTAATCTAATAGGTACTTTAAAACCTTTATCTTAACCTTTTCATAATATTTAAAGATATTGATCACTCCCCTGTTCTTGAAACTATTTGTGGGCTTTTCTGAATCTTAGTTTTCCGTATGACTTCTTGGTACAATATGGATGGTGAAGTCTTAGAGAATGAAAATAAAGAATAGGATAGTGTATTAGTTTCCCACGGTTACTAGAACAAATTACGACAAACTTGGTTTAAAACAACAGAAATTTGTTCTTTCATGCTTCTGGAGGCCAGAGGTCCAAAGTTAGCATTGGTGGGCTGCAATCAAGGTGTTGGCAGGGCCATGTTTCCTCCAGAAGTTCCAGAAAACAATCCGTTTCTTGCCACTTCCAGCTGCTGGTAGCTGTCAGAATCCCTTGGCTTGTGGGTACATCACTCCAATCTTCAAAGCCAGCACCTTAAATCTCTCTCTCTCTTCCATCTTCATATTGCTTTCTCTCCGTGTGTGTCAAATCTCCTCTTGCCTCTTTCTTATAAAGACACACGTGACAGCATTTAGGGATCACACAGATAATCCAAGACAATCTCTTCAACTTGACATCCTTTATTTAATCACATCTGCAAAGACATTTTTTCAAATAAGGTGACATTTATAGACTTCAGGGATTAGATCATGAATATCTTTCAGAGAACCATTTTTCAGTGTCATATTGGAGAATAAAACTGACCTAGGAATTCCAAACTATTTTGAAAGTCATGGATAATTGGCTGAGGTGAATCTAGCTAGTGTAAACAAATACATGAATTTCAAAAGATCAGTACAAATCATTCAGAGTGTTTTTTGTTTGTTTTAAGAAAAGACTGGAAGCTGTACTCTGGAAGAAGAAAATGGTGACTCTCTTGCAGGTTTAAGACTAGTAGAAGGAAGTGGCTGTCACTGAAATGGGCTTCAAGGGAAGAAATCAGGAGAAAGCTAAATTTCAGTTAGGACAGGAAGGTAGTGTAGGGGGGCTTGGAGCACTCCTGTAGTCCCAGCTACTTGAGAGGCTGAGGCAGAAGGATCATTTGAGCCCAGGAGTTCAAAGCTCTAGTGTGCAATGATTCGTGAATAGCCACTGCACTCCAGGCAACAAAGTGAGACCCTGCCTCTGAAAAACAAAAATAACAAAGGTAGAAGTAGCATTAAGTGAATATTGACCTTGATATAACAGTTATGATAAAATGAAATCTTGTTAGTGTAGGGAGAGACTATCATAAGTTAATTTGAAATAGTATTTATTTCAAATTTATATAGTGGTAGCAGAAACCACTAGAATAGATACTGTATAGTTAATGCATCAGTAATTAATTACTGTTGATATGGAAAGACTATTCAAATTTCAAACAATAGTGCTTAACTGTGCACTTATTCAGTAACTATAATTAAACAGAATTAATTGAATTGATCATCTAATGAACATAGTGATCTTTAGAAGTCTGACATCACATAGCTGTAGAACAATTGTCCCAGGAGACTCTTTTGAGCCCTGACCTATCAGGGGGTAAGCATACTTCCTCATGTTATCAAGTAGTCATTTACATATACAGCTCCTTAAATCCAATTTTAAACTGTTTTCTTCTTCTTTACTTTCAATCTAAAACAGTAAAAATTTTAAAGGCAGTTAATTGTTAATGGTAATAAAATCATATTTTAAATTACCATGAATTTGCTTTGAAGTGTAGAGACAGTTTTTAGTGTTGAACACGGTAGACTGAAATTCAAAAAGAACAAAGTCAAAAATGCACCACAATTGCTCCTGAAGCAGAGGCTATTGATTTCTTGCCCATTATCTCATCACACAGAAAGTGAAGGGAGAAAAATACAAGTTCAAAGACACCAGCTACTCAGGTAACAGGCAGGAGCTTCAAGTGAAAATTTCTGCCTCATTAAAAACATTTAAAGGAAGCAGCTTTTCTTTAAGTAGGAATCATTATTCCCAGTTTGAGTTCATCCTCTGGAGTTTTCACCTCTTCAGAAGGGCACATTCTGTGCAATTTCTAAGAAGTGCTTCTTTAATGGGAGGGATTTATGTTAAGTTGGTTCAGGGGAGGTAGACCATTGTGGAGCCTTTTTAATGGACTACAAAAGACTGTCGAGTAATTAAATAGATTTCCTTTCCCTTAGACTGTTCCATGGTTCTAAAAACACTCAGCTGAGCATGTAAAATCAATTTCCATTACTGGCCTTGACCTTTGCAGTTTTGTAAACATGTTTTTTCCCTGGCTTTGGAATGTGGTTCAAAGGCAATAGCAGAAGACTAGAGGATGAGACAGGTTCTCTTAATGGAAGTTAACTTTTTTTACAGTGAAAATCTCCTTTTCTCACAGACATTCATTCAACTGCATATGTTATAAATATAATTATATACATACCTGCTTATTTATGTTTATATACATATGTATATGTGTATTTAAATTGGAGTATATAAATATATGTATGTATTTTTTTTAATTGACAAATCATAATTGTATACATTCATGGGGCACCATGTTATGTTTTATGTATCTATACAATATGAAGTGACTAAATCTAGCTAATTAACATATCCATCACCTCACTTACTTATAATTTTTTTTTGTGGTGAGACATTTGAAATTTACTCTAAGTTATTTTGGAATATACTATACAATACTGACTGTAGTTACTCTGCCGTGCAATAGATTTCGAAACTTATTTCTCCTAATCATACATTTGTGCCCTTTGACCACCAACTCCCCATTCCCTGCCCCCACAAAATATAGGAAGTTATACATCTTTTTGTTTTCCTCCACAGATACGTGTTTCGTTTTCACTGCTCAAAGGTATTTTCCCCCTTCCCATTCCAAGAAAATAGCCACGCCATTGTGTTCCAGGGGCTTTGGATGGTCGAATGGAAAGCAGGTGTTCCCCAAGAACAGCTTCATTCCATTTTTGTTTTGTTTTGTTTGGATGATTAGACCTACTGCAGGGATTATGCCACATCACGTAGAGTGGAGGAAAAGAAAGATGAGGTCTTCTAGGGGGTGCTGGGAGGTGGAGGCAGAATTGACTTCAGGTAGCAAATTCCTCGAGACAAGAAGGAAGGGAGTTTGGGTGGTTTGCAAAGAAAGTAGCCCCCAGGTCCTGCTTGTTAACTCCTAGTTGGGTGGATTGCCTCAGGACAAAGGGAAGACCTCTAGGAGCCCTGGTCTCAGGAACTGCCTTGATAGAGAAGTCAGAGACCTTTGTCCAAGCTTATCGGTGAGTACCACTTCCCTCAGGGACTAGATCATGAGAGCCTGGACAATAAGCATATCAGTGAGGACCAGTGGAGGCCATACACCTTTCTTTCAGGATTTAGGACCTAAGAAGACATCTCTACTCCCGATTTCTGTGTCACCTGGAAGTGGAATTGGAGGAGGGAAGTCCAGAAATGATTAAAATGCAATTTCCTACTTGCTGACGCAGCTCAATTTGATTTAAACAAAATTTGTGATACTTCTTTTTCTCAGAGCTAAGGTGAAATTTTCACTGCTTTTTCTTTCCCTTACCATTTGTTCATCTGCAAAATGGTGATTATTGTACTCACCTTGCAGAGTTGTTTCTAGCATTTAATCAAATGACCTGTGTAGAGTGACTATATCACCACCATAATAGAAGGTGCTCAATAAATTGTCACTAGGAAATATTCACATTATATGTGTTCATAGTGTTGCAAAAATGGAATCAGGTGCTAGGTTTTTAAAGCACAAGACATACTTCTAGTTTTCAAGAATTTTATATTATAATTATAAAGCTATCTAGAAGTACTAGGTTCATATCTCTAAGCAAGAAATACAGGCAGGTGAATCATGGGAAATTGAATTCCATTCAATTTCATAAAAGTAAATTGAATGGAAGAATTTGGAGGCAGAAGTCATGATGTAAGACAGAAAACCTATGGGAAGCTTAAGAGAGAAGATAGCAACACTAAAGGTGAAAGGAATTTGTCTGTGATGCTATCATTAGAAAATCTCATAAACAGAGAGAAAGAAAATCTTCTCCAACACACAACATTTGGACAGCAGGTTTAGATTTTCTTCATCTTTTTTCTCTTCAATTTTTTTCCACTGCAACGATAAGCTAAGAGATTGATTTTATTTCAAGAATAACTAAGGGTATACTAATATGCATATCTCAAAATAACATTGCATTATTGAAGACATACTGTTCCAATAGTCAAACAGTTAACAGAGAGGGGACAGGAACCAACAAACTGGAAAAACACACCTGTATTATACATAAAAATCAGTGGCCAATATTTCTCCAGTTATTCTCAAAAGAAAAATACTCAGCAAGTTACAAACTGAAAAGCTTTGCTTAAAAGCTAAACAAAACAAAACAAACCTTCCATGTATAAGAAAAGCTCAGCCCCTTAAAAACGAGACTGTTGGTGGGAGTTGAACCGTTGTGGAAGACAGTGTGGCAATTCCTCAAGGATCTAGAACCAGAAATGCCATTTGACCCAGAAATCCCATTACCGGGTATATACCCAAAGGATTATAAATCATTCTACTATAAAGACACATGCACACGCATGTTTATTGCAGCACTATTCACCATAGAAAAGACTTGGACCCAACCCAAATGCCCATGAATGATAGACTGGATAAAAAAAATGTGGCACATATACACCATGGAATATTATGCAGCCATAAAAAAGGATGAGTTCATGTCCTTTGCAGGGACATGGATAAAGCTTAGCATCATCCTTAGCAAACTAACAAGGAACAGAAAACCAAACGCTGCATGTTGTCACTCATAAGTGGGAGTTGAACAATGAGAGCACACGGACACAGGGAGGGGAACATCACACACTGGGGCCTGTCAGGGGCTTGGGGGAAAGGGGAGGGATAGCATTAGGAGAAATACCTAATGTATATGATGGGTTGATGGGTGCAGCAAATCACCATGGCATGTGTATACCTATGTAACAAACCTGCACGTTCTGCACATGTGCCCCAGAACTTAAAGTATAATAAAAAAAGATTTAAAAAAGACAAAACAAACAAAAACCAGATAGACATCCATAAAGTAAAACAAATGAGAAAAACTGGCTAAACTTCTCAAACTAAATTATATCAAATATATATATGCATTTTTGCAAAATAAAGTACTAAACTATTCTTTGTAGACATATTCATTACATTTATTTTAATAACTACTTTGATATAGGTTGACTGGCTCTATTCTATTTGTTAAAGAAGGCAAATGTTCCCAGCCATGTTTTACATTAACATGAATTATACTGCCTTTTTTGTTTTTCTGTTTTGGTTTTTTTTTTTTTTTTTTAAGGGGATTTCACTCTTGTTGCCCAGGCTGGAGCGCAGTGGTGTGATCTCTGCTCACCACAACCTCCACCTCCTGGGTTCAAGCGATTCTCCTGCCTCAGCCTCCCGAGTAGTTTGGATTACAGGCATGCGCCACCACGCCCGGCTAATTTTTGTATCTTTTAGTAGAGATGGGGTTTCTCCATGTTGGTCAGGCTGGTCTCGAACTCCCGACCTCAGGTGATCCGCCCACCTCAGCCTCCCAAAGTGCTGGGATTATAGGAGTGAGCCACCGTGCCCAGCCTGAATTATACTGTTTAATGAAGACCCAGCTTTTCATTTGTTTTAAATCAAAGTTATAGGTGCACAAAGTTTAAAAAATAAAATAATTCAACAGAATATTCCAAATACTCCTTACCTCCTGTGATCCATTTTTTTCTACTCAGGATCAACCACTTTCAACTCTTACCTGTTTTGTTTCTTTCTCAGGTATATGACCTTGATGTTTCTAAATAATGTGCTAATATTTCCAGTCTTGTTTTTCCCCAGCCATTATCTATTAATATTTACATCCCATTTTGTTTTGTTAAAATTTTTTATTCTTAATTATGGATACAAAATAGTGGTATAGCTTCCCATTTTGGAAAATGGTGACTCCTCTTTACTTCTCATATCTATACTCCACCCCCATCCCATCACATGAATTCTTCTTTGCTCCCCATCTTTCTAAGGTGGTTATATTATTATTTAAGTTGTAACAAATTATTGTATGATGATGATGATGATGCAAATGCTATTCACAACTATGCCTTGTAGAATACAATGATTTATACAAATATGATTGTTTTTCCTATTTAAAGCCTGGTTTTCTCTAAATTAAATAGCTGTCCTTAAATATTTTTATATTAGTTTTCTATATAATCCTAATTCATACTTTCTGCCAATTGCCTAAATCTCTCCTGGTGTTGCATACCCCTGATGCACTCCTTCTCGAAGATGATAATTTGTTTTAATCTGGAAAGGCTGATCTCAGAGCTGGTCACACAGCTGTATTCATGGAATTGACTATGACCACACTCCTGCCATTTCATTCACCTCTCTCCCCTGTCCCCAGGGTTTCATGTCTTCATTTTTCTTGGTTTACCCACTGACTTTACTTAAGCACATTCTCCAGGTGGTTATCTTAGAGAGGGTGCAGGTGATGTAAAATTCTTGATACCTGAATGTCTGAAAACATTCTTATTCTTCTCTCATACTCAATTGATAGCTTGGCTAGATACAGATGTCTATATTGAGAAATGCTTTCTTTCAGAATTTTTAAGATGTTGCTTTTCTAACTTCCAGTGTGCTGCTGAAAAATCCAAGGCTATTCAGATTCTTGGTCTTTTTAGGTGACCATTTCCCCTCCTCTTTGGAAGCTTGCCTTTGTCCCCAGTTTTAAGACTTTGTGATGATGTGACTTCAGTATGGTTTACTCTTAGCCATCATCTGCACACTATGAATTCTCTTTTAATCAGAATACTTAGGTCATTCTGTTCTGAGAAACTCACTTGAAATACTTCTTAAATAATTTTCTCAGCCTTATTTTCTCTGTTCTATTTCTTGAGAACTCTTATTTGAATATTGAACTTATGAACTTGTCCTCTAAGTTTCTGATTTTTTTCTTCTCTTTTTTATTTTTGGTTCTGCTTTCTGGAAGATTTCTCCAATTTTATTTTGTGAAACTTCTATTGAGTTTGTCATTTATGCCATTACGTATATTTTTCTTTTCACTCAGCACGTTCTAGTCTCACCATTATATTTTTAAAGAATCTAATCTTTTATATTTTTATTTATTGGATATTCCTTTTCTTATGGCAGGCTATACTTGTTTCATGGAAACAATATCTTCTCATAGTTCCCTGAGGATATTAATGATAATACATTTTCTTCCCTCTGTGTCATCTCTGGTTCTTTTGGTTTGCTTACACTTTAACTTTGTTTTCTATTTTTTGTATTAGATGTCTTAAGTATCTAGTGATCCTTCATTGTTTGCATATATTTAAGAATATGGCTCACTTAGAGTGTGTACGTGGAGATTGTGAACTTTGTTGTGGGGATATCTGTGTAGGTCAGTGTCATGTAATATTGTTAGCAGTGGCAAATCTGTACAGGTGTGCAGTGACTCAATTCTTGCCTCCTCTGAGGAAAGAATTTGGCTAAGGGGCATAAGATAGACTGAGAGACTGAGGCAACTTTTAGAGCAGGAGTGAAAGTTTATTAAAAAGTTTCAGCGCAGGAATGAAAGGAAGTAAAATGCACTTGAAAGAGGGCCAAGTGGGCAACTTGAGAGCTCCAAGGGCCCTGTCTGACCCTTGACTTGGGATTTTATACATTGCTGTGATTCTGGGATTTGCATTTCTTTTTCCCTAACTCTTCCTTTGGGGTGGGCCCTCCGCATGTGCAGTGGCTTGCCAGCACTTGGGCTGGGCTGCATGCACAGTGAATTTACTGAAGTTGTACACATGTTCACTTGAGGTGTTTTTCCCTTACCAATCGAGCGTACTTAGAGGCAAGTCATATACCATTTATGTCCTGCCATTTTGCCTCAGTCCACATGCTTGAGCCCACTTGCCCAACCCCTGATATTTTATTGGGAACCTGCTGATAAACAGCTTCAGCTATTTTCTGGCTATTTCCTTGGCACCAGCTGCAACCAATTATTATTTTAGAGAGACAGTTTTAACAACTGCCTGACCATCACCTGATGGTCGTCTGACATTCCTCGGGGTTGGGGGGCAACCCTCTTCTGCCCTGCTCATGTCTGCCTGGCTACCTGCTCTAACAATATAACTTTTTATGATGTTGAACATGTTCTATATTTGCACTGTCCGATGCTATAGCTACTAGCCACATGTGCCTATTGATCACTTGAAATGTGACTAGTGTGACTGAGGAACTGGTGTTTTAATTTTACTTAATTTTATTACTTTAAGTTTTAGAATAAATTGCCACAAGCGTCTACTTCCTACTTCATCGGACAACACAGATCTAGGCTATCTCTGAATTTTTTCTATAGCCAGTTTGGTGGATTCATTAGATAAAGAGTTTTTAACTCCTTTCTGGAAGATTTAGGCCTGATTGCTAGCATGAATGAATTTTAGTTTTTAATATGTCAACATCTACCTAATCCTAATTTTCTGTTCAGTATTGCAGTTCTCACTTCTCCCAGCACCCTCTGTGTTAGCTTTGCCCAAAAAATAAATTTCCAGGCTTTTCTTGAAAGTAGATAGGAGACTTGAGGCTCTAATTGTTTGTTTTTGCTCTTTTCAATTTTATTTTCAGAGCCACCTAGCACTACCAGTTCCCAAGACTTGTGTTGCAATCAATGGCTTCTCAGCTTTTCTCCTACCATCTTGGGAGCCAGCACTTTTTCTGTATGCTACATCAGTTTTCTTTCATTTATTTCCTTTCCAACTTCCTTTTTTCTTTTTTTTTTTGAGATGGAGTCTTGCCCTGTCACCAGGCTGGAGTGCAGTGGTGCGATCTCAGCTCACTGCAACCTCTGCCTCCCAGGTTCAAGTGATTCTCCTGCCTCAGCCTCTTGAGTAGCTGGGACTACAAGTGCGCACCACCACGCCCAGCTAATTTTTGTATTTTTAGAGATGGGGTTTCACCATGTTGGCCACGATGGTCTTGATCTTTTGGCCTCGTGATCCAGCCGCCTCAGCCTCCCAAAGTGCTGGGATTCAGGCGTGAGCTACCGCGCCCGGCCTTCTTTTTCTTTTTTCCGTCACATGGGCTGGAGTGCAGTGGCACGATCACACTCACTGCAACCTTGAACTCTCAAGCTCAAGCAATCATCCTGCTTCAGCCTCCTGAGTGGCTGGGACTACAGGTGTGAGCCACCATGCCTGACTAATTTATTTTTGCTTTTATCTTTTGTAGAGACAAGGGTCTCACTACGTTGCCCAGACTGGTCTCGAACTCCTGAGCTCAAGCAATCCCGCCCCAGCCTCCCAAAGTGCTCAGATTATAGGCATGAGCCACCACACCTGGCCCCAACTTCCAAGTTTTGATGCTGTTGTCTCTTCCCTCATTTTTGGTCCCTATAATTTTATGTTCTGGAAAAAAAAAACTCTTTATCATGTTTTAGTGGGGGTTCAAAACACAAATGAATATGTTCATTTAGCCATCTTTACTCCAGCGTTGGTTTATTTCATATGTGAATCTATATTTATAATCTTTCCAATATAATCACTTAGTCTACTGTTTTTTAAGTTGTCCTTTAAATGGAACATTTACAGTGTTACCCAACTGTTATAATTTAGAATTCATACCTCCAGGAATCATTACAAATCCGTGTAAAATATTTTTGTCTTCTTTTTTTACCAACGCCATCAGCTGATCCCTATAAGCATTTTAAACTTGCACTGATTGAGACTGAATCAGAACATCGTGTCTTCTCACAATGAGCTTTTCAAAATAATTGGATAGGCCTCTCATAACAGGAAAGATTTTGTACAGATTAAAATATAAGGTGAATTCTTGTATCTCTAAGAAAAAAATGGGAAAAACTACACTTTATATTCATACATATATAATTAGCTGTTCAAAATAATTGAATAGGACTCCTATAACTGGATAGATTTTATAAAGACTCCAATATAAGGGAATTCATTTTATTTGTATGAAAAAATGTTCAGGGGAAATGTCATCTTACATTGAAGTATTTATGGTATTTAGGCAAATCTGCACAAAATATAAAGTATTAGTGTGACTTAAATACATAATCATTGCTACTGTGTTTTCTTTTCTCTTCTCCCACTGTAGGGGTGGTCATCAATAATGACTACAGTTGTACATTTTCCTGAGCATAAAGATTCTGATTAGCTATAAAAGTGCCATTGATTGTACCTCCATGTTCACGGGATTGGGCATAAGCCCATTATATTTAAGGGAATATCTGACGAGGGGGATAAGCAGAGTCATAGGAAGAGTAAGCCATTCTAACCTTACAAGGGGCTACATTTTGAAACTTACATTTCAGCTTGTACCTTTTCTGGAATGGTATGATTTATTTCTGCTCCTTGTTTTCTAACTGTAAACTGACTTTTCTTGCAAAATAAAGATGGCGGCTCATCTCTTAAACGCCACGGGTGGACCCAGTCAAGGCCCATGCTTAGAACCTTCAAAGCCCACCAGTCTTCGAGAATGTTTCTTTGGGGAAAAAGTAACCAGAGCTAGCTGCTTTTGCTTGCATGCCCTTTGGGTGCTAAAAATGAGCCTTGGTGTACAGCTCTTCTGTTTTTGCTGGACCTACTGTATGACTTCTGTGTAAATCTTGACAGTTGGCAAATCACGCTTATGTTTGTTTTTCTGTTCAGTGGTTGAAGCTATTGCTGCACCCTCATTGTTCTTTCTTTTCCCTGAATTCCTACCCCACCCAGAATTTGTAACACACAATTTTCTATCTAATTATATAGTGTCGTTTTGTTGCTACTTGCTTCAGGTAGTCCCACTCTCCCTACCTCCTTCCTTCCCGCCTCCATCTAACTAAACCGTGGTGGTTCAGAAGACAAAAGTCAGGCATTGTCTGTCTTTGTAACCCCCACGTGCTGCTTGCAGAGACACTCGGATAATAAGACTCTTGCAGGGAGAAAATTTCCCCTTTGCCCTCTAAAGACTCACTGAAAATCAACAGACAAAAAGCACATTAATAAAAGAAAACGCATACAGAATTTATTTGATGTGCACAGGATGGGAGAATTGCTGGAGAATGATTACCCAATAACCCAGGGTGGTATAGAAGCTTATATATGCTTTTTCCCAGGGGAGGGGAGAGATGAGGAACGTGGAAAATTCTTTTGAGGGGCAGCAAATCATTTGAGAGAATGAATGGACCCAGAAGATGGGAGGCAGACATTTTGGGAAGGTGAGAGGTGGGGCTGCACAGGAATGAAGGTTGACTTATTATGAAGCAAAGTCCTCTAGGTAATCACTTGGAGCTGTCCTCAGAAGGATAGATGAAAATTCTGTTGGGGACATGGTGATGACTCCCAGTCTCTTCTTTTCTCTGGTGGTTGATCCTCCCTGGTTGTTTGATGAGATTCCCTAGAAAAGGGGTTTAAGACAATTACAATTCTTTTGGAAAGAAATTTTCTTGGTCAGATAAGGACATTCCAGAAAGAATCACTCCCTGTGCTTGAGGTGGAGGAACAAGTCAAGGTTAGAAGGACCTTGATTCTGAGGCAGCTTCTAAGTCCTCTCAACATTTCAAAGCACCAGTCTTTGGGGTATCGCTTTCTGAGCCCCAACACTCTCATAGCGAGAGACATGACTATCGCATGTGTTACCATTTATAGTGTACATCCTCTGTCTCAAGTGCTGTGAAAGCACTTCATGTATTATTTCTCATTCTTACATAGATCCTTCAAGGGGAATGACATTTTTACTGCCTTTCCCAGTTGAATCTAAGACTCAGAGAAGGCCAGTAAATTCCATACAGCTAGAAAGCATCAGTCAGGATTTGAAGCCAGGTTGAACCCAGCATTTGAATCCATGCTCTTTCTACACTTGTAGTATACCAACTCCTTTCATTCTCAGAACTCACATAAGGTCTGCATATTACAGATAAGCTTATTCTACAAGCATATTCTAGCAGCATTATTGAATTTTCATCTAGAGCTGTAATGTGGACTACTAACCTAGATAGAATCGAAATCCATCTAGGATGGACTGGATGCTGAGACATATAATGTTAGCTCTGTCCTTTTGGGAATTAGGTGACCAGTTTTCCAAGCAAATGTACTTGTCTCCTTAGGGCCATTGGATCCTGGTGAGAACCTGGGAGAGTCAAGATATCATCAATGAGCAGCCTGGTTCTGAAATTCAGAACCCCTCCTGAGTCTAACAATGGCAGAAAGCTCTTAACTTATTCTTCATTTCCTTCTCTGCATTCCTTACTCCCCAGATTTAAAAACGACACTCTCTCCATGATATAATCATGGGCAAGCACTCTGAGTTGAGTGTCAGAGGTATTTTATTTGTCTTGGGAAGATGTAAATTCCTGGGTGTGTACAGATTCCAGTGGCTTTCCGAGGGAAAGAGCATGCTGCTTTTCTTAAGAAAGGCCACCAATGGGAATGATTTCTGGTGATGCAATGTTGATATTTTAGTACCATTCTAGAAAAGGGAAGAGGTGGGGTTTCTCTGGAGCCAGATTAACTCATAATTAGTTCTCACGCAGCCTGCTTAAGTAATTATGGTGAAACCAAATCACATTACTTTTTTCTCCTGTTCCTGATAAAAGCTTCAACCCCACTCCTTCTGCCCCATAGGGCACTTGGCTGGCCATCATACCCTACACTACAGGCACTATTCTTCAGTTCTGTTTCCAGGCTACAACTGTCACTGTGTAAAATAAGAAGTGTGGGGGAAAAATGTACACCTCTCGGTCTCACTACTTCAGAGGCACCTAGCAACCCTGTCTCCAGGCAGGCAGCACGCATCTCCCTGGTAGTTTACAGCCCACTCACAGCAGAGGCGGCATGCTCTCTGCAAATAGCCTACGTCTTTGCTGGTGCCAGCTTGGCGGTGGGGTGGTGGTGTCATTTGGTGTCCTCAGGGACGTTTGGTTCTTGTTCTGGGAAGACTAGGGCAAAGCAATGACTATTTCACCAAAACTGCCTGAGGGATTAGAAATTAGGTCAAGCAGTTCTGTACTTGGGGTTGCATTGTCTAAAATCAAAAGCAATGGTTTTTAATCTTTGTTTTTCTCCAGTCTTTGGGACATTTCTGTCATAAACCTTCCAGTATGCTTGGGAAGATAGAAAAGGATGTTTATGGTGTGGCGTGGTGGCTCACGCCTCTAATCCCAGCACTTTGGAAGGCCGAGGCGGGCAGATCATCAGGTCAAGAGATCGAGACCATCCTGGCTAACATGGTGAAACCCCGTCTCTACTAAAAATAAAAAAATTAACCAGGCGTGGTGGCGGGCACCTGTAATCCTAGCTACTTAGGAGGCTGAGGCAGGAGAATTGCTTGAACCCAGGAGGCGGAGGTTGCAGTGAGTCACGATCGCACCACTGCACTCCAGCCTGGCGACAGAGTGAGACTTCACCTCAAATAAATAAATAAATAAACAAATAAAGGTTGTTTCTAAAAGGTATATTGGCCAGGCATGGTGACTCATACCTGTAATCCCAGCACTTTGGGAGGCCGAGGCAGGTGGATCACCTGAGGTCAGGAGTTTGAGAACAGCCTGACCAACATGGTGAAAGCCTGTCTCTACTAAAATCCAAAAAGTTAGCCAGGCATGGTGGTGCATGGCTTTAATCCCACCTACTTGGGAGACTAAGGCAGGAGAATCGCTTGAACCTGGGAAGTGGAGGTTGCAGTGAGCCAAGATCACACCATTGCAGTCCAGCCTGGGCAACAAGAGCAAAACTGTCTCTCAAAAATAATAAATAAATAATAAACATAGAAGGTGTATCTATGCAATGAGCAACTCTGCTGGCCACTTTGTCTATCTGTCAGCCCACTAACAATGATACACATCAACCATTCTCACATCCATCCTCTGCTTCTAGAATGTCAGCTGGGCTGAAGAGCATCTTGCACTGGTTTACCAACAAGCCCACATGAACATTCCATTTCAGGCTCAAGTACCACAGGATATTATACATAGATGCTGAGACTTTAAATTAGATTTCTGTACCTGAGGGAATTTGTAAAGAGTCTTTGTTTCTTAACTTCTTGTATTTGACTTCATTTTAAGCTCCCCCCCTGGAAGAAGGGCCTTGGAGAATGAAAGTTGTGTCTCTTTGGGAGGCACACAAAGCTTTTCCTATGTGGTAATTGATTAAAGAATGGAAGAATGCAGGCTTTTAGGAATATAAGGCTTGGGAAACTGAGTCCTGCTGGGTAGAGAGATGATCTCAAGATATCAGGAAAGGGCCGGGCGCGGTGGCTCACGCCTGTAATCCCAGCACTTTGGGAGGCCGAGGCGGGCGGATCACGAGGTCAGGAGACCGAGGCCATCCTGGCTAACACGGTGAAACCCCGTTTCTACTAAAAATACAAAAAATTAGCCGGGCGTGGTGGTGGGCGCCTGTAGTCCCAGCTGCTCAGGAGGCTGAGGCAGGAGAATGGCGTGAACCCGGGAGGCGGAGCTTGCAGTGAGCGGAGATCGCGCCACTGCACTCCAGCCTGGGCGACAGAGCGAGACTCCGTCTCAAAAAAAAAAAAAAAAAAAAAAGATATCAGGAAGGAACAAGGTTTTAACCTGCAAGAGTCATTCACTCATTCACAGAACAGTTATTGAATTCCTACCACGCGCCAGGCCCTCTGCTAGCAAGGGAAACAAATATGAATGACAAGTGTAATCCACAAGCTCATAGTCTACAGGATATTTTAGTAAAAGCAATAATTAGAAACAATGTCAGATTTGTTGTAATGCAAGGAAGTGCATAGCCCTTTGGAATCTCAGACAGTAATGGGAGACCTCTCTAGGGAGATGAAAGGGAGGGAGGAAGAGAGGGCTATATAATTTAATTGTTGATAATAGCCACGTTTAACAATTGGCTGCAAAATTTCTGAAAATTTAACACTCCACTCTCATGAGCTGATAAAAACTGGCTCCACAACACCATGGGATGAAGGTGAAATTGGGAAGTGTAGATATGTCTTGTTGCCATGCTAAGGAGGTTGGACTCATTCCACAAGGCAGGATAATTTGAAATACTAATTAGTGCTTTTATTTTTCTTGTTTTATATATTTTTACTTTCCCTCACCAAAGAAGTTACCTAACTTCTGTTTTTCTTGTCTCAGGGTCTTTTGTGCTGCTGGGCAGAAACCAAATATTTTAAAGAAATAAGGCTGGCATTACCTATCTTCATAGCACCTTGTAGATATGGTAGAGGTGAAGAACGGTAGACAGCATTGTAGGCAAAGACCAGAGGGCCTATTTGTGAATATTCTGGATGAGAGCCCTGTAATTTCAAAAGATCTTTGATAGAAAAGGAAGGAGCACAATAAAAAGACTGAAATTGAATTTCTCACTGGCTGAGTGGAAGAGGGTTGAATATAATTTAACAACTGCAGAGAATTTAAGGGAAGAGAACTTCCTTGCACTCTAGTGTTATAGGGTAAAACTGATACCTGCTAGTCATACACATGTTTTAACCAGAATTATGACCTGATTTTATCTAAATTTTGGAAGGATAACTCTGCCACCTGCATAGAGAAGGAATTGGAAAGGGGAGAACCGGATGAGCTTGTTGCAATCATCTATGATGGTGAGGAGAGTAGCCAGGGTAGTCTAGGAAAAAAAGAGGAGAGGATAGACTCCAGAATATTTCAGAGGATAAATCACAATTGATGTCAATATAACTTTGAGGATTTAAAATATGAGTGGTGTGATTTAGAGGCAAATGCAAGCCCCATGCCTATTTTGGTTATATCTCTATTTTCTGCCTGGCACAAGGCCTGGCAGTTAGCAGGTGCTCAATAAATATATATTGAATGAATGAAAGAGCAAATACATGAGTAAGTCAAATGCACAAACAACTAGGCATGTTTTTATTACATTAAAAGACTAGTCAAAAGAATGAGAAGACAAATCACGGATTAAGAAAAAAATCTTGGCAAAAGACAGATCTGACAAAGGTCTGCTATGCAAAATATACGAAAACCTTTTAACACTCAATAATTAAAAAGCATCCCAATTAAAAAGGAGGCAAAAGACTTGAACAGAGACCTCACCAAAGAAGTTACACAGATGGCAAATAAGCATATGAAGAGATGCTCTAGTTCATATGTCATTAGGGAACTGAAATCAAAGTAACAGTGATGCCTGTCCTCTAGATGCCTAATCACTAGATGCCTGCTAGAATGACCAAAATCCAGAACAGTGACAGCACCAAATGCTTGTGGAAATGAGGAGCAACAAGAACTCTCATTCATTGC
Organism: Homo sapiens; assembly: GCF_000001405.40. Taxonomy (NCBI): domain Eukaryota; kingdom Metazoa; phylum Chordata; class Mammalia; order Primates; family Hominidae; genus Homo; species Homo sapiens. The sequence continues at coordinate 17,664,525 of NC_000021.9, forward strand.
TGGTGGGAACGCAGAATGGCACAGTAACTTTGGAAGGCAGGTTGGCAGTTTCTCACAAGGCTATATATACTCTTACCGTATGATCCAACAATCATATTCCTTGATGTTTACCCAAATGAGTTGAAAACTGCTGTCCACACAAAAACCTGCACAGATGTTTTTAGCAGCTTTATTCATAATTGCCAAGACTTGGAAGCAACCAAAATGTCTTTCGGCTGGGTGAATGGATAAACAAACTGTGGCACATCCAGACAATGGAATACTATTCAACATCAAAAAGAAATGAGCTGGCTGGGCACAGTGGCTCATACCTGTAATCCTAGCACTTTGGGAGCTTAAGGAAGAGGATCACTTAATGTTGAGACCAGTCTAGGCAACGTGGTGAAACCCTGTCTCTACAAAAAATGCAAAAATTAACCAGGCATGGTGGTGTGCACCTGTGGTCCCAGCTACTTCAAAGGCTAAGGTGGGAGGATTCCTTGACCCTGGGAGGTGGAGGCTGCAGAGCTATGAAAAGACATGGAGGAAACTGAAATGAAAACTACTAAGTGAAATAGTGAAATAAGCTAATCTGAAAAGGCACACACTGTACAATTCCAAGCCAAAAGTATGGGTATGGTAAAAAGATTGGAGCTTGCTGGAGCTGGAGGAAAGGAAGGGATGAATAGGCAGAGCACATAGGATTTTTAGGGCAGTGAAACTATTCTGTATGATATTATCATGGTGGATACATGTCATCATATACTTGTCAAAACCCATACAATATATAACACCCAGAGTGAATCCTAATGTAAACTATAGACTTTGAGTGATAAACACAATTTATGGGAGGCCATTGTTTTGAGCTAGCGTTCCACATGAGGCTCCAGCAGACCAGACCAAACTAGGATGGAGTCACTTATGTTCCACATTATCAAACGGAACCTTAAAACGGGCCAGTTTAAAAAAATAAAAACAGCCCAGGAGATTCCAGGCAATCTGAGTCAATGAATAAGGGAGTGCCCTCTGTTTCAACCTTACAAAGAAAGTAACTTTGAAACCACCAATACACTTTTTGTTCTCTGTTTCTGATTTCTTCAACATTTTCCTGTCTATAAAGCCAATCTCCTCTGCTCAGCTTATCAGAACACTCATTCTGTTTTATAGAATGTGGTATTGCCTGATTCTAGAATCTCAAATAGAAGCCAGTTAAATTTTTAAACTAGATTTGGGGTAATTTGATCTTTTGACAGTGATGGTGATTTGTTAATGTAGTTCATCAGTTTTAACAAATGTACCACTGTGGGGCAGGATGTTGATTGCGGGGAAGGCTTGTGTGTGTGTGGGTGTGTGTGTGTTGGCAGGTGGGGGAGGTGCATGTGGCAGTTATGGGACCTCTTTGGACATTACGCCCAGTTTTTCTGTGAAACTTAAAGTGCTCTGAAAATAAAAGTCTAGGCCAGCTGCAGTGGCTCACGCCTGTAATCCCAGCACTTTGGGAGGCTGAGGCGGGTGGATCACGAGGTCAGGAGATCGAGACCATCCTGGCTAACACGGTGAAACCTCGTCTCTACTAAAAATACAAAAAATTAGCCGGGCATGGTGGTGTGCACCTGTAATCCCAGCTACTCGGGAGGCTGATGCAGGGGAATCACTTGAACCCAGGAGGTGGAGGTTGCACTGAGCGAAGGTCACACGACTGCACTCCAGTCTGGGCAATAGAGCGAAACTCCATCTCAAAAAAAAAAAAAAAAAAGGCTATTTAAAAGGAAAAAATATGAGTCTCAAAGTGACATGAGAATTTGTGACTCAGTGTCAGAATAGTGGTTATGGAAACTTCACTTCTAAGTCACCTGCAGCTGATATTCTGACCAGTAGACTGCACTTGTGTAAAGATCAATGAACATGATCAGAAAAACAAATGCTAGTGTGGCAGAAGGAAACTGAGATATAACGGATCATTATGAGGTCTGTGTTGAAGAAGAGGGTATGAGAATTTGAACCAAGAGTTCTATGAATGTCAAATGACTTTGGGCTTCATTGGAACTCTCTACTAGTTAGAGGGGGTGAATTTCCTATGCACTAGCTTACCACCGGGCAGTTGTAGCTATTAACATATGACCATGAGATCTACGGAAGAAGGAAAAAGGAAACAACTTTATTTTCTGAGTAACAATTAGCAGATTAGGGAAATGTGCTTTCAAGGAAACCAAAAGCATGCAGAAGGGAAGGAAACAGTGGAATTCAGGTCTTCCAGGGTCTGTCTTACATGCTTATTCATCAGGCTTGGGAAATAGCTATTAATATTTATGGGAAAAGTCAAGCTCATGTCCAGTGAGTTAACATGTATGTAACATACATTCCATGTTCACTTTGGGGTGGGGTTTTATCATTAAAGTGAGGTGGAATTTGACTTTTTACCTCAAAAAGTGAATTATAGGGCACAAAGACATTTGTGCACAGTCTCTGAAAGCTGGCTGGGACCGGATTAGGGTCTGTAGCTGCTTATCAGGAAACAATGTTTGTAAGGCAGGTCTCTTGTAAAATGGGTGCTGCTGGCAGGATCCCTAAGGTGGGGGTCCACCCAAATGAGTCTGGCAATGTTTTCCTAGAACAGGTTTCAGTCTAACTGCAGAAAGAAAACTTTATAGCAGTTAACAAGCCTTTTAGTAGTAATGCAGGATTTTTTGCTCCTTTTCTCGGCTAAAATCCGAGTTCTTGTCTCACAACCAGGAAAAATCAGGTCCACGGACACATTGAAAGGTGAGGAGAGCGGAATTTATTAAAAGAAAGCTCTCAGCAAAAAGAGGGGGTCCTGCCAATAGGCTCCCACCTCACAGACTGAATACCAGGCCACCACACACGAGCTGAAGAAGCCAGACTCTTTCCCCTGATTAGGCAGAATTCCTGGTGGCTCCACCCCATTCCCCCAGTGCTCACGTGAGCCCCCAGTCCACCCAGTCCATTGCAGGCATGCCCAGGCAAGATCCTGGGCAAATTCCCTTATCTGTCTCCTGGATCTATCGGTAGTTAACAATGTACAGGTACATGACCAAACCCTTTTCTCTGTTATGGCCGCTTAATTTTCTCTTGAGGGTCTCAGCCACAGAGAGTTCATCTCATCTGTCAGCTGGGGGTATGTTAATGTTAATATACCAAATGCCATTTCAGACCATATTGTTCTAAGCAAACAAATATTTGCTTGTAAGCAGGCACAACACAATTTTACAGCCTGTGGTGACTTGGAATATTTTCACTTTCAACCCTTGAACATCACCTTCATGAAAGGATTTCTGCATGATGGAGGCAGATAGGTTCTGATCGATGAAAGGGCAGCCCTTTTGGTGAGATCTGATGACAGGATTGTCTGCTAAGAGAAGGAGCACACGGCCACTGGGGCCTTCAATCTAGAAGCTGCCCTTTGGTATGAACAACTGGCCCAGACAGGTATTTATTTATATGTAACTCCTGCAAATATGGAGATGTCTAACTTCCAACAATCACACACAACTTAAACCCCACTAATTTCACCAATGAAAAATTCTAACATGCTAAATAATAAACCTTCTGTATGTTGACTTCATACAAATACTTTTTAATGCCACCTGGCCAATTCTTTTTTTTTTTTTTTTTTTTGTGATGGAGTTTTGCTCTTGTCATCCAGGCTGGAGCGCAGTGACCCGATCTCGGCTCACTGCAACCTTCGCCTCTTGGGTTCAAGTGAGCCTCAGCCTCCCGAGTAGCTGAGATTACAGGCACCTGCCACCACGCCCGGCTACTTTTTGTATTTTTAGTAGAGATGGGGTTTCACCATGTTTCCCAGGCTGCTCTCAAACTCCTGACCTCAGGTAATCTGCCCACCTCAACCTCCCAAAGTGCTGGGATTACAGGCCACGCGCCCGGCCCCACTTGGCCAATTCTTAGGGTGTTAATTCTATTAGGTTACTTCATGTGCTAATCGATCCCTAGGGTACAAATTAGAGTTAATTGCTGCACACAGAGTTCCCAGTGTTTACATACCGTAGTATTGTAAAGTGAATTACAACACACAATGAAATCAAAGGAAACATCAAAAAGAAAATTTTAAGAAGTCCCCAACATCAAAATGACTGTACCTCTGCTTTACATTGTATCAGTTATAGCTGCCTAATAACGGAGATTCAATTGCGCAAGCCACCAATTATTGTGTTGGAGGGCATGAGCATATATGGGGCTTTGCAACATTTTAATAAAACAGTTTGAAATAATTTACTGTCTTGATGGTTGTAGCATCATGGCTCTTTTAGAGATTCCCCATTAACAAAAGGTAGCCCTTTACTTATAATTGCATGTAATTTTTTTTTTCGATTAACAAGAAAAACCGTGAGTACTAGGGATGTCTGGGGAGAGCAGTCAGATATCCCAGGGAGAGGTTGTCATAGAAACTGTGCTGGAGAGCAGCTATACACAGGGTAAAATGCACCCTCCAAAGAAGAGAGGATGGACATTATTGTGAAGCTGCCCTTTCTATCAGTTTCAGAGTGTAAAGCTCTTAATGAATGTCTTTGTGGAAATCATCCTCAGTGATAGCAAGGGTAGGTAGAATAGAAGGATGCTGGGGCTAATGATATATGCCTCAGCTGGGTGCAGTGGCTCATGTCTATAATCCCAGCACTTTGGGAGGCCAAGGCGGGAGGATTACTTGAGGCCAGGAGTTTGAGACCAGCCTGGGTAACAAACATAACAAGACCCCCGTCTACAAAAACAAAAACCTTCATAGGATTGTTATAGAAAATTAAATAGATAACAATCATAAAACACCCACTATGTATAGTCCTTGGAAAATATTAATAGAAATGATAATAATTTTTACATTTATTATCTCATATAATTCTCACTAGAGCAATCTGAGGGAGGCACAGTCATTATTTCCAACTATTTTTGGATACAAAAATTTATTTTCAATCATGTTTGGACATGGGGAAGGAAGAGACATATTCTAGAATTCTATCAGAAGATTAACATCACTTGAGCAACTGCTCAGTCATACCTCTGAGAATAGTAATTTTAAATAAAATAACAACTTTTTTTTTTTTGAGATGGAGTCTCACACTGTTTCCCAGGCTGCAATGGTGCAATCTCAGCTCACTGCAACCTCCGCCTCCCATGTTCAAGCGATTCTCCTACCTCAGCCTCCCGAGTAGCTGGGATTACAGGAGCCTGACACCGCGCCTGGCTAATTTTTTGTACTTTTAGTAGAGACGGGGTTTCACTATGTTGGCCAGGCTGGTCTCGAACTCCTGACCTCGTGATCTGCCCACCTCGGCCTCTCAAAATGCTGGGATTACATGCATAAGGCACCACGCCTAGCCAAAATATTTCCTTTTTTTCAATGAGAAAATGAGGATCAAAGAAGTTGAGTTGCTCAAGGTCACATTGAAAGTAGTAGAGCTGGAACCCAAATGCAAGGTTATCTAGCTCTAGGGCCCATGCCCTTAACGTCTCTGCTGGACTGAACTAGTGGGCAATCAATAACTGGTAATGATTACAAAAATGGTGGTAGAATAATAAATAGTGGAAGTTTTGATTGCCACGCTATATGTATGGCAGAATGTCATAGCATTTGTTGATTTTGTTCATTTCCTAAGTTTATTTTTCCCAATGGACATGGAGGAAAGTGTCATCCTATAGGATGACAACCAAATTGTTCTGTTTTCTCCTCCTGACTCCCTAATGCAGAGCTCCAGGCTGCTCCAACCAATCTATGGCAGATAGCACTTAAGTTAAAACCTGTTGGTCATCCCCACCTAATCTTAGTCCTTCTTCAAAACTCCAGGAAAACCAGGAATTTTCTCTCTCTCTCTCTCTCTCTCCGTCTCCCAAAGGAGCAATTTATAGCTGGAACTTCCTTACCATACTTTCCCCAATGTTTTAAGACCCTATGTTTTGGGCTGAATTGTGTCCCCCTTCTCTCAATTTATATGTTGAAATTTTAACCCTTAGTACCTCAGTATGTGACTGTTTTTGGTGACAGGACTTGTAAAGAGAGGATTAAGGTAAAATGAGGTCATAGGGTTGGACCCTAATCCAATATGACTGCGGTCCTCATTAGAACAGATTAGGACACAGACATACACAAAGGAAATACCATGTGAAGACATTACAAGACAACAGTGTTGGGGCTCAGGACACAATACTGCAAGGTATGGCCCCTTGGCGTGTTGAGTACTTTGAACTGAAAGAGATAGGGAGGGCTCAGAAGCAAGGTCTCTCTGACCTCTTACCTTCCTTTCTCTCTCTCTCCTTTTCCCTCCAAGGCAGGTCACAGAAACTAGAACTCCTCTCCCCAAAGGCAGCTGCAAAACCTAAAAATGTCACTCTCTGACCCTCTCACTTTTCCCTTGAAGGCTTTCATGTGACAGGTGTCCTGACCTGTACCCGGAGAAAGGAATGCTACACAGAGAGGCCAAAAAGAATTTGAACAAACAGGCCTCGCTAAGTTGCCTCCTCAGTTAATTACCATTAGAGCATACCATATTTGTCCAATCACATTTCTATTCTTCATTGAACCTAAGCATAAAAATACATAGGGTTATACAGAAGTTCTCTGGGCCTTCATTCTTTTTTTCTTTCTTCTTTTTTCTTTCTGAGATGGAGTCTCTCTCTGTTGCCTAGGCTGGAGTGCAGTAGCGTGATCTTGGCTCACTGCAACCTCTGCCTCCCAGATTCAAGCAATTCTCTTGCCTCAGCCTCCCAAGTAGCTGAGATTACAGGTGCCCGCCATCACACATGGGTCATTTTCGTATTTTTAGTAGAGATGGGGCTTCACCATGTTGGTCAGGCTGGTCTCAAACTCCTGACCTCAAGTGATCTGCCCACCTCAGCCTCCCAAAGTGCTGGGATTACAGGCGTGAGCCACCACACCCAGCCTGGGTCTTCATTTCTGAAAACTTCCATGTCACATGAAACACTGATTAAATACATGTGTTATACTTTTCTCTTGCTAACCTATCTTTTGTTTAGGAGTGTTGGCTGTGACCCTTGTGATGGGTGAGGAAGAGGTATTATACCTTTTTTGCCCCTGCAACAACCATCTACAAGCCAAGGAGAGAGGGGCCTCCAAAGGAACCAATCATGCTGAAGGCTTATCTTAGACTTCTAGTCTCCAGAACTATAAGGCAATAAAATTGTGTTACTTAAACCCCCCTGTGACACTTTGCTATGGCATCCCTAGAAAATGAATGCACTGCACAGCGGCCTGAGCACCATGGCTCTGTTCAAACCCATGCCACCTTTTCTTCCAGTCCTCTTCACTTTTGACATTCTGTCACTGTGTCGGTTTCCCAGTAGTTAAGCGCCAGGTGTGGAATGAGAACCCATTGTGTAAAATGGCACAGGTCCACACTGCAATTGGCTCTGGGGAGGCTAAGTCCCGGGAAAATTAATCAAGATGTGTACTCTCCTTTGTGTTCCTGTGCCTGACTCCCACTTGCTCATGCTCTCCCAGGGCATGGTGCCTTCCTCAGAGCTAACACAACACTGTGTTCATATCTAGATGAAAGTTCTCACAGGACTGTGACACCATTAATTTTTTTATGTGCCTGTTTGCCACCTCAACCCTATCTCCAGTTAAATTCTGAATTCATAGACACTGAGATTATGGCTATGAATTATTCATTTTGGTATCCCAGCATCTGCTACAATTCTAGTGGTTCAAAAAAGGCATAAATTTATATTTGGATTTTTTGAGTGGATATCTTTTTTTCTGATTTCTTTCTTTCTTCTATACCTCTGTGAAGGGAGTTTTATAATACAGATGTAAGGGAAAGAAATTTTAAATACGTTAAATATGTTGGTCAGGCATGGTGGTTCACGCCTGTAATCCCAGCACTTTGGGAGGCCAAGGTGGAAGGATCACTTGAGCCCTAGGAATTTGAGACCAGCGTGGGCAGACCCTGTCTCTATGAAAAAATTTAAAAATGAGCTGAGTGTGGTGGCACACACCTGTAGTCCCAGCTACTTGGAAGGCTGAGGTGGGAGGATCACTTGAGCTCAGGAGTTGGAGACTGCAGTAAGGCATGATTGTACCACTGCACTCCAGTCTGGGTGACAAGCAAGACTCTGTCTCAAAAATAAACAAACAAATGAATAAATATGTTATGCTATCAGCAGTGGTCAATGTCTTAAGAAAAAGCATTCATGTTTATCTTAAATGCTCTAATCAGAAGATTCTAAAATGTCTAAGCTTCTTCTTAGGGGGGAAAATCCAAGCACAATGAAGGTTGAGCTGTCTAGGAAAAACAGTCCTCAGGACCTCAAGGATCTTACTGCTCCCTCCACCTGCAAGATGGAGCCGAGCCCAAGGAGAGGAGATGGTTCTAAAATAGGTACTTTTCAGCTGGAGCTGGCTTAGAAAGTCACTCTTAATGTCTGATGAAGCTGTAGACAAGGAATTACCCTCAAGTAGTTGAAGCTTCTGTTCCATCGTTCAGGAGATAGGGAGAGAAGGGAGACTGCAGAAGAAAGAGACTCCCCAGTGCCTACCCAAGACAGACTCTGTAAGGACTGTCAGGCAGTGGGTTGGAAAATCAATGCTTTGCCTCTAGACTCCTCTGAACTCTCTTTGTGTGTTTGGATCAGTTACTAGTATGGTTGTTTCTTTTTTGGCAATGAATTGTCTCTAAATCTCCTTGAACTTTTTGGACAGAACAGAGGGACATAGTAATATATTTAGATTGTTATGAACTGTATCTTGCTTGTCATATTGAAACATGGAAACACTACCCTCATCCACTCCTTAGTGAATCTCCTGCTTTATCATGGGATCTGGTTGGAAAGAAAGTATGGTCTTTCTGCCCTTCACCCGTCTCTTCCTAGAGACACTATCCAAGGATGGTCAACTTCTTTGAAAGTCTTAGTAAAAAGCTGGGTCATGAGCTTTGGTTATTTTTAGACAACAATAGGCGATGGATGAAGCAAGTTTGTAACTAGGAATGCGTGGTTTGCACTACTTGGAATGCAGTTTGCCTTCGGGGGTTTGCTGTTTGTAAGACAATTGGCAACACCCCACAGATTTGTGTCAGGAACACCAAAGAATTAGAATCAATCATTTGTGAAGAAGCAGAACAGTCCTCCATTAGACTTTATATATTAATAAAAATGAGCACAAGTGAGGGTCAGATCTGTTCACCAGGTCCCTAATTATAATTCAGAGAGCCAGGGGAAAGAGAAAAAAGTAAAAAAAAAAAAAAAAAAAAAAAGAAGAATGCCTGACGTTTGGGAACACTAAACAGAGACAGAAGATTTTTCTGTCTTTCACGTCAAACATCCAGCCACGTGCTCACTTTTTTTCCTTGAAAGGCATTTAACGTTGTGGGATTATATTTTTCTTCCTGACTCCTAGAAAAATATAAATGTCATCGACGTTTGATCTCATCTAGGTAGTTTGAAGGCTCTTCGTTTGTGGGTAGGAAAGTTAATGCCACAAAATGTACTAAAATTCAAAAACATTCCAACTTTAATGATTCACAGCAAAGTCAGAATGCAGGTCAGATGCTGTATTTCTGATATTTAAAAAATACAAAAAGAATTCTTTGAAAGTATGTTTCCAAAAGACAGTAGACATTTGTACTATTTATCATTCAGCAAGAGCTAAATAGCATAGGAACATGGTTATTCTAAGTTACATTTTGAAAAAAGAGAAACAAAACAATTATTTCTGAAAACAGCAAAAACATCAAGCTTGCTAATTTGAACAGTTTTGACAGTTGACACAAAGGAGAGAAAAGGGCCTTTTATGTGTTGTATAAGGAAGATCTGTTGAAGAAAATTAGCTCCTACAGGAATAGGATTGATAATGTGACATATACTCACTCTGATCTAAATTTAACATCTTCCCACGTTCTCATTGCTCCAATGCCCTTCGAGTTACTATAGTGATCCTACCTTGCCATTCAACATTTAATTCCTAGGTAACAGACAACAACCGTGGCGACCAGGGAAGGAATAGGCAAAAATCTATTTATTAAATATTATCTGGAGTTACTTGCTTGAAAAAACATCTCCCCCACAACCCCAGCAGATTTTGGGCTGAGTTACAACTAAAATATAAATTGTACAAGAAGAACCAAGAAGAATTTTCAGGCTCCAATTTTGAGTTTTAGAATCTTGACATAATGGCACAGACCCCCAAAATAAAGATTCTGAAATAAGCACTTTTCATCTGGAGCTGGCCTGGAAAGTCTCTCTTAATGCTTGATGGAGCTGTAGGCAAGGAAATACCCTCAACTAGTTGCGGCTTCTGTTCCATCCACTGATGTTGTACCATATGCTTATCCTTCCTCTAAAATGGGCAGATACATGATGTGAGAGTTTTTTCTCACAAAATTAGCTTGCATTAGAAACTTCCAAATGAAAGACTCTTCTGACCACTGGAAAAACAGAGTAAGTACTTACTAGGTTCGTGCAAAAGTAATTGAGGTTTTTGCATCACTTTAATGGCAAAACCGCAATTAACTTTTGCATTAAACCTCATACATACATCATGTAAGTATACTTATATACATACTTTAAAAATATCTTCTCAGTAGCCTTCTCTTTCAGCTCTCCAGTAAAAGGGCGTCCAAAGATGGTAGCCTTCTCTTTCAGCTCTCCAATAAAAGGATGTCCAAAAACGCATACCTGAGGAGCACAAAAATACCCCACTATTTCCAGGTATTGGTCCTGTGGCAGGCCAGGTCTCACTAATGCAGTCTTCCATAACACCTGCTTCGGTACTGACTGACTGGCTAAGTTTTAAAAGCCAGTGCCCTTATACAAAGACTGGAATGTAACAAAAGCCCACCAAGAGTTTTGCCTAGGCTTTTCCTGAGCCTTAAAGCATAACAAAATAACGAAGGAATCCTTAACGGGACCCATTTAGGATTAAACAAGTTTTATTGGGAGTCTGAAGAAACTCCCCAGGCTTCACAAAGAAGCTTATTGGGGTTCTGAAGGAACTCCCCAAACCTCCATGATTTAGCAGGAGACAAGATAAGGGTAATCACCCCAGCACCTGGACCCATTTAGATCAAGTAAATTTATTGAGGTTCCAGGGGAAGGTCTCAGGACTCAGACCTTAGTTATAGATTAAAAGAAGTTAATCATGGCCAGGCATGGTGGCTCAAGCCTGTAATCTCAGCACTTTGGGAGGCTGAGGCAGGTGGATTGCCTGAGGTCAGGAGTTCGAGACAGCCTGGCCAACGTGGTGAAACCCCATCTCTACTAAAAATACAAAAATTAGCTGGGTGTGGTGGCAGGTGCCTGTAATCCCAGCTACTCAGGAGGCTGAGCCAGGAGAATCGCTTAGAACCCGGGAGGCAGAGATTGCAGTGAGCCAAGATTTCACCACTGCATTCCTGCCTGGGTGACAGAGTAGTGAGATTCTGCCTCAAAAAAAAAAAAAAAAAAAAAGGAAAAAAAGTTAATCACATGTGTCTTTAGATGAATGCACACTTACATGTAGACATATAGCTTACAAGGTATATAAGCGCTGGAAAACTTTGTGATTTTGAGTTGGTCTGGTGATAATTTCCAGGCCTTCTCCCTGTAAACGGCTGCAGAAATAAAAACTCTCTTTCTCCCCAGTTCATCTGCATCTCGTTATTGGGCCACGAGAAATAGCAGCCTGATAGTCAGTTACATCTGGGAACAGTCCTACAATGCAGTTTTCTGTGTTAGAAATAGCAATAAATCCATTCGAATGCAGGGTCCTGAACTAAGAACCCGTACTTTAAAATCTAACTTTTTCATTGCCATGGAGTGAGCAAAGGGGAACACAAACAAAAAATTAATAAAAGCAGACCAAAAGTACACTAGAAAAGTAGACAGTGAAAAAAGGAAAGGAGAGATAGATATGACGAAAATAAAGTGTTATATTCAGAAATCAGAAAGTAATACTGATTGTAACATTTGTTAAACTCTTCCTTTATCCCCAGGCTCATGCTAAGCACCTTACCTTCATTATTGTATGAAGTCCTCGTGGCAGCTATGTGGGCTTGCCACTATTAATATTTCCATATTACAGAAATATAGGGTCCAGCCCTACGGAGCTTGGCGGGTGTTCTCCTGGTGTGCAGAGATGAGAGATTGTAATAAATAAAGACACAAGACAAAACGATTAAGAGAAAAGAGCTGGACCCGGGGACCACTACCATTAAGACGCATAGACTGGTAGTGGCCCTGAACGGCTGGACACACTGATATTTATTGCATATAAGACAAGGGGGCAGGGTAAGGAGGGTGAATCTTCTAAGTGATTGACAAGGTGAAGCAAGTCACATGATCACAGGACAGGTGGCCCTTCCTTCTTAGGTAGCCAAAGCACACAGAGAGAAGGCAGCATAGGTCAGTGTTTTCTTCTATGCACTTATAAGAAAGATCAAAGACTTTAAGACTGTCACCATTTCTGCTACCGCTATCTACTACGAACTTCAAAGAGGAACCAGGAGTATGGGAGGAACATGAAAGTGGACAAGGAGAGTGACCATTGAAGCACAGCACCACAGGGAGGGGTTTAGGCCTCCGGATGACTGCGCGCAGGCCTGGATAATATCCAGCCTCCCACCAGAAGCTGCTGGAGCAGAGTTTTCCCTGACTCCTCCAAGGAAAGGAGACTCCCTCTCGCAGTCTGCTAAGTAACCGGTGCCTTCCCAGACACTGGCGTTACCGCTTGACCAAGGAGCCCTCAAGCGGCCCTTATGCAGGCGTGACAGAAGGCTCACCTCTTGCCTTCTAGGTCACTTCTCACAATGTCCCTTCAGCACCTGACCCTATACCCACTGGTTATTCCTAGGTTATATTAGTAATGCAACAAAGAGTAATATTAAAAGCTAATGATTAATAATGTTTATAATAATGATTGATAATTGTTCATGATCATCTCTATATCTAATTTGTATTATGACTATTCTTATTCTAACTATTTTCTTTATTATACTGAAACAGTTTGTGCCTTCAGTCTCTTGCCTCGGCACCTGGGTAATCCTCCGCCCTCAGAGACAAGGAATCAAGGGTGAGTCCATTAAGGCAATTTGCACAAGAAATCCCCAGTAAGAAAGTAAGTGGGCCGGGCTTGGTGGCTCATGCCTGTAATCCCAGCATTTTGGGAGGCCGAGGCAGGCGGATCACGAGGTCAGGAGATCAAGACCACCCTGGCTAACACAGCGAAACCCTGTCTCTACTAAAAATACAAAAAAAAAAAAAAATTAGCTGGTCATGGTGGCAGGTGCCTGTAGTCCCAGCTACTCAGGAGGCTGAGGCAGGAGAATGGCGTGAACCTGGGAGGCAGAGCTTGCAGTGAGCTGAGATCGCACTACTGCACTCCAGCCTAGGCAACAGGGCGAGACTCCATCTCAAAAAAAAAAATTAAGTGGTAGAACTTGCATATATTAAAAAAAAAAAAAAAAAAGCCCAAGCTGTCTGGACTCCAGAATCTGAACTCGTAGTGGGTATCATGGAGAGAGGGAAAAGTATAAATATAAAAAAGAGAAAATATGTAACAAAAGAGAAATTAATTCCTGCTGTATGTGGAGGAGACATTACAGGTAATTGGTCTCACAAGTGCCAAAATATACGCTACAGCAGGTGTCCCCAGCTACTGGGCCAGGGACTGGTACTTGTCTGTAGCCTATTAGGAGCCAATTCACACAGCAGGAGGTGAGCGGTGGGCGAGTTAGCATTACCACCTGAGCTCTGCCTCCTGTCAGATCAGCAGCAGCGTTAGATTCTCATAAGATTGCAAACCCTATTGTGAACTGCACATGCAATGGATCTAGGTTGCATGCTGTTTTTGAGAATCTAATGCCTGATGATCTGTCACTGTCTCCCATCACCTCCCAGATGGGACTGTCTAGTTGCAGGCAAACAAGCTCAGGGCTCCCACTGATTCTACATGATGGTGAGTTGTATAATTATTTCATTATATATTACAATGTAACATAATAGAAATAAAGTGCACAATAAATGTAATGTGCTTGCATCATCTTGAAACCATCCCCGCATCCAGTCCATGGAAAAATTGTCTTCCATGAAACTGGTCCCTGGTGCCAAAAAGATTGGAGACCACTGCTCTATGGGATCCATGAGCCTTGTACTTTACCCTAAACCAGTGAATTCACAAAGTCAAGGAGTCAGAATGGGTTTCCAAAGCTCTCCTTGAATGGAAGCAACCAGAAACTGTGGTGTAGATTTTACTTTTACAAAAGTGAAACAATTCTTTTGAATAGAATAACTTTTTATTCTCCTGCTTAGGAGAATGTTCACGTGTCCTTTGATAAAAATATTTACACTTATGTATGTATTCACATCGCCGAGTTGGAAAGCAGAATAGGTAGAAGTTCTTTATAACATCTGATATGCAAGAATATGATAATTTTAGACTTTTTGTCCTACAAAGTAGTCCTATGGACCAAAGGTGGATGGCAGATTTATTACTGTTCTTGGGAATTCAGGATGGGTGTCAAACAGCGATAATCATATTTCATTATGGTCTAGAGTAATTTTAGAAGTTCATTCTGAAAGTTCCAGCATGTATTATTGATTATTGTTCTATATGAATTAATCACAGATGAAATGTAAGATAGAGTGGTGTCTTGTACAATGAGTTACATAAAATTAAACGGGTCTATACAAAACTTCTTAGTGGTAGAAAAGAACAGTAACTGCAATACACCACAAGAGGGCAAACTGGTACTGTTGAATATCAGTAACTTGGCTGCAAAGAGTGCAATGAAAGACAAGGTGATGTCAGATCCAAGCCAGTTTACTTTTCTGCAATCATTCAAAGATCAAATCAGAAAGCTTTTCTTTAGTAAGTTTTGTGGTATTTGAGAAAAGTAATAAGGTCTTACTAGTTAGTAAATAAAGCATACTGCTTTTTACTTTCATTGAAAAAAATAAGATTTGTCTCTAAAAATATATTTTCCTGGGTTAATATTGTATTAGATACATACTTTGTATCATCACCAATTGTCAAGAAAATTTGGGGAAAATTAAAAGAAAAAATTATTTTCTTTTTTATCAGCAGTGTACAGCAATATAGCAAAACAAGCTACAAATAGGTGAAATTGGGGTTCACTTTAGCAGACAGGAGAAAGGTTAACAAGGTTAAGGTTAATATGATAAATAAATTATGGCAGAGAATTGAGGCAAATGAATAGAGATTCAGACAGTTCTCCCTGACGCTTCCCCTTACACATGTAACTAGGTGATTCATTGTAGATTAAAGAATGCCATTTGACAGGGCACTTTGGCTCACGTCTGTAATCCCAGCACTTTGGGAGGCCGAGGCGGGCAGATCACGAGGTCAGGAGATTGAGACCATCCTGGCCAACATGGTGAAACCCCATCTCTACTAAAATACAAAAATTAGCCAGGTGTGGTTGCGGGCACCTGTAATCCCAGCTACTCAGGAGGCTGAGGCAGGAGAATCGCTTGAACCTGAGAGGTGGAGGCTGCAGTGAGCTGAGATCCCACCACTGCACTCCAGCCTGGGCGACAGAGCAAGACTCTGTCTCAAAAAAAAAAAAAAAAAAGCATTTATAAACAAGACTGTCCATTAATTTTTAGGCCCTAAATTGTCTTTTTAATAACGAGTGCAATCTGAAAATGAGGTTCTTTGTATGTTGTGGCCTGAAGATAACGATAAAAGATAAAGAAACATTGGCAAACTGCAAAATCCTCACAGCACATGCAGTTTAGAGTGATGCTAGAAGTAATGTGATGTTTCCCTATTGAAAGAAAACTTATAAATATTTTCACTAGGAATGTTCCGTTAGTCCAGGGGTTGGCAACTTTTCCTTTAAAGAGCCAGATAGGACTGGGTGCGGTGGCTCACGCCTGTAATCCCAGCACTTTGGGAGGCCGAGGCGGGAGGATCACAAGGTCAGGAGTTCGAGACCATCCTGGCTAACACGGTGAAACCCCATCTCTACTGAAAATAGAAAAAAATTAGCCTGGTGTGGTGGCAGGCGCCTGTAGTCCCAGCTACTCAGGAGGCTGAGGCAGGAGAATGGTGTGAACCTGGGAGGCAGAGGTTGCAGTGAGCCGAGATCGCGCCACTGCACTCCAGCCTGGGTGACAGAGCGAGACTCCGTCTCAAAAAAAAAAAAAAAAAGAGCCAGATAATAAATACTTCTGGTTTTGCAGGCCATCTGGTCTCTGTCTACTTCTGGCTACTCCTTTTTGCCACTGTAGTGTAAAAACAGTCAGAGACAAGCAAATGAATGGACGTCATTGTGTTCCAATAAAACTTTAGTTAACAAAAATAGATGTCAGGCTAGAATGGCCCCTGGGTTGCAGTTCGTTAAACCCCACTTTAGTCTAGCTGTGGACCCCTTCATAGTAAAGGAGTAAATGAGAAGGAGAAATAAACTTGAGACTTGGACGTAGGGACACAAATAGCCTATAACTGGAGAGCAGAAGGTTATAAAAATCTCCACCTCAGGTCCCAAGAGATGTTCAACACTCAGAGTCTTAACAAGAAGCAAAAATTGTCTTAGGAAAAAGCGTATTTTAGAAAATTGGTTGAAACACATCCATAGCCTCATGCTTAAAATATGTAAATCCTGAAAGTGAAGTAAATCTAAAAATGTATGAGCTGGGGATTCTGTCCTGAGCATCAGAAGCCCGGGCATTTTGAGCCATCAAGAAGTAAGGAAATGCTTGAATCTTGCAGGAAACAGTAGGGTTTTGCAGCAAGACCATTGTGGGTGACAAATTCGCTCCAAAAAGCACCCTCATTTTCTGAGTGTAAGGAAACATCCCATAAATTACACCTCACAGACATTTCTAAAAGACCACTGGAAATTTAAAAATTTTGAAAACTTATTTCGTCATTTGTAGAAAGAACAAATTTTCAAAGAGTGACACATGCATTCTACTTTGATTTGAAAGATGAGCTAAGTTTTTCATGAAATCAACTAATTAATTGCTGGGGGAAAAAATGGCTTAAAAGAGTATATACTGCAATGGTGCCCAAGTCTGGCTGTAGGAAAATGTCAAGGAGACTTTTGTCAATGAAAAGTGGCAAACTCTGTAAAATATTTGAAGAGATGTATTCTCAGGTAAATATGAGTGACCAATGGCCTCTGACACAGCCCTCAGAAGATTTTGAGAACACGCACCCGAGGTGGTCGGAGTACAGCTTGGTTTTATACATTTTTGGGAGACATGAGACATCAATGAATACATGTAAGATGTATATTGGTTTGGTCCAGAAAGGTGGGACAACTCAAAGCAGGAGACCTTCCAGGTTATATGTAGCTTTAAAGATTTTCTGATTGGCAATTTGTTGAAAGAGTTATTATCAATAGAAAGGAAGGTCTGGTTACAATAAGGGGTTGTAGAAACCAAGGTTTTATCGTGCAGATGAAGTCTCCTGGTAGCAGCCTTCAGAGAATAGATTGTAAATGTTTCTTATCAGATTTAAAGAGTCTGTTCTGTCAATAATTCCAAAATGGAGGAGGGTATAATGAGGCATGTCCAGCTCCCCACTCCCATCGTGGCCTGAACTAGTTTTTTCAGGTTAACTTTGAAATGCCCTTGGCTGAGAGGAGGGGTCCATTCTGTTGGTTGGGGGCGGGGGCCTTAGAATTTTATTTTTTGATTTACTTTTTTTTTTTAAAAAAGCAACACAGCTTCCCAGATTTTACTCCAAACACTGAATTGGATTTTCTGGAGCCTGTGTGTGACACAGGCATTTTTATGACACTTCCCAGGTGAGTCTTGGTAGAAACCAGGCTAGCACCAGTCCAGGGAGTGGTATTTAGGAAAGAAAAGGACAAAGTATAAAACTTGGGTTTGATTTTGACCATTGTTGGGGCCAAGGAAAAACTATTTCACCCTCTGAAGGTCTGGTGAAAAATCAACTCACAAAAGGCATAAAAATCTATTAATGTGCACACAGGGGAGAACCACAGAGCGCATGCAAGGACAAAGCTGAACTGCAACAGGAATTTGGAATTGAAAGCCAGTTCCAGTCCCTAATGGGGTGCAGAAGCTTATATACCATCCTGAAGTACAGAAAGGATAGAGGCTCAGAGCATGGCCGATAAAAGGTTACGGTGGTAAATCAGGTTATAGTGATAAGACAGGCTACAAGAGGGAGAGAAGAGGAGGCCTGTAGCAAAGGTGGTCTTGTTATGTAGGTGAAAATTCACAGCTGGCAGCCCTCCAAGAGGGAGAGAAGAGGAGGCCTGGCTAGAAAAGTTGGTCTTGTTATGTAGGTGAAAATTCATAGCTGGCAGCCCTCCAAGAGGGAGAGAAGAGGAGGCCTGGCTAGAAAAGGTGGTCTTGTTATGTAGCAGACCTCAGACTGAATAGATGATGAATGTTTCTTTCAGGCCTTTAAAGGTGTCAAACTCTCAGTTTATCTTTCCTAGATCCAGACAAGAAAGGGCCTGGGTGCACCGATGCAGATTCTCTACAGAGGTGAATCTTCCTCACAAAAGACAGCTTTGCAGGACAACTTCTGTTTACTGGCTCTGTAACAGCCATCTCAAAATATGTCAACTAAATATATTTGCGTTAAAATATTTTGATTTCCTTCACTATGCTGAGTTCAAAGCTGCACCCTGCCATGTATTAGTCATTTGTCCCTGAGCTGGTGATGTACTCTTTTAAGGCTTCAGTTACCATCCCCATGACATGAAGCCAGTGTTTGTCCCTAAGGTAAGGATGGAAAATCTGAGAATGTGACTCTGTGTGGGCTTCAAGTATACATGCTTTATCTCTTTCACACCCTTCTCCTCTTTCTTCCTGGGAACAATATAACTGGATTTGCTTCACTCAGCAATATACAGAATTTTACTGAAAATGAGAGCCTTTGGAGAAAATATATTATTTTAGCTTTGTTCCATTGAAGCATTTCTTCCTGAATTTCCTGAGAACTCTGGGTTTATTTATTTTTTAGACTTTTGATTTTATTTATTTATTTATTTTAACTCTTTTTTTCCAATAAGTTATTGGGGTTCAGGTGGTATTTGGTTACATGGGTAAGTTCTTTAGTGGTGATTCGTGAGATTTTGGTGCACCCATCACCCAGGCAGTATACACTGCACCATATTTGTAATCTTTTATCCCTCATCCCCCTCTCACTCTTCCCCCTAAGTCCCCAAAGTCCATTGTATCGTTCTTATGCCTTTGTGTCCTCATAGCTTAACTCCCACACATCAGTGAGAACATATGATGTTTGGTTTTCCATTCCTGTGTTACTTCATTTAGAATAATAGTCTCCAATCTCATACAGGTAACTGCAAATGCTGTTAATTCATTCCTTTTTATGCCTGTGTAGTATTCCAATGTGTGTGTGTGTGTGTGTGTGTGTGTGTGTGTGTGTGTGTGTGTGTGTATATATACATATCACAGTTTCTTTATACACTTGTTGATTGATGGGCATTTGGATTGGTTCCATGATTTTGCAATTGTGAATTGTGCTGCTATAAACATGCATGTCAAGTATCTTTTTTGAATAATGACTTATTTGCCTCTGGGTAGTAGTGGGATTGCTGGATCAAATGGTAGTTTACTTTTAGTTCTTTAAGGAATCTCCACACTGTTTTCCATAGTGGCTGCACTAGTTTCCATTCCCACCAGCAGTGTAGAAGTGTTCCCTGTTCATCATACCCATACCAAACATCTACTGTGTTTTGATTTTTTGATTATGGCCATTCTTGCAAGAGTAAGGTGGTATCGCATTATGGTTTTGATTTGCATTTCCCTGATCATTAGTAATGTCGAGCATTTTTCCATACGTTTGTTGGCCATTTGTATATCTTCTTTTGAGAATTGTCTATTCATATCCTTAGCCCAGTTTTTGATGGGATTGTTAGTTTTTTTCTTACTGATTTGTTTGAGTTCATTGTAGATTCTGGATATTAATCCTCTGTCAGATGTGTAGATTGTGAAGATTTTCTCCCATTCTGTCTGTTTACTCTGCTGACTGTTCCTTTTGCTGTGCAAAAGCTCTTTAGTTTAATTAGGTCCCAACTATTTATCTTTGTTTTTGCTCCATTTGCTTTTGGGTTCTTGGTCATGAAATTCTTGCCTCAGCCAATGTCTAGAAGGGCATTTCCAATGTTATCTTCTAGAATTTTTTATAGTTTCAGGTCTTAGGTTTAAGTCCTTAATCCATCTTGAGTTGATTTTTTATAAGGTGAGAGATGAGGATCCAGTTTCATTCTCCTACATGTGTCTAGCCAATTATCCCAGGATCATTTGTTGAAAAGGGTGTCCTTTCCCCACTTTATGTTTTCATTTGCTTTGTTGAAGATCAGTTGGCTGAAAGTATTGGGTTTATTTCTGGATTCTCTTTTCTTTTCCATTGGTCTATGTGCCTATTTTTATACCAGTACCATGCTGTTTTGGTGACTATGGCCTTATGGTATGAGTTCTGCTCTGATCTTGGTTATTTCCTATCTTCTGCTGGGTTTGGGTTTGAAATCAAGTAGTGTGATGCCTCCAGATTTGTTCTTTTTGCTAAGTCTTGCTTTGGCTGTGTGGGCTCTTTTTTGGTGCCATATGAATTTTAGAATTGTTTTTTCTAATTCTGTGAAGAGAGATGGTGGTATTTTGATGGGGATTGCATTGGATTTGTAGATTTCTTTTGGCAGTATGGTCATTTTCAAACAATATTGATTCTACCCATCCATGAGCATGAGATATGTTTCCATTTGTGCCATCTATGATTTCTTTCAGCAGTGTTTTTTAGTTTTCCTTGTAGAAGTCTTTCTACTCCTTTGTTAGGTATATTCCTAAGGTTTTTGTTTGTTTGTTTGTTTGTTTGTTTTGTTTTTTTTTTCAGCTATTGTAAAAGGGGTTGAGTTCTTGATTTGATTCTCTGCTTGGTCGCTGTTGCTGTTTAGAAAAGTTACTGATTTGTATACATTAATCTTGTCTCCAGAAACTTTGCTGAATTCTTCTATCAGTTCTAGGAGCTTTCTGGAGGAATCCTTAGGTTTTTCAAGGTAAACAGTCAGCAAATGGTGACAGTTTGACTTCCTTTTTACCTGTTTGGATGCCCTTTATTTCTTTCTGTTGTCTGATTGCTCTGGCTAGGATTTCCAGTACTATGTTGAAGAGGAGTGGTGAGAGTGGACATCCCTGTCTTGTTCCCATTCTCAGAGGAAATGCTTTCAACTTTTCCCCATTCATTATTATGTCGACTGTGGGTTTTTCATAGATGGCTTTTATTACATTAAGGTATGTCCCTTATATGCCAATTTTGCTGAGAGTTTTAACCATAAAGGGATGCTGGATTTTGTCAAATTTTTTTTTCTGCATCTATTGAGATGATCATGTGATTTTTGTTTTTAATTCTGTTTATGTGGTGTATCACATTTATTGACTTGCGTATGTTAAACCATCCGTGCATTCCTGGTATTAAACCCACTTGCTCATGATGGATTATCTTTTTGATATGTTGCTGGATTCGATTAGCTAGTATTTTGTTAAGGATTTTAGCATCTATGTTCTTCAAGGATATTGGTCTGTAGTTTTCTTTTCTGGTTTTGGTATTAGGGTGATATTGGCTTCACAGAATGAATTAGGGAGGGTTCCTTCTTTCTCTGTCTTGTGGAATAGTGTCAATAGGATTGGTATCAATTCTTCTTTGAATGTCTAGTAGAATTCTGCTGTGATTCCGTCTGGTCCTGGACTTTTTTTTGTTGGTAATTTTTAAATTACAATTTCAATCTCACTGCTTGTTACTGGTCTGTTCAGGGTATCTAATTCTTCATGATTTAAGCTAGGAGGGTTGTATTTTTCAAGGAGTTTATTCATCTATTTTAGGTTTTCTAGTTTATATGCATAAGGGTGTTCATAGCAGCCTTGAATGAACTTTTGTATTTCAGTGGTGTCAGTTGTAATATCTCCTGTTTCCTTTCTTAGTGAGGTTATTTAGATTTTCTTTCTTCTTTTTGTGGTTATCTTGCTAATGGTCTATCAATTTTACTTATCTCTCAAAGAACCAGCTGTTTGTTTCATTTATCTTCTGTCTTGTCTTTTTATTTCAATTTCATTTAGTTCTGCTCTGATCTTGGTTATTTCCTCTGTTCTGCTGGGTTTGGGTTTGGTTTGTTCTTGTTTCTCTAGTTCCTTGAGATGTAACCATAGATTGTCTATTTGTGATCTTTCAGACTTTTTGATGTAGGCATTTATGACTATGCAGTTTCCTCTTAGCACTGCCTTTGCTGTATCCCAGAGGTTTTGATAGATTGTGTCATTATTGTCATTCAGTTCAAAGAATTTTTAAATTTCCATCTTGATTTCCTTTTTGACGCAATGCTCATTGAGGAGCCAGTTATTTAATTTCCATGTATTTGCATGGTTTTGAAGATTCCTTTTGGAGTTGATTCCCAGTTATATTCCACTGTGGTCTGAGAGAGTGCTTGATATAATTTCGATTTTCTTAAATTTTTTGAGGCTCATTTTATGGCCTATCATATTGTCTGTCTTGGAGAAAGTTCCATGTGCTGTTGAATAGAATGTGTGTTCTGTGGTTGTTGGATGAAATGTTCTGTGTATATCTGTTAAGTCCATTTGTTCCAAGATATAGTTTAAGTCCACTGTTTCTTTGTTGAATTTATGTCTTGATGACCTGTCTAGTGCTGTCTGTGGAGTATTGAAGTCCCCCACTATTATTATGTTTCTGTCTATCTCATCTCTTAGGTCTATTAGCAATCGTTTTATAAATTTGAGACCTCCAGTGTTAGGTGCATATATGTTTAGGATTGTGATATTTTCCCACTGGACAAGGCCTTGTACCTCTTTGTCTCTTTTAGCAGATGTTGCTTTAAAATTTGTTTTGTCTGATATAAGAATAGCTACTCCTGCTTGCTTTTGGTGTTCATTTGCACGAAATGCCTTTTTATACCCCTTTACTTTAAACTTACGTGAGTGCTTATGTGTTAGTTGAGTCTCTTCAAGGCAGCATATAGTTGGTTGGTGAGTTCTTATCCATTCTGTGGTTCTCTATCTTTTAAGTGGAGCACTTAGGCCATTTACATTCAACGTTAGTATTGAAACGTGAGGTACCATTGCTTTCATCATGTTCCTTGTTGCCTGTGTACTTTGGTGGTTTCTTTTTTGTTTTTGCTTTTTAACTTGTATTTTTGTTTTATAGGTTCTATGTGATTTATGTTTTAAAGAGGTTCTATTTTGATTTGTTTCAAGATTTAGAGCTCCTTTAAGCAGTTCTTGTAGTGGTGGCTTGGAAGTGGCAAATTCTCTCAACATTTGTTTGTCTGAAAAAGACTATTTTTTCTTCATGTATGATGCTTAGTTTCACTGCATACAAAATTCTTGGCTCATAATTGTTTTGTTTGAGGAGGCTGAAGGTACGTCCCCAATCCCTTCTAGCTTGTAGGGTTTCTGCTGAGAAATCTGCTGTTAATCTGATAGGTGTTCCTTTGTAGGTTACTTGGTGCTTCTGTCTTGTGGCTTTTAAGATTCTTTCCTTTGTCTTAACTTTGGATAACCTGATGACAATGTGGCTAGGCAAAGATCTTTTTGCAATGAATTTCCCAGGTGTCCTTTGTGCTTCTTGTACTTGGCTCTCTAGATCTCTCACAAGGCCAGGGAATTTTTCCTTAATTATTCCCTCAAACATGTTTTCCAGGCTTTTAGAATTCTCTTCTTCCTCAGGTACACCAATTTTTCTTAGGTTTGGTTGTTTAACATAATCCCAGACTTCTTGGAGGCTTTGTTTATATTTTCTTATTCTTTTCTCTTTGTCAGATTGGGTTAATTCAAAGACCTTGTCTTTGAGCTCTGAATTTCTTCCTTCTACTTGTTCAATTCTATTGCTGTGACTTTCCAGAGCATTTCAGATTTCTAAAAGTGTGTCCAAAGTTTCCTGAATTTTTATTGTTTTTTCTTTAAGTGATCTATATCCATGAATATTTCTCCCTTCACTTCTTGTATCAGTTTTTTGGATTTCTTTGCATTGGGCTTCACCTTTCTCTGGTCCCTCCCTGATTAGCTTATTAACTAACCTCCTGAATTCTTTTTTCAGGTAAATCAGGGATTTCTTCTTGGTTTGGATCCATTGCTGGTGAACAAGTGTGATTTTTTGGGGGTATTGAAGAGCCTGGTTTTGTCATATTACCAGGATTGGTTTTCTGGTTCTTTCTCATTTGGGTAGGCTCTGTCAGAGGGAAGGTCTAGGGCTGAAGGCTGTTGTTCAGGTTCTTTTGTCCCATGGGGTGTTCTCTTGATGTAGTACTGTCTCCCTTTTCCTATAGATGTGGCTTCCTGTGAGCTGAACTGCAGTGATTGTTGTCTCTCTTCTGGGTCTAGCCACCCAGCGAGTTTCCCAGCTCTGGGCTGGTACTGGGGTTTGTCTGCACAGAGTCCTGTGATGTGAACCATCTATGGGTCTCTCAGCTGTGGTTACCAGCACCTTTTCGGGTGGAACTGGCAGAAGGTGCAATGGGCTCTGTGAGGTTCCTTAGCTTTGGTGGTTTAATGCTCTATTTTTGTGCTGTTTGGCCTCCTGCCAGGAGGTGGCGCTTTCCAGAAAGCATCAGCTGCAGTAGTGTGGAGAGGGACTGGCAGTGGGTGTGGCCCTAGAACTCCCAAGATTATATGCCCTTTGTCTTGCACTACCGGGGTGGATAGGCTAGGACCACCAGGTGGGGGCAGGGCTGGGTGTGTCTGAGCTCAGACTCTCCATGGGCGGGTCTTGCTGCTGCTGCTGTGGGGGATAGGGTTGAGGTTCCCAGGTCACTGGACTTGTGTACCTAGCAGGATTATGGCTGCCTCTGCTGAGTCATGCAGGTTGTCAGGGAAGTGGGGGAAAGCCGGCAGTCACAGACCTCACCCAGCTCCCATGCAAACTGAAGGGCTGGTCTCACTCCCACCATGCCCTGGCCAACAGCCCAGAATCTGTTTCCAGGAGGAGGGTGAGATGGGCTTGAAAATTTGCCTGAGGCTATCCACCTCCCAGCTGGGAGAGAATAACGCTTTAGTTCTTCTCCTGCCTGTGAAGTCTGCATGCCTGATTCGTGCCCTCCCGAGTTCTTGCCCAGAGGCTTCTTGCCCTGTTCAAATTGTTACAAAGTTCAGCTAGAGAATTCCTTCTCCCTGTAGTTTCACCCCCTGCTCCTCTGGCCACCCTCCTGATGTGTGGTCCCAGGCAGGAACTGGCTGCTTAGGGACCCAGCGAGCTCCCAGGGCCTTTCTGCTGCTTCCTCTACCCCATATTTCACTCGGCTCTCTAACTGGACTCGGCACCAGGTAAAGTCGAAAACTTCTCCCTCAAACAGAACTTCGGTTTCTCCAGTGGGTGTGTGTGTCCAGGAGAGGTGGATCTTCCTTTCCCACTTCTATGGTTGGGACACTCACAGTATTTGGGGTGTCTCCCAGGTCCTGCAGGAGCAGTCTGCTTCCTTCAGAGGATCTGTAGTTCCTCTCGGTGTTGCTGGTTTGTTTTTGCAGTCAATGTATTTGACTTTTTAAAATTCTGGTCCAACGTATTTTAAATCCCCAATTCATGGGTTATAATCACAAAGACATAAGGATGAATTTGAGGCTCTGGAACTGAGCTCCTGGGTCTCTGTCTTGCCTGATCCTCTTAGCTGGAGGCAGAGTCAGAGCTCTGGGTTTAGGTCACTTGAGCAGGTACAGAATAGTGTGAGTGATGGATGGGTTAATATGCCTACCATCTCTTCTCTTAAGCACCAGGTGGGGAGAAGACCAAGCAGGGAGATGTCAAGTCCTCATGTCAGGGGCATTTGAACTAGAGTGACTCCATCTTGAATGGGGGCTAGGTAAAATAAGGCTGAGACCTGCTGGGCTGCATTCCCAGGAGGTTAAGGCATTCTTAGTCACAGGATGAGATAGGAAGTCAGCACAAGATACAGTTAACAAAGACCTTGCTGATAAAATAGCATGTGGTAAAGAAGCTGGCCAAATCCCACCAATGCCAAGATGGCGACAAAAGTGACTTCTGATCACTTTCATTATATGCTAATTGTCATTACACACTAATTAGAATGTATTAACATCCTAAAAGACATACCCACCAGCACAACAACAGTTTACAAATGCCATGGGAATGTCAGGGCAATCTAAAAAAAGGGGGAACCCTCAGTTCCAGGAATTGCCCACCCTTTTCCTGGGAAATTCATGAATAATCCACCCCTTCTTTAGCAGATAATCAAGAAATAAACATAAAAATAGGCAACCGGAAGCCCTTGGGGGTGCTCTGCCTATGGAGTAGCCATTCTTTTATTCCCTTACTTTCTTAATAAACTTGCTTTCACTTTATGACCTTGTCCTGGATTCTTTCTTACACAAGGTCCAAGAACCCTCTCTTAGAGTGTGGATCAAGACCCTTTTCTGTTAACGCTCAGATATCCCTTCAAGTCTTAGCTTGTGCTGACTTTCTTGGCTTAAGGCAATTCCAAACTTACTGCTCAGAAACTGGCTTTCAATTCCAAATTCCTGTTGCACTTGAGCTGTGTTCTTACATGCAGGTGTAGGAGGTTTTTGCTCCTTTGTTAGAGGTTAAAGCAGCAGTGAAGTAAGCCACCCCTGCTGCTCCTTAATTTATTTATTTTTTCATTTTCTCTCTGGTTTATTTGAAGGAAGAAGAACAGAACAATGTTAGCCCCTCTGAATCTTGAGTGTGGAAAATTACGGGGCCACCTACCAATTGTTACTGGCAGGAGACGTAATAAGAGAGCCAGGAGCTGGCAACTCTCCTTCCTCTGGCCAGGAGTTTTCTTCTTACTCATTAGCAATTATTTATCTGCTCTTTGGAAGGAGGAGTTGTTCCTCCTTGCACGTGCTGTGCTGAATGAACTCACCAGAAGGAAAATAATTTCACAGTGCATGTTTTTTTTTTTTTTTTTTGAGACGGAGTCTCGCTGTCACCCAGGCTGGAGTGCAGTGTCACGATCTCGGCTCACTGCAGGCTCCGCCCCCCGGGGTTCACGCCATTCTCCTGCCTCAGCCTCCCGCGTAGCTGGGACTACAGGTGCCCGCCACCTCGCCCGGCTAATTTTTTGTATTTTTAGTAGAGATGGGGTTTCACCGTGTTAGCCAGGATGGTCTTGATCTCCTGACCTCTTGATCCGCCCGCCTCGGCCTCCCAAAGTGCTGGGATTACAGGCGTGAGCCACCGCACCCGGCCTCATAGTGCACGTTTTTAAAGCTCCCTCCATGGTAGGAAAGTTTTTGTGGAACAGAAGAAAATTGGAGGTTAGCAATCATTTTATTATTTTGTTAAATGAAGAAAGCCAGGAAAAATAAAATTCCTGGTAAAGAAAGAGTTGCTTCAGTTTACTGCTCTGGGGTGGCTTCTCCAGTGATTCTGGCCGGTGCATTAGGAAGCCAAGTTTGCATTTTGGAGGTTGTGGACTCAGCATATGAGTCAAGTTTCTTTGCAAAGAAAACCTGAGGGTTTTGTTGTATTCTAATTTATAATTAGGCATTAGGCAAAGTAGCAATGAAGGATCTTACTTCAGCAGGTTTACTGCTTGATTTTGCTTTTGGTTCTACTTAGCAACTTTAAGTAGAGTAAAGGAAGCAGCTATACTCCTTCAGGGAATCAAGATATGACAATTGGACATTTGGATATTCATGTGTTTTTTTAGGATGGAACCTCTATAAATGGAATGACACTTCTAAGGTCCAAAAGTAAATATAAATTTTAAATTGTTCTTTTAAATCTATGCACATTTCTCAGAATCTCAGAAAAAATAAACATTCCAAGAATAAAATGTGATTTGTATTATTTCTACTAAAAAAAAAAAAAAACTCCCAAGCCAAATACCAAAGCAATGCACATCTGTTGAAATTAGGAATACAGTTATTAAATAAAGCTAAAAAATACACATCTGAAAAATAAAAGGCAACACAAAGATTAGTGACTTGCTACTATTTTTTATTTGATTTTATTTGCACGTTAGCAATCCTGAAATTAAAAAGAGTCGCACCTTGAAAGATAAACTAAGTATTCATGGTTTTTATTTTTTATTTTATTTGTTTATTTTTTTGAGACAAAGTCTCACTCTGTTGCCCAGGCTGGAATACAGTGGTGCGATCTTAGCTCACTGCAACCTCCGCCTCCTGGATTCAATCGATTCTCTGCCTCAGCCTCCTGAGTAGCTGGGATTACAGGCGCCCACCACCACGCCTGGCTAATTTTTGTATTTTTAGTAGAGACAGGGTTTCACCATCTTGGCCTGGCTGGTCTTGAACTTTGGACTTCGTGATCCACCTGCCTCAGCCTCCCAAAGTGCTGGTATTATAGGCGTGAGCCACTGCACTCGGCCTCTTGGTTTTTATTTTTACAAGATAGAAGTTCAAGGGATTATTTTGAAGTGAAAATAATAGTGTTACTTTTGGTGGTTAAATGATTGCTTTACCATTCCAAGCACTTTTGACATCCATGGTGGAGGAACTTTGTTTAAGCCAGAAGAAAGGTTTTCCATGCGGCTCTCCTTACAGTGCTTTCTAGAGATGGGCTATGACACACAGCGACACTGGTTAATAATAGTACTTCCCTATGAGTGAACATTTTAAGTATGGTTAAAAAATAGGTAACAAATGATGCAAAAGCAATATAGCTGATCTAGCTAAAATGTTGCTTTATAAAAACTAGATATCTTGGCACCATCTTTGCCTTTGTCCCGTCTGCCTCTAATCTGTGACCAAGTTCTCAGTCCCTTCCTCTCCATTCTCTCTGCCACTACTTTGAGAAATTATTCCTTCACTGTCTTTTTCCCTAAACTATGACACCAGTTTCTTTTTTCTTTTTTTTTTTTTTTTGAGACAGAGTCTCGCACTTTCGTCCAGGCTAGAGTGCAGTGGCGGGATCTCGGCTCACTGCAAGCTCTGCCTCCCAGGTTCACGCCATTCTCCTGCCTCAGCCTCCCGAGTAGCTGGGTCTACAGGTGCCCGCCACCGCGCCCGGCTAATTTTTGTATGTTTTTTTTAGTAGAGACAGGGTTTCACCGTGTTAGCCAGGATGGTCTCGATCTCCTGACCTCGTGATCCACCCGCCTCGGCCTCCCAAAGTGCTGGGATTACAGGCGTGAGCCACCGCACCCGGCCGACACCAGTTTCTAAATGCTTTGCTGCATTTCCCCCTATTTTTTTTTTTAATAATTCATCCTCCTGAAACATAAACCCCAAAATGTCATCCACTTGCTGAAAACCTTGGTTTGCATAACTCTCTGTTTGCAACAACTGTTTTCTCTGGGGTTGTCCATATTTTGGGTTAAGACCTTCACTAATGGCCAGGACTCAGCCCACAGAAAAGGGAGTGTCAGGGTTTGGCAGATCGTTAGGCCCCAGTCAAGTAATTAAGAGTTCTTCCTGCAGCTGCCAGCTTTGGGGAAGACTGGGTCGCTGCTGATGATGTTGAGTCAGGAGCCCAGCTATGTACACTGGGCACATGTGGGGAAGGATGGGAGAAGGCTGGAGCCCCAGTGGTCATGAACTGCCCAAGCACTCAGGCAATGCACAGTAATAGCAGGACTAAGCCCAGAGCCTGCACTCTGATGGATACGAGATAACCAGCCCACTTCCTGCCTCGTTCAGGAACTCTACAAGGCCAAACCTATTCATTTTATTTATTTATTTATTTAGAGATGGAGTCTCACTCACTTTGTCATCCAGGCTGCAGTGCAGTGGCGCAATCTCGGCTTACTGCAACCTCCGCCTCCCGGATTCAAGCGATTCTTCTGCCGAAGGTGTGGTTTGCCCCTCCACACCTGTGGGTGTTTCTCGTTAGGTGGAACGAGAGACTTGGAAAAGAAAGAGACACGGAGACAAAGTATAGAGAAAGAAATACGGGGGCCCAGGGGACCAGCGTTCAGCATACGGAGGATCCCGCCGGCCTCTGAGTTCCCTTAGTATTTAGTGATCGTTCTTGGGTGTTTCTCGGAGAGGGGGATGTGGCAGGGTCATAGGATAATAGTGGACAGAAGGTCAGCAGATAAACACGTGAACAAAGGTCTCTGCATCATAGACAAGGTAAAGAATTAAGTGCTGTGCTTTAGATATGCATACACATAAACATCTCAATGCCTTAAACAGCAGTACTGCTGCCCGCGTGTCCCACCTCCAGCCCTAAGGCAGTTTTCCCCTATCCCAGTAGATGGAATGTACAATTGGGTTTTACACCGAGACATTCCATTGCCCAGGGATGGGCAGGAGACAGATGCCTTCTTCTTGTCTCAACTGCAAAGAGGCGTTCCTTCCTCTTTTACTAATCCTCCTCAGCACAGACCATTTACGGGTGTCGGGCTGGGGGACGGTCAGGTCTTTCCCTTCCCACGAGGCCATATTTCAGACTATCACATGGGGAGAAACCTTGGACAATACCTGGCTTTCCTAGGCAGAGGTCCCTGCGGCCTTCCGCAGTGTTTGTGTCCCTGGGTACTTGAGATTAGGGAGTGGTGATGACTCTTAAAGAGCATGCTGACTTCAAGCATCTGTTTAACAAAGCACATCTTGCACAGCCCTTAATCCATTTCACCCTGAGCTGACACAGCACATGTTTCAGGGAGCACAGGGTTGGGGGTAAGATTACAGATTAACAGCATCTCAAGGCAGAAGAATTTTTCTTAGTACAGAACAAAATGGAGACTCCTATGTCTACTTCTTTCTACACAGACACAGTAACAATCTGATCTCTTTTTCTTTTCCCCACATTCTGCTTCAGCCTCTTGAGCGGCTGGGACTACAGGTGTGCATCACCACACCCAGCTAATTTTCATATTTTTAGTAGACATGGGTTTTTACCATGTTGGCCAGGCTGGTCTTGAACTCCTGACCCCAAGTGATCTGCCTGCTTTGGCCTCCCAAAGTTCTGGGATTACAGGCATGAGCCACTGTGCCTGGCTCCCATTTTAGATATTGGTAACGCAAGCGGGTAAAGACTAAGAATGACTTACTCCATTCTCTAAAGTAGTAGTTCCCAACATGGGCTAATCATATGAATTTCTTGGGAAGATTCCGGGGACCCATTATGAATGGTCTGAATCAGATTACCCAAGCAGATCCGACCCCAGGAATATGTATTTTAATCTAGTTTTCCAGGTGATTCCCACGTAGTCGGTTTGACAAGGCCTGGGGAACCAGTGAATAAGAGGGGGAAAATCAACATTCCTCACCATCACACCCAAGGCTGTTTACCACCAAAGTCCTATCATTCTGTAGCCATTCAGCTTTGTAGGTTTGTTACTTATTTATTTATTTATTTATTTATTTATTTATTTATTTATTGCTCCTCTCCTCTCTGGTATGTGATAATCCTGTGCACTTCTGTACATTTGCTCATATTTTTTGCTTTGATTTGAATGCTGTTTCCTATCTTCTTCATTTGGGAAGAAAAATCTTGTATTTATTTCAAGTTCCAACGACTGATTCATTGAGAGGGTTCCCTTGATCCTACCAGCAGAATTAATTGCTTCTTTTATGCTTTCAAAAAGCTTTGTTCATACCATTGGTAAGTATTTATCACACAGATTTATAGTTATAAGGTTAAGACATTCTGAATCACAAACCAGGACACATAATCCTGCAATCAGAATTGCCCCAGATAATGTAAGATCCTTGATTACCACAGTTACAGTTGCTTGTGTCTTCCCTGATAAAGTATGAATTCTTACAGGCCAGAGACAGTCCTGTATTCACCAGTGTAACTCACACAACCTTCAATATGGTACAATGGAAATAGAAGGTGTCTAATAAATGTTGGGCGTCCATGTGAGCATGGTGCTGCCATTTTGAGTGTCAAGATACACTTAGCACCACTCAGAACTGGGAGCACGACTCCTCTTAGAAGGTGAATGGAAAGAATGTTTTGTCTTTCTTTTTATTTGTCATATTTCAGTTAAGATCAGGCATAAAGTGTCATGTGTGTCTGTATGAAGACAGTCCACCACACAGGCTTTGTGTGAGCAACAGGGCTGTTTATTTCACCTGATGCAGGCGGGCTGAGTCCATAAAAGGAGTCAGCAAAGGGTGGTGGGATTATCATTAGTTCTTATAGGTTTGGGATAGGCGGTGGAGTTAGGAGCAATTTGTTGTGGGCAGGGGGTGGATCTCACAAAGTACCTTCTTAAGGGCGGGGAGAATATCACAAAGTACCTTCTTAAGGGCAGGGGAATATCACAAAGTACCTTCTTAAGGGCAGGGGAATATCACAAAGTACCTTCTTAAGGGCGGGGGAATATCACAAAGTACCTTCTTAAGGGCGGGGGAATATCACAAAGTACCTTCTTAAGGGCAGGGGAATATCACAAAGTACCTTCTTAAGGGCGGGGGAATATCACAAAGTACCTTCTTAAGGGTGGGGAGAATATCACAAAGTACCTTCTTAAGGGCGGGGGAATATCACAAAGTACCTTCTTAAGGGTGGGGAGAATATCACAAAGTACCTTCTTAAGGGCGGGGGAATATCACAAAGTACCTTCTTAAGGGCGGGGGAATATCACAAAGTACCTTCTTAAGGGCGGGGGAATATCAGAAAGTACATTATCACAAGGGCAGGGAGGGTGTATTGTCATAGGTCGATTGATCAGTTAGGGTGGGGCAGGAACAGGTCACAATGGTGGAATGTCATCTTTTGTGGATCTTCAGTTGCTTCAGGACATTTGGATGTATACGTGCAGGTCACAGGGGATATGATGGCTTAGCTTGGGCTCAGAGGCTTGACATAAAGCATGCTGGGATGTTAGTAGTACTGGGCCTGGAGGGTGAGGGAGGGAGGAACCCATGACCAGCTAGAATGGGGACAGGAGTTGGATGTATAAGATATATACAAGATCCCTGTTCTCATAAAACTTACATTCTAGCAGGGGAGATGGGCCAAACCAATTTGAACAAATACAGTATTTCCAAAATGATAAGTTCTTAATTTAGCAGAGGAAACAGAGAATAAGTAAATACCCAAATGAGATGATTCAAACAGTGATAAGAGCTATGAAGAAAATAAGAGATAATGTCTCCAAAGGGGTCTACTTATCAAGGGGTGGGGGTGCAAAGGGGTAGGATTAGATGGGGTGAAGGGCTCTCAGAGATGACTTTTGTTGAGAGCAGACATAAGGAAGGAACTAGCTATGCAAAGAGTTGGCAAGAGACAGTTCTAGGAAGAGGAAACCTCAAATGGCACAACCTTGAGATATGAATGAGCTGGAGCATTTGGGGAGCAGAAAGAGACATACTGTGGCAAGAGCCCAGTAAGTGAGGAGCCAAGCTGTGGGGAGTGTGGGTGGAGATAGACACAGGGCAGATTATATGGGGCCTTGGAATATTCCTTTTATGCCAAGTGCAGTGGACAGACCTTGGAGTGTTTTTATTTTGTATTTTTATTTTTATTTTATTTTATTTTTTTTGAGACGGAGTCTTGCTCTTGTTAGCTGGAGTGCAATGGTATGATCTCAGCTCACTGCAATCTCTGCCTCCTGGGTTCAAGCGATTCTCCTGCCTCAGCCTCCCAAGTAGCTGGGATTACAGGTGCGTGCCACCACGCCCAGCTAATTTTTTGTGTTTTTAGTAGAGACAGGGTTTCACCATGTTGATCAGGCTGGTCTCGAATACCTCAGGTGATCTGCTCATCTTGTCCTCCCAAAGTGCTGGGATTACAGGCGTGAACCACCGTACCTGGCTGCTATTGGAGTTTTAAGCAGGGAGTGGCATAATCAATTCTGAGAAATCTTAAAGAGGTAACATTCTCAGAATTAGGTAATTTCTAAAAATACATCTAAAGGAGAGAGTGGGGTGAAGACGTTCAAAGATTCAAAGGTGAGGGCCAGGCGTGATGGCTCACGCCTGTAATCCCAGCACTTTGGGAGGCCGAGGCAGGTGGATCACAAGGTCAGGAGTTTGAGACCAGCCTGACCAATATGGTGAAACCCCATCTCTACTAAAAATACAAGAAATACCCGGGCGTGGTGGTGGACGCCTGTGGTCCTAGCTACTCAGGAGGCTGAGGCAGGAAAATCGCTTGAACCCAGGAGGCAGAGGTTGCAGTGAGCTGAAATCATGTCACTGTACTCCAGTCTGGGCAACAGAGTGAGACTCTCTCTCTCAAAAAAAAAAAGAAAAAAAAAAAAAAAGATTCAATGGTGATGCTCAGGTTTTCAACTTAGCTAATTGGGTGGATATGGGTGCTACAGAAGGAGAAGGTTTTGCATGGAAGTTGATGTTTTATTTTAGACATGCTGAATCTGAGATTTCCATGGGGCATCTGATTGCAAACTGTGTGTGTGTGTTTCAGACAGGATCTTGTTCTGTCACCCAGACTAGAGTGCAGTGGTGCGATCTCGGCTCACTGCAATCTCTGCCTCCTAGGTTCAAGGGATCCTCCCACCTCAGCCTCCCTAGTAGCTGGGACTACCGATGTGTGCCACCATGCCCAGCTAATTTTTATATTTTCAGTAGAGATGGGGTTTCACCATGTTCGCCAGGCTGGTCTCGAACTCTTGACCTCAGGTGATCCTCCCACCTCAGCCTCCCAAAGTGCTGGGATTACAGGCATGAGCCACCATGCCCGGCCCAAATGTGTTTTTTGTTTTTTAAGATGGTATCTCACTCTGTTGCCCAGGCTGGAGTGCAGTGGTGTGATCATGGCTCACTGCAGCGTCAACCTACTAGACTCAGGTGATCCTCCCACCTTGGCCTCCTGGGTAGCTGGGACTACAGGTGTGTGCTACTAAGCCCAGCTGATTTTTTAAAAAAAAATTTTTGTAGAGATGGTGGGGTCTCACTGTGTTGCCCAGGCTGGTCTCAAACTCCTGAGCTCATGTCATCCTCCCACCTTGGCCTCCTAAAGTGTTGGGATTACAGGCGTGAGCCACTGTGCCCTGCTGCAGGTGGAAATGTTAAGTGAGAAATTGGATATATGTGTCTGAAGTTTTGGGGAAACATCTCGTTCAAGGATATAGATTAGAGATTCATCATCCTATAGGTCATTGTTAGAACGACAAGAGTGGCTAAAATTACACAGAGTGTGAAGCATGAGTGGGTTGAGGATGGGCTCTTGGGAAGACAAATATTTCAAGAGTGGATGAAGATAACAGTACCAACACAGGATATGTGGAAACAAATCAAAGGAATTGTCTGTGGACAAAAAAATGCAAAGGGCTTTCTCTACTCTCTCATTCAGCAATGATCAACACAGAAAACCACATTCGGTGACCAATTGTGGGTGCGCTTTTCCCCACACAAGTGAGCAATCAAGTTCTCCAGTGGACCGCAGCTGGATGGCTCCAATCCAGTTCAATTCTGACACTGTGTACCTGAGATAGTGTCAGATCCCACAGGTTGAGGGCTTGGTCCCACAAGACTGGCCCCACTTCCAATGTCAATCCCAAGCCCCTGGTTGTTCTGCCAGGGCTTCTGACTGCCTGTAAACCAGGGTTTCCACAATATTGTGTCAGGTTCGAATCAGCCTAGTTGTGCTAACTCTGACTTAGGAGCTGGGAGGTATCAGGATGACTCAGTGGCCAATTAAATGCTTTTGAATTCACGGTTTATTGTGAGGCTTTCACACATCAACAATCATGCAAATATATTCAACACACACACAAGCAGCAATAAGAGAGAGAGGGGACCAGCATGCTGAGGGATGAACAGGACAGGTCTGGATTTCCCTGGAAACGCCAACCAGCAGAGTGGGTGGGAGGCTGCTGCTTTTCTCCCCACAGCTTCTGGTGGCCACTGCCAATGGAGAAGAGGCCACAGAATTCTGAGGCAGAGCTTCTTCAGGCATCTTGGACATGGTCAGTTTCTTTGCTGTTTTGATGTCCCTCCTCAGGTATGTCCACGGTCAATATCACAGCTGCCTTTTGGCTTCCCTTTTTTTTTTTTTTTTTTGAAACAGAATGTTGCTCTGTCGCCAGGCTGGAGTGCAGTGTTGTGATCTTGGCTCACTGCAACCTCCGCCTCCTGGGTTCAAGTGATTCTCCTGCCTAGCCTCCCGAGTAGCTGGGACTACAGGTGCCTGGCACCATGTCCAGCTAATTTTTGTATTTTTAGTAGAGATGGGTTTTCACTACGTTGGCCAGGATGGTCTCCATCTCTTGACCTCGTGATCCGCCCGCCTCGGCCTCCCAGAGTGTTGGGATTACAGGCGTGAGCCACTGCACCTGATCTGGCTTCACTTTCTTGTTGGGTCTGGGGGGTGCCTGGCCAAGCAAGTGTTATCTTATCACCTCAGTTCACCATACATATGCTTATCACTTTGAGGGGTCAGCAATTTCCGATTTCACTCTGGGCTCTCACTTGTCACAAGTGAGTCCATTTTGAGACATGTTAAATCACATTATACTAATGTGTATAGTATAATTAGTATAATGTGATTTAACTATAATGTGTCAATGAAGAGTCTAACTGTAAAATAGTTGAAGAGATTTATTCTGAGCTAAATATGAGCAACCATAGCCCATGACACGGCCTCAGGAGGTCCTGAGAACATGTGCCCAAGGTAGTCAAGGTGCAGCTTGGTTTTATGCATTTTAGGGAGGCATGAGACATCAATCAAATACATTTAGGAAATACATTGGTTTGGTCTATTGGTTTGGTCTAGAAAGGCAAGACAACTCAAAGTGGGAACTTCCAGGCTATAGGTAAATGTAAACATTTTCTGCTTGGCAATTTGTTCAGTTTGTCTAAAGACCTTAGATCTATAGAAAGGAAATGCTCAGGTTAAGATAAAAGATTGCAAGACCAAGGTTCTTTTGAAGTCTTATTATCATGGCTGCCCTTAGAGACAGTAGATGACAAATGTTTCCTATTCAGATCTTTAAAAGGTACTAGACTTTTAGTTAATCTCTTTAGGATTGGGAGGGCCTGGAAGAAAAAGACCTAGCTATGTTAATAGAGATTCTATGTTAATAGAGATTCTTTACAGATGCAAATATTCCCCTACAAAGGACAGCTTTGTAGGGCCATTTCAAGATATGGCAAAGAAACATGTTTTGGGGTAAAATATTTTTATTTTCTTTCTTGTTTCATAATGTTATGCCAGAGTCAGGTTGGAAAGTAAGTCACAATATATAGGGTTAAATAAAACCCAAGTGATGAGAATTTATGGTTTGTATGGCATGACTTCCCAGACTCCTTAGATAGGAATTTGGGCAAGATAAAAAAAATCAGAACTTAGTCCTTAAATGTTCTATCACCTAACTTCCCCTTGGGTTTGATTTATTCACGAACTCAGGGAAACAGTTTACTGGTTCATTATAGAGGACATTACAGAATTTCAAGTCTTATTACTTAAGAAATACATTCATGACCGGTGCGGTGGCTCACGCTTGTAATCCTAGCACTTTGGGGCGCTGAGGCGGGTGGATCACCTGAAGTCAGGAGTTCAAGACCAGCCTGGCCAATGTGGTGAAACCCCGTCTCTACTAAAAATAAAAAAATTAGCCAGTCGTGGTGGCACATACCTGTAGTCCCAGCTACTCAGGAGGCTGAGGTAGGAAGAATTGCTTGAACCCAGGAGGTGGAGGTTGTAGTGAGCCGAGATTGCACCACTGCACTCCAGCCTGGGTGACAGAAGAGTGGAACTGTCTCCAAAAAAAATTAATAAATAAAGGATACTACAAAGGATACAGATGAAAAAATGCATAGAAAAACGTGCGGGGGAAGGTATGCGGAGCTTCCATCTCCTTCCCAGGCAGTCACCCTCCAGGAACCCCCAAGTGTTCAGTTACCTAGAGGCTTTCCAAACCTGGTCCTTTTGAGTTTTTATGGAAGCTTCATTACATGGACATGATTGATTAAATAATTGGCCATTAGTGATTAACTCAACTTTTAGCCACTCTCCCTCCCCAGAGGTCAGGAGGTAGAGTGAAAAATCCCAACCCTCTAATCATGCCTTGGTCATTCTGTGACCAGCTCCCATCCTGAAGCTACATAGGGGCTGCCAGCCATCAGTCAACATTAGCATACAAGAAGTCATCACTTTGGAGAGTCTAAGGATTTTAAGAATTGTATGCCGGGAAATGGGTGGAAGATCATATATATATTTCACAGTATCACAAATTGTTTTTATAATAAAGACTTAAATATGTCCACTAGATTTCATAGTGTGGAGGCATTGGTGACCTTGGGGAGACAAACTGATTCAGAAAGTGAATGTTGACTGCTTTCTGAGAAGGTTGGCAGAGAATGAAAGGAGACAAATTACAGTGAATAGTAAAAGGTCAATGGGTTTTTTTTTAGGGTGGGAGAGACTTGGGACTATTTATAGGCTAAAGAGAAAAAAATCAATAGAACAAAAAGATGGAATATTCAAGAGAAAAAGTGAAATTTGAAGGAGTGAGAGCTTGGAAGAAAAAATGAAGGGATTTGGAGCAGTTATCTTAAAATAGGAAGGATAGTTTATTCTCTTAGGATGAAATGAAGCAAGTAAAAGTGTGGATGTCCACATGTTTGAGTGCAAGATGATGAGTTGAAAACTGAGGGAATTTACTGTAGATGGTCCCAACTGTTTTATTCAATCTAGTTAGATAGTAAAATGTTGCCAGTCTGAGAGCTCATGTGTGTGTGCACACATGTATGTAGATGTATGTATGTATGTGATATTGTTTGGATCTGTGTCCCCACCCATAGCTCACGTTCAATTGTAATCCCCAGTGTTAGAAGTGGGGCCTAGTGGGAGGTGATTGGATCATGATGGTGCTCCTTCATGAATGGTTTATTGTCATCTTCTGGGTGTCATTCTCATGATAGTGAGTGAGTGAATTATTGTGAGATCAGGTTGTTTAAAAGTGTCCAGCACCTCCCTTGACCCTCTTACTACTGCTCCTGCCATGTTAGGTGCCTCGCTCCCCATTTGCCTTCTGCCATGAGTAAAAGCTCCCTGAGGCCTCCCCAGAAGCAGATGCCAGCATCATGCTTCCTGTACAGCCTGTGGAACCATGAGCCAATTAAACCTCTTTTCTTTATAAATTGGGCCAATTAAACCTTTTTTCTTTATAAATTACCCAGTCTTAGGCATTTCTTCATAGCAATGTGAGAACTGGCTAACACAGAATGTGTGTGTGTGTGTGTGTGTGTGTGTGTGTGTGTGTGTGTGGTGTGTACTTGCTTTCTTTTTTTTTTTGAGGCAGAGTTTCACTCTTGTTGCCCAGGCTGGAGTGCAATGGAGCAATCTCGGCTCACTGCAACCTCCATCTCCCAGGTTCAAGCGATTCTCCTGCCTCAGCCTCCCTAGTAGCTGGGATTACAGGCATGTGCCACCACGCCCAGCTAATTTTGTATTTTTAGTAGAGACAGGGTTTCTCCATGTTGGTCAGGCTGGTCTCGAACTCCCAGCCTCAGGTGATCCACCCGCCTCGGCCTCCCGAAGTGCTGGGATTACAGGCATGAGCCACCGCGCCTGGCGGTGTGTACTTGCTTTCTAAAAAACATTTTACTTTTTTACTGAGGTAAAATTTGTGTAAAAAAAATTATCATTTTTTAAGGGCAGGGGAAGGACCTTAAAAAAATAAATAGAATAAATAAAAATTACCATTTTAAAGTGAAGAATTCAGTGGAATTTAGTACTATAAATCAAAAGTAAAATTCTAAGCGCCTCCAACCATCTGAATGGACCCTCCTCTAGGCCAAGGACATTCCAAAGTTAAACTGAAAAGCTAGTTCAAGGCATGATGGGAAGGAGGAGTTGGACATGCCTCATTACCATTAACATCAACACAGACCTTAAGGCTGATAGACCAGACTTATTTAAAATGTATAATCCAGGGATCATGGCAGATGGAAGCCAGGACTAGATTGCAGCACCCACTCAGACAGACAGAGCAGCATGTGGAGGCTTGCATCACGAACTTTTGCTCCAGAATGACTGCAGGAATACATTAGGAAAGCCAAGAGAACCAGCAGACCCTCTGAAGGAAGTGGATTGCTCCTGCAGGACTTAGGAGATACCCCAAATACTATGAGTGCCCAAACTGTGGAAGCGAGAAAGGAAGATCATGCACCCCAGAACACATACCCCTGCACAAGAGAACCTGAAGGCTTAGATTATGGGAGAAGATTCTGACCTTACCTGGAGCTGAGTCAATTTAGAGAGCCGAGTGAAATACAGGGGTAGAGGAAGCAGCAGGAAAAGTCCTGTGGGCTTGTTGGGTTCCCTAGCAAGCCATTTCTGCCCTGCCTCACAGGGGCCCTTGGGAAGAGTGGCCAGAGGCACTGGGAAAAGGCCACAGGGAGAAGAAAATCTCCAGCTGAAATTTGCTAACAATATGAACTGATTGAGAAGCCCCCTGGCCAGAACTCAGGGGAGGACATGAATCCAGTGTGCGGACTCCACAGGCAGGTGAAGAATAAAAGCCCTAATTGCTTTCACAGCTGGAAAGTGGGTAGCCTGGGGCAAGTTCTCAGTCCTGTTCACCCACTGCCTGGAAACACACTTGGTGCTGTTACTGGGGGCACGGTGGGAGTGAGACTGGCCCTTTGGGTTGTGTGGGAGCTGGGTGAGGCCTATGACTGCTGGCTTTTCCCCACTTCCCTGACAAGTTGCATGACCCAGTAGAGGCAGCCATTATCCTCCTAGGAACATAACTGTTGATCTGGGAATCTCAACCTCATCCCCCACAGCAGCTGCAGCAAGACCGCTCAAGGAGAGTCTGAGGTCAGACACGCCTGCCACTGCCTCTACCTGATGGTCCTTCCCTACCTACCCTGGTAACTGAAGACAAAGGGCATATACTCTTGGGAGTTCAAGGGGGTGGTGGTGCCCCCCACCACCTGTTCCTCCCCATTCTACTACCGCTGATGCTCTTGAAATCACCACCTTCCGCAGGAGGACAACCAACCCAAAAATAGTGCATTAAGCAACCAAAGCCAAGGACCCTCACAGAGCCCATTTTACTCCCCCACCACCTCCACCAGAGCAGATGCTGGTATCAATGGCAGAAAGACTCACAGATGGTTCACATCAGAGGATTCTGTGCAGACAACCTCCAGTACCAGCCCAGAGCCTGGTAGACTTGCTGGGTTGCTAGATCCAGAAGAGAGATAACAATCTTTACAGCTTGGCTCTCAGGAAGCCACATCCCTAGGAAAAGGGGGAGAGTACTACATCAAGGGAACACTCCATGGGACAAAACAATTTGAACAACAGCCTTTGGCCTTAGACCTCTGTGACAAATGAGAAGAAACCAGAAAACCAACTCTGGCAATATGACAAAACAATGTTCTTCACCACCCAAGAAAAAATCACACTAGCCCACCAGCAATGGATTCCAACCAAGAAGAAGTCCCTGATTTACCTGAAAAAGAATTCAGGAGGTTAGTTGTTAAGCTAATCAGGGAGGCAACAGAGAAAGGTGAAGCCCAATCTAAGGAAATAAAAAAAAAAGATACAAGAAGTGATGGGAGAAATACTCAATGAAATAGATAGCATAAATAAAAAATCAAAATTTCAGGAAACAATAGACACACTTATAGAAATGCTAAATGTTCTGGAAAGTCTCAGCAATAGAATTCAACAAGCAGAAGAAAGAACTTCAGAGCTTGAAGACAAGTTCTTTGAATTAACCAAATCCAACAAAGACAAAGAAGAAAGAATAAGAAAAATTGAACAAAGCCTCCATGAGGTCTGGGTTCACGTTAAACTACCAACCCTAAGAATAATTGGCATTCCTGAGGAAGAAGAGGAACCTAGAAGTTTGGAAAACATATTTGGGAGAAAAATTGAGGAAAACTTCCCTAGCCTTGCTAGAGACCTAGGCATCCAAATACAAGAAGCACAAAGAACACCTGGGAAATTCATTGCACAAAGATCATCACCTAGACACATTGTCATCAGATTACCTAAAGTTAAGATGAAGGAAAGAATCTTAAGAACTGTGAGTCAAAAGCGCCAGGAAACCTATAAAGGAAAACCTATCAGATTAACAGCAGATTTCTCAGCAGAAATCCTACAAGCTAGAAGACATTGGGGACCTATCTTCAGCCTCCTCAAACAAAACAATTATCAGCCAAGAATTTGTATCCAGTGAAACTAATCTTCATAAATGAAGGAAAAATGGTATTTTTTAGACAAACAAATGCTGAAAGAATTCGCCACTACCAAGCCAGCACTACAAGAACAGCTAAAAGGAGCTCTAAATCTTGAAACAAATCCTGGAAACACATGAAAACAGAACCCCTTTAGAGCATAAATCTCATAGGACCTATAAAACAAAAAGGCAATATAAAAAAAAAACCCTCAAAAAACAAAAAAACCAAGGTATACAGGGAACAAATAGTATGATGAATGAAATGGTAACTCCCATCTCAATACTAATGTTGAATGTAAATGGCCTAAATGCTCCCCTTAAAAGATACAGAATTGCAGAATGGATAAGAACTCACCAACCATCTGCTGCCTTCAAGAGACTCACCTAACACATAAGGACTCACATAAACTTAAAGGGATGGAAAAAGACATTCCATGCAAATGGACACCAAAAGTGAGCAAG
This sequence comes from Homo sapiens, assembly GCF_000001405.40. NCBI lineage: Eukaryota > Metazoa > Chordata > Mammalia > Primates > Hominidae > Homo > Homo sapiens. The sequence goes on from NC_000021.9 coordinate 17,706,953, forward strand.
AGTAGCTATTCCTATATCAGACAGAACAAACTTTAAAGCAACAGCAGTTAAAAAAGACAAAGAGGGACATTATATAAATGATAAAATGTCTTGTTCAACAGGAAAATATTACAATCCTAAATATATATGCACCTAACACTGGAAGTCCCTAATTTATAAAACAATTACTAATAGACTTAAGAAATGAGATAGCAACACAATAATAGTTGGGGACTTCAGTACTCCACTGACAGCACTAGACAGGTCATCAAGACAGAAATTCAACAAAGAAACAATCAGTGTAAACTATACCCTGGAACAAATGGATTTGACAGATTTATACAGAACATTCTACCCAACAACCACAGAATATACATTTTATTCAACAGCACATGGAACTTTCTCCAAGATAGACCATATAATAGGCCATAAAATGAGTCTCAATAAATTTAAGAAAAACACTCTCTCAGACCATAGTGGAATAAAACTAGAAATCAACTCCAAAAGGAACCACCTTCAAAACCATGCAAATACATGGAAATTAAATAACCTGTACCTGAATGATCATTGGGTCAAAAATGAAATCTAGATGGACATTAGAAAATTCTTCGAGCTGAATGGCAAGAGTGACGCAAATTATCAAAACCCCTGGGATACAGCAAAGTGGTGCTAAGAGGAAACTTCATAGCCATAAATGCCTCCATCAAGAAGTCCGAAAGAATACAATCTAAGGTCACACCTCAAGGAACTAAAGAAACAAGAACAAACCAAACCCAAACCTAGCAGAAGAAAGGAAATAACCAAGATCAGAACAGAACTAAATGAAATTGAAACAATCAATACAAAATATAAATAAAACAAAAAGCTGGTTCTTTGAAAAGATAAATAAAATTGATAGACCATTAGCAAGCAAAGACTCTATTTTTATGTCCAACTTTTATTTTAAGTTCAGGGGTACATGTGCAGGATGTGCAAATTTGTTACATAGTTAAATATGTGCCATGGTGATTAGCTGCACAGATCATCCCATCACCTAGGTATTAGCCTAGTGTTCCATTATTGGAACACTAAGCATGTGGGAGTTATTTATATCCTACTGCTCAAGGTCATTGCCAAGGTCTGATTGATTGCAAAAATTCAAAAAATTTCAACCTCAGGCATAAATGGGTTAAGCCCAGTACCCTTTACCTATTCTTCCTGATGCTCTCCCTCCCCCCCCTTCCCCCAACCCTCCAACAGGCCCCCGTGTGTGTTGTTTCCCCCATGTGTCCATGCGTTCTCATCATTCAGCTCCCACTTATAAGTGAGAATATGCAGTATTTGATTTTCTGTAGAACAGACTCTTCAAGTTGGGTAAGAAACAATCTATTCTCCCTGGAGCCTGCTACTTGAAGGTTTCACCTGCATAATGAAACCTTGGTCTCCACAACCTCTTATCATAATCCAGAAATTCCTTTCAATTGATTCCAGGTCTTTAGATAATAACCAATTGCCAATCAGAAAATCTTTGAATCTGGCTATGACCTGGAATCCCTCCCAACCGGCAACTGCCACTTCCAGTTGTACCGCCTTTTCAAATAGAGTCTTTGTACATCTTACATGTATTGATTGATGTCTTACATTTCCCTAAAACGTATAAAACAAGTTGTAGCCCAACCACCTTGGGCACATGTCATCAGGATCTCCTGAGGCTGTCCTTAGGACGGGCATGTCATGGGCATGTCCTTAATCTTGTCCTGAGGCATGTCATGGGCATGTCCTTAACCTTGGCAAAATAAACTTCTAAATTGATTGAGACTGTTTCAGATACTTTTTAGTTTACAGTACATTCCAAATTGCTGTGCAACTGCCACGTGTATTCAGTGCTAAAATATTTTCATCTTTAATTGGCTGTGGTAGCACATGCCTGTAGTTCTAGCTACTCAGGAGGATGAGGCAGCAGGATCACTTGAGCCCAGGATTTAGAGGCTGCAGTGAGCTATGATTGCACCACTGCACTCCAGCCCGGGTGACAGAGTGAGACCCCATCTCTAAAAACAAAACCCAAAAAACGCCACCACACACATTATTCTCATCCCCAAAGAAAAACCCATATCTTCCCTTCAGCTCCTAGAAGCCACTCATATATGTTCTGTCTTTATGGACTTATCTATTCTGATATTTTCTATAAATGGAGTCACATAATATATGACCTATTATGTCTGGTTTCCTTCACTTTGAATAGTTTCAAGGTTTACCTTCATTGCAGCATGTATCAGAACTGCATTCCTTTTTATGGCTGAATAATATATCCCATATTTGTTTATCTGTTCATTTGTTGATGGACATTTGAGCTGTTTCCCATATCATCTTAACTATTTTTAAGTGTATGCTACAGTAGTGTTAACTATATGCATATTGTTGTACAGCAGATCTCTAGAACCTTTTCATCTTGCAAAACTGAAAGTCTATACCCCATTGAGGAATGACTACTTATTTCCCCTTCCCTCCAGCCTCTAGTGACCACATTAACTTTCTGTTTCTATGAGTCTGACTACTTTAGATACCTTATATACATGGAATCATGCAGTATTTGTCTTTTTTTGTGACTGGCTTATTTCACTTAGCATAATGTCCTCAAGGTTCATGCACTTCTAGTATATGACAGGATTTCCTTCTTTTTAAAAACTGAATAATACTCCATTGTATGTATATACCACATTTTCTTTATCTAGTTAACTGTCAATGGATATTTAGGTTGTTTGCTCCCACCTCTTGGCTATCGTGAATATTATTGCAATTAATATGAGTGTGCATAATCTCTTCCAGATCCTGTTTTCAATTGTTTTGGGTAAATACCCAGGAGTAGGATTGCTGAATCACATAATAATTCTACTGTTAATGTTTTGAGAAATCTCCATACTGTTTTCTTTAGCAGCTGCACCATTTTACATTCCCACCATCAGTGCACAGGGTTTCCAATTTCTCCACACTCTCACCAGCATTTGTTATTTTCTAATTTTTGGATAATGGCCATTCTAATAGTTAGGAGGTGATATCTCACTGTGGTTTTTGATTTGCATTTCTCCAATGATTAGTGACATTGAGCATCTTTTCATTTGCTTGTTGGTCCTTTGTATATCTTCTTTAGAGAAATGTCTATTCAAGTCCTTTGCTCACTTTTAAATCACGTTTTTGTGTTTTTTTGATGTTGAGTTGTAGGAGTTCTTATATATTCTAGATATTAACCCCTTATCAGATATATCATTTGCAAATATTTTCTCCCATTCTTTTTTTTTTTCTTTTTCTCCCATTCTTCAGGATGCCTTTTTACTTTACTAGTTGTTTCCTTTGCTGCACAGGAGTTTTTAAATTTGATATAGTCCCATTTGTCTATTTTTCCTTTTATCACTTGGGGTTATCAGGTCATATCCAAGAAATCATTGCCAAATACATGATCACAAAGCTTCTGCCTTATGTTTTCTTATAGTTAGTCGTTTTATAGTTTCAGATCTTATGGTTAGGTGGTTAATCCATTTCGAATTGATTTTTATATATGTTATAGGGTATCCAACATTTTTCTTTTGCAATTGGATGTCTGGGTTTCCCACCAGCATTTGTTGAAGATACTACACTTCCCCCATTGTGTAGTCTTGGTGCCCTTGTCGAAGATCATTTGACCATACATGTGAGGGTTTATTTCTGGGCTCTCTATTCTGTTCCATTAATATATATGCTTGTCTTTATGCCAGAATTATACTGTTTTGATTAATGTGACTTTGTAATATATTTTGAAATTATAAAGTGTGAGGCCTTTAGCTTTGTTTGTTTGTTTCAGGATTGTTTTGGCTACTCAGAGTTCTTTGAGATTCCATATAAATTTTAGAATTTTTGTTCTATTTCTTAAAAAAATACCATTGGGATTTTGATAGGAACTGCATTGAATCCGTAGATAGCTTTAGGTAGTATAGACATTTTGACAATATTGTCTTCCAGTCCATGAACAGAAGATGCTTTTTTATTTGTGTCCTTTTAATTCTTTTCAGGAATATTTTGTAGTTTTCAGTGTACACGTCTTTTGTCTCCTTGGTCAAGTTTATTCCTTAGTACTTTTTTTTTTTTTTTGATGCTATTGTATACTCAGTCTTAGCCAAAAGGCCAAAAGGCCAAATCATCCTATTGTAAATAGGATGATTTTCTAAATTTCCTTTTCATATTGTTTATTGTTATTATATAGACATATAGCTGATTTTTTGTGTTAATTTTGTGTTCTGTAGCTTTTCCAAATTCGTTTATTATTTCTAACAGTTATTTTTAATCTTTAGTGTTTTCTACATATGGAATCATATCATCTTCAGAAAGAGATCATTCTATTCTTCCTTTCCAATTTGAATGCCTTTTATTTCTTTTTCTTCCTTATTCTGGCTGGGACTTGTAGGATTATGTTGAATAGAAGTGATAGTGGTCATCCTTACCTTGCTCCAGATCTTATCAAAAAAACTTTCAGCTTTTCACCATTCAGTATGATGTTAGCTGGGAGCTTTTTATATATGGCTTTTATAAAGTTCAGGTAATTTTCTTATATTCCTAGTTTATTAAGTGTTTTTATCATGGTTTTGAATTTTGTTGAAGGTTTTTTGTGCATCAATTAAGATGATCATGTGATTTTTTTTCATTTATTCTGATAATGTAGTGGTCACATTGATTGATTTTAATATGTTGAACTACCCTTGCATCCTAGAAATAAATCCCACTTGGCCGTGGTATGTGATTCTTTCAATGTGCTGTGCTGTTAAACTTGGTTTATTAGTATTCTGTTGAGGATTTCATTTGTGTTTTTGAGACCCAACACAGAAGGAGAGATGACAGGAACAGGATGAGAACTGGTTGGAGGAAGGATGGAGATTCTAGTCCTTGGGCGGCAGTTGGAGATGGCAGGTTTAGAAGAAGGAGCTGGAGAATTAGGAAAATAGCCAGTCAGAAACGATTGACAGTCAGGAAAAAGCTGCCAACTGGATCAAAACATTTGGTACAAAAACAAATCATACTAAGTCCAGGGGTGGTTTAGTAGTCAAAGAATCTTAAAGAGTCAGCAACTGTGGAGTTACTTTGTCACCAGGCCCTGTTGTAGCAGTCTGAGTTAATTCTGACATGTATCTGCAGGGAGGCTATGATTAAGTAACCTCCTTTCTCTGACTATGAAATGGGGTTAAGCAAGAGCTTGCAGTGGGAGATAATCATCAGAGACTTCAGATGCAGACAGCAGGAGATCCAGGGGCTGGGAAAGCCAGGCAGAGGTTCAGCACTCACTCTCAAAACCTCATAACTTTTCTCATTACTCACCTCACCCTCTTCTTCCTTCTACCACCCTCCACCTTTATCTTCCTTCCTTCTCCCTTCTCCTCCTCCTCTTCCTTCTCTCTTTCTTCCCCTCCCCCTCTTTCTCTTTCATCCTTTTTCTTCCTTCTTGCTGCTATTTTTCTTAAATCTTCATGGACACTGTGTACAGAAAATAGATAGGGAGGAACTAACATCATTTGTCTTTGCTACACTCTTGTTATCTTTATACTCTCAGTTCCCTGCAGATTCACATCCCCTCCCCAATATAGATCAATTGAGCTGAGAGGCTGCAACCAGACCGAAGTTTGTTGATTTTTAAAAATAATTTATATTGTATATATTAAAGGTAGACAACATGATGTTATAATATACATACAGATGGCAAAATGGTTAATATAGTAAAGCAAATCAACATATTCATTATCTCACTTAGTAACCTGCTTTTTAAAATGTGTTTTGTTTTTCTTGAGCAAAAGCAGCTAAAATCTATTAATTTAGCAAAAATGGTGAATACAATACAATATTATTAACTATTGTCCTCATATTTTATATTAGATCTCTAGGCTTGTTTATCCTCTATATCTGCCACTTTGTATCCTTTGACCTACATCTCCCCGTTTTCTCCTTTCTCAACTTTCAACCTCCACTTTCTATCCCTAGTAACCATTGTTTTATTCTCTATCGTATGTATTTGCCTTTTTTTTTAATTTCACAAAATAAATGAGATCATGCAATATTTGTCTTTCTGTGTCTGGCTTATTTTTTTTCTTTTCCAGCTTTGACTTTAGGCTGCACACAGCATGGAGACCTTGGGCCCGGCTATGAAACCACTTTTTCCTCCTAGGCCTCTGGGCCTGTGATGGGGGGGTTTGACATGAAGACCTCTTGAATGCCCTGGAAAAATTTTCCACATTGTCTTGGGGTTAACATTTGGCTTCTCATTTCTTATGCAACTGTTTGAATTTCTCCTCAGAAAATGGGATTTTCTTTTCTATTGCATTGGCAGTCAACAAATTTTTTGAACCTTCTATGCTTTGCTTCCCTTATAAAACTGATTGCCTTTAACAGCACCCAAGTCACCTCTTGAATGCTTTTCTGCTTAGAAATTTCTTCCGCAAGATACCCGAAATCATCTCACTCCAGTTGAAAGTTCCACAAATCTCTAGGGCAGGGGCAAAATATCACCATTGTCTTTGGTAAAACATAACAAGAGTCACCTTTGCTCTGGTTCCCAACAAGCTCTTCATCTCCATCTGAGACCTCCTCAGCCTGGACTTTATTGTCCATATCGCTATCAGCATTTTGGGCAAAGCCATTCAACAAGTCTCTAGGAAGTTCCAAACTTTCCCATATTTTCCTGTCTTCTTCTGAACCCTCCAAACTCTTCCAACTTCTGCTTGTTACCCAGTTCCAAAGTCGCTTCCACATTTTCAGGTATCTTTTCAGCTACACCCCACTGTGGTACCAATTTACTGTATTAGTCCGTTTCCGTGGTGCTGATAAAGACATACCTTAGCCTGGGTAATCTATATAGGAAAAGGGGTTTAATGGACTTACATTTCCACATGGCTGGGGAGGCCTCACAATCATGGTGGAGGGCAAGGAGGAGCAAATCATATCTTATGTGGATGGCAGCAGGCAAAGGGAGAGCTGGTTCAGGGAAACTCTCATTTTTAAAACCATCAGATCTTGTGAGACTCATTCACTATCACTATAATTCAATCACCTCCACAGGGTTCCTCCAATGACACGTGGAAATTGTGGAAGTTACATATCCCATATAGCCAAATCATATCAGGCAGGATATGTTAACTGAACATTTACTCATGCTTTTGTACTTTCTTATATTCACTTTTTTGTTGTTGATAAAGTTTCCTTATATAAATATTCATCTTTCTTTGCCTTTGCCAGGGGAAGAGGAAAAAAGAAGGTTTTGGTTCATGTCTAGGCCTGGAGAGGGGAGCCATTTAGCACAAAAATTTAGTTAGCACTTAGCCTTAAGAGTAGCCTAGGAGAGAGGTGAGAATTCAGTGGGTGAGGGAGGTCTGGCCAGAGACCTCTTGAGCATTTCTTCCTGACCATCTAGAGTTGTCTAGGCACAAGCTCATCTTTGTGTATTGCTTTGAGAATTTGTGTTTGATGTGTCTTAGAGTGGTGAAAATACTTCCAATCGCACAGCTGGTGGGTGAGGTAGGATCAGGAGGAGGGGGAGAGGACTCTTAGATTTGATTTGCCAGTCTGTATGTTCTAGGAATCCCAAGAGGGAGCTTTGGACAAAGTTTCATATAGTAATCATTTATCAGGTATACTTGCATTCAGTGAGTTTGTTTACCTTAGATGAACTAAGTTGGCACCCCTTAACACCACCCCTGAATTCTGTCTAAAAAGATGCAATTTCACATCTTGGACAACTGTACTTGATGTGAACTCCTGACACACTGGTCAATTGAAACTATCTGCATGTAAAACAGCTTTGTTTTTCCTTGCCCTGTAATGGATCATATTAATACATAGTCCCGCTCAAGACCAAAACTCTTTAGGACCAGCCTAGTGTAATTCCTCTTGGCCAGCTCTGGAGAGGACTGGGCTATGAATCATGCACAAAAGCCTAAGTGAAATGAACATGGACATCTTCATTCCTGGGTAGTCTGAGTTTCCAGTCAGTTTATCTTCCCTGGGTTCAAGGCTCATTTATACTGGAGGTTGTGCTGGGTAGAGAAAAACACTGATGATGAACCTATTGCAACAATTTGGTTGACCTGGGAGGTAGACTGGCCCATGATAAATTAGGATGACCTTTAGATTCTTACAGGCAATTGATAATGATGTTTACATTCCAGAAAAGGCCTAAAAGGTTATCTTCCAGACCTTCTTAAAAAGTGTTGACTGAATTTGAGGAAATCTCTAAGAGACTTCTGAGCAGCTACAATAGTCAGGTGGTCAAATAACACACCAATCTCAAACATAATAAAAGCTTCTCTGCCCTTTGAAGCAGAATTTGGAGTGTTCTGGTAAAACAACTTTCTCAATGCTCTCTGTCATATCTTGTTTTCTTTTTAACATCTCTTAATTTTATGTCTTTCTTTTCTCAATTCTCAGATTGCCAAAGAGAATATTTGAGATCTCATAGACTATTTTTTTTGAGACAGGGACTTGCTCTGTCACCCAGACTAGAGTGCAGTGGCATGATCTCAGCTCACTGCAACGTCCACCTCCTGGGTTCAAGCAGTTTCCTGCCTCATCCTCCCAAGTAGCTGGGACTACAGGCACAAGATGCCCAGCTAATTATTGTATTTTTAGTAGAGACATGTTTCACCATGTTGGCCAGGCTGGTCTCGAACTCCTGATTTCAAGTGATCCACCTGCCTTAGCCTCCCAAAGTGCTGGGATTATAGATGTGAGCCACCGTGCCTGGCCTCATAGACTACCCTCAACAACAAATGTGGATACCCATATTTTCTAGGGGATGATGGTTGGGAGGGATATAATCAAGGATATTTATCCTAATCATTACAGGTTCTGGCTAAGAGCCTTTACTAGAGTAATTCCTCAGTTTCAGATCAAAATTTTAAACTAATTATTGGCGTTGCTTTTTGGATATTGGAATGGCATTCCCCTATGAGCTTCCTAGGGCTACCATAACAAAATACCACAAAACTGGGTGGCTTAAAGCAACAAAAATTTATTCTTTCATGGTTCTAGAGGTTGGAAGTCTGAAATCCAGGTGTTAGTAGGATTGGTTCATTCTGGAGGATGTGAGAAAGAATTTGCTCTATGCCTGTCTTTTAGCTTCTGGTAGCTTCTGGCAATCCTTGGCGTTCATGACTTATAGACACATCACTTCAATCTCTGCCTCCAACTTCACATGGCCATCTCCATTTATGTGTGTCTTCAGGGAGTGTCTTCAACTCCCTTTCCCCTTATGAGGACATCAATCATAAGATTTAGGGCCTATTGAAGTTTATAGCATTGAATGCCTACACAAAACACACACAAAAATAGACAGATCACAAATTAACAACCTAATGTCACATCTCAAGCAACTAGAAAAACAAGAACAAACCAAACCCAAAGCTAGCAGAAGAAAAGAAATAACAACGATCAGAGGAGAACTAAATGAAATTGAGACCAAAAACAAAACCCAGTGGATCAATGAAACAAAAAGTTTGTTCTTTGAAAAGATGAAATTGATAACCACTAGCTAGACTAAGAAAAAAAGAAGAGGGCAGATCCAAATAAACACAATCAGAAATAAAAAAGAAGATATTACCGCTGAGACCACAGAAATACAAAAGATCATCAGAGATTTATAAACAACTGTATGCTCACAAACTAGAAAACCTAAAGAAATTGGATAAATTCCTGGAACATACAACCTTCTAGGATTGAACTGGGAAGAAATAGAAATTATGAACAGACCAATAATGAGTAGTGAGATCAGTAATGAAAAACCCTCCCAGCAACAATAAAAAAAGACCAGGACTGAATGGATTCACAGGCGAATTCTACCAAATGTACAAAGAAGAACTGGTACCCATCCTCCAGAAACTGTTCTAAAAAATCAAGGAGGAGGAAGTTATCTCTAACTCATTCTTTTTAATTTTTTTTTTCTTTTCCTTGAGATAGAATCTCACTCTCCTCCTGGGTTCAAGCAATTCTCATGCCTCTGCCGCCCAAATAGCTGGGATTACAGGTATGTGCCACCATGCCCGGCTAATTTTTGCATTTTTTTTCTTTGGAAGAGACAGGGTTTCGCCATGTTGTCCAAGCTAGTCTTGAACTCCTGGCCTCAAGTGATCCCCCTGCCTCGGCCTCCCAAAGTTCTGGGATTATTTAAGTGAGCTACCATGCCTGGCCCAATTCCCTAACTCATTCTATGAGGCCAGGATCACCCTGATACTAAGGCCAGACAAGGACACAACAACAAAAGAACCTACAGACCAATATCCCTGATGAACGTAGATGGAAAAGTCCTCAACAAAATACTAGCAAACCCAACCCAACAATATATAAAAAAGATAATACACCATGATGAAGCGAGTTTTATTCCAGGGGTACAAAGACAGTTCAACACACATAATCAATAAATGTGATTCATCACATAAACAGAATTAAGGATGAAAACCAGATGATTACCTCAATAGATGCAAAAAAAAGCATTTGATAAAATTCAAAATCCCTTCATAATAAAAACACTTGACAAACTAGACACAGAAGGAGTATACCTCAAAATAATAAAGGCAGTGTATGACAAACCTACAACCAATATTATACTAAATGGGGAGAAGTTGAAAGCATTCCCCCTAAGAACTGGAAGAAGACAAGTATGCACACTTTTACCTCTCTTATATATCATAATACTGGAAGCCTTGGCCAGAGACATAAGGCAAAAAAAAAAAAAAAAAAAAAAAAAGAAGACATTTTTTGGAAAAGAAGTCAAATTATTTCTGTTCACTGATGATATGATCTTATATCTAGAACATCCACAAGACTCCACCAATATCTCTTACACTTGGTAAATGAATTCAGTAAGTATATTGGTCCATTCTCATGCTACTATAAAGGACTACCTGGCTGGGCGCGGTGGCTCACGCCTGTAATCCCAGCACTTTGGGAGGCCGAGGCGGGTGGATCACGAGGTCAGGAGATCGAAACCATCCTGGCTGACACGGTGAAACCCCGTCTCTACTGAAAAATACAAAAAAATCAGCTGGGCGTGGTGGCGGGCGCCTGTAGTTCCAGCTACTCCGGAGGCTGAGGAGATTGGCTTGAACCTGGGAGGCGGAGCTTGCAGTGAGCTGAGACCACGCCACTGCACTCCGGCCTGGGCGACAGAGCAAGATTCCCTCTCAAAAAAAAAAAAAAAAAGGACTACCCAAGATTCGGTAATTTATAAAGGGAAGAGGTTTAATTGACTCACAGTTCGGTATGGCTGTGGAGGCCTCAGGAAACTTACATTCATGGCAGAAGGGGAGGCAAACACAACCTTCTTCACATGATGGCAGGAAGGAGAAGTGCCAAGCACAAGGGGGAAAAGCCCCTGATAAAACCATCAGATCTCATGAGAACTCACTCACTATCACAAGAACAGCAGCATGGGGGTAACCACACCCATGATTCAATTACCTCCCACCAAGTCCCTCTCACAATGCGTGGGGATTATGGGAACTACAATTCAAGATGTGATTTAGGTGGGGACACAGCCAAACCATATCAGTAAGGTTTCAGGATACAAAATCAATGTGCACAAATCACTAGTATTTCTATATACCAATTATGATCATGCTGACAACCAAATTAAGAAGGCAATCACATTTACAGTAGCTACAAAAAAATAAAATACCTAGGAATATATTTAACTGAGGAGGTGAAATATTTCTTTTTTTTTTTTTTTTTTTTAAATTTATTTTTTTATTGATAATTCTTGGGTGTTTCTCACAGAGGGGGATTTGGCAGGGTCATGGGACAATAGTGGAGGGAAGGTCAGCAGATAAACAAGTGAACAAAGGTCTCTGGTTTTCCTAGGCAGAGGACCCTGCGGCCTTCCGCAGTGTTTGTGTCCCTGATTACTTGAGATTAGGGAGTGGTGATGACTCTTAACGAGCATGCTGCCTTCAAGCATCTGTTTAACAAAGCACATCTTGCACCGCCCTTAATCCATTTAACCCTGAGTGGACACAGCACATGTTTCAGAGAGCACAGGGTTGGGGGTAAGGTCACAGATCAACAGGATCCCAAGGCAGAGGAATTTTTCTTAGTGCAGAACAAAATGAAAAGTCTCCCATGTCTACTTCTTTCTACACAGACACGGCAACCATCCGATTTCTCAATCTTTTCCCCACCTTTCCCGCCTTTCTATTCCACAAAGCCGCCATTGTCATCCTGGCCCGTTCTCAATGAGCTGTTGGGCACACCTCCCAGACGGGGTGGTGGCCGGGCAGAGGGGCTCCTCACTTCCCAGTAGGGGCGGCCGGGCAGAGGCGCCCCTCACCTCCCGGATGGGGCTGCTGGCCGGGCAGGGGGGCTGACACCCCCCACCTCCCTCCCGGACGGGGCGGCTGGCCGGGCGGGGGGCTGACCCCCCCACCTCCCTCCCGGACGGGGCGGCTGGCCGGGCAGAGGGGCTCCTCACTTCCCAGTAGGGGCAGCCGGGCAGAGGTGCCCCTCACCTCCCGGACGGGGTGGCTGGCCGGGCAGGGGGGCTGAACCCCCCCCACCTCCCTCCCGGACGGGCGGCTGGCCGGGCGGGGGGCTGACCCCCCCACCTCCCTCCCGGACGGGGCGGCTGGCCGGGCAGAGGGGCTCCTCACTTCCCAGTAGGGGCGGCCGGGCAGAGGTGCCCCTCACCTCCCGGACGGGGCGGCTGGCCGGGCAGGGGGGCTGACCCCCCCCACCTCCTTCAGGACGGGGTGTCTGGCCGGGCGGGGGGGCTGACCCCCCCACCTCCCTCCCGGACGGGGCGGCTGGCCGGGCAGAGGGGCTCCTCACTTCCCAGTAGGGGCGGCCGGGCAGAGGCGCCCCTCACCTCCCGGATGGGGCTGCTGGCCGGGCAGGGGGGCTGACCCCCCCCACCTCCCTCCCGGACGGGGTGGCTGGCCGGGCGGGGGGCTGACCCCCCCACCTCCCTCCCGGACGGGGCGGCTGGCCGGGCAGAGGGGCTCCTCACTTCCCAGTAGGGGCAGCCGGGCAGAGGTGCCCCTCACCTCCCGGACGGGGCGGCTGGCCGGGCAGGGGGGCTAAACCCCCCCCACCTCCCTCCCGGACGGGGCGGCTGGCCGGGCGGGGGGCCGACCCCCCCACCTCCCTCCCAGACGGGGCGGCTGGCCGGGCAGGGGGGCTAAACCCCCCCCACCTCCCTCCCGGACGGGGCGGCTGGCCGGGCGGGGGGCCGAGCCCCCCACCTCCCTCCCAGACAGGGCGGCTGGCCGGGCGGGGGGCTGACCCCCCAACCTCCCTCCCGGACGGGGCGGCTGGCCGGGCAGAGGGGCTCGTCACTTCCCAGTAGGGGCGGCCGGGCAGAGGCGCCCCTCACCTCCCAGACGGGGCGGCTGGCCGGGCGGAGGGCTGACCCCCCCACCTCCTCCGGACGGGGCGGCTGGCCAGGCAGGGGCTGACCCCCCCCACCTCCCTCCCGGACGGGGCGACTGGCCGGGTGGGGGGGCTGACCCCCCCATCTCCCTCCCGGACGGGGTGGCTGGCCGGGCTGAGGGGCTCCTCACTTCCCAGTAGGGGCAGCCGGGCAGAGGCACCCCTCACCTCCCGGATGGGGCGGCTGGCCAGGCGGGGGGCTGACCCCCCCACCTCCCTCCCGGACGGCACGGCTGGCCAGGCGGGGGGCTGACCCCCCCACCTCCCTCCCGGATGGGGCGGCTGCCGGGCGGAGACGCTCCTCACTTCCCAGATGGGGTGGCTGCCGGGCGGAGAGGCTCCTCACTTCTCAGACGGGGCAGCTGCCGGGCGGAGGGGCTCCTCACTTCTCAGACGGGGTGGTTGCCAGGCAGAGGGTCTCCTCACTTCTCAGACGGGGTCTCGGCCGGGCAGAGGCGCTCCTCACATCCCAGATGGGGCGGCGGGGCAGAGGCACTCCCCACATCTCAGATGATGGGCGGCCGGGCAGAGACGCTCCTCACTTCCTAGATGTGATGGCGGCTGGGAAGAGGCGCTCCTCACTTCCTAGATGGGATGGCGGCCGGGCGGAGACGCTCCTCACTTTCCAGACTGGGCAGCCAGGCAGAGGGGCTCCTCACATCCCAGACGATGGGCGGCCAGGCAGAGACACTCCTCACTTCCCAGACGGGGTGGCGGCCGGGCAGAGGCTGCAATCTCGGCACTTTGGGAGGCCAAGGCAGGCGGCTGCTCCTTGCCCTCGGGCCCCGCGGGGCCCGTCCGCTCCTCCAGCCGCTGCCTCCCGGGCGGCCGAGGTGAAATATTTCTACAAGGAAAACTACAAAATATTGATGAAAGAAATTGTAGACGACACAAGCAAATGGAAAACTATCTTATTTAATGGATCAGAAGAATTAGTATCATTAAAATGACCATAATGCCCAAAACAATCTACAGATTTAATGCAATTTCCATCAAAATGCCAACATCGAGTTTCACAGAATTGGGGAAAAAAATCTTAAAATTTATATGGAACCAAAAAAAATCCCAAATAGTGAAAGCAATCCTAAGCAAAAAGAACGAAGCTGGAGGCATCACATTAACTGACTTCAAGCTACACAACAAAGCTACAAAAACACCATGGTACTGATACAAAAATAGACACATAGACAAGTGGAACAGAATAGAGAAGGCAGAAATAAAGCAGCATACCTATAACCAATTGATCTTCAACAAAGTCAACAAAAACAAGCTAATGGAAAAAGGATCCCTATTCAATAAATGATGCTGGGAAAACTGGCTAGCCATATGCAGAAGAGTGAAACAGGACCCCTATCTCTCATCATAAACAAAAAGCAACTCGAGATGAATCAAAGACATAAATGTAAGACTTGAAACTATAAAAATATTAGAAGAAAACCTAGGAAAAACTCTTCTGGACATTAGTCTAGGTAAAGAATTCATTACTAAGACCTCAAAAGCACAAGCAACAACAACAAAAATAGAAAAATGGGACTTAATTAACCTAAAAAGCTGCTGCACAGCAAAATAAATAATCAACAGAATGAACAATCTTCAGAATGGGAGAAAATATTCACAAACTATGTATCCAACAGGGGACTAATATCCAAAATTTACAAGGAATTCACATGACTCAAGAACAACAAAAAATCCAAGTAATCCCATTAAAAAGTGGGCAAAAACCATAAAAAGACATGTCTTCTCGAAAGAAGGCATACAAATGGCTAACAAACATATGAAAGAATGCTCATTATATCACTAATCTCAGAAAAATGCGAATTAAAACCACAATGAGATATCATCTCACACCAATAGGAATAACTATTATTAAAAAGTAAAAAAAAAAAAAAAAAAAGATGTTGGTGAAAACGTGAAGAAAAGGGAATGCTTATACACTTCTGGTGGCAATATAAATTAGTATAACAATTATGGAAAATAGTATGAAGAATTCGCAAAGAACTAAAAATAGAACTACCATTTGATCCAGCAATCACACTACTGGATGTATAACCAAAGGTAAAGAAATAATTATATCAAAAGATACCTACACTCATACTTATCTTAGCACTGTTCACAATAACATATGAAATCAACCTAAGTGTCCATCAGTCGATAATTAGATAAAGAAAATGTGGTATATACACCCAGCGTAATACTATTCAGTCATAAAAAGAATGAAATCATGTCTCTTGCAGCAGCAAGGATGGAACTGGAGGCCATTATCCTAAGTGAAGCAATTCACAAATAGAAAGTCAAGGCCGGGCACGGTGGTTCACCCATGTAATCCCAGAACTTTGGGAGGCTGAGGCAGGAGGATCATGAGGTCAGGAGTTCGAGACCAGCCTGGCCAATATGGCGAAACCCCATCTCTACTAAAAATACAAAAAAAAAAAAAAATTAGCTGCACGTGGTGGCAGGCACCTGTAATCCTAGCTACTCAGGAGGCTGAGGGAGGAGAATTGCTTGAACCCGGGAGGCAGAGGTTACAGTGAGCCAAGACTGTGCCATTGCACTCCAGCCTGGGCAACAGAGTGAGACTCCATCTCAAAAAAAAAAAGGTCAAATACCAAATGTTCTCAGTTATAAGTGGGAGCTAAATAGTATGTATACATGGACATGGAGTGTGGAACAATAGACATTGGAGACTTGGAATGGTGGGGCGTGGTGGTGACAGATGAGAAATTACTTATGTACATTATTCAAGTGATGGCTATATTAAAAGCCCAGACTTCAATACTATGTAATATATTCACGTAACAAAACTGCACTTATACCCCTTAAATTTATAAAAAGAAAAAAATTAGGGCCTACCCTAGTCGAATATGACCTCATCATAACTTGATTACATCTATTGTCTGTTATGTTTCGAAATAAGGTCACATTCACACGTACCAGGGATTAGGACTTCAACATATGTTTTTGGGAGGCCCACTTCAACTCATAGTAGTCCCCATCAACAATTCCAAAGCCCAAATCATGATCTCACCCTTAAAACTCTGCGTCAAACTTTCCATTCAGTTCATTCATTCATTTATTCAGCATTGCTAGGCTTAATTGTTGGTGCCAAAATAAGACAGTGAAAATCAAGAAAAACCATGAAAATCATTTGTGCAAGTCTGAAAGCATTTTATATGTTATCACATCCGCCCATTCCCAAATCCAAACAATTATCAAGTCTTGCTGACTTCATTTTTTGAATACGTCTCACATCCATTCCTTTTTTTTTTTTTTTCCAATTCCACCTCTACCTTCATCTCTGGAGTCCAAATTCTCATATTCTCCTGCCTGGACATCTGTAATAGCCTTCTAAATGCGAATCACATTTAATTCTCATTCTGTCTAATGAGTTACTACTCTAAGGTTAGATTTCCTCCTACAACCTCCCTCCCTGCCCAGACTTAAAACACTTCAATGATTTTCCAATATTTTTAGAGTAAAGCCAAACTTGAGTTGGGCACAGTGGCACGTGCCTGTAGTCCCAACTACTTGTGAGGCTGAGTCAGGAGCATATTTTGAGCCCATTCACTTAAGCCCAGGAGTGTCAGGCCATCCTGGGCAACATAACTCATCTCTTTAAAAAAAAGAATAAAGCCAAACTCCTCAACATGGCTGATGAAACTCTGGGTGGTGGACTTTACCCACTTGTCTAGCCTCGGCTCACACCATACCCCACCCCTCACTTCCTCAGCTCCAACCACATTGGTCTTCTTTCAGTCTCTCAAATTTTAAAATGTGTACAGATTGCTAGGGAATCTTGTTAAAATGCAGATTCTGGTTAAGTCAATCTGGAATTGTGCCTGAGAGTCTGCGTTTCTGATTAGCTCCCACGTGGTACAAAGGTTGATGGTCCAAAACTCTGTTTGAATCCGAAGGTTTGCCAGTTTCCGTGCTCCCTTGGCATATGCTTTTGCACATGTTCCTGGCTTTCCTCAACACTCTTTCCTCCTCTCTTCACTTGAACCCATTGTTCAGATCTCAATTATTATCTCTTCTCGTGGAAGTCTTCTCTGACCTTCCTGACTAGGCCAAATCCCCCCAATCCCAGTGCGAAGTCTCAGGGACTCTGTCTCTCCTTAGCACTTAGCATAGTTGAGTTCTATGTTTTCTGTGCACATTTTTAAAATCATATATTTGTCTCCCCCAAGACCATTGGCTCCATGATGGAGTGTCTGTTTCTGATTGCCATCGCATCCCCAGAATCCACATAGCATGGGGTTTTCAGATGAGACACTTAATAAATATTTGTTGAGGCACTTGGATCTCTCAGGTCGCCCACTTGGCCCTCTTCCAATTGTACGTTAATTCCTGCCACTTGTGGTAAAAGCTTTTTTTTTTTTTTTTGAGACGGGGTCTCGCTCTGTCGCCCGGGCTGGAGTGCAGTGGCGCCATCTCGGCTCACTGCAAGCTCCGCCTCTTCGGTTCACGCCATTCTCCTGCCTCAGCCTCCCGAGTAGCTGGGACTACAGGCTCCCGTCACCATTCACTCCTGCTCTAAAATTTGCCTTGGTCACTTCCTCTGTTTTATGCCCCTCTGCCGAATTCTTTCCTCTTAGGAGGCAAGAATCAAGTTTGTTGCAGACTCTTTGGATTCGCTGCTGCCACATGACTTGGATACGTTCCGTAGTGGTAAGACACCTCTATCCCTTGCCTTCTTTGGCTGGAGGCATTTCACCCCTGTGTGTGGTTTCCTTAAAAATGAATGGATGGATGAATAAATAAATAAATAAATAAATATTTGTTGAATGAATGAATCAGTGGTACCGAGTTCTTAACAGCCTTTTCTTTTACTAACAGGGTAAAAGGATGATTTAATTAAGTTGCCCTGTGGATGTTTAGACTCTCTATAAGAAAATGGCTTTGGTTTCCCCAGACTGTTCAGCAGAGATTCTGCTGCTTCTATTCTGGGTTGCTTCTGATGTTGTTAACAACCTTTGCACACACTCTGGGTTTGTTTCTGCCTTGTGGCTGCTGAGCTCAGATGGTGACCTGGGGTTAATAAAATCATGTCTCTGCAAGCAAGAGAGAGCCTCTCTGGTTATTTCAAATAGCGGGGGCTTGATTGTAAGGTTGTATGTGGAAATTAGGTAGATGGGATCTTAGCTGGGTAGGCAGTCCACTCAGACAACAGAGCACTACAAGGTTGCCTGGAGTTAAATGCAGCTCTTGAGGCAGCTCTTGTCACTGTGTCAATATCGCAAGTTGATTGCTCTCTGGTGTCTGGCTCCACCACTAAGACAGCTCAGCTGTTCTTCCTGTCCCTGGATTACTTGGAGTATCCTTCAATTTCTGTTTTTGCCACTGCTTGTTCTCTCCCAATATGAAGTGCTCGTTCACAGTTTCCATCACTTTCTGGTTTCTGTGGCATCACTGCATCTGCTGGCTGCCTTCTTAGCTTTTACTCCCTGGTGTCTGCTGCTCGTATTCTCCATATACCTTGCATTCAAATTTTATTGCTTTGTTTAATCACAGTGTAGTCTTTTTCTGATTCTTACGCCACAAGCCTAGGCCACTAACAGGCCCATATCATCATATTTGCTGCCTATGAGCTTGATGCTCTCCTGGTCCAAGCAGGTCTGAGAAGGACAGTATGCTTACATGCAGCAGCGTGCTGGAGATCCCCAAGAGATGATTGTTAAATATTTAGGAAATTGATGAGCCCAGTTAAACAGCTGGTAGCTTGAAATCAGCCAAAGTAGGAAAATTTACACCACAGAAATTGGCAAAGGATATATATGTCGGGGCCCCATTTTTCCCTACAGAGCCAGTTTCCCAACACATGAATAGAATAAAAAACAAGGCTCCACTCCAAGGAAGCATTCAGAGCCATTTCCCTTGGTTATGTGGTTGCTATTCCAAGGCTTCCCTAATGGGGCAGTATGATCAGCAAGTCCCTTACATGGCTAGTTCAGTCTAACATGGTCACTCCCAGGACTTCCAAAGTAGACACAGACACCTTTCATTGCTGTTGCTACCCAATTGCTGCTATACTTATGTTTTAGAATGAGTTTCTTGGGAAACAAAGTCTGAGATGAGAATTTGTGTGCAGAATCTTATTAGGGAGTACTCTTGGGTTCAACTCTTAGAGGGGAGTGGAGGTACGATTATACAAAGGGAGGAGTTCAGCTGTGATGCAGTCACCAAAAAAGACATCAGGCAATTCCATCAGGAGGACCAGCCGTTAGATGAGGGCTGAGGGCTGCCTGTCGGAGCAGCTCTCTTCAGAATAGAGTGAGTCCCAGGGAGAAACTCTGGGCGGAGAACCATCAGCCACCAACACTCCCAGTGCCTGGGGGAATGAGCGTCTCAGTTTTGAAGGGGAATCTGTACGGCTCATGCATATTCACTTATATGAAGGGAAAAAAGCGTAAGAGTTATTAAAGTTTCTTTAGAACATATTAAAGTTGTTTTCATTAAGTTCTTGAGCAGGAAAACTTTGATAATTTGACAACAAATCTCTAAGGGTTGTAATTCTACTTCTATATCTTTCTGTTTTTCTGAGCCCTCATCTCCTGAAAACATGGTGACCCCAGTTTCCTCACCAGGAGGATCAGAGGACAAAATCACTGACATTTCATAGTATCACACTTACCTATCTTAATCTTCCGTGCTTAACTCTGCCCTTCTCTCCACTCAGGGCATTCCTGTCTCCAGCATTAGGTGTAACAGACTCAGGATTACATAGTGCTTATGCTGCAGACTTTTTCCCTTTACCTTCACATCCCTCCATCCTGGCATTGGTTTTAATGTTTCTCACCCCTCCCTTTCTGGCAGGCCTCTTGTACTTTTTTGTAGGTTGACTTGCCAAATTACAGATTTGGTCCTTCCAAGAAGTGTGACCTTGGAGAAACCTTGGCAGATATGGCACTTTAAGGATGGTTACAAGTTCTTTGACTTTCTTTCCATCAGGAGATTGGATGGGGGTGGGACGTCTATGGCCTTTTGCCTTGAAAATGTGTGGCTCAGTGACTGCTTTAACAGTAGAAAATGGCGGAAATAATATTGTACTACCTGTTGAGCTCAGCCTTTAAGAAATTAGCAGGTTCTATTCTGGTTCTTAGAAAACTTTCTTTAAGAGCCCTAAGCCATGTGAGAAATGCAACTACCTGAGGCCTCATGCCAGAGAGGCCAGCATGGGTGCTCTGGTCCATGGCCCCAGCTGAGCCCAGCCTGCCAGTCATCCCTGCCAGTGTGCCAGACACGGGCATGAAGCCGCATTGGATCCTCCGCACAACATATCTGCCAGCCAAATACCTGAGCAACCTCAATCAATGCCGCATGGAGTGGAAAAATCACCCAGGTGAGTCCTGCCTGAATTCCTGATACACAAGATCTTAAGATATAATAAAACAAGTCCCGCTTTAAGCTGCTAACATTTGAATTGATCTATTACACAGCAATAAATCATGGAAACATCAGGTACATAGCATTCTAAATCACTGACCAAGATGATGCTGGTATTTTTTTTCTTTTTCTTTTTCTGGTTTTTTTTTTTTTTTTTTTTTTGGAGACAAAGTCGTGTTTTGTCACCCAGGTTGGAGTGGCATAATCACGACTCACTGCCTCAACTTCCCAGGTTCAAGTGATCCTCCCACCTCAGCCTCCTAAGTAGCTGAGACTACAGGCACGCACCACTACACCCGGCTAATTTTTGTATGTTTTTGTAGAGACAGCGTTTCACCATGTTTCCCAGGCTGGTCTTGATCTCCTGAACTCAAGTGATCCACCTGCCTTGGCCTCCCAACGTGGTGGTATTTTCTTCATAATTGTTTAATGAATGCTGCAACTAAGTGTCCCAAAATGTATTGCCAATTTAAATATGTAGTTCAAACTTCACTGAGAAACTAAGAGGCTAAGTTCTCTTTCTGTTATCTGCCTGGACATAAAGACGTATGTTTGGAGATGGCAGCCTTTTTTTCTGTTAGATGAGTAGATATGGAGAGTGCCAGGCACTCTTCTTTGTGTTTTCTCCCCTCTTTTCCCTTTCCCTTGGATTATAGTCCTTTTGATCCAACTTATATATAACCTTATAGAAACGAATAGAGGGTTAAAAGCTGTGGTGTTTGGGGCCTCCTTCCCTCCTTTCAGAACACAGTGTAATCCTAGGACTTACGCCATTTACCCTTTGGGAGATGTATCTCTCCACAAGGACAGAGGGTTAGATTTTCAATTCTTGGGGACAATAAGTTTATTCATTTGAAGCAAAGCTCCAAAAATCTGACCTTGCTAAGAAGATGCTATTATCCGATCTCCTTCCACTGGGGAGAAATCACTTTTCAATAAAAAATTTCTATTGTTTTTACAAAGAGAGAATATAATTTTTACTAAATTACAATGAACATGATGTAGACTTTATAGAAGGAAATAGGATTGAGAAATTATCCCTAAATGAAATCAGACAATGCACAAAGAGAACATAACTTGTGCATACAGAGGCTTTGTTCCTGTGAGCCTTGCTATTGTAAAATCTCACGTAGTCAAAGAAGCAAAGATACTTCAAGCAGAATCCTGAGAATTCTTGTAATTTGCTTTCTAATTCTGCATTCCCTGCCCTTCCCTGGTGTGCTTTTAGGTAAGCATGGAGAAGATGAATGAACACGCAGGGAAATAGAACAGAAATGTTAACTACACTGTTCACAAGAGTAACTCAATCACACTTTCTTATGTGCATTAGAATTATAGAGATGAAGAGGGATTTCATTCCAATCCCTCTTTTACTCATTAGGTAAAAGGAGGCACAGAGAATTTAAATGACTTGTTCAGAATCACATAGCCAGTTTTTGTTACATTGGGATTAGAAAACCAGCAATTGTTTGTACTATGACTACATCAACTCCTACTTTAATAACAATATTTATCCTTTCCAGAGTATTTGTTGACCTCTATCTAATATAGGGTACTGTGCCAGTCATTGGTTATGAGGAGCTGAATAAGACAGAGACAGCCCTGGCATCATGGAACTTACTCAAAGCAATCTGGTGGGACAGTAAAAAATGGTACTATTCAATGCGGTATGGTGCTCATAAGATGACAATCAAATTAAACTTTTCTTAGCATAGTCTTACTTATTGAACTGATGGGACAGCCAGCATAGTTTCCTTTAGGATACTCTGATTCCCTAACATTCTAAGGGGAGAAAATTTACTCTTGGATCCTGCTTTTATTAAAGAAGTTAGAGATTAAGTTTACAGACTTTTTTCTGTTACTTTGCGGCAAGATCTGTCCTTGTTCTCACAGAAGCCTGGAGGCTGGTTAGTCACTCTCAGTTCTTCCTGCTAAGGTTGAGTCCTATAAACGCTTGTTAGTCTAATTTAGTTGTCAAGGAGGGCCACTTTTTACCCAGCCTCTTTTGGTTTAAACTCTTTGTCAAGCAGAACTGATTGAAACAAATAGAAAGGAAGACAAGTTGCTATTTTAATATAGAACATTTTGGTTTGTTAGAATTAGTATCTGGAAAAAGATTCCAGAGCAACAGAAAGATGCGACTCAGTTATACTTCCTGCATAAACATCTAAGCAGCAACAATTGAGTAAGAAACACATGTAAAGACAAGATGGGATGGGAATGTATTAGGATAAGCCACATGGAATTCCCTATATGCAACAATTTTGACCTACAAAAATGGCAGTGTTCTTTAATTCAAATATGTTCTATTGCATGTATCAAAATCAGTTCGATTTAGTAAATGTTCACGTTTATTTCTGAGCAAGGGCCTTGGGTAATTTTATCTCTGCATGACTCAGTTTCCTTATTTGAAAAGTTGGTATAATAGATGTTGTTTATTTATTTATTTACTGTTAAAACCAATTCGGCCAGGCGCGGTGGCTCACGCCTGTAATCCCACCACTTTGGGAGGCCGAGGCAGGTGGATCCCGAGGTCAGGAGATGGAGACCATCCTGGCTAACACGGAGAAACCCCGTCTCTACTAAAAAATACAAAAAATGAGCCTAGCGTGGTGGCGGGCGCCTGTAGTCCCAGCTACTCAGGAGGCTGAGGCAGGAGAATGGCGTGAACCCGGGAGGCTGGAGCTTGCAGTGAGCCGAGATCGCGCCACTGTACTCCAGCCTGGGCAACAGAGTGAGACTCCGTCTCAAACAAAAAAAAAAAAAAAAGAGAGAGAGAGAGAGAAAAAGCTTAAGCTTGTAAATTTGATGCAATCCCATTTGTCTGTTTCTGCTTTTGTTGCCTCTGTGTATCCAATAAATCATTGCCCAGATCAATGTGATGGAGCTTTTCCCTTATGTTTCCTTCCAGTAGCTTTATAGTTTCAGGTCTTATGTTTAAGTCTTTAATCCATTCTGAGTTGATTTTTGTATGTGGTGTAAGACAAGGGTCCAATTTCATTTTTCTGCATATGAGTGTCCAGTTTTCTCAACGTCATTTATTGAAGAGACTATCCTTTTTCCATTGGGTGTTCTTGGCACCTTTGTTGAAAATCAGTTGACTATAAATGCATGGGTTTATTTCTGTGCTCTCTGTCCTGTTCCATTGGTCAATGTGTCTATTTTTATGTCAGTACCATGCTGTTTTCAGTAGCACAGGATCCAGCTAAGACTCTGGGAGGAGCCCTAAGAATGTGATTACATCATCACATATTGTTGTAAACTTTACAAGAGAAACTACAATCTTCAGACTGGTGCAATCTCTTTCCTTTCTGACTTCCCCTTCATCATGGTTCACCTCATGCTGGGTGACATTGGTCATTTTTGGCAATTGGCTGAGGGAAGTTGAGTTGCGGATGCATTTAGACAGAGCAGAATACATTTGGGGGCTTCTGGTCACTTCCATGTATGGTTAAGTTGTGGCTAGTTGTTCCGAGGTGGGAGTAATTCCCAGATGTGTCTCATGGAATCTGGTTCTGTTAGCAGAAGAGAAAGAAAGCTTGGAATGGAGGGCATTAGAAACTAGTTTGGGGAAAATTTTTCCGGTCATCAAATGTGCAAAATTGCAAGCAAAGAATTCGCTTGTTTTTGAAGCCTCATTAAAGTGGAGCTTCCCTTTTGCAGCACATTGTAATGATAAGTACCCCATTTTTCCTTTTTTGATGGGGATCCGACAAAACAGAATTTACTATAATTCTTGTGTTTATAAAGTAAAACGAGTCATAGAAATACAAGTACATCTAAATGTGAAGTTACTTTTTAAAAATAAATCCCAACTATAATATTAGAAAAGCAATTTCAGTCAGTCATATTAAAACTAATTTTTTAACTCCTTTTAGAAAATATGAAACTGTTACCATATAAATATATCAATGAATATGTAGCAAAAAATGTAACGTGAAAAGTATTATGTCAGGCAGAATAAAAACATCTTATTTTTCAGAATTTCTTGGTATCTGTGGCTTTTATCAACTTCTAACTTTTTTTATTTTTAAATATTTTATTTATTTATTTATTTATTTATTTATTTATTTATTTATTTATCTTGAGACCGGGTCTCACTCTGACACCCAGGCAGGGGTGCAGTGGCATGATCTTGGCTCACTGCAGCCTTGATCTCGGGGGCTCGAGTGATTTCCCACCTCAGCCTCCTGAGTAGCTGGGGCTATAGGCCCATCACCACCACATCTGGCTAATTTTTTTTTTTTTTTTTTTTTGAGATGGAGTCTTGCTCTGTCACCCAGGCTGGAGTGCAGTGGTGCAATCTCGGCTCACTGCAAGCTCCGCCTCTTGGGTTCACGCCATTCTCCTGCCTCAGCCTCCCGAGTACTGAGACTATGGGTGCCCACCACCACGCCCAGCTAATTTTTTTGTGTTTTTAGTAGAGACAGGGTTTCTCCGTGTTAGCCAGAATGGTCTCCATCTCCTGACCTCGTGATCCGCCCACCTCCACCTCCCAAAGTGCTAGGATTACAGGCGTGAGCCACCGCGCCCGGCCACACCTGGCTAATTTTTTGTATTTAATTTTTTAATTGCTCTGATTTTATTTATCATATAAGTATTTCCCTTTATACTTAATTTTAGATTAATAATTGGGTATTTTTCTTAAAGAGGGTCTCTAAATCATGTATAATCTTTAGTTCCTACAAAACCTGGATTGAATCTTGAAAAGATCAGATAGATAGTTTTTCTAAGGTCACATAGCAATTGACAAAAGAAGCCAACAGAGCACAGAGCAGCTGTGCTATCTTTGGCCTTCTGCCCAGTACCTTAGTCTTTCTCTAGCTTTAAGAGAAATGTTAAACACAGTGCCACACTGGATATGCATTCCAGAAGGTATTCACGTATTTAAATTGATGTCACAAAATACATGAACATCAGAAGGATGTGACCCAGAAAGAAATGATTAATAATTCAATATTTTTATTAAACGGCAAATTTAGTTATAGGAAGATATTAAGTAAAATAAAAAATTAGCAGCATTTACTGTTTGTTTTACTTTTATATGTAGATGAGTAGAGTACAAATGTATATTCAACAGGCAAGAGGCATAGCATCAAACCTGAAATCAGAAGGTCTTGATTAAAGCCTCCCTTCCACTTCTAAGATGCCTGGAAATATGGTAGATTTGGTTAATTGTCCCCATAATTATCTCTCTTTTTCTTCTTGAGTTGTAGCCCCCCAGCTGGACTACATTCCCCAGCCTTCTCTAGGTTAGGAGTAGCCATGTGGCTAAGTTTGGTTAATGGGTTGCAAATTAAAATGATGTAGGCAATTGTGTACAATGTCCTTAACTATAAGACCCTGCTTCCTAATCTTTCCTCTTCTCTCTGGGCTGGCGTGCAGATGTGGTGGATCCTGTTTTTGCCTAATGACATGGGCAAACCCAAGAACAGCAAGATAGCAGCCTGGGCCCTCAATTTCATGACATCTTTTGACTGTTTCAGGAGAGAAAAATAAGGAATAATTTTTTTTGAGCTATTGCATTTTCGAAATCTTCTTGTAAAAATAGCTTAGCTTGTGCCCTAACCAACACAGTGAAATATGGGCAAGTCACCACCTCTCAAAACTTCCATTTCCTCACGTGTAAAATAAGGGCGATAATATCAAGCCTGGCAACACATGTAGCTGTTCTGAGTATTAAATAAAATCATATAGATCAGAGACGAATACATTGCGTAATATAAAATGTTATTTTATATTTTAGTATTGCAGCTGCCAGAGGGGAGAAAATAAGATGAAGGTTTTATTTCTTATTTTGTACATAAACATTTTATTTTAGAATAAGCTAAGATTAATAGAGAATTAGCAAAATAAGTAGTGAGTTTCTGTATACCCCTCAATCAGTTTCTCTAATGTTAACCATTTACATTCTCATGACAGATTTGTCAAAACTAAAACCCAGCATTGGTACTTTACTACGCTTAGGTTATTTGGATGTCACTAGTTTTTCCATGAATGTCCTTTTTCTCTTCCAGGATCCAATGCAGGAGATAATATTGCATTTGTTGCCATTTCTTTTAGTCTGTTCTGTTCCGAATACTTTCTCAGTCTTTCTTTATTTGTCATGATCTTGACAAATTCAGGGAGTACTGGCCAGGTATTTTGTAGAAGGTTTCTCTGTTTGAGTTTGTGTTTTCATGATTAGATTGGGGTGATCGAGGTGGGGGGATGTGTATTAGTCTGTTCTCACATTGCTGTAAAGAAATACCTGAGACTGGGTAATTTATAAAGAAAAGAGGTTTAATTGGCTCGTGGTTCTGCAGACCGTCTGGGAAGCATGGCAGCTTCTGCTTCTGGGGAGGCTTCTGGAAGATTCCTGTCATGGCAGAAGGCAAAGGGGAGCCAGCGCTTCACATGGCCAGAGCAGGAGGAAGAGAGAGGAGGGAGGTGCCACACACTTTTCAACAAGCAGATCTCACTATTGCAATGACAGCTCCAAGGGGAATGGCGATAAACCATGAGAAACTGCCCCCATGAGCTAATCACCTCTCACCAGGCCCCACCTCCAGCATTGGGGATTACATTTCAACATGAGGTTTGGACGGGGACACAGTTCCAACCCATACTGGGGGAGGATTTTATTTTTAATGAAAAGGGTAATTCGGAATAAAAATGCAGTGTGTGTGAGAGAATAAACCTCGTTTTTCAATTTGATTGCCTTATCAACTCTAATTGCTGTTCTAGGTAGTGTGCCCCTCTTGTAGAGTAGAATTGCTTACTCAAGTTCCATGAGGTACCTTTGAGAATCACCACAATGCATTCAGCCTCCTGTTTTTGTCCTGGTACCTCTGGAGAAGACTGAGCTGCTCTCTGCTGCTTCCTTGTCACAGTCATTCTGGAAAGATGTCTAAAAAGCACTGGGTTGTGAATCTGGAACTTGATAACAGGTAGACCAGTGTCTAGTCCAGTTGAACAGAAAAGAGTATATTTTAGAAAAACTGTCCATTGACAGCTTCGTACCACAGTGAACTGATCAGCAAATCCTCAACACATTGGGACGGTTTTATTGTTATTGTTTTGTTTTTTTTAGAGTGAGGGAGGGAGGTTAGAAGGAAGGGCGAGAGGGAAAGAGGAACAGAGGACAATTAAAGCAAATGTGAATTATAGATGAGAAAAGAGATGGGACTTGGTGAATTTAGAATCTTAAGGAAAACTCTAGGTGAAGAGGGAGACTAAAATCTTTTCTTGGATGCTGACCTATAGTTTGACTCCCCAGATACAATAAGGAGAAAGCAGTATTTTGATTGGGACAGGAATTAACCTATTTCTTTCTATATTTACTTTTCAAGTTGAGCAAGATCTGGGAAAGGGCCTGCTAGCATATTTTGTTTTTACTATTTCAAACAAAGATATCCATCTTGAATGGCATTAGACTTTCAAAAAAATTTAGTGTGTTATTTCTTTCTGGCTATCCAAGGTCTTGATTATACAAAATTCCCATCAGAACACCCACACACTCTCTCTCTCTCTCTCCTATACTTAAGAAAAAAATCTAAATAGAGAAGACTATGACTGAAGAGAGCTTAATTTTGATTAAATTTCGGGGTCCATTCTTTCAAGAGCTCTTTCAGCTAAATGCTCAAATCCAATCTGTGGGTAGCTCTCAGTATCTGTCTTTCTTTGAAGGTCCGGCTCTGCAAATCTTGTCCTGGCCTCCAAAGACAACATCTCAGAGGCCACTTGGTGTATTTCAACTTAATCTTTGTCCACACACTCCTTTCTCTACACTTGGCTTTCCTCTGACCATATATCTTTATACTGACCATTATTTCTCTACTTCTCAATAATCCCCCTGCCCAACTCTCTCTTCCTTCAGCCTCACAGCCCAGTCTTCACCACACTCTGCTGAACCTTCTTTTTTTTTGAGACAGAGTCTTGCTCAATCGCCCAGGCTGGAGTGCAGTGGCACGATCTCCGCTCACTGCAAGCTCCGCCTCCCGGGTTCACGCCATTCTCCTGCCTCAGCCTCCCGAGTAGCTGGGACTACAGGCGCCCGCCACCACGCCCGGCTAATTTTTTTGTATTTTTAGTAGAGACGGGGTTTCACTGTGTTAGCCAGGATGGCCTCGATCTCCTGACCTCGTGATCCACCCTCCTCAGCCTCCCAAAGTGCTGGGATTACAGGCGTGAGCCACCGCGCCCGGCCTGAACCTTCTTAAATGCATGTCTGTTCCATCCATTTCTTTCTATCTCTATTGGCAGGGTCTGGTACAAGCCACTACTGCTTTTCTCCTGGACTAATTCATAATCTCCAACAAAGCTAGAGTGTTATTTCTGAGACATAATTCTCTTTGTATCAGTTCTACATGCTTTAAGCTTTTCATTGGCTTCATTTTTCTTTCCTTGAGGGCAGTCAAAATTCTGGAGAAAATTGCTGATAATAGATGTAGCCCTGTTAGATCTGGTTCACCCTTATTTTCCCGGTCAGAGCTCGTTGCATTCCCTCCTGCTGTCCTTATTCGCCATCTCTCCAGCTGCTTTTCCCCCTTGTCCTTCCCATCTCTCTCCACCACTGACACTGTAGTCACTCGTTTTAGTCCCTGGAGGATTCCCTGGTTTTGCTTTCTCTTCTCAAGGCTTTCAGTCAACACTCTCCAAATCCCCCTCCTTTTCCTCCTTTAGGATACTATGCTCTCGTTCAACCCCCAGGAAAATCTTCCTGACCTCCTCTTCTACTAATTTAGGTTGGTTTTCTCCACTGTGTGTCCATAGAACTCTAACTTTCCCTTTAGTAAATCATCCTTTTTTGTGATTGTTCATGCGCTTGTTTGTATTTCTCTTGGTATTTAACTCCTTGTTAAATAGTTTGTAAATAAATTTCTTAACCATTTCAAAGATGTACACATCCTAGAACCTCTCATGAACCACATTACAGAGGAACAGAAGATTCATTTGAGTTATGAAATATGGCAAGTAAATGGTGGAAGGATCTATTACCTGTTGTTGTTGTTTTTGATACGGGGTCTCTCTCTGTTATCCAGGCTGGAGTGCAGTGGTGTGATCATGGCTCACTGAAGCCTCCAACTCATGAAGTGATTCTCTCACTTCAGCTTCCTGAATAGCTAGTACTATAGGTGTACACCACCAGGCCCAGTTAGTTTTTAATGCTTTGTAG
Organism: Homo sapiens; assembly: GCF_000001405.40. Lineage (NCBI taxonomy): Eukaryota > Metazoa > Chordata > Mammalia > Primates > Hominidae > Homo > Homo sapiens. Next base: position 17,736,876 of record NC_000021.9, read on the forward strand.
AGATTGGGTCTCACTATGTTGCCCAAGCTGGTCTTGAATTCCTAGATCAAGTGATCCCCATCTCAGCCTCCCAAAGTGCTGGGACTATAGGCATGAGCCACTGCGTTTGGCCCTGGTTTTCCTTCTTAGTGCACAAGTTTTCTTTTACTACATACATATTATTGATGACTGCTCCATATTGCACTGTAAAATAGCTGCAACCTATAGGAAAATGTAGCAGTTTCTTTTTGATAGTATACTCGGAATTTAATTTTCTCTATTCCTCTTACCTACCCTAAGCGAGGGCCCATAGTAGAAGGCACTGGATGTTGTAGTTTAACAAGTTATGATACTTATGTAGAGAATTAAGCATGCCTGGGATTACTCACAGAAAAATGACTGGCTGTAACCGACAACCTCGATTTTGTTATATGCCTGCAGAAGTAGTTATATTCTTTTTTTTTTTTTTTTTTTTTTTGAGACAGAGTCTCACACTGTCACCCAGGCTGGAGTGTAGTGGTGCGATCTTGGCTCACTGCAACCTCCACCTCCTGGGTCCAAGCGTTTCACCTGCCTCAACCTCCTGAGTAGCTGGGACTACAGGGGCGTGCCACCACACCCAGCTAATTTTTGTATTTTTAGTAGAGATGGCGTTTCACAATGTTGGCCAGGTTGGTCTCGATCTCTTGACCTCGTGATCCACCCGCCTTGGCCTCCCAAAGTGCTGGGATTACAGGCATGAGCCACCAGTGCCTGGCCAGTAATATTCTTAAATTGATATCCAAATGCAGTTAACTGTAACAACTGTGAGAAGGGTTGCATGCTTCCAGAACGATGAATTATACATGAAGAGAAAAGTACAATTGTCAATTTTGGTAGAAATTTTAAAAAGATTTAGAATCTCTGATTTAGATGTGATAAAGGTTTCTTCTAAACACTTGACTCTTATGTTGAAGCCTTCAGTGTGTCTACACTTAACATTTCTATTCCTTTGCCTTCCATTTTCGTGAATGTTGATATGTTTGATTATGAGTCTCTCCCCTTTGAAAACATTATGTATTTTCCCTTGACAATTTCTAGAGGAATAGTCTTCATTTTAAGTTATAAAACTGGTTTTAAGTTTAATCTTGACAAATTTCCTTTTGGAGCTAGAAATCTAGATGTTGTTCTTTGGAAGCTATTGAATATAATTAACACATTTCTGTCATCTCTACATATATCTACTCACATTTAGAGATAAAGTGCAATTATACCTATTTATAGTGTTATGTAACTAGGAGCCCGAGTTTTATCCCAACTGAACATAGTGTATTGTGGAAAAACGCATAAGAATGTTTCTGTGTTTTTATCACGGCTATGATTGACTTGCTCTGACAGTCTATCCTCCTAATAAATGCAATATTACTGCTAAAATGTCCCCATTCGGCAGAAATGCATAAACAAGGAAGGGAAGTAATGTAATTTTAGTTTATATTTACCTTTGACTTGTGGTTCCCAGTTTTGGATGGCGGCCACAAAAAGCCAAGCAAATTCCCAGGACGCCAGGCCACAAGGCAGTTTCCGGCAACAGCAAGTGATTGCAGCTTTCTTAGAACTTTGCAAATATAACTTCTTCATAACAAGTATTTAAAGGCAAATAGAGTTACATTCTCTTGCTTATGAACACCTATCTTATAAACATCTGTTAAAAGAAAAGCTTTAGACAAATTAAATGTAACAGCATTTAATTGAGCAAAGAACTATTTGTGCGTCGGGCAATCCTCAGAACCAGAACAGGTTCTGAAAGACTCCTGAGGCTGCCACATGGCTGGTTAATGTTTACAGGCAAAAAAAAAGGTAATTGAAGAACAGAAGATGGAAGGAGGGATACAGACGGCTCAGCCAGTTAAAGCTTGGTATTTGCCTGTTGAACCTGGTTTGAATAGCTGGCCACCTGTGATTGACTGAAGCTCTGCTGCCGTGATTGGCCGAGACTCAGCTATTTGTTACAAAGGCAAATTCCTAAGTCAGGTTTTCAGTTGGTTTCCCTATTAAGTTAAGTTGCAGGTTGTCATGTAGGGCTCATATGGAGACTTCTAAAGCTTAAATTTAGTTTGATTTAACATATCTCTTATGTGCACTTTCCTGTTGCTGCTGCCATGGTGCTCCCCTCCCTCCCTGGTGTTGGGGACTTTCTTATTCTGTTGGTCCAGCTGACAAAATCCTGTGGCTGTTCATACCCTTCACACATGCCTGCCACCTCCCCCTTTCCTAGTGCCACTGCTGGCGCTAATTGGTCTTGTCACCCCTCTTTTCTTGATGCTGGAGCAGAGTTGAGTTTCATAACTCTGGGCTTATGGACATTCCAGATAGAGCATGAACTGGAACTCTAAACGTGTTTTCCTTTGGGAATTCACATGGTAAACCACCTTATTCATTGTGGAGGGTTGAATGGGTTTTTTCCTCTGCCTTAGAACTAAATCGTCACATGATAATGGTTGTGTGGAAAGTGTGTTAAACACTGACTTAGGAAGGTTGGATAGTAATTTGTGAAAAACTGGAATTGCCTGGGCCTCCAGCACTATTCATATTTATGTAGTATCTATATTAATATAGTAACAAAATGGATTATGATTTTAAGAAATGTATCAGTTTTGAAACAAGCAAAACTACTATTGTATGAGTAGTGTAGGGGCAGAAAGATGTGATCCCTTTTTTTTTAAATCAATTATAAGGGTAACAATCAACAGTCCTATAACAAAAACAGGTTTACAAGAGAAAAGCATAACAAATTTATTTAACCCAAGTTTTATGTGACACAGGACACTTCAGAAATGATGACTCATTGAGCTGGGGAAAATGGCCTACTTTTATGCTTAGGTTTGATGAAGAATGGACAGCCACGTAGAAATGTGATTGAACAAAAAGAGTACATCTAGTGGTAATAGACTGAGAGAGGAAACATAGCAAGATCTGTCTGTTCAGATTCTTCTAGATGTCTCTGGGTAGCATTTCCCCTGAACCCCACTGTATGGGGCAGAACTCCTCTGGAATGAGGGTCTTCAAGGAAGAAAGGAGAAGGCAGAGAGTAACCTTTCTGGGTTTTATGGTTTGCTTTGAAGAGAGGTTCTAGTTTCTATGACACACCTTAAGTAAGAGAAAAATCCTGGGGTTGGTGTGATGGCTCATGCTTGTAATCCCAACACTTTGGGAGGCTAAGGCAGGAGGATCACTTGAGGCCAATAGTTTAGAACCAGCCGAGCAACATGGTGAGATCCTTTCTCTATTTAAGTATATTTTTTAAAATTAAAGATTAAAAAAAGGAAAGAGGAATTCTGGTTTCTATTACTTGCTTTGAAGCAGAAAGAGGGATGGGAGACAGGAGGTCAGAGAGATTTTTGGTTCTGCGCTGCTTCTGAGGTCTTTCCATTTTCTTTAGTTCAAAGTACTCAGCATACCACAATGCCATACTTTGGGGCATCATTGTCTGAGTTTGCGAAATAGTATAGCAATCAACTCAAAAGTAAAACACAAGGTTCGGTCGACTGGCATTTGAGTAGCCCTGTCCCATGTTTACAAAAGTGTTGGAATTCTAGAATTTTGCCAAAGGATACTCATGTGACAAATGCAGAATCAAGATGACTGGGAATAATTTTCAGTTTGACCTTTCCCTTTTACCACTCCCATCTCTAAAACACACACATTTGGAAAGCAGATTTAGAAATATTCAATGTTTTGTCAGGTTATCTATGCTTAAAAATTTATTTTTAAAGGAAATGTTGTCTATTGAGCCTGAATCACTATGCTCTTCAGGAATTTAGTAAGAAGTAATTGGATGTGAAACAGAAGGTACAGGTGGTTGGGGAGTTCCTGTGACTTCAGGAATGAAGATGAATTTCATTAATTAAAATGAAATACTCAAAGTGGAAATCACACAGGAAATAAATTGTTAGAGGAAATAGAAACTTCTTTGGTAAGAATTAAGTGATTAAGTGACTGAAAATGGTCTATCATATAACCATATAATTATATGGATATTTTTTCTTTGATGAAAGGAAAACTGGTGATTTGGGGACTAAAAATGGGGGAACAGAGTGGGGAGAACAAGCTAGGTATAGGAAGGATTTTTATTCTGCAGCCAAAATCTTCCAATTGATGCCTTATCCTTTTGAAAGAATTATGAGGATTACATTTTCTCTAAAAGATGAAGTTTCAGTACATGATTCATGTCTTTTACTATTCGACTTTTACACTCTAAATTTATTCACTTAATAAAAGCAGCTCTACAGAAGGGTACCTTCAAAAGTATCAGGAGAATTATAAGTAGCAAGAAGATGGGACAAACTGAGAAGAAGCAGGGCAGGGAGGGAACGAGAGGAGCTGAGTGCAGAAAAGAAATTACTTCTTAGTACAGAAACGTCTGTTCACAGAAGAGAAAAAAGCGGGAGGGGCACCAAGCTTACAGAAAGGAAATCAAAGTCAAAATACCATGCCAAGCTAAAGAGAAGGCATGATTCAGAATCCAGGAAACTAAGTCTGGATTTAATGAATTTAATTTTCAAAGATTCAAGTGTGTATCAAGAGACTCCCACAGAAAAAGGCCAGGAAGGGTAACCAGAATTCCAGGCTAGCAGAACTCAGTTCCAATTATGGAGTGCCTGAAAAACACACCATGGGCCAAAAACTCTTCTGGGTTCATAGTGCAGAAGACACAGTCAGAGAGGTAAGTTGGCATGTGTGGGTGTCTAAAGGTTTAAGTGACAGAAGGGACAAACAGGCTAAGGTGTGAGTAGGCGGAGGGGAAGAAAATATCTCTTTTTCTACTCATCTTAGGTTCATGGGTGAGGCCCCTATAAGGCCCTTGGCTCCAAAAAGTTTTGCTGAAAATTATCAACATAAGGCAAATTGATTAATAAAAGAAAAGGCATACAAATTTATTTAACATGTATACAAGAGAGCTTTCAGAATGAAGACCAAAAGATACAGAAGAAATTGTCCATTTTTACGCTTAGGTTTAACAAATTATGGACAGCCATACAGAAACAGGATGGAACAAAAAGAGTAGATTCTAATGTTAGTAGACAGAGCAGAAAACCCGGCAAGCCCTGTATAGATTCTTCTCAGCCTCTCTGAGCAAGCATTCCGTTCTTCTCAGTATGGGGAAGGGCCCTCTCTGGAATGGGATCTTATGACCTACAGTCAAACAAGGTAGGTCAGATAGTTTCTTTATGGCTAGTTTTACATAGAAAGGTGGAGGGAATATTAGAATAATAGTTTTAGGTTTTATGACTAATTTGGGGGAGAAGGGTTCTGGTTCTAAGACCCACCGGAAGGACGAAGGATTCTAGTTTCTATGGCTAGCCTTGGGAAAGAATGGGACTGAGAGATAGCAGGGCAGGAGAAGGTCAGAGAAAAACTTGCCTCTGAGGCTGCTGCTGAGGCCTTCATTTTGGGCTGTTGTTTTCTGATCCACAACATTCCCCATTGTGAAACTTTCCCAAGAAGTTTCATAGTTCAGAAATAGAGTTGCTGGATTGTCTTATAAGCTGTTAAACCAGTTTTTCAGCCCAGAGAATAGGCCAGTCCAGTTAAATAGTTAACAGTGAATCAGGCAGTGCTGTTGTTGATGGGCTTTCCCCAAAGTCAGTCCTCTATGTGATTTGAGCAATTGGATATTTAGTAAGAAGAACTTCTGTGCATATCAAAGAAAAACCAGAGTTAATGGTTAGAACAAACTATAAACTCAGTTTTTTAGTCCAGAGGTCAGCCAGTTGAGAGGATTTTTAGATGTTGAGCTTGAAGCATGTTCAGATGAAGTCAGAGAAGATAGTGGCAATCTAGTTTGCAGTTTACATCAGATATTCCAGGAAACTTTCTGTGCAGTCAATACATCAACAAGCATGAAGACTGTTCAGATATTTAGTTGCTATAGTGATTTCTCTTAAAATTTATATCAAGTTGTCTAGCTTCAGCTCGTGGGGCTTTAGGAAAAAGCAGTTTTAATTTCAGTGATTCCAAGTCAGACATATGGGGAAAAATGAGAAATATTAGGTATAGACTTGTAACTACAGGAGAGTTCAGGATTGAGTCCAAATTGTAGATAAACAATAAAAACTGAAAAGCAATAGATGAGGTTATAATCTAATAATAGCTGTACTATAGTTTTTTTCTGAAACATAATTTCTTTCTCTCTGGTTTCCCATTTTTACTAAGGATGAATCACAATACAACCAATTTATTTGTAAAACAAGTTTTACTCTTATTATACTTGGCCTGATGATTTGCATAAAGTGCAGCAAGAATAGTGATTGGTCATATAGGCTCCTTTAAATTGGCTTTGCTGAAACTTTTAAAATATGAAACCTCAAATTAGACTTTTAAAAGACCCTCTAGGTCAGCCAAGCTGATAATTTATTTGTGCCTGCAGATACCCGTATAAATTGGGTAAATTCTTCTCTTCTTGAGTTCCCAAAATAACTTGAGGTTCCTGGGCCGGTCAAGAAAGTGACATTCTTTACTTACCACAGGTCAGAAATTTTGTAAAGAAATTGCTTAGGCAAGGTAAGAGGCCAGTATTTTGAAGGGGTTTTTTATCAGTTCTATTAATTCACTTCAGTTCCTCAAAGCAGTCTGGTCATATGCCACTCCAGTCAAAGCCTTGGTAAAATAACCAGTGTTTCCAATTGTGTCCTGTTACAAAAGAAAACAGATTCTTATTGAATTTATGCAAATAACTATATTGCCTTAAATTAAGAATACTCACAAATCATTTCAAATTCTGGAGAAATCTGGTAGAGAGAAAGAAAAATGCTTTCATTTTGCTTGCAAAAGTATATTTTACCCAATTTGTTGTAAGTTATAAATAGCTTCAAAGAAAAAAAAGTTCTCTTTACCCTGGAAAACCAAACATTAATAGAATCAGCAATGTTTCTAACAAAAAAAGTCATTAAATTTATTTCAGACAATATGAATAATCATACCACAAAGTACCAAAAGGTATACCAGAGTCACTACACCAAGACCAGTCATATGCAAATGTTTTTCTTCCACTAATGAAAACTTTGCAGAGGAGACAAGTGGTCATTTTCATTGGCTGCCCAACCAGATTATACATAGAGAAAGGCTGGGAGTCTGACTGGTAGAAAAATTCTTATCTTTTTGCTGGCTTGTCAGGTTCTTGGGTTCTCATCTTTGTAGCTTCTAGAAGAGCAGAGCAGGTTTGATGATCCCGTTTGTAACACCAAACTACAGGAGCCAAGGCCGTTGGCCCCCTAAATTTTTGCTCGAAATCTCTGACGTGAGGCAGACTGATTAATAAAATAAAAATTTATTTATTTTTTAAGACAGTGTCTTGCTCTGTTGTCCAGGTTGGAGTGCAATGGCATGATCTTGGCTCACTGCAGCCTCAACCTCCTGGGCTTCAGTGATCCTCTCACCTCAGCCTCCCAAGTAGCTCAGGCCACAGGGACCATGCCTGACTAATTGTTTATATTTTTTCTAGATATGGGGTGTCCCTATGCTGCCCAGGCTAGTCTTGAACTTCTGGGCTCAAGGGATCCTCCTGCTTCGGCCTCCCAAAAGTGGTGGCAATACAGGTGTGACCCACTGTGCCCCGCTTCAAATTTACTTAATGGGTATAAATGAATCTTCAGAATGAAGAGCCAAAGATAGAGGAGAAATTGTCCATTTTTATGTTTAGATTTAACAGTTAGATAGCCATGTAGAAATGTGATTGGATGGCCAGGCGTGGTGGCTCACGCCTGTAATCCCAGAAATTTGGGAGGCCGAGGCGGGCGGATCACTTGAGGTCAGGAGTTCGGGGCCAGGCACTGTGGCTCATGCCTGTAATCCCAGCACTTTGGGAGGCCAAGGTGGGTGGATCACGAGGTCAGGGGATCAAGACCATCCTTGCTAACACGGTGAAACTCTGTCTCTACTAAAAATACAAAAAAAAAAAAATTAGCCGGGCGTGGCGGTGTGTACCTGCAGTAACAGCCGCTGGGGAGGCTGAGGCAGGAGAATGGTGTGAACCCGGGAGGTGGAGCTTGCAGTGAGCTGAGATCGCACCACTGCATTCCAGCCTGTGCGACAGAGTGAGACTCCGTCTCAAAGAAAAAAAAAAAAAAAAAAAAAAAGGAGTTCGGGACCAGGCTAGCCAAAATAGTGAAATCCCTACTAAAAATACAAAAATTAGCCGGGTGTGGTGGTGGGCACCTATAATCCCAGCTACTTGGGAGGCTGAGGCAGAAGGATTGCTTGAACCTGGGAGGTGGAGGTTGCAGTGAGCTGAGATTGTGCCACTGCACTCCAGCCTGGGTGACAGAGTGAGTTTGTCTCAAAAAAAAAAAAAAAAAAAAAAAGAAATGTGACTCGACAAAAAGGATAGAATCTAATGTAAATAGGCTGAGTGGGGAAACCCAGCCAGCCCCGTCTGTCTAGATTCTTCTCAGCCTGTCCGAGCACACATTCCTTTCTTCTGGATATGGGGCAGGATCCTTTCTGGAACGGGGATCTTATGACCTGTAGTCAAACAAGGTAGGTCGGATAATTTCTTTGTGGTCAGTTTTTACACAGAAAGGCAGAGGGAAAATTAGAATAATCGTTTGAGGCTTTGTAACTAACTCTGGGGAGAAGGGGTTCTGGTTTCTTTTTTTTTTTTTTTTTTTTGAGACGGAGTCTCGCTCTGTCACGCAGGCTGGAGTGCAGTGGCGTGATCTTGGCTCACTGCAAGCTCCGTCTCCCGGGTTCACGCCATTCTCCTGCCTCAGCCTCCTAAATAGCTGGGGCTACAGGTGCCCACCACCATACCCGGCTAATTATTTTGTATTTTTAGTAGAGACGGGGTTTCTCCGTGTTAGCCAGGATGGTCTCGATCTCCTGACCTCGTGATCTGCCCGCCTCGGCCTCCCAAAGTGCTGGGATTACAGGCGTGAGCCACCGCGCCTGGCCAGGGGTTCTGGTTTCTAAGACCCACCGTGGGGAAGAGGGATTCTAGTTTCTATGGCTAGTCTCCAGGGAAGATGGGACTGAGAGATAGTAGGGCAGAGAAAAACTTTTGCTTCTGAGGCTGCTGTTGAGGCCCTTATTTGGGGGTGTTGTATTCTGAGCCCTAACATTAATAAGAGAAAAGCCATACCAATTAAAGTTTTACATGACGTGGGAGCCTTCATAAGGAAATGAAGACCCGAAGAAACAAACCTGAAGCTTTTTACAGTAGGTTTGATCAAGAGTAGACAATCATGGAGAAATATGATAGGACAAAGATGGTTTAAACTAAATGTAATCAATGGAGGAAAACTTAGTAAAGTCTATTTGTTCAGATTCTTTTTTGTGTCTCTGTGTCTTCAGATATAAGGATGTTCCTTCCTGTGGGTATGGGGAGGGTGTTACGACCTGTTCCAGGGAAAAAGGGTAGGGCAAGATCAGAGTGACCTTTCTACTTCTGTGGTTTTCTTAAATTCCTTCAGCTTTGGGGTAACATGTGTTTAACCCCACCATGGGAAAGTGGACAACAGTATCAATGGCTTCTAATTCTTACAGTAAAAATGTCTCATAAATATTACATAAAATCTGGCTTTAAGGAAGGTAAAATTGGATTTATCCAACACTGTTACAGGGAAGCATTTCTAATGATTCAAGGGGACAGGAAACTGAACAAATGATATTGGCAATGTTGAATATGTGTCCAGGAGCTCACTGAGGAGGGAACTTGGCTTAGTCATCTCGGGGTCTTTAGGACCTAGAGCTTAGCCCTGACTTATAGCTTCATAAAGTGTTTACTGTTCCTTATAAGATCCTTTAAAATTCTTCCTTAGTGACCATGAGAAGGCAGTTTTTATCTTCCCAGAAACAGATTTGAATAATTTAAAACCAGTTGTAGCCACCGTGGGGTTGTAGAGTATCGAAGTTAACAGTTGAGGGGCTGAATTCAAGCTGCAGACAAATTAATTTTTTTGGTCTTTATCAGCTCAGATTGTAAAACATTAAATTTAGATTCCCTTGGAAGAGAAGTACACTCTCCAGTTTTAAACTTTCCCTGCACTCTCTTAAGGTTCAATAATTTGGATCCCTGGAACAAACTGATAGTAGGCAGATTCACAGAAGGAAAAGCATACAGTTCATTACTTGCAATTGAACAGAAGCCTCACAAAATATAAGAGTCAAAGAAAGACCAGATGACTAAAGTTGTTATGCCACACAGAAAGGAATTGAAGCTAGGGTGCCCTGGAGGGTGGTGGCAACAAGCTATGGGGGCAAGAGGAGGAACTGTACAGCGAGTAAAAGCTGTCTTATTATGCAGATCAAGTCTCTATGGCAGCAGCCCTCAGAAGAATAGATGATAGCCAGTGGTACAAGTTTCTCTGAAGGAGGTATCAGACTATTATTCTCTTTCTGTGAGTTAATCTTTCGTGGTTGCTATTTTTCTGGGGGAACTTCCCTGAGTCAGATAAGGCAAGATCAGAGAAAACCCTTACCTGCATTTGCTGCTTTCCAGGTGCTCTCAGTTTGAGTTTTAAAGCGGCATATTTGAGGGTATCATTTTCTGAGCTGCAACACAAGTGTTTCTTATTATATGACAATTGTTTTGCTAGCCTTATGCCTGAAGGCACTGGAGTTTGACCCTTTCTCAATACCTGAGAAACGAAGAAGCGCAGCTAGCTGAGTGAGCTGATGTAAAAAACCCAAAATCAGTGTTTTCAAGCTTGCATCGCTACATCAAGTGGCTTCCTAAACTAGGGGAAGATACTTGCATCTTCTTATTTGTTCAATTTGCCTCTCTGGTTTCCAGTTGCCCTATTAGCAGGCAATCTAGAACCTCCTTCTTAATGACCCGCTCCAGCCAGGTAGGTCCTATTTGCAAACACCAGATTTTCCAGGCACCGTTAGACACTGATGGCACCACTGGCTTACAAAATTCTTTTGGTGCACCTCCCAGGCTTAGGGATTATTTTCCAAACACAACTGCTGAGGCCAGATTCTGGGCCTGGCCTGTGTGTCTAGCATCAATTTCCCACTGTGCTCAAACCAGTGTTTCCCTCTCACCCAACAACAACTTCCTATACCTTTGTCTGGGGAGCTCAGACTTGGAGTATATCAGGAAGGGAACAGGCATATGATTTGGATACAGCACCACATTCTTTCTTGGACCCTGGTCCCCAGCTAGACTGACCTTGCCTCCAGGTGACTGTTTTTTGTTTTTTATTTTTTCTCTTTTTCTTTTCTTTTTTATTTTATTTATTTATTTATTATTATACTTTAAGTTTTAGGGTACATGTGCACATTGTGCAGGTTAGTTACATATGTATACATGTGCCATGCTGGTGTGCTGCACCCATTAACTCGTCATTTAACATTAGGTATATCTCCTAATGCTGTCCCTCCCCCCTCCCGCCACCCCACAACAGGCCCCGGTGTGTGATGTTCCCCTTCCTGTGTCCATGTGTTCTCATTGTTCAATTCTCACCTATGAGTGAGAACATGCAGTATTTGGTTTTTTGTCCTTGCGATAGTTTGCTGAGAATGATGGTTTCCAGCTTCATCCATGTCCCTACAAAGGACATGAACTCATCATTTTTTATGGCTGCATAGTATTCCATGGTGTATATGTGCCACATTTTCTTAATCCAGTCTATCATCGTTGGACATTTGGGTTGGTTCCAAGTCTTTGCTATTGTGAATAATGCCGCAATAAACCTACATGTGCATGTGTCTCTATAGCAGCATGATTTATAATCCTTTGGGTATATACCCAGTAATGGGATGGCTGGGTCAAGTGGTATTTCTAGTTCTAGATCCCTGAGGAATCGCCACACTGACTTCCACAATGGTTGAACTAGTTTACAGTCCCACCAACAGTGTAAGAATGTTCCTATTTCTCCACATCCTCTCCAGCACTTGTTGTTTCCTGACTTTTTAATGATCGCCATTCTAACTGGTGTGAGATGATATCTCATTGTGGTTTTGATTTGCATTTCTCTGATGGCCAGTGATGATGAGCATTTTTTCATGTGTCTTTTGGCTGCATAAATGTCTTCTTTTGAGAAGTGTCTGTTCATATCCTTCGCCCACTTTTTGATGGGGTTGATTTTTTTTTCTTGTAAATTTGTTGGAGTTCATTGTAGATTCTGGATATTAGCCCTTTGTCAGATGAGTAGATTGCAAAAATTTTCTCCCATTCTGTAGGTTGCCTGTTCACTCTGATGGTAGTTTCCTTTGCTGTGCAGAAGCTCTTTAGTTTAATTAGATCCCATTTGTCAATTTTGGCTTTTGTTCCCATTGCTTTTGGTGTTTTAGACCTGAAGTCCTTGCTGGTGCCTATGTCCTGAATGGTATTGCCTAGGTTTTCTTCTAGGGTTTTTATGATTTTAGGTCTAACATTTAAGTCTTTAATCCATCTTGAATTAATTTTTGTATAAGGCGTAAGGAAGGCATCCAGTTTCAGCTTTCTGCATATGGCTAGCCAGTTTTCCCAGAACCATTTATCAAATAGGGAATCCTTTCCCCATTTCTTGTTTTTGTCAGGTTTGTCAAAGATCAGATGGTTGCAGATATGCAGCATTACTTCTGAGGGCTCTGTTCTGTTTCATTGGTCTGTATCTCTGTTTTGGTACCAGTACCATGCTGTTTTGGTTACTGTAGCCTTGTAGTATAGTTTGAAGTCAGGTAGCGTGATGCCTCCAGCTTTGTTCTTTTGGCTTAGGATTGGCTTGGCAATGCGGGCTCTTTTTTTGGTTCCATATGAACTTTAAAGTAGTTTTTTCCAATTCTATGAAGAAAGTCATTGATAGCTTGATGGGGATGGCATTGAATCATCTATAAATTACCTTGGGCAATATGGCCATTTTCACAATATTGATTCTTCCTACCCATGAGCATGGAATGTTCTTCCATTTGTTTGTATCCCCTTTTGTTTCATTGAGCAGTGGTTTGTAGTTCTCCTTGAAGAGTTCCTTTGCCAACCTTGTAAGTTGGATTCCTAGGTATTTTATTCTCTTTGAAGCAGTTGTGAATGGGAGTTCACTCATGATTTGGCTTTCTGTTTGTCTGTTATTGGTGTATAAGAATGCTTGTGATTTTTGCACATTGATTTTATAACCTGAGACTTTGCTGAAGTTGCCTATCAGCTTAAGGAGATTTTGGGCTGAGACGATGGGGTTTTATAGATATACAATCATGTCATCTGCAAACAGGGACAATCTGACTTCCTCTTTTCCTAATTGAATACCCTTTATTTCCTTCTCCTGCCTGATTGCCCTGGCCAGAACTTCCAACACCATGTTGAATAGGAGTGGTGAGAGAGGGCATCCCTGTCTCGTGCCAGTTTTCAAAGGAAATGCTTCCAGTTTTTGCCCATGCAGTATGATGTTGGCTGTGGGTTGGTTCTAGATAGCTCTTATTATTTTGAGATACGTCCCATCAATACCTAATTCATTGAGAGTTTTTAGCATCAAGGGTTGTTGAATTTTGTCAAAGGCCTTTTCTGCATCTATTGAGATAATCATATGGTTTTTGTTGTTGGTTCTGTTTATATGCTGGATTATGTTTATTGATTTGCGTATGTTGAACCAGCCTTGCATCCCAGGGATGAAGCCCACTTGATCATGGTGGATAAGCTTTTTGATGTGCTGCTGGATTCGGTTTGCCAGTATTTTATTGAGGATTTTTGCATCGATGTTCATCAGGGATATTGGTCTGAAATTCTCTTTTTTTGTTGTGTCTCTGCCAGGCTTTGGTATCAGGATGATGCTGGCCTCATAAAATGAGTTAGGGAGGATTCCCTCTTTTTCTATTGATTGGAATAGTTTCAGAAGGAATGGTACCAGCTCCTCCTTGTACCTCTGGTAGAATTTGGCTGTGAATCCATCTGGTCCTGGACTTTTTTTGGTTGGTAAGCTATTAATTATTGCCTCAATTTCAGAGCCTGTTATTGGTCTATTCGGAGATTCAACTTCTTCCTGGTTTAGTCTTGGGAGGGTGTATGTGTCGAGGAATGTATCCATTTCTTCTAGATTTTCTAGTTTATTTGCGTAGAGGTGCTTATAGTATTCTCTGATGGTAGTTTGTATTTCTGTGGGATCGGTGGTGATACCCCCTTTATCATTTTTTATTGCGTCTATTTGATTCTTCTCTCTTTTCTTCTTCATTAGTCTTGCTAGTGGTCTATCAAATTTGTTGATCTTTTCAAAAAACCAGCCCCTGGATTCATTGATTTTTTTGAAGGGTTTTTTTGTGTCTCCATTTCCTTCAGTTCTGCTCTGATCTTAGTTATTTCTTGCCTTCTGCTAGCTTTTGAATGTGTTTGCTCTTGCTTCTCTAGTTCTTTTAATTGTGATGTTAGGGTGTCAATTTTAGATCTTTCCTGCTTTCTTTTGTGGGCATTTAGTGCTATAAATTTCCCTCTACACTCTGCTTTGAATGTGTCCCAGAGATTCTGGTATGTTGTGTCTTTGTTCTCGTTGGTTTCAAAGAACATCTTTATTTCTGCCTTCATTTCGTTATGTACCCAGTAGTCATTCAGGAGCAGGTTGTTCAGTTTCCATGTAGTTGAGCGGTTTGGAGTCAGTTTCTTAATCTTGAGTTCTAGTTTGATTGCACTGTGGTCTGAGAGATAGTTTGTTATAATTTCTGTTCTTTTACAATTGCTGAGGAGTGCTTTACTTCCAACTATGTGGTCAATTTTGGAATAAGTGAGGTGTGATGCTGAGAAGAAGGTATATTCTGTTGATTTGGGGTGGAGAGTTCTGTAGATGTCTATTAGGTCCGCTTGGTGCAGAGCTGAGTTCAATTCCTGGATATCCTTGTTAACTTTCTGTCTCGTTGATCTGTCTAATGTTGACAGTGGGGTGTTAAAGTCTCCCATTATCATTGTGTGGGAGTCTAAGTCTCTTTGTAGGTCTCTAAGGACTTGCTTTATGAATCTGGGTGCTCCTGTATTGGGTGCATATATATTTAGGATAGTTAGCTCTTCTTGTTGAATTGATCCCTTTACCATTATGTAATGACCTTCTCTCTTTTGATCTTTGTTGGTTTAAAGTCTGTTTTATCAGAGACTAGGATTGCAACCCCTACCTTTTTTTGTTTTCCATTTGCTTGGTAGATCTTCCTCCATCACTTTATTTTGAGCCTATGTGTGTCTGTGCACGTGAGATGGGTTTCCTGAATACAGCACACTGATGGGTCTTGACTCTTTATCCAATTTGCCAGTCTGTGTCTTTTAACTGGAGCATTTAGCCCATTGACATTTAAGGTTAATATTGTTATGTGTGAATTTGATCCTGTCATTATGATGTTAGCTGGTTATTTTGCTCGTTAGTTGATGCAGTTTCTTCCTAGCCTCGACGGTCTTTACAATTTGGCATGTTTTTGCAGTGGCTTGTACTGGTTGTTCCTTTCCATGTTTAGTGATTCCTTCAGGAGCTCTTGCAGGGCAGGCCTACCTCCAGGTGACTGTTGACCCTGACAGAATTTTCCTAACTTCAAGGTTCTGGGAACAGAGTGGGACTGTTGATATCTTCCTTCCCAGAAGGCTCTAGATTCTTTATGTAAGCCAATCCATTTCCTCCCAAGAGACAGCTTGGTTACCTTGTGTTTCCTTGAATCACTAGACCTTTGCTGGAATAACAAAAACTCTTTTTCATGCTCTGGAGCCCTGCACCCACGCCATCAGGCCTATTCTCTCCACATTTACTAATTAAGAAAGATCACTCAAATCCTTCCTGCAATGGAGAAGACTTGCTTGCTTCCTGGTGACTTTCCCTAATTTATTTTTAAACCACGTCAAGCATCCTGTTGGCTCCTGCACAGGGATCCTACTGCATTCACATTTTTCACATGGAACTTTGTGTGGACTTAGAAGACAGAAACTCGTACATAAATAATTCACAAAGAAAGACGATAGGATCTAGTAATGTGGGCAAATTCTGTGAAATGGTTACCTGAATTATAAATTATAAGGGTCTATAAAGTCTCAGTTTTCAGAAGGCTTTTACCAAATCCAATAATTAAGTGCATTGCCAGAACTTTCTAGATTCTGAGCTGCTTTCCAACAGGGTCCCATTTATGCTCCTTTCTATTTCATACATAATTTAAAAATCTCAAAGAATGTACCCTGGGAATATTCTAAATACGAGTGGCCAGATCCTGTCCAATAAAAAAAAATGATTTTAAGATCGGTTCTACCAATGTGACTCCATCTGATTGAATTGAGAAAGTGATCACATTTGGTAGTAGGGCAGCCCTTTTACTAAATTATAAATATGTTAACTAAATGGTACTGCATCCAAATACTGCATCCAAATCATATGCCTGTTCCCTTCCTGATATACTCCAAATCTGAGCTTCCCAGATAAATATTCAATGAAAAGGCTTTAAGCACAGAGCTTCTCCTACTGGCCATTTAAACAATGAGGTGTAGGAATGTTTCAGGAGAAATGTAGGCATTTATGATTTTAATTGACTGTTTTTCAATTTTAACTCATAGCAGACTTAATTGTGGCCTAAGTTGCATGTGCCCACTGGAGACACTTCCTGTTTTTTAAAATTTTTGTTACTTTAAAAATATTAATGAATCCACCTGGCTAGAAACACCTATACAATCTATCCAGTGAGCAGGCTCCTTTCCACCCCTGTCCTACGCTGCCTTAGTTGTCACCATCTTTCCAATAGGGTAACATTTATTCCATTAACTTAAGAGATTTTAAATTTATGTGTGTGTATATGCATGCATGTATGTATATATGTAGATTGTTGGGAGTTCAAAACACAATACCCCAAAGTATGGTGTTTTGGCATGCTCAATACTTTAAACTGAAGGACATTGGAAAGGCCTCAGAACCAAGGTCTCTCTGACCCTCTGCTGCTCTCCTGTCTTCCACCCCTCTTCCTCCCCCAAACTGAGTTATAGTAACCAGAATTTCTCTTGCCCAAGGTGGATCATAGAAACTAGAACCCCTCTCTTCCAAATCAAGCCATAAAACCTAGGAAGGTCACTTTATCCCTTTTCTCCTGAGACCCTCATTCCAGAAAGGTCCTGCCCCATACCCAGGAGGATGGATTGCTACGTGGAGAAGTCAAGAAGAATCTGGACAGACAGGCCGGGCTGGGTTTCCTTCCTCCATCTACTACCATTAAATCATACCCTTTTGTGCAATCACATTTCCACACTGCTGTCCACACTTCATCAAAACTAAGCATAAAAAGAAACAGTTTTCCCTGGGTCTTTGGGTTTTCATTTCTGAAGACTCTCATGTCATATAAAACTTTGATTAATGCACCTGTTATGCCTTTTCCTTGTTAACCTGTCTTTTGTTATAGAAATGTCAGCCTGATAATTGGTGAGAAAATGTATCATACCTTTCTGCTTCTACAACATACACATATGTGAACATATATACATGTGCCTTGTATGTATGTAGGTACATATGTTGTGTGTGTGTGTCTGGAGGAGGTGAGGGAGGGAGACAGGAATACAAATAGGGAGTGGGAGAGAAATAGAAATGAACTCGGTTAATATATAAGCAGATACTAATGTTACTTTTCTGCCCTTTTTACGCAAATGGCAGGCAGCATCCTATACCGATTATTCTACATCTTGTTTTATTTCATATTTATTACTATATCTTGAAGATAATTATATAACAGTACATAAATGGCCTCTGTATTCTTTTTATAGCTGCATAGAATTTTGAGTTGTTTCCAATTTTACATAATTACAAATAATGCTTTATATGACGTAATAACTGTGACATATATTATTTGACATATGCTCAAGTACTTCTGTAGAATAAAATTTTGAAATTGGAATTGCTAATTCCAAAGGTATATTATGAACGTTTTTATTCTTGTAGATGTCTAATTACATTCTATTAGTAAATATGCCAAGTTACAGCCCCACTAGCATTGTGGGAGTGTTGACTTTTTCCACAGTTTAATCAACACAATGTATGTTCAAACTTTTGAGTTTTTATCCATTTAGCAGGAAAAAGTGAGCAACCTAATGTAGTTTTAATCTGTATCACTTATGGGTGAGATTATACAAGTTTTTCATATAGTTAAGATCCTTTTATATTTCCTTTTTTGTGAATTATTCTTTATCGTTTATTTATCACTTTAAATAGCATTTTTCTTATTTGTTGAAACATACTTTATATTTTAGAGATATTGATTCTTTGTCTACAATATAAACTTGCAATATCCTTTCCAATTTGTCATTTAGTTTTCTTTTTGCTTATAGGTGTTTATTTTTTATTTTTTGGTTCGTTTTGGTTTTTACACAAAAGTTTTGATTATAGAGTTGAGTTTATCCATTTTGTATAGCTTCTCGATAATGGATTCACAGTTGGAAATGTCTGCCTATTTTTATTTTTATTTATTTATTTTTTTAGTACGTTGATGGCCTCCTTTTTTTTTTTTTTTTTTTGATACAGGATCTTGCTGCGTCACTCAGGCTGGAGTGCAGTGGCACAATCACGGCTCATTGCAACCTCGACTCCCCAGGTTCAAGCAATCCTCCCACTTCAACCTCCAAAGTAGCTAGGACTACAGGTGTGGCCATGCCTAGCTAACTTTTAAAATTTGTTCTAGAGATGGGGTCTCACTCTATTGCCCAGGCTGGTCTTGAACTCCTGAGCTCAAATGTCCCACCAACCTTGTGCTCCCAAAGTGCTGGGATTATGAGTGTGAGCCACTGCATCTGGTGGCTTCCTTTTTTTAATCCCAATTTTTTATTCCTTAAAAATTTTTCCAGGTGTACATTGTAAAATTTGTTTTCTATTTTACCATTTTTCCAAATGGCTACCCAGTTGTCCCAACAGCATATATTAAATATTCTATCTTCTCTATTGATGTGAATTGCCATCCTTAACATTTACTAAATTTGCTTATTATTGATTGATTTTGGAGAAGGGGTCTCACTTTGTCATACAGGCTGAAGTGCAGAGGTGTAATTACAACCCACTGCAGCCTCTACCTTCTGGGCTCAAGTGATCCTCCCCACTCAGCCTCCTGAGTAGCTGGGACCACAGGCATGTGCCACCATGACTGGCTAATTTTTAAATTTTTTGTAGTGATAAGGTCTCTCTATGTTGCTCCAGCTGGTCTCCAACTCCTGGGTTCAAGGAATGCTCCCACCTCTGCCTCCCAAAGTGCTGGGATTACAGACATGACCCACCGTGCCCAGGCTGCTTATTTTTATTTTTATTTTTTTGAGACAAGATTTTGCTCTGTCACCCAGCCTGGAGTGTGTAGTGGCATGATCTCAGCTCACTGCACCCTCGACTTCCTGAGCTCAGGTGATTCTCCCACCTCAGCCTTCTAAGTAGCTGGGACTACAGGCCCACATCACCACGCCAGGCTAACTTTTGTATTTTTAGTAGAGACAGGATTTCAGCGTGTTACCCACGCTGGTCTCAAACTCCTGGGCTCAAGCAATCCTCCCACCTCGGGCTCCAAAAATGCTAGGATTACAGGCGTGAGCCACCCAGCCTGGCCTGCTTATGAATTTTGGTCTAGTTTTAGACATCCTATTCTACAACTTGGCTAGTCTGTTTATTCATGTATCAGCTGTTTTAACTATTAAGGTGTTATATGTCCTATCTAGAAGGGCCAATCCTCCTGTGTTGCTCTTCATTGTTATAATTTTCCTGGTTGTTTTTGCTTATTTATCTTTTCAAATGAATGTCAGTGTTAACTTGCCTGGTTTAAAAAACCGTATTTTATTGAAGTTGTATTAAGAGAATAAAAAACTGTGGATAATTAAAATTTTTATGGTATCAATTTTTTTCTCATTCTAACAAAAAGTATGACTTTCCTTTTTTTTTTTTTTTGTCTTGCGATGGAGTCTCACTCTGTCGCCCAGGCTGGAGTGCAGTGGCTCGATCTCAGCTCGCTGCAGCTGTGTCCAGAACTGGTGGGTTCTTGGTCTCACTGACTTCAAGAATGAAGCCGCGGACCCTTGTGGTGAGTGTTACAGTTCTTAAAGGCGGCGTGTCTGGAGTTTGTTCCTTCTGATGTTCGGATGTGTTTGGAGTTTCTTCCTTCTGGTGGGTTCGTGGTCTCACTGGCTCAGGAGTGAAGCTGCAGACCTTTGCGGTGAGTGTTACAGCTCTTAAGGTGGCGTGTCTGGAGTTGTTCGTTCCTCCCTGTGGGTTCATGGTCTTGCTGGCTTCAGAAGTGAAGCTGCAGACCTTCACGATGAATGTTACAGCTCATAAAGGCAGTGTGGACCCAAAGATTGAGCAGTAGCAAGATTTATTGCAAAGAGCAAAAGAACAAAGCTTCCATGGTGTGGAAGGGGACCGGAGCCACTGCTAGCCTGGGCAGCCTGCTTTTATTCTCTTATCTGGCCCCACCCACATCCTGCTGATTGGTCCATTTTACAAAGAGCTGATTGGTCCGTTTTGACAAGGTGCTGATTGGTGCGTTTACAATCCCTGAGCTAGACACAAAAGTTCTCCACCACCCCACTAGATGATAATAGATACAGAGTGTTGATTGGTGTATTTACAAACCTTGAGCTAGATATAGAGTGCCAATTGGTGCATTCACAAACCCTGAGCTAGACACAGGGTGCTGATTGGTGTGTTTGCAAACCTTGAGCTAGATACGGAGTGCTGATTGGTGTATTTACAATCCCTTAGCTAGACATAAAGGTTCTCCAAGTCCCCATCAGACTCAGGAGCCCAGCTGGCTTCACCCAGTGGATCTGGCACTGGGGTCGCAGGTGGAGCTGCCTGCCAGTCCCGTGCCGTGTGCCTGCACTCCTCAGCTCTTGGGTGGTCGATGGGACTGGGCACTGTGGAGCAGGGGGTGGTGCTCCTAGGGGAGGCTCGGGCCCCACAGGAGCCCACTGAGAGAGGGGGAGGCTCAGGCATGGCGTGCTGCAGGTCCCGAGCCCTGCCCGGCAGGGTGGCAGCTAAGACCCGGCGAGAAATCCAGTGCAGCGCCGGTGGGCCAGCACTGCTGGGGGACCCAGCCCACCCTCCGCAGCCTCCTGGCCCAGGTGCTAAGCCCCTCATTGCCCGGGCTGGCCTGCCAGCCCGCTGCTCCAAGTGCAGGGCCCACGGAGCCCACGCCCACCCAGAACTCGCACTGGCCCGCAAGCATGGCATGCAGCCCTGGTTCCCTCCTGCGCCCCTCCCTCCACACCTCCCCGCAAGCTGAGGGAGTCGGCTCCGGCCTTGGCCAGCCCAGAAAGGGGCCCCCACAGTGCAGCGGCGGGCTGAAGGGCTCCTCAAGCACAGGCAGAGTGGGCGCCAAGGCCGAGGAGGCACCGAGAGCGAGTGAGGGCTGTGAGGGCTGCCAGCACGCTGTCACCTCTCACAGCCTCTGCCTCCCAGGTACAAGTGATTCTCCTGCCTCAGCCTCCTGAGTAGCTGGGATTACAGGTATGCACCACCATAACTGGTTTTGATCGATTCTTTTTTTGTGTCCTTGAGAGGGTTTTAAAATTGTCTACCTTTAGCTCTTGTTCATTTCTTATTAAGATAATTTCTAAGTATTCTATAATTTTTGTTGCTATTGCTGGGGCTTGGAATGCAATACCCCATAGTATGGCACCTTGGCAGGCTGAATACTTTGGACTGAAGGAAATTGGAAAGGCCTCAGAAGCAAGCTCTTTCTGACCTTCTCCCATCCTCCTGTTCCTCTGTCTCCCCTAAATCTAAGTGAGTCTTAAAAACCAGAATTCCTCTTCCCCAAGGTAGGTCATAAAAACTTGAACCCCTCTACCCCAAATCAAATCATAAAACCTATAAATGTCACACTCTCCCTTCTCCCTTAAGACCCTTATTAGATGCAGGTCCTCCCCTATATCTGGGAAAAAGGCATCCTTCACAGAGAAATCAAGAAGTATCTGAACAGAGAGGCCTGCTGGTGTCCCCCCTGCTGTGGTTTGGATATGGTTTGTTTGGCCCCACTGAGTCTTATGTTGAAATTTGATTCCAATGTTGCAAGTGGGGTGTGGTAAGAGATGTTTGGGCCATGAGGGTGGATCCCTCATGAGTGACTTGGTTCCATTCTCACAGGAGTGAGTTCTCACTCTTAGCTCCCAAAACAACTGTTTGTTGAAAAGAGCCTGATACCGCCTCCTGTCTCCCTCTTGCTTCCTGTCCTGGTGTGTGACCTCTGTACACTTCGGGTTCCCTTTGCCTTCTGCCGTGAGTAGAAGCAGCCTGACGCTCTTGCCAGAGCAGATGCTAGTGCTATGCTTCTGGCATGGCCAGCAGAACTGTGAGCCACATTTTCTTTATAAATTACCCAGCCTCAGGTATTTCTTTATTGCAACACAAATGAATTAAGGCACCCTCTCATTCTATTACCATTGGATCGTGTCCATTGTCTAATCACATTTCTCCACAGCTGTCCAATCTTCATTGGACCTAAGCCCTGGGTCTTTGGGTCTTCAATTCTGAAGTTTCCTGTGTTACCTAAAACTTCGGTTAAATACATTTGTTATGCTTTTCTCTTGTTAACCTGCCTTTTGTTAGAGGAGTGTCAGCTGTGACCCTTATGATGGGTGAGAAAATGTATCACATCTTTCTGACCCTACACTATTGTAAATGGGACGATCACTGGTTACTAATGTCAATAGAAGTGACTCCTATGTAGCACAGCAGTAAGAATGGCCTCTTACTGGGTCAGCTAATCCCACACAGTAGATTAAAACAAGTTCATTTCTAGGAAAACATTCTCTCCATCACATTAAAAAATTTATTTTTTAAAATTCGCAAACAAAATTGTATATATTTATCATGTATGACATGATGTCTTGAAATATATAATCCCAAAGGGCTGGGATTACAGATGTGAGCCGCCGTGCCTGGCCAAAGGGAAATTTTTATGTGAGGTTTCTAAAAATGTTCCTTAAAGGGAATTGACTCATCTTAGACAAATACAGACTAAAGAGTCTTAGCTTCTCCCTCTTAAAAGTAAGGGAAGATAACATCACTCTCCTCCTTTTCCTTAGAGTGTTTATTTTGGAAATTTATAACTGCAAGTACTTTCTGCTCTCTTAGAAATGTATGTAAATTGTTTTGAAAAGTAGATAGGCCCTTTGTCAACTTGACCCTAGAATGCCTTTCTCAAGAACTCAGGAAGGAACCATCTTCTTTGAATGTAAACATTCAAGGAAGATAGCTTCCTATCTCCTAGTTTCAGTAGGAGAGTAGGGGAGTAATTTTAGCCTGACTCCAAGTTGTAAAACTACCTCCTGTCCAAACAATATGAGAAGTTTATTTTTCCTTTGTATAAAGTCAGTTAACTTACGCAGATGGTCACCACAATTACCAGGTAAATTTAGGATAAACTTAAGTGTAATGAAATGGTGCTGTCAAGACCTCTCACTTGAAGACTAGTTATGATTTATCTTGAGAACGTGTATGCAACAGGTTGTATGTGCTTGGGTGTATGAAGGGTGAGAGTTCTCTCTGTGCAATCTCTTATCAAATTGCCTGTGATGTGCATTACCTTCTGGTTTCACGCTTATTCAAAAATAAAAGGGCTTTCTTCCTCTATCACTTTCGTGGAGAGGATTTCTGGATTGAGAGAATATTTGTTTTTTAAATTATAGTTCCCCAACACTCAGTTGAGAGTCGTGCCCACTTTCTTCTCCCCTCTTCATACTTGTGAAGCAGGTATGTTTGCAAAGGCCATGGCTGCCATCTTGGACCATGTAGGTGACCTTGAAGATGGAAACCAACCAGCACGTTCAGAAAAAGGGGAGGACGAACCTTAGTCCCTGATAATTATGGAGCCATTGCACCAGTCCTGAATGGCCTACCTTTAGACTTCTTTTATATAAGAGAGAGATAAAATTCTCTTGTTTCAGCCACTGTTATTTTGGTTCTTCTGTTAAATGAGGGTGAAGCTTATTCTAACTGATATATTGCCAGAAAGAATAACTTCAGCTAAAATATAGCCAAATCAGGTTTCTTATTTAAGCATCCACTAACATTTAACTGTTTTTTTGCTTACACCCATGTACTGCAAGTCAACTGATTTAGTTATCAAGACATACATTTTGTAACCAGTTTATTTTTACTCCTTCACCATAAAGTCATTTGCTCAAATCTAAATGTTCTCTGGGTGCTGTTCTGGCTTTGAAAAGGTGACTAAGGTGGACTTCTGATAACACTTGCTTGGCTTTATTTATTTCAGGCAAAAATATTAAACTTTGGTCAAATTTTGATCAATTTCTCATTTATGCATATGTTGAAATGAGCCTAAAATGTTCTTAAGGGAAAGCTTGGCCCTCTCATCAGTTCACTTTTATGCAGAAGTAGCTACATCTTCTATTCCCAGGTCAGACAGAAAGGCTCTTCAGCTTTTGTTAAAGGATGTTAATTCAGTGCTAACTTTGCTGATGATTAAAACCCATCATTCTGTCTGACAGCAGCACCTGATAATACCTCCAGGCACTTGTCGGGAAGTAGAACATTAATTCACAGCCACTCAGTATCATGCAAAAGTCTGCTGAGAAGAGTAATATTTATGGAGGACAGTTTAAAAGAATATGTAGTCCTTTATTTTCTCAGATGATCTGAAATCCATCCTTAAACAGATAATCACAGGGCTGCTCATTTGAATTCCTTTGTTTTGGTCCCTTGTACAGTGGCTTTTACTCAGTTATGTTCTGTTATTATGACCTCTGCCTACATTTAAACATATTCTAAGTAACCTCTCTGGGAACTTATAATCATTAGTGTGAAGATGTTGTTTATTCATTACAGGGCATGTGTCTTCTTTACAAGGTCACATGTGCTGACTTTCTCTTTGATTTCATTATAAAAATATTGTGTATCCACTTAGTGAATAATTTTTATTGAGCAACTGGTTTATTTTTAGAGACATTGCATTTTTGTGTTGCATATAATTTACTAAGTCCAATGACTATTTTTCTGAAACAAGGGAAATAAAAATAAATAACTGGGCTTAATGTACCCTTCCCTTTCACGCTTTTACATATTGTCCTCCTTTTTCGTGATCACTATGTCAGTGATTTTCTACCTTGACTGCTGTGGTCTAAAAGTTTGTGTCCCCCTAAAATTCATATGCCAATCTTAACCTCCAAGGTATCTGAAGGTGGGGAACTTTGGGAGGTGATTAGGTCATGGGGGTGGAGACCTCACAAATGGAATTGATACTCATATAAAAAGAGTCAGAGAGAGACTCTTCACCCCTTCCACCATGTGAGGATGTTGTGCAAAGATGCAGTTTCTGAACTAGGAAGCAGACCCCCATCAATACAAAATCTGCCAACATCTCGCTCTTGGACTGGCCAGCCTCCAGAAATACATTTCTGTAGTTTAAAAACCACAGAGTTTATTGTATTTTGTTGTAGCAGCCCAAATGAACTAAGGAACTGGCTTATGGCTTTGTCTCTTTGGGGTAAAGGTAAAGAAGGATATTTGGATCATCCCATTTTTCTTAGGATCATCCCATTTTTTTTTTTTTTTAGAATGTAAAAGTTATGCTGAGCTTTTAGGAAAAACAACTTCAAAACTGAAGTCCTTCAGAATGATTAAGAGAAATTAGAATTTCTAGTTTATATTTTAGGCAATTTATTTAGAGTTGGGGTCTTGTTCTGTTGCCCAGGTTATTTTAAAAAATCTGTTTAAACTTATCATTTTAATACACTTACTTTTTAATAGATAATACATTTATGCAGCTCTAAATCTAAAAGAATAAAAAAGGTATGCAATGTAGTCTTTCCGAACTCATGTCCTAGCCCCTTAGTTGTCTTCCTTGGAAGCTGCCAAGGTTATGTTTCTTTTGTAGCCATATATTTTGGTGTATTTTTTTGTAAATAAAAATACGTATAAACTCTTTTTTTTCTGATTTGTCTTCTTTTTGAGATAGGGTCTCACTCTGTCACCCAGGCTGGAGTGCAGCAGTGCAGTCATAGCTCATTGTAGCTTCGAACTCCTGGACTCAAGTGATCCTCCCACCTTGGCCTCCCAGAATACTGAGATTACAGACATTTTTTTCTGATTTTTTAATTGTAAAATACTGATCACATTGTGCTGTCATTTTCATTTGTCACAAACTGTATATTATGAAGCTTTCTCCATATCGAAGGGGATAAAGTCCTTCCTTATTCTTTGCTCTGATCACCAAGTACTCTATGGCTATACTTTACTTAACCAGTTCCCTATTCACATCATTCTTGTTGCTTCTAATTCTTTTTAAAAATTGTTATTACAAACAATACTTTATTGGCTAACCTTTTACAGAGCCAAGTTTCCAGTATGATAAAGCCCTATAAGTTTAACTTTTGGCTCACATTTTACTGGATTTTAGGTTTTGATGGGTATTGCCAACTTGCTGTCCATAGAAGTAGCACTATTTTACAATCTCCTGGCTATTTTTGTATTGCTTTTTAAATGAGGCCTTCAAAGCTTCAAATTACTTTATGTCATTTGAGTGCTGTACAGCATCATAGATGGTTTTGCCCTCAAGAACTAACATTCAAAAGAAATCAATTTTTTTCCAAGCACATACATATTTTTTAATGGGCTGTTTTGCTTATTGTAATCTATTTGTCCATATTTCTTTGCGAAAGAGTGAGTGTAATGAATCAGGCAGACATAGCTAGAAAGGTAGTTAACAAATGACATTCCTCCCTTGCCTCAGGGCCCATCGTGTTGTCATAGATGGCTCTTGTCCCTGGATTTAGACAGGCTGGCAGCTGCCTATTACCCCATCCATAACACCGTGCAGGAGATGAGGGTGGAGAGAGATGAGCTGGAAGTCTGGTGGCTAAAAGCAGAAGATTAAACACACCCTTGCTCAGGAAAACTTTCCAAACTACACATTACTCTTGACTTAAAAAAAAATGAACAAAATATATCACCCAAAAAATCCTGTCCTCAAGAAGGAGTCTGATGTGAAAGAATAAAACGTCGATTTATGAATAGCATGCTATGCATCACCTGGCAAAGGCCTGAAGAATCCTCTAGTCTCACGAGGTGGGCCAGCAACGTGGATCTGTCTCCAAATGACTGTAAACTTGTTTCTGCCTGTCTCACTTTACCTGTGAAATAAATGGACGAATACATTTTTCTCTTTGTCAGAATGGCATCACAGATTGCTCAGATGCTTTTCCCTGGAATCACACAGTCAAAATGTGGCCAAAACTGAACAGGAAGCTGAGACCCGCCCCCAAACAGGGCTCAGAACACAGCTCTCACTCTCATTCTGGGAAGTCCAAATTCTGCCTCACACTCAAGGCCCTTACTCCAGAAGCTGGCCCCACACTGTTATTCTGGTTTATTCCCAGATTAATCCTTCCCACAGAATCCACACTCCAAGGCAATGGAATTATATGCTTATCTGGAAACACGCTCTATTCTTTTCCACCTCATGCCTTTATGCTCTTTCTGTGCCTGTACGTTTCTCTTCACCATGTCTATTCATCAAAATCCTAGTTGTAGAATAACTAGAATTGTAGAATAATCAGTAGTTGTAGAAGAAAACTTTCCTTAAGTTTTCCCTAACTATGCTTCAACAAATTCTATGTAATCTCTTCCCTGGGTCAAACACATATTATATTTTCTGGTACTTCTCACCCAGAATTCCAGGCAGTTATTCATGTTTTTTATGAATTTGACTCTTTCATTCCCCTGCATTGGATTATAAACCCTTTTATGACACATACCATCAACCTTATATCCATTGCAGTGCCTGGCTCACTTCTGAGGCTTAAACACACACACACACACACACTCACACACACACTCCTACATGTGTTTAATATATGGATAAAAAGAATTTTGATGGAAGTAAATGACTGAATGAATCAATATGTGTTTCTTCAGTAGGTCAAATGGTGAAGGACATTAATCGTAATTGATACTACATATTTGCAGCTGGAAACTCTTGTTTGTTTCATGCATAAGCCAGTGGTTCTTAGTGACATCAGAATCACCTTGGTAGCTTGGTAAAATACAGGTCGTTAGGCCTCATCCCCAGAATTTGATTTGATAGATCTGAGATTGTACTTTTCTAACAAATTCCCAGGGGGTGTTGATGCTGCAGGTTCAGCCACCAGATTTTGAGAGCCGTTGTGATTGTATAGCAGTCTATTGTAATTGTGTGTGTGCTAACAGGATTGTTGCCAAGTCACTTTTGTTTAATTAGCTCTGATCTGTTTACCCAGGAGGATGTTTGATAGACCTCAGGAACAGATCCGACTCTGCCAATGTATCAATGGACTGTGATTGACAGGAAGACCAGCCTTCATGGCTGGCATTGTTTGGAAATTGTTGCTCCCTTGAACCTGTGATGGAATCCAAAAAAAATTCTTTCATCATGGTCCTTAACTCTCAGAGGAAGAAGAGTAGCACCTGCAGCTCAGCCGCTATTTGGACTTCAGTACTCTGCTGTGATAATGCCTGGGATAGCGAAAACCACATACAGCTCAGGCGCTGTGCTGATATAAAACCTGTGCAGTCCCGATGCCTAGATTTCAAAAGGCTGGGGTCATTAGAACATAATTTGTGGATCATCATGGAAAATAAAAATGAGGGGAAAATAATAGTTATAATTAAATTATAAATAATTAAAAAATATCTAATTTATAATTAATTTATAAAGAATATATTTATAAAATAAATACATTATAATTAAAATCATAATAAAAACATGATTAAGAATTTCAAGATGGCAACAGGAGAACGTTAAGCATGGGGCCTACTGAGCACAGGACTCTGTGTGGCTGCCCAGGTTGCGTTCCATGAATTTGCTCTGAACTTGGCTGTGTAGGGCTTTCAGCCATTCTGGAAGAGACAGTAGATGGCAGGGAAAGGGACTGGGCAAAGGCAGGAGGAGTTGGATGGTGCATGAGTAGAGAGAGAAGGAGGAAGATGGTGTTAAAGATGGCTTTCCTGGCTCTTCTTTCTCTCCACATTGTGAGAGTGTTGCTTTTTTGGGGTGGGGTAGGAGGGTGCCTCAACATCTGGTGTCTGAACCTGTAGCATCAGCATCAGCTGGGAATTTGGGAGTTTCCTGGAACACAAAGCAGGAAACACCCCCTGAAGTTTTGGCATGTCGCTCAGCACATGGGGGATATGATGGTTTAAGAAAGAATGACAAGGACAAGGACACTGACAACACCCCCATTTGTCCCAAAGCAATGAAGAGCACTTGACAAGCTCCAGGCTGCCCGAGAGCAGCAAGGCCCCCCTAGGTAGGGTACCAGAACTTGGAATCACTCTTGTTCTCTTCCTTTAGTGTGTCTTCTTCTTCAACTTCTCTTTAACTTTTCAAAAAATAAATTATATCGGCCGGGTGCGGTGGCCCACGCCTCTAATCCCAGCACTTTGGGAGGCCAAGGTGGGAGGATCACGAGGTCAGGAGATCAAGACCATCCTGGCTAACACGGTGAAACCCCATCTCTACTAAAAATACAAAAAATTTAGGCGGGCGTGGTGGCGGGTGCCTGTAGTCCCAGCTACTCAGGAGTCTGAGGCAGGAGAATGGTGTGAACCCGGGAGGCGGAGCTTGCAGTGAGCCGAGATCGCGCCACTGCACTCCAGCCTGGGCGACAGAGCGAGAGTCTGTCTCAAAAAAAAAAACAAAAAGAAAAGAAAAGAAAAAATAAATAAATTATATCTCTTATTTTTCTGTGGAAAATTTTTTTCTTGAAAAATTGTATTTATTTTAAAAAATAAAGGAATCCCTGGCTTCTGCATTAAGTGCTTAGTAGATGACAAGCTCCTCAGGGCCCAAGATCCACCTCATTCATCTTTGTGTCCTTGTTCACAGGACACAAAGTGGTACGCACATGTTGAAACACTGAATGGAATTGCTTTTTGCATTCGCTCAGAAGCTTCAAATTCTCTCCGCATTGTTGAGCACAGTGAGCGCAGGGTTATTGTTTAAATATTAAAAGAGAACACAGCTAATTTGAAGCACACATTTGGGTTCTGGACTATGGTTATGCCAGCTTCATTATGAAGTTTTTCATCACTTTTTGGCCTTTTGGCTAAGATTGAATGTATTATGTTGTTTTTCTTGTTAGGATAAAACCTTTTGCTGGATTATATATCCAGAAATTTTTTAAGGCTTTTGAGGAGATTTAATTTGATACACAGCTGCATGCTCTAGGTAAGTCAATTAACACGTCTGGATCTTATTTTCCTCATGCATTAATGTAACATCTAATTGAGCAATCCATGTACTGACACCCATTTACGAGTCAGGATCATAACACCCACTATTTTAGCTTGAACGGCTGTAACCAAGTACCATAGACTGGCGGGGCTTCTAAACAACAAATTTATGTCCCACGGTTCTGGAGGCTGGAAGTTGAGATCAGGGTGCCATCAAGGCGGCGTTCCAGCGAGGATGCTCTTCTGGGTTACAGACTGCCAACTTCTGGCTGTATCCTCACATGGCAGAAAGAGGAGAGAGCTCTCTGGGGTCATTTTTATAAGGGCACTATTCTTATTCATAAGGGCTCCACCCTCATGACCTAATCACCTCCCAAAGGCCCTACCTCCTAATACAACCATATCAAGGATTAGGATTTCAACATAAGAATTTTGGAGAGTGGGTCACAAACATTCAGTCCATTGCAATACATTGGCAAACGGTTCTTGTCGTCTTATCAACTAGTGCTCATGGACATGTAAAAAATAATAATGCAATTGCGGCACATAGCAAAAGAGCTCTGGGAAGAAGGGCTCTGGAACATAGAGGAGGAGCCCCTGCTCTCTGCCTGGGGAGCTGAGACAGATTCCACAAAGACGGTGCACCTGAAAAGCGAGTGTCTCCAGAAGTGGTGGATGGGCTCCCTGAAAACAGCTTCACACTGCTTCTTCTGAGCGTGTTGGTCAGAATGGAAGAATCTCTAATGTCCCCTCCAGACCTGGTGAATGAAAATACTGGGATTTAGGAGATGGCCTAAGAAATGTTTGGGAGCAGCACATGTTTCTATTTCTCTGCTTTTTTTTTTTTTCCTTACAGATGCTTGGTTGTCTCCCATTTCAAGACATGTCTGTTTTGACTGCATAGTTACATTTGTTGTGGTGAGCAGACTGCTCATTAATATTTTAATTAAGGAACACAATTTCTGTCCTCACTGTCCCCATATACTAGTTTCTGCTTTTTTTCCACTTTCTTTAAAGAAAAAATTCTTGGAAAAGCTTTGTTTTATAGAACTCTCTTGAGCAAGAGCAAATTTGTTTTCTCCGCAAAATTAAAGGTGAGCTATCTTGGAAACATATAGACCTTTCCATATCTCTGATTTCCTGAATTTCTAGTGAGATTCCCTTGTCTTCTGATGAAAATATTTGCTGGTAGTCATTTGTAATGCAAACAGCTTCCCTAACAATCTCTCTAGAGGGTGGAAGGGAATCTGTTTCTAAAGAAACCATGTGACATTGAGGACTTCTATGACTGTTACAATTTTAAGAAAATTTTAATTTGACCTTTTTTAAAGAAAAAAATTAGGTGTAAAGTTTAATCCTTCCAATTCTTCAGAGTCTGAGAACTTGTTAAAGAGGGAGGCTCCCTAAGATCTAGAATTCTTGAAATGAATGTCCATAACCTTGAACAACTTTTCTATGTTCTCAAAATCGCTACAACAGAACCCCTGAAGGACTTGAACTTCTGTGAACTTGAAAACAGCAAGTTCTTAGAACCTCAAGTTCTCTGTCTACCAAATTAAAACATTAATTCCCATCTCATGATGACATTGCTTCCATTTTATTCCCTCAATATTATTTTGAATATTAGGGAGTGGGTGGGTAGGTCTGGGAATATCACAGGGATGGGTTTATTGTTTGTTTCCGTAACATGACACATGCAATGGTGGAGAGCTTGTGTCATTATCAAAGAAAGCAAGAAAACTACTGAGTTCTGTACTTTCCTATTTGGTACAAAGATGCTGTGGACTTCGTCTGCCAAATTCTGCTCCCATTTTGGGAGAAGGAGTGGGTTGGAAAAACCATAGAAATAGGTTTGATGGGAGGCAAACACTCTCAGTGTCCCCAAGAACCATCATTGGTCACCCCCCAAATGGGGCAAAGACTGATTTTTGTCTATTTTATAGCATTGCTCTGCCTCCCTCCTTCCTCACTGCCTCCCCCTGAAAAATTTGAAGCACATGTTGCTGAAAAAATGATGCTGCCAACACTCCACAGTCTCAGGAACACTGAGAATGTTGAAATATTTGAGTTTGATTCTCTCCTCTGCATGTTTGTCCATGGATTTAAAAAAATCCGTAGTTACTGAAACAGGTTTCATTTGGCAACTCTTACAACTCCTAGGCTACTATTGTCCTGTCAACTTACTTTCCCCCATGTGGAAACTATTTCTTTCAAATACTCCTTTTATTGCTAAACTAAAGGCAAAACAAAAATGAACTAGGATGACAAATTCTTAAGAAATGTTTCACTATTTTATTTGCTTACTCAGAATAAGGTACAATCATTCACATAAAAAAAATCTTCCTACTCAGCAGAATTTGCTTTTGTTTTCCTCCCTGTAATTTACTGCCTGGTTAGGGTTTAATAGCACAATATACTCTCATTCACTGTCCCCATAAAATCTGCAGGCAGAGAAACAGCTACAGTCGGATATGTTCCCGCTCTGGGTTAAGAAATGGAATACTGAAGTTGAATCTTGGTGGAAGTGGAGCTATGAAATTATAAGGCAAATTGACTTTACAGGCATTTTTGCTGAGAATAGGGTGCTAGACACTCAAGCTCTGCAAACCTCCTGGGGCCTGTCTCATTCAGCACACTCCACTGCTTTCACTCGGTTTAATTTCTGAATATTATTTGTGTTGATTGTTAATGTCACGTGATACAATATTGCAAGAGTTATGATTGAGTTGAACAGTGTTTCTAGAGCTTACTCAAAGAAGAGAAAACACTCTTGGATACCAGTGGGGTTAAGTATACAGTGATTTCAGCATAGTTTTTTTTTTTAAATTATACTTTTAGTTCTGGAACACATGTGCAGAATGTACAGGTTTGTTACATAGGTATACACGTGCCATGGTGGTTTGCTGCACCCATCGACCTCATCATCTACATTAGCTATTTCTCCTAATGCTATCCCTCCCCTAGCTCCCCACCCTCTGACAGGCCCTGGTGTGTGATGTTCCCCTCCCTGTGTCTATGTGTTCTCATTGTTCAACTCCCACTTAGGAGTGAGAACATGCAGTGTTTGGTTTTCTGTTCCTGTGTTAGTTTGCTGAGAATGGTGGTTTCCAGCTTCATCAATGTCCCTGCAAAGGACATGAACTCATCCTTTTATACAGCTGCATAGTATTCACATATACACATAGTGTATATGTGCCACATTTTCTTTATCCAGTCTATTATTGATGGGCATTTGGGTTGGTTCCAAGTCCTTGCTATTGTGAATAGTGCCGCAGTAAACATACGTGTGCATGTGTCTTTATAGTAGAATGATTTATAATCCTTTCAGTATATACCCAGTAATGGGATTCCTGGGTCAAATGGTATTTCTGGTTCTAGATCCTTGAGGAGTCACCACTGTTTTCCACAATGGTTGAACTAATTTACACTCCCACCAACAATGTAAAAGTGTTCCTATTTCTCCACATCCTCTCCAGCATCTGTTGTTTCCTTTTTAAAGATCGCCATTCTAATTTGAGTGAGATGCTATCTCATTGTGGTTTTGATTTGCATTTCTCTAATGACCAGTGATGATGTGCTTTTTTTATATGTTTATTGGCCGCATAAATATGTTCTTTTGAGAAGCATCTGTTCATATCCTTCACCCATGTTTTGATGGGGTTGTTTGTTTTTTTCTTAAAATTTGTTTAAATTCTTTGTAGATTCTGGATATTAGCCCTTTGTCAGATGGATAGATTGCAAAAATTTTCTCCCATTCTGTGGGTTGCCTGTTCACTCTGATGATAGTTTCTTTTGCTATGCAGAAGCTCTTTAGTTTAATTAGATCCCATTTGTCAATTTTGGCTTTTGTTGCCATTGCTTTTGGTGTTTTAGTCATGAAGTCTTTCCCCATGCCTATGTCCTGAATGGTATTGCCTAGGTTTTCTTCTAGGGTTTTTATGGTTTTAGGTCTTATGTTTAAGTCTTTAATCCATCTTGAGTTAATTTTCGTATAAGGTGTAAGGAAGGGGTCCAGTTTCAGCTTTCTGCTTATGGCTAGCCAGTTTTCCCAACACCATTTATTAAATAGGGGATCCTTTCCCCATTGCTTGTTTTTATCAGCTTTGTCAAAGATCAGATGGTTGTAGATGTGTGGCATTACTTTTGAGGCCTCTGTTCTGTTCCGTTGGTCTACATCTCTGTTTTGGTACCAGTACCATGCTGTTTTGGTTATTGTAGCCTTGTAGTATAGTTTGAAGTCAGGTAGCGTGATGCCTCCAGCTTTGTTCTTTTTGCCTAGGATTGTCTAGGCTATGTGGGCTCTCTTTTGGTTCCGTATGGAATTTAAAGTAGCTTTTTCTAATTCTTTGAAGAAAGTCAATGGTAGCTTGATGGGGATGGCATTAAATCTGTAAATTACTTTGGGCAGTATGGCCATTTTCACGATATTGATTCTTCCTATCCATGAGCATGCAATGTTTTTCCATTTGTTTGTGTCCTCTCATTTCCTTGAGCAGTGGTTCATAGTTCTCCTGGAAGAGGTCCTTCACATCCCTTGTAAGCTGTATTCTCAGGTATTTTATTCACTTTGTAGCAATTGTGAATAGGAGTTCACTCATGATTTGGCTCTGTTTTTCTATTATTGGTGTATAGGAATGCTTGTGATTTTTTATTTTTGCACGTTGATTTTGTATCCTGAGACTTTGCTGAAGTTGCTTATCAGCTTCAGGAGATTTGGGCTGAGATGATGGGGTTTTCTAAATAGACAATCATGTCATCTGCAAACAGAGATAATTTGACTTCCTTTCTTCCTATTTGAATACCCTTTATTTCTTTCTCTTGCCTGATTGCCCTGGCCAGAACTTCCAATATTATGTTGAATAGGAGTGGTGAGAGAGGGCATCCTTGTCTTGTGCCAGTTTTCAGAGGGAATGCTTCCAGCTTTTGCCCATTCAGTATGATATTATCTGTGGGTTTGTCATAAATAGTTCTTATTATTTTGAGATTCTTTTCATCAATACCTAAGTTTTTAGCATGAACAGGTGTTGAATTTTATCAAAGGCCTTTTCTGCATCTATTGAGATAATCATGTGGTTTTTGTCATTGGTTCTGTTTATGTGATGGATTACATTGATTCATTTGCATATGTTGAACCAGCCTTGCATCCCAGGGATGAAGCCGATTCGATCATGGTGGATAAGCTTTTTGATCTGTTGCTGGATTCAGTTTGCCAGTATTTTATTGAGGATTTTCGTGTCGATGTTCATTAGGGATATTGGCGTGAAATTTTCTTTTTTTGTTGTGTCTCTGTCAGGTTTTGGTATCAGGATGACACTTACCTCATAAAATTAGTTAGGGAGGAGTCCTTCTTTTTCTATTGTTTGGAATAGTCTCAGAAGGAATGGTACTAGCTCCTCTTTGTACCTCTGGTAGAATTCAGCCGTGAATCCGTCTGGTTGGTCCTGGGCTTGTTTTGGTTGGTAGGCTATTAATTGCTGCCTCAATTTCAGAACTTGTTATTGGTCTATTCAGGGATTTGACTTCTTCCTGGTTTAGTCTTGGGAGGGTGTATGTGTCCAGGAATTTATCCATTTCTTCTAAATTTTCTAGTTTATTTGCATAGAGGTGTTTATCGTATTCTCTGATGGTAGTTTGTATTTCTGTGGGATCAGTGGTGATATCCCCTTTATCATTTCTTATTGTGTTTATTTGATTCTTCTCTCTTTTCTTTATTAGTCTGGCTAGCAGTCTATTTTGTTAATCTTTTCATAAAACCAGCTCCTGGATTCATTGATTTTTTTGAAGGGCTTTTCATGAATCTATCTCCTTCAGTTCTGCTCTGATCTTAGTTATTTCTTGTCTTCTGCTAGCTTTCGAATGTGTTTGCTCTTGCTTCTCTAGTTCTTTTAATTGCAATGTTAGGGTGTTGATTTTAGTTCTTTTCTGCTTTCTCTTGTGGGCATTTGGTGCTATAAATTCCCCTCTAAACAGTGCTTTAGCTGTGTCCCAGAGATTCTGGTACATTGTGTCTTTGTTCTCATTGGTTTCAAAGAACTTATTTATTTCTGCCTTAATTTTGTTATTTACCCAGTAGTCATTCAGGAGCTGGTGGTTCAGTGTCCATGTAGTTGTGTGGTTTTGAGTGAGTTTCTTAATCCTGAGTTCTAATTTGATTGCACTGTGGTCTGAGACACTATTTGTTATGATTTCCATTCTTCTGCATTTCCTGAGGAGGGTTTTACTTCCAATTATGTGGTCAATTTTAGAATAAGTGTGATGTGGTGCTGAGAAGAATGTATATTCTGTTGATTTGGGGTGGAGAGTTCTGTAGATGTCTATTAGGTCTGCTTGGTCCAGGGCTGAGTTCAAGTCCTGAATATCCTTGTTAATTTTCTGTCTCATTGATCTAATATTGACAGTGGGGTGTTGAAGTCTCCCACCATTATTATGTGGCAGTCTAAGTCTCTTTGTATTTCTTTAAGAAGCTGCTTTATGAACCTGAATGCTCCTGTATTGGGTGCCTATATATTTAGGATAGTTACTTCTTGTTGTTGCATTGATGCCTTTATCATTATGTAATGCCTTTCTTTGTCATTTTTTTAAATCTTTGTTGGTTTAAAGTCTGTTTTATCAGAGACTAGGATTGCAACCTCTGCTGTCTTTTTTTTCATTTGCTTGGTAAATATTCCTCCATCCCTTTATTTTGAGCCTATGTGCGTCTTTGCACATGAGATGGGTCTCCTGAATACACCACACTGATGGGTCTTGACTTTTTATCCAATTTGCCAGTCTGTGTCTTTTAATTGGGGCAGTTAGCCTGTTTATATTTAAGGTCAATATTGTTATGTATGAATTTGATCTTGTCATTATGATGCTAGCTGGT
The DNA here is from genome assembly GCF_000001405.40 of Homo sapiens. NCBI lineage: Eukaryota > Metazoa > Chordata > Mammalia > Primates > Hominidae > Homo > Homo sapiens. The sequence continues at coordinate 17,773,803 of NC_000021.9, forward strand.
TATTTTGCCCGTTAGTTGATGCAGTTTCTTCATAGTGTCAATGGTCTTTACAATTTGGTATGTTTTTGCAGTAGCTGGTACCGGTTTTTCCTTTCCATATTTAGCGCTTCCTTTAGGAGCTCCTGTAAGGCAGGCCAGGTGGTGACAAAATATTTCAGCATTTGCTTGTCTGTAAAGGATTTTATTTCTCCTTCACTTATGAAGCTTAGTTTGGCTGGATATGAAATTCTGGGTTGAAAATTCTTTTCTTTAAGAATGTTGAATATTGGCCCCCACTCTCTTCTGGCTTGTAGGGTTTCTGCAGAGAAATCCGCTGTTAGTCTGATGGGCTTCCCTTTGTGGGCAACCTGACCTTTCTCTCTGGCTACCCTTAACATTTTTTCCTTCATCTCAACCTTGGTGAATCTGATAATTATGTGTCTTGGGGTTGCTCTTCTCGAGGAGTATCTTTGTGGTGTTCTCTGTATATCCTGAATTTGAATGTTGGCCTGCCTTGCTAGGTTGAGGAAGTTCTCCTGGATAATATCCTGAAGAGTGTTTTCCAACTTGGTTCCATTTTCCCCGTCACTTTCAGGTACACCAATCAAATGTAGGTTTGGTCTTTTCACATAGTCCCATATTTCTTGGAGTCTTTGTTCGTTCCTTTTCATTCCTTTTTCTCTAATCTTGTCTTCACACTTTATTTCATTAAGTTGATCTTCAGTCTCATATCTTTTCTTCTGCTTGATGGATTTGGCTATTGATACTTGTGTATGCTCACAAAGTTCTCGTGCTGTGTTTTTCAGGTCCATCACGTCATTTATGTTCTTCTCTTAACTGGTTATTCTAGTTAGCGATTCCTCTAACCTTTTTTCAAGGTTCTCAGCTTCCTTGCATTGGGTTAGAACATGCTCCTTTAGCTTGGAGGAGTTTGTTATTACCCACCTTCTGAAGCCTACTTCTGTCAATTCGTCAAACTCATTCTCTGTCCAGTTTTGTTCCTTTGCTAGAGAGGAGTTGTGATCCTTTGGAGGAGAAGAGGCGTTCTGGTTTTTGGAATTTTCAGCCTTTTTGCACTGGTTTTTCCTCATCTTCATGGATTTATCTACCTTTGGTCTTTAATGTTGGTGACCTTCAGATGGGGTTTCCGTGTGGATGTCCTTTTTGTTGATGCTATTCCTTTCTGTTTGTTAGTTTTCCTTTTAACAGTCAGCCCCTCTGCTGCAGGTCTGCTGGAGTTTGCTGGGGGTCCACTCCAGACCCTGTTTGCCTGGGTATCACCAGCAGAGGCTGCAGAAGAGCAAAGATTGCTGCCTGCTTCTTCCTCTGGAAGCACTGTCCCAGAGGGGCACCCGCCAGATACCAGCCGGAGCTCTCCTGTATGAGGTGTCTGTCTTCCCCTGCTGGGAGGTGTCTTCCAGTCAGGAGGCAAAGGGGTCAGGGACCCACTTGAGGAGGGCATCTGTTCCTTAGCAGAGCTCGAGCACTGTGCTGGGAGGTCCGCCGCTTTCTTGAGAGCCAGCAGGCAGTAACGTTTAAGTCTGCTGAAGCTGTGCCCACAGCCGCCCCTTCCCCCAGATGCTCTGTCCCAGGGAGATGGGAGTTTTATTTATAAGCTCCTGACTGGGGCTGCTGCCTTTCTTTCGAGATGCCCTGCTCAGAGAGGAGGAATCTAGAGAGGCAGGCTGGCAGTATCAGCTTTGCCGAGATGTGGTGGGCTCCGCCCAGTTTGAACTTCTGAGAGGCTTTGTTTACACTATGAGGGGAAAACCACCTACTGAACCCTCAGTAATGGCAGACGCCCCTCCCTCCACCAAGCTCTAGTGTCCCAGGTCGACTTCAGACTGCTGTGCTGGCAGCGAGAATTTCAAGCCAGTGGATCTTAGCTTGCTGGGCTCTGTGGGAGTGGGATCTGCTAACCTAGACCACTTGGCTTCCTGGTTTCAGCCCCCTTTCCAGGGGAGCGAATGGTTCTGCCTCGCTGGCATTCCAGATGCCACTGGGGTATGAAAAACTACTCCTGCAGCTAGCTTGGTGTCTGCCCAAACGGCCGCCCAGTTTTGTGCTTGAAACCCTGGGGCCTGGTGGTATAGGTACCAGAGGGAATCTCCTGGTCTTCAGGTTGCGAAGATCATGGGGAAAGCGTAGCATCTGGGCCAGAGTGCACCGTTACTCATGGTACAGTCCTTCATGACTTCCTGTGGCTAGGGGAGGGAGTTCCCCGACCCGTTGCACTTCCCAGCTGAGGTGATGCCCCACCCTGCTTCAGCTCGCCCTCCGTGGGCTGCACCCACTGTCTAACTAGTCTTAATGAGATGAGCCGTGTACCTCAGTTGGAAATGCAGAAATCACCTGCCTTCTGCACTGATCTCTCTGGGAGCTGCAGACCAGAGCTGTTCCTGTTTGGCCATCTTGCCAGCCACTCCTGTTGTCTGTTTTTTAAGAGGAGCATTTTACACTTTGTTGGTAATGAATAGAATGGGGTGCAGAATCATTGAATTATGGGAGGCATCTGTTTATGTGCCTGTTATAAAATAGGAGTTTTTATGACCCAGGGATAGATTGATGAATAGGCCTTTGAATGATAGCTGAAGAAACAGCACTTTTATAGTCTCCTACTTTTTAAACTAAAAGATCATCTATGAACAGCAAATTCGATCTATGATCTGGTTCATTTAATTAATATCACATGACTATTTGAATGTATAATTTCTCCTTTCATATAGATAACTCTTAAGCACAAGAGCAGCTTGCAAGGCAAATTTGCTGATGCTTAAAAACCCAAACAAATGGGGTAAGTCATAAGAGGCGATAAGAACAGTACATTTTGTCAATAGATACTAGACTTACTGAAAGTTGGAGCAAGACTCTGGTAGCCAGAAGGGCTGTCTCAAATCCCAGCTCCACCCCTTATAATAGAATAATTTCGTCAATGCAAATGTGTGCCTTCGTTTCCCATCTGTAAAGTAATAGTTCCCACTTTTTAGGTTTGTTAAGAGGATGAACTCATTTAATGATTGTAAAGTATTAGAACAACTCATGGCACTTGGTGGTTTTTGTATAGCATTTTATTATTATGTATTATTATTATTTATTCCCATGTCCTTTGGACTTTTAGTCTAGTTGCTCCTTCTTTTGTACTACTGCCACCCAGAAAAGCAAAAAAAGAACCTAATATGCTGGCTCAAATACATCATTTTGGCAAATGTATGTACGTATGTATGTATGTGTGTATGTCTACATATGGGCAGTCTCACTTCACAGAAATGTCTCTGCCTCCCTTCATTGAGGAGGGGCCATTTAGACCATTGTAGATGGCTCCCAAGTAATCTCTCCTTAGCGACCACTCTCACCACACTGTCCCAAAGTGACCTCTCATTGAAATGTTGAAGCCTCTACTAGTGAAAGTTTCAAGATCACTGGTGCTATAGTTAGCAGTTTAAAACCTTCTCAAAGAAATGTCTCTACAGGATAGCTTATTACAGGCTCTGTTTACACAAACCATCTGTGGGGGACTTTGGAATTTGGTAACTCATCAGTAGTTATAATGATCACAATCACCAGCCCCAAGACCAGGAAAACACCTCCAGAAGCTGTACATTTTTGCAAGTGACACAAGGTATTCATCATTGATCACAATCAGCATTGGATTTATTGTTTTAGTTTTCAAGAATCTTACTCTGTTCTGAAAACCATGAAGTTTCCTCACTTAAAAGCCAAAATGTAAATGTGTGACATGTATTTTTCCCCAAGGCAAGTGAGTCACTGCAGATGCAGTGACAAGCTATCCTTCAGTTTGATAGTTGATCAGTGAACTGGATGTAAAACTGCAGCAAGTCTGCAATATGAGGAAATTAGATAAGCAAGATTATCTCTAAAATAAACCTCTACTTTAAAAAATAATCTATTACTCCAGCCAAAGTACACAGGGACTGAGATGATTTGGGGGACAACATTAATAGATCATAGATGATTGATTCAATGTGAGAAGGAATAGAACTAAGGGTTAGAATTAAGGATTAAAACAGTCAGTGCAATGATTAAATACACAGGCATACGAGTTAAACTACCCGGGTTCACCCCTCTAATAGTATGACGGGCTAGGTTCTTAAATTCTCTGCACCTGTTTCCTCATCTGTAGAATGGAGATAATTGTACCTACCTCATAAAGAAATTGTGAAAACTAAATGTGATGATGTCTATAAAACTTAAGAACAATGCTTGCCTTTGAGTAAAACTCCACAAATGCTAGATAGTATTTTATCACTTATAATAACTAATGATTTCAAACTGCTAACATTTGAAACTTTGATGATCAAGGATCAAGAATTTGTGAATACTAATGATAGTATTTATTTTAGCAATTTAAAGTAGCTTCTTTCAACTTGCTAACATTTGAAACTCTAAGGATCAATGATTTGATGAAGGATCAAGGATTTCTCAATTTGGGAGCCATTATATGATTTTTTTTCTTAGTAAAAGCATTTCCATTTATATTTTGTTTCAAGCACTGTGTTATGATTGGATAGTCTTAATTGATAATATTTGTTATTTGTTTTCTTTCAATGAGTAAGCTTTCAATGAGTAAGACCTAAGAATAACAAAGATTTAAAAAAATTTTTCAATATTTTATATATATATATATAAATTACCACAGTTATACATTCATATTGTCTTTAAAGGTCAAATTGTATTTTCTTTTTTGTTGTTGTTTCTTTTTTTTTTGAGATGGAGTTTTGCTCTTGTCGCCCAGGCTGGAGTGCAATGGCTCAATCTTGGCTCACTACAACCTCCCTCTCCCGGGTTCAAGCGATTCTCCTGCCTCAGCCTTCCAAGTAGCTGGGATTACAGGCACCCACTACCACGCCCAGCTACTTTTGTATTTTTAGTAGAGACGAGGTTTCACCATGTTGGCCAGGCTGGTCTTGAACTTCTGACCTCAGGTGATCTGCCTGCCTTGGCCTCCCAAAGTGCTGGGATTACAGGCATGAGCCACCATGCCCAGCCCAAATTGTATTTTCTTAAGGAAAATATTCAGCAGTCTCACATCTTTTCTTACCCCCTCCTCATCCTCACTGCCTGACATCAACGTTGATCACTTGATTAGAGTCGAGTCTGTTAGGCTTCTCCACCAAAAAGTAATTCTTTCCCTTTTGTAATTAATAATTATTTGGAAGGATGTATTTTGAGATTATGTAAATAGTTCATCTCTTATGAAAAACTCAATTTATGTATTCATTTCATCACACAGATTTTCCTATTTCATTCAATGGATTCACTAAGTATTTGGGTGCTTACATTGCCTCTGATTTGGCTAGTGGGGACTCCTTCAATATAGTTCTCTGTTATTTTGTCATGTCCCCATCTTTTTTTAGTATTTCTGTACTTTCTGGAACAAAAATATATTCGACTTATCTTGTACCCTAAAGTCAATCATTTCTCCAAAAGGGGCCCGGATTTAGTGAACAGTTTTTAGAAAGCAGTATTTGGGTTCTAGTTGTTACTCATCGCTTTTGTTGGGGGTCACTCTCCCAGACCCCCTTCTCAATGGCCAAGCACAAAAGCACATTTACATCTGTGTGTATCTAGATTTGTATCTTATCTATCTATTGAAAATCATGCATTTACCCCATTATCTTCAATTGCAACCAGACTCACAGGGTTCATTCTGGTTCTCTTCTTTCATATTTGTAACTCTTTGAGGAATGAGAAACCGAACTGCTCAATTTCTTAATATATTTACTTATTTAAATTCCTTCCTATATAACCAACCCTGTGTTGCCACTTTGTCCCTGTAAAAGAAATCAGAATCTTGGGACCTCAAACTCACTACGCCAAAAGGAAAGTTAAGCCTGGGAACTGAGTCATGCAAATATTGCCTTCCTTCTTCCTGAAACAGATAGCTGTCATTTCACAATCCTATGTCATAACATTGTATGTAAGCCAGGTTCCCAACACGGCAAAAGGCCATATACATCCCCAGATGGCCCCCTTCACAGATTGCTCTCAAGGAAATTCCTTGTTAGCTCCAAAATCTTTCAGGATACATATTCCCCTATAAAAGCAACACATGCCAATTGTAACCTTGGTCCTGCCACCTAAGTTTAACTCCTAAAACCGAGTTCTGTTAAATCTCACCCTGACCATGTCAATTACGAGCTTATCTTCCAAGGTACAGAACAAGTACAAGACACGAACCACTCCTGCGCCTACTCTTGAGATGGATGCATAATTGTCTCTTTCCTTTCTCTTTTCAAGTGTTCACCTTCTTTTATGTAAAACATAGATTCCTTTAGTGCTAGTTACAGCCTCACAAGGATGTAACTATTTGTTTCACTGCCTACCCTCCTTCCCTTTCCCCCACTGCTTGCTTTTTCCCCTTAAGTAATGAGTTCCCCAAACCCTCTTCGGAAAGCCCAGGTTACAGATGCTCCTGTGACTTGTGTTTTTCCTGGGTCGTCCTCAAACTTTGGCTTAATAAACCTCTACTAATTGAGACATCTGCCTCATTTTTGTTTAATAACCTTTCCCCCTGCTGATGTTTCCTCTGCCCACTGAGGCTCTGGCACCCCACCCCCAATCTCCTGCTCCCCACTGCCCCCATGGGTGCCCTCCTCCTCCCACTCTAGATCTGATAGCCTGCATCAGACCTCCCCACCCACCCCATGCTAGGCCCTCCTGGTTTGCTCCAGCTCAAACACACCTCACTATGCCCCTGTGAATGAGGACTAACCCTAACCTTGCTTGTTGCACCTGATAGTTCTAGGATGGAATTGTTCCAAAGGAAAGAGGAAGGAATAGCATAAACTTCATTTTGGGGTTTTCTTAGGGGATTTTGCTGGTGCTATTTCTGGCATCTACCAGTAATGAGAGTTTACCTAAGTTGACTGATCAGAACAATTCGGCATACCCAGACATGTGGCTAAGCCGCTGGCTGCTCAGAGGCATGAATTCTTTCGTAGCGGTAGTCTGTTTTCCTGTTCATTAGCGCAACAGGAAACCAAGCACTGGTAATTGGATAAGTCCTCCTTTTACTTGTAATGAGCACCAAGTTAGTGGTAATGACTAAGAGGGCTACTTAACTGAGTTTCAGATCTTGTTCTAAAATTCTTTGTATCTAAGTGAGCTTCCATTTCAAATTCGTTCAGGTATGAGATTGGAATTTGGCTTCTTATGAGCTCATCTGCTATTCCATTTACCTTAGCCTTCTCTTTGGTTCCAGGATATGGTGCCAAAAAATATATTTCTGCACAAGAGATGCTAATATGATAAGGGACATCTGGGGGCTTTTGTACACATTGCTGTGATTTTCTTCTGTTGACCAGAAAATCCTAGCCACACAGTACCCACAGGCCCTTGAACATATGACTACAATATATAACTTGAGCTGCTTTAGTTTGAAGATCTAGTGAGGAGCAGCAGGGTAAGCGATTTCCCCCACCTCCAACCAGGTAATCACAATAGACGTGTGTAAGCTTTGAAATTTCCTATAAACAAATTTTGCTGAAACTGGCTTTTTGATGTAAAGCAGCATTTGTTATGCAAGTTCTACTGCTATTACTCTTCCCATAGTCTATTCTGGTTGACTTTCAGGATGAAGACATCTAAGCTACTTCTGGATTCCCTAGAAAACTTGTGCTGCCTATTCTTTTCCAACTGTGTAGTCCTCTCCTGGCTGTTTCTGTGGTCCAGCAGACTGTGGAGAAATAGCTTACTATTCCATTAGAAAGAAGATCTTGTGTAATAAAAATAAGAAGTGGTATCAGGTCATGGGAGCTTTGGAAATGGAATCGAGATTTGGTGCTTGTCTTTGCCTCTGTGGCTAACAAGGTATAGAACGTTTGGAAGTTTCTTAACTGACTTAGGCCACCTAAAGGTATTAGAGTAGACAAGCAGTTTGTAAAAGGTGCTTTGCAGGTAACCAGGGGCCTGCTGGTCTCTCATAGCTGCCTCAGAGGCTCATGATAGAAGGTTTGAGAAACTAGGGGATTGTCACTGAGAGGGATACAATGGGGACTTCGGTCGAATAATCTCCATTGTCTTTCGAGCAGAACAGCAGCAGCTCTATTTCCTATACATTTCACATTTTGTAATTCTTGAAGGATTTTTTTTAAAACAAAGACCTCTGCTAAAACCAAACCAAACCAAATCAAATCAAATAAAAGCTGCAAGACTCCTGAAGGTCCCTCTAGCTCTACATTTTTAGTACTTTCCTATGATATTTATATATCCCACATGCTGGTTCACTTTGTCATCTGAGATGAGACTAATCTGTGTCCATCTGGGATAGAAATTTCTTCCGTACTTTGATGAAAAGCAGTGTAGTCCTGCAAGATGTGAGTCTATTTCCCCATACTTTATTGACACAGGTATGAAGATGAGAAGAGATGGAGGCAGCAAAGGAAATGTGGTTTTGCATGTCACTAGCTCAACTCCCTCTGCATTTTCTTTTAAGCAAGGGAGGTGCTCCATTGTCTCTATAGGGCAACAGCAGTTCACTGGGTCCCCACATTTTTCTGGGGCTTTTGTGAGAAGCAGTAGGCAGGAACAGTGAAGAGAAACTTAGCAGGAGGCCCAGGTGCTGTCTTTTCTAGTTTCAGAGCTATCTGATCAGGACAAAAAGGAACAAGCTTGTCCACAGCAAGATGGCCAGCAACTTGGTTATTTACCCAGTTAGTCTTGGGGAACACTAGAGCTCTTCCAATAGCTGGGACTATTTAAATTTTTTCAAGGAAACATATGCTGTGGGTTGGTGGTAGATGGGATTCAGGAGGATCCTTCTCTTATACAAGATGACTTTCTGGATAGGTGTTTGTGGGGTACAGAGGGAGGGAGCAAGGAGAATAAGAGAGGAACAAACCAAATGTTCAACATTCTAACACTCTTTAATAATTTATCTAAAATTATTGGATATTGAATTATTAGAGGCATTGAATCTTTTACTTTTTGTATGACACTCACTCAGTCTTCAAATAATTTCTGATTGAACACTAGATTAAGAGGAAAAAATACCACAAATGAAATAACTTGTATTTTTGTTACGCAAAGGATTATTCTAAAAAATAATAAGCTGTTCCTCTAAGCCCTTTTAGAACACATGGAAAACTTCAGAATAGTGTGAGGGCGTCTTACATGCACTTCTTTCTTTGGAGATTGTGATAACCCAAGTAGAGGATTTAGGATTGTGCTGCTCAGAGACAACTGTTTGGATAAAATAATGCCAGATTCATCGTTTCCAGACTTGTTAAATTCATGGAGTATTAAAATAAAATTGAAATAAAATGGAAAATATGATGCCCAGTTGTTTTGTCAAAACCAGTCTAGGTGTTGCTTTGAAAGTAGTTTTTAGATATGATTAACATTTAAATCAGTAGGCTTTGAGTAAAGCAGATTACTCTCTGTAATGTGGGTGGGCCTTGTCCTATCAGTCGAAGGTCTGAAAAGAGTGAGGTCCCCTGAAGAGGAAGGAATTCTGCCTCTGACCTGCCTTCAGACTCAAGACTGCAGCATCAACTCTCGGAGTTTCCACCCATCCAGGCTGCCCTGCAGGTTTCAGACTTGCCAGCCCCCAGAGCTGGTTTAGGGAATTAAACCAATCTTTCTCTCTCCACATATATACATACTTTGTTTTGTTTCTCTGGAGAACCCTGACTAATAGACCAATACAAGATTGTGGTTTTAATTCCACCAAGTAAGGACTGAAAACTAAACAAATAAACAAAAATGAAAATCTACCATCTATTGTCATCACTTCATGAAAGAAAGAAAAATTTACTATTCCCATAGGAAAGACATACTCTCAGAACAAAGAACAATTTTATTGATGAATAAATTCTATCCTATTAACTAGCTTACCACATTGCCTTTACGTGTCTCATTTTCCACACACAGGAGCCAGCCTTTAGGAACTGTGCTGGAGGTGACCCAACTTCTGATTGTGTGGGAGAACTATCCCACTGTTACTCCTAAGAGAACATTCTCTCCCAATAGCTCCCCCGATATGGAATGTGACAGAGTAACAAGATGCCAAAATATATAGACCTCTTTTTCTTTCTACAACATAGGTGCTCTTAAACAGTATGCAGAGGATTGTGTAGCTGCTTATAATAGGAGCCAGGCTGACACAGCTCTCTTTTCTCTTTTGTCACAGGTGATCACAGAAATAGCTTGCTGTAACAGCACCTCACAGTTTCCTCTTAAAATGAAACCACATTTTCTTTGTGCCCTTTCAGCTCAGTTCTGCTGTTCATAGAGGGGCTTGGGAGATTTTCCACTGTAGGTTTCTTAAAATTCATTATACTTGTAGAATGTTAGAGCTAGAAGGTCCCCTAAAGATCATAAAGTTCAATTTCATTTTTTACAGATGAGAAAACAGAGGCTAAGAGAGGTAAAGAGGTGCTTAGTTGTGGCAGAAGATTAGAAGAGAAGTTCCTGCATGTCGGTTTAGCAATCATCTTGCTCATTACAACTTCCTCTTCTGCCTTAATCACTTTTCAGTTCAGTAGCCTCTTTCCTCTAGAATAGCCCTTCTGTATTCACACTGCCTTTTCTTTGCTTTGAAGTTACAGATCTGAAACTCTTGCGTTAGCTATGCTATGGTTTTCTTCCACATTCTGTACACTGTACTGACCATCCTCTTATAAACCTCTTCTCTTCTAGGTTAAAGATTTCTTGACTTCCCTCTGGTGAAGCTTGATACCAACTGACCTATAAGGGCTTGGTTTTCACAACAGAGTCTTAGTCCACCCTCGCCATCGCACCAAATACTGAGAGAACAAATAAAATTATTGCTTGAAGAAACGAAGTAAAGACTATAGTATTCATATTTTTCCCACATGCCATTTGCAGTAGCTTTTCATATTTCTCATCTATCCCACACTAGAAATTTCATCTATTGGCTTTTGTAAATTTTCTTTTTGAGCCACAAATTTATCTCAGTTTCAGATTCTAATCTATTTTCAGTAGTGCTTTCAGTTTAGTTTACTCCCATTTCAAAAATACTCCGTCTTGTTCTTTACAGCAATAAAATCCAAATGCAAATTCCGACAACCTCAGCCAATGGTGAGTCATGGTCCCTCATTTCCACCTCTTCTAAACGGTCATGGTTGCTCATTTTCACTCTTCTAAGCACCTCTTCTTTACAGCAACAAAATCAGAAAGCAAATTCAGGCAACCTTAACCAATGGTGAGTCATGGTTCCTCATTTCCACCTCTTCTAAACCCCTCCTCTGATGGTCAGGACCCTTCTCATTCCTCAAGTAGTAACTATTCAGCACTTTACCACTTCCCTTGAATCTCTGACCCATTATCTTTTTCGTCTTTCTCACAGAAAATAGAGGCAGCCATTTAAGTACTTTCTCAACTTACTCTCCAACAAATCTGATTCAAATACTTTCATCTGTAGTTTTACCTTCTCTCTAGTGTCAAAACCTGAGGTAATCCTAAACCTCTTCAAAGACAAGTCATTCTCGGTGTGCTACTCTGTTCTGTGTCTTCAAACTGGGCTCCTTTGATTATTGCTACCTCTCTATCGTTAGCCTTTCTACTGGCTCTGTCCTCTTAGTATTTATTCATGTTCAAGTACTTCCCAACCTTAAAAAAATAACCTTGACCCAACATCCTCTTTACCTCAACTTCACTTCATAAAATTTTAAAGACATCATACCTCAAATCCACTATCCTACCTGTCTTAGTCTATTTTATGTTGCTATCACAGAGTACTACAGAATGGATAATTAATAACAAACAGTTATTGATTTGGCTTACAATCCTGGAGGTTGGGAAGTCCAAGGGCATGGTGATAGCATCTGGCAAGGTAGCAAGACTTCATGCTGTGTGATAACATGGTGGAAAGAGCAAGAGGATGTGAGCAAGCAAACAAGAGGGGGCTGAACTTGCTTTTATAACAAAGGCACTCTCATGATAACTAACCCACTCCGTCCATAACATTAATTCATCCGTGAGGGTAGAGTCTTCATGACTTAATCACCTCTTAGTAGACTCCACCTCTCGATGCTGTTGCTTTTGGGATTAAGTTTCCAACACATGAACTTCAGGGAACACATTCAAATCATGGTACTACGTTGCATCCATATTACAATCTGTTGTGATCTACTTTTGCTCCCACAGGTCCATTAAAACTGTACTCCATGAATTTCTGGTTGCTAAATACAATGAACATTATTCAATCCTTATTCTTTCAATCTCTTGGCAGAATACTTTCCAGTTGACCAACAGAGTCTTGTTGGCTTTTATATCCCTTAGACCCAAAGACTTACAGGGCTTGGCAGAGTTTCTGGCAACATAACGAAATCTGAAAATTGACGAAAGATTTAGAATGGAAAATAAGTGGATGCCAAATGGTGAAGGCTTTAAATGCTAAACTGTGGGGACTGGCTTTTGTTTTGTAGGCAGTGATAATCTAGAAAGGTCTCTTAGCAGGAAAGTAGCATTACCACATCTTTTGGGAAGTAAATTCTGGGGCAGTTTATGGTTTGGAGCAGTGGTTTCCTTTTTCTCTTTTTTTTTTTTTTTTTTTTTTTGAGACAAAGTCTTGCTCTGTCACTCAGGCTAGACTGCAGTGGCACAATCACGGCTCACTGCAGCGTTGACCTCCTGGGCTCAAGCAATCCTCCCACCTCAGTCTCTGCCCCACCAAGTAGCCAGGACTACAGGCCTATGCCATCATGCCAGGCTAATTTTTATATTTTTTGTACATACAGAGTCTTGCTACATCGCTCAGGCTGGTCTTGAACTCCTGGACTTAAGCAATCTACCGGCCTTGGCCTCCCAAAGTGCTGGGATTATAGGCATGCGCCAACGTGCCCATCCTAAAGCACATTCTTAACAGGAAAACTGACATCTGCATTACCAAGAGGTTTAATTTCTCTTCAGAATCTTCCCAGCAGATTCAGTTGACTCAAAAGGCAGCCCATGTGGCTGAGGGTTAGTTTAGATATGCATTGGCTCTTAGCAGTTCACCTCTGGAAATGAATTTCATAAGATCTCAGAGTAGAACACAGGACATAGACCCAGTGGAAGAGGTTAGGTTTAACAAGAGTTCTGAGTTGCAAGCTAGAGAAAGCAACTAGTTGACTTAGGCTATAAAGGAATTTATTCAATGGGGAGAGATCACCCAGAAGGCTGGGAAACCACGCAGGAACAAAGGTGATGTAATCAACTACTAGGATCACAGTCTAATGTACACAAGGCAATGGCTATTCAAACACCAATGTCAGGAACTTACCTGTTGTACTCACTGGATATGGGATAATGGCTGTTGTCCCTGCTGACAGTTAGCCATTGATGCCCTCAACACAGGCCTTCTCCTATCCAGTTTCTTTGCTTTACCAGTCAGGGCGAGGTGCCTCAGATACACAGGAGGTTGAAGTTTTTGCTTCTAGAGGTGGTGACTTGTGCCATCCAAACACTAGAAAGGGATTCAGACGTGGAAGAACAGCAGAAAACCACAAAACCAAAATCAAAAATAGAAAATAAAACCCAAAGACATAAACTTGCAAGGATCCAATGCATCACTTTTATCAGATTCTAAAAGCAAAACCTTTCGAACAGGTTTTTATGAATTTAGAGTATCAATATATAAAACAGGCCTTGTTCTGCCTGCAGCTCCCCTTCCTATTCTATCCATCATCCACGTATGACTTGTCGGCCTCTAAGACACCTGCAAAGAATTTCTGGTCCTATGATACATTAAAAATTAGGGGAGAACAAACCATTTTACAAATAGTTTGAAAATTCCCAAGAAGGCTGGGAAACTGAGCATGAGCAAAGCCTAACAAATTCAGGCTTAGAAAAGTTAGTTTCTCTTAATGTCAGTTAGTTAAAGCTAAACAGGAGCACTTCATTTGTAGTCTGGTACTCTTTCCAAACCAGACTCTTGGTCTCCATTTCCTCTCCTGAAAAACAAAGCAGTATGACTATTAGACTTTGAAGAGACTTTCAAAAACGACAGATTCTTCTAGTACCCCACGAAATGTTTCAATTCTCCAGCAGTCCTTATTTTGTAATTTGCCTCTGAGCTTTTGTAAAATCATCTGTTTCCTAGTTTTAAACTGCTTGTTGCCATAAAAGCATCATATAAATGACTTTAAAAATCATTTGTGGAAAAAAAACTGGTAATGTAATATTCAGATTCGTAATGCTAACTAAAAGTGACCTTGAATATTTTGTTGTATTCCTATTTTAATATTTTTAAAGCCGATTTAAAAATATTCATATTCATATAAGCCCCAAACTAAAAACAACTCAAATGTCCATCAACAGGTGAATAATTAAATTATGATATATTCATACAAAGGAGCAGTACTCAGCCAAAAAAAGAAAAAAAAAAGGAAATGAACTATGAACTATTACTGATCTTTGAGCTAACATGGATGAATTTTAAGAACATCCAGTGGAATGAAAAAAGCCTGGAGCAAATGAGCATATGCTGTATCACTACATTTATGTAAAGTTTTTAATGCAGGCAAATGCAAAGTACAGTAATAAAGATCAGAACAATCAGGCCAGGCGCAGTGGCTCACACCTGTAATCCGAGCACTTTGGGAGGCTGAGGCGGGCAGATCACCTGAGGTCAGGAGTTCAAGACCAGCCTGGGCAACAAGGCAAAACCCCGTCTCTAGTAAAAATGCAAAAATTAGCCGGGCATGGTGGTGTGCACCTGTAATCCTAGCTACTCAGGAGGATGAGGCAGGAGAATCGCTTGAACCTGGAGGTGGAGGTTGCAGTGAGTTGAAATCGTGCCACTGCACTCCAGCCTGGACAACAGAGTGAGACTCCATCTCAAAAAAAAAAAGGATCAGAACAATCAGTGGAAGGGAAATAAAAAGTGAAGTGACTGTGAGGGGAACCAAAGGGAGTGATGGCTCTACAGTTGCATACATTTGTTAAAATTCAAACAATACAGTAAAATGTTTGTGCTTACTGTATATAAATTACACCCCAATTAAAAAAAATTGCATACACATCTAGTAAGTCACAGGCAACTTATTTCCTGCTTCTGTATTGTTGGGAAACAGAGAATATTAAGTATCAGAGATAAGGTAAGATTATTACAAGAAATTGTCAGATAAGATCATTTATAGACTCCCTAAACCTGCAAAGCAAAACCATATAGACCCACTATTTAAAAAAATATAGCTACTTTTCAAAGCATCCACTCAAGCTAGCAGATAACAAAATACTTATTTTATTGTTGTAAAATTAAAAATAGTAGACAAGCATATATACAGTTCCCAAGCAGAGCAATACAAATATATAAATTATTGCAGTTTTCAAAGAAAATATAACAGCCAAATAATTGCCTACTTTTTTGAAACAAACTTGGTTTTTACCACAGCAGTTTCATTTTCTTTTTCCAAAAGTCTTAACACAATTTTGTAAAGTAAATTTCTAACACCAGAGAGATTAAGTTCAATGACCATAGTATACGCTACTGTTTTAAAGCAAGGTTCACACACACACACACACACACACACACACACACAAAATGGAACTGAACAAAAGTCACTACTTAATACTTTCTAAATTGCCTCTTTTGGAGGTACGGTGAAAGAAAAACATTCTAGATGCGTCTGAAAGAAACAAGGTACACACACTTACTAAAATTCCCCTTTGCTTTAGGTGTAGTTGAGGGAAGTTCAACTAATCTTTAAACCTTTTTTGGGAGAGGGCAATACTCATCTTCATGAATTTTTGTTTACTTTGGTAAACTTAAAATTGTGAAATAATTAAATATTATTAAAATGTATTAGTAATGTGGACTCAAACTAAAAAGAACAGGGAAAGTGTATGTTAACAAACTAGATGTTTTGGAGACTTGATATAATATGGTTCATATCAATGTTACCATAGCCAGAAGTTGCTTAATAGGTTAGACTGCACCATAATCAAGGCAATTATGAAAGGATGAAGTGAAATGAAAATACTGAGATGCAAGCATTATAGCCCTCCTCCAAGTTACCTTTATTTTGTGTGAGGGCTCTAGTATTCTGGTAAATAAACTCTTCCCTGCCCCATGACCACAAAACTTTACTTGGTAAGAATAAACTGTTGGGGGTTTTATCTCTTACTAATTCTCACCACAAATTTCCTCAAATAGTTACTCCCACCAACGTAAAAGTTAAAAATACAATCATACACTGAAACGGCATCAATTATCTTTGCCTTACATCTGAACAAAAAGTATTAACTTTTTTATAGCGTATTACACTTCTTAATAAGCACTTAGTAACAACATTTGTCAGTAAATGAACTGGCATACATCAGAAAAAGTTGACAATAGAAGAATTTTACATGGTACCATTTCAAATTTTCATGTACAAGTAACCCACTTTATGGTCACTAACCTGAACCTCCTAATAAGCTACACAAATAATTTACTCTTTAAAAATTCCTACTTTAGAGCATTTACATTTTATAATTTAATAATGAAAGCAGATTCTTCCAAAACAAAACAAAACCCAAACTGGGAAACATTAAAACACAAATAGATCTAAAAGCTTACTTTAAAAAAACTACAAAAATGGACTAACAAGCCTTACCAGTGTAAACACTAAGGTAAAAAATATATAAACAACATAAAGAAAACACAAAACCATTTTCAGTCATAAATATAGTAAAATGAAAAACCAAATCTCAAGATGCCTGTCAAGATATATTTGACTATATATTTTGACTATATTTCTGAAATCACTAACATGAACTTGACATTGAAAAAATAATCCTTAAATGTATATAAAAATGGGCACTTTGTGGTAAAATGAACATGTGTTTTGAAAAACTAAGAATGTGTCTTTGCTCCACCATTGTGCATAGTCAACGACACAACAAAACACTATTCTGCTGCCTGAATCATCTATTACTGGAGTCTCAAGTGCATGCCTTTTAAAAAAGACTAATTTAGATATTAATATGAGGATCAAAGGATAAGATGATAATCTCAAAGTAAAACATAATTGATTTTTAGCTTCATTATAAGGCTGAACTTTAAAGAGAACAACCTGTGTGGTCAAAAACACTTTTCTAATTTTTAAAACTCAATTTAACGTGTCAAATTATAAAACTGAACGTGAAAAAGATTTGTCTTATCTCACTCCCCTTAATCATATAAGCTCTGAAAATTTAGTAATGGATGACTGGCAGTCTGTTTTGCCACTTTTTAAACAGTAGTACATGAGATATGCTTCAAAACATTCTCAAAAATTACTAACAACTGTAGAGAATAGCCAAGTGTGGAAAACAATATTTGTGATATTTCATGTTCTCTTGTTAGAACTCAACTCTGTACCTGATACTTATATTTGCATACACAGTAATTGCATATTTGATTAAGAAAACTAACATAGGACTAAATTATAAGTTTACCAAACATTTGGATAAACTGCTGTGCAAAATACTTCAACAAAAAGTTTTTTTTACTAGGAACTCATCCAAATAAAGTAGTGTGAGTACCAGCACCACAAAGTTTTTTTTAAGAGCACCTCTCCTTTTTAGAGCTTAAGTAGAAATATCTAAATGGAATAAATCAGAGTCCCACTTAAGACCTTAGCACATGCACACGTTCATCCACTTGTTCCGTACTCATTAGCAAAGCTATGTATATTTGTCAGAAAACTCCTTTCTTTGGATAACACTGTTGTATTCAGGACTGCAACTTATGGCTCATATTCTGGAAATATGCTACTATTGATATCAAATGCAACATATCCCCAACTTTTATGACTGTCCCTAACTCATCTAAACACAAACCCAAATGTGTGCAAACACACTGGCTGGTAACAATCTTACTGAATTACGCCAAAAAAGAGTAAAGTCAAATTTGAAAATGTGGGAACAATTAAGCACTAAGATATTAATCAGGAAATGTATTTACCCAGCTTGTAAGTTTGAATATTTTGATATTGCACACATTTAATTTAAAGCTCATCAAAACTAAGGCAATGCATCCATACTCCCTGGATTTTAAATTCATTTTGCATGACTTAAAGAATTGAGAGAAATCGAAAGCATCTTTCAAAAATTCCCTCCAAAAAGTAATGTTATACTTCAAAGAAAAACAAAATCAACAGATATCAATTAATACCCTCAGGCCAATTTAACACGTCAGCATTACAAAAAGTTGTTTTCAATTAAACTGAAGTGTTTCTTTGCTTAAATACTTTCTTGTGTTCAACAACAAAATCTGACCCAAGCCAGGGTAGGCTGCCAAATTTAAGGCAAATGTCATTTATATCTTTATGCATGAAGCTGCCACGTTACTGGGCTTTTCAGCAGATACTTTCAAGCAAGGATCTACCTCATAAGTACATTCTAAACATGAGTTAAAAACAGAATTTAGAGCCCATTTTAATTCTGCATTGGTTATAGCCTTTACTGTAATACATTATTAAAATTTATCTAGCTGTTTGGCACAATCTGTTAGATAAAAACTCTTTGGAAGCATCATAGGCAACTTACGAGAACATTCTCTTAATACATAGGTTTATTTTTTTTTAATTAGGAGTTTTGCTTTTCTTCTGTAGAACAATCCTATATTTCTCTATAGAGTCTAAAGTTTAGAAAAATACCTCACAATGCTTTCTTTGAGCACTAAGTTCAATGATGGTGATAATACAATTTGGACAGTTTAAGTATTCTTGAAACTTTACCCAAAGTGGCACACAAAATAATCTTACTTTTTTTTTTCAAAGACAGAACAATTTCACAGCACACTCAATTTGAAGATAGACATTATATTTGAATTGGAAGTGAGGCTTGACTTACTCTGTCCAAATTCTAATGCATCACAGTCACTGGTGTGAAGCTAATAATGAAAGAAGCAAGAGGAGGCTTTCATTTCTATGGAGACAAATTGACATAGAAGCCAGATTAGTCTTTTCTTCCTGAACTAAGAACTGCTTTTGTTAGAAAACAAAATAATGTATTGTATTTACCTGAATACTGCTTTAAAAAGTTATTAATTCTTCTTTTACAAGAGGTATTAGAAATTAAAACAACTCAGATTTCTAATCCAAAATATATTTATCTTTGGAAAGCAAGGTAACCGTTGTGAAAACATTGTATTAAGAGAATAAAATGCAGTGACCTGAAATATGGGTGAACATATTCACACATGATAATGTAAATAAATATACAGAACCACTCAAATACACATTTATAAAGAGAATGGCAAAGTACCTAAAATAGCATTTTCACATATAAAATTTTTATATTAAAATATTGCTCATAATAAATAAGAGGTGATATGAATTCCATTTCCCTCTTAAAAATTATCTCTAGTAGTTTACACTAAGGAGTTAATCTGTTGTTTTGACAGGTGAATTAAAATGTTTAATAAAATGACACTGTAACAGTATATTTAAGTAGTCACATGTGATAAAATTTGTTTAGTAATTCTGGGAAAAAAGAGTCCCCAAATGAGCCAAAATGATTAGCCCTAGAAGACTAGAGTATAATGATCTGCTTTATTTGACAAAGATGTTAAATACTGCCTTATGTTTGGCAAATTTAATGACCATAAAAAAACGGACCACAACTTTCTTCAAACTTCTTCAAAGTTTGCATGTCTGGGAGACCAATAAAGGGCAGGGCATACGAAGTAAGTCTGTTTAGGTCAGTTGTTTATGGGTAGGTGCGACTTCATTCCTGTTCGCCCTACTTGCAGACATGGTAACTTAGAACAGTTCTTCAGAAGCTGTTCGATGGCAACGTGGCGGACATGGAGCTGTGAGGCCAAAGAATCTTTTTCTTGCACTTGGTGAGTTAACTCTTCAAAAACTTCTGTAAAAGATTTAAAAACTTTCATTTTTAGTATGCAGAAAGCCGGTGCTATGATTTATATTTCAAGAACTCTAACTGAAATCTATGCATTGGGCAAAGTGTCACAATGAAACTGATTTGATACCAAGGAAACAGTTCTGTTCTCTACAAAGCATATCAGTTCTGATCATCCTAGGCATCTGTATACTTTACATAGCCAAATGGAATTTGGCTCTTCTCCATCAAGTGACTACAGAGATACACAGCAAAAATGGTGGTTGCTACTGTAGCTGAGCTACTTTTCTCAATTAGAATCTATAAACAGATTCAATTAGTACATAATGTGATTTATGGACAAGAAGTGCCTGTTAGTATTCAGGTCTGGAACCCCCTCTAAGAGGCTTTGGAATCAGACTACTAAGAGTTTTGAATCCTTGTTCCTACTCTTACGTGCCTCAGGCAAGCAACTTTTGGTTTCAATTTCCTTTTCTGTGTAACATTAATAATGATAGTAAGCACTTCACCAGGCTACTGTAAAAATTAAATGAGATCATATTTGTAAAGTACTCATAAATTTCTACTACAACTATTATTGTGATTATTTTTATTATTCTGAGAGGCTGTGTGGTTAAGCTTTGGAGTTTAAATCCTTGATCTGCTACTGATTGGATGCATGATCTCTGTAAGCAACTTAACATCTCTGAAGTACAATTTTCTCATCTAAAAGGAAATAAATTGAAAAGGAGACAACTGCGGAATCTGAACATTACTTGTTAGTGTTAGCATTATACTTGATGACGTTAAGGAATTATTAACTTTAAATGGTGTGATAATGAGACTGTGACTGTTTTTTAAAAAGTTATCTCTTTTAGAGGAAATCCTAAACTATTTATGGACAAAAAACAGTGTGTTAGCTAGGATTTGTTTGAAAATAATCCATGCTACTGGTAGTGCAATGGGAATGGATGCAAGTAGAGATACTGATTATTATGCCTTTGCTAACAGTTGAAGCTGGTGAAAATGGCTTAAAGGGTTCACTATACTAGTCTCACTACTTTTATATATGTTTGAAATTGTTTATAATTTAACAAAAAAGACTAATATCACATGCCTTAAAGAACTGTTTGGGAGGACTCCCACATAGTGCCTGGTGCAATAGTGGGTAGTCAATAAAATGTTAGTAAGAGGTGGTAGTTTCCATTTTCACTTAGAAAAGAAAAATGTGGCTGGGCGCAGTGGCTCACACCTGTAATGCCAGCTCTTTGGGAGGCTGAGGCAGGAGGACTGTTTGAGCCCAGGAGCTCGAGATCAGCCTGGGCAACATGATGAAACCCCCTCCCTATAAAAAATAGAAAATTAGCTGGGTGTAATGACAGTAAGTCCCAGCTACTCGGGAGGATCACCACTGCACTGCAGCTAGGGTGATGAAGCAAGATTCTGTCGCAAAAAAAAAAAAAAAAGGAAAAATGTATTTCCTCTGCAGTTGAAAGTTGTTTCTTTCTTATTCTTTTTGCTCTGGAAACTCTAACAGGTTTGAATATCTCATTTCCAAATTTAAATGTAGATAAAGCCAGTGGTGTCCTATCATAGATGATTTTCTATGTCAAAATTTGTCACACACAAAAAAGTACTGACAGTGATTCTTACCCTGGATTTGCTGTAGGAGCTTTGCATTCAGTTGCTCTACCTCACCAAGAGTCATCGAATTCACTGAAACATGAAAATGTATTCACTATTACCACAACAACCTAGGAAAACATGCTGCTTACATCACCAACACAATATCCTATTTTTAAAAATCAGCACTTAACTGCCAACACAACATTCAGCAGTACTCCAGTATTCAACCATTAACGCTCGTAAGTGTGGAGTAGAAGTTTTCAAACCCTGACCACAACCCATGGTAAGAAAATTTTATTTTTATTCTTTTTTGAGACAGGGTCTCACTTTGTCACCCAGGTGGCAGTGCAGTGGTGCGATCAATGGCTCACTGTTGCCTCAACCTCCTGGGCTCAAGTGATTCCTCCCACCTCAGCCTCCCTAGGAGCTGGAATCATAGGCGTGTGCCACCACACCTAATTTTTTTATTTTTTGTAGAGATGGGGTCTCCCTGTGTTGTCTAGGCTGGTCTTGAACTCCTGGGCTCCAGTGATCCTCCCACCTTGGCCTCCCAAAGTGCTGGGATTATAGGTGTGAGCCACTGTGCCTGGCCAGAAACATATTTTTTATCACTCCCAGTACATCACCACCCTCCAATGAAATAAAAGTTTCACCAAAAAATAGTAGTAGGTCCAATGAATTCTGGTATCTCCTATTCGGTTTCAGTTTTTAAAAAGTGTTAGTCACTACCCATTAAGCTTATTTTGATTAAGCATTAGATAGTTTATAACCTGCAGTTTGAAAAATAAATTTGTCTGTCTAGATGTAGAATCTTAAATAATTCACATTTAGAATCAAGAAGTTGTATAACAAGATAGCAGAGGTCCCTT
The DNA here is from genome assembly GCF_000001405.40 of Homo sapiens. Taxonomy (NCBI): domain Eukaryota; kingdom Metazoa; phylum Chordata; class Mammalia; order Primates; family Hominidae; genus Homo; species Homo sapiens. The sequence goes on from NC_000021.9 coordinate 17,796,050, forward strand.
CTGGCTCTGAAAACATGATTTCAAGACAATTAAAATCACCTCAGCTTCTGTAAATTTTTGTAGAAATAGATGTAGAGAGAATGAGTCACCCTTTCTAACTTTACAATAAGTGCACACATTACCTTTGGCCTTTAGTAAAATGTCACATTTTTGCTTCTGAAATGCCACCACCAGTCAATTAGTCTTACAGGGATCAGCAACATGACAATGTGTATTAGCCAACAGATGAAGCTGTACTTCTAAACTATACGAGTCCTAGATGTTCCAATTCACAGTTTGTTGATTCCATTTAGTGTAATCATTTTAAATGGCAAAACAAACATGGAAATTGCTTAACTTCAATGCTTAGAAGACAGAATCCCAGTGAATGAAAAATTTTAAGATGTCTCATTTTTGCTAAGGTGAACCTGTTAAATACAATGTTTCCCAAATCTATGATTCCACAGCAAAATTCTTGACCCATTACACATCTATACAAATGTACAAAAATCCCAAACCACCCAACTTTTACTTTTCTCCCCATTTTACTTACATTCCTCTCTGCTGTAATGTGGATGCTGGGTCTGGACATTAGCCTCTGGACTAGAGATTGTCTCTTCTTTTTTCTGTGCCTGGTTGTGACTATGAGGCCACAATACACTGTTACGACATAAAGTGGCACCTGAATCTTGTAACATAGAAAGTCCAAAGTCTGTATTTTCCCTCTGCTCCAAAATTCTTTGTGTACAGTTAGAGATGCCACCTGCACTTCCATCTATCCATTTTGCAGAATATTTTGGTACTTGGGAGTCAAACTGTGGGAGTAATTTTTCTTCTGGCTTATGCCTGAAATTAAACAGATGATGCTGGGGGTTTTTAGAACATTCAGAATCTGAATCCAGATCCTTATTTTGTGCATACTGCACAATCCAGTTTATCTTCTTACTCAAAATGGTTTTAACTTCTTCATAAGTACTTTTTGAAAGCTTAGATCGAGGACAACCCTGGTTTGCAATTAAATGGTATTTTTCAAAGCAGTCTTTATGGCCCCTTAATGATTTGGTGTGCAAGAGATCAGACTTTGGTACCCCTATGGAAAAAAAAGAGAAACAAAAGACTTGAGAAATTTTGTTTTCTATAAGTCACTTTAAGAACATACAAATCTTAGTAAAATCAGAGTCCCTGATAGTCTGTGAATTAGAGGAAAAATGCTAAAGAATATTAGTATTAATATACAATGTGGCCTAATAATTTCTGCTTCAATATTCAGTAATATTAAATTCTTATGGATAGCAAAATCTTTCTAAGAACTTAATTATTCAATTTTAATCCTAGTCTAGAGATGTTACTGCACGATATAAAAAAATACTACTGAACCCAGCAATTTACCTTTACAGATTCTTGGCCTTTACATTATAGTGCTTTCTTCATGAAACCTTCTGAAGTACACACTTGCAAAAATATCTATAATATTATGAGGTTCAATAACAGAAATACTGAACAAGTTTTCCTCCCTAAAACACAGTAAATCATGTTCTTAAATTATGTTTATTGAAAAAAAAAAAACCAGAACCAGAAAAATGCAAATAAAAGTCAAAAATTCAATAAACTATTTAGATTTATTTTTAAAGAAAATCAAAGCATCTAACATTTTTCACATTTCCATTTTATAGTTACTAAAACCTTATCAAGATAATTTTATTTTCTAGAAGAAATGCATTATACTCAATCATTTTCCATACAGCAGTAAATTCAATCTGCCAAGATCCAACAGCCAGTAATTCCTCAACTCACAAATGTTCATTATATACCATAAATAACAGAAATATTACTTTTATATCTCTCAACTTAGTAGAGTATAAGTATGCTACCTCAATTGTTTTTTAAAAATATAAAAATTATAAAAATATAAAACATTTTCAAATATCTAATACATTTCAAAATACAGAATATATTCACACATTTTTATAAGTTCAAGCCATGTTATTAAAGTTAAACAGCGCTACTTTTATGCTGAAGGTGAATTAGGAATGTGGACCTGAAAATTTATGTCTGCCAGAATTAACCAGTTTAAATCTGCTTAGCTTTTCAAATGGAGTAAGCGGAGAGCCACTCAGGAGCTAGTTTAAAAAAAAGTTTTAGCTGATTCATCAGAAAAAAATACATTTTGTAATTCCTCCTTTCCTTTAAAAATTGAACTCATAGTTATTTTATTTGAACTCCAAAGTCTGGCTAAAAGAAAGATAATGAAGCATTTGTACTTTAATGGTATGAAATAAAGTATTAGCATACTTGTGAATATTAATGTTTTTAAAAATATATATAGTATCAGCCAATGGTGGGACTTGATGAGACTGTCAAAACCAAGTGTTAAATTGGTTATCAGTTCCCTCAACAGTTACTGTAAGCTATGTGAACACACCTCTAAAACATTAATATTGTAAGCACATGTAAACAACTGCTCTCATGAGGTAAACTCAAATATCTGAGCCTTGTTTTTTCCAATGAGTACAAAAATTGCTGGAAACTTAAACAGAATTTAATATACATCTTATTTATCACTTTGCTCCTTGTACTGCAATTGTGAGCACGTATACATTTCTACCAGTTATTATCTGATTAGGTCAAATTTCCAGCAACATTAGAATATGTGAATTATAAATCTCAAAGCTTTATTTGATAATAGAGTATACATCTTTAAAAATGGGAAACTGACATAAAAAGGAAGCTCACGAGCTCTGCTTTATTAAGTTTTATTATTACGCATTTTAGATAATAAGACAAAACAGTAGTTATCACAAGTTATACACCAAAGGAAAAATGGTTCCATTCTGCTATCTGATTCCAATGCTTAGTTTTCTGGGAAACACTGGTATGCAGAGAGAACCTGAAGCTTGCCTATTACTAACTGAAACATTTATTAAAGAGCTCCCCTACCCTCTGCAAACTCTTTTAGGTCTTGTTGCCAACAGATGGTTAGCTAATCCCTCAAAACCGTAAATGGTCTCATTCTCAGTGCACTGCCTCAGCTCTATGTAGCAATGAAATTCTTTAGCATATAAAAAAGGTTGTGAACTAGGCTATGGAAAGTAATTAATATTTATTGTTATATTTTGTGGGTTTTTTAGTATTTATACAGAAACTCCGATAAAAAAGTACATTAAATAACTAATTTTCTGATGTACTCTAGAGCTTCAACAATAGGTCAATATAATAGATATCTATTTGAAGAATAATGAGGACTTGTAATGTTTATCTACTGTTTCTTCTTAATGATTCATATAATATAATTTCCACTTAGATGTACCTATTGGCTCCTCGAACTCACCTTACTGAACACTTAACTCCTTTATCTCTCTCACCACACAACTCCAAAACTGATCCCCTTACTGAATCTGGCATCACCAACTAACTGCTCAAGGAAGAAACCTGGGTGTCCTCCTTGAAAGCTCTTCACTCCCCGCAATCCCAGAGGTTTTGCTGACCGTCTTAACAGATTTCTCCCCCATAAAATCTAGCACCTACAACATCTGAAATCCTTCTGCTTCACTCAAGCACCACTCCCACTACAAATGTGGGTCATGATCATCATCACCTCCTGTCTAGTTCTCATTTCCCCTAAGAAGCCTTGTCTAACCCAAATGTCTGGGTTAGTTTATCACACTAGATTTTACAATTGCCTCTTTCGCGGCCTGTATCTCCTGACAAAATGTAGGTTCTGTGAAAAATATGGACCATGTCTATCTTACTCATATATTCTCAGTGTCAAAATGCCGGGCACATAGTGGGTACTCAAAAGTAGTTAAATGCATAAAAGAAAATTAAAAATATATTTTAAAACACCAAAAACAAATCAATTATCACTCAAGGTCCCTTGCAAGGTCCCTCCTAGCAAGGGAACTAGAATTTGCAGTTCTGCCAGGCTACTCAGCGGGTAATTAAAGGTGTCTTTCAGTGAAGTTACTCCTATATTTAGTCTAATGGGCTATTAGTCTAAAGAACATATCAGTGGCACTGATACAGAAATGGCATTCCTGTGGCATCATTCAATCTGTCAAAGAAAATAATGAATTTCTACTCAAATATATATTTTTAAATAGAAATTTACATACAGAAAATATACAAGAAGATGGTTTTATGTTAACTGTAGCTCATTCATCTAGATATATACCTCTAATTTCTTTAGTTACATCAGTCGTACTAAAATTTAAAAACCTGACTGAGTTTTAAAGTTCAATTAGAAACATTTGTTTTATAAACATATTTAAAAATATCCTGTGCAGCAGTAGCATAGGAAACAAAAACTTCTATAAAACACTGACTACTTCATATACTTGAAAAAAATTACTTTTTAATCTAGAAAATAATGTGAGTAGCTCACTTAATTTGCATCAGTAATACACATATCATTTTATAAATTCTTGAAGTGATTTGTTGTTTCTACCTCATCAGTTCAAATTATTATAGCAGAAACAACCATTGCTATTTCAAGAGATCCCAGTGAGTTTCCCAACTGACTTATCAATTTTAAATGCATTTACAAGCGTAAACAGCTCTGAGCACTAATTTGTTTCCTAAGCAGCTTTTGAAAGGGAATAAATCTAAATGCAACACAATCAGGTGATACTTTTGAGGAGCTGAGTTATAATAATTTCCAAACCAGTCCAACCAAGATTGTACTACAACTTGCTTGCTAATACAAGTTTTGAAGGCCAACGTAATTGACTTCCTATTATAAAAACATCTTTAAGATACTTCAAAGATATCCATGTCACTTTTTTTTAAATCATAAAGTCATTATTAGAGAACCAAGACCTTAATTGGCAACCAAAAGTCTTAATCTTATTTTTTTTTAAAGTATGGGTTTCTTAACAGATGCTGGAGAGGATGTGGAGAAATAGGAATGCTTTTACACTGTTGGTGGGATTGTAAATTAGTTTAACCATTGTGGAAGACAGTGTTGTGACTCCTCAAGGATCTAGAACCAGAAATACCATTTGACCCAGCAATCTCATTACTGGGTATATACCCAAAGGATTAAAAATCATTCTACTATAAAGACACATGCATATGTATGTTTACTGCAGCACTAGTCACAATAGCAAAGACATGGAACCAACACAAATGCCCATGAAAGATAGATTGGATAAAGAAAATGTGGCACATATACACCATGGAATATTATGCAGCCATAAAAAAGGATGAGTTCATGTCTAACACAGGAACAGAAAACCAAACACCGTATGTTTTTTTTTTTTTTTAGACGGAGTCTCGCTCTGTCACCCAGGCTGGAGTGCAGTGGTGCGATCTCGGCTTACTGCAAGCTCCGCCTCCCAGGTTCATGTCATTCTCCTGCCTCAGCCTCCCGAGTAGCTGGGACTACAGGTGCCCGCCACCACGCCTGGCTAAGTTTTTGTATTTTTAGTAGAGACGGGGTTTCACCGTGTTAGCCAGGATGGTCTCGATCTCCTGACCTTGTGATCCGCCCGCCTCGGCCTCCTAAAGTGCTGGGATTACAGGCTTGAGCCACCGTGCCCGGCCCGTATGTTCTTATTCATAAGTGGGAGTTGAACAATGAGAACACATGGACACATGGAAAGGAACATAACACACTGGGGCCTGTCAGGAAGTAGGGGGCTAGAAACATCACAAACTGGGGCCTGTTGGGGGTGGGGGGCTAGGGGAGGGATAACATTAGGAGAAATACCTAATGTAGGTGACGGGTTGATAGGTGCAGCAAACCACCACGGCATGTGTATACCTATGTAACAAACCTGCATGTTCTGCATGTATATCCCAGAACTTAAAGTATTAAAAAAAAAAAAGGGTTTCTTCTCACTAGAGGCTATTTAGAAATGTATATAGGCTGTATTTCTGTATGAATAGTAGTATTTTAAAAAGCTGTTCCTATTCAATAATTTTATTTTTCTTTTATCTTTTCCCATTTTATCTGAGTTTTTATACTATTATTCTGTACTTTGAAACCCTCCCTCTAACCCATCTGGCATGCTATCCCCATCTCTATCCTTTAAGTTCCTCTTTAAAATAAATTGCTTTAAGAAAACTTGGTTAAATCCATCCTAAAAGTGCAAAGACTACTCAAATGTTTAGATGTTTAGCTCTAGTTGCCATCATTACTCTTATTTTTTTGAGACGGAGTCTCGCCTTGTTGCCCGGGCTGAAGTGCAGTGGTACAATCTCAGCTCACTGCAACCTCTGCCTCCTGGGTTCAAGCTATCATCATACCCCAGCCCCCCAAGTAGCTGGGACTATAGGCACGCACCACCACACGTGGTTAATTTTTGTGTTTTTAGTAGAGATGGAGTTTCACCATGTCAGCCAGGCTGGTCTCAAACTCCCCACCTCAGGTGACCCACCTGCCTCAGCCTAGCAAAGTGCTGGGATTACATGTGGCGTGTAATCCTGGGATCACAGTGGCGTGAGCCACTGTGCCTGGCCCACTGTTACCCTTTTAAAAGAATGATTAGATTGTGTTTAATTCACCAATTGTAGGAACAATTTTTTTTCGTAACAAAAATAATACTCCAAATGGCACTAAAAAACCCCACGAATATCAAAATGCTTAAAGTTCTACCACATGTCCCATGATCCTCTGCTTTTACCCCTAGCCTCTTGAGGAAGACTTGATTTATAACTTGGTAGTAATAAGTAAGCTAGGCAATCTTTTCCTGATGATTCACCAGCTGGTCCTGTCAAATAGCACTGTCTCTCAGCTGTCTATGCTGATGCTGAATGCCTTTATACTTCACACATTCTTGAATCATGTCATCTGACTCCCTCACACTTTTTGTGGTCAATTAGACTATATGTTGAATTGGATTACATATTCCATTTCCCAACCAAAGGACTGGCTTTACATAACTTGGTGCTCCACAGGGAGAGCAAATATAATACAACCATCAGTGGATGTGAAGTTGTAATATGCATTATCACATCAGTAGGAGATTGGAAAGCACTAAGAAAGCAAGCACTCCAACCTTTACCTCAAACTTAGAGCAGAATTAGGGAACTGGGAGTATGGGTTTGCTAAATGGTGGGCTTATGTGTTCTTTCTTGATGTTTAAATAAGGCAAAAAAATTAAGTGTCCAGTTGTTAACATGCTGTGAAAAAATTTTAAGCACACTGCCTTAAAACATGATAAATGTATTTGTGCAACAATACATGCAGTATTGCTTCAAAATATTTTTTGGCCAGGTGTGGTGGCTCATGCCTATAATCCCAGCACTTTGGGAGGCCAAGCCAGGTGGACTGCCTGACCCCAGGAATTTGAGAGTCGTCTGGGCAACATTGTGAAACCTGGTCTCTAGAAAAAATACAAAAATTAGCCCAGCATGGTGCATGCACCTGTAGTCCCAGCTACTTAGGTGGGAGGATCGCTTGGGCCAGAGAGGCACAGGCTGCGATGAGCCACGACTGCGCCTCTACACTCTATCTAGCCTGGGCAACAGAGTGAGACCCTGTGTCTTAAAAAAAAGAAAAAAAAGTTTTTTATGGAGGCTCACATTTGGCACAGCCTAAGTAATTTTCCAAGAGTAAAGGTGTTTTTCTTTTTGTGATGATCTTATCTTGGATGCTAAGAAACGGGGTACAGGTACTTGAATATGTATGTGTTGTCCATATTAAGAAACAGTAATCTTGTGCTTCAAGCAAGTGTTCACTGTAAAAATGGGAGGGTAGCCAAATTCCATGTTATTAGGAAAGACAATGGATGAAAATGTTACTTGTTTCTGAGGCGCAGACAACCATTCCTGATAAAAGGAATAAAGGAAAAGCCCTGTGGGTAGAAGTGGCACTCCCACGGACTGAAAGCTGGATCCACACTACAGGTAAGTTTTGTTTAGCCCACAAATATTTTAAAGAGAAAAATTAAAAACAAAATGAGAGGATCTGACAGGAACTGGCTGCTGAACTGGGTATGTGCTCTTCAATTCCAAATAGTTCTTATTATTTCCTTAATGAAAGCACTTGTACCTGTGACCCTGCAGGCTCCAAATCCATGTCCGGTCACCTGTACTGTACTGAGACTAGGCTGGATTGCTGCAGTGTAAATACTACTTGCCCCAGTGATGATTTTGTGCTCAATTCGACTAGACTACCATGCATTTGATGAGCAAGCAGTAGCCAAGCCATAATTCAGGAAGTTATTACCATTATTATCTATTGCCAAGCACTGCCACTGAGTGGGAGGATGCTCAGTTTGTCTATCCTGTCATGTGACCAAGGCAGAAGATTAGACTAAAAGTGGGAAGGCAAGGATGAATAGTTGGAGTATCTACTTCCCACAAAAGGACAGGCTTCTGCCTCTTAAAATTTTTATCAGTTGTCCTAGGTGTCTTAGAAAGTACTGTGATAAAGAGTACCTCATTTCCTCACCCTCATGCCTTTAGCTAAATCAGGAGCCACTTAAATGACTAAATAGTCTGCCATATTCAAGTACCCAACATACCGTTTAAAAGTAAAAGGTAACTGCTTATCTCTGCCTTGGTAGCAGATAGAATATTGGCAACCACATGAAGCCAACATACAGATGGGTTCAGAAACTTGCTTCCGCACATTTTGAGAATTACTGCCCTAAAGAAAGATTTATCAACAGGTGGCCTTTAGATGGCAGATTTCAGCTTAGAGATGTGCATGCCATTTTAAAGTTCCTGTGTGTGCTAAGGATTAAAACAGTTAATCAAAGCAGCTTAATCTAATAAATGAATTGTAAAGGAAAATTTCAATGAGCTAAGAGTTCAGAGAGACAATGATAAACCTCACCCTCAACCTAGGAGGCCAGAGCAGAACTGAGATCTTTTACTGATAGATGTATACATTGCAAATGACTTGTCAAAAATAAAACCTCTCTCAGTGAATTCTACTTTTTCATTCTAACAGTTGGAAAGTTGGGGAAACACACCTACATAACAACTGTTTATTACTAAAAAGGCACAAAACTAATCCAAACTCAATTCTACTCCTTAATGTAGCTACCTGTTTTTTAACAGCAACGCCCAACAGAACTTTCTGTGATGATGGACAAGTTGTATGTATAACTGAGCTATGCAATAAGGTAGCCAGTAGCCACAAATGGCTATTTAGCATCTGAAATGTAGCTAGTCTGACTGAAGAACTAAAGTTTTAATTTTAATTTAAATGAATTCAATGTGGCTAGGCTACTGAATTGGACAAGGCAGCTTGTCCATAGGTAACTAAGCAAAAGGGTACTTGGAAAGAGAACATGGATAGAAGCTATCACCATTTCTTTTAAAACCGTAATGACTGACTGATTGATTGATTTTAGATGGAGTTTTGCTTTTGTCACCCAGGCTGGAGTACAATGGTGCAATCTTGGCTCACTGCAACCTCTGCCTCCCAGGTTCAAGCGATTCTCCTGCCTCAGCCTCCCGGGTAGCCAGGATTACAGGCGCCTACCACCACACCTGGGTAGTTTTTGTATTTTTAGTAAAGACAGGGTTTCACCATGTTGGCCAGGCTGGTCTCAAACTCCTGATATCAGGTGACCCACTCACCTCGGCCTCCCAAAGTGCTGGGATTACAGGCGTGAGCCACCACACCCAGCTAGCGTACTGATATATTAATATGGGATATTACACTCACAACAGTACGATATAGAAAGGTAAATTTGTTTTTCTGGTAAAGTAAATCAAATTTGGACTATAAGGTTTAATTAACATTATGTTACAAAAAATTTTAAGCCAATAATCCAATGGACCCAAGTAACCCTCTACTTGTTCCATATTCCCCTAAAGGATTTAAGTGAATGTACTGACATTTATTCTAAAAAAATTTTTCTGCATAAAATTGTCATAAGACATCTAAAAAGCTATTCAAATTAACTGTAATTGAATTACTAGTTTTAAATATCCACTTACATGGGGCATATGGAGACACCAACTTACAGCAAAACAAAAACACAACAAAGTTTCCTATGATAGACAAGGGTAAAAAGATGTTACTTAAACAAAAGATAGCCTTAAAAATGCCTTCATAATAATAACCAGATGAATGAGGGCACACTATTATGACAAAGCAAATTTAAGGTTTGAAAGCAAGAAATGTGATAACTCTGTCTCTCTGCCTTTCATCTCCTCAACTGCCGCCTGCTCCACTTAAGTTCTGAGAAAGTGATCTATGTTCTTACAAACAAGACATCAGACTTTGAAAATTACCATAACACGAACCTGCTTACTGCCTAGATAGCTAGGTGATCGCTGGTGAGAGCAAAAGAGGGTGGCAAATTAGAGGGCACGAAGAATAGTTGGGAGGAGAAATAAGAGACCCTAAATGAACTGCTCTTTAAAGAACTATGGCTTAAGGAAAAAAGGGAAAAGTTTTTTTCCTTGACTTTTTCTTTTAAAATGGGAGACATGAACATTTCTGATATGCTAATCATTCTTTTGGCCAATCTGCCAGGTTACATAGAAAATAACTGTAGGTTGCCAAGCTGATGAGTTAGTAAAAAAAAAATGGAGGAGAGGGTAAATAGATGAATTAAGAGGGGGAGGCTGGGCACAGTGGCTCATGCCTGTAATCCCAACACTTTGGGAGGCCAAGGCAGGTGGATCACCCTGAGGTCAGGAGTTTGAGTTCAGCCTGGCCAACATGGTGAAATCTCATCTCTACTAAAAATACAAAAATTAGCTGGGCATGGTGGCAGGTACCTGTAATCCCAGCTACTCGGGAGGCTGAGGCAGAAGAATCACTTGAACCTGGGAGGCAGAGGTTGCAGTGAGTCAAGATCCTGTCACTGCACTCCAGCCTGGGCAACAAAGCGACACTGCACTCCAGCCCAGGCAACAAAGCCTGGGCACTCCATCCAAAAAAAAAAGAAGAGTGGGAGGTAGAAAAGACAGAGGCTGTAAGAAGTGTGAAAGAAATTAAGCTGGTCTATATTCACTCTCAACTGAGAATTGAGATCTCCCAGAATATCTATGACTGATATTTATCCAATACACTTTGTTAATAAATAACCTGGTAATCTAAAACTGACTTTTCTGGAGAACTTTCTAATATGTAGGAATTATATTTTATCTATACTGTATTTATTCTACTGTGTAGTAGAAATAAAATTGATATGGTTTCGATTTGTGTTCCCACCCAAGTATCATGTCAAATTGTAATACGCAATGTTGGAGGAGGGCGCTGGTAGGAGGTAACTGGATCATGGGAGCAAACTTCCCCCCTTGCTGTTCTCATGATAGTGAATCTCACAAAATCTGGTTGTTTAAAAGTGTGTAACACCTCCCCCTTCTCTCACCATGTAAGATGTGCCTGCTCCCCCTTCACCTTCTGTCATGATTGTAAGTTTTCTGAGGCCTCCCCAGCTATGCTTCCTATACAGCCTGTGGAACTGTGACCCAATCTCAGGTAGTTCTTTATAGCAATGCAAGAACCAATACAGAAAATCAGTACTGGGAATGGGGCATTGCTATAAAGATACCTGAAAATGTGGAAGCGACTTTGTAACAGGATAATGCGCAGAGGTTGGAACAGTTTGGAGGGCTCAGAAGAAGATAGGATGATAAGGGAAACTTCGGAACTTCCTAGACACTTGTTAAATTGTTGTGCCTAAAATGCTGACAGTGATATGGACAATGAAGTCCAGTAGTAGGTAGTCTCAGATGGAGATGATAAATTTATTGGGAACTGGGGTAAAGGTCACTCTTGCTATGCTTTACCAAAGAGACTGGTGGCATTATACCCCGGTCAAGGGATCTGTGGACCTTTGAACTTGAGAGTGATGATTTAGGCTATCTGGTGGAAGAAATTTCTAAGCAGTAAAGTGTTCAAGATGTGGCCTGGCTGCTTCCAACAGAGTATGGTCATATATGTGAACAAAGAGATGATCTGAAACTGGAACTTATATTTAAAAGGGTATAAGACTTCAGAAAATTTGCAGCCTGACCGTGTGGTAGAAAAGAAAAGCTCATTTTCTGGGGAGGAATTCAAGCCAGCTGCAGTAAAGAGGAGCTAAATAGCCAAAACAATGGGGAAAATGCCTTGAAGGCATTTCAGAGACCTTTGTTGCAGCCCTTCCCATCACAGGCCCAGAGGCCTAGGAGGAAAGAATGGTTTCATGGCCTGGGCCCAGGGCCCTGCTGCCCTGCGCAACCTTGAGACACTGCTCATGTCCCAGCCACTTCAGCTCCAGCCATGGCTAAAAGGGCCCAGGATATGTCTCAGGCCTCTGCTCCAGAGAGTGCAAGCTGTAAGCCTTGGGGGCTTCCACGTGGTGTTAACCCTGCAGGTGTGCAGAGGGCAAGAGTTGAGGCTTGGGAGCCTCTACCTAGATTTCAGAGGATGTATGGAAATGCCTGGATGTCCAGGCAGAAGTCTGCTGCAGGGGTGGAGCCCTCATGGAGACCATCTACTAAGGCAGTGCAGATGGGAAATGTGGGGTTGGAGCCCCCACAAAGAGTCCCCATTGTGGCACTGCCTAGTGGAGCTGTGGGAAGAGGGTCACCGTCCTCCAGACTCCAGAATGCTAGGCTAGATTCACTGACAGCTTTCACTGTGCACCTGGAAAAGCTGCAGGCACATAACCCCAGTTTGTGATGTAACCTCACTGTATCTTGGAAGTAACTAACTTGTTTTTTAGAGGCTTATAGACAGAAAGGACTTGCTGTCTCTCAGATGAGACTTTGGACTGTGGACTTTTGAGTTAATGCTAAAATGAATTAAGTCTATGAGGGACTGTTCATAAGGGTGATTGTATTTTGCAATGTGAGGAGGACATGAGATTTGGGAGGGGCCAGGGACAGAATGATATGGTTTGGATTTGTGTCTCCACCCAAATCTCAGGTTAAATTGTAATCCCTAATATTGGAGGAGGGGCTTGGTGGGAGGTGATTAGATCACGGGGGCAGACATCTCCCTTGCAGTTCTCATGATAGTGACTTCTCACAAGATATGGTTGTTTAAAAGTATGTAGCACCTTCTTCTTCTCTCTCTCTTCCTCCTTCTTTGGCCATTAAGACATTCCTTCACCTTCTGGTATAATTGTTAAGTTTTCTGCGGCCTCCCCAGCCACGCTTCCTGTACAGCCTGCAGAGCTGTGAGAAGATTAAACCTCTTTCTTCATAAATTACCCAGTCTCAGGTAGTTCTTTATAGCAGTGTGAGAACTAACACAATAATGAAAATGTTGATTTATCAGGATAAATGGAAAATAATTTGTTCAGCCAAATTAACATGGTCAAAATTATGAAGGATATTAAGTAAAAGAAATGTTCTCAAAGTAAACAGTAATATAAAAACTTTAAAGTATTTTCTACTGTCTAAAATACTTAAAGATACTGAAGATCCTCTTTAATATTTGAAGATAGCAGTATAGAAGTATGAATGAAGGAGTATTCCATGTTAATCTTGAAACACTCCTCCCAAATAACACAACCAGATTTCCTCAATGTATGGGCTCTAATTTTCAAAACAGAGTAGCAATTATCATTCATTAAGTTCATGGTAGATATTATTCCACCAGTATACGTTTAGGACAGATATTAAAAATGTCATTAAGTATATTTGTATAGCACTTCAGAAACTGGAAGGTGCTTTTAGTGTCTATTATACTTCATAGTGGCAAATAATCCTTTATTACATTCCAATATGCTATATAATTTATTTATTCTATTGTCTTTTTCCTCCTCTCATGTAAGCCTCATGATTTTGGGGATTTGTTTATTTTTGCTAACTCCATTATCTCTAGCTACTAGAGAATTTCTGACACTTAGTAGTTGCTCAGTTAGTATTTATTGAAGGAATATGTTTAAAATTATGGTGAAATCAACCACAGCGCTTTCATTTTGAGATTCAGATTTATGGGTACACACAAATCATTATTTTGCCTTACTGTTGTACAACTCAGACAGTAACAGCAAAGAGCTACCAGAAATAAGATACATTAATTGAAAATTATTTATAAACAGCAGACACTGTCCCCTTGTTAAAACGATAAATCCAAAGCTCAGAGTTTAATGGGTTTATTCTCCTTATCAAATTCCTAACAGATGGTATGACAAATTGAATTAGAATAATGTAAATTCACTCCAACCAGAACTGTGGTTAACATTTTGATAACTCTGCAACTTTACTTAGCTACTTTGATTTCAATCACTCATACATTTTTCATGTCTTGCCTTATTTAAAATTCACATTTAATGCTCATTTCCCATAATATAGTGATTAAATGTAACAGCAAAATCACCTTCCAACCTCTAAGTGCTATACAAATATAATTATAGTTTTTAATTTATATTCGGTAATAAACATGGAAAAATTTTTCTTAAGTTTTAATTTTGAACTGTAAACAGAGGAACAGTATTTCTAAATATGTTCTAAATATTTCTAAAATGTTCTATTGACATAGTTAGTTTAATGCTCCTTATCTTCTAAAATTCAGAAACTAGGAAGTTCAACATTAATGAACACTTTCTTTTCTCTCAGGTTGTCCCAGCATCAGCTATTGAGGCTGATAAGCAAAAGGGAGCTGCTATGCAATTTCAGGATTGGTGCCGACATCTTCACCTGTGCTCACACTGTCTGCTTCCACTCACTCATAATCCTGTTCTCTCTCTTGAAAGAAAGGCTAATTAGGATAAATATGCTAGTCTGCCTTACTTGGATGGTGGAAGAACAGAGAGCAGTGTTAGAATCACTGTTTCATTACCAGCTGACATCTGCATGGTTCTTCTGGGTAAGGACCAGCAACAAGACTGTCTTGTGTGTGTCCTTTTTCTTCCTAGCTCCTCCCATCTCTCTGATTAACACCAATCCAATAAAAATTTCTCAAAACTATATTATGTTGGCATATTATTGTTTGTTTAGATTACAATCTATATGGAAATTGCATCACCCCACTCTCTTAGGTCATCAGAAATGAGTATTTTTGGCTATTCCACAGAATGTGTATTCATTAAATATCGTGAGTAGAAATTATTTAAAAATTAAGCATGTCTTAGGACCTAAACTTTAGTCCTTGCTTGAATATTCACATTTGTGTAATTCATTTCCAATCTTGCCTAAAAGTTACTTAATAGCTCCTAAATTCCTAAGAGTCCATGTCATTTTCTTTGGAAGCATAAATTTAGGCACCTGGACATTTTGGAATCAGAGACCCTTGGTCTCTAACCTTTGTGATTTTTGGAATAGTTACCCAGACTCTCTACTCACTTTCCTTATTCATCAAACTGGGATAACACAGAACCTACTTCATATAGTTGTATTAAGAATAAAATTAAAAACTGTATGTAAAGTGTACAATACCTGGTAAATAATATCCAACTATTATTTAGATAAGAGACTTACCTAAAAGTATAAATTCCCTAAATATTTACTGAGCATAAGGTGGACTAGTTTCTTCCAACTAGAGGGTGACACTTCACTTCCTCTAAAGTAGAGATAAATCTATCTTTGTCTTCTTTCTTCACAGGCCATTATTATTTGCATGTAATAAGAAAAATTACACTTTTAGCGTCTATTATACTTCATAAAGGCAAATAATCGTTTCTGGAGAGGTGATGTCTCTTTATCAGTTTTCCAGTAACAGTTACTGTAAGTTATTTCAACATAAAAACTGTATCTTTGAGAATATTTTTGATCCAAGTAGTAGAGACTTTCAATCTAGATTTAAGCTGTTTTCATATAGCTGATAAAACATTTCTTTTCATCTCTGTTAGACTATTGGGATAAATGAACTATGACTCTGAAACAGAAAGTCATTTCTATGTATTCTAATAAATCATTTTAATTTATAATTATGATATTCTTATTAACAGGATATTCTGGGTTATATACTCTGCTTGTTTTCAACTTTAAATCACTGATTTAAAAGAACACATTTTTATCAATGACTTAAAAAGCACTCAAGATCATCATTATGAACATATATATACTCCTCTGTTGCAGAGGAAATATCCTCACAACCAAAATTTATGTGTGATCTAAATTTTAAACGCACCCTAGACACCCTAATAAAGTTAGGCAGGAGGAAAAAAAAATGAGGCTACCATCAATAGGACAGGTATAAAAGTCTGGAAACCAGCTCCTCATATATGGGTTGTTAGTTAAATCACAAGTCTTTACCAGATATTGTTAGCCTAGTTTCAATGATTTTTCTTTAAAAATATTCTATTATTTAAACTTATCACCAATTAAGCCTACTTTCACTCTCACCCATCCCTACTCCTGTTCAAATAAAGTATTACTACCAGAGCCATTTTTAAAGTGTTCAAACTAAATGATATTAAAAGGAAGTTAAGAAAAAAAAATAACCTTGAGCTTTTATTTTCAAGTTGCTATGGTGTGAATGTGTCCCTCAAAGTTCATGTTTTGGAAACAATCCTTAAAGCAACAGTGTTGGGAGGTGGGGTCTAATAGGTGATTAGGTAATGAGGGCTCTGACCAAATGAATGAAGCAATGTCATTATTGTAGGAGTGGGTTAGTTATCTTCAGATAACTTTTGTAAGAAACCACTGTTGGCCGGGCGCGGTGGCTCACGCCTGTAATCCCAGCACTTCGGGAGGCCGAGGTGGGTGCATCACGAGCTCAGGAGATCGAGACCATCCTGGCTAACACGGTGAAACCCCGTCTCTACTAAAACTACAAAAAATTAGCCAGGCATGGTGGTGGGCGCCTGTAGTCCCAGCTACTCAGGAGGCTGAAGCAGGAGAATGGTGTGAACCTGGGAGGCGGAGCTTGCAGTGAGCCGAGACTGCACCACTGTACTCCAGCCTGGGTGACAGAGCGAGACTCCATCTTGGAAAAAAACAAAAAAAAACAAACAAAAAAAATCCACTTTTGTTATAAAAGTGAGTTTAGCTCTCTCTTGACTTCCTGCCTTCTGCCATGGGATGATGCAGCATGAAGACCCTTGCCCAAATGCAGGGCCCTCAACCGCCAGAACTAAGAAATAAATCTGTGTTCTTTATAAATTACCCAGTCTCAGCTATTCTGTTATAGCAGCTCAAAATAGACTAAGATAAGTATATTAAAGATCACCAAGCTAAAGTTCAGAATTCCCATTAGGCTTTATACTTCAAAGTGCAACTTTTAGTTAATACATGATGTTTGCCATTACAGGATGGGAAATGAGAAAGAGGCTAATGCCAGATTGAATTAGCTCTTTACAGCTTCCTGATCACAAGTGGTGGGGCCCCTTACTTAAGTGGAAAAAAGTTAGTGTCAGAAGCAGGACATAGAGGAACAGTTTATGTTCCCTTCGAGTAATAAACAACCAGTTCTAACTTCCAAACCAAATCAAGAATTTCATATTGAGATTCAAATTGGTCCCTGACTACTGACCACAAACAGTATATGGTAAAGACACGGAGAATCAAGGAACAGTAAGATTAAACATAGACACTAATTCATCTACGACTTAACCAAGATTACAGATTTTTCTTGTTGGAAAGATTGCTAAGGAGCTGACTTTGGGTCTCCTTCTAGAATGGTTCTAGAAAGAACTAACTGAAAGTAATCCAAGAGGCTCTACACAGAGAGCAGCCAGATACATACTTACTCATCAACTAGCAAGGTCAACTTACACTGAAAACTTTGTTTGGTACAGACTGAATGTCTCTTATCTGAAATACTTGAGACCAGAACTGTTTCAAATTTCAGATTTTGGAATATTTGTATTATACTTACTGGTTGAGCATTCCAAATAACAAAAATCTGAAATCTGAAATGCTCCAATGAGCATCTCCTTTGAGCATCATGTAGGTGTTCAAAAAGTTTTAGATTTTTGATTTTGAATGCTCAACCTGTGTAACAGGAATTGGTCCAATCTTATAAAAAAGTTTTAGCTAGGTGTAAGGTGATACACACCTGTAATCTCAGCTTCCTGGGAGACTGAGGTGGGAGAATTGCTCAAGGTCAGCCTAAGCAACATAGTGAAACCCTTATTTTAATAAAATGAAGAAAGGAAAAAAAGCTAAACAAAGCTAAGCTAGCTTAAAAAAAAAAGGTTTTTTTTCCTCTATGGAAAAGAAAGCAAGCCAATTATAGGAAGAGAGAAATGCTCTAAGAATTATTTGTACACTATTTTGGCACAAGATGAAAACTGATAGTATGAACCAACAGTATTGAAACCCTGGATCTCTTCCTGCTTAGGTCTCACTTTGGGCTTTGTTACCTTACAGTTGAGTTTCATTACTAGCTCCTGACCACCCTGGGCTGCCTTCCTCTTTGCCATTCCTTAGGGAATGGTAGTGAGTTGGTCATTAAATATCTTTAGAGATTTTAGCAGTTTGAACTATGATGCATATTAGAGTATTTGATCACTAATATGTATGAAAAAGTTCATAGTGTCTTAGGGTCAAGGCTGTAAGTATTTAGGAAGTTTATGCACCTGTCTTCTAATCTGAGAAGCAGACAATTTATTTTAATGGTGAATTAGTCCATTCTTGCACTGCTATAAAGAAATACCTGAGACAGGGTAATTTATAAAGAAAAGGGGTTTAACTGGCTCACAATTCCGCAGGCTGTACAAGAAGCATGGTAGCATCAGCCTCTGCGGAGGCCTCAGGGAACTCACAATCAGGGCAGAAGGCAAAGAGGGAGCCAGCACCTCAACTGACTAGAGTAGGAGGAAGAGAGTGAGGGGGGGAGGTGCTACACACTTTTAAACAACCAGATCTCATGATAACTCACTCACTGACTATCATGAGAACAGCACTGAGGGGATGGTGCTAACCCATTCATGTGAATTCCGCCTCCATGATCCGATCACCTAATACCAGTCTCTGCCTAGAACACTGGGGATTACATTTCAACATGAGATTTAGGTGGGGACACAGATCCAAACCATATCAAATGGTGAAGCATAGGTTAAAAAAAAATCAACCTTGTGAACATTAAAAAATATCTGAGTCCTCAAAGTGTGTTTCTCAGGTCCTTAAAGCATATCACCTGTGGCTTGGAAGTACATAAAATGTAGGCTCCTCTTTCTTTTTCATTATTGTAAAGTCAGAGAAAAAGCCAACTTAGAGCCATGCCCACAGTACAAAATCTGTTCAACAAGATTAGATTGTCTTTTGTTATTTCTTCCTTCCTTTGTCTTCATTTTATAAACGTATGCATGCACACAGCTTTTAAACAAGAGGCTAATTGATTAGGAAACCAGTGTTGATTTGATGTAAGCAACAATCCAAAAAGTAGAAAATATTATTATTGTTTACTACAAATGTATGGACTCAAAACTAGCTTAACTGTTATTATTCCTCAAGAGAATTTATTTTTACTCAGCCTCTTCTCGGAGAAGAGTGCTTTAGACCAAAGCTAGCAATTATAAAGCTAAGAAATCAGGCAACTGCAATACTACCAAACTACAAAAAATTTACACTAAACTAGTAAAGTTAAATGTCATTTTTAAAAAGCCCCTCTTACATTCTAGTCTATTGACAGGCATTGTGTTGGGAACTTGGTAGAGGAAAGAAAACTTCAAAAATATTTTAAAAGATTTACCGACAACAAATATACCTTGTTATTTTTCTAGTATGTAATTATTATTATGACTTTTTTCCCCCACTGATTTCTAAAGACCCGTATACTGATATAAAAACTAAAATTTTGTGCAATTCAAGATCCTCATTTCCCTCCTCTTTTCTAAAATAATTTTTTTTTTTTTGAGACAGAGTTTTGCTCTTGATGCCCAGGATGGAGTGCGATGGCACAATCTCAGCTCACTGCAACCTCCACCTCCTGGGTTCAAGCGATTCTCTTGCCTCAGCCTCCTGAGTAGCTGAGATTACAGGCATGTGCCACCATGCCTGGTTAATTTTGTATTTTTAGTAGAGACGGGGTTTCTCCATGTTGGTCAGGCTGGTACCGAACTCCCAACCTCAGGTGATCCGCCTGCCTTGGCCTCCCAAAATGTTGGGATTACAGGCATGAGCTACTGTGCCGGCCTACAAAAATCTTAAACAAAAAAGTTGTAATACACTAGCTGATCACTGTAGTGAAAATGAAAATGCGTATTTGTGAGAGCTGAGAAATGACACCAGATAGAGAAGAAATTATTTGACTCTAATTTTTCTTACAAAGATTAAATTGGGATTTTAATATATAAAACCTTGAATATACATAGAATATTAAACGAAATAGTTCTAATTCAAATTGAGAATTGTCTTTTACACTGAAGGGAACTATGATTTCAAAAACAAAGGACTTATTCCATGCTTACATGCTGAGATATTATCAGAGCTGAAATGTTAAGAGATGGTACCTAAGGTAATATTTGTATATTCTCTATATAATGACTGAGAACCAGTTAAAAGGCTTATTTTAAAAAGCTAGAAAAGCAATTACGAAAATTTAGGGTTCTGTGGAAAAATTCGATCATGGCATGAACTCCATTAATGATGATTTGCCAGCAAACACTGGTTAGAAAAAGCTGGCTGAGAGAATAGCAAGGATAACCAATTAGGATTAGAACATCAGCCCTATTGCTATAAAATAACTATTGACAGTAGATCAATGGTATTAAGATCACATATACTAGAACCAGACTGCCAGGCTTTAAAGTCCAGGACCAACAGTTATGAGCTGTGTGACTTCAAACTGTATTTCTTAGGTCGCCAAGGTTCAGTTCTATCACATTTAAAATAGAAAATGACAGTAGTCATTCCAAAGCTATCTTGAGTTAAATAAGATAATCCACATAAGGGGTTTAGCACAGTGCCTGGCACATAACAACAGCTTGCCATCACCACTACAGCAACCCTGGGCAGTCCAACTTTTTGGCTGTTTCCTTAAATGTAAAATACAGGGTTTGGACTAGATAATTTCTAATGTCTTTACTCATCTAAAATTAAAATTCTACAATGTATCAACAATATACAAGCCAACTCTATTTCCAAAGAACATAAATTTGGATTTTCACCCCAGCATGATTTAAGTACTGTAAAAGAAACTTATTTTTAAGATATCCTTTTATTTTTATTTAATTTTTTAGAGATGGGGTCTTGCTATGTTGCCCAAACTGGACTTGAACTCCTAGGCTCAAGCAATCCTCTCACCTTAACCTCTGGAGTAGCTGAGATTGTAGGAACACACCACTGTTCCTGTTATGTCATCTTTTGAAATTAGCTATAATCACTACATTTATTAAAGCTGAAGTTATAGATATTCTATGTAATCCACAAGAAATCCATAATCTTCCATCACATACTGTTTGGTGACCATAATAATTTCTGAATAACAAGTCCTAACAGGAATTTCAAGGTATATAATCCCCCACTATATTTTTTTAAACAATAAGAACATTTCATACCCCATACTTAGTAAACAGAAAATAAAGATCATGAAAAATTTCAAATATATAATACAGAAAAAAGGAAAGAACTATTTTGAAACTGTCCAAAATCTAGAGGTTTAATAAAGTCTCTCTACTGATATGTTACAACTCAAAACTCAAATTACAGGCCAAATTTTTTTTGCAGGAATATTAAGGTTTTTTTTAGTATGACTCATAAATATCTAAACCAAAAATCAATTGTAATATGACAACACTAACTGCACCAACCCAAATAAATCCTTCCAATAGGGCTTTTTTTTGGGGTTTCTTTTTGGATTTGGAGAATTTTTCTTCATATATCTTAGGGACATTATTAAAAAAATTTTAAAAACCTTTTCAGGTTTTAAAAATTACCAACAGTGTGTGTGATCACTGAAAAGAGGTTAATCTAAAAATTTTAAAGTATTTTTCCAGATAATAAGATCATACTGGTGAGAAAAGAGTTCGGGCTCATCTCACTCAAATACTTGCATAATAGGCTCGAAAGAATAAAAAAATTGTTATGTTACTTCTTAATATAAAAAACACACAGGTCTGTTAAAATCTGACAATTCAATAAGCTCTCAAACCAGAAAACACGTTTCCCAGTCAACACTCATACTTATTTCTGTATTAGGAAAAATGGGGTTGTTGCAGGGGTCTTTAAAAAAAAAAGATTTCTCTTAAATTCGTAACTCTGTTAACTGCACCTTCATTTCCAGAAACCTTATCTTTAACAAATCTCTACACTATTCATACTTAGCACAATTTCCAATCATTGAAGACATTTTAGTTTTACCTTACAATCAGTACAAAGCAGCTGTGTTAAATTCATTCCATAAGATCAAAACTATACTGTGTCCTTACCCTCAATATTTAGCTCAAAACAAATGTGGCAGAAGGAGAGTGTTTCTTTGTCTGTTCCCAGTTTACAAACACTGCAAATGTTGTCATCATTCAAATCAATGTTTACAAACTGCTCCTCTTCGTTCATAGTGCCCCTATTAAGAAACAGAAAAGGAAAGTTACACAATTTCATGAACCTGCCTTTGGGGTAGTTCCCTTTACTGGGAACTTCTAGGAAATAAGGATGCTGTTCAGCTCATTTAAAGCAAAAGCTCCATCAAACAAGCATCGCCATACTTGCACTCCAACATTGCACTTTTCCTGTGGAAAGACACAAAGCTAGTAAAACTTAAAGCCAGGCCATAGGTGACACTATGTCCGTGTCTTTTTTGTCCTATAGTTGATTGGGTTAGTGGCACCTGAAGGAAAGAGATTTGCCGGCATTCTAGTCCTCCTCCTTCGTCCCCCAACCTCGAATAATCAGAGGGCTTAGCAGCGAGGCCTTTTCAGCTACCAGGTTCTGTCAACCTAGTTAACGCTGTGAGAAACAGGAAAAACGACCTGCACGGGACACTGCTTTGCTAACTTCATTGGGGGAACCTCAGATGCGCCTCGCGAACTCGGAGTTGCGAAGCTTCGCATCGAACGGAGATCGGCGGCAGCAAAATGCACGTGGGTACCGAATACCCGGGGAGGGCGTCCCGCCGTGTCCGGGGCAACTACACCGAAGGCCGAGCGGCGGCTTCACGGTACCGGCCGGGCACCGCCGGAGGGGCCCAAGCCGGAGCTGGGAGAGCCGCGGCATCCTGGAGCCCGGCGGGCGGGAGAGCCTCGTCCCATCGCTCCGGGATTCCTCCCAGAGGGAAGAAAGCGTCCGAGGGCCACGGCGGCCGGTCCGCCCAGCCTCAGCGTCTCGGGGAGCCGGGTCCTGGCCCGGCCTTCGGCGTTGGGGGCGCGCGGCCGCCCCCAGGGAGTCGCGGACCCAAGTCCGTCTTTCCGTCGGTCTGTCCGTCGGGGCGCCTGGCGCGCAGCAGCGCGAGGGGCCACGGGGCTCGGAACTCGAAGGAGGCGGAACGATGGGACTGGGGGTCGGGGCTCAGGTGGGATGGGAGCAGGGCTGCGGGGTCTTTACCGTCCGGCTCCGCGGGCCACCACCGCCGTTCCGTGCGGCTCGGGTTCCTCCACTATTGTTTCCGGCCGCAGCAGAGGCGGCCGCCGCGCGCCTGGCCCCGCCCTCTCCCGCCGGCTCCATCCCGTAAAGGCTGCGGGGAGGGTGGCGCGGCCGCGGGCACACCTGCGCGCTCGCCGGGCTGCTGTGGGTCCGCCCCTCCGCTCCTGCACCGACGCCGCACCTTCGCCTCGAGTTCTCCTGTGATCCCGTGTTTCCTGGCCGGAGTTTCTTACCGTTCTCTGGAACGTAGCTCCTCACACACCCCTCCTCGAGGTGCGTAGATAGACGAATCCGTTCCACCTCTCCCTTCAGCCTAGTGCAAACTACTGCCCCGGGGCGGGGGCCGCAGGCGGCGGGGGTAGGAAAGCCGCGGGTGGATGGCAGAACGGGAGAGGTGCGTGGGTGGCACTTTGACTTCAGGAGAAAGAAGCAGAATACTGTCACTGAACTTATAGTTAAGTGCCAGTTGAAGTATCTAACGAAGGAAAAGTTCATATTCAGGTGTCATGATAGAGGCATAATTTCAAATACAGAATCTTTTCAAATACATTATTTGTTGTGGGGCGCCCCTGCCCCCAATATGGTACATCCCTCAACGCCCACGGGAAAAATCCCGAAGCCCCACCTCTTATTTTTAGGTCCTGCTTGGTTCTCAAATTCTTTGCTTGACTTTTGTTTAAGCTATTCTGTTTTTTTTAGGGTATGGTTCTTGCAGTACTTTCACTTACATTTTCCATTGTAGTCCTCACAGTAACCTACAGAGGAGAAACAGGAACTGTTCTCTCATGTTGCAGCCTACGAGTAATTGACCCAGGTTATCACAGTTGGTTAGAAAAAGGCTGGGACTTGAACCGAAGGCTACTGACCTAAGATCAATGTTATTTTCTACAGCATCATATGTATGTGTTCTGGTTGCACTCACATAGAAAGAGGGCTAGCCTGTCAATCTACATGTAGGCATTCTTGAACTGATGGTTAGGAATGGACTGTCTAGATCTTGGAAACTTCTGGGCCAAATTAGCACTCCAGTTATGGCATTTGTGCCTCGCAGGAGCGATCTGTGTCCTTGCCACCTAAATTGTAGTAGATGAACAAACAACATTGACATTACTTGGTTTCCTGTTAGAAATGTAGAATCTCAGGCCCCACTCGAGATTTCCTAAATCAATACTTGCACTTTAACAAGACCGCCAGGAGATTCCTATGTTCATCGAAGTTTGAGATGCACTAATTGAAATGAAAAGCCTGTGCTTTTTCTCTTCGAATTTCTCATTCTAGGTAACTACGACTAAGATACCTTGCATGTTGGATTCTACCCATCTTTTCAATAAAAAGCATTCTTTTAAAAAGGACTCTTTTAAAGTGATTCAATAAAAGTGTTCTAAAATCACTAAAATTTAAAAATTGAAACAAGTTATTTTCACTTCTCAGAATTGTCTTCCTTCCTATGGCATTTCACATTGTTTACTTGCTATTCTTAAAACTCTTCTCTCTTGTTGTTGGCTTTTTAAAAAAAATCAAGGAATAATTTACAGAAATAAAATGCTTCCATTTTAAAAGCATTATTTGATGAGTTTTGGCAAATACATACACTTGAGTAACCACCACCCCAGTGAGGATACAGAACATTTCCACAGCCCCGACATTTCTTTCTGTTCCTTTCTGGTCAAGCTCCTTCAACATGGGATCTAATTTATATGACGAAGTGTTTTAGTTTTGTCTGTTATAGGAATTCATATACATAGAATTAAGCAGTGTGTGTTCATTTGTGATTGGCTATTGTCATGCAGCATGTTTTTGAGATTCACGATGGTATTTTGTAACAGTGGTTTCTTTTCACTGCTCGTCTTAGTCAGTTTGTGTTCCTATAAAGGAATACCCAAGGCTGGATAATTTATATAGAAAACAGGTTTATTTGGCTCATGGTTCTGGAGGCTGTACAAGAAGCATGGTGCCAGCATCTGTTTCTGGTGATGGCCTCAGGCTGATTCCATTCATGATAGGAGGCAAAGGAGAGCCAGTATGTGCAGAGATCATGTGGCCTGAGAGTGAGCAAGAGAGAGAGGGGAGGAAATTCCAAGCTTGCTCTCTCTTTATTTATTTTTTATTTTTTATTTTATTTTATTTAAAAACGAGTTCCACTGGGAATTAAGAGTGGGAATTGATTCACACCCTAGAGAATGGCACCAAGCCATTCATCAGGGATCCATAACTAAGCTCCAACCCCTTGCTCTCCACTCCCCAACCAAGCTTCACCTCCAACGCTGGGGATCAGTGGGGCATGGGGGCTCATACCTGTAATCTTAGCACTTTGGGAGGCTGTGGTGGGCTGATCGTTTGTGTCTAGGTGTTCGAGACCAGCCTGGGCAACATCGTGAAACCCCATCTCTACCAAAAAACCCCACAAAAATTAGCCAGGCAGGGTGGTGCATGCCTGTAGTCCCATCTACTCAGAAGGCTGAGGTGGGAGACTGGCTTGAGTCCTAGAGGTGGATGTTGTGTGAGCTGAGATTGTGCCACTTCACTCCAGCCTGGGTGACAGAGTAAGACTCTGTCTCAAAAAAAAAAAAAAAGAGAAAAAGATGTCCACACGCTAATTCTTGGATATTTTGAATATGTATGTAACATAGCAAAAGAGACTTTGTAGATATAATTAAGGTTATAAACTTTAAAATAGGTTTTCCTGGATTATTGCGCTGAGCCCAATCTAATCACATGAACCCTTATAACCAGAGATCTTTCTCCAAGTAAGCTCAGAGAAATGTAGCAAAGAGAAAGTCAAAGTGATTAGAAGCATGAGAGGGACTTGACCCACCATTGCTCTAGGAGCAAACACTGGTCTCCAGCTGGTAGCCAGCAAGGAAATGGGAGCTACAGTCTTTAAACTGCAAGGAACAGAATTCAGCCAACAGCCTGCATAGATTGAGAAGCTCATTTGAACAATCTTCCAACACTTTGATTTCAGCCTTATGAGATTCTAAATAGAGGAGTCAACTGAATCATGCTGTACTGGAATTTTTACCTACAGAACTGTGAGATAATAAATGGGTGTTGTTTCAAGCCATTAAACTTGTGTTAGTTATGCCAGCATTACAAAGATTGAATGTCGAAATTTTTAAAGAAGGTTGAGATTTATTTTGGGAAGATGTTACTCTAGTGGCTGATCAGCTTGCTTCTTTAGAGACTTGTTTGTAAACCTTGTGAGGGTCTACACTATCATTTTGTAATATGGATATCTTAGTCCAGTCCTTGAAGAGTGGCTTCTTAGACCCTCTATTGTATGTCATGGGTATTTAATAAAGATTCTGCACTCTAGTTGATTAAAACTCAAATGACTCCTGTCCCTGTGAGTTCCAGCAGGTGTTCAGTTTGTAGTTCCCCAGTAATTGTTCTTTCGGTGATAGTTATTTTTTTGCCCTGGTATTTAAATTTTCTGTAAAGTCTCGCCCTATACATGCACAGCTTAGTATTCAGCCAAAGACTTAAAGAAAGAGTATTCTGAAACTCTATAGTTTTTCCTTTCTGCCAGTTTTTATTGCAAATTCCAGCCCGTCTTAGACTCCCCAAACTCAAATCTTTTTCTCCCCAGAGCAACTTTGCTTGGATTTCCTTATGTGGACCATGGTCTGAAAGTACTTCCATGCATAAAATCAGGGTAATTATAGGTCTCCTCTCATTTGTTTCTTTCCTATTATGGATCACATGTTTGTACTGTCTGTGTTTCAGTGTCCTAGAATTCATATTTTCTAGATTTTGGTTGTCTGCTGCCATGTGAGATGTGCTTTTCACCTTCCACCATGATTGTGAGGCCTCCCTGGCCAATTGGAACTGTAAGTCCATTAAACCTCTTTCTTTTGTAAATTGCCCAGTCTCAGGTATGTCTTTATCAGCAGTGTGAGAACAGATTAATACAGATTCCTAACTAAGCCTAAAGTCAAAGTAATGTCTGTTTTAGGCCAAGAGCTAATTACAAAACTAGTTATTGTATATCGCTTTATAGTTTATAACACATTTTTGCACACTTCACTGAGTTACTAAATTAGTAAGAATTGTAGTTAGTTAAAGGTAAAATCCTTGACTATTCAAAGACCTAGGCTTTGAACCTGTACAGCATATGACTGTACTGAATACTATAGGCAATTATAAGGCAATGTATTTGTGTATCTGGACATACTAAAGGTATAGTAAAAATACTGTATAAAAGAAAAAAATGGTATATCAGGCACTGATTGTGAATGGAGCCTGCAGGAGTAAAAGTTGCTCTGAGTGGGTCAGTGAGTAAATGGTGACTGAATGTGAAGGCCTAGGACATTACTAAAAATCACTGTAGACTTTATAAACACTGCACATGTATACTACACTGTTTATTTTATAAATTTTTCTTTCATCAATAATTAACCTTAGCTTACTATAAATTTTTTACTGAATAAACTTTAATTTTTTAAATATTTTGACTATTTTGTAATAACAGCTATATTAGTCCATTTTCACACTGCTCTAAAGAACTACCTGAGACTAGATAATTTATGAAGAAAAGAGGTTTAATTGACTCACAGTTCCACAGGCTGCACAGGAAGCATGGATAGAATAGGAGGCCGTAGGAAACTTACAACCATGGCAGAAGGCAAAGGGGAAGAAAGCATGTCTTATCATGGTGGAGAAGGGGAGAGAGACAGAGCAAGGGAGGAAGTGCCACCCACTTTCAAATAACCAGATCTCGTGAGAACTCACTCACTATAACGAGAACGGCAAGGGAAAAGTCTACCCTCATGATTCAATCACCTCCCACCAGGCCCCTCCCCCGACATGTGAGGATGACAATTCAAGATGAAATTTGTGTGAGCACACAGAGCCAAACCATATCATTCCACCCTGGCCCCTCCCAAATCTCACGTCCTTTTCACATCTAAAATCACAACCATGCCTTCCCAACAGTCCCCCAAAGTCTTAACTCATTCCAGCATTAATTCAAAAGCCCAAGTCCAAAGTTTCATCTGAGACAAGTCCCTTCTGCCTATGAGCCTGTAAAATCAAAAGCAAGTTAGTTGTTTCCAACATACAATGCGGATATAGACTTTGGATAAATACTTCCATTGCAAAAGGGAGAAATTGGCCAAAATAAAGGGGTTACAGGCCCCATGCAAGTCTGAAATCCAGTGGGGCAGCCATTAAATCTTAAAGTTCCAAAATAAACTCCTTTGACTCCATGTCTCACATCCAGGGCACACTGATGCAAGAGGTGGGCTCCCAAGGTCTTGGGCAGCTCTGCCTACATGGCTCTGCAAGGTACAGCCCCTGAGGCTGCTTTCATGAGCTGGCTTTGAGTGCCTACGGCTTTTCCAGGTGCAAGGTGAAAGCCGTCAGTGGATCTACCATTCTGGGGTCTGGAGGACAGTGGCCCTCTTATCACAACTCCACTAGGCAGTATCACAGAGGGGACTCTGTGTGGGTGCTCCAACCCCACGTTTCCCATCTGCACTGCCCTAGTAGGTCTCCATGAGGGAGACCAACAATATCTGTTAGAGAGATCGCATAATGTTTTTTTCTGAAAATCATTGCATTTCCTCTACAATGGTGAAAATTTTTCTCATCATTTAAAGTCCAATTCAAATGAATGTCTGCTACAAAAATATCTCTAGTCCTTTTACTTTCCTGAATTCCCACAATGCTTGCTCATAGCACTACTATTTTTAGTATGTTTTTCTGACATGGCCCCATTTTTAAAATAAAGGATTTAGTATATTCAATATATCCATCCACCCATCTCTCACCTATTTGTTTCTCCTCCTATGTTATCTAATTCTCTCCAATTAGAGAGGTGCTTTTTCCATTTAGCCAGGAAGATTGGCATATGTAGCCCCAGGCTCAAAGCCTTCTGGTACCATGATCCTGAAGGTACTGGAAATTCAAGATGGTGTGACTGATTGACTGAATTATTATTTCTACTTCTTCACCCCCTTTCACTTACATGTGACCTTATAGTTCACTGTAGTGAGCAGAATATATTTCCCCATCCCAATGAGATATTAATGAACATGACAGTGAGCAGAGACCTTAAATGTGCTTGTGTGCCTTAGCTTGGCTTCTTTATCTCTGTCATATGTCACAAGAAGACCTTCATCCAGGTATTTGCTGGTCCAAGAAAGATGAGAGAGATGTAGAGATCAAACAGATTGAAGGGTCCAACTTGCAGCCTAGCTCTGGGTTGCCCCAGCTGACCTATAGATCCATGATGTTGGTTATTAAAGTACTGATATGGTTTGTCTCTGTGTCCCCACCCAAATCTCATGTTGAATTCTAATCCCCAATGTTGGGGAAAGGACCTTGTGGGAGGTGATTAGATCATGGAGGTGGATTTCCCCCTTGCTATTCTGGTGATAGTGAGTTCTCATGATATATGGTTGAAAGTGTGTAGCATTTTCCCCTTTGCACTCTCTCTTTCCTGTCACTATGTGAAGATGTGCTTGCTTCCCCTTCACCTTCCACCATGATTGTAAGTTTCTTGTGGCCTCTCCAGCCATGCTTCCTGTACAGCCTGTGGTACTGAGTCAATTAAACATCTTTTCTTTATAAACTACCCAGTCTCAGGTAGTTTTTAATAGCAATGTGAGAACAGATTAATACAAGTACTGGGGGTTGTACAATTATGCAACATTTTGCAGTGATAGCTGATTAATACAGCGGGATTCTGAATGGCCAAATGTGATTCATATGCTTGTCTCTGAATCAAACACAATTGCTAGTACTTTAATTGGCCAGGCTCTATTACATTTCCAGCTCTTCCTCCATTCCCAAATGATTGAAGTTGGCTCAGGAGTGGGGGTGTAGGAATTAAAATTTGATCTCAAGATATGGAAGACAAGTTTCCCAAAAGGAAAGTGGTTGCTCTTACCAGAGGAAGGGAATTGGTTTGAAACCTATTAAGCAGGAAAAATCTATCTGTCATAATCTAGTCTGGTACTCTTTCTACATCATTATTTATTGCTAAATTTTAAGCTGATTTGTATGCAGAAACTCTGCCTTACTCATCTTGTGTTTAACACTTACAAATTATAATGTCTTATAATTTGTGTTTGAATCCAGTAGGATTAAGTTTCACTGCAAGTAATATAAAAATCCCCAAGTAACAGTGACATAAAAAGTTGGACATGGGCAGACATGCTGGCTCATGCCTGTAATCCCACCACTTTGGAAGCCTGAGGCAGGAGGGTCACTTGAGTCCAAGAATTCATGACCAGCCTGGGCAACATGGTGAAACCCCATCTCTACAAAAAAATACCAAAAAAATTAGCCGGGTGTGGTGGCGCAGGCCTGTAGTACCAACTACTCAGGAGGCTGAGGTGGGAGGATTGCTTGAGTATGGGAGGTCAAGGCTGCAATTAGCTGGGATTGTGCCACTGAACTCCAGCCTGGGCAACAGAGTGAGACCTTGTCTCAAAAAAAAAAAAAAAAAGTTGTACTTTATTTTTTTCTCTTATGTTGAAGACTAGAATTGAGCAGCCAGGGTGAGTGTGGTGACTCTGATTTTCAAAGTTCTTAAGCATGCATTTTGCTTTGTTTTTTTTTTCCATGAGACAGAGTTGCTCCGTCACCCAGGCTTGAGTTTAGTGGTGCAATCTTGATTTACTGCAATCTCCGTCTTCTAGACTCAAACTGAGGTGGGGGCTTGGGGACCACATCTTTATTCCAGATGACCATATGGCCAGCTAAAAGTCAGGGCTTCTAAAAGAGGGAGCATAGATATTGCAATTTCAGCAAGCAATCTCTACTGCAGTGCTCAATATTTATTAAATGAATGAATCACATTAAAAATTAAAACTGATTAATAAACACTAACAATTAAATTTTTAATCTTAGATGAAATGCTGGATTAAAGAATATATTTGAGGCTGGGCATGTTGGCTTACACCTGTAATCCTAGTACTTTGGGAGGCTGAGCCAGGTAGATCACCAGGTCAGGAGATGGAGACCATCTTGGCCAACATGGTGAAACCCCGTCTCTATTAAAATACAAAAAATTAGCTGGGTGTGGTGGCGCACACCTGTAGTCCTAGCTACTTGGGCGGCTGAAGCAGAGGAATCTATTAAACCTGGGAGGCAGAGGCTGCAGTGAGCCGAGATCATGCCACTGCACTCCAGCCTGGTGGCAGAGCAAGACTCTTTCTCAAAAATAATAATAATAATAATAATTTGCTTAAAAATTATTTTTGATTTCCACTGAAATTGAACAATTTGGCAGGCTTATTTCAGTTTTATTCATCCATTTTCTAAAAGTGTAATCCTTATAAGATTCTACACAGGGAGTCTAGCGCTGCTCTTTTGGAATCTTTAACCCTGAAGAAAATATCACTCTTAAAATTATGGCTCCTCTAAAGCTTAGACAAGCATCCCTCTGAAAGTTTGAGATACAGATATTTGCATTAAAGGGATTTATTACCTATAGTTTTAGTAATGCTGACATTATGGGTAAGCTGTCTGCTGATCCATTGTCTTGTTTTGCAAGCAGAACAAAGCAAACCTATTTCTAGTCTATGGATAAATTCTGTGTTGGCATTTCTGGGAGAAGATTGGGAGTTAACTACCAAGCTATTGATTTTTTTTGTGTCTGCTGTGAGCCAAATCCAGTCTTCAGTAATGTGCACAGTCCCCCCTGTTAAATTCAAGGTGATAAAAGGAAAGTTTAGTATTGATGTCTGAAGTTAGAAAAGTCTGTTTCATAATTTACCAGAGGTTTATTTTTATATTCCATTGTGTAAGTATCAGTCTTTGGGTATAGAATACTCAAGCTAGAAATTAAAATCCAGACGTGTTTCTGAGTTTACTATTGGTGTACCCATTGAATGAGATACAATTTTGAAGTTTGATGCTGAGAGAAATATAGCATTGTTAAAAGAAAAACCTTAGACAAATTAAATTTAACAGAGTTGAATTGAGCAAGAAGAAAATGATTCGCAAATCAGGCAGCCTCCAGAATCACAGCAGATTCATAGAGATTCCAGGGATGCCTCGTGGTCAGAGCAATTTATAGAAAAAAAAAAAAAGGAAAGAAAAGAAAGTGACATACAGAAAATGGAAGTGAGGTACAGAAACAGCTGGATTGGTTACAGCTTGGCATTTGCCTTATTTGAACACAGTTGGAACACTGAGCAGTGTGTGAGTGGCCAAAGTATGGCTCCTGGGATTGGCTGAGATTCAGTTATTGCCACAGAAGCATTCTCCTAAGTTAGGTTTTCAGTCTTGTCTACCTGCTACGTTAGGTTATGGTTTGTCCAATAGGACTCAAGTATGGAAATAGAGAGGCTTTCTCAGGCCATATTTAGTTCCATTTAACAGCATTAAGGGTAGTAAAAAAAAGTACAACTTTTTTGCTTTTCTGCTTTTTTAATTTCTACTAAACACTATTTTTTTCACAAAAGTTAAAACCAATGAAAAATGAAATTCCTTCATTCAATCAATCATTGATTTATTCATTCAATAATTATTTATTAAATGCACATTATATGTGAGATACTGTGCCGGGTATTAGTTACACAGTAGAGAGCAAAACAAAGTTCTTCCTCTTGAGAAATTTACTGCTTAGTATAAGCAAAAGGCATTAAGTAATTGCATTTGGAAAGGAGTTTTTAATGGCAATAGAATACGTTTGCATTTCAATTGCTGTAGCACCATGAAGATGTCTAAGTACCACATTGGCAAATAACTTTTATTTCTTGCTTTTTTCATTATTTTGCTAAATCTTATATGTTAAGCATATTAATAATTCATTATCTATAGTCTGTAATAAGGGATCCCACCATAGTATTTGTTTTCAAAATAACTGGAAAATGTAGGTTTCAAAACTGAAAACATTTTAGCTATTTTGAAAGAAAGGCTTCCAAAGTGTATTATATTCTTTTTTGCCATCTTAAAATATATAGGAGATAATTTATACATTAGCAAAATGTTTGTGTTAGCGGAGGGTAAATTGTTATAAACCCTGACTTAGAAATTCAGTGACTTAATAAACAAGAAAATGGTTTTTCCCTCATGTAATAACTGAAGGTAGGTACCCCAGGTTGGTAGTAGCTCTCCTTCACATGGTGATTTAAGGACCCAGGTTTCTTCCATCCTCTAGGACCTTGTCATCTGGTGCAAGGTCAGGATTGCATCCAGATTTCAGCCACTGGAAAGGGGGGTAGTGTGGAGGAAGCACACCTCTCTTAAAAGGCCCATTCCTGAAGAGGCAGGCACATACCACATCTACTCGTATTTCACATTTCATTACTGAGAATTTAGTCACATGGTTACATCAGTCTGTGAGGGAGATGGGGAAATGTAACCTATTTTTGTGCCTAGGAATAACGAGTGGATAATTTTTAGTAGATGACGAGCTGTCTCTCCCACAGCCTGAAACTCTGGCTGCCAAGTTTCTGTGTATATCCTTCTCATACTCATCCTCTCTCTGGGCAAGCCCCAAGGAGCACATTCACCCCTTCAGCCAGGGAGACAATTCAAGGTTATAGTCAGCTGCTGCATCCAGCTCAGCATCCATAGGTATGTTGATTGGTGATGATCAGTCCTCTCACTCACATCCATAGGTAGCTCCTAGTTATCTGGTGACCTATAAGTTGAAGGTAAAATACATCCTCTCTTTCTGTCACTCCTTCTTCCCACCAGAATAAATGGTGGACCAGAGACAGGATAACTGCAGTTAAAACTCCTATTCAGAAAAGGGAAGAAGGAGAAACACAGCAGTCACTGGTCCATAGCACTGATAGAAACCAGCTAGACACGGTGGGGGTCAAAGACCTCTGTCTTAGTAGTGAAGGAACTTCCTTGATTGGGCCTTATTTCTGCTTTATGGGAGTAAATTCTTGTCCATTGGTCTCTGGCCCCCTGCTGTGCTATCTGGAAGTAACTTCTTTGCCTATTATTCTTCTTGATCAGATCTAAGAGGGCTTTGGGGAATTTGTTCCTCTTGAAAGCTGCATATATTTTACAGCTTAGTTTGTAGGCCCATAGAGTCACAAGGCTATTTGGTTCTTAGGCTCATAGATTCTTTAGCAACACAGTTTCCTCAGTCTTAGTAAATTCTAAGTTTATTTGCTTCCAAGGTGCCTGTAAGCACAACCAAAACATTTTCTGGATGTATTCTAGATAGTACTTCAGCTTTTGCTTTTTTGCTCTTTCTCTGACATGTTCTTTCACGTTAATAGCAGCTATCTTGAGGCTATCTGAATAATTAGGCTTTACTGGGGAGGCAATAATCTGACCTTTTGCCATTTAGAATCCAGAATCAGTCAGCTTTTCAGGTGAGAGGGTGTTTTTGGCCCCTTCTCCTTGAAATTATTGTCACTTTTCAAGGAGGTCTTCTCTGATCACCCTATTTGAAACTTCCACCTGGACCCATCTTACTGTGATTTTTTTAAAACACTACTTGTCACTTTCATATATTTATATATATATACATATATATAAATATATGAAATGATATATAACATATAATTATTTATTATACTAATTGTTTATCATCTGTCTTCCTCCTTTGGCATGTAAACTCCATGAGGTTTAGAAGTTACATTATATTCTCTGATATCTGTCAGGTATAGAGAACAGTGCCTGCTGCATGGTAGGTGCTCAACAAATCTATGTTATGTGAGTGAATGAATAATTTGAGAGTATGTTGACTTTTCAGGATCTGCTATATATCATGCTATATGTCAGCTATGCAAATACTGCAGGTTACAGTTATTCTTTCCTATTGCACATAGATAGAATTTTTACTTTGCTCATTTCGCAGTGTAGGGCAGGATGAGTGCATCTGTTTTTTCTCTGTTCTCTCCATAGAGACCTAGTCTATGCCAATTATGGAAATTCCATTATTCTTGTTGGTGATCAATCTAACAATGGACAAGTGAAGCATGTTGGCCAGTGAGGGATAAGCAAAAATATGGTAGCATGAAGGATCTCTAGAAAAAATTTTGTTTTCCTTTCACTTCCTTCCTTTCTGCTGTGGGTTTTGTTTTTGTTTTTGTTTTTGGTAGAGACAGGGTCTCACTCTGTCACCCAGGCTGGAATGCAGAGGCACATCACTGTAGCTCACTGTAGCCCCAAAATCCTGGGCTAAAGTGATCCTCCTGCCTCAACCTCCCGAGTAGCTGGGACCACAGGTGTGCATCACCACACCAAGCTAATTTTTGTATTTTGTGTAGAGATGGGGTTTCGCCACATTGCCTAGGCTGGTCTCGAACTCCTGAGCTCAGGCAATTCACCCACCTCAGCCTCCCAAAGTGCTGGGATTCTGTGAGTATTTTTTATTCTCATGATGATACGATGTTGGAACTTCAGCACCTGTCTTATGATCATGAAGGCAGACATTGCTAACATTCCGAGATTTAATGACGGGAAAGACAGAAAGAATCTCAACCCATATGACATAATTGAATCCCTGTTCCGATGTTGGAATAATTTTCTTTTTAAATGAGATAATACGCTTCTACTTTATTTAACCCATTTGGGTCTACTGTACTGTCATTTGTTGATGTACCTGTAAACATCCTAACTGATACAGCAGCAGTATCTTCAGTAGCTACTGAGACTAATTTGCTACCACACTGCAACTCATTCAACCATTTGTCCATTCATTCATTTATTGAGTAAATTTTCTATATACTAGGCTCTATGCAAAACCTAGAGGTAAAAAGATAAAGATGCAGTTTGTGCATGTCCTCATGGAACTGACAATAGTGGAACAATTACAAATTCAGTAAAAAAGTAGTAGTTGTACAGGAGTTCCACTAGTTCTACTGAATTTGAATGATGGTAAGCATTTGCTCTGTGATAAGTGTCCTAGACAGATAATTTGTCTTCTAGACATATGAAGATGGATTTCACCTATCCATCCTTCACCATTTGAGGGAGGTTCTCTTCTGTTGCCACAGAAGAAGTGGCACCAATGTAGGCAATTGTGACCATATTATTTAGTTCCTATCTATTGAGACATAAACTCATAGGTGGAGAAGATTATATAGCGTTAAATGTGAGATAGCTTGCTAGTTTGCTTCTTTCTTCTCTATGCCCACTTATAGGTTTTTCTTAAATACTTAGAAAAGTAGAACTCTGACTGTGGTTAGAATGCATACATCAAATTGTAGCTGTTTAAATATGCTCCTATAGGCTCTTGGTCAATTTTGCGTGTATGCCTGGAAAATAAATTAGAATTGCAGATCGTTAAATATTTTAGTTTTATCCTCTGGGAAACTAGTTTTGTGTGTGTATGTCTTTTTTTTAAAAAAAAAAACCCTACAGCTCTATCAATCTAAGCCAGCTATCTAGTCATTGATATATTGAACAATTTTATTTGCAAAGCTGTTCAATATCTGCAAATGGTGTTAGTGGCCAAATGAGTATATGGGCTTTATAACTCAAACTCAGTAAGAGATGTTGTGTATTCCCCACTCCTTTTTGATAATTTGAATTCAAATGACAAATACATGTATGCTTAGGATGAAAAAGTATGTCATAAAATACTAGGTTCACTGGACTACTTTTCACATTAGGCTCATTGAAAGTTTATCTAGAGAAGTCTAGGCACAGTGGCTCACGCCTGTAATCCCAGCACTTTGGGAGGCTGAGGCAGGTAGATCATTTGGGGTCAGGAGTTTGAGACCAGCCTGGCCAACATGGTGAAACTCCGTCTCTACTCAAAATACAAAAATTATCTGGGCATGGTAGCACACACCTGTAGTCCTAGCTACTTGGGAGCCTGAGGCAGGAGAATCCCTTGAACTTGGGGGGTGGAGATGGCAGTGAGCTGAGATCGTGCCATATAATTGGCTATAATTTGTAAGAATGTTGTCATCGAGTGTGTCACTTAAGGTCTTAGACTGTGAATCTAACCATATTTAGTGAAATGGCTTACTGTACAAAAAGTCTAAACCAAAGGTTCTCAGGGAACAAAGCACATGTGCAGTTTTAAAACAAAGCAGTGTTTTGTCCCATTGCTGTGATTTGTAGTAATACTTTACCCACTCTGAAATCCAATTAACACTAAAGGATTAAGTGTGAGATTTTGGTTTATGCTATTTCTGTATCTCATACTACTCCCTCTTTTTTTTTTTTTTTTGAGATGGAGTCTCGCTCTGTCGCCCAGGCTGGAGTGCAGTGGCGCGATCTCGGCTCACTGCAAGCTCCGCCTCCCGGGTTCACGCCATTCTCCTGCCTCAGCCTCCCGAGTAGCTGGGACTATAGGCGCCCGCCATCATGCCCGGCTAATTTTTTGTATTTTTAGTAGAGATGGGGTTTCACAGTGTTTAGCCAGGATGGTCTCGATCTCGTGACCTCATGATCCGCCCTCTTCGGCCTCCCAAAGTGCTGGGATTACAGGCGTGAGCCACCACGCCCGGCCCCCATACTACTCCCTCTTAATAAACAGTTTCCACTGATAATATAAAGGGCTGGTATAAAAATGTCTTTAAATGAGTAAGCTTTCTTTGGTAAAATTAAATCATACAAATTATTTTTAAAACCTTCTGATATATACAATATTTAGCCCAGTTTTCTAATTTTCTGGATGTAAAACAAAAGGTTTAACATACATTCCTTGAGCTGTTAGTGCTATTGAAATCTTTTGTCCCATTTAAGTCCTAAACACTTTTGGTTGGTTGAGTAGCATGTGAGTTTTTTTGGGTCTCATAGCATGCTTTTTGGCTTAATTTCAGGTTTATATATATAAATAAAGGAATTAAGTAAAAATAAAATTTGAGTTACTTTTTGAAAGCACCTGAAATCTTGGATTGGAATACGTTGTCTATTTCAAGTCTAAAGCTGTGGTTTTCCCCTTCTGCTTTACCCTTCTTCAAATGTTGTTGTAATGTAATTCTTTCCTGAGCTTTCCCTGTTTCCTTAATAATGCATAGGATGGCAATAAAAATAGTTTTAAATCTCATCCCTCCATGAGAGGTTAGCTCCCCAAGTATAAGCTCCTTTTGTATTGTACTTGTAATTGCTCATTCAATGTTGGTATTGCCCGGTAGACTGTAAGTTTCCTGAGGGCCAAGAATGCTTTTGCCTCTTCCATTGCTGCTTCCCGAGTACCTTCTGTATATTTCATAACCAAATAATGAAAATGATATATTCCATTTAAAGGGTCAAAAAAAGTTTGGAAAGAAAGTTTATGTGGGAAGAAAAGGTAATATACTGTTTTCCCACAGACATAACAGGAGAATTAATTTATATGCATGTGGAAGCTGTTCAGGAGCTACTCTTAGTTTGCTTTATGTATTTAAAGTTTGTTTTAAGTATCTTTAAGTCTTAAGTATCCCTATTTTTTTCCTCTTTTCTAGAATGATTTTGGAATTTCCACTTTTTGTTCTTGTCTACTTTGTGATTACCAAGTTCTCTAATGGTATTTGACAGTTCCCTTTGTTTTGATTTGTGACATATGATGGATAAATATAGTTAACAGATATAGAGGGGAAATTGTCACATTTAATACATGTAAACCTGTGATTTTAAAAAGAGGAACTACTCATATATATGTCTGTGATGAAACAAAAAATAGATTATCTCATATCTAGAAATAAGAAAAGGTTATTAAAATTCAGAGGAAATAAAGCTAGCAACCCTGCCTATACCAAAGAATATTTTGATTTTCATAGTGCCTTTCGTCAACTAAAGAAAGAAACTGAGGCAAATTAACATAAGTCGAGAATTTATTTGGGCCAAATTTGGGGACTGCAACCAAGGAGACACAGATTCAAGTTGCCATGAATATATGCTTTGATTAGCAGTAGTTACAAGTTGGCTTTCAATACTCATGTCTCTCTGGATCTGATACATTTTGCATACCTCACATAGCTCAGACATCTCTGAGCTACTTTTCTTCTCATTTCCCCTTTTTGATTGAGATCTTCCTCTTCTGAAAGCATTGATAATCAACATTTTAAACGTAGCTTTTCCCCATATTGCTAGGAAGGCTCATTCCCGGGTAATCTCTCTCTACATTGGAGGGAAAGAGGAGAGGCACTACAGCTTAAGAATTTAGTGAAGTCTTAGGCTAAATTAACTGGCAACACAAAGGGGCAGAGGAATTGGGTCTCAGGATTTCATCCACTTACAAAGGAAGTATGGCGTGTTGAATAATTTCTATGCATCTAGCTATCATGAGTTTAGTTTCTGTCAACAAACACTTTAGATAGAGAAATGCAAAGCATAATTGATTTAAGAATCAAAAATATGACACAAATAAGGACAATTACTAATTAAACAATTTGAAATCCAAATGTGAGAAATATTCCAATACCTGAAGGTAACCAGTCAAATAAATCATATAAGGGGTCTGTCTTTCCAACCATGGGTCATCTTGTAGCCATTTAGCCTTTTGAGTGATCTTTTTAAACTGAGTTTCAATTTCTTGTCCTGGTCTGAAGAACCAGGTGACTGGCTGCAGGTCAGCTTCAGTTGGAGATCTCTGATGATGGAAGATGCCTACTCACGCAGGGCTACCTTTTTAAAATGAGAAATGTAAATCCATGAGTCAATGCCTTTGAGTTTAGCTGCACAAGTATTGATAAGTAATACTTGATATAGCTTCTTCCAACATGATTACAGGGAATCCAAAAATCTCAAAGTTGGAAGCCATGATATTTGATGTCATAAACTCCCAAGAGCTTGCTGTTAAAAGAATCCTCAATTAATTTAGAATTTTTAGTGAAATGCTTTTTAATGCCTTGGCAATAATGAAGACTATCATCTTTAAAGAGAGCTGGTTTATAGACTCCTTCATCCAGGCACATGGGGCTTCCTGGTATCATTTCAAAGGGAAAAAGCTGATGTTTTCCAATTGGGTAGAATGTAAGTTAAGCAATAACAATGGAAGAGCCTTAGGCCAGGGAAAGTTAAATGTTTCTATAAGCTTTGTCAATTTATTTTCTTATTATCCCATTTGTGTGTTCTACTAGTCTGGAAGATGGAGGGTAGTATGTCCAATGGAAATGCTGAAAAATTGACCATATGTTACAAATAGACTGAGTTATTTGTCTAGTGAAATGGGTTCCTTGGTCACTGGGAAGACTGGAAGGAACTTTCCAAGATAGAAAAAGACAAGTATTAAAATGGCCATGGTTAAAGATGCAATTGACAAGGAAATTTGTGCATTTTCTTTTTTTGTTGCCTACAATTCAACATACTAATCATAATTATGACTGATAACATATACCAAGATATATTAGATTTTTAGTAATCTCATACAATTTTGGGACACACACATTTATACATATATAACTCAAAGCTAAATGCCATTTCTTATTTGACAGTTTTTTCTGTATGATTTTTTACATACTGAATAAGCCCAGTATCTCTCTTTGGAACTTCCAGGGGTTCTTTTTGGGATGTCCAAAAGTTAGTTCCTGATGAAATGACTTAATTTAGAATTTGAAATTTGATTTTGAGAAGTTTATTAAATATTAAAGGTTTAAAACCCTGGAGCAAAATGGAATAATTTATTTAGCCAAAGTGATGATTAAAATATTTCAAAAAGCAAAAAAACAAAATGAAACAACAATTCCTTATCTTTGATAGAGAGATTCAGTTTTCTAAACATCAAGACTTAATAAAGACAGCATGAGACCAATAGAATCTCTCTCTCCTTCTCTCCCTATTTTTTTTTTTTTGCAGTTTACTCAAAAGATGAAATCCTTTTACTACTTCTTATTAATACTACACAAAAATCTTATTCACAAGAGAAAACCAAATTCTACCTTTGTATTATTAATGGTGAAAGTAATTTTAATAAAACCCTACAAACAGATCTATCCAATCTCAATCAGCTTTAACCACACAAGATAAGATTTCTATAAAACTTTTATAACCTCTTACAATTTAATTCCTTCTTTCCCAGACTTTCTATATCCATTTAGTTTTTTTATTCCTTTAATTTAAAATAACCTTCAAATAACCTGTAAGCAAAATTACTTTTCCTTTAACCAAAACCATATTCTCCTGCCTTTCTTATAACCTTCTTTACCAAAAAACACATCCTTCTTTTCTTATGTACTCTGTGTACAAAAGAATTCTTTTGTATCTAGTAGTTTTAGTTACATATTAACTATAATTTTACCTCTTAGTGACTCTAATTTTCATTGAACAACCTAGTAAGTAAGAAATTTTAATTATGTATCAGGTGCAGAAGCTAGGACAAAGGACATAGCTGTGAAGACAATACCTAGAGACTCTTACCCTGCTCCAGCATGGTTATAAGGCACAACTGGGCCAGGGAAGACACATTGGGTTTGGCTCTGACATGCAGCTGGTGGCCTAAGTGCTGTCAACATACACATGTTTTCAGGCATCACCATGGCCACCTGTCTAGATGTCAGAATCTAAAGGCTCAAAACCAAAGACATAGGCTCACAAACAATTAAGCAGGTATAAAAAAAAATCATGGAAGCAACCATTTTAGGATGTTTAAAACATCTAGCAAAGACAGTATAAATTTGTCTTACCTGTAGACCCAGGTAAAAATATCTAAAATTAAATTTAATTTCGTCAATCTTGAAGACATTTCTATTCTGTTTTGCCAACAATTTAAAGACTAGTTTTGTTTACAAAGATTACTAAAGTCTTACGAATTTGAAAAGTGTTTAGTCTTATTTACTTAATTTATGAACACTCATTTCTTTATAAGTCAGTTTGGTACCATGTGGACAACATGCAAACACAGACATGTGCACATGTACACATAAAAATACAGATACACACAAATAAAATCTCATAACTTTGATTTTAAAATTCCAGCCATGAGACTGGTAAAATTCTCTAGTTTAAAAGAACAGTTAGATTAAACTATACCTCTGTAAATGGAACAGTTAATCAGTCCCCAGGGTAGCAAGTTTACATCTCAAAGCACAGGGAAAGAATTTAAGCTTTATTATTATTATTTAAGGAGTTTGGATGTATTACTTAGAGGAAGATTAAAAATGGATACCAAGGTAACACAAAAGCATAAGCATTCACCACAGGACTTTATAAGAGAACAATTTCATTTAGATAGGTAGCTTCTAATTTAGTCTCCATTTTCTAACTGGACCACTGAGCTCCGGGAGGAGCCCATTAACAAACAGTCCTGACAAAAAATTAGCAGTTTGCAGGAGGCAGAGCATCAAGGTCTTTAAAAATCAAGGATCTCATCTTTACACGAAATCCTGGGTCCCCCTAAAGAGGGAAATGCCTTGGGACGGGGCTACACAATGTTTCCACAGTGCTACTCACTACAAAGACATTCTCCTGGGGCTGGGGCGGTGGGTGACCCAATGCCATCAGCCCCCTCTGTGATCAGCCCATTTCCCAAGAGAGTTTTATCCCTTGGTGATGAGGGTTGCTATATCCTCCAAATGTTCAAACTGCACCTTTCTTATCTAAAGACACAAAGAAATGAGTGGCCCTCTGCAGTAATAACCATTCATCGTAACTGCTGTCAGCCCCTTCCAAAACTTCAGTTCTCGCCAGTGACTTGCCAGCTACAAAGAGGTCACAGAAAGATCAAGTTTCAGCTGATAGTACAAGGTAATCCCTGTTACTCCAAAAGCCAAAAAAAAATCAGGTAACTCAATGCAGAAGAGAACAAAGCTTTAGACCTGAGAGGAGCCTTCGTATGACTCTCAGAACTCCACAAGGATGACAGAAAACCTCCAAGCGAGGGGTGTGCATGGCACCTTTTTCTGTGTTTCTCAAGGGGTATCGGGATGTTAGAAGGCTCTTCTAGACTTCTTCATGTGGCACTGAAGATGGTAAAGGGAAGGAGGAGCAGAGTAGAAGGAAATGGAAGAGCAAGTCTTAGAGGAGCCAATTTGGGGAGAACTTTCTAAAAGGCCAATGAAGTTTTATATTTTTCTCAGCAAAAATCATGCCAGCAAGAAAGGAAGCAAACAGAGGGAGCAAGCATCCAATTAAAAAGGAGTTTTAGGAGTTTTAGTTGACTGGAAAAATTCCTGGAAATGGATCTAAAAGGGAGCAGAAATGCCTTGCTTTTAAACCATAGATGTTTTAACAAACAAAAACCTTCAAATCCCTTATAATCAGATTTCAGCCAGGACAAACAAAAAGTAGGCCTCTCATTCAATTTGTTTGGTTCTAAAATGTGATTTATTTTTCAATTGTGTGTGCAAATATATTAATTTAGGAATTTTAAATCACCCTCATTTTTGCCATTGTGATGGCCATTTGGGGGTCATCTTGAGTCATGTGGGTCCATTTACATAGGTATTTGCCAGATGGAGCTTCATAGGTATTACATGAAAACCCAGCTAGTGTTTCCAAGGGGGATTGTCCCTTCAGGGAAAGCTCAGTTTTGATGAGCAGTTTCCCATAATTTTAGAAATTCCTTTTCAAATATGACCAAGGCCAGGACAGTGTATCAGGTTGAAGTGTGCTGTTTTGTGAGTGTCACTTCTCAAAGAGTCACCAGAGAGTCATGACTTGCTTTTCATGTGTCTTGTAATCTCTGATCACCTTATGGTGGCAGAGTGTTCAAGACGCCAGGCAACCAGCCCTCGCACGTACCTTCTGGCTGAGCTGAAAGTCATCACAGGTATTCTTGCAGACAGGACCTATGATACTATGATACATCTTGAACAGATGTTCTGTATCTTCATAAAGTCTTTAGTCACCTACAGCACCCAATTGAGTTTGGAGGTAGCAAGTTTCTCTCAAATTTCAGGGTGAGAGAGCTCAACCTCATGCACCTTTTGGCTTAAAACTAGCAGGAATTGGTCACAAATAAAATGACAATTGTGAATCACAAGCAGTAAGAAGCAGCTACAATTTTAAAAGAATGTAATTTATGTAATTTCAGGCCAAAAAAGGGAAACTGGCAGTGTTAGACTGCCAATGCCATAACCTGAACCTCTTGCCATGAGCGGAGGCAGAGAAGGCAGAAATTTTCTGCAGAGTGGTGTGCTGCACCATGACCTGAACCTCCTACCATGGGGCAGAGGTAGGGAAGGTATTTCTCTGCAGAGGTTTTCACCTGAAGCTCCCATTCAGAGACGGAGACCAAAGCCTTCAGTCTTTAAAAACAAAAACAAAAACAAAAAAAAAAACAACAAAAAAACCCCAGCCCAAATAAAGCCTAGACCTCAACTGAGAAGAAAGAGGTTCAGATTCAGTAGGACTCACCTTTTGTACTCAGGGAAAGATGTGGAGACAGAGAAACACAGTAGGTTTGTGCTGGTGCTGAGTGCTGAGTCCAGGAGGGATCACTAGGTGGTCCAGGGTGTGAGGAGGTTGCTCTGAATCCTGACAGCTACACCAGATATGTTGACCTAAAGAAAGAAACTGGGGCAAAATTAATATAAGTAGAGAATTTATTTGGGCCAAATTTGGGGACTGTAACCCAGGAGTCACAGATTCAAGCTGCCCTGATGGTATGCTTTCATTAGCAGCAGTTACAACTGGATTTTAAAAGAAAAAAGGAGTGGTTTTTACATTGGTTCATTAAAATAACATAAGCTAGTGATTGGCTATACATATTATTCTTTGTATCACAAATTCTAGAACCATAAAGATAATGAGTGAGGGTCACAT
This sequence comes from Homo sapiens, assembly GCF_000001405.40. NCBI lineage: Eukaryota > Metazoa > Chordata > Mammalia > Primates > Hominidae > Homo > Homo sapiens. The sequence goes on from NC_000021.9 coordinate 17,840,903, forward strand.
TGTGCAACTTGTGATAACATTTTAGGTAATTTATCAACTAGTCTGGAAACTGCAGAGAAGCAAAGAAAGAACAAAATGCCTTTAAATAATTGCCCCTGGGAATGGGTGCACCAGGAGTGTGCTGAAGTTTCATACTCATGTCTCTCTGGGCCTGATTAATTTTACATACCTCACATAGCACAGACCGCTCTGAGCTACTTTTCTTTCTCACTTTCTTCTAAGGAGATCACAAGTATTTCATGTATTACCTTATGTTCATGACATTCTTACTATTGTATATCTGCTTTATATTGTGGCATTGAAGGTTCATCTCCATGGTGGCAGAGATGAACATGACTCTGAGAGCAATGACTTTCCCATCAATCATGAAAGACATATTTATTCACCACCATTCTGTATTAGGGATCCTATTGTGTACTGAGTTACTGCAGTACCCACAAGGGAGTCTCTGAAAATTCTGACCCCCAGGACCTCTATAGGGCACACTTGGCATCAGATTTAATTGGAAAAGCATAAGGCAAGCCATGCAGCATGCCAGAATGACAGCATCAGGCACCCCTTTTTAATAAGACTTCTTGCAGAAGTCCTCACACCAATCAAAAAGCAAATCTCTGGCTTTTAAGTTGACAGTTAAGGTGCAAGGAGATGAGACATGTACATATGGTCCATCTTGGCTTAGAAGCCTTGTGTCTCCAATAAGATCCTGTATTTCTTACAATGTTTGAGGCATCAATTCCAGAGTCCCTGCAGTGAGCCTGCCCAGCTGTGAGAGTCATCACACTTAGGGATCCCAAAGCTATGGTTTCCCACTAAGTATTTATAGTTTATATATAGTTTCTCTCCTGTCAGATGCAATTTGTCATTTTTTTAATCATAAGAAATATTGCCTAGTAGCAATATTTTCATCCTACCCTTTGCAGATCTCCAGGGAAACAGTGCTATAAAGTTAACCCAAGGTCAAGTTTGTTCATATAGGACAAAAGATTTTGTTAATGCTTTAACCACAGATAATGCAGTCTTTTTTATACTATTAGGACTAGGTCACAGGTTTAGCAGATCTTATTAGTTACTGATCAATTGACACATTTTCTTTGGTTCTTGATAAAATGAAGTCAGTTACGTTTAATTTACTAGCTAACAAAAATATTTTCCAACCTTTTTGTCTTATAAATAAAATCCTGTTGTACTGTATTTTGTATTTACGACTATAGGAAGAGATAGAATTAGCTCTTGGCATTTGTCTGATAGAACAGATCAAATGCAGGGCAGAATGCAGCCCCACTGTTAGGAATTCCTAGTGAGTTAAAATGTAATCCAGAGTGAAACAACCTCCAATGTATAATCTTGACTCTCCATTTACATCTAAAAAGGCGCAGATGACGACAGATCTTTCCAGGCATACAGAAAATACAGACATACCCCAACAGTATTTCTCTCAGTTTAACATTTTTCCATCAGAATGCCTTGTGACTTTTTATATCTGAACTTCATAAAGCGTACGCATCTCTTAGCCGATGCACGTTTAGGACAAATTTATATTTGTGCCTATAAAATGTGATATGGTATGTATTTTTTAATGTATAATTTTCATGTGATAAAATGTGTAGATTTTAAGTATATTGTTCAATAACAAAATGAATATACCATAACATTATAATAGCAACATAACCCTACACCATTGTCAATAACAATGTAAGCTACATCATTGTTGAGATATGAAACATTTCCAACACTTTATAGTAAATTCCCTTATGCCTCTTCCTGGGCTCTTTTCTCCTCATCCTGAGATAACAACTCTTAATTTCCATCAATATCAATTAGTTTTACCTATTCTGAGCTTCATGTAAATGGAATCAAAGTGTATGGTCTTTTCTGTGTCTGTCTTCTTTTGCTCAACATGTTTTTGTGATTGATCTATTGTATACATCAGTAGTTCATTCATCAATGTATGAATATACCACAATTTGTTAATCTCCTACCTATTGTTGGACCATTGTGCTATTTCCAGTTTTAAGCTATTATGAATATGGCTGTGATAAATATTTTTGTATGAGCTTTTTGTGGACATGTTTTCACTTCTCTTGAGTAAATACCTAGAGTGAAATTTCTGGGTCATAGAGTAGGTACATGATTAACATTGTAAGAACCTTCCAAACAATTTTCTGAAGTAATTTCCATTTACCTATATCATTTTGTGCACTAATACACACATCTTTGCTTGCATTAGGTGTTGTCAAACTTTATTTTTAGCCATTCTAGTATGTAAAGCTTCAGAAGAAAGAAACACGGCGATAACTTTGTGACCTTGAGGTAGGAAAATATTTCTTAAACAGGACATAGAAATCACTAACCATGAAAGAAACAATTGAATTATTGGATTATAAAATTCAAAACTTCTATTCCTTGAAACACATGGTTAAAATAATGAAAAGCAAATCACAAACTGAAGAAAAATGTTCACAATACATATGCTTGACAAAGGACTTGTATCCAGTGTCTAGAAAGAACTCATCTCTCAGTAATAAAAATACTTGCAATTGGGCTGGGCACAGTGGCTCACGCCTGTAATCCCAGCACTGTGGGAGGCCGAGGCAGGTGAATCACAAGGTCAGGAGATCGAGACCATCCTGGCTAACATAGTGAAACCCTGTCTCTACTAAAAATACAAAAAATTAGCTGGGCGTGGTGGCGGGCGCCTGTAGTCCCAGCTGCTCTGGAGGCTGAGGCAGGACAATGGCATGAACCCAGGAGGTGGAGCTTGCAGTGAGCCGAGATCGAGTCACTGCACTCCAGCCTGGGTGACAGAGGGAGACTCCGTCTCAGAAACAAACAAACAAAAAAAACCATGCAATTGAATTTAAAAAAAGTTCAAATTACTTGAATAGACATTTAACAAAAGAGGATATACAAATACATGACAGGCACATAAAAAGATGTGTGACATTATTATCAGTGAAGTTAACAATTAATAATAAAATAATTTCAGTGAAACAATGGGAGTTTTTAAGTAATTTCAGCCACAGCATCCAAGTCACATGTTGATATTTTGAAAAATTCTTGAGGCTTCAAAAAGAAGATGTTTAGTATTTTGTTATATACCACATAAGCGATTATGAGGTATATTAATTTATTGGTTATTAAGAAGTATGTTCCTCTTGAGCATTTTACCCCCTAACAAGATGTTTTATTGAGTTTTAGTTATGTTTGAGGAAATTGGCTGTCGGTTATGGTTGACATATTCTGCATTATAATTTTTCCCATGTAAAATCATGATAATTAGGCTCCCAGTTAGCATTTTTTCAATAGAACTAACCAAGAACAGATTACTGAAATTAAGACAGAGATGACGTATTGATTGATTGATTAATTGAATTGTACATTTTAAAGGAAGAAAGTATTTAAAGAATTCCAATGCTTTTTTTTAGGTGTTAAATATTTCTTAAAATAATCTAATAAACAATCTAAGTTTTGTCTAAGGCTTCTCCAGAAAAAAAAGAGCCTGTGTACACTAAATGTCTTCTATTAAATAAAAGTGGTTGGTCAACTTGAAGAGGCCGCCAGGATTCAGGAAATGGGTAGGCTTCTAATTTACCTCTAGAGTAGGTTTCTCAATCCTGGTATTAATGACATTTTGGCCCACATAATTCCTTGTTGTGGGGGTTGTCTGGCATCGAGTGATGTTTAGCAGCATCTTTGGCTTCTACCTACTAGTTGCTAGTTGTGACACCCTCACTTGTGACAACCAAAACTATCTCCAGACTTTGCTAACTGTCATATGGGGAGGAGACCCCCTATACCCAAACCCCATTGAGTAAAACTACTCTAGAGTTTATCTTAACTATAGGTCCATTTTGTATTAATCCATTCTCACACTGCTATAAAGAACTACCCGAGGCTGGATAATCCATAAAGAAAAGAGGTTTTATTGACTCACTGCCCTGCAGGCTGTACAGGAAGCATGACTGGGAGGCCTCAGGAAACTTACAATTTTAAACCATTAGAACTTGTGAGAACTCACTATCACAAGAAGAGCAAGGGGGAAATCTGCCCCCATGATCCAATTACCTCCTACCAGGTCCCTCCTTCAACACTGGGAATTACAATTCAACATGAGATTTGAGGGGGAACACAGAGCCAAACCATATCACACATCAATGGCTAATAAATCTGTTCTGAGTCCTCTAGACTTTGATTGACTCATGAGTGGACTAGAAATCTTTGGATTGTACTGAAGAATATTGACTGGAATCACCTTGGTGACCCAAACCAATTAGAATTAAATTTAATCTAATTTAATTAGAATTCAATTAGAATCAGAACATGCCTCAGAGGGAGGGCCAGGCATGGGGAAAGTAGCAATTCACTTTAATTTCAACTTAGAGTTGAAACATTTCAGCCAATAATTTGTTATTTTTTTAATGAAACCTGTTATAGTTCCACAAAAAGAACTCTCAATCCTCTTACAAATGGAGTAAACTCCTTTGTACCTATTGTAAGTGTAATTTTCATAGGCCTTAAAGTCATACATACAAACTAGGTAATATTTTATTTTTGGGTAATTGAACTTAGTTTCTATTATATGCCCTATTTCCCCTGATATTGTAATGCAAAATCTAGTCATTTCTAGATGGATTTAGCCTTTGTCATACTTTTGTCATGTCATCCTTTGTCTTGTAACTTCAAGTTTAAAATCATGTCATTTCTGGACTTTGCCTTTGCCTCCTGCTCTTCAGGGTGGTATTCCTGTTCCCTAGTTTATTCTAGACAGGATGGAGGTAGGGAGTCAGGGAAAAGGGACCTGTTCTTCCGTGGTCATGGTATTTGTCAGTCTTCCAGAAGGCCACCTCCTGAAATCTCTGCAACTGTGAGCGCCTCAGCTGCATAATGCCCACTTGCATTTGGGTTAAAAATTCTAGACCCTTGGGTCCTAAGCTGTCTCTTTCAAGTACCTTCTGAGCCCTGCTTGGGGAAGTGGGAGGTTTATTTGTCCACTTCTCACGGGTGACCTTAAGGTAGGATCAGAGCCGTCATCAGAGTCTCTTTGCCCCTCGATGTCACACCGAGCCACATCTAACTGTTGGCCCAATGTAACTGACCATTTTTGCTCTGATGCTGGGGTACTAAGTTGATGTGGTAGATCTAGAACACACTTTTTCCAACCTTCTCTCTCCTCAAACTATACACTAGGGAAGAGTAAGGTTTCAGTCTTCCCTCATGTGCATTTAACCCTTTTGCTGCTCCTCCATGAATTATTTTCATCCTATCAGGACGCTTTCACCTACTGGGCACCTAAACTTGCGTGGAGATGAAGGGTGTAACTTCTTTCTGTAAGTACTCTTCCAAAGTCTTTGCTGTTCTACAACATTGCTGTTTGAAGCTAAAAGCAAAAAACATGACATCCCTTTTATTCTGTTCTGCAGTAATTTTTCCTTTCCTGAGTTTGAAAATACCTTAGAATAAACAGGATGAAGGAAAGGTCTTTGGGAAACAAGAAAATTATCATAATTAAAAAAAACACATTTCAATTTTTTTGTCATGATATATGAACATACTCCTTCCTCTCCCTCCATCCCAGAACCAGTCAGATGCCAACATCTTCTTAATTTTATTTCATGCAGCTGGCTCTTCTCTTGCATTAGTGTGGCTAGCCCCTTCCACTCTCAACCTACTACATTTTGCAGTAGGTTGCTGGCTAGGCTCTGGCCTCACACTCTTATTTGCATCCTACACACTGAATATAGGTGAATCTTTCTAATAAATAGTACAAAAACCTTTAATGACATTATGTTGCCTCTGAGCTAGGTTGCATTTATATCCTGCATAATCTGACACCAACCTGTTTTATAAGAGTGACCTCTCATTTCATGAATCTCTAGTTTATTTATGTAGAAATAAACACTGAGGTCTTAATATGTTTCAGACACCATGCCAGGCACTGGGGAATGAATGAAAGATTTCAGTCACTCAGGTCGAAAGATTCTTGATGATAAGAACCAGTGAGGAACTGAGGAAACAATGGGAATCCTAATTACTTTGCTAGGTTTCATGCCTCTGTGCATTTTTCTAATATAACCAGGGCTGGGGAAGGCAGAAGTCAGAGAAAATTTCCCAGGGAAGATGAAGAGGAATTATTAAAATAGAGAAAGATAAGGAGTGTGTTCAGGCATGGTTCTCAGCAACAGTAAACAATGAAGGTATGAAATATTATAGTTTACATAATAGCATTTGTTTTTTGGTTTGATGACCCAGCATCTGAACATCCTTCCTGCATTGGATAATTCTCTATTTTATTAAAGGGAAACGATTTCCACTGTAGAAACCGAAGATACCAATGTGAAACTAGGGCATGAGCACACGACTTAGGTTCCATGAATTAGATGGAGACTCCCTAGACTTTGAATTGAGGGTAGTGATACCAAAAAAATCAAAACAAAACACAATCCATTCTGGTGAGCTTGGCAGCCGTGGTGGGAGGTACATGCCCTTTCCAGAGACCCTAGTAGTGGTGCCATGTTTGGTATCAGTAGGTCAGCCACGCAAGCTGCAGTTTCTGGGTCTAGCAGGAGGGGTGGTGGGGTTTCCAATGCACCAGTTCTGTGGTGTGATTTGAAAAATGATATTATTTAGATTTTGCTGCATAACTGATCATCCCATAACTAAGTGGTAAGTCGCAAAGACTCTCTTCTTGACTGAACTTTAGATAAGCTCTTCTGAGTTCTGTTTTTGACCATGCCCCAGTGTAGGCTTATAAAAACTGCAGACTCTCAGCATAAATGATTTTTGTCTATTTTCCATACTCCACTCCCACACTAAAATTTTTGAGCAAAAATTAATATAGTTTCTAGCAGCTCAAAGCTACATTCCTAGAATGACCCTAGCCCCTTAAACTGCTCACCTTGGAAAGCTCAAGACTGATCCAGTCCAAACCAGTAATAAACAGGCCCCTGAACCCTCCCCTCTTAGAGCAGTTGTAGTTTAGGAAGCTTGCAGTTGTAATTCCTTTCTCTTCCCCTTTGCGATGTAGATCTTCTACCACCCAAAATTAACATTCAGGGAAATAATTCCCCCTCTGGTGCCCAGCCCCGTGGCACCTTGCCTCTAATTTACACCACTGCCTTCTGCCATATAAATATAAGAAGTTTGCTTCTCCTTTAGATAAGCACCAATTAACAAGATCAGTTTCTGCTTAAGCCCCTGCTCATTCCCCCTTCCTTAGTCCCTCATTGTCCCTTTAACATGCCCAGTCACCTCTGCACAAATCAAAGTTCAGTTCATGTTGGAACCTCTTTCCCTTTGCAGTGATAATTACGGAATAAAGTTTATTCTTAGTGCTTTAACCAGTGTCTAACCAGTGTCTGGATTTATCTTTGACACAAGTCATCTCAGAACTTAGTAACTTATATTTAGCTTATTTATGATCTTGTGAAAACAGCAGTTTGAATTGGGTTTAACTGAACAGCTCTGGGCTCATTCATGTGTTTGGAGTTGGCTGCTGGTCGATGAGGCAGCTCTGTTTCTGTGGTTTGGCTGACTGTCAGCTGAGGCTATGGGGATGACTGGACCGCATGTCTCTATCACCGAACAGTCCAGCCCAGGGTTGTTCACATGACAGGTCAGCAGGGTTCCAAGAAGTAGAGCTCCTGTGAAGTCTACATTCAGAACTGATATAACCATCACTTCTGCCACATTCTTTTGGCCAAAGCAAGTCACAAGGCCAGCACCAAATCAAAGGGTAAAGAAACACCCTACCTCCTGATGGGAGGAACTTCAAAGTCACATTGTTAAGGGATGTGGATACAGGAAGAAAAATGATGGCAGGTATTTTGCAGACTATCTCTATACAATTGTACCCGCTGTGCAGCCTCCAAGCTTGATTCTTTGGGCCAGGTTTTGGAGCCTCCTTTAATCTTTAATGAAGTCTTTCTTACATCCGCCTAAATTGTTTCTGTGGCTTACAATTAAACATCTTGTTGAATATTCTGAGTCGCACATACATTCTCTCTCTCTCTTCACACCATGACTCTTTCCTATAATGTTTAGAGCAGCGCTGTCCAATAGATGTATACAAGCCTTAATATAACTTAAAAAATTTGGGTAGCCATATTTGAAAACATGAGAAGAAACAAGTGGAATTAATATTAATACTATATTTTATTTCACCCAATATATCCACAGTGTTATTTCAACTAATCAATCTACAAATTATTATATCATGAGATACTTTACTTTTTTTTATTCTAAGTTTTTGAAATCTCTTGTAAAGCTTACACTGTCAGCACCTCTCAATTTGAATTGGCTGCATTTCAAGTCCTCAGTGGCCTCTACAGGCTACCATATTTAGGACATTGTTTTTCCCCAGAGTGAGTCATTGCTTAGATCTGGATATCTGATTCACAAGTAAAGAATGACACTACTGAAGAGGCATAGGAAACGAAACCATCATATACTAACCATGAATTTTATACTGGACTCTTTTTTTTTTTTTGAGACAGAGTCTTGCTCTGTCGCCAGGCTGGAAGGCTGGAGTGCAGTGGCGCGACCTCAGCTCACTGCAACCTCTGCCTCCTGAGTTCAAGTGATTCTCCTGCCTCAGCCTCCCAAGTAGCTGGGACTACAGGCGTGCACCACCACGCCCAGCTAATTTTTGTATTTTTCTTAGAGATGGGGTTTGACCACGTTGGCCAAGATGGTCTCGATCTCTTGACCTCGTGATCCACCTGCCTTGGCCTCCCAAAGTGCTGGGATTACAGGCGTGAGCCACTACACCTGGCCACAGGGCGCTATTAAAAGCACTTTAACTAATATCTTAGTTTGGGTTCTACCCCTAGCAGAGCTTGAGACACGCATTTGGGTGAAAATAATTTATTTGAGGAATGATTCCAGGAAGCCAATTAAAGATATATTATTGAGCCAGTTATTGCTATGGAGAACTGGCTCAATTCCATGGACCCCTCAGGGAGCCATATAGAATGAATTTCAGAATTGTTCCTCTGAAGAACAGAAGACTGAGGCATTTATTTACTGACCCCCATTTCTCACTGGCTGAGGGTTGTGCCCATGGATGTTAGTGCCCCAACGTTTCTGGACTGTCCTATATAAGGCTGAGGAATCTTATAGCTTCAGAACGAGTCCTGAGGCAGAAAAGCTGAGCAATAAGGCAAACATCTGGCATAAGGTTTTTCCAGTATGTATGGGAATTGTCTGCCACCAGTTGGAACTGGAATCAGTGATGGGGCAGGCACATGGCAAAGCCTCTGCTATGCATACATTGTACAATTGTCTTCTTTTGTTCAGGCTGCTATAACAGAATCCCATAAATTGGGTGGTTTATAAACAACATGAATTCATTTTTTACAGTTCTAGAGGCTGGGAAGTCCAAGAGCAAGGCACCAGCATATTTGATATATGGTGAAGGTTCATTTCCTGGTTCATAGAATGGTACCTTCTTGCTGTTTTCTCACATGGTGGAAGGGAAGAACTCTGGTCTCTTCAGACCCTTAAAAGGGCATAATCCCCCTATGAGGGCTCCAACCTTATGACCTAATCACCTTCCAAAGGCCCCACATCCTAATGCCTTCACATTGGGAATTACTTTTTAACATATAAATTTGGGGGGAACCCAAACATATTTTTCAACAATACTTGTAAAACAGACATTATAATTTCCAATTTAAAGAGGAAACTGAGTATAATAAAAATTCCAATAGTATTCAAGATGATATACTCTTAAGTGACAGAGTGTGTTTCTTCACAAATATGACTTATTACAAGGTCCACAAAGAACATATTTTTTGGGATTTTTTTTTCCTTTTGGGGGAAATGTCCAGAGATTTTTTTTGGCTTGTGTATTTATTTATTATTTCAGAAATTTAGACAAATCTACAAAGTAGGCTTTGTTTGAGTTATCTTTAATCAGTTTTTTTTTGAAAGGGTACTGCCATAAAACAGGGTCTCATAAGAATGTGGTATATATATTTAAAAAAATACACATTTGCTATTGTGCTTGTTATATTTTCTGACCTTCAAAAAGAAATTTCCAATAAATTTTGTAAGCTCACTTATTTCCGTCATTCACTGCTGAATTTCTAGTGCGGAGCTCATTTTCAAGTCGATATTACGTACAGCAGATTCTCCCTAAATGAAAGGGACTGAACACACCACAGACTGGACAGCTCCCATTATCTGAAATAGCCATAAGCGGCTTTAATGCTGGAGATTTAGTTTAAAGGATTGTCCTCCTGGAAGACTGGCTGCAGTTGTTTGTGAGGCAGAACAAATTATAAAATGATTATGGCTTCAGAGATGTATGTTTCTAAATGATTGCTTCGCCAGTCCATAAAATGTCTGCTTTTAAAAAACAGGTGAAATCTGAGAGCCTTAAGAGATTGGATCTTTGGGATATTATTAAAAATGTCTTTATAGGGTCTGGATGCAACGCCACCGGAGTATATAACTTACCAAGAATGCTGACAGGAAGTCATCAGCATAAAGAAAGAAAAGCAAATTTAAAGATGAAAAAGAAAAGCCTTAAGAATGAACTTAGAATATAAACCTAAGCTAGAAAAACAGTTGGAAAAGTTCAGCCCAAACTGTTAACCATATTTTCCTCTGCAAAGTCTTTAGAATTGGGGATAGTCATGGGTGTTTGCTTCTGTATTTACTTGAATTTTTCAATACACAAACATGTATCGTGTACAATTTGTGCAATTAAAAATAATCTTAAAAGAAGATGCCAGCCAGGTGTGTGGCTCATGCCTGTAATCTCAGCATTTTGGGAGGCCAAGGTGGGCAGATCACTTGAGCTCAGGAGTTCAAGACCAGCCTGGGGCAACATGGTGAAACCCTGTCTCTACAAAAAATACAAAAATTAGCCAGGCATGGTGGTACACACCTGTAGTCCCAGCTACTTGGGAGGCCGAGGTAGGAGGATTGCTTGAGCCTGGGAGGCAGATGTTGCAGTGAGTCAAGATCATGCCACTGCACTCCAGCCTGGGTGACAAAGTGACACTCTGTCTTAATAAAAAAATAAGAAAATAAAAAAATAAATATAAAGAAAGAGCCATTAATAGACTGAGTTTTCAGTTTTATCATGTTATTTTGCCTCCAATCTAACTTACAAGTCTAATAACACATAGTAAGTATTCACTAGACATTCACTGAAGAGGGAATCCTCAGAATTTTTGATGTCATCAACAGTTTCATTTTGCAGTCAGGGATATATTTCAGCTTCTCAGTGTTTTCTAAAAATGTAAATTTTACTGTTAAATATGATTTTATGCCTGCCAGACTCCTTCTATGCAATGAAAGATACGGTGCCTTGTACTAACAGTCCCTTATCAGAAGCTTTCTAGAAATCACAATTATGAAAAGCTACCTGAAACAGAGAATAAATATTTGACCAGAGGAAACTAAGTTTTTAATATTTTGTTATCTCCCCTGATCTATTCATGTATTTAAAAATACTTGTTCTTATTATGAAAGTCATAATAAGACTTTTTTGGGGGTCTTGCTTGGCCTGTTTTATTGGAATTGCCTCTCTCTCCCCAATATTTGGCTGAAGTAATGGGGTTGGGTGGCCAGTGGCTGCCATATTTTGATTAGTTGACTTCCTACTCCTGTTTCCAGCTAATTGAACAAAACAGGGAATCTTGATCCAAGCTGAGCCAACTAGCTTGTCTCTTGTGGATTCTATCTAAGAAGAATAAAGATTCAGTCAGGCGATGGTGGTTTCTGGGAATATGGGCTAAGATAAGAGCAGCCATATTGGGGGCCATGCGTTGTTTGTCAAGCACAAGGACTCAAGGGAATGCAGATGCCCAGAAGGAAACATACACAGGAGACAACACACTCAGTGAGAGAAAAGATGAAGAGAATTGCCATGTTTTATTGCTTTCAGATTTAAATTTCTTGTGGGACCTGGCTCTACTACTTTCTCTTTAGTTATATGGGATGGTCCTGAATACTAATTGACTTAAGATAGGTTAATTTTGAGTTTTGCAAAAAAATTTAGAGAATATGGATATGGAAGAAAATAAAAACTGCCCATAAAAACATAGCCACCCATACATGTCTTTAGTGTGTTTTTATTCTATAGGAATGCTATAATATGCTTCTATGTAAAATTTCCTATCTTTTTAAAATAAAATTATGAACATGTTCATATTTTGTTAATTCCAATCTTGGTAAATCTCGCTCTTAGTTTATTAAGGTCTGTCTCTGTGTGGCTAAATGTGCCTGGGAAAAAATATTACCTTGCTGACTGGTTGAATTTTGAATTCATTGTTATTAATCACAAGTGGATGCCTGGCACCATACTGCAATTTCCTAGTCCTCCACTTGCCCATCGCCCAGAGACTATTTTCTTTTCTTTTCTTCTTATTTTTTTTGAGACAGAGTCACACTCTGTCACCCAGGCTGGCATGCAGTGGTGCGATCTCAGCTCACTGCAACTTTCCCTCCCAGGTCAAGCGATTCTGGGCCTCAGCCTCCCCAATAGTGTGACTACAGGCAAGTGCCATCATGCCTGGCTAATTTTTGTATTTTTAGTAGAGACAGGGTCTCACCATGTTGGCCAAGCTGGCCTCGATCTCTTGGTCTCAAGTGATCTGCCCACCTTGACCTTCCAAAGTGCTGGGATTGCAAGCGTGAGCCATTGCGCCCGGCTGGAGGCTATTTTCTTCTTGTTCCTCTTTCCTCAGTACCTCCTCCCTGTTCCTTATTCTTTGCTGTGACCTTGTTTCCCGTTTTACTGGGATAATAAAAGCCACTAGAAAACATGTCCTGCATTTTGCTGCCAGCATTGCTACCCACCCGCTTGCTCTGTGCCCACATACTCTGCTTTTCACTAGCAGCAAGCTCTCTACACTCCAGCCCTCTCCACTCCTTCACCAGTTTCTATTCTCTCTCATGTATTCGAGGACATCACATCAGCAGCAGGCATCTCTCTTCTTGTAACATCATGTTTTCTCTATTGCTTCATCATTTCCATGAGCTTATAAATGCTATTATTTTTCCTATCTTAAGAGAGAAGACAATTTTCCAGACTCTTTATTCCCCTGCAGTTACTGGATCACTTCTCTGCTCCTGTAAAAGGCAACTCTTCTCAATAGTTATATCTACTTGATATCTGCAATTTGCTTGTCTCTCATTTTCTAATCAGGCATTCATTCTCGTGCCTCTTACAAAACAGCTCTTGTCAAATTGCTATTGACTTTCACATAGCTAAAACCAGCGATGGTTGTTAGTTTTCATCTTACTTGAACTGTTGGCAGCATTTGACAGAGGTGATCTCTGTCAAGGTCTTGCTTTACTGGCCCCCTCCTTTTAAGGCTTATTTGCTTGTCCTTTTATCTATTTCTAACCTCTAACCATTGGTGTGCCCTGAACAATGTCTCAGGTCTCTTCTATTTATTTTCTACACTCACTTTCTAGGTGATGTCAGCTAGTACAATGGTTTTAAATACTATCCATATATTAAGGACTCTCAAATTGATTTCTTATGCCCAGACCTCTCTCCTGAACTTCAAATTTACATACTCAAACTCCTATTCAGAATTTCATCTTGGATGTTTAATAAGTATCACAAATCTCTAAATAGTCAATGGCCCTAGGACTCAAATCTTAGAACTTTCCTCTTTAAAATGATATTATTGAGATGTAATTCACATGGCATACAAATCAACCATTTGAATTGTACAATTCAAGGGCTTTTAGTGCATTTCAGAGTTATTCAACCATTACCATAATCAATTTTAGAACATTCTCATTATCCCCCTTAAACCCATCTTGGACATTTCATATATATGTAATCATATAATATGTGGTCTTTTGTGTAAAGACTTTAGAGTGTTCTAATTTGTTTTATGCAATTTTTTTTTTTTGCAAATTTGACTGCATGAAAGTGCATTATCACAATGTTGACCTTGTGTGTGAGACATTGCACATGTACATAAAAACATTGAAACTTCCTCAATAAATGAAGGGATGTCCTTTTTGTACATCTGCATTTGTGAAAGATAAAACTTCTTGAGATCTCAACTCTCTAGGCGATTACATATGTAGTGGTGACACATTGTGGTTTCTTATCGATCTCATCAAAAGACATAGGTCATCTGTCATGGTATTTCAGATGACCACAGTTATAAAACTGGATGCACACAATTACCAACCATAGTGATATGCGTTTATACATTTTCTTTTGGACCTATTTATGAATATGGTTCATCTGCTTATAACTGTTATACCCATGTTTCTGTTGTTAGTATATCTGAGTTCTTATGCTTATAAAAATGTTATTGTTGCCTATTTTATTGTATAAAGTGGCAACTTTATACAACTTTATCATGTATTTTATTGTATACTATGAAGTATTCTGTCATGTTTTTATATGTTGCTCAAATAAATCTTTTTTACAAGCATAAATAATTTTCTTTTAAAGAAAATTAAATTTTTTTCCAGAATTATATTTTTAGAATTTTCAATTTTTAAGATTGTGATTTCTGATATTATGGTGTTTAGAATTATGTCTTTTGGTATTATGGCCCAACTCTAGTTTTTGTGACTGGCTTCTTTTGTTTAACGTGTTTTCAAGGTTCATCCACATTGTAGTATGTACAAGTACTTCATTCCTTTTAATTACCAAATAATATTCTATTGAACAGCTATACCATACTTTATCCATTCACCAGTTGATGATAATTTGGATTGTTTCCATCTTTTAGCTACTGTGAATTCTTCTTCTGTAAACATTCATGCACAAGATTTTGTGTGGACACATGTTTTCACTTGTCCTGGATATATACCTAGGAGGGGAATTGCCAAATCATATGGTAACTCTGTGTATAGAGGAATTGCCAGACTATTTTCCAAAGTGGCTTGGAATTCTTCTATTGGTGCTCACTGCATTGGTGCATGGCATCTAGGCCATGGTTTTAAATATCATCTCTATACTGAAGTCTCACAAACTTGCCTCTGAACTCGAGATCCACATGACCCATTCATTGCCCACCCACATATCCATCACCTAACTCCTGACTTTCCCCTTCACCTCACACCCCTGACCTCAAGCCTGCTTCTCCTCTTATCTTCTTCTCAATTAATGGATTCCCTTCTTCCAGTTGCTCAGGACAAAAACCTCAGAGTTGCTCTTGACTCCTCTCATTCTATCCCATCCCATATCTAATCTGTCAGCAAATCCTGTTTGCTCTACTTTCAAAATACTGTCCCCACTCCCTGTCTGCAGTAGCTCCTCTGCTACCACCCTCATCCAAATCACTCTCACTTCTTTATCACATTGTTGCAACAGCCTCCTAACTTGCCTTCCAGCTCCAGCTTGATTACCCTTCAGTCTATTCTCAACAGAGTATTCTGGATGAACTTTAAATAACTCTAATTGCTTTCCATTTGAGACTATGGCATTGGGGATCGTGTCTTTCGGGATTATTATTGGCTCTGACATGCGCACGCAGGTTGAAAGTGCCAGGAAGTTAACATTCCCAGGATTAACCTTCCCTCTATTATCTTCATCCTCAGGGTAGCACAACACTGAAGTGTCTTGTAAACAGTGTCCCAAAGGTCCCAGAGGGACCAAACCCCAGTTGCTCTCTTCATTAATGCATCTTTGAATGGATTTTCTTTCCTGTTTTGCTTTCCACAACTCCCTACTGATGCTTCTGGGATAATCTCACAAATAAACTACCTATTTCTGTGTCTACTTTTGGAGGAATCCAGCTAAGATAAAAATCTTTATAAAGAAATCTTGCCTATATTTCTGTTTCTTAGAGTCGTGAAAAAGGAAATACTAGTTCAAAAAGTGATTTTTTTAAAAAACTGAGATTTGAGTTCTCTGTGTCAAAACCACCATCTGTATTTGGGGAATTCCACTTTATAAGTCTTGGTGGGAGGGAAGAGTTTGTCTCTTTCTTAGAAGATAGAAACACCATATATTCACTCTGTTAGCGTCTCGAAACTATATTATTAACATATGACTCAGGTTTGGCTAAGCAGATGGATCTTTCCTAGATTATGCTTGGGAGGTAGAAATGCAAAGAAGACAAGATAGGGAAGACTCTTCCCTGTTGGGGTTAGTTGTTTTAACAACTTCCAGTTTTTGGAGACCACATTGGTGGTGGTGACCATGGCAATTACTAGAATCCAGTGCCCACGGGGTGAGCAACACAAGCTGCGGCGTGAAGGGCAGCGCTGCCCAATAGAAATGTAATATAAGGCCAGGAGTGGTGGCTCAAGCCTGTAATCCCAGCACTTTGGGAGGCCGAGGCGGGTGGATCATGTGAGGTTAGGAGTTCAAGAGCAGCCTGGCCAATGTGGTGAAACCCCATCTGTACTAAAAATACAAAAATTAGCCAGGCGTGGTGGCTTATCCCTGTAATCCCAGCTACTGGGGAGGCTGAGGCAGGAGAATCACTTGAAGTCGGGAAGCAGAGGTTGTGGTGAGCCAGGATCGCACCACTGCACTCCAGCCTGGGTGACAAGAGTGAAACTCTGTCTCAATTAAAAAAATAAATAAATAAAAAAAAAGAAATGTAATATAAGCCACACATGCCATTGAAAACTTTCTAGTAGTATAATTTTTAAAAAAAAAAAGTAAAAAAAGAAACAAGTAGAATTAATTTTAAGAATGTATTTTTCTTAACCCAAATATCCCAAATGCTATCAGTTTAGCCTGTAATCCATTTAATAAATTATTGAGCTATTTTATAATTATTTCTTTTGCACTTTAGTAATCTGGTGTGTATTTTGCACTTAGAGTACATCTGAATTTGGATTAGCCATATTTCAAATGCTCAGTAGCTGGTTGTGGCTGGGGACTCCCATATCGGGCAGTGTAGGCCTAGAGCTGAGAGGCAGTGGGCAGCCATGTCTTCACACAAGACTAGATCTGTACTGTGCTGTGATTTATGCACTGTTACTTTTTGAGTCTCTAAGCCTAGTGTTTCAATTCCCTGGTTGCATTTGTTAGCAATTTAACATATTTTCATTTCTACCTAAATCAGCCTTAGTTAAGTTTCTGTTGTTTGCAACTAAGAACCGTATTGTTATAGAAATTTCAATGAGAAGCTTTGTAGGCACAGACATTCAAAGAAATGAGGAGATCTGGGATTGTGTATCTGGCCTTGTTAGAAATTATGATAGTTTAGATTACTGTTCAGCAAATATTCATTTTCTTTTTCCTCCTCCTGTGGGTAGAATATATTACCCTGCCTCATGATGTTGGAGTTGACCATGTGACTTGCTTTGGCTAGTAAGATGTCAGTGGATATAATGTGGGCAAAGTGCTGAGATGTGTTTGTGCAATGGTTTCCTGGCCTCTTGTACTTCTGCTGTCACCATGAGGAAAATATGCCCCTGTTAGCTGGTGGGTAAAGGAAAATGAAAGGTATGTGAAATAATTTGAAGACCTAGTTAAACTCAAGCTAGGTTAGCCAACTTCTGTCAATCTGAAGTTAAAAGAAAAAGCATAAGTGATTATATTAAGCCATCTAGTTATGTTATGTAGCATTATTGTTGGAATGACTGAAACAGAACTAAAGGTAGCAAAAGTTACAGCTAGTAAACAATGAGTCTCTAACATACGGTATGCAGAGGAGACACAGTATATTAATTTATTCACCCTGGAATGTAGTGCTAACGAAGCAAAGTTTTGAGGAAGGAATTAGCTTGTTAGAGTATAGTAAAATGACTTATATAAGACTTGTAGTAAATAGTATTTATTGTTAAAATTTCCAAATACTTTAAAGAAATAGATTTATAGTTGTACAATTTGCAGTTGTACTGTTTCCTGCTTAAGGCATTGATTGAAAATCAGTGACTTTTTTTTTTTTTTGGCTAAAGAAACATCACATTTCTTTCAGTCACTGGGTTGAGAGAGCCAAAATATACACACAGAAAAACTGAGTCTTTGGTTTGCCAAAATTCAATGTCAGTTGAATTTACAGCCTTGCCATGTGTCTGATACAAAGTTTGGGCATTGATGTTATCCTCAGCCAACTAACACAGGAACAGAAAACCAAATGCCTCATGTTCTGCCTTGTAAGTGGGAGCTGAACAATGAGAACACATGGACAGAGGGAGGGGAACAATGAACACTGGGGCCTGTGGGTCAGAGGAACAACGGGGACAGGGAGAGCATCAGGATAAATAGCTAATGCTTGTGGGGCTTAATAGCTAATGCATGTGGGTGCAGCAAATCACCATGGCACACGTTAACCTATGTAACAAACCTGCACGTCCTGCACATGTATCCTGGAACTCAAAATCAAATTAAATTAAAAAAAATCTATTACTTTGTCTTGTTTAAAAAAATGAGTTACAAGTTACATACAATAAAATATGCCCTTTTGAATGTGTAGTCCTATGAGTTTTGACAAGCACTCGTGGTTATGTAATGATCACTACTACCATGATCAAGATATAGAATATTTTTATCACCTCTCAAAAAAAAAAAAATAAAGTTTGGGCATTGATCCAGAAGAAATAGAATGCCGAGAATGAAAGTCTTATATGGGAGGAACTTCAACTCCTCCATGAGTTTTATTGGCAACTGAAGCCACCTTTCTCTTTCTGATGATGCTCTTTCCCCTTTGCTTGAAGACTCTTAACAAGCCCTCAAACAGGCTCATCTAAGAGATTTACCTGACCAGAGACCCTAATTTGTCTTTTGTTCCATCCATACCCTCTTCTTTGTCTCTAAGGCCTTAAATGTTGTCAGATCCCAACATGTTCTGGGAGCCAATTTAAAGGCAAATTTGCAAGATGACAGAATAGCCACAAAAAATGGCAAAACTTTGTTAATTTATATCAGACTTGTGGGTTTGTGTGTATGTGTGTGTATTTTGAATGAGTAGGCCAAAGAGGGAACTGATGAGTTTAGATTAGGCTGATTTTAGCATCATGGGGACAACTCACTGAGATTCTGGATTCAATGTGCCTCTTCGAGCTGAGAGTAATTCTAATTGTTTGTTTGGTTGACTTGTCTTGGAAACAAAGCCTTACTTTGTGTTTGAATCAGAAACAACCAGTGGCATTATTATTCTAAAAAACAACAGATGTTGGAAAAGAAGAGCAAATTGAACCAATTTCTCCTCACTCAAAAGTTTTTTGTAGTAGATATAGATTGGAAAGATATAGAAAAGTGGAGAAGAAAATAAATTGGGAATGTTCAACAGTGTAAGTGAATAAGATCAGGCATATAATTCATGAAGCAATATTGTTGGTTTTTCACGCAATGGAATACTCTTAAATCAAATTTAAAATCTGGTAGGATGTTGAAGAGAAAATTTCATTCGTTCATTCATTCATTCATTCAAATGTTCATTAAATGTCTAATATGTTCACACACAGTATTTTAGGTACTGGAGATATAGCAATAAACTAGGGAAATTAAAATTTTCTCATGTAACTTATATTCTAGTGGAGAAAGAGAATGAACAAATGCATTAAAATATACAGTATTTTAGAAGGTTATCTATGTAATATGAACCCCAAAGTATCTGAGACAGGTCTCGATTTAGCCAAAGTTAGGCATGCACTTGTGATACAGCCTCAGGAGATCCTGATGACATGTACTCAAGGTTATTGGGGGTACAGCTTGCTTTTATACATTTTAGGGAGAAATAGTACATCAATCAATACATGTATGATTTACATTGGTTCGACCTGGAAAGGTGGGAAAACTCGGAGCCATGGCTTCCAGGTCATAGGTAGATTTAAAAATTTTCTGATTGGCAATTGGTTGAAAGAGTTATTATCAATAAAAAGGAATGTCTGGTTTATGATAAGGGATTGTGGAGACCAAGGTTTTATCATGCAGCATGACATCTCCAGGTAGCAGGCTTCAGAGAGAGAATCAATTGTATATATTTCTTACCAGACTTAAGATCTGTGTGGATGTTAATTCTGGTTGGCTCTTCCTGAATTCCAAAAGGGAGGAAGAACTAATGAGGCATGTTCGAACCCTGCTTCCCGTCATGGCCTGAACTAGTTTTTCAGGTTAATTTTGGAATGCCCTTGGCCAAGAGGAGAGGTCTATTCAAATAGTTGGGGGTGGGTCTTAGAATTTTATTTTTGTTTACAGTAAGAAGAAAATAAATCTGCTTAAATCAGGATTGCCAGGGTGTAGAAGAGTACAATTTAAAAAATGGTTGTCAGGGATGATGTCAATGAGAATGTCACATTTGAGTAATAGCCTGAAAGGAGGCATTAAAGTAGCCTTGTGCATCTCCAAGGGAAGACTATTCTAGGCAGAAAGGACCAGGGGAAAGATTGGGACCTTAACTGGCCCCATGGAGTGGAGTGAACCAGGGTGATACTAGTAGGAGATGAAGTCAGAGGTATAGAGTGGAGCCTGATTGGATTATTTCCCACAAAGATGAAAGATAGAGAATTATAAGCAGTGGAAAATTAGAAACCAACATTGAAGTTAGACACGGTCAGAAGTCCTTCATCAGCAAGTGGAAGTGGATTCCACTAATATCCAGGATTAGGTCCACGTCAATTGTGAAGGCAGAAATAAGTTGCATAAATAACTTTATGAACACCCACCTTGCCTCCTCCTGCTGCCACTGTGCTCTTGTGGGGGAATTTCTTCATATCAGTTGACTGAAGAGGAAAACATTTGATTCTTTTAAAAGGATGGCTCTGCATATTTGTGTACCAACCAGAAATAGATTGCTGAGGCATTACTTTCACCCTCAGGAGTGGTCCTGAAGGACAGTCAAAATGGAAATTCTCCCAGTGAAAAGAAATGTAAACAATTTATCTTATTGTCCACTTTGTCAGTTAGTAGAAAGCCCCAGGTAGGTATCTGTACTGATTGATGGGCAGTGGTTAATGGTATAATCAGATTGTCAGGGAACTAAAAGAAGCAGAATTGTAAGATTGATCACAAAGTGTTTGGGGAAGACACTTACGTATGGACCCCTCTGAATGGGGTTTCTAAGTGTGACTAAATATAGCCTATGCAACTGACCAACAAAAGGCTACAGTGAATGAGGGTTTTAATTATCAGGTGGACAAGATGACTCACTATTTATGTCAGTCGGCTTTTTTCTGATTTCCTTAGTACTTGATTAAAGTGGATATGGTGACAGACATTAACACATGGACTTTTTCTAAAAAATCTGACCTTGTGTACTTTCCAGAAACAGCAATTAACCCTGAGCTTGTAATACAATACCATGCCCTAGGGAGGGCAGCGAGACTTCTATCAAGGAGGAGGCTATGACACTTTAGATTTTAATTTGCCTTTCTTCCTAATTTTGCTTCAGTACCACTATACATGGAATGACTATTTTATACACAGTTATGATATTCCACCCAGCCTTTCTCTGATCAAGGAAGTCTATTTTACAGTGAAAAAAAAAGTGAGGCAAAGGGTGATTGACAAGTCTAAGATACCCAAGGCTCAGAAACAGCTATGGCCGATCGGAGTCTCACATATAGGAGAGCTTAGACACAACACCTTGTGACTAGAGGACTGTCTCGTAATATCCTTTTAGCCAAGGATCAGTATACAGTATTATATCTCCCACAAACTGAATACATGCATTTGGAGACAATAGGCTGGAAGTGAGAGTAGAGTTTCTCCCTAAATAGGAGAAAGTGAAATCATTTAATAATCTATTTACAAATGTTTTACCTCCCATCCTCACTCTTTCAGACTTTGAAGATTTTAGTATTGAAGAGAAGAATGTTTCCTTCTGGGATATTTGGCAAATGATTCCTTTAAATTTGAAGCTTAGACTATAGCTTACCCATTCAGAGTTCTTCATGCCACTGAGTAAATGAGCAAAAGGAAGTTATGTTGTTAACTAATTAATCCTGTCAAGGGTTTTACTACACAGTGGGCACAGAGAGAGGCATGATAGTGCTAAAATAATAATCTGAATTTCCTCCTAGTACAGCCATGCCCAATAGTAAAATTTAACAAAAGCTAAAACATCACTTTATAAGCAGAATAATCTATGGCTCAGGTATTATACTTTAGGACTAAGATTCTGAGTCACCTATTGGTTGAAGGGCCACGACTATCTGGAGTGCTGGTTAAAGACAAAGGCACATGGAATAAGTAATGGAGAAGGGCAGTCATAAGTACCTTATTTTATCAACTGAAAGCTTTGGAGTTTATCAAAGCATCCAAGCCTCCCTTTCTTTGTGTGTGTGTGTGTGTGTGTGTGTGTGTGTGTGTGTGTGTTTTAAATTTTTTTATTTTTTATTTATTAATTTATTGTTTTTAGAGATCGTGGGTCACTGCATCCTCCACCTCCTAGGCTCAAGCGATCCTCCACCTCAGCCTCCTGAGTTCCTGGGACTACAGGCACTTGCCAACATGCCTGGCTAATTCTTGTTTTCTTTTTTTAATAGAGACTAGGTTTTGCCATATGGTCTAGTCTGGTCTCCAGCTCCTGGGCTCAAGGGATCCTCCCACCTTGGCCTCCCAAAATGTTGGGATTATAGGGGTGAGCCAGTGTGCCTAGCCACTTCATGAGTCTTTAACTTTTATTCCCCAGCTCTTATCACTCTATAGCAAGCTGTGCTCATCTTCTGAACTTACAACTAGAATTAGCAAATGCCCTAAGAGGAAAAGTCATCCTGACTGTCGGGTTCACCTCTCAGCAATATCCTCCTTTCTTGGATTTTGGCCCATCAAGAGCTCTCAATCTTGGTAGCTTTATGACACATTCAAACATTTTTTTTTTAAATCCTTTTTTTTTTTTTTTTAGTTTTCTCAGTAAGATGGTTAGTCTAAAACAATCTAGTCTGCATTTAGCAAACTCATAAAACCATATTTCTTTTTCTTCATAGCACTTGTCTCAGTTTGCAATTAGAAACTCATTTCTGTGATTATTTGCTAAATATCTGTCTCCCCCACAACACATAATTAGAAACTGTACCCATTTTTGCTCACTGGATTATCTATGGCCTAGCACAGTGCTAGGCACATAGTAGATACTTAATATTTACTGAGCCAATTAATGAATGAACCTTGGGCAAGTTGCTTATTATTAACAATAGCAAGCACCTGTTAAGTGCAAAACACTAGGGTCAAGTTATGGCACTTAGAGTCTAAAGACTTTTGCTCTTATATCCTACCATTTATCCTTATCAGTGAAACAACACAAAATGTTTTGCCTTCAGGATCAAGGCTTTTTCAGATATAGATTTTAAATGGCTCAGAAAGGAATGAATATTTGAAGAAAGAATTGTACATAGATTTAACTGGAAGGGAGGAGCCCAAGGAATTTAACACAGAAATGGTTAGTGGCACAGACCCTAAATCACAGTCACTCAGAGAATGGGCACTGATGATGTGAAAAAGTTAGGGTTGGCCAGGTGCGGTGGTTCACGCCTGTAATCCCAGCACTTTGAGAAGCCAAAGTGGGTGGATCGCTTGAGTTTAGGGGTTCAAGACCAGCCTGGGTAACATGGCAAAAACCTCTTCTCTACTAAAAATACAAAAAATTAGCCAGGTGTAGTGGCACACACCTGAAGTCCTAGCTACTTGGGTGGCTGAGGTGGGAGAATTGATTGAGCCTGGGGAAGTAAAGGCTGCACAAGTGCGCCATGATTGTACCACTGCACTCCAGCTTGGATTAGGGGACTGAGACCCTGTGTCCAAAAAAAGAAAAAGTTAGCGTTAAGTGCCTGGAAAAAGGCTACATGGTGTCAGCGTCTAAGTATCAACTGAATAGAGTTTAAACTGAGTCAATACAGTGGGAAAATGGCCTGTGATGGCCCTAAAGAGGGGATAAGGTGGCCAGGTGTGGTGGCTCATGCCTGTAATCCTAGCACTTTGGGAGGCCGAGGCGGGCGGATTGCCTGAGCTCAGGAGTTCAAGACCAGCCTAGGCAATACAGTGAAACCCTGTCTCTACTAAAATACAAAGAAAAAATCAGCCAATTGTGGCGGCATGCACCTGTAGTCCCAGCTACTCTGGAGGCTGAGACAGAAGAATTGCTTGAACCTGGAAGGCGGAGGTTGCAGTGAGCCGAGATTGTGCCACTGCACTCCAGCCTGGGCAACAGAGTGAGACTCCATCTCAAAAAAAAAAAAAAAAAAAAAAGAGGGGATAAGGTAAACAAGTCAATAGTTAGAAACACAAAATACGAAAACTGTTAAGTCACAGACCTGAAATCCTGTGTATTCTTGAAATTTGCGCATGTGTATTTTGTTTTTTATCATTTTATTTCATACTTTATAGACAGACTAACTTAATAATTTATGTTTGCTGTCTTCATAAGTATTTATATCTGTGCATACATATAGATACATGTAATTTAGAGTATATATAGGATGTTTTATTAATGCTTTCTTGGTTGTAAATCCTTGAAAGAATGCTAATTACTCTGTCTTTATTTCTTAATTAGGCACTATGCAGCCTCCATAATAACTACTAGCTGTGAACGAGAGCACTATAAAAGTTACTCAAGTAATTGCCTTACAAACTACAACTCTACTTAAGTGACAAGTCATATGAGTTAAATAAAAATTGTAAAAACAAAGTAGCCTCCTATCATATTAAAAGTCCTTCAGCATTTCAGTTCCTGGATGATGGTGAAAGGAGCT
The DNA here is from genome assembly GCF_000001405.40 of Homo sapiens. Classification (NCBI taxonomy): domain Eukaryota; kingdom Metazoa; phylum Chordata; class Mammalia; order Primates; family Hominidae; genus Homo; species Homo sapiens. The sequence continues at coordinate 17,865,485 of NC_000021.9, forward strand.
ATACATTTAGAAATAGAAGAATATCCATCTTAGATGATCCCAAAGAAGCATCTTTTCATGCTTTTTTTTTTTTTTTTTTCTTAAGATACTGGATCTCACTGTGTTGGCCAGACTGGAGTGCAGTGGTGTGATCATAGCTCACTGCAGTCTCTGAACTCCTGGGCTAAAGTGATCCTCCTACCTCAGCTTCCGGAGTAGCTGGGACTACAGGCACGTGACACTATGCCTGACTAATTTTTCAAATTTCTTGTAGAGATAGAGTCTTGTTTTGTTGCCCAGGCTGGTCTCGAACTCCTGCCCTGAAGTGATCCTCCTGCCTCAGCCTTCCAAAGTGTTAGGATTAAAAGTGTGAGCCACCAAGCCCTGCCCATGATCAATTTTAACTTGCAATTGCATCATTTAAGAAAAAAGTTTTATTCAGAGCTAGTAGCTACAGCTAGCAGTACATTCAGTTGCTGGTAACAAAATCCAGACAGACTGAACAAAGTAGGGATCATATTCTCTCATGTAAGGACAAACTAAAATAAAGCTGTCCTGGGCTGGTATGAAAGCTCAAAGGTTAATAGAGAACCAGACTCCCATCTTTCTTTAGGGCATGGCTTTGCATCTTCAAGCACACATATGATGTTTCCTAGAACTCCAGACATTGTGAACATGTTTTAGGAAGAAAGGGGAAAAAATAATGACAAAATTTAGTCAGCCTCCTTTAAAGCAGTTTCCAAAAAGCCATCCGTGACTTCTTTTACCTCATTGGTTTTCAGTCCCGCAAGGGAGGATGGGAAATATAGTCATTGAGCTGGGCACATTATCACTGGAAAAAAATTTGAATTCTGTTAAGAAGAAAGGGCAAAACAGATTGAGTTGTGTCACAGAGATTCAAAATGTTCTAAAAAATTTCAGGGCAAGAAGCTATTTTTAGATACCTAATATATGCCAGGCTGTCTACTACATCCCAGGGGACAAAGACAAATATGAGATTGGGCCTTCTCTCAAGGAGCTGACTGTTTAGTGGGGGTGGCAGACTGTAAAAAACATATCTCAATTTATGTCTTGATAATGATATTCCAGGACTTTTCCTTAGTTCAGCTAAAGAGGGGGTCTTTTCCCCACAGCCACAAAAATTTAGGCTCGCAGACGATTTGAAGGGAGAGAATAATGGGATTTATAGGGCAAAAAGGAAAAAAGGGGGAACAGGGGCTCTCTGCAAGGTCAGAGTTCCTGCTAGTGTGCTCACCACCTCACAGCTTGAATTCCAGCCACCCAGGAAGCCTGGCTGTCTCAATGAGAGGTTTGATGGGGTGTTGTGGGAGAGCAGAGATAAATTCAATCAAACCTGGAAGTCTTGGCTTCTGGGAAGTGATATTCTTAGAATCTAATCTTGAAGGATGAATAAGAGCCAGATGACATTCCAGGCTTAGGAAACATCACAAAGAGAGCTAGGATAAGGAAAACTTCATTGTTTACCAAGAATTGCTAGCAGCTAGGGATTATTAGAAGGTAAAATAGAGGGTAGTTGCAGACGGCATGATTTTATATTTTAAAAAACCCATCATCTGAGCCCAAAAACTTCTTGAACTGATAAGCAACTTCAGCAAAATCTCAGGATATAACATCAATGTGTAAAAATCACAAGCATTCCTTTACACCAACAATTGGCAAGCAGAGAGCCAAATCACGAATGAACTCCCATTCATAATCTCTACAACGAAAAACAGTATCTAAGGAATACAGCTAACAAGGGATGTGAAGGACCTCTTCAAGAAGAACTACATACCACTGCTCAAGGAAATAAGAGAGGACAAAAACAAATGGGAAAACATTCCATCCTCATGGACAGGAAGAATCAATATCGTGAAAATGGTTATACTGCCCAAAGTAATTTATAGATTCAATGCCATTCCCATCAAACTATCATTGGCATTCTTCATAGAGTTAGAAAAAACTATTTAAAACTTCATATGGAATCAGAGAAGACCCCATATAGCCAAGAGAGTCCTAAGCAAAAAGAACAAAGCTGGAGGAATCATGCTACCTGACTTCAAACTATACTGCAGGGCTACAGTAACCAAAACAGCATGGTACTGGTACCAAAACAGACTTATAGACCAATGGAACAGAACAGAGACCTCAGAAATAACACTGCACATCTACAACCATCTGATCTTTGACAAACCTGACAAAAACAAGCAATGGGGAAAGGATCTCCTATTCAGTAAATGGTGCTGGGAAGACTGGCTAGCCATATGCAGAAAACTGAAACTGGACCCCTTCCTTACATATTATACAAAAATTAACTCAAGATGGATTAAAGACTTAAAATCCAAAATCATAAAACCCTAAAAGAAAACCCAGGCAATACCATTCAGGACATAGGCATGGGCAAAGACTTCATGACAAAAATGCCAAAAGCAATTGCGGCAAAAGCCAAAAATGACAAATGGACCTAATTAAACTAAAGAGCTTCTGTACAGCAAAAGAAACTATCATCAGAGTGAACAGGCTATCAACAGAGTGGGAGAAAATTTTTGCAATCTATCCATCTGACAAAGGGCTAATATCCAGAATTTACAAGGAACTTAAACATATTTATAAGAAAAAAACAACCCCATCAAAAAGTGGATAAAGGATACGAACAAACATTCTCAAAACAAGACATTTACGTGGCTGACAAACATATGAAAAAAGCTCAATATCATGATCATCAGAGAAATGAAAATCAAAACTACAATGGAATACTATCTCATGCCAGTCAGAATGGCGATTACTAAAGAGTCAGGAAACAATAGATGCTGGCGAGGCTGTGGAGAAATAGGAATGCTTTTACACTGTTGGTGGGAATGTAAATTAATTCAATCATTGTGGAAGACAGTATGGCAATTCCTCAAGGATCTAGAACCAGAAATACCATTTGACCCAGCAATCCCATTATTGGGTATATACCCAAAGGTGTATAAATCATTCTACTATAAAGATACATGCACAAGTATGTTTATTGCAGCACCATTTACAGTAGCAAAGACATGGAACCAACCCAAATGCCCATCAATGATAGACTGGATAAAGAAAATGTGGTACATATACATCATGGAATACTACGCAGCCATAAAAAGAAATGAGATCGTGTCCTTTGCAGGGACATGGATGAAGCTGGAAGCCGTCATCCTCAGCAGACTAACACAGGAACAGAAAACCAAACACCGCATGTTCTCACTCATAAGTGGGAGTCAAACATTGAGAACACATGTACACAGAGAGGGGAACAACATGCACTAGGGTCTACTGGGGGGGTGGGGGGTGAGGGAAGAGAACTCAGAGGATGGGTCAATAGGTGCAGCAAACCACCATGGCACACGTATACCTATGTAACAAACCTGCACATTCTGCGCATGTATCCTTTTTTTTTCTTTAGAAATTAAAAAAAAAGAAGGTAAAATGGAGCATAGAGGTGAAGAAGTAAATATGTTACAAAAGGCCCAGTTTTCTAGTTGAGTAACCAGGCTATGGAAAGCCTTGGAAGAGATTTCAACCTGGTAATTCCACCATCGAGCAGAATTTTAGATGTCTCATTGTGGATGTTCTGTGGAGGAAGCATCAAAGGAGGGAAAAGTTGAGAGACAGAGAGTCGTTAGGAGGCTATTTCAGTAGTCAAGGTAAGAAAGAATGGAATCCTAATTAGGCAGTAGTAGTAGGAATGGGGAGAAAAAAAGGATTACAGAACCATGTAGGAGGAATAATTAGTGAATGAAAAGATGTGGGTAGAAGGGGAGAAAGGAATTTAGAATGACTACAAGATTTCTGCTTTAGGAAACTAGGTGGATGATGGCACCATTAATTGTCATTATAAATGCAAGAGTGGGAGGAGCAGGTGGGATGGGGATGGAGGAGTGGGAGAAATATTAGCTCAGTTGGAACATGTTGAGTTTGAAGTGTCTCTGTAGAAATACTTAGTAGGCAATTAGATATAAAACTCTTAATCTTGTGATTAAGGTGTGTATTAATCAGGGTTTGCCAGAGAAACAGAATCAATAGGAGACATATATATGAGGAGATTTTTAATGGGAATTGGTTTAAGTGATTATGAAGGCCAAGGAGTCCCGCCATCTGCCATCCGCAAGCTGGGGGACCAGGAAAGCCAGTGGTGTAATTCAGACGGAGTCCAAAGGCATTAGAGCTAGGGGAGCCTACGATAGAAGTCTTGATCTGAGTCTGAAGACCTGAGAACAGTGGGGTTGGGGGCAATGGTGTAAGGTCAGTCTGAGTCCCAAGGCCTGAGAACCAGGAGCACTGATGTCCAAGGGCAGGAAAAGATGGCTATCCTGGCTCAAACAGAAGGAGTGAGTTTGCACTTCACCACTTTTTTGTTCTATTCTGGCTCTCAACAGATTGGATAATTCATATTCACATTGGGGAGGGTGGATCTTCTTCACTTAGTTTACTGGTTTAAATGTTAATCTCTTCCAGAAACACCCTCACAGACACACCCAGAAATAATGTTCACCAGCTATCTAGGCATCCCTCAGCCCAGTCAAGTTGACACATAAAATTAACCATCACAAGTCCACCCCTTGTCAACTTGGCACCAGTACCTATCTCCTTAAACCATACTTAACCTCCAGATAAAGGCAATAACAGGGTAATAAGCACCTAACATGACACAGATATTTTGTGTGTAACTCTCATCTCTTCCCCAGATGAGAAATAAAGTCTTTGAGTGATGTTTACTCATCTTCTCATATTCTATAACTTAAATATTATGATGTAAAATTAACAATATTAAAACACTAATACTGTTAACATATATGTTACATAATAAAGGAATAAGAGAGGAAATAAGACAATGATATTTACTTAATATATCTATGTCTACATACAAATGTATTTCTAACAAAATAAGGGGGGACATCTTCATAATAGTCTGTTTCTGTAACTGGTCTTGTGGTCATAGCAGGTATTTATAATGACCATATTTACTATTTATTCTTTTTTCTCTTTGCTTTCATTGAGCATCTTGACTGGTGCTTCTGCTTAGTAGTCCAGATCAATCACTCCAGCTAATACTATGACTCTGTTATAGACTCATAGGCATGAGAAGCTCAAAGTGGCCAGATGACAGTCTTAACTTCCAGTTCAATGGGATCATTGTTGTGCTTCTTGGTGGAAGCTGGAACTAAGATTTTTAGGCCAGCAGAGCATAAGGTTGTGGGAACAGGAAGAAAACATTTTGGGTAATATTGAGTAGTGCCACTCCCATTTCCACCCCTTGATTCCTGTAAACCCCGGCTATCAGAGAAACAGAACTGTATGTTGTACATGCTCAATTTTGTGGCTTAGCAGGTCAGATAACACCTGGTTTATGATGGAGGTCTCAGGTTGTGTGGTAACTTGATAGCCCATGGTCAAGTGTTTGGCTTCTCCTAACTCCCAGTAGCAGTCAAAGAGCTGTCTCTCAAAAGGAGAGTACTTATCTGCAGATGATGGCAGAGCTGTGCTCCAAAATCCTAAAGGTCTGTGCTGCAGTTCATCTATGGCAGCTTGCAAATGTCTCCAAATGGCATTCCTATCTGTCACTGAAACTGCAAGCACCACTGGATCTGCTAGATCCTATGTTCCAAGTGGCATAGCAGCCTAGACCTGTTATAGAGCTTTCTTTTATTCCAGAGCCCACCCACAACTAGCAGCTTTTTGGTCACCTGATAGATGAACTGGAGGAACACACCCAAATGAAGAGATGTTGCCTTTAAAATCCCAATAGGCTCTTTAGTTATTGTACCGCTTTCTTGATTGGGAGGGGTCAAATGCAACAACTTCTCCTCGACCTTAAAAGGGATATCTTGATAGGCCCCACACCACTGGACCCTTAGAAATTTCACTAAGATAGAAAGCCTCTGAATTTTAGTTGGCTTTATTTTTTATCCTCTAACGTACACTCTGTTAACAATATGTCTAGAATAGTTGTGACTTTTTGCTCACTAGATCCAATAAGCATAATGGCATCGATGTAATGAACCAGTTGATATCTTGTTGAAGGGAAAGGCAGTCAAGATGCCTGTTAACTAAATTATGACATAGGGCTGGGGAGTTGATATAATTTTGAGGACAGAGAAGGTATATTGCTGGCCTTGCCAGCTGAAGGAAAACTACTTCTGGTGGGCCCTATGGACAGATAGAGAAAAAGACGTGCCAGATCAATAGCTGAATACCAGCTATCAGAGGATGTGTTAATTTGCTCAGTGAATGAAACCAAATCTTGTACAGCAGCTATAATTGGAGTTGTTACATGGCTAAGCTTATGATAATCATACTGTCATTCTCCAAGATCAGTCTGTGTCTTTTGCACAGGCCAAATAAGAGTTTTGAATGGGGATGTGGTGAGAATCACCACCTCTGCATCTTTCAAGTCTTTGATGGTGGCATTAATCTCTGCAATCCCTCTAGGAATGTAGTATTGCTTTTGATTTACTATTTTCCTAGGTAGAGGCAGTTCTAATGGCTTCCATTTGGCCTTTCTTACCATTATAGCCATTATTTTACAGATCAGGGAACTAGTGTGGCAGTTCTGCCAGCTGCTAAGTATGTCTATTTCAATTATGCATTTGGAAGTGGGAAAATAACCACAGATTGGGCTCAGGAACCCACTGGACCCACCGTGAGACAGACCAGAGCTAAAACCCTATTGATCACCTGAACTTTATAAGCCACTACTCTGATAAAGGCCCACAGTGACATCTTGGGTCTCCTGTAATTACTGTCATTTCAGAGCCAGTGTCCAGTAGTCTCCTAAATGTCTGATTATTTTCTTTTATCCCAGTGCACAGTTACAATGATAAAAGGTCCTATGTCTCTTTAGGGAAGGTTAGGAGAAAGATTAACAGTATAAGTTTCAGGTAATGTACTGTGTTTTTCCTTGAGGGGAGGTTGCCTCCACTTCATTCAAGGAGTTCTAGGTCTGTAAACTGGCCCAAGTCTAGAAATTGATTGAAGGGCAATGTCTGTCTGTTTTTGAAATACACTTGACTTAGAACTTTTCTGCTTGTTCAGATCAAGTAAGAATTTGTAGGCTTTCTATTTCATTTGTAGGAACACTGTGATTAGCCAATGTCATTGCTCTGCAAGGGTCGGAATATTCTGACTGCTGCTTTGACTCTACTGACCGTTAGGGTAACTACATCCATCTTGCCTTTGGTGGTTGAGTGCCAGACTTGGCCCTGGCCACCCAAGATTGAATTACTCCCATTACGTTAGGTGTTGTCAAGGAGGCTGGGGCTTCCTTCACAAACTTATTTCTGAAAGTATTGGTGAAGGGTATGTTTTCTGGACCCTCCTAGTGTGGGTGAGTAGGTCTACTCTAATATACTTTAATATTTTGCTCTCCCTAAGCCTTTGAATACCTTCCTCTCCATTAAACCAAGGGCGGTCAAGCATCTCCAATTCACTTATGGTGGGCGGTGGGGCATGGGCCATCTTTTGGCTCATGTTTCAGTCAACCAGCCCAACAAACTGTTAAGCCCTTCTTTTTAAATTAAATTAAAATTTTTGATTGTGAATGGTGTAAAACAAAACTCTAAATTCATCACTCCCACCCGTATAAATAGCCAGGTATTCCTAGAACTCTTTACAGAGTAATCCATCTTTTCCTCACTATAGTCAGCATTGCAGTATTTGTCATACATCATATTCTACGTAGAGTCTGTTTGGGGGCTCTTTACTCTTCCGTTAGCCTGTTTGCCTGCACTGCACTACTACAATTGCTATAACAATTTTAATTACTGTTATAATGGCTACAATTTAAAAATATTTAAAATTTTTAAATATCTATTTTAAAATTGTAGCCATTATAACAGCTGTATAATTATAATGTAACAATTAAAATTATAGCGGTTATAGGACAAATCTGATATCCCATTTTTCTTCCTTAAAATTGCCTTAGCTATCTTGGATTTTCCTCTTCTTTAGTATGTATAATCTTTTAAACTCTGGGAAAAAAACCTGTCAAGACTGGGATTAATCGAAGTAAAATTATAATCTGGGTGAGAATTAATCTTTATGGAGTCTTCCTAACATGAAGATGGTATGTCTATTCATTTATTTAGGTTTTCTTTAATGTTTTCATTTTACATAAGTTTCATAATTTTCTACATAAAAGTTCACACAGATCTTTTATTACATTTGTTTTTAGGTACCATTTTTTATCTGTTTCGTTTGTATATATATTTTTAAAAGTAAATCTTCACTTATGGCTCCTATCTAGAAATAAAATTGATTTTTATATATTGATCTAATATCTAAAAAATTAAATCAAGCCTTTTATTAAAAGATTTTTTTTTGAAGTAGATCTCGCTCTGTCACCCAGGTTGGAGTGCAGTGGCATGGTCCTGGCTAACTGCAGCCTCTACTTCCCAAGGTCGACTGATCCTCCCACCTCACCCTCCTGAATAGCTGGGACTACATAGCATGCCACCAAGCCTGGCTAATTTAAATTTTTTTTTTTTGTAGAGACACTATCTATCTTGTTATGTTGCTTAGGCTGGTTTCAAGCTCCTGGGCTCAAGCAATTCTCCTGCCTTGGTCTCTCAAACTATTGGGATTACAGGTGTAAGCCATGACGTCAGGCCTAGAGTCCTTTCTATCACTCTTAGCTGCAACATTAACTGCAGAATTTCTGCCTAGTGAGCTTATATCAATAAATTTAGCCTGATTCAACATTTTGTTCCTTCCACCATTATCCCACATTCATAATAAGCGTTCCCACACATGTTCCCCAGATTTCTGCTTGTATAAATTAGAAAGCTCAAGCAGTGCTTTTAAAGTGTATTGCATCTCCTCTTGGCTCACACTTTGTATATCACCTTTAGGAATCTCCTGGGACTTCAGTCTAGTTAGAGGTCTAGAAGCAAAAAGTGGGGGTGGGTCCTGAGGAGAATCAGCATTGTCTTGCATGGCAACTGCCTCAGGGAAGGCCATTACCATTTCTTCAGTCAACAGAAGCTAGCTCCTCAGATGGAGTTGAGAAGGTCACTATCACTGTGGATGGGAAGGCCACTTTTGCTGCGATGAGGGAGGCTAATTCCACTAAGGATGAGAAGGCTGCTTCCAGTGACACTGGGAAGACCTCTTTCACTAGCAAAGAAGAATCATTAGAATGTAGGGACTTAATGTCTCCAGCTTCATCAGTCTTTCCACGCAGCCCCATCCCAATTCATAGAATCCCACTTTTTTCCCAAACGATGGCCTCACTTTAACAGTAGACATTCTGCGAGACTGCAAGTTCAACTTGTATTATAATTCAGCCAACTGAAGGATGAGGTCCTATGTTTGATTTTCAGCAATTTCAGCCCTGTGACTACAGGAGATAAGGAACTCCTTCTGAGCACACATAGAAGCTCTTAGGCCATTTATTCAGCACTTGAGTTGGGAACTGGAATCCCTGAGGTCATCCTTTAAAAAACAAGGCAAACAAAACAAAACACACTTCTAGACATTAGGAGCAAAGAACCAACATCCTTATATTCCTTAGTTTTCAAAAAATGTTGGATGTTATGATATACAGTCATTTAGCTCTTTGATTCTCATAAATGGTTGATTAGGACTATCCACTGCAGATATTTTGCATATCATAGCCATTTACTATTAGTGCTCTCTTTACTACTAGAAATAGAATTTAAAAACCTGATCAGATTAGTAATCCAATTCCATAAACCCCAGAACAAATTCACAACAGTTATTCATAAAATTATGTTCCTCTAGAACTACTCTTAGTACAAAAGTCTATGCTAGTCAGGGTTCTCCAGAGAAATAGAACCAATAGAACTCAAAATATATGAAGATATTTATTGTGGAAATTGGCTCAAGCAATTATGGAGACCAAGAAAGTCTTACAGTTTTCTGTTTGAGAGCTGGAGAACCAGGAAAGCAGGTGGTGTAAGTCCTGGTCTCACTCTGAAGACCTCAGAACTGAGGATAAAAAAGTGGAGAGGTTTAAGTCACTGTCCCCGTCCCAAGGCCCAAGAACCAGGGCCATGAATGTCTAAGGGGAAAGAAGGATGGATATCCAGGCTCAAACAAAAAGTGTAAGTTTATCCTTTCTCTGCCTTTTCATTCTATTCAGGCTTTCAGAAGATTGGATCATGTGTACCCACATTGGTGAGAGTCATCTCTACTCAGTCTACTTACTCAAATGTTACTCTCTTCCAGAAATACTCTCACTGACATACCCAGAAATAATGTTTCACCAGCTAGCTGGACATCCCTTAGCCCAGTCAAGATAACACATAAAATTAACCATCACAGGGTGAAGAAGTTGATTTTTAAGTTATAGCATATAGCTGGTAGTTGAATGCATGTGAATAGATGAGACTGCCTTTGGGTAGAGGGTATCCAGAGAAGACCATGAAGTTAAGGCAAAAACTCTGCTAACACCAACATTTAAGGAAGAAACGCCTGTTAAGGGCAATGAGAAATTATTAAACTGAGTGGTTATTAAGTTAATCAAAATAAAACAAAATAGATTTACTAAGGGCTTCCCATGGACCAGGCACTGTGCTGTGGCTTATAATTCTGCCATGAACAAGGCAGACTTAGTCCTTTTTCTTCCTGGAGCTTAGAGTATAGAGATGCATATATTTAAGAGAACTTTAATTGAGAATGGAACAAATGAAAATAATCGGTTTTTTGGAGCTCAAAAGGTAGTGAATAGAGCTAGTTTGGAAAAGCCTTCTCTACAGAAGTAATACTTAAGCTAATACCTAATAAGAAGATAATTTGGTGTGGGGAGGTGGTTAAGAATCAAGACAAAAGTATACAGGGTATGCAACAGTACCACATGACTAAACACTCTGAATTTGGTGAGAACTTGGTGCATTTGAATTGTGATATCAACATGGTAGAGTACAAAAAAGAGGAGAGAGAAGTATGTGACAAACCTAGAGAGATGGGGGTGGGGCTAGTTCACATGAGACCAAATAGTCCATGTTTATTCCATATTCCAAGGGAAATAGAGGCCATATGCAATGACCATTAAATTTTCTTTTTGTCGGGCTAGCTTCCCACTGCTTCATTTTTAAACATTTCCTCTTCTACCCCATGAGATCTTGGTTGAATTTCCAGTTACCTGGATCAGTTTGCCCCCCAGGATAGCTAATAAGAGGACTCCATCCCTTTGGAGACCAAAGATTAGGTTAGTGGAAATATATAATTTAAGCAGGGCTAATCATAGTCTAATTTATGTGGATCCTTGGATGAAAAATTTTATTTTCCTCTCCTTAGATTTGCCAGCAGACATCTTGATACAACATAAAGAAAGCTTGTTTGAGACAAAAGCCAAGTGGAGGCAAAGTAGCCAAGAGATGGGGAGACAGTAGTACAGATCCCAGTTATCTCATTTGATTCTTGAATTCATCCAGAGTACCTCTTGGACTTTTCATTTTCTAAATGCCATTGAATTTATTTTTGATTAATCTAATTTAAATTGGGTCTCTGCCATGTAAAGTTAAAACAACATAGATATCAAAGGATACAATGTAAATATATAGAAATAAATTTTATATCTTAAAAAGATCATTTATAATAACACCAAAAATAAAATACATAGAATAAATCTAATGAGAGATAGGCAGGAACTCAACAAAAAAACTATACATTTAAACCAAGAGAAATTAAAGACCTAAATAAATGGAGGACTCCAACAAGTTCAAGGGTTAGAAACATTATTATTCTAAATATTTCTGTTTTAAAAATTGATCTATAAAAGCCATGCAATCCCAATCAAAATTTCAATCTATGTATGTATGTGTATATTTATACAAAATATATAAAATATATATATACACACACACATGCACACACACATATACGCACATATATGTGTGTGTGTAGAGCTGATTCTACAATTTATAGATTTTTTTTTTTAAGCCAAGCATAGCCAAGACGATCTTGAAGAAAAAAGAAGAAGTCATGTTAAATAGCTACAGCAATTAAGGTAGTGTGGTATTGGCACAAGGATATACACATAAACTAATGGAACAAAATAGGGAGTTTAGAAATAGCCTCAGACATATAAGGTCACATGAAATTACAAAAGTGTCACACTGTTTTGCAGTGGGAAAAAATATTGTCCTTAAATAATGATTCTGGGTAAATTGGGTAAACATATGAAAAAAATGGAGGTTGACTACCAATGTACATGATACAGTACAATCAGTTTTAGGTGGATTGTATCTAAATGGAAATGGTAAAATAATAAAACTTTGAGAAAATAACACAGAATACTTCATGGCATTCTGGTAGGCAAGTTTTTTTTTCTTTTTTGAGAATATAAAAAGTATTAACCATAAAGGAAAAAATTGATAATTTAGACTACTTTAAAATTAGGAATTTCAATCATCAAAAGACCTCATTAAGAAGTGGAAAAGACAAGTCAAAGGATGGAAGGAAGGAGATAATTGAAATATATATGTTATATATATATAGGTTTGATAAAGGACTATTAGAAATCAAAAAGAAGGCAGAAACCTAATAGAAAAATGACAAATGACTTTAACAAACACTTCACAAAAAGTACATCCGAATAGCAAATAAGCACATGAAAAGGTATCTTATTCATCAGGGCAATGCAAATCAAAACACAGTAAGATGCCACTACACAATCATGAGAACAGCTATCATTAAAAAAACTGACATTATGGCCAGCGCGGTGGCTCACTTCTGTAATCCCAGCGCTTTGGGATACCAAGGCAGGTGGATCATGAGGTCAGGAGTTTGAGACCAGCCTGGCCAAAATACAAAAATTAGCTGAACATGGTGGCGGGCTCCTGTAGTCCCAACTACTCGGGAGGGTGAGGCAGAAGAATTGCTTGAACCTGAGAGGTGGAGGTTGCAGTGAGCCAAGATCGTGCCACTGTACTCTAGCCTGGGTGACAGAGCGAGACTCTGTCTCAAAAAACAAAGCAAAACAAAACAAAAACTGACAATATTAAGTGTTAATGCAAACAGGGAGTAATTGGAATTCTCAAACGTTAATGAGAGTTCAAATTGGTAAAACCACTTCAAAAAATTGTGTGGCAATATCTACTCTATAGCTAAACACATAATCCTATGATTTAGTAGTACTATTCCTAGGTGTATTACTAACAGAAATACAAACATATGCATACCAAAAGGCATGCATAAGAATGTTCTTAGTATCTTTGTTTACAATAGCCTTAAACTGGAAACAATTAAAATGTCCACCAGCAGTAGAATGGGTAAATACATTTTATACAGGGGAAATCCACAGAGCAATAAAAATGAATAAGCTATTGCCGTGTGCAACACTGAGGGATGAGTCTCGCATATGTAATTTGAGAGAAAAAACCCAGATCCAAAAAGCACAGTGTGTGATACCACTTACATGAAGTTAAAAAACTAGTAAAGTTGATGAATAATGATGGAAGTCAGCATAGTAAGTTCTTTTGGGGTGCGGCTGGGAGACTGTTCGCATTCTACTTCCTGACCTGTGGCAGTGACAAGGGTAGATTTCACACGGTGAACATTCATGAAGCTGTACATTCATAATCTGTGTGCTTTTCTGTTTGTACGTGATACATCGGTAAAAAGGTTACTTAAAGAGAAATAGAGTTTCAAGAGGGAATGCATGTATTGGACTGGGTACTTAATTATATTTGAATTTGTTTCCGAATAAAATTTCAAGATAATTAAAACTGAGATTTTTTCTTTTCCGCATTTTTTTCTTAATGTTGCATGGTCTTTACCCTTTCAGTCAGTGGCATCTGGTATTTAAGAGGAAAAACAGATTCAGCCAAGCAAAGAAGACAGTTTATTATTTGGAAATCATGGAAGTAATAAAGATCTTAAAAGCCTAAGTTTTGGCCGGGTGCAGTGGCTCACGCCTGTAATCCCAGCAATTTGGGAGGCCGAGGCGGGTGGATCACCTGAGGTCAGAAGTTCGAGACCAGCCTGGCCAACATTGTGAAACCCCCATCTCTACTAAAAATACAAAAATCAGCCAGGTGTGGTGGCACGTGCCTGTAATCTCAGCTACTCGGGAGGATAAGGCAGGAGAATCGCTTGAACCTGGGAGGCGGAGGTTGCAGTGAGTCAAGATCATGCCACTGCACTCCAGCCTCCTGGGCGACAGAGCAAGACTCCATCTCAAAAAAAAAAAAAAAAAAAAAGAAAGCCTAAATTTTGAATGAAGAGCCTAATTTTTGAGCCAGAAAAAGTTTTTATAAATCTCCCCAAAGCAAGATTTTTAGCATCAGTTTTCAAAGCTTGCAGAAAGAATACATCAAATTTATCCATAAACAACACAGCAGGGTGAGAATAGATTCAAAGCCAGTTTTTCTGACACACGGAGATTTTTTTTGTCTTTTTAATTTTTAAAATATTCTTGGCATGTGAGTGGAGCTTCAGAATTAGGAAAAGGAAGCGAGATAGTTAGCAGCTGGTGTGAGTTTCTAAAGCTGGTAGGGCACCATTTTGTCTCTTAAGATTTAGGTCTCGGTAGGGTTGGGGTTGGAGGAATTATAGGAATGTCTGACCCACTGGGTGAATCTGAGAGCAGAGTGGCCTATATCTTGCTCTGTTGGGAGTAGCCTGGGGAGACTACAATTATTGTAGAGAAGTCTTATGCCCGCTGTGGTCCTGGAGTGACAGAAGAGCAGTGGTTCAGTGAGATGTTGGGCTGACCGGGTTTATGGGCAGACTGACAGTTCAGCACACACATGCAGTGTGGTGTGGAAAAAACAACAACATGGAATACAAAAATTAGCCGGGCGTGGTGGCCTGCACTTGTAGTCCCAGCTACTCAGGAGGCTGAGGTGGTAGGGTTGCTTGAGGCTGGGAGGTTGAGGTTGCAGTGGGCTATGGTCATGCCACTGCAGTCCATTCTGGATGAAACTGTGTCTCAAAAAACAAAAAAAAAAAAAAAGGGAAAAGCAACATGGGCTCTGAACTCTGAATGTCCTAAGAGGGGGAAGAAAGGTGCGTGCAACTGCTAGGAGATGCCAGTCACATCCAAAGGGCTATGGAGGAAACGAACTGATACATGTAAAGGCCTTAGAATAAAAGCCAGTTGTTGTTGATGTAGTTTTTCACTTCTGAGTGCATATGGGGCTTTAGAACTAAGTTGTTAATAATAAAGAGCTGAAAACAAGTGCACTCATTAAGAATATGATGCCACTCACAGCTGCATACTTCACCCTCTCTCTGCCTCAGCAGGGCAAGGATTTTGAGAGACTAAAGGTCCATTTACAAAAATAAGACCAGAACTTTGGGACCCTTAACCTTTGTAAGGCAAGGACTGTGCTTTATTTGGTTTTGTACACCCTCTGCCCCAGTGACTGGGCATGGAAAGCTATTTGTGTTTGTTGAGATGAATAAATAGATGCAGTTTCCATTGGGAAAATTACACAAGCAATAATGTTACCCCTCCAACAATTTCTGCAAAATAGTTACACTACAAGGTATCACATGCAAGGGGCCCTTCAGATCAGCAGATAATTGTGCCTTTGGAAAATGAAAATCAAAATCAACACTCCTGGTATAGCTTCCCCATCTCTATAGATTCTAGTACTTACTCTCTGCCTGCTGGTTTCTCAGGCATGAGAAAAGGCTTTTTGACTCCAAGTCATAACACTAAAATACTCATAGTTCTGGCTACTATTGGATAATAAAGTTGGCAGTGCTATTCAGGAATCATATCTGAGTGTGGTTTCTATGATGGGACCAATCAACTGTATATTTACTACACGTTTTGGAGCCCTCTGTAAAACAAATGCTTGTCCTGCAATTTCTCCTTATTACAGAATGTATTCTGAATAGGTAATTTGGGGTTTCCCCTTCAAATTCACTCCTCCTTACCCAAACACATTCGCTGAGTATGTGTTTGTGTTTGGGTATGTGTGTGTGTATGTGTGTTTATCTACTCTCTGAGTCATGTCTCATCCTAACTTTGCCTTATTAGCAAATCTGTTGTTTTCAGCAGAATGGGTTAACAGACTCGTAGCCCTCTGCAGATCCGCAAAGGAGACAGTCTCTCTTAGATGTTACCTCCTAAGTTCTCTGGCCTGTCCCTGGTGTGTGCTCACTGACTGTTCTGAGGTTATTCCTCAGCCTATCTGCAATGGAATTCCTTCAACACAAGCAGTGATGAGAGCTGGCAGCCTTAACCTGTGCACAGTATCTTTGCCATACATTTTGATAAGAAGCATGTCTCCTTGGAGATCTTGATAAGGTAAATATTATCTTGAACTCATGGCCTGAGTATAGCTGCCTGATTATTAGGGATTGCAGGCATGAGCCACTGTGCCCAGCTATGAGGTAAATATTATCAAGAACACTTCTTCACTTAGAAATATTAAAAATTATTAGGTGTCTGCATGTTCTCATAAGTGGGAGTTGAACAATGAGAACACATGGACACCGGGAGAAGAGCATCACACACGGGGGGCCTGTTAGGGGGTCAGGAGCTAGGGGAGGGATAGCATTAGGGGAAATACCTAATGTAGATGACGGGTTGATGGGTGCAACAAACCACCATGGCATGTGTAGACCTGTATAACAAACCTGCACATTCTGCACATGTATCCCAGAACTTAAAGTATAATAAAAAAAAAATTATTAGGTGTCAACGATATACCAGGCCCCATGTAAGGTACTGGTGGTGTGTTACATACAGATACAGGAGCCAGTCATTTCTGTTTGTCTTTTTTTTTTTTTTTTCAGAGATGGAGTCTCGCTTTGTTGCCCAGGCTGGAGTGCAGTGGCACAATCTGGGCTCACTGCCAGCTCTACCTACCTGATTCATGCCATTCTCCTGCCTCAGCCTCCTGAGTAACTGGGACTACAGGTGCCTGCCACTATGCCTGGCTAATTTTTTTGTATTTTTAGTAGAGACAGGGTTTCACCATGTTAGCCAGGATGGTCTCGATCTCCTGACCTTGTGATCTGCCCGCCTTGGCCTCCCATAGCGCTGGGATTACAGGCGTGAGCCACCGCGCCTGGCCTCTGTTTGTCTTTTATAATCTTTCCATCTTCTCACCTATCCTCCCTCACCTTTCTGAATGGGATTGCAATGATTTATGACAAGCACACACAACAAACAAATGGAGACTGAGAAACTCAGTCATGACCAAAGGAGGCATTAATAAGAGTACGGAGTCAAGAAAAAACTTTTGGCCCAGCGTGGTGGCTCACACCTGTAATTCCAGCACTTTGGGAGGCCAAGGTGGGTGGATCACTTGAGCTCAGGAGTTCAAGACCAGCCTGGGCACTATGGAGAAACCCTGTCACTACAAAAATACAAAAATTAGCCAGATGTGGTGGTGCACACCTGTAGTCCCAGCTACTCGGGAGGCTAAGGTGGGGTGATTGCTTGAGTCCAACAGGTGAGGCTTCAGTGAGTCAAGATCGCTCCACTGCACTCCGGCTTGAGTGACAGAGGGAGATCTTTCTCAAAAAAAAAAAAAAAAAAAAAGCAAATAGCAAGAAAGAAAGAAAAAATCTTTCAGACCGTAAAGGCCTATGTGGTTATTATACTTGTGCTGACATTAGGCTTTGGGTTTCCTGGCAATCAAAGCAAGCAGAAAGACCTATTGCTCTTTTTCAGAAAGGAAAGAGGATTTCAGTTCCTCAGGGAAGGCAAAACTGTTTGTTTTTAGCACTAAGTTCTGAAAAGCATTTTCAATGTGGTGCTTTATATAAGGGGCACTGAACAAGATAATAGACAACATGCTTGACTTCTTCCAAATAGCAAGCACATGAATGGAATCTATATGACGACTTCTTGTGTTGTCTTTAGATAATAGTGATATAACCTTAAAATGCATCTCAATGGATGCGATTATGTGGGGACTTGGCTCTGACGAAACGAAGCTGCCTAGACAAGATGAATTTTATCCATAGATAAAATTCCAAGAACCAGTCCAAGAAAAAGAGTTGAACAAATCCAGTTTTTCCTTGGGAAACGTTCATCTTCACTATCAGCAGTTTCTTAGCCATTTGAGTGCCCCTTTCTGGCTCCAATACAGTTGGCGGTCTTTTGTTTAATTTTGGCATCTTGCTCTCAGCTAGCTGTTATTATAATTCTCATAGCAGTCATAAATGCCATTGGAGCCCTAAGAGTTAAGAGTTTTGGACTTGCTGAGTTTTGAAAAGTTTAAAATTCCTTTAAAAAATAATCGTTGAACTCTTCAGAGTTTTTTATATGCTAATATATATTGTGACTCTGTAAGAGAGAAAAATAATGTTCAGTATTTCTTCATCATATTTGATCATGGAACCCCTTAGTCATGTATCAGATACCTGTTGGGAAATGCTGTTGAAAGTTATTCTTTGTTAATGACTTTTAATGTAGACATTACAAGATCCCTTGCAGGGATATTGGCACTTTAGTATAGGATTAATGATGGTCAACAAATGTTTGAAATTGAAAGCTATGAATTTTTAGTAAAGCATCCTTGGTGCCCTGGCAAGTAGATGAAATATATTTGGGCAGGTGGAACTTTCTAGAATCCTCATGTCATACCACGTATTTATAAGACCAGCCCTCACAATCTTGGTCATGGCCTAAAAGTCTTTCTTCATCTATAAAATCAAGATTGTATTCTTCAGCTTAATCTTTGAATATCAACTGAATAAAATAATCAAAATACTGTTGAGACATTTGAAATGTAATCATTTTAAACTACCACTTAAAAAGAATAGAGCATAATAATAATCTTTGGGCAAAATTTATAAAGAATACGCTAGAGAATGGCTTTCTTTTTTTTTTTTTGAGACGGAGTCTCGCTCTGTCGCCCAGGCTGGAGTGCAGTGGCGTGATCTCGGCTCACTGCAACCTCCGCCTCCCGGGTTCAAAAGCGATTCTCCTGCCTCAGCCTTCCGAATAGCTGGAATTACAGGCACACGGACGCCACCACGCCCGGCTAATTTTTTTGTATTTTTAGTAGAGACGGGGTTTCACTGTGTTAGCCAGGATGGTCTCAATCTCCTGACCTTGTGATCTGCCTGCCTCGGCCTCCCAAAGTGCTGGGATTACAGGCGTGAGCCACCGCGCCTGGCCGATAATGGCTTTCAAAAATGCACGTTACTCTCACTATGACACAAAATAATGTGAATAAACATTTTAATAGCAAAGGCATTTTAAAACAAAACAGTTAATTAGGGGCATCACGCATGGTATAATTCTTTAAAGGTAGACATTGCTTAAGACCTTGAGACTGGATAGAGTGAAAAGATATCTCATCTTTTACATCTTAGAAATAAATATTTGTAACCATCTGGAGTCTATTTTCTGGATTAAAGAGAAGAGCAATAATCACACAAATTTATCTTTGAAATGTCACTTCTAACATTTGCTAGTTGAACAATACTATACCTTCCCCCCTCCATTACATGGTCAAATATATTCTCCCTAAAAATATAATTTTAACATCTTGAAACAAAAGCAGTTTCTATTCTCTAAGCTAAAACATTAGTCACCAGAGAATGGAATTCTGTCTGAAGATTAGGTTTCTCTATCATGCTCCAGTGAGACTAAACTGAACATTCTTAACTCTTCTACTCTTCTGTGCATTTGCCTGATTATTATGTTTACCTGCAGGGAATTCTTCCCAACACATGATGAACTCTTATTCATCCTCTAAAACCCAACATGCTTTCCTTTTCCAAGAACGCTTATCTTCCTCCCATTTTATCCATTTCTCCTGTATGCTACCTGCTGCATATACCTATTTCTATTTTTTCATTTATCATATGGAAAAAATTCCATAAGAACATTAAAATATGTTCTTAGAGTATGAGTTCAAGGGAGGCATGAACTACCTCTAATTTGTTTCTGTCTTTTGGGGTTAAAGTATACACTACAATACAGATCTGCACAAAATATGCTGCCTCTTTTATTTGCTATAGTTGATTGCATCTAGCTCTGCATACCCCAGTTCTGCTGCCGGTGGAAGCATGAACGTGGTAGAAAACACTTACCTTGTCTGTGAGAGGTAACAGCCTTTTCTGGTTTAACAAACATTTTCTTCTGATTGGTTTAACATTTGTGATTAATTAGCCTTTAGATGGGTGGTAGAATAAAATATTATTTCAAAGTTCAAACTTCCTATCAAGATTGTCTCCTCACTTCTCACAAGCTCTCTCTTCTCCTCTTTCCCCCAAGATGGCATGTTTGTTCCAAGAGAAGATTGGATTGTTTAATTCAGTGTGCAGGAGTCTTCTGGTGTGGGGCTGCCTTCTCGGCACTGAGGAATGATTAACCTGTTCAGTGCCTGGTTCCCTTGGGTTGGTGTTCACTAAGGCATAGATAATCCCACCAATCTATCTGGGCTTCTTGCTGGGACCACCTCTTGATGTGATAGTCCTTTCAGTTTGGGTTTTCTAGGGTCCTGTGTTTTATGGTCTCATTCTCCCAGTACCAGCTCCTTCAAATTTCTCAACATCAAGTCTCTCAAGTTCCTCATCTTGGGTCATGAGAACTCCAAGATCTCCTACATACCAAATGTTGCTCGTGGGGAATATGCTGCTCACTACTGTCTGTTTGTGTCTAATCTTTCACACCCACTTCATGATGGATTCAGTGGAGAAAGGGGGAACAACCCTGGACATTTTGATCCTCTCTCAAATAATCTAGAGTCTCTATCAAGGTCTCTATCTATCTCTGTCATTTTTGTTTTTCTTTATTGGAACTTGAGTTTGGGAAACCAAGTTCCTTCTCAAAGACCCAGGCTATATTCTCATCCTAGTGAAATTCCTTCCAGATATTTCTTTCTTTTTTACTGAATTAGATGAATGTCATTTACATTGAATCCTTACTCTATCCTAGAGCTTTTAGTAAAACTCTATGATTCAAGTCAAGTCATCTAGGTTTGGCTCCTGACATGAGAATGAAGCTTTTATAGTTTAGAGACCACCTTTCTTTATCACAATAGGCTGGCTTGCAAGACTAATGCTTCACTGTGGACTCAAGAGTTTCTTTGGGTTTTTTTGGTAGTCAAAAGCTGAATATTAGATATATCCTTCTTTTTTTGCATTCCTACTTTCATGTGTAAATTCACACAGCTGGCAAGAGGAAGGTTGATATTTTTTATCACCAGCACCTTAATGTTGACTTGGGTTTTTCTCATTTGTCAAACCTACTCCTTTTCTGCCTCTCCACAGACTTTGTGGTTCTGCTATATTTGGCCCTATGTGATTATGCTGTATTGACCCAGTTGCCCCTAATCATGCTGTCTGTGCTCAGTACCTGCAGAAAAGATAAGATATTTCTTTTTCCTCTTTTCTTCAGAGCTAAACAACAGTTTAGAGCTTCCTTGCAGATAGGTGGGACTCTATGTCTAAGTTCTGGCCAGGGAATATGTGTGGAAATGACACACCCTACTTCCAAGGCTGCCTTCTAACACTTCTTTTGCAGTCCTCCATAAACTTTTTTATAGTTTGTCAGTTGGCCAGAGGGAGAGGATTCACTGAAGGAAGGGCCCTGAGGTCCTAGGGGATGACAGGTCTACCCAATCAACTTTCCGGGTCTATTATTCACTGACCTCTAATTAAAATTTAAGATCTCTTTTAATTGTGAATATAGTCTTAATTTGAAGAGTATTTCCAGTATCTCTTACTTTGTCACTTATAGAATTATAGATATTTTTATATTGCTTTACAGATATCTCAAAATATTAATTACACTCATTTCTAGTTTGACATTGAACTAGTTATTATTAGACTTGCCACTGAATCTTGTTATTTAATATACTAAAAACAAGTACATAATTAGCTTATTTGAAGTTTAAAAGATATATTTAGGGCTGGCCACAATGGCTTACACCTGTAATCCCAGCATTTTGGGAGGCTGAGGGAGGAGGATTGCTTGAGACCAGGAGTTTGAGACTAGCCTGGGTAACATAGTGAGACACAGTCTTTACAAAAAATTTAAAACCTAGCTGGGCGTGGTGGCATGTGCCTGTAGTCTTAGCTACTCGGGAGGCTGAGGCAGGAGGATCACTTGAACCCAAGAGTTAGAGGCTGTGGAGAGCAATGATTATGCTACTGTGCCACAGAACAAGACCTTGTCTCTTAAAAAAAGTATATATAAAACTGTATTTAAATATACTTGCTTTCATTTTCATCTTATGTATTTTATCTGTGTTTTTTTTCGCTTGATTTTTGGCCCTCTGTGGTGTCTCTCACCATATCTGGTAATTTTTGATTAAGTGATGGATATTACCATGGTATTTTTGGTTAAATGCAGAAGGAAAGCCATTTAAGAAAGTCACTGGGCCAGGATGTGTATCTTAAATATATTATACTGTTTTACCCCCTTACTCTTATCAATGTTTCTCAATTTGGCTTTATTAAAAGGATTAAACCCTAGAGAAGATGAAATCATTGTGTGACCATTTTCCATAGGTGGTCTTTAGCTGGTATCATTTTAGATGCACAGGGACACAGTCAATTCATTATACCTATAGTAGTTGCCTCATGGCATTGAGTTTGATTCTCTCTCAGAACCCTGGTTGAGAAAGGCTGCTCTGGATGACAGGAAAATTTTAAGAGACAGGGCAGCTTCAATTCATCTGATCCCTGCAAAGGAGTGACCAGCAAGAAAATTATGGTCCTAAGACAGTTTAGGGGAATCAGCAAAAATGGAGTAGATTTTGCCATTCTTATTTGTGGAAAGAGGGCATTCAGTTAGCCTCTGTTGGGCTATGAAGCCTCTAGAAAACGGTGGTCTGATCAGCTCAGAGTGTTGATCTAGAATTACTGTAAAAGCAAAAATTAAAGAAAGATAATGTGCTTTCAGCTGTAGGCACTTTGATAACCTTGAGACTGTTTGGGATTGATGCCTTCAAGAAATATTAGGGAGATATTGTCAGACTTTTGCATAATAATTTCTATTATTAGTTCACAGTAAAAACTGCTATCAAGGTTGGCCAATGGGATTGCTTACACACCATTGCCTAATCCTTGGGGGAAGTAAATGAACGTGACATTCTTCTTTGTACCTCTTCCATTAAAACGCTATCTGTGAAAGAATAGAATCTGATGGGTAATGCGCAGAAACTAAAGCAGTGAATAATACTCATTACTCTCAGAGACTATTCAGCTTGGCATTATTTGCTTTTCCTCTTCTGATGAAAATCTCTAAAAATTTTTCAGAAGCTATGAATATA
Organism: Homo sapiens; assembly: GCF_000001405.40. Classification (NCBI taxonomy): domain Eukaryota; kingdom Metazoa; phylum Chordata; class Mammalia; order Primates; family Hominidae; genus Homo; species Homo sapiens. Next base: position 17,888,650 of record NC_000021.9, read on the forward strand.
AAAATTATAACCTAAGGATTCCCAGCAGGTTGAATTATTTGCTGAAACACTTACGAACAGCAGGTGTTTAGAGAATATGTGGCATCAAAAGCCATTTTCTCTCAGCCAAAGCATTCTTTTCACATGGAGGCATAAAATGCTATCAAGATTCAGATTTAAAAATGCTGAGGCATCTGTTATTTTTTCTCTCCCATCTCTGTATTTGAGTTTTTTTTTCATTTTTAGGTTATTTTAGGCATTTTATCTTTTGTATCTTTTGGTAGTAAACAAAATATTATTTATTTATTATTTTTTCTGTAATTCTTTGGACTTAATCACTTGTAGACAAATTAAACATATTCATTATACAATTTTTAGTCAGTAGTTCTCTGAATACTCCCAATCTGAGGTTAATAGGAATTATAGGCATTATCATTTAATTTAGCACTAAATTATAGGATTTTGTCATTTTTTACTATTATTTGTTGTTTATCTTATTTCTTCCCTAAATAATTTTTTTAATGTGTATATATGGGTACGATGGTTAGTTTCATGTGTCACTTTGACTGGGTACAAGTGCCCTGACATTCAGCTAAACATTATTCTGGGTGTGTCTTTGCAGGTGTTTCTGGGTGAGATTAACCTGATTGGTAAAGTGAGTCAAGCAGATGGCCCTCTCTAATGTAGGTGTGACTCAACCAATCAGTTGAAAACCTGAACACAACAAAAGGCTGAGTAAGAGGGAAGTCCTCCTGCCTGACTGCTTTGAGCTGAAACATTGGCTCTCCCCACGTCTTGAGCCTGCCAGCCTTCAGACTGGAACCAGCACTATTGACTCTCCTGGGTCTCCAGCTTACTGACTGAAGAACTTGGGAACTTACTGACTGAAGCCTCCATAATGAAATGAGTCAATTTCTGAGAGAGAGAGTGTGAGAGGGAGACTTTCATCCTATTGGTTCTGTTTTTCTGCAGAACTCTGACTAATCCAGTGGATCATGTCTTTGATATTAATTTTGTATATCCATAGCACATAGTAGTACATCACGAGTATGTTAGAAACTTAAAATAGACGTTTAGAAGCAGAGTGTTCCTTGATCAAATGATTCATGAAACCTAAAGTCAGTTACTCTGACATAAAAATTGACTACACATTTGCTAAATCCTTGAGTGCAGGTACTGTTGCACTTGTTGGGTTTGATATAGGTGGAAATAAAGGCAGTGAGAAATGCAGTATTGATCTTGATTAGGTGGTATGCTGAGTCACTATATTTGAATGAGGAATTGTAATTATAGCACATAATACAGCATGATTTTCATAAAAAAAGGTATTATTTAAATGACAGGTTAAACTCATTTACCTTTGTCAAAAGCCCATGTATATCTTCTGAAAATTCATAATATTGTAAGTGACAGAAGAAGGGTTCTATTTATCAATGCTACCATAAGATTTGTAAACCAGTTAAAGCATGTCATCTTTCCTGCAGCGATTAGTGCTTTTGATCCAAGTCAGGGCATGCATTTAGAGTTGTTTTTCAAATTGTGGTGATGAATATCTTGTCTGATTTCACCTATAACCCTTGAAATGGATATGCAGGAAGACTAATCAAGATAAAAGTTTTAATGCGTTGTTATAAAACAGAGTGAAATTATGACTGGTTCATGCTCAATTTTAACTCCACAGCCTTAGCCTCATTGGGTTGTGTAGTAACCAAATTAATGGATTAAAGTTAGAAAATGTGCCAAACCATAAACCAGAGATAAGTAAGCAGAAAACTGCACTGTCATGAATGGACATCGTTCTAGTCACTTCTGAGTGTGATGGCATGAGTATTCTCACATGAAAGACTATTGTAAACTCTTACATTTGTTAAAACCAAACACTTACAGTCTTTACATGAACATTATAAACACAATTTATAAAAATATATAATGTTGCTTTTCTCTTGAGATGTTTCAGCTGAGAAATCTGAGAAGGTAGAAACATTGAACTGCAAAATGCAACTATCCTCTAAAATACCTGGTAGTCTAGATTTGCTACCGATGTAATTTTTATACACATTTCAGAAAGTAATTTTTTCCCCAATACTTTGCTGGATTGCCCATAGGAATATAAAAAAAAACACACATGCTAATGTTGCCCACCTGATATTGAGCAGCACGATAGAGTTAGACTCCTGAGCTGCAACTTCTGGGTCAAAAGTTGATGCTATTTCAGGGTAGTAAGCACAGCATCCCTGTTGCCAGGAGGAAATGTATTTTCAGCTCTGCTCTCATTAGGTGGTTTTTTGTCCTCTTCAAATATGAGGAAAATAAAATCCTCTTCATCACCTCAACACAGTGGGGACTCAAAGTGCATACTCCCCAAGGGACACAGAGGGCTCAGAATAGAGACAAATGGGGATGACATTTTGCAGGTATATTGGAGAACAGTGAAGACAACCACTTTAGCAGAGTAACTTTTTTTTTTTTTTTTGAGATGGAGTCTTGCTCTGTCACCCAGGCTGGAGTACAGCAGTGTGATCTCAGCTCACTGCAACCTCTGTCTCCTGGGTTCAAGCGAGACAGCCACCTGAGTAGCTGGAATTAAAGGACCGCTTAAGTTTTGCATTTTTATTAGAGACAGGGTTTCGCCATGTTGGACAGGCTGGTCTCGAACTCCTGGCCTCAAGTGATCCACTGGCCTCGGCCTCCCAAAGTGCTGGGATTACAGGCGTGAGCCACTGCGCCCAGCCCAGAGTAACTATTAAGAGTGGATATTAAATGGAACATTGCACAAGCTCATGAGCAGATAGTAAGAATGCCAACTCTGCTAGAAGGTAGTGACCTGTAAAACCTGTAAAACCATGAACAGTGTGTGGCTTTCAACAGAAGAGATGCCACAGTTGGATAAAGATAGAGACAGAGAAATTGTATCTGGATTAAACTGAAATAGTGATGATTTTCTGAATCATCCTTGATTAAGGATTTTCACCAAAGACTTATTGAGGAATACTGTAAATTAATATGATAATTTATCTGCATGTATGCCATTTATTGTTTGTATTCTGTATATAATTATGATTCATTAACTATATAGTAAAATGTATTAGGTGGATGCAAAAGTAATTGCGGTTTTTGCCATGACTTTCAATGGCAAAAACCCCAATTACTTTTGCACCAACCTATATGTAATTTTCATTTTCCAGTGCAGATCCATTCGGTCTAAATTAATCTTTTTATCGTCACAAAGTTCTTGAGTTTAAGAATATTTCACATGTTGTTGTAGGTGACTGGACTGGGAAGACACTACCTGAAAACAGCAGTCTACATCTGGGCCCAGAAGATCCAAATCTGGAAATCAGCCCATTGTCTAGAATGCTACCTTTGCCATACTCGTTTCAGTCTAGGATACTAGACATATCCATTTTTTTTTAGAGATCATCAGGATTTTTGTAAGAGGGCTTGTGGGGGCAGGGGTGGGGTGTGATGGGGAGGTGAACGGGATGACAAAGAATGCCTTTAGAACTTCATTCAAAACACTGTGCTCTATCACTTACTAAGCATGACTAGTCTTTGTTTGTGAGAGTATGCGGAGGAGAATTCAGACATTTATGATTCCCAACTAAGACCATGAATTTGAAGGAGGCATGCTTCCTATCCAACTTCAGAAATGGAAGCAAATCAAGTAACAAATATTTTTTTATCCCTTTTTATGGGCCCATCACTGAGCTAACTGCAAGGTATACTAAAGAGAGACTAACTGTACTCATTACCCTTAAATAATTACTGTAATTACATAAAAATACAAAAGAAAGAATTGTCACAGTCTAAAACATTTCATATTAGCTAGAGAGGCAATAGGAGACAAATTGTAAAAAATTAACTGGTTCTGGAACAAATAGGTTTTATAGAAGAAACATACTTAGTGACGTTCCTTGACGGAGTAGAAGGGCGGGGAGGGGAACAGGTAGGAGACAGGAGAAGCAAGTCCACAGCACTAACAAACCCATTCCTGGACTTGTGCACATCCTTGAGCTTCAGCCCAGCTTTTGCAGGCAGCAGTGACCCTGTATTTCAATTGTTAATGCCATGATACCCCTATATAGAAGAAATTCCATGACTGCTTTCTTAAAACTGTTTTTGATATTCAGTTCCTTCCTAATTTCATTTTAGTTTATCCTCTTGGCTATTTGTCCTCCTTGAGAAGAAAGAGTCCGAGAGAGAGAGACATGGTCTTTGGTATCAAGATTTGCATGTATAATTTTCTGAGCTAGCTTTTCTCAGGAGGAGTTATTCCTTCTGTCTGTAAGTGTCCCCAAATCTTTATGAAATAACATACTAATTGTGGCCAAGATGCTAGTGCTCACGAGCACCTGTATTCTCTTCTTTATCCTGAGCCCCCAGGTAGACCACACTTTCTAGGCTCCCTTGCAGATTGGTGTAGCTATGTGAGAGTTCTCGTAAATGGCAAGCAGAAATGATGGGACCATTTTCAGACTGACACACAGAGAACCTCCCACATGCAATTCTCTAAGCTCTTGGCTGATTAGAGAGGACTCTGGGACACCAAAAGAGAATGGAGCCTCTGGTGGGAAAGACCCTGGGCCCCTAAACTGTGGGTATAAGACAGAGCCTTCCCTTCCTCCCAGTGCCTCAGATTGGACTGTGATGTGATGTGAGCTACAAATAACAATGATTGCATTAGCTGAATCTCCAGTTGGTTGCTCATTGATTCATTTAACGTATATTATTGGACCACTTCTCATGTTCAATACCATAATCCTATTGATTTTCCAAAGCAATGTCACTATCAATTTAAAGCACATGAATAAATTTATTATAATAGAGCATAGCCATTTTGGACAAATGTTTAAAAAACTTTTTATTTAGAAGAATTTCAAGGTAACACTTGTGAGAACAGCACAAAGAACACTTGTATGCTCTTCACCCACATTCACCTACATTTTGTTCCATCGGCTTCATCTCTTGTTCTTTCTTCACGTATACACATATTTTTCATATTTTTCTGAACCTGATCACTGTATAAAAACAAGGACACTCACCTACACAACAGCAGTACAGTTGTCAAACTAAAGGAAATTTCTCACATCTATTCAATCGACTGTGTGTATTCCAGTTTATGAATTGACCCCAACCTGTCCTTCATAACATTTTTTTCTCACTTATAGAGTAGCCCAGTCTAGGAGCATGCACTGATTTTAATGGTTGTATCTTTTTAGTCTCCCTTAATCTTTGTCTTTACCTTTAATTTCTGTCTTTTGTGACATTGACATTTTAAAAGAATACAGTCCTATCTTTCTAATAGAATGTTTTTCATTTTGGCTTTGTCTCATTTGTCAGCATTGGAGTTGGGATATGGATTCTTTTTAAAAATCTTTTTATTGAAGTACAATAAGCAAACATTTTGAACCAAAACTTTGATAGCTCATTGAACAAGGGTGAGGGATTGAGGTATCCAATTGTAGTTGTTTCATTGCTAGGTTATGAGGTAGATGCCATTTCTTCTTCTTTTAAAAAAATTTTAAAAACCAGAACATTTATTGCGTGACTAATCATTGAAATTCTTAAGATGAACTGGATGCTGCAACAGTTGTCTTTCTGGATTTAGCTGTTGTTCCTTCACGGAATCTATGGCTGAATCTGCAGTACCCAATTTTTAGGTGCCTCACTTCACCAGTCCCAGTGGTATTTTGTCTTTTAGACTTGACACTCGAGTTATACTTCCTCTTGCACTTGGCAGAGTAGCCACATTTGCCACAGGTCACTTCTGAAGGTGGTAGGCCTTAGACCCACAGCAGGGACACAGTATGTGCATCTTATTGTGGGGCTTTCCAAACTATGACATTCCCTTTGTCATCTCGCTTCTGTGGCTAAGACCAAAGAGCAGTAGATGCAATTTCTTGTTTTCTTTTTAATTTTTCCATAAGTTATTGGGATGCAGGTGGTGTTTGGTTATATGAGTAAGTTCTTTAGTGAGATTTTGATGCACCCATTACCTGAGTAGTATACACTGCACCCAATTCATGGTCTTTTATCCCTCATCCCCTTCCCACTCTTTCCCCCTGAGTCCCCAAAGTCCATCGTGTCATTCTTATGCCTTTGGATCGTCAAAACTTAGCTCCCACATATCAGTGAGAACATACAATGTTTGGTTTTCCATTCCCGAGTTACTTCACTTAGAATAATAGTACTCGATCTCATCCAGGTCTCTGCAAATGCCATTAATTCATTCCTTTTTATGGCTGAGTAGTATTCCACTGTATAAATATACCAAAGTTTCTTTATCCGCTCGTTGATTGATAGGCATTTGGGTTGGTTCCATGATTTTGCAGTTGCAAATTGTGCTGCTATAAATATGCATGTGGAAGTATCTTTTTTGTATAATGACTTATTTTCCTCAGGGTAGATATCCAGTAGTACGATTGCTGGATCAAATGGTAGTTCTACTTTTAGTTCTTTAAGGAATCTCCACACTATTTTCCATAGTGGCTGTGGTATACTTTACATTCCCACTTGCAGTGTAGAAGTTCCCTGTTCACCACATCCATGCCAACATCTACTGTTTTTGTTTTTGTTTTTTTTAATGGCCATTCTTGCTGGAGTAAGGTGGTATCCCATTGTGGTTTTGATTTGCGTTTCTCTGATCATTAGTGATATTGAGCATTTTTTCATATATTTGTTGGCCATTCGATATCTTCTTCTTTTTTTTTTTTGAGACAGAGTCTTGCTCTGTCGCCCAGGCTGGAGTGCAGTGGCGCAATCTCGGCTCACTGTAAGCAACACCTGCCGGGTTCACACCATTCTCCTGTCTCAGCCTCCTGAGTACCTGGGACTACAGGTGCCCGCCACCACGCCCGGCTAAGGTTTTGTATTTTTAGTAGAGATGGGGTTTTACTGTGTTAGCCAGGATGGGCTCGATCTCCTGACCTCATGATCTGCCTGCCTCAGTCTCTCAAAGTGCTAGGATTACAGGCATGAGCCACCACGCCCAGCCTGTATATCTTCTTTTGAGAATTGTCTATTCATGTCCTTAGCCCACTTTTTGATGGGACTGTTTGTTTTTTTTCTTACTGATTTGTTTGAGTTTGTTGTAGATTCTGCGTATTAGTCCTTTGTCAGATGTATAGATTGTGAAGATCTTCTCCCACTCTGTGGGTTGTCTGTGTACTCTGTTGACTGTTCCTTTTGCTGTGCAAAAGCTCTTTAGTTTAATTAAGTTCCAACTATTTATCTTTGTTTTTATTGCATTTACTTTTGGGTTCTTGGTCATGAAATCCTTGCCTAAGCCAATGTCTAGAAGGGTTTTCCAATGTTATCTTGTAGAATTTTTACCATTTCATGTTTTAGATTTAAGTCCTTAATCCATCTTGAGTTGAGGATCCAGTTTCATTCTCCTACACATGGCTAGCCAATTATTCCAGCACCATTTGTTGAAAAGGGTGTCCTTTCCCCACTTTATGTTTTTGTTTGCTTTGTGGAAGGTCAGTTGGCTGTGTTTGAGTTTATTTCTGGGTTCTCTATTCTGTTCCATTGGTCTATGTGCCTATTTTTATACCAGTACTATGCTGTTTCGGTGACTATGGGCTTGTAGTATAGTTTGAAATCAGGTAGTGTGATGCCTCCAGATTTGTTCTTTTTGCCTAGTGTTGCTTTGGCTATGAGGGCCTTTTTTGGTTCCATATGAATTTTAGAATTGTTTTTTTCTAATTCTGTGAAGAATGATGGTGGTATTTTGATGAGGATTGTGTTGAATTTGTAAACTGCTTCTGGCAGTATGGTCATTTTCACAATATTGATTCTATCCATCTATGAGCATGGGATATATTTCCATTTGTTTGCATTGTCTATGATTTCTTTCAGCAGTGTTTTGAATTTTTCCTTGTAGAGGTCTTTCACCTCATTGGTTAGGTAGATTCCCAAGTATTTTTTTTTTTTCAGCTATTGTAAAAGGGGTTGAATTCTTCATTTGATTCTCCACTTGGTTTGTGTTGCTGTATAGAAGAGCTACTGATTTGTGTATGTTAATTTTGTATTCAGAAACTTTGCTGAATTATTTTATCAGTCCTAGGAACTTTCTGGAGGAGTCTTAATAATGTTTTCTAGGTAAATGATCATACTGTCAGCAAACAGTGACAGTTTGACTTCCTCTTTACTGATTTGGATGCCCTTTATTTCTTTCTCTTGTCTGATTGCTCTGGCTAGGATTTCCAGTACTGTGTTGAAGAGGAGTGGTGAGTGAGAGTGGACATCCTTGTCTTGTTCCAGTTCTCGGAGGGAATCCTTTCAACTTTTCCCCATTCAGTACTATGTTGGCTGTGGGTTTGTCATAGATGGCTTTTATTACATTTAGGTATGATGTCCCTTGTATGCTGATTTTGCTGAGAGTTTTAATCATAAAGTGATGCTGGATTTTGTACAATGCTTTTTCTGCATCTATTGAGATGAGTATGTGATTTTTGTTTTTAATTTTGTTTGTGTGGCGTATCACATTTATTGACTTGCGTATGTTAAACCATTCCTGTTTCTCTGGTATGAAACCCACTTGATCATGGTGGATTATCTTTCTGACATGTTGTTGGGTTCAGTTAGCTAGTATTTAGTTAAGGATTTTAACATCTAAGTTCATCAAGGATATTGGTCTGTAGTTTTCTTTTTGGTTATGTCCTTTCCTGGTTTTGGTATTAGGGTTATGCTGGCTTCATAGAATGAATTTGGGTGGGTTCCTTCTTTCTTTATCTTATGGAATAGTGTCAATAGGACTGGAACCAACTCTTCTTTGGTAGAATTCTGCTGTGAATCCGTCTGGTCCTGGACTTTTTTGTGTTGGTAATTTTTTAATTACCATTTCAGTCTCACTGCTTGTTATTGGTCTGTTCAGGGTATCTAATTCTTCCTGATTTAAGCTAGGGGGTTGTGTTTTTTTTAGGATTATCCATCTCTTCTAGGTTTGCTAGTTTATGTGTGTAAGGATGTTCATAGTAGCCTTGAATAATCTTTTGTATTTCTGTGGTGTCTGTTGTAATATCTCCTGTTTTGTTTCTTAATGAGGTTATTTGGATTTTCTTTCTTCTTTTCTTGGGTTAATCTTGTTAATGGTCTATCAATTTTATTTATCTTTTCAAGGAAGCAGCTTTTTGTTTCATTTATCTTTTGATATTCTTTCTGTTTGTTTCAATTTCAGTTAGCTCTGCTCTGATCTTGGTTGTTTCCTTTTCTGCTGGGTTTGGGTTTGGTTTGTTCTTGTTTCTCTTATTCCTTGAGGTATGGCCTTAGAGTGTCAGTTTGTACTCTTTCTTTTTGATGTAGGCATGTAGGCCTATTAACTTTCCTCTTAGCACTGCCTTTGCCATATCCCAGAGGTTTTGATAGGTTGTATCATTATTGTTGTTCAGTTTGAAGAATTTTTTAATTTCCATTTGGATTTTGTTTTTGACCCAAAGTTCATTCAGGAGCAGGTTATTTAATTTCCATGTATTTGCATGGTTTCAAAAGTTCCTTTTGGAGATGATTTCCAATTTTATTACACTGTGGTCTGAGAGTGATTGATATAATTTCAAGTTTCTTAATTTTACTGAGGCTCCTTTTTCGGCTTATCATACAGTCTATCTTGGAGAAAGTTCCATGCGCTATTGAATAGAATGTGTATTCTGCAGTTGTTGGATGAAATGTTCTGTATATATCTGTTAAGTCCATTTGTTCCAAGATATAGTTTAAATCCATTGTTTCTTTGTTGACTTTCTGGCTTGATGCCCTGTCTAGTGCTGTCACTGGAGTATTGATGTCCCCACTATTATTGTGTTGCTTTATATCTCATTTCCTAGGTCTATTAGTAATTGTTTTATAAATTTGGGAGCTCCAGTGTTAGGTGCATATATGTTTAGGCTTGTGATATTTTCCTGTTGGACAAGGCCTTTTACCATTATATAATGTCCCTCTTTGTCACTTTTAACTGCTGTTGCTTTAAAGTTTGTTTTGTCTGATATAAGAATAGCTACCCCTACTTGCTTTTGTTGTTCTTTTGCATGAAATGCCTTTTTCACCTCTTTAATTTAAGTTTATGTGAGTCCTTATGTGTCAGGTGAGTCTCTGGAAGGCAGCAGATGGCTGGTGAGTTCTTATCCATTCTGCAGTTCTGTATCTTTTAAGTGGAGCACTTAGGCCATTTACACTCAATGTTAGTATTGAGATGTGAGGTACCATTGCTTTCATCTTGCTATTTGTTGCCTTTGTACCTTGTTTTTTGTTTTCACTTTTCCACTTGTATTTTTGTTTTATAGGTCCTGTGTGATTTATGCTTTAAAGAGGTTCTATTTAATGTGTTTCCAGGATTCATTTCAAGATTTAGAGCTACTTTTAGCAGTTCTTGTAGTGGTGGCTTGGAAGTGGCAAATTCTCTCAGCATTTGTTTGTTTGAAAAAGACTGTATCTTTCCTTCATATATGATGCTTAGTTTTGCTGGATACAAGATTCTTGGCTGATAATTGTTTTGTTTGAGGAGGCTGAAGATAGGGCCCCAATCCCTTCTAGCTTTTAGGGTTTCTGCTGAGAAATCTGCTGTTAATCTGATAGGTTTTCCTTTATAGGTTACCTGGTGCTTCTGTCTCACAGCTCTTAAGATTCTTTCCTTTGTCTTAACTTTAGATAACCCGATGACAATGGGCCTAGGTGGTGATCTTTTTGTGATGAAGTTCCCAAGTGTTCTTTGTGCTTCTTGTATTTCGATGTCTAGATCTCTAGCAAGGCTGGGGAAGTTTTCCCTGATTATTCTGCAAAATATGTTTTCTAAACTTTTAGATTTCTTGTCTTCCTTAGGAACAGCAACTATTCTTAGGTTTAGTTGTTTAACATAATCCCAAACTTCCTGGAGGCTTTGTTCATATTTTCTTATTCTTTGTTCGTTGGATTTGGTTAATTCAAAGACCTTATTTTCGAGCTCTGAAGTTCAGAGCATTTTGCATTTCTATAAGTGTATCCAATGTTTTCTGAATTTTTTATTGTTTTTTCTTTATGCTATCTAGTTCCTTGGATATGTCTCCCTTCACTTCGTTCACTCGCGTCTGTGTGAAGAGACCACCAAACAGGCTTTGTGTGAGCAACAAGGCTGTTTATTGCACCTGGGTGCAGGCAGGCTGAGTCTGAAAAGAGAGTCAGCGAAGGGAGATAGGGGTAGGGCCATTTTATAAGATTTGGGTAGATAAAGGAAAATTACAGTCAAAGGGGGGTTGTTCTCTGGCGGGCAGGAGTGGGGGTCACAAGGTGCTCAGTGGGGGAGCTTTTGAGTCAGATGAGCCAGGAGAAGGAATTTCACAAGATAATGCCATCAGTTAAGGCAGGAACAGGCCATTTTCACTTCTTTTGTGGTGGAATGTCATCAGTTAAGGCAGGAACCGGCCATCTGGATGTGTACGTGCAGGTCAAAGGGGATATGATGGCTTAGCTTGGGCTCAGAGGCCTGACAACTTCTTTTATCAGTTTTTGGATTTCCTTGCATTGGTCTTTCCCTTTCTCTGGTGCCTCCCTGATTAGCTTAATAACTGATCTCCTGAATTCTTTTTCATGTAAATCAGGGATTTCTTCTTGGTTGGGATCCATTGCTGGTAAACTAATGTGATTTTTTAGGGGTGTTAAAGAGCCTTGTTTTGTCATATTACCAGAGTTGATTTTCTGGTTTCTTCTCTTTTGGGTAGCCTCTGTCAGAGGGAAGATCTAGGGCTGAAGGCTGTTGTTCAGATTCTTTTGTCCCACAAGGTGTTCCCTCGATGTAGTACTCTCCGCCTTTTCCTATGCATGTGGCTTCCTGTGAGCCAATCTGCAATGATTGCTGTCTTTCTTTTGTGTCTAGCCAGCCAGTGAGTCTACAGGGCTCCAGTCTGGTACAGGGGGTTGTCTGCACAGAGTCCTGCGATGTGAACTGTTTATGGGTCTCTCAGCCGTGGATCCCAGCACCTGTTTCCAGTGGAGGTGGCAGGGGTGTGAAATGGACTCTGTGAGGGTTCTTAGCCTTGGTGGTTTAATGGTCTATTTTTGTGCTGGTTGGCCTCCTGCCAGGAGGTGGCGCTTTCCAGAGAGCATCAGCTGTGGTAGTGTGGAGAGGAACCGGCAGTGGGTGCGGCCCCAGAACTCCCAAGATTATATCTCCTTTGTCTTCTGCTACCAGGGTGGGTAGGGAAGGGCCATCAGGTTGGGGTGGGGCTAGGGGGTGTCTGAGTTCAGACTCTCTTTGTGTGGGTCTTGCTGCAGCTGCTGTGGGGGATGGGCATGACATTCCCAAGTCAATGGGGTTGTGTACCTAGGAGGATTATGGCTGCCTCTGCTGAGTCATGCAGGTTGTCAGGGAAGTCGGGGAAAGCTGGCAGTCACAGGCCTCACCCACCTCCCATGCAAACTGAAGGGTCAGTCTCACTCCCACCATTGCCCCCCAAACAGCCTTGAGTCTGTTTCCAGGTGGTGGGTAAGCTGAGCTTGAGAACTTGCCCCAGGCTACCCACCTCCCAGCTGGGAACGAAAAGGGCTTGGTTCTTCCCCCACCTGTGGGAGTGTGCGCACGGGATTCATGCCCTCCCCCCAGTTCTGGCCAGGAGGCTTCTCACATGGTTCCAATTGTTAAAAAATTCAGCTGGAGATTTCCTTCTCCCTGTGGTGTTTTTCCCCCGCTCCTCTGGCTGCCTTCCTGATGGATCTCTGTGGTCCCAGGCAGGAATGGCCTGCTTGGGGACCCAGCGAGCTCCCAAGGCCTTTCCTGCTGCTTCCTCTATCCCTGTGTTTTGCTTGGCTCTCTAAATTGACTCAGCTCCAGGTAAGGTTGGAAACTTCTCCCACAAACAGACCTTCAGTTTCTCCAGTGGGGGTGTGTGTTTGGGAGAGGAGGGTCTCCCTTTCCCACTTTTGCAGTTGGGGCACTCACAGTATTTGAGGCATCTCCCAGGTCCTGCAGGAGCAGTCGGCTTCCTTCAGAGGGGCTGTGGGTCCTCTCGGTATTTCTGGTTTGTTCTTGTAGTCGATCTGGGGCTAAAATTCACAGTGCCAGCCTCAGCATGCTGCTCTGTCGGAGTCAAAGCTACAGCCTAGTCCTGCCTCCCTTCTGCCATGAGCTCCTCATTTTCTCAGTAGATGCAATTTCGAACAGCAATAACAACATTGTAGTTTTTTACAACAAGCATAAATGATTGTACTTTTGGGCAGCGGAATTTTATGTAAAATGAGGAAATGGGTGGTTTCCAGCCTGCTTGCCTCTTGGTGGTGACTCGCAGCTTTCAGCATTTAGAATCTCTTGCTACTCATTGCTTTCAGGATGCCACAGATTCTCTTTTGTCTGGAGAAATGTATGTGATAACCTGGCACTCACGCCTTGGTGTCTAGGTAGGTATATTAACCTACCAAGGATGTATGCATTTTAGAGACGTTATCTGGAAAGATCAATTCATGACTCAGAGCATGTTTTTCCAAGTGCGGCATTTCTAGGATACAGCATCTGGACAGGGAAAATGTTTCTGAGCAGTGGAGTAGTTAATTTTTTTTTGTTTTTTTTTTTTGTTTTTTTGTTTTGTTTTGTTTTGTTTTTTTTTTGAGGCGGAGTCTCGCTCTGTCTCCCAGGCTGGAGCGCAGTGGCGCGATCTCGGCTCACTGCAAGCTCCGCCTCCCGGGTTCACGCCATTCTCCTGCCTCAGCCTCCGGAGTAGCTGGGACTACAGGCGCCCGCCACCACGCCCGGCTAATTTTTTGTATTTTTAGTAGAGACGGGGTTTCACCGTGTCAGCCGGGATGGTCTCAATCTCCTGACCTCGTGATCCGCCCGCCTCGGCCTCCCAAAGTGCTGGGATTAAAGGCGTGAGCCACCGCGCCCAGCCTGGAGTGTTTAATTTTATGTGTCAACTTGTCTGGGCTGTAGTACTCAGTTACGTAACCAAACACCAATCCAGGTGTCACTGTGAAGGTATTTCGTAGATGCAATTAACATCTACGGTCGGTTGATTTTAAGTAAAAGATACTAACTTTCATAATGTGGGTGGGCCTCATCCCAACAGATGAAGTCCTTCAGAGCAAAAAACAGGTTTCACTGAAAAGAAAATCTGCCTGAAGACCATAGCATCCTCTCCTGACTGCATTTCCAGCCTGCTTGTCTGTCTCTACAAGTTTCAGACTTGCCAGCCCGCATAATTTCATGAGCCAATTCCTTAGAATAAATCTTTTAATGTACACACTCACACACACACATCCAAATGCTTCTATGTCTCTGGAGAATCCTGACTGATATATAAACAACTGCACAGGCAGGCAGTTGTTTTTGTATTCCTCGAATCATGCCTCACTGTGGTCATTACTAGCACAATGCTTTGAATATGAGAAGTGTTTAAATAATATATATTAAACGGATCAATGAGTAACTAACTGGAGATTAACCTAATATGAAAGTTAGTATTGAGGCTTTAAAGTAAAAAATAAATTTTAGCCTTGTGATCATATTTCTCCATAATATTGAAAGCCTTTATTGGGACTCGAATGGTTTCCTGTTTATCATCAAGTAATGATGGAGGTTTGCTCTTAATTCTGTATTGAGTAAATACATGTCCCATATAAAATTTTTTGCTGCCCTCTGGTGGATATAGTTCAATAAATAAACATTATACAATTATATATCAAATTCCATATATTAAGCAGTTTCTCATTTGTGTATGTTCCCAAAGTTGCTTTCTCAGTTTAGAAATTGGAATGCATTTTTCACATCAGAAGAGAGGTTAGTATCTCAGATCTGCTTGTAAATCCCTATTATAATAAATGGTACTTAAAATATGGCACAAAAAATAGTGTAGAGCCTAACAAGTAGGTAGTTGCAATGATTTCATGAGGAAATCCATTGAAAGTGATCACTTGGGAACACAGTTAGCCATCTTCCCTGCTGTGGCCTTGATTACTGAGGAAGGCGAAGTGGAATTTCCTGGATCCCATCCCTGGGGGTGCTTCTATGGCCTGCCATGGGGTGTGTGTATTGGGAGGTGGGGGTGGGAGGATGGTGAAGGACAGAATCGAAAGCTTTCCAGGAATGGGGTGAGGCTTGGGGGTGTAGTGAAAGGGAATGAGGCAGAGCATAGCCCGGAGGAACAGAAGTAGCTGAGTTCTAAAGAAATGAAAGATCTGGAAATAAAATACATATGGGACTGAAGGGACAAGAGTGACACTAAAGACAGGCAGAGAGGAGTGAAGAACAGTGGTAAAGAGTGTCCTGTGCCCGCTCACAAGAGCCAATTGTTAAATTTTCAAGAATTTTGTGAGCCACTTATTAAACACAGACATTATTAAAAACTAAGTCAAGGCCGGCCAAAGTGCCTCACACCTGTAATCCCAGAGCTTTGGAAGGCCAAAGTGGGATGATTGCCTGAGGTCAGGAGTTTGAGACCAGCCTGGACAACATAGTGAGGCCCCCGTCTCTACAAAAAATAAAACGAAAAATAAATTAGCTGGGCATGGTAGTGCACGCCTGCAGTCTCAGCTGCTTGGGAAGCTGAGGTGGGAGGATCACGTGAGCCCAGGAGTTCAGGCTGCAGTGAGCTATGATTGCACCACTACACTCCAGCCTGGGCAAAAGAGCAAGGCCCTGTCTCGAAAAAATTAGTCGTATAAACTTACAATGAAGTAAACTGTCTTTAAAACTAAACTAATATGTACTCAAGACTCACCGCTTCCTAAGTATTTTACTATTTAGTAAAGTCACCTTTTGAGATGATTTACGTTTTGCATTCATATGGTGGGAATATTCCACAATGATGTGTTGTCCAGCATCTCTCCCCAGCTCTGCATTCCGAGATATCAGTAACTTCTTGTTGGTTACAGTGTGAATACTTTTGCCAAGAAAACTGAAAAATGCTACAAATCAAATCAGCTCTCCTCTATCCCCAAGAGCTGAATGTTAAACAGTTGCCAGCATTCCACTGGGTAAGGACATCTCTTCAGTAACAAAAGAAGGTTTTCTTTCTTTTTTAAAAAATAGTTTCACTACCTGTGCTAGATTGGTGTTCTAGTTCATTTATTCATTAAATAAAAAATATTATTTTTTGATTCTCTACTTGTTAGGAGATAATTTTCCATGGGTTTCTTATGTTTCTGCATACCTTATAAGAAAGACACAGATTACCCTTTGTCCCAGAAAATCTTTTCAGTGATGTTCATACAGTGAATGGCCTTGGAAGCTAGGGATTGGGTCTCCCTTTGGAGCAAAGGGCAGACATGCTTGCTGCCCATTATAAAATTTTTGCATCCCCTAAACTCAGCATTCCTCTCCTGTATCACAACCCACTATGTATTCAGGTATCTTTCGGTTCTTTTGTGTCACCCTGTAGACTTGGGCCTCGAGATACTGTCCCCAAAATGCCAAAATCCTGGCTGTTGCTATTGTTGTGATTAATAAGCTGTTCTTCTTCTCTGACCCTGAGTCTCCTGTCTTCTACTGGCATCAATGAAACTGTAGCAGGCAAACTTATTGGCTTGTGAGTAGGGCAAAATTCAGTCCCTTCCCAGTTCTTTACAGTATTATGTGTCAGGCAGTGAGCAAGGAACTGAAATGCAGGGGTGAGTACGGCAAAAAGATCCTTGTGGAGCTCAATATGTCTTGTAGGATTATAAACAAAAAGCATTAAAAATAAATGATGAATATTTAAAATTTATATTAGGATAAGAATTAAGAAAGAGTAGAACAGTGGTGCGATAGAGTAATGGAGCTGTCTAGAGGGAAATCTGCATGAGTTGTTGGGGAAGGTCTCTCTGGTAGGTGGTTAAGCCAGGAGAAAGAAGTTACGGCTGAAGAGTGAAGAGAGGGAGTATGTAAAAATACCATAAAGGAGGCCAGCCAGGTGCGAAGGCTCTCGCCTGTAATCCCAGCACTTTGGGAGGCCAAAGGCAGGAGGATGGCTTGAGCCCAGGTGTTACAGACCAGCCTGGGTAACATAGTGAGACCCTCTCTCTACAAAAAAAAAAAGGAGTCATGAAGTAGCATTTTTTGGTTGATTAATAAAGGGGATTTTTTTTTATGGGAAAAGATATGTTTTCTTCCATTTTCCTCTTTTCATTAAGGTAAATACGTGGGAGGGGAGGTTTCCAGACAGTGTGATAGAAATGGCAGGAGATTGCACTTTTCCTGCATTGGAATCACATGAAATTCCAAATATTGTATAAAGACTTGTGATTTGAGGAAATCCCTGGAAATAACACTTGGGGGCTGAATAAGAGTAGTATTAGTACAGACGGTGGAAGGCAGCGAGGAGGACAGAAAACGTGGCTGTAGTGAGAGGAATGAAATGACTGTCTTTGTACCCTCCCTGAGCAGTGCTCCCAAGGTGAGAGCTGATGAACTGGGGATGGATTGCCTGGAGTTTTAATGTTTTCTGTCAACGTTAGGTAGCAAAATCCACGGAGTATGATTCCAACAAACAATTGAGAGTTAGAGTGAAGTGAAGCTACCTAAAGGACAGAGAAAAAGGGTTTGGAAACTCAGTTCCTGACTCTTGATTGCTCTATGACCTCTCTGATATCTTTATTAGGTATGGCACTTTCTTATAAGAGGTTGCTGTAACTACCCTACTGAAGATCTGAGATGGGAAAGCAAAGGCAGAACAGCAAACTATAAAAGTCCCCTTCTTACATCTTCCACCAATGTGGCGTTTGAATACTTCTGTGAATTTTTAGAAATATGGGTTAGAAGTTACACTCAAGGCAATTTAAAAGTAATATTTTTTACACTTCCTAGAAGTTACAGTCTAGTCAATTTACAAATAATATTTTTTAGGTCGGGTACGGTGGCTCATGCCCGTAATCCCAGCACTCTGGGAGGCCGAGGTGGGCAGATCACTTGAGTCAGGAGTTCGAGACCAGCCTGGCCAACACGGTGAAACCTTGTCTCTAGTAAAATACAAAAAAAAGAAAAAAAAAGAAAAAAAATACATATATGTATATATATTACTTGGGCGTGGTGGCAGGTGCCTGTAATCCCAGCTAATCCGGAGGCTGAGGCAGGAGAATTGCTTGAACCTGGGAGGGAGAGGTTGCAGTGAGCTGAGATTGTGCCACTGCACTCCAGCCTGGGTGACACAGCGAGACTCTGTCTCAAAAAAAAAAAATTTTTTTTTTATACTTCAATATCTTTATTGACATAAATGGATATTGTATAACGTCTGTTCTAGATGCAATCTGTAAGTTGGTTTTATTTGCTTTTTTCTTTTAGTACCAGGTATTAGATAACCTAAAGGTATGCACAAAGTTTTGTCCTTGGATAATAAAGTGCTGGCTGCTGGGTTTATCGGTTTTCACTGTAAAATGCCAAAAAAAAAAACAATCTAGAAAACATCCAAATTATTTTACTGTGAAATTTTGTTAAAATGAATATATTGCTGTAATCACATACCCTTACATTTTACCAAGCACTTAACGTAGTCCTATAAGAATGCCCAAAACTAGTTGTTGATATACTGGTTTTTTTTTTGCAGATGAAAAAGCAGGCTCAGAGTGGTGGCGTGAGCTGCTTCAAGTCACATAGTAACTAGCCAATGTCTTAAATGAGCCCTTGGAGCATCTACACGGTGTTCTGTGATCAAAGGCCTCAGGGAGTTTTTACAGATTTCCTTTCTGTTGCTTCCCTTTTTGTTTATGAGACTATCCTTGCTGCACGCCTCCGTTCTCAGTGTCAGTTTTTTTGCTGGCCCAGGCTTCTTCTATTCATAGCCAGAATGGAAGTCCCAGCACCAGTTCCTGCCCTGTGTGTAAAGCAGGGTCGTTTCTTGTCTGAATAAAATTTGCTGGTGGTTTTGCATATCTTAAAGTTTTGGAAAATGTATCCAAAGAGAATGCTCTTTTTTTTGAGATCGGGCCATCAGAAACACTGATCCCAGCATCATTTAATTTAACATCCTATTGGAGAGAAGAATAAAACACATCCATTCATATTCAAGGAAATCAGACCTAAATGTATCTACTTCTTAAAAAAATTCGAAGATATTGTCTTTAAAATAATAACCCGGCTGGGCACAGTGGCTCATGCCTCTGATCCCAGCACTTTGGGAGGTCGAGGTGGGCGGATCACGAGGTCAGGAGATCGAGCCCATCCTGGCTAACACCGTGAAATCCTGTCTCTACTAAAAGTACAAAAAATTAGCCGGGCGTGGTGGCGGGTGCCTGTAGTCCCAGCTACTCAGGAGGCTGAGGCAGGAGAATGGCGTGAACCCGGCAGGCGGAGCTTGCAGTGAGCCGAGATGGTGCCACTGCGCTCCAGCCTGGGCGACAGAGCAAGACTCCGTCTGAAAACAAACAAACAAAGAAACCAATAACCCTCAGGAATATTAAAAACCATCTCAACTTGCTGAGGAACCTAGAATAAGATATGTGTAGGGCTGAGAATATGAGCGATGAAAAAAAATTTCTTGACATAGTCAAATGGTGAAAACACTTATTTATTTATTTTTGCTCTATTTTTTATTTTTATTTTTATTATTATTATACTTTAAGCTTTAGGGTACATGTGCACAATGTGCAGGTTAGTTATATATGTATGCATGTGCCATGCTGGTGTGCTGCACCCATTAACTCATCATTTAGCATTAGGTATATCTCCTAATGCTATCCCTCCCCCCCCACCCGACTGCACAACAGTCCCCAGAGTGTGATGTTCCCCTTCCTGTGTCCATGTGTTCTCATTGTTCAGTTCCCACCTATGAGTGAGAACATGCGGTGTTTGGTTTTTTTGTCCTTGCGATAGTTTACTGAGAATGATGATTTCCAATTTCATCCATGTCCCTACAAAGGACATGAACTCATCATTTTTTATGGCTGCATAGGATTCCATGGTGTGTATGTGCCACATTTTCTTAATCCAGTCTGTCATTGTTGGACATTTGGGTTGGTTCCAAGTCTTTGCTATTGTGAATAGTGCTGCAGTAAACATACATGTGCGTGTGTCTTTATAGCAGCATGATTTATAATCCTTTGGGCACATACCCAGTAATGGGATGGCTGGGTCAAATGGTATTTCTAGTTCTAGATCCCTGAGGAATCGCCACACCTGCTTCCACAATGGTTGAACTAGTTTACAGTCCCACCAACAGTGTAAAAGTGTTCCTATTTCTCCACATCCTCTCCAGCACCTGTCGTTTCCTGATTTTTTAATGATTGCCATTCTAACTGGTGTGAGATGGTATCTCATTGTGGTTTTGATTTGCATTTCTCTGATGGCCAGTGATGATGAGCATTTTTTCATGTGTTTTTTGGCTGCATAAATGTCTTCTTTTGAGAAGTGTCTGTTCATATCCTTTGCCCACTTTTTGATGGGGTTGTTTGTTTTTTTCTTGTAAATTTGTTTGAGTTCATTGTAGATTCTGGATACTAGCCCTTTGTCAGATGAGCAGGTTGCGAAAATTTTCTCCCATTTTGTAGGTTGCCTGTTCACTCTGATGGTAGTTTCTTTTGCTGTGCAGAAGCTCTTTAGTTTAATTAGATCCCATTTGTCAATTTTGGCTTTTGTTCCCATTGCTTTTGTTGTTTTAGACATGAAGTCCTTGCCCATGCCTATGTCCTGAATGGTAATGCCTAGGTTTTCTTCTAGGGTTTTTATGGTTTTAGGTCTAACGTTTAAGTCTTTAATCCATCTTGAATTAATTTTTGTATAAGGTGTAAGGAAGGGATCCAGTTTCAGCTTTCTACATATGGCTAGCCAGTTTTCCCAGCACCATTTATTAAATAGGGAATCCTTTCCCCATTGCTTGTTTTTCTCAGGTTTGTCAAAGATCAGATAGGTGTAGATATGTGGCATTATTTCTGAGGGCTCTGTTCTGTTCCATTGATCTATATCTCTGTTATATATACCATGCTGTTTTGGTTACTGTAGCCTTGTATTTGAAGTCAGGTAGTGTGATGCCTCCAGCTTTGTTCTTTTGGCTTAGGATTGACTTGGCGACGTGGGCTCTTTTTTGGTTCCATATGAACTTTAAAGTAGTTTTTTCCAATTCTGTGAAGAAAGTCATTGGTAGCTTGATGAGGATGGCATTGAATCTATAAATTACCTTGGGCAGTATGGCCATTTTCACGATATTGATTCTTCCTACCCATGAGCATGGAATGTTCTTCCATTTGTTTGTATCCTCTTTTATTTCATTGAGCAGTGGTTTGTAGTTCTCCTTGAAGAGGTCCTTCACATCCCTTGTAAGTTGGATTCCTAGGTATTTTATTCTCTTTGAAGCAATTGTGAAGGGGAGTTCACTCATGATTTGGCTCTCTGTTTGTCTGTTATTGGTGTGTAAGAATGCTTGTGATTTTTGTACATTGATTTTGTATTCTGAGACTTTGCTGAAGTTGCTTATCAGCTTAAGGAGATTTTGGGCTGAGACAAGGGGGTTTTCTAGATATACAATCATGTCATCTGCAAACAGGGACAATTTGACTTCCTCTTTTCCTAATTGAATACCCTTTATTTCCTTCTCCTGCCTAATTGCCCTGGCCAGAACTTCCAACACTATGTTGAATAGGAGTGGTGAGAGGGGGCGTCCCTGTCTTGTGCCAGTTTTCAAAGGGAATGCTTCCAGTTTTTGCCCATTCAGTATGATATTGGCTGTGGGTTTGTCATAGATAGCTCTTATTATTTTGAGATATGTCCCATCAATACCTAATTTATTGAGATATTTTAGCATGAAGCGTTATTGAATTTTGTCAAAGGCCTTTTGTGCATCTATTGAGATAATCATGTGGTTTTTGTCTTTGGTTCTGTTTATATGCTGGATTACATTTATTGATTTGTGTATATTGAACCAGCCTTGCATCCCAGGGATGAAGCCCACTTGATCATGGTGGATAAGCTTTTCGATGTGCTGCTGGATTCGGAAACCACTTATTTTAAAATAAAACAATATGATAAGCATTATATTAAATCGACAATTAATATAATATGTTAAAAAATAATTAAAAGCATTATTTAAAATAGAATAATAAACTATTTCCTCCATAAGGTCAATTAGGTATTCTGCCTTCATTGCCTTAAGGAAGGGACAATACAGACAAATCTGATCACAAAAGTTAAATTCTTGGTTAATCTATTTCTACTTCTAGAATTTAGCAGTAAATGATAGATTTTGAAGATGAGATAAAGAGTTGTTTTTCCTGCTTCTGATTTACTGAACCTAGGAAGAAAGAAAGTGAGAAGGTGAACAAGAGGCTAGATATGGTGTTACTAAAAATTGGAGGCTGACACTTGATTTCTCTCCTTTGTTGACTGCCACTGCCATCTTAAAGGAAGACAGCAACCTCAGATACGTTGGAGTCTCAGATAATTAATTGAAGGGAACTATGCTGCTGTTTGCTGAACTTAATTTGTCCCATTGCTAGAGCCAATTGTTAAGTTTTTAGGAGTTTCGTGAACTTGCTAGTATCACATTGGTAACTTGAAATCAGCCATGGTGAGAGTTTTAATCTACAGAAATGGGCAGATGCTCAGCACTTTGGGAGGCCAAGGTGGGCAGATCACAAGGTCAGGAGATCGATACCATCCTGGCTAACACGGTGAAACCCCGTCTCTACTAAAAATACAAAAAATTAGCCGGGCGTGGTGGCGGGCGCCTGTAGTCCCAGCTGCTCGGGAGGCTGAGGCAGGAGAATGGAGTGAACCCGAGAGGTGGAGCTTGCAGTGAGCCGAGATTGCGCCACTGCACTCCAGCCTGGGCGACAGAGCAAGACTCCGTCTCAAAAAAAAAAAAAAAAAAAAAAAAGGAAAAGAAATGGGCAGATAGATGCTACAAGCCCGTCCCCCACCACATCCTGGAGAGCTGTTGTTAAACACTTACCAGCACCCCACTGGATCTGTGCCTCCCTTCCCAGGTGGAGCCTGGAGAAATAGACAGACTGCTGAGGACCCAGCGACTTCTTATATACCACATCAAGTGTAAAATTTGCAGTGTGATGCATCCAGGAGGATGGGCTTCTGTCATCCTTTTAGGGTTCCTGCTTGTCTCTTTGTACTCTGAGGAGGAGTAGAACAATTTCTCATGTATCTAAGAGCAGCACAGAGTGGGAAAGTATCTCAGACAATATTGATAATTGACCTGAAGCCTCAGAGTGGTATGGGAGAGCAGATCAGTTTTTGCGAGCTCCTTGAAATGGGCATAGCAGTGATTCAATATGACCAAGTTTGAAGATTCCTGAGGTTGAGGCCAAATGATGTGTCAGCAACCTGTGTGGTTTAGGGTTAGGATTTGGATAAAGCAAGTGAGTCACGAACCCTGGGTGCAACATTTAATGGTGTGCCAAAAAACTCAGTATTTTATTTATTTTGTTAGTTTTAAAAAATTTTATTTTTATTTCCGTAGTTTTTGGAATACATGTGGTTTTGGTTACATGGATAAGTTCTTTAGTGGTGATTTCTGAGACTTTAGTGCATCTGTCACCCGAGCAGCCTACACTGGACCCACTATGCAGTGCTTTATCCCTTATCCCCCTCCCAACCAGCCCCCACCCCAGTCTCCAGGGTCTGTTATATCACTCTTTTTTTTTTTTTTTTTTTTTTTGAGACGGAGGAGTCTTGCTCTGTCGCCCAGGCTGGAGTGCAGTGGCGCCATCTCAGCTCACTGCAAGCTCCACCTCCTGGCTTCACACCATTCTCCTGCCTCAGCCTCCCGAGTAGCTGGGACTACAGGCATCCGCCACCTCGCCCAGCTAATTTTTTGTATTTTTAGTAGAGACGGGGTTTCACCGTGTTAGCCAGGATGGTCTCGATCTCCTGACCTCGTGATCCGCCCACCTCGGCCTCCCAAAGTGCTGGGATTACAGGCGTGAGCCACCGTGCCCTGCCTGTTATATCATTCTTATGCCTTTGTGTTATCATATCTTAGCTTTCACTTATAAGTTAGAATATACCGTATTTGGTTCTCCATTCCTGAAAACTCAATATTTTAATGCCATATTTGAAATATCAAAATTAAGCAAAAGTACATTATGAATAAAATATTAATATATTAAGTAAAGCCAGTATCGATATCAGTGAGTTTTTCTTCTGCCTCAGGCTGTGATGGACTACAAGGGGTACTGTTACTGATCCTGCTTCACTTCTTGTTGATCCTGCTTCACTCCTCTCATCCTGGTCTAGGGGAGGGAGTCGGCTGGATCAGGGGTGGGAGGCAGGGTGCCTTGAATAGCTTGCAACTTAGTTCCTGAATGGGAGTTTGAAATGGACAGACAATGTATTGAATTTCAGAAAAATAAAGCTGTAATTCTTGCACATGTGACTTGTAGGCTCAGATTTGAACTTCCTGCACATGAGTTTGGCTGCAAGTTATTCTTGTATCTATAATGAAATAATTTATAAACATTGTTTTTTATCTTCATGTGGGATTAAATATTTCGTTACTTGTTGGTAACAGCTGTAGTCAGGTATGACTTATAGAAATCATGTTGCCATTTTCTTAGATGGTTTCAAATCTGTAGGGATATCTGTATGTATGTATATATATCTCTGTCTATATATATTCTGAACTTCATTACAGTGTGCCATCTTTTCTAGTGCTAATATTAGAGTCATTGGTATATAGTTCTCAAGATCCTTCCAGTGATTTATCAAAAATAACAGAAAAATATTTTGACCAACAATTTCAATAAATTCACCCTTGACTTATTTTCTAATATCTTGGTTAATGTCAGCTTTCATCTCATCTCCTAGTCTCTGCCATTTCCAATAAAAATAAAACAAAAATAGCTGACATTTTATCAGTCTGACTATGCACCAGAAACTTTGGAAATTGCATTACATGCATTATCTTATTTACTATGACAGCTCTGTAAGAGATGGACGATTAAAATGTCTATTTACAGATGAAGAAACTATACCTTAAGATAGTCACGGGACTGGCAAATGGCAAACTCAAACCCTTGTCTGCCTGGTTCCAAAGCTTGTTCATATACTCACTGTGCCAAACCACCAAATCCAATGTTCTTATACCTCAAGATGAGGTCCACTGATCCCCTTACCCCAAGTGGCAACGGTGTTTTCCTTTTTCTTAGAGCTAGAATATCGTGTAGCATCTCCAGTTTACAGGGGCTGTATTATCTCTTTTTATTCCTAGAACATAATGATTGATGAAGTATTAAGACTATGTTTCCTTATGAAAAATAACTGCGAAAATAATGTCAACAGATAGTACTGGTGATGGAATTGAATAGAAAATTTAGCACAAGATGGAAAATTTATAAAACAAATGACAGACCATGTTGATATTTGTGAATTGGATCAGTATTGTTTTATTTACAAATGACAGAAAACCTTCTCAAGCAAGATCGTGGGAGCTGGGCTGGTGGCTTTGTGAGGGTGGACTGGGATCTGGATTTGGAATGGAAGGAAGCACTCACGATGTGGGGATGTGAAGGCCACCTGAGCCAAGACCAGAACAGGGAATAGGGTAAAGGTTAGGGTTTTAGGGCAAGAGTGAGACTGCAGAAAGAAAACAAGACAGCGGTACAGTAATGGAGGTCAGTCCATTCAGGCTGCTGTAACAAAACACCAGAAACCAGGGGGTTTACAAAAGCTTGCATTTATTTCTCATGGTTCTGGAGACGGGAGAGTTCAAGATCAAGGTGCCAGCTGTGTTTGGTGAGGGCCCGCTTCTTTACTGATGGTATCTCTTCACCCTCCTCTCACATGGCAGAAGAGTAATGGGTCTCTCTAGGGCCTCTTTTATAAGGGCACTAATCCCAAACATGGGGGCTTCACTTCCATGGTCTAATCGCTTCTCAAATGCTTGAGTCACCAGAAACACCAAGGCATGATTAGAGGTCTGGAACTTTCACCCTAACACTCAACCTATAGGAAGAGGGGCTGAACTTGAGTTCAGTCACCAATGGTCAGTGATTTAATCAATCATGCCTACATAGTGAAACCTTCATAACAGACCCTAAACAATGGTATTAGAAGAACTTTCTGGCTGGTGTACACATTGAGGTGCTGGGACGGAGACTGGCCTGGAGGAAGCATGGAAACTCTGTGCTCCTCAGCCCTCTATACCTCACCCTATGCATAGGGCAAATAGACGTATCACAATATTACAGATGTGCAGAGTGGTTTCTGATTCCAGGTTGGAGCCTGACTTACACACTGTGCTGCTCATCTTTGATCTTCATAGGCCTATAATCTAATACTACTTTAGTAATACATATATGGGACCACAAGAACACTTAGCACAACCATTCTCTTTAAGTGCCATATTTTGGAGAGCTTCAATTCCAAAGCAAAAGATGTCTATCAAATTTTACAGTTAAAAAAAAAAAGAATGAGGTTTTGGTAAAGGCAGGAAGATAAATCGAGAATACACATGTGGGAGGGGTTGAAAGTAGGTGTAAGACAAGTGGCCTGCACATTTTGGCGTGAGGAGGGGAAGGAACTGGTAGAGATGGTGGGTGGGTCATTGACTGAATGGCCTAGTGGTGGCATCTTCAGGTGAGGCACATATATGAGGAGGAGAGGAGAGTTCTTCCTAAGGGGCAAGTAAAGAGAAGGTGAATAAAAGGAAGGCTGCTATTCGAGAATGGTGCAGTGGAGAGGAAACAGGAAAAAAAATTGAGGAAGATTTCTCCCATTTAATGAAGTACTTCAGTATGTCTAATTGGAAGTATACATTATTAGTGGAAGTCTTTGAAATGAATTCCTCAGCAAAGCCTAAGGTAGTTTAAGAATTTAATCTCTGTTTTTCCTCTTTCACTCATGGATATGCTTATGTATTATTATCAAGTGGACCAGTTGATTCTCTAGTTGGTTTTGTTGTGACATAAAATGTCTGTTTAAGTGATCTTTTTACGTGGTAAATATGGTACTTTATAGATTTTTGAAATCTCAACTTTTTCTGTCCTGATATTTGCCTTCATCCTTTTTCCCTTTCCTCTCTTCAAGAAGCTGTGCTGTTTGTGGTCATTTCCTATAGAGGAATGTGGAGCATGAAGGTTTGGTGAAAACATATATGTTTCCATTCTTTCTCAGGCTTTTCTTTTCCAGAATGCTAAGCCTCAAAGAGAATAAAAAGCCAGAGCTGAGGTTTTGAGGAGGTTAAAGCTTTTCCAGGCAGAGAGAAAAATTCAGATGAATTTGTGAAATTTGTGAGTAAAGTGATCTGTGCCTTGCTCCCTAGGAATAACACTGGAGAGATGAGAAGATCCCATCTGCCTCTGTCGCCTGGATGAATCTTGACTTACCCGCTGTGCTGCCTGTCTTTGAGCTTATAAGCCTATAACCTAACAATGCTTCAGTCATTAGAGATATACATTCCGGTATATAGGACTATTAAGAACGCTTAACCATTCTCCTTAAGTGTCATATTTGGCAATAAATGACCGCATGGCATGTCTAGGTACCTGGTACACCTTAGACAATCATACAGATGTTCTGTACCCCCAGCATGGTATGAATGTAGAGTGAGTCTTAATCGCCAGTAGTCTCCCAGAAGCAGCAGAGATTGTGTTGGACCTGAAGGAGCCATGCAGACAGGGATGAGGCATGTCTCCTTCAGAGGAGGCAATGGGTATACCAGTGTGTGTCCCCAGGC
The DNA here is from genome assembly GCF_000001405.40 of Homo sapiens. Lineage (NCBI taxonomy): Eukaryota > Metazoa > Chordata > Mammalia > Primates > Hominidae > Homo > Homo sapiens. The sequence continues at coordinate 17,916,174 of NC_000021.9, forward strand.
TCAGATTACACACAGAGCCAGATGGTCTCCTTCTGATGCTTGGATACCGCAAATAGCCCCAGAACTTAAATGCAACCTCAGAGGAAAGTGGCAAGGGAGCCCAGATTAACCGAGATTAAGAAAAAGAACCTTATTTTTTTCCAGTTTATATCCAGATTGTCTCCAAGTCATTTATTACAAATTCATCTTTTTTTCAACTGATTGAAAACAACATCACATGATATACTAAAAATTATTTTATATATTTAGGTCTATATTTGGGCTTTCTTTTCTATCCCAGTGAATTATTTATCTATTTTTGAACAGGCACTGTATTTTCTTAATGTTGTAGCTTTATAATATATTTTATGACTTGTAGAGCTACTTCCTCCTTGTTACTGTTTTTTTTTTAGATTTTTTAAAATTATTTTTGCTCATATTTTTATAGAAACTTTAAGATTAGCTTCAGTAGTTCAAATTATTGCTAGTATTTTTACTAGAATCAATTTAAAGTTATGAATTAATGGAGGTTTCCAGCTTTATCATGTTGATTTTTCCTATTCAGAAACATGGTATGCTTTTTTTATTCGTTCATACCTATTTTTGTTGTTGTTGTTCATTACTAGTGTTACATAGTTTCTTCACATACATTTTGCACATTTCTTATTAGGTTTCCTGTGTATAAGTCAGAGTCCCAGCAAGAAAGGTATAGCAAATATTCCAATGGGCTAATGGAGGGGAGTTTGATGAAGGGATTATTTTCAAAGGTGAGGAAAGGGTTAAGGAGACTCAACAAGGGACAGTGTAAAGGCTAATTTTAGGTGTACACTTGACTGCATTAAGTAATATCCAGAGAGCCGGTAAAGCATTATTTCTGGGTCTATGAGGGCGATTTTGGAAAAGATTGACATTTGAGCCAGCAGACTACGTAAGGAAGATCCACTCTCACTGAATGTGAGCGAGCACCATCCAATCAGCTGAGGGCCCAGATAGAACAAAAAGGCAGAAGAAAATCAGATTCACTCTCTCTCTTCTGGAGCTGAAACAACTTTCTTTTCCTGCCATAGGACATCAGGACCCCAGGTTCTCTGGTCTTGGGACTCTGAGACTTGCACCAGGAATCCTGCCCAGGCTCTCAGGCCTTTGGACTCAGACTGAGCTACTTCACTGGCTTTCCTGGTTCTCCAGCTTGAAGATGGCAGATCGTGGGACTTCTCAGCCTCCATAATTGAGTGAGCCAATTCCCTGGTAAGTCCCCTCTCACGTATTTATATCTATATCCTTATACTATTTGTTCTGTTTCTCTGAAAAACCCTGAAGAACACAGCAGTAAAATAACCTGGGGCTAGCGACCACAGAGAGTAACAAGAAGGTGGAAGGAGTGTACCAGACTCTGGAGGGGACACTTGGAAGAGATTCATGCCCTACCCAAGGTGGGGCCATCTGTAGAGGGATGCAGACAACCCAGGGAAGGACACACCCTGACCTCACTCTTCTCTTGCCATCTGATTACCTGGCAGTGCCTTCTATTGGCCAAACCCAACAGAAGCCAGAGAAGAAAGGTGACCATTGATGTGGTTCACAAATGTCTATCTGCTGGGACACAGAGAAGAGTAAAGAGTAGATCTACAGGAGGTAAATGAATGATATTTAGCACACTGCATGTTTTATCTTTTTGTTAACAGTGTAAAAATGAAGTCTTCTGTTGTCTCTCTCTGATATGCGTGTGTGTGTGTGTATGTGTGTGTGTGTGTAGTTCTGCCGTTCTTGAAGCTAAACTCTAAAGGAGGTGATGAACAATTAGACAAGTAGTTATAATAAATGTGCTACTATATGGGAAATAAAAGATCTCATGAAAGTTTTAGTAGGTAAACCTTGTGAAGTCTGTGGAGTCATAAATGGCTCCTGAAACAAGACAGGTTTAAATAGATATCCTGAGGATAAGGAAGGTGTTAGGCAGATGAAGAGGCTGATACTGGTGGGGTATGGCAAAGAGAAACTGGGGGTGAGGGGGGTTTTCAAGTTTGATGAGGGGTTGAAATATTTTATTTCATATATTTTATTTTTTACTGTTTACTTGCTCTCTGACCTTGGGTGAATTACCTAACTTTTCTGTGCCACAATTTTCCATCTGTAAAGTAGTTATTATACTGTATTAGTCCGTTTTCACACTGCTGATAAAGACATGTGTGAGACTGGCCAATTTACAAAAGAAAGAGATTTAATGGACTTACAGTTTCACATGGCGGGGGGTTGAGGGGCTCACAATCATGGTGGAAGGCAAGAAGGAGCAAGTCATGTCTTACATGGATGGCAGCAGGCAAAGAAAGAGCTTGTGTAGGGAAACTCCCATTTTTAAAAACATCAAATGTCTTGAGATTCAGAACTGCCCCCATAATTTAATCACTTCCCCCCGGGTTCCTCCTAGGACACATGGGAATTGTGGGAGTTGCAATTTAAGATGAGATATGGGTGGGGACACAGACAAAGCATATCATTCTACCCCAGCCCCTCCCAAATCTCATGTCCTCACATTTTAAAACCAATCATGCCTTCCCAACAGTCCCCCAAAGGCTTAACTCATTTCAGCATTAACTCAGAAGTCTACAGTCCTAAGTCTTATCTGCGGTAAGGCAAGTCACTTCTGCCTACGAGCCTGTAAAATCAAAAGCAGGTTAGTTACTTCCTAGATACAATGGCGGTACAGGAATTGGGTAAATGCAGCCATTCCAAATGGGTGAAATTGACCAAAACGAAGGGGCTACAGGCCCCGTGCAAATCAGAAATCCAGCAGGGCAGTCAAATCTTAAGGCCCCAAAATGATCTCCTTTAACTCCATGCCTCACACCCAGGTCATGCTGATGTGAGAGGTGGGCTCCCATCCCCTTGGGCAGCTCTGCCCCTGTGGCTTTGCAGGGTAAAGTCCCGCTCCTGGCTGCCTTCATGGGCTGGTGTTGAGTGTCTGCGGCTTTTACAGGTGCGCAGTGCAAGCTGTCAGTGGATCTACCATTCTGGGGTCTGGAGGATGATGGCCCTCTTCTCACAGCTGCACTAGGTGGTGCCCCCATAGGGACTCTGTGTTGGAGCTCTGACCCCACATTTCCCTTCTGTACTGCCCTAGCAGAGGTTCTCCATGAGCACTCTGCCCCTGCAGCAAACTTCTGCCCGGGCATCCAGGCATTTCCATACATCCTCTGACATCTAGGCAGAGGTTCTCAAACTTCAATTCTTGACCTCTGTGCACCTGCAGACTCAATACCACGTGGAAGCTACCAAGGTTTGGGATTCCACCCTCTGAAGCAACAGCCCAAGCTGTTACTTTTAGTCATGGCTGGAGCAGCTGGGACACAGGGCACCAAGTCCCTAAACTGTACACAGCAGAGGGACCCTAGGTCTGGCCCACGAAACCATTTTTTCCTCCTAAATCTCCAAGCCTATGATAAGAGGGGCTGCCACAAACCACAAAGGTCTCTGACATGCCCTGGAGACATTTTTCCCACTGTCTCGGGGATTAACATTTGGCTCCTTGTTACTTATGCAAATTTATGCAGCCAGCTTGAATTTCTCCTCAGAAAATGGGATTTTCTTTTCTATAGCATTGTTAGGCTGCAAATTTTTCAAACTTTTATGCTGTTTCCCTTATAAAACTGAATGATTTTAACAGCACCCAAGTCACCTCTTGAATGCTTTGCTGCTTATAAATTTCTTTTGCCAGATACCCTAAATCATCTTTCTCAAGTTCAGAGTCCTGCAAATCTCTAGGGCAGGGACAAAATGCTGCCAGCCTCTTTGCTAAAACATAACAAGAGTCACCTTTGCTCCAGTTTCCAGCAAGTTCCTCATCTCCATCTGAGATCACCTTAGCCTGGATTTCATTGTCCATATCATTATCAGCATTTTATTCAAAGCCATTCAACAAGTCTCTAGGGAGTTCCAAACTTTCCCACATTTTTCTGTTTTCTTCTGAACCCTCCAGACTGTTCCAACCTCTGTCTGTTACCCAGTTCCAAAGTTGCTTCCACATTTTCGGGTATCTTTTCAGCAGCACCCCACTTTACTGGTACCAATTTACTGTATTATTCAGTTTTCATGCTTCTGATAAAGACATACCCAAGACTGGGCAATTTACAAAAGAAAGAAGTTTAATGGACTTACAGTTTCACATAGCTGGGGAGGCCTCACAATTATGGCAGAAGGCAAGGAGGAGCAAGTCATGTCTTACATGGATGGCAGCAGGCAAAGAGAGAGCTTGTGCAGGGAAACTCTCATTTTTAAAACCATCAAATCTTGTGAGACTCATTCACTATCACAAGAACAGCCCAGAAAAGATCTGCCCCCATAATTTAATCACCTCCCACTGGGTTCCTCCCATGACATATGAGAATTATGGGAGTTACAATTCAAGATGGGATTTGGGTGGGGACACAGAACAACCATATCATATACTAAACTCACAAGTTGTTGTAAGGATTAAACAAGAAAATACATTTACATTTTTGAGACGGTGCTTGGCAGATAGCACATGCTCAATAAATGGTAGCTATTATTATTAACATTGTATGAGGATTAGCTGCAGTCAGTAGAGAGTGAGATCTATCGGAGTAAATACATCTGACTGTATACTGCTAGTGAGGTAGTCAGAGGCCCCACTGAAGACAAAGATAAGGATCTGAAGAACTGACAGCTTGAGAATAAGTTTTCATATTGTTCCAAGGACAATAAAAAGATGGATTTAATACAGGGAAGTTATATGATCACTTGCCTATTTTAGAAAGTTTTGCTGCCACTGTTCATGTCTTGCCTGTTCTTCTACAAGGTACATTTCCAAGCTCCCTTGCAGTTAGGGGCCATATACCTAACTTTTGGCCAAGGGTTTGTATTAGTCTGGACTCACAAGAGAAACAGGACCAATAGGATGGATGGATAGATAGATAGACAGAAACAGATTTATTATAAGAAATTGTTTCCTGTGATTATAGAGGCTGGGAAGTCCAAAATCTGCAGTGTGAACTGGCAGGCAGAGGCTCAGGAGAGTCTATGATGCCAATGAAATGTGAAGGTAGTTTGCTGAAGAATTCCCTCTTGCTTGAGGAGGCTGGTCTTTTTGTTCTATTCAGGCCTTCAACTGATCGGATGAGCCTCATCTATATTATGGAGGGCAATCTTCTTTATGCAAAGTTCACTGTTTTAAATGTTAATGCCATTCAGAAACATCATCTAAGTTAACACATAAAATTAACCACCAAGGGTGTGTTGGGCAGAAGTGATGTGTGCCCCTTATAGGCAGGGGGTCTAACCCTCTTGTGTACAATCTTCCATGCTTTCTTCCTTTGCTACTTGGCAGGTGAGAGGTACAGTATCTAGAATAGGATGTAAACTCTAGGGGGATGAAGGAGCCACTAGGAAGAAGGAAGCAAGTCCTTAAAAGATTAGGTGGAATAGACATTTATCCACCTTTGTCTCTCATTGAATTGAGACGTGTGAGAAATAGGCAGATGTTGTGTTAAGCTTTGGGACTTAGGGGTTGTTTATTACAGCAGTTAGTATATCCTGACTGATGAATCATTCTGGCAGCAGGGAGGGCAATGTGTTGACACAGGTTAAGGCTACAGTCAGGAAGGCCAGCTAGGAATTTTTGGTACAAGTCCAGGCAAGAGATAATGCTGAGCTGGACTAGGTTGATGCAGCATGTGGACAGCAGATGTTTAAATTAATCATACTGTGAGTAGTAATAAGCATTTAGTGCTTTACCAAATTATCTCAGTGAACACTCCAAATTTCTATTTTTTCCAAGAAAAAGAATAAATTGACAGATTGTCCAGATTTATTCCACAATAAAGGAAAGTTATGAAATATGATGCTATTTCTGGTTTCTTATTTACAGTTAAGTTCATGTTCAACTTAACCAAAAGAATCTTAGGGAAAGTTGAAGTGATAATGCTTAATTAGGAGGTACATGGCAGTACAGTTAGAGTGAAGAAAAGAAGAAGTGAGACAGAGAAGTCTAAGAAGCAAATTCAAGGTGATATACCAAGTGGGCCACTGCTTATGGCTCTAAAAAAAAAAAAACACTGTACCTCAGAACAACCCAACAGATGGAAAATTGTGGGGGAAATTTATCTGTGAGCTCACTCATGTCTCCTGTCTCCTGTTGGCTAAAGGTCATTCCAGAGAAAATTTACAACATTGTTCCACTGCTTTAGAGGTGGAGCGAGGCCCAGAGATTCTGGATGTCTGGACAGCCTAGTATGACTTGCTGTGGCTGCAATTACTACAGAGAAAGCAGCCAATGGCCCACAAAATAGATGAGGCTGAAGAATCAGAGGAGACACTCAAGATGGGTTGATAAATCTGGTTTGGAACTCATCAGTGGTAGCTCTGATAAGGTTGTTAGCACACTTATCTATGAAGTACTTTAATTAAATAAAGGGTTATTTAATTGCCCATGTAGTGTGATAGTATTACTGCTATTTATGTGGAAATTAAACACAATAACAACAGCAATGTTTTACATTAGATTTCAGGAATGTGGGGTGACATTCCTTATGAGGTCTTAGCTTTAAGTTTATTCTTTTACTGAATGCACTGAGATGTAGCTCCTAAAGGTTGCGAACTCTGAATATCTGAGACAGGTCTCAGTTAATTTAGAGAGTTTATTTTGCCAAGTTTGAGGACATGCAGCCGTGACAGCCTCAGGAGTCCTGAAGACACGTGCCCAAGGTGGTCAGAGCACAGCTTGCTTTTATTCATTTTAGGGAGACGGGAGACATCAGTCAACATATGAAAGATGAACATTGGTTCCTTCTGGAAAAGTGGGACAATTGGAAGCAAAGGTGGGACAACTTCAAGCAGGGAGGGGACTTCCAGCTCATAGGTAGATAAGAAACAAATGGTTACATTCTTTTGAGTTTCTGATTAGCCCCTCCAAAGAAGGCAATGAGATATGCATTTATCTCAGTGAGCAGGGGTGGGGGTTGGCTTTGAATAGAATGGGAGGCAGGTTTGCCCTAAGTAGTCCCAGCTTGACTTTTCCCTTTAGCTTAGTGATTTGGGGGCCTCAAGATTTATTTTCCTTTCACAAGCTTTTCCATTATTTACAGCAGACTTTGTCTTTTTCTGCCTCTTTTTTTTTTTCCTGCCAAAGTCTGCATTATCACCATAAATGCTGACAACTGCCCTATGAGGTAGGTGTAAGCATGGGCTCAATTTTACAGATTTGTAAAATAAATTAAAAAAAGTAAAAAGATGTTAACAACTTTCCCACAAGATCTCAGAGGACATTTTATATAACATTTTCCCTAATTCTTCAGTTTTTTTTTTTTTTTTTGAGACGAAGTCTCGCATTGTTGCCCAGGCTGGAGTGTGGGGTCACAATCTCGGCTCACTGCAACCTCCGCCTCCTGGGTTCAAGCAATTCTCCTGCCTCAGCCTCTGGAGTAGCTGGGACTACAGGTGCCCGCCACTATGTCCAGCTAATTTTTTGTATTTTTAGTAGAGACGGGGTTTCACCATGTTGGTCAGGCTGGTCTCAAACTCCTGACCTCGTGATTCGCCCACCTCAGCCTCCCAAAGTACTGGGATTACAGGCCTGAGCCACTGTGCCTGGCCAGTTCTTCAGTTTTATACAAGTCCCAAAGGCCAGGAACAAAATACTTGTTCTTAAGTAGCCCTATAATTTAGAAAAGGTGCCAAACTACTCATGTGGAACTAGAAAGATGGCAACACAAAGATAGCTTTAAACAATCACTTACTTGAGTTTTGAAACAGGTTGAAGTCAAAGAAGCTGAGAGTCAGGAATTCTTTGGAGAGTGTTGTTGACATGCTGTTCTTCCCCTCTCCCTTTCTTTGGAAGAGAAGGATGTTGAGGAACGTGAGGGTCTCTTGGAGTTTGAGGGATAGAGTGTCTGATATTTGGCTCATGCCTGAGGAAGCTAAAGGTGAGAGGCTGTGGCTGGAGGTGCCTCTGCCCGGTAGCACCATACAAAGTGCTAAACAGGGAGCAAAGGCATGTACACAAGGGGGAGAATAAAAGTAGCATTTCCTGTGAAAGCTGTGTGAATGCAGAAAAGAGAGCTGGTCAGCATCCTCCGCTGGAGTATAGCTGATGGTGAAGGGACTTGAGGAGAGAAATGGGCAGCCAGAAGCCCAAGGGCCAGCAGGAGGGAGCAGTAAGTAGCCTGTGGGAGGAGAGGCAGTTGGTGCACTCTAGTGCAAAGGTGTCCGAGGGCTGTCTCCAAAAACCCTTTATTGGAGAATCAGCCTTGGAGACCGGAGAGAAATGATGTGAGATCACAACTGTGTCACCATGGAGCAGCTGTGCACTTTCCTGCCAACTCCTCTTCCCTGGGCCTGACCTAGCAGGAGAGGAGGTGAACAAGGAAGAGAAAGGAAGCCAGCTTCATCCTATTTGCCCATTGCAGGCTTCCAAGTCTGAAGCTGGGAGAGAAGAGAAGTTTTAACTTGAAATGAGATTGTCATTATACAATTAGTCGGGACTGTTCTGACCTGGACTTTTTATTATCTGAAATCTCTAGACTGAAGGACTTTTTAGCTGAACATAACATAAAAATCAATAATACATGCTTGATATTGCATTCAGGGTAGAAATTAATAAGTCTACAGAAATAAGTTTTTCTTTTTTGTACATTGTCATCATATCCACCTTGTAAAACCAAATAGGTGCACTGCTAATCATTCTGTTATATTACCACAGAGCTTGTCCTTATCTGGCTCTGTTAAAAAAATGCTACATAAGAAGACAAAGACACCAATCAATGATCACTCATTAAGCCTGTGGTCTGAATTAGTTAATACAGTTGGGAATCAGGATTAAGACATTCTAAAGGCAAATATTATAAAAAGAATAGTCTGGAACATAAGTCACTGGAAGTTTAGGTTAAAGAGTGCATTAGTGAGCAATCTGGGCAGCCAAGCTCAAGGGAGGGGGCACTAGTGGCCGTGTGGGGTGGAAGAAAGGAAAGGACACACCCCTGAGGAGAATCCAATCTGCGTATGAGCAGCCTCTGTAAATTCCACCTGATGCGACCTCTAGTGGTCACTCTAGTACCATGCTACAGTGTGCATATCCAAAATTGTGACCAGTCCATAACATGAAAGTTGACTCTCAGTTTTCACAGGTTTAAAATTTTAGAACTGTGCAGGCAGAGAGCTCTTAATACATATTAATGGTTTGATTGCTCAGGTGGAGAATGGGTGAAGATGTATGCACCTGGGCCAGTTTCCTGATAGCTGACTTTCATGCTGAGTGTAAATTTGGCCACACATTTGAAGTGTCAGAGGGCAAATAGGAAAGAATTAAATAACTCATTGATTTCTCAACTGACCTTTGGCATTATTCATAAAGAGTACATAGAAGGCTTTGAATAAATGCTTGTTGAATAAATAAACAAGGAGCTACTCCTTATGGAGTTTGCTTTTTCATTGTCATGAATTGGGAGATTTAAATTATAGGAACTTAGTATGTTAACATCCACAAATTTTAAATTCGCCTGCGAGTAAAAGGATAAATTTATTTATAATAGATTTGGATGATTCCTATTTTTGTTATTTTATTCATTACATTTTATACAGGCAATCCAGGACTATAAGTGAGCCACACACTTTCTGAGTTCCTTTGAGTAAATGACTATTCCATGTTGGTTGTCCAGAAAGGTCAAATAGTGGACCCAATATCTTTTATTGGTTATTTTCAAAGTTTAGTAATGTAGTGATTATAAGTTTCTTTGAGATGTTTATTCTTTTTCTTTGTTTACTCATGAGGATATAATTTGAGATGTTTAATAGACAATTAGTATTTCAAAACTTATTTTAATTTGTGGTTTAATTAATAGTAATTTAATTAGTTCCAATAAGCATAATGAGAACATAAAAACTCTAAATTAGTAGGTGTAATGATTCTTGTCTTTCCTCAAGAGGGCAGCAAAACCGCACTGCTCAGTTCTCAAAGATCAGGATGAAAATCTTAAAAAGCTGATACACAGACAGCTTTCATATTAGTCCAACTAATTAAACATAACATGTGTTGATATTTGTATTGCCATTTTACAAAAGTTTAGCTTTTCCTTTATGAAATGAAAAAAAAATTTAATTCTTTGTTTTAGGTTAGACAACAGAATTATACTTGCCTAGGGTCTCAACACACATTGTTTACACAAGGACAAATGATTAAGTAAGCTACTGAGGGTAACAAATAAATAAGGTGGGTTTTTTTTTTTTTTTTCCTGAAGTGTATTAGTCCATTCTCATACTTCTATGAAGAAATACCTGAGATTGGATAGTTTATAAAGGAAAGAAGTTTAATTAACTCACAGTTCCTCATTGCTGGGGAGGCCTCAGGAAACTTATAATCATGGCAGAAGGCAAAGGAGAAGCAAACACCTTCTTCACAGGGCCTCAGCATGGAGAGATGCAAGCAGGGGAAATGCCAGATGGTGATAAAACTATCAGATCTTGTGATACTCACTCACTGTCACGAGAACAACATGACAGAAACCGCCCCCACGATTCATTTACCTCCACCTGGTCCCGCCCTTGACACGTGGATTATAGGGATTACAATTCAAGATGAGATTTTGGGTGGGGACACAGCCAAACCATATCACCAAGTTACTAAAGTGATCGTACTTGAATACAGTTGGGAATCAGGATTAAGACTTTCTAAAGGCAAATATTATAAAAAGAATACTCTGGAACATAAGTCACTGGGAAGTTTAGGATAAAGAGTGCATTAGTGGGCAATCTGGGCCATTTTGGAAATTGCCTTTCTATAATCTATCCTAGGTAGAAAGACCTTTTAAATACACAGACACACACACACACACGCACACACACACAGACATACACACATATGTGTATGCATATATGTATATGTATGCATATATGTGTATATGTATGTATATGTATATCTGTGTGTATGTATGTATATCTGTGTGTATGTATATATGTATATATGTATATATATGTATATATGTATATATGTATATATATGTATATATGTATATATGTATATATATGTATATGTATGTATGTGTGTGTGTATATATATATATCCCAGAGTTGAAGAAAACTTGAATATTGGCTCCAGAAAAATAGGGAAATGAGAGGGAGTTGAATATACCCCTGCCCACACGTATAGAATGGAATTTGGGCATTTCCTAGGCAGATTATAGATGAGGTTTGTCTTTAGCGCTTATAACATTGTCTTTGATATCCTCTCTGTTCCTGGCTTGCTACGTGCTGTTCTTATATTTAGAAGGTGGTCATATGGTCCTGACAGTTGTTGCCTAATAGTGGTTCAAAACATTTCTTTTCTGTGGTATATTTGCATTTAATAGAGGACAGGAGAAGGCTGGAAGATTTTCAAGGCATAAAGGAATGGACTATAATGGATCCTCAGAGGCCTGCATCCTGCCCTGGGGCTCCTGCTTTCATTTTAATAGCAGCAGCTGTAGGGTGGGAACAGGGAGACCAGCACCTACATGTGCCACAATGACCAAATCCACCACTGTTTCTGCCAGAGGGAGGTACGAGTGGGCCATTCACCTTATAGCTGCCTGCCTCCACTGCTCATGCTGATAGAATATTCTGATGGACCATAGAGTTGGAGCATTTGGTCCATAGTAGGTTTATCTTTTATATATAGTAGGCTTCCAATAAATAGTTGTTAAATGAATAAAGACCTCAAATGATAAATGAAAGATGTAGCTGCTCTTCCACCTACGCAACACACAGAATAAAAATCCTCTTCCTTTTTGTGAGGTTAACTAACTTTGATGGAGAAAAATTTATATTGTTACTGGAAAGGGTACAGGTATATTCAGCTGGAAGCATTTGATGATTCTTTGTTCCATTATATTGAATAGGTTCACTAGGGTTCAAAACAGGTTCAATGGCATGGTGGCCATCATAAACAAATTTAAAGTTCGAATTTAAGGGTTGTTCTCATCTTTCAAATATTTAAAGATCTTGTAAGAATTAATATTTATCAAGCACTTATTCTTTGCAAATCCCTATGCTAGTTTTGTTTTGACATTTACTGCACAGTATAAAAAGAATAAACTATACTCTTGTCTTCAATGAATTTATAGTCTCCCTGGAGTTCCAAGACTAGCACACATGAAAACATCACTAAAGAAGGTACAGTATAGATCATTAATGCAAATGAGTAAGTGCCATGTCCCGGGATTAAAAGGGTTCTGAAAAGGGAAAGTCAATAAGAGGTAGAGATGCTGGGGGAAGGCTACCCAAAGAAAAAGGACCTTGAGGTGACTCCTAAAGTACAGGTAGAGTTTGGATACAGAGACAAAGCGGGGTGTCCTAGGAATAACAGCTGTATAAAGATGTAAGAAGTGCTGAGCATGGTACGTTTTAGAAAACAGATTAGAAAATAACTGCAAATTGGGTAACAGTGGGGGCCAAAGTTGGAAAAGTGATTAGGTTTTTAGAATTGAATCTAAAAAAAAAGATGAATTCTATAACATTATTGAGTAGGAGAACAATGAAAGGATAGCCATGTTTCCAGATAATTAACCTCCTTACTTCCCCTGCTGTGGAAACCAAGTCTGTAGAATAATTGGAAGGGGAGAAATGTTTGGGGTGATTAGAGGATGGTGGGACCAGTTTACTTCTTAACTGTGAATACTGTACTTATTGAGCTGAATTATATTTTCAAACGTATACAATAACATTTTAATAATTTAGGCTTAGAAATAATAAATCTGTATTTCAATTTTTATTCTAGGATAGTATTAGTGATAGATTCCAATCCCTGAACTTCATGCAAGTATCATAGTCACTAGAAATCCACTTAAGAGCTGAGATCCATTGGTGGTACATTTTTATTTTTTAGTAAGGAGCTGTTTCTAATGTCAACACTGGTAAACTAATGGTTTGTTGGAAGAAAAGACAGCCAACATATTCAGTCAAGAACATTTTACTTGTTCCATGTGAAAATCCATTATAGAAACAATTTCTTTTTTTATCCTGAAATAAACATATATTGCAGAAACAGACACAGGATATTTTCATGCCTCAAAGTAATGTCTTTGGCTAGTTGCTATTGAGTACTTTCATGATGTGAATATCATCACTAACAATTCATCAATTCTAAACTAGATTTCACTTAAACTTGCAAATTTACCATTTTAATGACATATTTAAAAAGTTTTTTGAAAGAAAAAGTACAAATAAAAGTAAAATAAGGGCTTCTGGTTCAAGATGGCTGACTAGAAGCAGCTAGTGGGTTCCTCTTCCATGGAGATGAATCAAAATAGTAAATATTCACACTTTGAATAGATCATCTAAAAGAGAGAGCACAACGGAATTCATCAGAGAAGTGATGGGAATTATGGAAAGCAAAGAAAGGTGAAGCCATGCAGCCTGCTGAGCTGGGATTGGTATGGAGCCAGGAGTAGCTCCCTGACATGGGGAAGGGCTGAGTGAGCAACCCCTGGGGCCCCACTCCCAGTGTGGATTTTCACAATCCTAGCGATGGGAGAGCTCCCTGAACCCCCCGGGGCCTCCAGTCTAACACAGGGAACTTGCCCGGAGATTGCGCAGAGGCACTGCTTCGGCCCACATGGAATTCCACAGGCTTTTCATTCCTGAAACGCTGCAGCCTGGTACCAGCTGCTGTTGCAGTGCCAGGAGGGAGTGGGGAGGGAGTGGGGAGGCCAAGTACTTTTGCACACCCCAAAGATGTGTATCACGGCTGCTGCTGCTGCAGGGTAGAGGAGCAAGCACATTGAGCACCCTTGCTTTCACTGTTCCCGCTAAGGGGGACCTGCCTTCCCTAGGCTCACAGTACAGCCACCTTGCTTCTGCCTGAGCATTTTGGCTGTGGCCTGGCACCCTTCTGAGAGCCCAGCCCCCAGAGGCCTGCAGTCTGCCCTGGGGATCCTGCTGCTGTTGCTGCAACTGCCACCACCACTGCCAGGCCAAGGAGGGAGTGGGAAGACAGGACACCTTTGCACACCTCAGTGGTGGATACCACCACTGTTTCTGTGGGAGGAAGGTGTGAGTGGGCCAAAGGCCCCACAGCTGTTAGCTTTCACTGCTCTCACTGAGCAGGGCTACCCCTGCCTGTGCATTTTGCTGTTGCCTAGCACCCTTTTGAAAGCCTAGCCCTCAGAGGCCTGCATTCTGCCCTGGGGCTCCTGCTTTCATCTTATTAGCAGCAGTTGTAGGGAGGGAACAGGGAGACCAGCACCTGCATGTGCCACAATGACCAGATCCACCACTGTTTATGCCAGAGGGAGGTATGAGTGGGCCATGCACCTTGTAGCTGCCTGCCTCCACTGCTCATGCTGATGGAATATTCCGCAGCTGCCTGAGTGGTCTGCCTGCCCTTTCCAAAGCATTCTGCCAGCAGCCTGGGGGCCAGCCCACCCCTTCCTATCACAGCCAATACCTGAACTGTGGGAATTTGAAGACATGTTTGCTGGTCCGGTCCTGGTTTAGTCCCTCCAGGACTCATGCACATTGTCCAGAGAGCCATTTAGGAACCTGAGGATTAGGGGATTGCCTAGCCCAGTGATGGCACCTGTTCATTCCCTCTGGGGTCTGAGGTTGAACTAATCCAATCACCTGACACCACCACAGAGGACTCCCACCTGCATGTACTGTAAGGCAGAACCATTCCCCCTCTCTCTATGAAGCAGCAGTGTTCCTACACTGGAGAACAGGAGAGCCACAAAGTTGTCTGTATTGAGCTGAGGGAAGAGATTCCATGCTGAAGCCATTCCAGTGAAGAATCACGGGACAGGTGTTTTCCCTGGCTTTCGGTGACATTGTGGCCTGGCGTTAGATGACAGTGTCTGCCTGAACTGAGAGTCATCAGCCCTGGCACAAGGGTGTGATACAGAAAGAGACTGTGTTCCTGTCTGCCCAGGATGTGGAGCTGGTGGAGCCCCCTCTCCAACTGCAGCAACCTTGGCACATTTCACCAGGAGCTCCCTCAGTCACTCCCGTCAGAGCTGGTGCCTGTGCTCCTCATTGAAGTATTCATGGGTGAGCTTGGTGTTTCTGTTCCTCCCAATAAACCGAGATCAAGCAAATACCCATCTGCTTCTGTGACAGACAGCTTTTTCCCATAAGCACCACCTACTGGTCTGGAGGTTGAACTGCAAAGCCCGATACAAAACATGCTAACAAGAAGTACACAAGGCTAAAGAATAAAAGCTAAAGGACGCTACTCAACTTATACTATAGTCACACTGTCATGGGGAAAATAATCCCATCTAAATGAAAGTAAATAAAAAACAAGAAGTGACAGCTTCTCCAGATGAGAAGAAACCAGTATAAGAACTCTGGCACCATGAAGAAGCAGTGTTGAGACATCCCCAAAGGATCGTACTAGCTTGCTAGCAATGGATTCTAACCAGAATGAAAATTCTGAAATTACAGATAAATAATTAAAAATATGGATTATAAGGAAGCTCAATGAGGTCCAAGAGAAAGTTGAAAACCAATGAAACAAAATCAGGAAAACAATGTAGCATATGAAAGAAGAAATAGATATCTTAAAAAAAGACAGGCAGAACTTCTGGAAATGAAAAATTCACTGAAGGAATTACAAAATACAGGCATGAATGAAACTGGGCCTCTATCTCTCACCATATACAAAAATTAACTCAATGTGA
This sequence comes from Homo sapiens, assembly GCF_000001405.40. Taxonomy (NCBI): domain Eukaryota; kingdom Metazoa; phylum Chordata; class Mammalia; order Primates; family Hominidae; genus Homo; species Homo sapiens. Next base: position 17,931,812 of record NC_000021.9, read on the forward strand.
GTTAAAGACTTAAATATAAGACATGAAACTATGAAAATCCTCGAAGAAAACATGGGGAAAACTGTTCAGAATATTGGCCTAGGCAAAACATTTATGACTAAGAACTCAAAAGTAAATGCAACAAGAACAAAAATAGACAAATGGGACTTAATTAAACTAAAAAGCATCTGCCAGCAAAAGAAGTAATCAGTGGAGTAAGCAGACAGCCTACAGAGTGGGAGAAAATATTTGCAGACTATGCATCTGACAAACAACTAATATCCAGAATCTACAAGGAACTCAAGCAACTCTACAACAACAACAATGACAAACAACCATATTAAAAAGTGGGTAAGGGATACAAATAGACACTGCTCAAAAGAATACAAGTGACCAACAAAGATATGAAAAAAAGGCTCAACATTACTGATCATCAGAAAAGTGCAAACTAAAACCATAGTGAGATACCATCTCACATCAGTCAGAATGGCCATTATTAAAAAACTGAAAAACAGCAGATGTTTGTGAGGATGAAGAGAAAAGGGAACACTTATACACTGTTTGTGGGAATGTAAATTAGTACAACCTCTGTGGAAGACAGGATGGGTATTTCTCAAAGAACTGAAAGTAGGATCTACCATTTGACCCAGCAATCCCACTGTTGAGTATCTACCCAAAGGAAAATAAATCATTTTATCAAAAAGACACCTGCACTTGTATGTTTATTGTGACACTATTCACAATAGCAAAGTCGTGAAATCAGCCTAAGTGTCCATCAATGAATGATTGGATAAAGAAAACGTGGTATATATACTCCCGTGAAATGCCACTCACTCATAAGAAAGAATAAAATCATGTCTTTGCAGCAGCATGGATGGATTTGGAGGCCATTATTCTAAGTGAAAAACTGCAATGGAAAATCAAATACTGAAGGGGTGCGTTGCCCCTCCACACCTGTGGGTGTTTCTCATTAGGTGGAATGAGAGACTTGGAAAAGAAAAAGACACAGAGACAAAGTATGGAGAAAGAAATAAGGGGGCCCAGGGGACCAGCGTTCAGCATACGGAGGATCCCGCTGGCCTCTTGAGTTCCCTTAGTATTTATTGATCATTCTTGGGTGTTTCTCGGAGAGGGGGATGTGGCAGGGTCATAGGATAATAGTGGAGAGAAGGTCAGCAGATAAACACGTGAGGGAAGGTCTCTGCATCATAGACAAGGTAAAGAATTAAGTGCTGTGCTTTAGATATGCATACACATAAACATCTCAATGCCTTAAAGAGCAGTATTGCTGCCCGCCTGTCCCACCTCCAGCCCTAAGGTGGTTTTCCCCTATCTCAGTAGATGGAACATACAATCGGGTTTTACACTGAGACATTCCATTGCCCAGGGACGGGCAGGAGACAGATGCCTTCCTCTTGTTTCAACTGCAAAGAGGTGTTCCTTCCTCTTATACTAATCCTCCTCAGCACAGACCATTTATGGGTGTCGGGCTGGGGGACGGTCAGGTCTTTCCCTTCCCACAAGGCCATATTTCAGACTATCATATGGGGAGAAACCTTGGACAATACCTGGCTTTCCTAGGCAGAGGTCCCTGCGGCCTTCCGCAGTGTTTGAGTCCCTGGGTACTTGAGATTAGGGAGTGGTGATGACTCTTAAAGAGCATGCTGACTTCAAGCATCTGTTTAACAAAGCACATCTTGCATAGCCCTTAATCCATTTAACCCTGAGTTGACACAGCACATGTTTCAGAGAGCACGGGGTTGGGGTAAGGTCATAGATTAACAGCATCTCAAGGCAGAAGAATTTTTCTTAGTACAGAACAAAATGGAGACTCCTATGTCTACTTCTTTCTACACAGACACAGTAACAATCCGATCTCTCTTTCTTTTCCCCACAAATACTACATGTTCTCACTTATAAGTGGGAGCTAAACAACAGGCCCACAAGAACATACAGAAAGAAATAGTAGGCCGGGCGTGGTGGCTCACACCTGTAACCCCAGCACTTTGGGAGGCCAAGGTGGGTGCATCATGAGGTCAAGAGATTGAGACCATCCTGGCCAACATGGTGAAATCCCATCTCTACTAAAAATACAAAAATTAGCTGGGCATGGTGGCATGCACCTGTAGTCCCAGCTACTCGGGAGGCTGAGACGAGAATCACTTGAACTGGGGAGGCAGAGGTTGCAGTGAGCCGAGATCGAGTCACTGCACTCCAGTCTAAGTAACAAGAGTGAAACTTTGTCTCAAAAAAGAAAAAAAAAAAAAGAAATAGTAGTCACTGGAGACTCCAAAAGTTGAGAGAGAGAGTGAGGGTCGAAAAATTACCTATTGGATACAATGTTCACTGATTAGGTAATGGGTACATCAGAAGCCCAAACCCCACCACTATGCAATATATCCATGTAGCAAACCTGCACATGTACCCCCTGAATCTATAAAAATAAAAAAAAAAAACACATTCTCAAAAAACAGTAAAATAAAGTAGAACACATGAAAGAAAATATATCACAAAGTGCTGAGAATAGAAAAAATAACATCCGAAAGCTCTAGAATTTGGGGTATTTCACCACTTAACACAATTTGGTAAATGACAATGGAGAGCTTTTTAATACTCAGTTCACATTTTGTCTGTCTTTCACTCTCTCTCTCTCTCTCCCTATTAGTATAGAGTGTTTTCATAAATGTTTTAAGCTTGGGCTTATCCTCAGTCAGGGTTCTTTCTTCCTTCTTTCCTCCATTGTTATTCAAGCCATTGTTATAATTTGATTTTGTTTTCTCTCTGTGTCTTAAAGTGTATTATTTTTGCTTTTCCAACTGCAAAACAATAGTTGCATATTTTTTGGTCCCTTTAAGTTTTTATTATAACGTTTTTCATCCCACCTCTTCCTTTTATAATGTTAAATGGCAAAATGTCTATAATATTTAAAAATTTGCTTCCTCCCATCATCCTAAATATCTTATTTTTTATTATAAATAGACAAATTTATGTGCATATGTTTTGTTTGATTTTGTTTTCTGAAACAAATTAAAATTTGTATGTTCAAAATAATGTTGTGATATGAATACTGCAGGTGTTATTTCTATTTTGGGACTGAGAAGTTAGGCCAATAGACACCTATTTATTGAACTTCTTGAAGGATTCCTGGGCAGCCCGCAGTGCTAAGGGGAACAAAAATATAATAAGTACTAGGGATATTTTAGGAATATTTCCTGGCACCTTTTTAAATTCTAGTATTTGCAAATATCATGAGAGAATATTAATTTCCTCATATACTTTATTCCTGGCAGCCAGGAGAGTTGAAAACAATAAAGCTCTATTGAGAGACTGGACTGTCCAAATTGTTAGATTTTGGACCTGGCAACACCCACACCACCACCTAGTATTTCTTGAGGGTTTCATATATGGCAGGTACTGTTATAAGGACTTTTCATTTATATACTTATTTATTCATTAAAATAGCTATATGATATACACAGATTATCATAATCATTGTCATTTTATAAATAATAGGTAATGTAGGAAAAAATGGTTAAGTAACTGCTAGTGGCCACTCAGTTGGTAAGTGGTAGAGCCATGAATTTGAATCCAGGTATTCTAGCTTGAGAACCCACAGTCTTAACCACATATACCTTCCATTACTCCGTATTTCTTTTCCACAGCTCACAAGCACACTCTGATTAGGGGATGACTCTCTTCTGGTGTGCGTTTAGACAAATTGTACATTGTTTCATGGCAGAGACATTTGGGATTGTTTTGAAATAAAAATGAATAATTTAAGTGACAAATGTCAAGAATTATCTTTTTTAACAAAATACATTCAATATAGTTGGATAAATTAGATATATAGATGACATAATTGATGCACAAAGTAGAAATATCTATACCAGCAGTGTATCCTGATATATTAAATCTCTAAAGAGTGTAGCATGGAGAATAATTAGGAAAGAAAGGATTGGAGAGAGATTTGGAATATATGCAGAGAAAGATTGTATCTTCTGAGGATGTTGAAGAGTGTGTAGGTTTTGAAGAAGTGATGGGTGCTGATTGAGGTGATGTAAGGGATAGAGAGAAGAGCACGAAGACAGGAGTGCATACACTATTTGAAAGCAATAAAAAGTGATGAGTGCCACATCTAAGCAAGGTGTTAAGCTCTGAATTGCAGTTTGCCATGCTTTCTTTTCCCCTTTCTGTGAGCCTGGCAATTTTTTAGACAGGGGCTGCTTTATCAGCTTGAATTGCAGGGTGAAGAAACATGAAGCAGAGTCTTCTGACAACTCATTATCATATCGTAGAAATAGAACTTTCTTATTGTTAGCCAGGAAGATTTTTGTGGAACTTATTAATGTAGCATTTTCTACCTTATAACACTGGTTGGCAGGCAATTTCAGTATCCCAGGCATAAAGGGCTAAGGATTCAGGCAATGAAGGACAGGAGCAAAATCTAAAAGTCATTGGGAAGGAAGGCTTGAAAGACCTTGGTGACTGATGGGTTACGAGGTACAAAGATTTAGAAGAAACTGTGACATAACCTTAATGATTTTGGTTTGAGAAAATAAATCATCAAAATGAGGAAGCAAGGGTGGAAACAAGTGTGGAAGGTAGATTTTTAATAGGTGGGAGAGAGACCCTTAAATCCTTTTTATGAAATTAAAGATAGTATAAGATGATGTTAAAAAAAAAAAAAAGAATCATCAGAAAGAGTCCATTTGGAAAATGTGGTAGTTTAGAGAAATTTCATAGTACTTAGAATGTGAAACAGATCCAATGGAAAGCTGTTGTTTCATTATGTTTTGTTTTAAAGTTTGGCTATACATTTGCATACTTAAAATAATAAAAACATATAGGAATCCAGCAGTGCAGGAAAGATGCCGTGGACATAAGTGGTAAAATATGAGTTCTAAGGTCCACAGAAATTAGGAAGGGATGTGACTGAGAACATACACGGAGGGGTAATCTTTGGAGAAAGGAGAGTAAATATCTATTAAAATTTTAGAAGGAAGGGCCGGGCGTGGTGGCTCACGCCTTTAATCTCGGCAACGTGGGAGGCTGAGGCGGGCAGATCATGAGGTCAGGAGTTTGAGACCAGCCTGGCCAACATGGTGAATCTCTTTCTCTACTAAAAATACAAAAATTAGCTGGGCGTGGTGGTGGGCTTCTGTAATCCCAGCTACTCAGGAGGCTGAGGCAGGAGAATCACTTGAACCCTGGAGGCAGAGGTTGCAGTGAGCCGAGATCCTGAGATTGTGCCATTGCACTCCAGCCTGGGTGACAGGGTGAGACTCCATCTCAAAAAAAAAAAAAAAAAAATTAGGAGGAAGAGGATAAATGTAGAAATGGATATGCACTGAGATGAAATCAGACACTGGTAAAGTTCAAGATCTTGATGATCCCAGAGCATCAGTTTTCCACTAAAGTCAGTGAAGTTATCTGCTAAGTGGGACAGAAGGAGAGGGGCAGGTGAGAGCAGAGAAAAGAGAAGTTTTGAAATTGCCACAGAGAGGAGAATACCTGGTTGTGATTACAGGATTGCCAAACACAGAGGGCCCGTTTGAAGTTAGACTGTATGAATTCATAATGCTCCAATTCTGAATAATCCTCTGTCTTCTCTCAGTAGTGTTCAGTGTCCTGGGAACAGGCAGATCAAGCTCACAGTGAACAGGCAGAGAAAGCTCACGTTGAGGGTGATCCAGGTTTGTGATTCTTACAGATTAGGTTATTTGCACAGGTCATACTTATAGTTCTCTTTAATCTGTTCTCATTGTTTCTTCATAAAAATACAGTGTCTTTTCACAGATACATTTTATATTCCTGTGGTTCTGATGATCTTCACACTAGCTTGAAATTCATCTCTTTAACCACTGGAGCCTAGATTTCTTTTTTACACTTGGCTCTTTATAAACTATGATATTAATTTTTGGATAATTTTTCTACCTTCTCATTTTTTTCACTTTGATAGGCTTTTTCAAATAACTTTTATTGGTGAAAAAGTTATCTATAGTTTTTAATAAAATTTTGTCATCTCATTTAATTCATCTGTCAGTTACTTAATCATTATTTCATGCTGAATATGTGCCAGGTGCTATGTTAAGGGCCAAGGATACAAAGATAAAGAAAACAAGGTACCTGTCTTTGATGTGTTTATAGAGATCAAAAGTCTACTGGGCAAGTTCCTAAACTTTGTATAACTTGTGTTACAATGGCTTCTGTTCTCATTTGGTATTGGGCAAGTTCCCCTCACCCCACATACTTTTCATTAAATTTGTAATATTTGCGAATTTGAAAAGTAAATTTTCATTACATTTGGTTTATTAATACGTAGTTCCCCACTGCTGGGGCTGATATTTATTGTTACGACCACCTTATCCCACTAGGCACCACAGTCCCCACTGGGTTTTGCCATGTTTGTGCAAAAACGCTGCCATTTCTACAGACTGTCCCAATTTCTGTTGCTGTACTAGAACGCTTAAATGTTAATGATGATTGCTGACCTATTTGGACACAAAGGCAAGGTTCTGTTTTCCTATTTCAAGTTACACTTATTGAGAGGACAAGAAATGCAGTAGATACAGTTGAATAAAAACAGCTACTGCATATATATAGATATATATATATCTGTATATAGTGCTTATGAACTCCGATTTTAAATAAAATTAGTGGAAACCCACATTCTTTTTTTTTTTTTTTTTTTTTTTTTTTTTTTAAGGAAAGGGAGTCTCGCTCCATCGCCCAGGCTGGAGTGCAGTGGCTCGATCTCGGCTCACTGCAAGCTCCGCCTCCCGGGTTCGCGCCATTCTCCTGCCTCAGCCTCCTGAGTAGCTGGGACTACAGGCGCCCGCCACCGCGCCTGGCTAATGTTTTGTATTTTTAGTAGAGACGGGGTTTCACGGTGTTAGCCAGGATGGTCTCGATCTCCTGACCTCGTGATCTACCTGCCTGTGCCTCCCAAAGTGCTGGGATTACAGGTGTGAGCCACGGCGCCCGGCCGAAACCCACATTCTTTGCTTTCTAAAGGTCCAAGCTCTTCTGCAAATTCCCAGGGGCATACAAACATGTGGGCACTTCTGATTTCAATTTACTGCCTCTGCTGGATTTTTTTTCGTTTCTATCCTGTCTAATCTTGTTTCCACATAGGTATTATTTAAATATTGCTCCTTATCAATATCTACAAATAAATTATCCCTACACTATTCTGAAAATCTATTGGTGGGAAATGGGGAGAAATGTTTATAATTTGAAAATGCAAACACATTAAAATTGAAGATTTAAAATTTTATCTTATTTTTTGGTGGTAAAAACACTTAACATGAGATCCACCCTCTTAACAAATTTCTAAGTGTATAATACATTATTTTGACTATAGGTACAATGTTGTACAGCAGATCTTTAGAGCTTATTTGTCTTGCTTCACTGAAGCTTTATGCCTGCTGATTAGTAACTCCTCATTTCTCCTCCCCCCACCTCAGTAACTGCCATTCCACTCTCTGATGATATGGATTTGACTATTTTAGACACTGAATATAAGAAGAATCATGCAGTATTTGTCTTTCTGTGGTTGGTTTATTTCATTCAGTATAATGCCCTTAAGTTTCATCCATGTTGTCACATATTGCTGAATTTCCTTCTTTTTAAAGCTAAACAGTATTGCATTATATGTACACAACACATTTTCTTTATCCATTTCATCTGTCAGTGAACATTAAAAACAATAAAGTAATTCACAATTAAATAATAATTAAACAATAAATATAAATGTTGATAAATAAAAAATTAAACATTACAAATCCTTATTCATAAAAGTCTGAGAATGGGCATTTCTCACTAACCAAACATCTACCATCCTCTCAATTCCTTTCCTTCTCTGCCTCTTCTCTCTTACCTCTTTTACTCCATTCCAAAGTATTTACACTCCTCACATTGTCCGTGAATAAAATCCAGTATTAATTTGGGTTGCTTTGGATCTTCCTTCAGAATCTTTCCCTTTCTTTACCCTATGAGCTTTATCAAACAAGGTAGTTTCTCATGCAGTTTTCTTCTGAAGTAGAATTCCGGAACCCACTCTTAAGGCAATAAAACGTTCAATTTTATTACGTGTCTTATAATTTCATGAATCCAAGTGAAAAAGTGGAGGGTGTACATTGATGCAACCACTTTGGCAAACAGTTTGGCAGGACTAGATTCATGGGTGTGTAACCTGTGCTGTCATAGAGGTTTGTGAACTTAGAAGGGCCCACACTTCTTTTAGTGTTTGCTGTTGCTGTCTTGAAATTTTAATAATTTTAAAACAAGGAGCCCTGTGTTTTCATATTTCATTGGCCCAGAAAGTTCTATATGTGGTTCCACGGTCTGGCATTATTTAACACAGCTGAGCAAACTCAATGTTTCAGGGATTTCACTTCTAGATAAAAACCCAACTGCAGCTCATATCTATATTCACCAAAAGATATTACAGAAATATTTATCTCAACATATTGTCTATTATTCATAACAGGCAAAAATCTGGAAACAATCCCATTTTCATCACCAATGAAGAAACAAATGAATTGAGCTATATTCATACAAAGAAATACTACACAGTGAAGAAAATTCATAGTCTAGTGCTATAAATTATAGTGAACTAATATCACCAACATAATATTAGAAAAAAAGACAAAAAGAACAGTTCAATTTACCATGAAGTCTGAGATGAAGCAATCTTATAAAGCTAGAGGAGATTATATAGTGGTAGACTTTATGGAAGAAAGGCTTATAAATAGTAACTGGGAGGAAACATGATGGAGGCCCCTGGGATTCTGCTAATAGCTTTTCTTGACCTGGAGGGGAGTTACAAGTATGTTAGTTTATAAAGCTATACATTTATATTTTATGCACTTAAAACGTTTCTTATATGCACAAAAATTTAAAAGAATGCGTAGCATGGTGTTGTTACCAAGAGAAATCAGGGTGTATCTATCTGTTGTGAGCAGGGTAGAAGCTCTTCTAAACAATCTCTGATTAAGAAACTCATTGTATTAATAGACGCTCTTCATCCCCTCTATGAGCACACTGTCAGATTCTTGAAACTCACTGAATGGTCGTATCTGTAAACTTCTCTCTTACATACCATTTCGATAAACCATCTGATTTCCACTTGGATAAGTGAACATCTATGGTAATAGAAATATATTCATGATACTTAATTTTAAAGTAAACTATTAATAAGAATTTAAGAGAATTTTCAAGGTCCAGAGTGAGACTATGCCTCAGTAGGAGTCTGGTATAAAGAAACAGAAAGCCAACATGAATTGCTTGCCATCTCTTATCTCTAAATCTTTATGTGCCCTGTTTCATTCTTGTCAGTCTTACTTTTCTAATACTCATCTACTTGGTAAAATATGGCCATGCCAAGGTTTTCAAACTCTTATGTTCCTTTAGTTCAAAAGACAAGGCAGATTGATATATTCTCAAACTGAATTCTAAATTTTGGGGAAGAAAATCCCAAAACTTAACTTGCCTCTTTTTTTTTTTTTTTTTTTTTTTCATCCCTGGGCCACTTTCCAAGGCTAGAAGAGAGTCACACAGCAATAATATATTTATTGCAGTCCACTCTGTATAACCCCCAAAGCTTGTTTCTTAGTGCTTAAAATACACATGCATGCATAAATTCAGGAGCTGGGCTTTTTTTTTTTTTTTTTCTGAATGTTCAAGTACAACCACCCTGGCTTTCTGGCCAATGAATTGGCCTTGATTTATAGCACAAAGGGAACATTGACTAGTATTTTATTGAAACATAAAAAACAGAGGGATAATGTTCTTATCAAATCTCCACTTATAAGAAACATGACATCAAATGAATGGATAAAATATTAATTTTTCAAAAAATTATTTTGTGATATTTGGCTATCTATTTTTGGGAAAAATTATTTTTCTACTACATACCTGTCTTAGTTCGCTCAGGCTACTATAACAAAATACCATAAACTGGGTAGCTTATAAACAACAGAAATTTATTTCTCACAGTTCTAGAGGCTGGGAAGTGAAATGAAAGATCAGGGTGCTGGCAGATTTGTTGTATGGTGAGGGCCCTCTTCTGGGTCATAGACTGCTGACTTCTAGCTGCACCTTTACATTGGTGGAAGGGTGATGCCACTCTCTGGGGCCACTTTTGTAATGGCACTAAACCCATTCATGACGCCTTCACTCTTATGACCTTATCTTCCAACAGCCCCATTTCCTAAAACCATCACCTTGGGGATTAAGACTTCAACATATACATTTTGGGGGGAATACAAACATTCAGATCATAACAACACTAGCCATTAAACAATGCAGATAGAAAAAGTATGTAATAGTAAAAAAGTGTAAAAAACAAGCAAAGAAACCCTCATGACCATAAAATATAAGATAATTTGTTTGGAAACATGGGCAAAAGAAGTGATGTTTAAACATAGTATAATATGGTTTGGCTGTGTCCCCACTCAAATCTCATCTTGAATTGTAACTCCCACAATTCCCACATGTTGTGGGAGGGACCCAGTGGGAGGTAATTGAATCATGGGGGTGGGTCTTTTCTGGGCTAAACTCATGATAGTGAATAAGTTTTATGAGATCTGATGGTTGTATAAAGGGGAGTTTCCCTGCACAAGCTCTCTTGTTTGCTGCCATGTGAGATGTGCCTTTCACCTTCCACCAGGATTGTGAGGCCTCCCTGGCCACATGGAACTGTGAGTCCATTAAACTTCTTTCTTTTGTAAATTGCCCAGTCTCAGGTATGTCTTTATCAGGAGTGTGAAAGTGGACTAATAATATATAGTACAAAAGAAAAAAAGTAATGGGAAAAATTAATACATTTGATTATATCAGAATTTAAAACTTAAAGATACCACAAAAATTTAAAGGTTAATGTGGTAGTCAGTTTTATATGTCCATGTGGGTAAGCAATGGTTTCGTATTAGTCAATAAAACCCAAATAGGTGTTACTGTGAAGATATTTGGAAGATGATGTGGTTTGGCTCCATGTCCCCACCCAAATCTCATGTTGAATTTTAATTCCCAGTGTTAGAGGAGGGACCCGGTAGAAGGTGATTGGATCATGGGGGTGGAATTCCCTCTTGCTGTTCTTCTTATAGTGAGTGAGTTCTCATGAGATCTGGTTATTTAAAAGTGCATAGCACTTCTACCTTCACTCTCTCTCATCCCCATGTGAAGATGTGCTTGCTTCCTCTTCACTTTTTGCCACGATTGTAAGTTTCCTGAGGCCTCCCCAGCCATGCCCCTGGTACAGCTTGCAGAACTGTGAGTCTATTAAACCTCTTTTCTTTATAAATTACCCAGTTTCATTTAGTTCTTTTTGGCAGTGTGAGAACAGACTAATATAGAAGATTTGATTAAAGTCCATAGTAAGTTGACTTTAGTAATGAAGATTATTCTAGGTAATATAAGTGAAGTGGGCCTGATTTAATCTGTTGAAAGGGCATAAAAGAATAATTTAGGTTTTCCTAGGGGGAAGAAATTCTGCTCTATGGATAGCAGCTTTAGTTTATGTCAAGAGCCCCAGCCTGCTCCTCCTCAAAGCCTGCCCTACAGATTTTGGACTTGCCTAAAAAGTTCCCACAGTTGCATAGGCCAATTAGTTGCAATAACTCTTTTAATATATATCTTCTGGAGGTTATTTTTCTCTTGATGAATATTGAGTGATACAACAAGTGATAGCTTGAAAGAAAATATTTTTGTGTGTTATCAAAAAGGAGTAGATTTCAGACCAGGATGGTGAAGTAAGAAGTCTTGGGCCCCAATTCCCCTTACAGAAAGTTCAACTACCAACTATTTGTGGACTAGAACATTCTTTCAAAAACCGGAACACCTGGAAACAAGTCTGAGACACCAGCGTGCTATGTAGAAATGAACAATATCTGAATTAGAAAGGTAAGAGGACTAGTCTCACTCTGACCATGCTCTCTGTCCCCCAAGTCAGCATAGTGTCAGACAGAGAGGATTTTCCTGGACTCAGTTTCTACAATGGGGAAAGAGGACTGGGGCAAGTCACTCAGCTTCCTTAGCATTCCAAGGTACTTCTAGGAAGCCAAGTCTGATCTCACTCCATGGGGAACACTAAGATAAATAGCATGGCTTACCTGTCCTTGGATTAAATAGAAACAAAGAAATGTGACCAGTGCACAAATCTTGGTGGTAGCTCGGTGTTCCTGCCAACTGAAGCACTCAGAGATATCAGCTAAACTTATAGTACACTGGCAAAGCTGAGCTGCTTGACTTTAGAAGGATGATGGAAATCATAATCTAGCGTGAGCCACTAGACTGTTATTCTTCCTAGCTTAAGAACCCACCCCAACTACCCTGCCCAATTAGGGAGACTCCCACTTCCATGGATCTCAGCAAAGCAAAGGGCTACATTGGCTTTATCCAGGAAGGTAGACAGCAACTCTGCATAGCCAAAAAGCCTGCCCTATAACCCTGCATAGACAGGGAGATTCTCGCCTCTGCAGATCTCAGAAAAGTTAAGTGGCTCTACACCAGCCTAACCCAGAAAGGCAAGCAGTGGCTCTGAGCAGTTAAAAAATCGACCCAACAATCCTGCCCAGGTAGAAAGATTCTCACCTCTGTATTTTTTGGAGAAATGTAACAGCTAGTCCTGCTTGATCTGAAATGTCAAACAGCCACTTATCTAAGCCAAAAGCTCACCCTACAGCTCCACCCAGACAGCGGGACAATCCCCAATTACACATTTCTAAGGAGCATAGCCTCAGGTCTCACCTGCCCAGATAAGTGTCTCCATCTAACTTTAGGGCCCAACCTGCAGCCATGCCCAACTGCAGATTCCAAATAGTGGAAATGCCCAAGCAGGGGGTATATCTTGTGGCCAGCCTGACCAGAAGCCATCACAATACCCAGTAGCTCCACTTGATATCAAAGCAATGGCAGTGGCCCAGCCAGCTAGAGATCGCATAACAAGCTCTGCTTCCCTGAGGTCATCAGCTGGCACTTCCAGAATCACAGCTAGACTAAACAGTAAAACATTATCCCTTCCAAAGAACTTGTAAGGACCAGGAGAAGGGGCTGTCTTTTCAGATGCACAGACAACAACATAAGGGAACAAATATTACAAAGAATTAGGAAATCATGACGCTTCAGAAAGAAACTAGGCCAGGCGCGGTGGCTTACGCCTGGAATCCCAGCACTTTGGAGGGCCAAGGCGGGTGGATCACAGGGTCCGGAGATCGAGACCATCCTGGCTAACAGGGTGAAACCCCGTCTCTACTAAAAATACAAAAAAAATTAGCCGGGCATGGTGGCAGGTGCCTATAGTCCCAGCTACTCGGGAGGCTGAGGTAGGAGAATGGCGTGAACCTGGGAGGCGGAGCTTGCAGTGAGCCGAGATCGCTCCACTGCACTCCAGCCTGGGCAATGGAGCGAGACTCTGTTAAAAAAAAAAAAAAAATTACTAAAGCTCCAATAATGGAACCCAAAGAAATGGGGATCTATAAAATGACTAAAAAAAATTTAGAATAATACTCATAAACAAGTTTATTGAATTACAAAAATACACAGATAGATTTCTAAAATTTCTAAAATTTGGAAAATAATACCCAAAAAGTGAGAATATTGACAAGAAAATAGAAACAGTAAAAAAGAACCACATAGAAATCTTAGAGATGAAGAATACAATGATTAAACAGAAATATTCAATAGAAAGTTTAAACAGCAGAATTAATCAGGTGGAAAAAAGGGTCAATGAGCTGGAAGATAGAACATTGAAATTTTTCAGTAAGAGGAGTTAAAGAATGAAAAAGAATGACAAAAGTCTATGGGAATTATGGAATTCAATCAAGAAACTAAACCTTTCAATCACAGGAATTCCAGAAGGAGAACAAAGAGAGAAAGGGCCAGAAAGCATATTTAATAAAATGATGGCTAAAATTTTCCTAATCTAGGAAAGATACCAACACCCAGGTGCAGAAAGCATGGAAGTCCTTGTCAAAATTAATTCAAAGAGGAGTATACTAAGACATCTAATAATCAAACTATCAAAAATTAAAGACTAATAACAAATTCTAAAAGCAGCAAGAGATGAGAAACATATCACACACAAAGGAAGGCTGATACAACTGTCAGTGGATTTCTTAGCAAACTCTACAAGCCTGGAGAGAGTAGAATGATATATTCAAAGTGCTGAATGAAAAAAAAGTCAACAAAGAGTACTTTATCCAGCAGAGCTGTTCTTTAGAAATGAAGAAGACAGAGAGTTAGCAAGGTTGTTGAATTCAAGTTCATCTTAAAAAAAAAACCTATTAGCATTCCTATACATCAGTAATAACAAATTAGAAAAGGTAATAGAAAAAGAGATTCTAGGTTGGGCGCGGTGGCTCACGCTTGTAATCCCAGCACTTTGGGAGGCCAAGGCGGGCGGATCACGAGGGCAGGAGATTGAGACCATCCTGGCTAACATGGTGAAACCCCGTCTCTACTAAAAATACATAAAAAATTAGCCAGGTGTGGTGGCGGGTGCCTGTGGTCCCAGCTACTCGGGAGGCTGAGGCAGGAGAATGGCGTGAACCCCCGGGGGCGGAGCCTGCAGTGAGCCGAGATGGCGCCACTGCACTCCAGCCTGGGCGACAAAGCGAGACAGAGATTTTCCCAGACAAAGAAAAGCTGAGAGGGTTCATTGCCAGATCTGACTTACAAGAAATGTTAAAAGGAGTTTTCAAGCTGAAAAGAGGTATTGAAGTCCCCTGCTATATTATATTTCAGTTAATTTATTCCTTTAGATTTATTAATATTTGCTTTGTATATGTAGGTTCTTTGATATTGAGTGAATGTGTATTTATGATGGTTATATTCTTTTACTGGATTGACTGCTTTATCATTATGTAATGATCTTCTTTGTTTCTTTTAATGGTGTTTAAAGTCTATTTTACCTGGTACAAGTAAAGCTACCCCTGCTTTCTTGATTTCCATTTGTATGAAATATTTTTCTATCCCTTTACTTTCAGTCTATGTGTGTCCTTACCAGTGAAGTGAGTCTCTTATACGCAGTATATAGTTGGGTCTGATTATTTTATCCATTCAGCCTTTCAATGTCTTTTAATTGGAGAATTTAATCCATTTATTTTCATTTGTTTTATTTCTATTGGTTTTATAGATCCTTT
The DNA here is from genome assembly GCF_000001405.40 of Homo sapiens. Taxonomy (NCBI): domain Eukaryota; kingdom Metazoa; phylum Chordata; class Mammalia; order Primates; family Hominidae; genus Homo; species Homo sapiens. Next base: position 17,946,934 of record NC_000021.9, read on the forward strand.
CTTCCTATCTTCCTATCTTCCTTTGTGGTGAAATTATTTTCTCTAGTAGTATGTTGATTTCTTGCTTTTTATTTTTGTATATATATTACAGATTTTTGCTATGTTGTAATTACAGATAAATTATTAATACTAGTAAGAGAGTTAGCAACATTCCAGGATACATCATCTATTAGACCACAAAATAAGTCTTAACAAATTTAAAATGTTTTAAATCATGTCTAGTACTTGTTCTGATCATAATGGTTTAAAACTAGATATCAGTAATAGGAGGAACTTCAGAAACTTTACAAATACCTTATAATTAAAGAACATGCTCCTTAACAACCAACAGGTCAATGAAGATATTAAAAAGAAAATTTTAAAAATTCCTGAGACAAATGAAATGGAAACACAGCATACCAAAACCCATGGAATACAGTAAAAGCAGCTCTAATAAGGAAGTTTATAGCAGTAAACACCTAATACAAAGCTCCCAAACAGCAAAAGAAATAATCAACAGAGTAAACAGACAACCTACAGAAGGGAGAAAATATTTGCAAACTGTGCATCTGACAAAGTGCTAATATCCAGAATCTACAAGAAATTCAACCTAATAAGAAACACACACACAGACACACACACACACACACACACATAACTTCATTAAAAAGTAGTCAAAGGAGACAGACATTTTTGAAAAGAAGACATACAGACGGCCAAAAAGCACATGAAAAATAAAAAATATAAAAACACAGATGTTGGCAAGGATTTGGGAAAAAGAGAAAGTTTATACACTCTGGGAATGTACCAGCTCTTTGGAAAACAGGATATGGATTGCTCAAAAAGTTAAAAATAGAACTACCATTTGACCCAGTAATCCCACTCCTAGATATCTGTCCAAAGGAAAAAAAATCATTACATAAAAACCGTGCCTCCACTCATATATTTTTGCAGCACTATTTATAATAGCAAAGTCCTGGAATCAATCTAAGTGTGCATCAGCAGATGATTGGATAAAGAAAATGTGGCATATATATACTATGGAATACTACTTAGCCATAACAAACAATGAAAATGTGTCTTTTACAGCAACATGGATGAAACTGGAAGCCATTATTTACGTGCAACAACTGAGAAACAGAAAGTCAAATATGCATCTTCTCACTTATAAGTAGTAGCTAAATAAGGGTAGACACAGACATACAGAGTGGAATAACAAACATTGGAAACTACAAAAGGTTGAAGTATGGGAGAGGGATGAGAACTGAGAAATTACCTATTCTGTACAGTTTACATTTTTAGGTAATGGTACTCGAAAAACCCAGACTTTACCTCTACATAATAATCCATGTAACAAAAATGCACTTGTTCCCCTAAATCTACAAAGATAAAAAGAAGAAAAAAGAAAAAAAAAGTTTATGTTAAAAGAAGAAAGATCTTAAATAAACAAGCTAACATTACACTTCAAGAAATAAAAAAAACAAGAACTAATTAAACCCACAATTAATAGAAGGGTGGAAATAATAAAGATCAGAGCAGAAATAAATGAAATAGACACTAAAAATCAACAAAATTAAGAGTTTGTTTTTTGAAAAGATAAATTGACATTTAGCTAGACTAAATAAGAAAAAAAGAGGAAATAAAATAGCAGGTAAAAAAGAAGACATTACAACTACAGAAATATAAAGGATCATAGGAGTCTATAACAAACAATTATATGCCAACAAATTGAATAACCCTAGAAGAAATGGATAAATTGCTGGACACATACAATCTATCAAGACTGAATCATGAAGAAATAGGAAGTCTGAATGGACCAATAATGAGTAATAAAATTGAATCAGTAATAAAAAATCTCCAATCAAAGAAAAGCCCCAAACTTGATTGCTTTACTGCTGAATTCTAATAAACATTTAAAGAGGAGCTAATACCAGTTCTAATCAAACTACTCCAAAAAAATCGAAGAGGTAGAAGTTCTTCGAGACTCATTCTACCAGGCCAGCATTATTCTGTTGTCAAACCCAGACAAGGATGCAACAAAAATCAAAATCAGGGCAGTCATGGGATACATGTAACTATGGAATGCAAAATTTGGATATGGAGTTAGAATACCTAACTATGCAACACTTTGATTACTTTCAGCTGACCTCTTTTGTTTACACCAGTTTTATGGGCCCCTGAGTGTGGTGTTAGTGGTGGTTACAATATTGACCTGCTAGCTACATGAAGCTGCTCAACAGCTACCCAGTCTTCATGTCCTTTTGTGAACTATTTCTAGAAAGAAATGGATTCCCAGCTCTCAGTTGTAATCTAACTGCAGAGTAATGTTGGATAATACATCAGCCTCAAGAAATTTTCCAGATTAAATTGTCTGAGTGAGAAGTATAAAAGTGTATCTACTGGAAATGCAAGCTAATTATGTCACATTCTTGGCTTTTCAGTTTTAAGTTACATGTTAAATGTGTATTTGAAGAAAGAGCTTCTAGTTAAAGACTGTGAAAAAAAAGACATTTTGTCTCCATTTCATTCACTCAGAAATTGTTAAAGAAATAAATTCAGTCAAAAGCTGTGTCTATGTGGGAGGGGGTAAAAAAGTGGGGAAGAGATGAAGTTCCTCTTCACTTTCAATGAAAGAGGAAATGGCTGTGTTCCCATATCCTGAATTTGTCATAAACCTGCCAAATATATGGAATGTGGCCTGGAATGAGAGAGACCATGCTCAGTACTGACCTATCTCCTCTGATCTTTAGCAGGAAATTGTAAAAGTAAATGTTATAGTCTTGAAAGGGCTAGCCAACTATTATTTGATTAAAGTGAAGTGAGCCAGAGAGATGGATGGGCAACCAGAGAATATAATAAAGATCTAAAGTAAAGGGGGTAAATATGATAGCAAATTGTTTCTTATATCTGAGATCTAGCTCCTAGTTAAGGGAAAATGCTTGGGGGAGGAGGAAAGTAAAGATGGAATATTTCCAGATAACAACCAAGAGAACTTGTGGATTGAGGAACATCTGCAATTTCTTAAACAGAGAAACTGCAGATACTTTTTCAGACCAAAAATAAAATAGAAAAAAATACCAAAAACCAAAATCAAAACAAAAGAATAGATTTTGTAAAAGAATGATTAAGACAATACCCTAATCAAAATTCAAAATTCTCAAGTGCTTCACTTCATTCTGTCTTTGCCACAATAATTTTAAACAACAATATTGAACTTATTAAAACAAAGCTATGAGAAGAAATAGACCAGTTTGAGATACATTTCTAAAAAGGGCACAAATGACATACATTATAAGAAGAAAAACCCAAGGAAAAGCAGACTTGTTAAGGGAAACGTTTTCTATATTAAAAAAATTACAAATAAAAGGAGCTTTTAAGAACTCAAAAAAGGTATATAATAATTCAAGGAAGAAATTGTACAAAATAGATGGAGATTAAGACCAAACTAGTAGTGCTTGAGAATAAAATGAGAGAGAGAGAAAAAAAATAGACATATTACAGAGATGATGCTACTGTCTCTGGTTAGAATGTAGAAAGAAGTAAAAAGCCTATGGTCCCATCATAACAAGAAATCCTAGATACACAACACACACACACACACACACACACACACACACACACACTTCTTTAAAGCCATCTAAGAACTGTGGATATAAAGTACAATAAAGGAGTCTATAGAAGTCTAAAGATTTTTATGTTCCAATGTCAGGTAGAACTAGAGGATACTTCCATACTTTGGAGCAATTGCAGAGATTGCGGGCTGGGTAGGCAGAGGAGCAAGTCTATCATTGGTTGGAGAGAAACCAATCAGCTTTTGACAAAGTATAAGGATAGCATGCCAGACATAAAACTGGAAGAGCCCCAATTGCCAAGTAAGTCCTCTCTGGACAGTCATTTTTTCACATGTAAATTTTGCCAAGTAAGTGCAGACTGGAAAAAAGTCTGAAAAAGAGAAACAGATTTACAGTCGTGAAATATCACAATTTTGAAGTCTCACTGTCTTGCTTCTTATGGTCTTGCAACCTCACAGTCACAAATTCCTGTGGTCTGAGGTCTTAAAGTATTTCATTGGTTGGAGAGAAACCAATCAAATTTTGATGAACTAAAACATACTTACGTATAACTATATACATATACATTAATAAGTGTATATATTCTTATATAAGAATATGTGTGTGTATATATTACTCTATACGTGTGTGTGTGTGTGTGTGTGTGTGTGTGTGTACAAATCAATGGTTAAGTTGTTTAGTGGCATGATTACTTTGGTGGGGCCTTAGAATTTAAGCACCAAAAGTCTAATAAGACTTCTATTTTCTTTCAGCCTAGGATCCAATTTCCTGTGTTGCCACAGGGCTGATATCTTTGATCTATTAAAATCTGCATTGGTATAGGTAGGTGGCAGGTATGGTTGGATTCTGTTCAACTGTGTCTTTAATCACTTTGAATATAAGGCAAGGCTTTCTCTCTAGGAGGGCGTAAGGACAGAGCGTCATCAAACTTCAATACTGAGAGTCTTTAAGACTAAGAGACCATGAGATCTCAATATTGCAAGACTGTGAGACTGTAAGGCAGCATGCTGCTATGATTTTGAATAACAAAAGACTGTATCCACACAAACAGACACACACACAATCCACATGTTAGATTTAGCAGGCAGACTTTAACTTATAGCTATATTAAAAAATTCATAGGGTAAAGAGTCAATTTCAAGAGATATTTGAATGTATAAAATAGAACAAAATTGAAATCTAATTTGGAACTGAAAAGTAAAATATACTTAAAATTAAAAAATTGATAGATTTGCATTAGCTTGGACATTGCAGAAGAAATTACAAGTAAATAACACATCAAAATAAACTATTCAACATAAAGCACAGAGAGAAATAAATTGATCAAATTGAACAGAGCCTCAATGAGCTGTGGGAAGTTACAAGTAGTCTCACATTCATATGATAGAAATATTGGATAGAAAAGAGAAAATGAGAGAATAATATTTAAAGAGATAATGATTATATGTCTTTAAAAATTTTAAGAAAGGCCAGGTACAGTGGCTTGTGCATGTAATCTCAGCACTTTGGGAGGCTGAGGCAGGAGGACTGCTTGAGCCTAGGAGTTTGAGACCAGCCTGGGCAACATAGGGAGACCCCATCTCTAGCCAGGCACATGGTGGTGCACACCTGTGGTCCCAGCTACTCAGAAGGCTGAGTTGGGAGGATCATTTGCACCTGGGAGGTCAGTGCTTCAGTGAGCCATGATTGTGCAGAGCAATACTATGTCTCAAAAAAAAAAAAAAAAAAAAAGAAATAAACCTACAAATCCAAGAACGATGACCAACACAGCAAGATAATTACAAGGAAAACTATTTTTAGGTACTTCATGATCAAAATGCTGACAACCACAGGTTTATAGAAAATTTTCAAAGTATTCAGAAAAATAAGACACTTTACATGTAGGGTTACCATGATAAGGATGATGGCTGTCTTTTCCTCTGCAATAATGAATGCCAGAAGATAATGGAAAAACATCTTTTAAGTGCTGAACGAAAAATTACTTACCGTTAACCAAAGAAAAAAAATCCTTAAAAATGAAGAAAATAGAGTTTAGGATAAATGAAACCCACGCTAATATATTGCCAATAGAACTGCCCTACAAAAAAATTCTAAAGGAATTTTTTCAGGTTGAGGAGAAATGATACCAGATATAAACTTGAACCTAGAGGAGAAGAGATTATGTGCATTTGAAAATAGTCAACATGTGGGGGACATAAATAATTATGTTTTTAAAATGTTCTTATTTTCTATTTAAGAAAATGGATTATTTAAAGCAAGGTATTTGTCCATTCTCTCACTGCTATAAAGACACTACCCAAGACTGGATAATTTATGAAGAAAAGAGGTTTAATCGCCTCTCAGTCCCGCATGGCTGGGGAGGCCTCAGAAAACTTACAATCATGGCGGAAGGCGAAAGGGAAGCAAGGGACATCTTACATGGCAGCAGGAGAGAAAGACAGTAGGAGTAACTGCCACTTTTAAACCATCAGATCTTGTGAGAACTCCCTCACTATCATGAGAACAGCTTGGAAAAAATTGCCCCCATGATCCAGTCACCTCCCACCAGGTCCCTCCCTTGACACATGGGGATTACAATTTGAGATGAGATTTGGGTGGGGACACAGAGCCAAAACATATCAAGCAATAATAAAATAATATAAGATTTACATACTGAAGTAAAATATTTGACCACAGTGCCCCAGATAATACCAAGTAAATAATGGAATTGTAAATAATATTCACTAAGTATATAATATTAACTCAAAGCAGACTGTAATAAGTTAAGGATGCATATTATAATCCCTAGAGCAAGAATTAGAACATACAAATTAGCATAGCTAGAAATTCAGTTGAAGCCTGGTATAATGTTGCATGCCTGTAGTCCTAGCTATTCAGGAGGCTGAGGCAAGAGTATTGCCCAAGTCCAGGAGTTAGAGACTACAGTGAGCCACGATTGTGCCACTGCACTCCCGCCTGGGTGACAGAATGAGATTCTGTCTCTAAAAAAATAAGAAAATAATAAAAATTCAATTGAGAAAATAAAATACTTTAAAAACTCAATACTCAAACCAAAAGAAGAGAGAAAATGAGTACAAAATGTAAGAAATACAATGAGCAAGAAAATCAAATTGCAAATGGTAGGCTAAAACCTGACTACATAAATAATTACATTAAAGTAATGGATTCAAATCTGAAATTATAATATAGAGATAGAGATTAAACAAAGTAAGACCATACTATAAACTATTTAAATATAAAGACTAGTCTGGGTGTGGTGGCTCACGCCTGTAATTCCAGCACTTTGGGAGCCTGAGGTGAAAGGATCATGAGGTCAGGAGTCCAAGACCAGCCTGACCAACATGGTGAAACCTTGTCTCTACTAAAAATACAAACATTAGCTGGGTGTGGTGGTGCGTGCCTGTAATCCTAGCTACTCAGGAGGCTGAGGCAGGACAATCACTTGAACCCGGGAGGTGGAGGTTGCATGAGCTGAGACTGTGCCACTGCACTCCAGCCTGGGCGACAGAGCGAGACTCTGTCTCAAAAAAAATTTTTTTAAATAAATAAATGTATAAATGTAAAGACTAAGAAGTTGAAATTAAGGATGAAAGCAGATTTAACATATAAACATTAAGCAAAAAGAAAAAAATTTGTGTTGTGGCCATAATATCAGAAAAAGTAGATTTTAAGACAAGGAGTATTACAAGAGATAATGAGTGATATTTTGCAATAAGTGGTTAATTTATTGGGAAGGCATAAAAGTCTTAAGTATATACAAGAAAACTTCAAAATACACGATGTAAAAGGTGTCAGAAATAAAGGAAAGAAGAGATAAACCCAAGAACATAGTTGCAAATTTTAACATCCTTGTGAAGGTTAATTTTATGTATAAGCTTGACTGGGCCACTAGATATTCAGATATCTAGTTAAACATTATTTCTGGGTGTGTCTGTGAGTGTTTCTGGAAGAGATCAGCATTTGAATCAGTGAACTGAGTAAAGAAGGTTGTCCTCTCCAATGTGGGTGGGCAACCAATCTGTTGATGGCCTAACTAGAACAAAGAGACAGAGGAAGGGAGAATTTGTTCTCTCTGCCTGACTGAGCTTGGACATCAGTCTTCTCCTGCATTGGACTGTGTTTATACCATCAGTGCAGCTGGTCCTCAGGCCTTTGGACTTGGATTGGAACTTGAAGTAAAGGTTCTGTTGTTTCTCAGGCTTCAGACTCAGGCTGGAAGTACACCACCAGCTTTCCTGAATCTCCAGCTTGCAGATACATATTGCAAGACACATGTTACAGCTCAGCCTCCATAATTCATAAGCCAATTCCTCCAATTATTCATAATTCTCTCTCTGTATATATTTATAAATATATATTTAAAATATAAATATATAATTCTTATATATTTATATTTTAAATTAAATCATATATTTTATATAATATCTATAATTTTATGTAATGTATAATTTTTAAAAAATATTTATAATCTGGGTCTGTTTAGGCTACTGTCATAAACTTTTACTACCATCAACTGGATAGCTTATAGACAAGAGGAATTTATTTCTCACAGTTCTGGAGGCTGGAAAGTCCAAGATGAAGGCACAGGCAGATTCAGTGTCTGGTGAGAGCATGTCCATTAAGGTGTTCTAAGCAAAAGAGCAGTTCTTTTCTAAGAAATTTTTACCTTCAATGTTGACCAACTGAATAAAAATTCAGCCACCTTAAAAATGATAATTTCTTTTTTCACTGAAATAATCTTACCTGCCTGAAGTCATGGGATTAAATATTATCCTGGAGATTCATCTCATGATTGCAGGTGGCATTAAGTGAATGATTAAATGGCTATTCTTAATCTCCTATTGTCCATTTCTGAAAAAGTTTTCCTGAGAAAAACCCTGACTTCTTTAGTAGGGGTTGTGCTATTATTGTCATAGATGTAAATACTGTACAATTGTTCTACTCCTTTCTCTTGAAATCTTACAACCTGACTTTAAGCTCCGCTGTTTTATTACTTTTTTTTCCTCTTGGAAACACCTTTAGTTTTCAGGAGAGTCCTAGGAATATTCAATTAAAATTCTGCATAATGACTCTTTAGACAGTCACCAGGGGAGTACTAATGCAGAAACCATGAGACCAGCTTATCTTAGAGTTGCCAAATATACCTGAAAATCATATAATGAGTGGATTGATATTGCACATAAGAGTCAGAGTAGTGGGAATTTTGATTTGCCCTCAGAAATGATGTGCTTTAGGGAAAAAAATTGCTTGCTTTTTTGGGAATAGACTTTTATAAAAACCTGAAGTGCTGTGAAGCAAGTCAGGGGATTTGGGTTCCAGGGCTTGCATGGTCACTTACTAATTCTGTGGTTAGATGTCTTCAATCCTTTATTTGTCAATAATTTGTGAGGCTGTTTTGAGGATTAAACAAGGATGTCTCAGAAAAGAGCTTCAGAAATATATTAAAGCCCATCTATCTGTTTGACTGAATGCCTTGATCCCGGAAGAAAAAGATTTTGAGGAGTTCATATAACTTTCAGGGAGTCTTTTCATATGTTCTATGGGGATTGCAGGCTAGGAGTATCGAGTCAAAAGAGAAGCATCTCCATCTGATATAGTTTGAATATTTGTCTGCATCCAAATCTCATGTTGAGATGTAATCCCCAGTGTTGGAGATGGGGCCCAGTGGGAGGTGTTGGAATCACGGGGGTGGGTCCTTCATGAATGATTTGGGTCATCTCCTTGATGACAAGTGAACTCTTGCACTGAATTCACATGAGATCTGGTCTTTTAAAAATGTGTGACACCTCCCCTCACTCTCTCTCTCATGCTTCTCCTGCCATGACACGCCTGCTCCACCTTTATCTTATGCCATAATTGAAAGCCTCCTGAGGCCCCCCCAGAAGCAGATGCTAGCACTATGCTTCCTGCACAGCCTCCAGAACTGTGAGCTAATTAAACCTCTTTTCTTATAAATTACCTAGTCTCAGATATTTCTTTATTGCAATGCAAGAACAACCTAAGATACCATCCTTCCAATCTTTATATCAGTTTCTTAGTCTGTTTGGGCTGGCATAACAAAAATATCAAAGACTAGATGGCTTATAAACAACATAAATTTATTTATCACAGTTCTGGAGGCTGAGAGGTCCAAGATCAAGGCACCAGCATATTCAGTGTCTGGTGAGGGCCCACTTCTGGTACCTTAGAGAGCTATCTTCTCACTGTGTTTTCATATGGCAGAAGGGGCCAGAAAATTATCTGGAGTTTTTTCTATGAGTGCACTAATCCCATTCATGAGAGCTGTGTCCTTATGACCTTAACCCCTCAAAGGAAAGAAGAGATAAACCCAAGAACATAGTTGCAAATTTTAACATCCTTGTGAAGGTTAATTTTATGTATAAGCTTGACTGGGCCACTAGATATTCAGATATCTAGTTAAACATTATTTCTGGGTGTGTCTGTGAGTGTTTCTGGAAGAGATCAGCATTTGAATCAGTGAACTGAGTAAAGAAGGTTGTCCTCTCCAATGTGGGTGGGCAACCAATCTGTTGATGGCCTAACTAGATGAGGCCCTCAAAGGCCTCATCCCAAATATATCACATTGGGGATTAGGTTTCAACATATGAATTAAATCAGATAGTTGATAATTGTCCTGGATTTTTCTCTCTTATTCACTAACTCTATCTAATCAATCATTATGCTTTATCAACTGTGCCTCTTAGATATCTCTGGAGTCTACTTGAAATGCTCCACCTTGACCACCACCAACATGTTTAGGCCACAACCGTGTCTCATATCTAGTTTCATGTCAGTCTATTCTTCGGTTGCAGAATGATTTTAATAAAATGAACATTGGATTATATAACTTTTTTACTTAAAATCTTTTACTGCTCCCTCCCTCCATCAAGATAGAGTTTAAACTTCGTACTCTTCCTACATGTTTCCTGATCTTGCTCTTGCTTCCTTTGTATCTTCACCTCTATTCTCCTCCATGTTTTGTTCATCAGGCACTAGGAAACCACACAGGGTAGGTTGTTGTAATGTTATGAAGAAAATCCACTGTGATGGGACCATGAATAGTGGAAATTGGAGGTCTTTTTGTACCTTTTTTATATAAGCCTTTTGTATTGCTCATATTCTATAAACCAGAATCTTTATCTTCTGTTCAATAACCACAAAGTGCTAAAGGATCCAAGATATTAAAAGAGATGATGGTTCAAGAAATAGAGACAAAGCCACATTATAAAAATAATAAAATATAAAATAAAATATAAAAATAATAAAAATAATCTCTTAGTGCAAATTAGTTCTCAAATCTAATCAAATAAAACAAGAGGTATCGGAGTCCTAAATATTGTTTATAAAGAAAATGTTTTGGACTTGGGAGTGTCTGTTTGACCTTACCTTTTAGGCAGCCTTTTTTTTTTCTTTATAAATACCCCTCAGAACTGGAACTTCAAAAAATATTGATTTAAACTTTTTCTTCAGAGGGAAATGTCTTCATCAATTAGTACAGATTGTTATTGATGTTTCCAAGAAATTTTACAACTTTTTGTTTGGCAGAATACTTCAGTCTCAACATCAAGGCCAAGAGTTTTTTTCTTACGCCTAACCAAGCCCTCCCTCCCTCTTTCTAATTTAGGCACATTTCCTGTCATTGTTTCCTTGGTCAAGATGAAGAATAATTTGGTTTATTTTTTTACTCACTGTAACATTTGTCATTAAATTTCCTCATGGGCTTTTCTTCTCCAGAGGAAATGATCCCAGTGCCTTTATTCTTTTCTCCAAATGATAGTTTTCTATTTTTCTCATTATATTTTATGTTTTTTGCCTTTCTGATCCCCTCTCAAATTTCTTCACATTCATGTAAACTGTAAAGACAAACACTGGGCACAGTATTCTATTAGGGTCAGACCATTGCCAAAAAAGAAGTGGAAGGTTGCTTCCTAGCTCTAGGCAAGTGACACTACTGTTAATATATCCTGGTATCATACTACTTCTCCCAACCCCCTTCTAATAACATTATCTTCAAAAGCATTTGTTCAATGTCTGTGTGCAAAGCCAGCTTTTAGAAGTATCAGAAGAAATTCAGATGCTCATCTGTTTCCATCAGACACTTGGTAGGAACAGGCATCCAGTGTTGGAAGCCAGAGGGATACAAAGAAGGAAGATTGTAAAACCAAAGTTAAGATTTTCTCAGTGGAAGTTAGTGAGAAAGTAGGAGTCTAAGATGGTAGTTTTGTCTAAAATTTCTGGAAATATCAGGAGAGAGCAGTACAACAAAGGCAGGTTTACTTTGCAGTAAGCCTTTGATAATAGAATTCCGTTCATTCTCTGTATGGAGGGGAAATGCACATGATATTTCAATGCAAACTTGATGGCCCTTTCTTGGTCCAGAGTGGTTCAGTGTATTCTTTCTGTTTTGTTGCAAGATTGGGGGACTCAGCCTGATTTCCTTGTCTTCTCTGGCTGACACTACACTGTCCCATGGATATTTTTCCTCTCCTTAGGTTTCTTCAGCTTGCTCTTTCTTTTTTGCCTCTAAAGACAAAACTACACAAGTTCCTTCTATGTTAAGGATATAATTACCCCCGCTAAAAGGAAATAAGGAAAAAGGGAGATTTTTTAGAAAGCAGGAGGAAGGTACATAGTTCACAAAAAGTGGCCACCAAGATGAACTATGTGCTACAAAATATTTCTGCCCCCAGCTTAAGTCCTGGGTGTCAAGTATTCTAAACCTATTGAATCTTTCTGACTGTGTTCTTAGAAGTGATCAAGGCCAGGTCATGAAGTAAAAATAACATGGTAATGAATCCATCCCTAATGTCTCTGAGGCTTTCCAATCAAGTTTACTCTGTCCACTACGTTTTTGGTGTTTAATTTCCTCAGTATTTCTCAATGTCTGTTGTGAGTATACAGTTTGATATTGTGAGGACATAGTTTAAAATTAAAACTCTAAATTAACAAGCCATTTGGGATCCAGAAAAGATCTGGAAATTCTATACTCTGACTTTTGATGAAAATCATGGATTCTGATCATCAATATTAACTTGAGAAAATTCTCATTTTCCAAATACATATGAAGTAAATAAAAAAGGAAACGGGCAGAGAGCGCTCATAGGCTATAACATTTATTACAAGTAAGAAAAACAACTGTTGTTATAAGGAATACATCTAGCTTGCTCCTAGGAAATTAATCTTATTTTTCTTTTTTACTTTCCAAAAGTTCACAGACTGAGTCAGTTGGCATTTATATTTGTAATTTAGAGAAAGTAGGTCTTATCATGAAAAAGAGAAAATTATTTTCCTGCATTTCCATACTTAGGACAGTTTGGATGTTACTTTAAAATGTTAAATTTAAAAAGTGATTCAATGTTCTAACAAATACACTCAGTGTAATTATATTTATAATTTTCAGGAAATTAAAATGTAATTACTGCCCTTTAGAAGATATTAGTTGCTGTGCTATGAAATATTATCTAACACTTCAGTGGTATCAGTATTGATATGGGCATTGGTGAACAGTGCGGGGGTGATAGAGGAGCAGATGATTATGAGATGAAGAGTTGACAGAGAAGCCTGTCTTGTGTTGGATGACGTAGCTGGGTATAATGTATGTATTTGCCCCTCAAGATGCCTCAGGGATACACTAGGCTTCTCCATGATACAGCAAATGAGGGGTTAATGCCTAGAAACAGGGTCTTCCTAAAACCCTGCACACACTTGGTATCCAAGCTTATTGGATTGAGAGTATTTTCGGCAAGTTGACAGAAACTCCATCTCTTATAGCTGGCCTGAATTTTCTTGTGTAAAAGTTGAGAATAATTATTAAATAAATATTCTAGTTTCTCAGCTAGTATGATTTATTAAATCCTTCAGTCAAGGGTATGTTAGATGATAGATTAAATGACTCCTCAAACACCAACATGCCTAGCATGCAGTGTTGCTTTCAAGGCTCTGTTGAGCACCCTGGCCAAATTCAATAACATGTCCCTAATTTTCAGATCCGAGGAAGATTTTTTTCAGTTCTCATCTTAACTTTCCAGAGACATTTGATACCATTGAGTGCTCCTTGTTTTGAAACCTTTCTTGGCATTCCAGAAGCCAAGTTTTGGTCTCTTTGCTCACCAACTGTCATTCCTGTCTCCTTCACCAGATTCTCTTATTCTGTTATCTCCTCAAATTTGGTGTTTTTCAGAATCTGTTCTTGATCTTTTCCTTTTCTTACAGGATAATGGACTATTATCTGTTTCCATGATTTTAACCCATTCCTACACATCGATGGCTCCCCGGTCATTCTCTCTTCTCCAGGACTCTCTTGATCAACATTCCTCCTCAATTCCCTATTCAGTCCCCCAAACCTGAAAGCTTTTCTCTACATGCCTCCCACATTCAATTAGTCTTCAAAAAATAATACTTGTTTTTATTTCTCAAGTTTGTACTCTCTGCTGTGTTTACTTCTCACTGGAGTTAGTTCAGGTCTTCATCTTTTTTTATGTTTTAGTTTCTTTATTTCAATAACATTCAAACTCAACTACATTATATTTGCTTCTTCGTCTCTCTCCTAAGACATACAAAGACGTGCCTTTGTCATCCCCTATATTCCGAGTGCCTAATAGTATCTGCTACATAGTAGGTGTTCTATAAATGCTTACTGACTGAACAGTACACTGTATCTGGATGTTCACCTTCTTTGGGGAACATTGTTTTACCTCTCTCCCTATGCGTAAGACTTCAGTGTTATTGTAGCATGTTCTCTTACCTCTTCTTTATGCCTGAGAATTAAGCTCATGACCATTGAAGTGTCAATTGTCCATATGCATATCAGTTCAGCTAGTGCTACCTAAAAGCAAGTTTGGCCCGCAGTGAGCATCTTGTTGTCAATGATCAGTTTTGAAAGGTTCCTCTGGGAATCTCATTAATCTCTGTTAGTAGGGACATCTTGCACTGCTGCTTTCCAAGAAGCTGCCAGATGGCTCAGAGAAAAGCTTCATTATTTAAAATCTTTTCAGAGGCATCCAGGGAAAATGTTGTGGGCAAATATTCAAACAAGATCAGTAAGTGAAGCAGTGGCTAGGGGAAGGATATCATTTAACTTACCTATCCCCAGCTGATGCTTACTTGCTTCTGAGCAGAGAGAAAAAGTCTGATTTACTGACTCATCACAGTTCCTGAATGGTGATTGTTAATCCTTAAGAGCCATCTCCAGTGAGCAGGCTGCAAACAAATCCTTTAACAAAACCTTTAAAAGATGTCTTAGAGATGGGATTAAATTGCTAATATGATTTTTGTTAAAGACTAATATACGGTAAAAAAGTGGCTCTCAAATATTAACAAGCTTTGGATGATAAATGCTCAGTACAAGAGAGGTCACAAAAAGAATGGACAACAGTGAATGGGCTCATTTGGAGAAGAAAGGGTCTAGTATTTGCTACCCTAAGGTTTTCATTGTTTCTTCTTCAGTCTTTAATGTGGCCACATCAAAAGGGCTTGAGATGTTAGAAAGAATTGGAAGCAAGACAAATTCAATTTCATGAAGAGAAGTTTCTAAGAATTTTCCTTGTCCTGGGTAGATCAGACTACACCAGTAAAATTCAAGTTCTTCCAAATATGCAGCTGGATTACACCAGAAGTCAGGGGCTAAATGTTTAGGGACCTATTTTCAGGGGTGTGGGAAAGCAGGAATACTTGCATTTCTTTATACTTTTCTCAAACATATGGAATCAAGACCATTTATCCTCTTAAAGATGTAACCTAAACTTATCCTAAAAGCTCTGGTTGATGCATTTTGGAGCATATAAATAGCTAAATAGCTTATTTTTAACCTTGATAAATAGGACCATTCTCTAATATGAAGCATTGAGGGTGTAATCAATGCTATTTCATTGTGCTAGATGAGAGGTCAGGTTTTAATGTATACACAGTTTTGGTCTGAAAGGCAGTTTTATCATGAGCTGAAGGTAGATTTGGGCAGTGATTCTGAAACAGATTCTCTTGAGTTCTCTTCCAGGAGTCTGATACAGATGGACAAGCTGACCCCGAGGATGTGTCTGTGCTGTCTGGGGTAGGGTGGCTCCGTGACCATCTGTGAGTAATTACACATAATATCCATACCTGGGAACAAGGAGTTATTTTATTACCAGATGTGACCATTAAAAAGATACTTTTAGAAAAACTGGTGGGAAGCCAGCTAGCTGATAAAGTGATATTCTTTTCCCTACAATATAAAAGGCTTTGAGAAAATAAATTACATTATCAAAAATATAGTGAATGGTTAATACATCTAGTGAGAATTATTAAGAAGTAATACTTCCAGGCCAGGCGCGGTGGCTCATGCCTGTAATCCCAGCACTTTGGGAGGCTGAGGCGGGTGGATCATGAGGTCAGGAGATCGAGACCATCCTGGCTAACACGGTGAAAACCTGTCTCTACTAAAAACACAAAAAAATTAGCCAGGCGTGGTGGCGGGCACCTGTAGTCCCAGCTACTCAGGAGGATGAGGCAGGAGAATGGCATGAACCCGGGAGGCGGAGCTTGCAGTGAGCTGAGATCGCACCACTGCACTCCAGCCTGAGTGAAAGAGCGAGACTATGTCTCAAAAAAAAAAAATAATAATAATAATAATAATAACTTCCTTCATGGAAAGATAGTCAAGTAATTCTTCCCAAAAAGGTTGACAGTGAAAAAAGTTTTCTTCATTCTCTTATTCCATTTGGATACACCAGAGATTCCATTCTAGCCATCCATGGGTGTTCACTTTGTAGAACATATCCCAAAATAGAGTTAGTTGAAACCCTTCTGTTTTGCCGGTAATTACGTAGAAAAATGTTAGATTGGAAAAATGATACTAGAAGAAGGCACCATCATAGTTGTATTGTCCATTTTCGTACTGCTCTGAAGAAATACCTGAGACTAGGTAATTTATAAAGAAAAAGAGGTTTAATAGACTCATAGTTCCACATGGCTAGGGTGGCCTTACAATCGTGGCTGAAGGTGAAGAGGGGCAAAGGCACATCTTACATGGTGGCAGGCAAGATAGCATATGCAGGGGAACTGCCCTTTATTAAACCATCAGATCTCATGAGACTTATTCACTATCATGAGAACAGCATGAGGGTAACTGTGCCCATGATTAAATTACCTCCCACTGGGTCCCTCCCATGACATGTAGGGATTATAGGAACTACAATTCAAGATGAGATTTGGATGGGGATGTAGCCAAACCATATCAATTATCATTTTTCTGACAAGAAAACAACCTTTTTTTTTTTCTGTGCCATTGGTTTCTGTATCTTTTTAAAGCTTCTCTCTATTATCTAGCTGAAGGCATGCCATGATTCTCCTCTGTCTCTCTTATATTCTTGGAATCATTTTAGCCATTTATAACCCTTTACATTAATGATCACAGAAAAGCACAAGAAAAACAAAAGGATTTGGCTAAAATGAAATCACCTTATATTTAATCTGTTAATGGCTTTTTTTTCTTCCATCAATAGAAACAACTTGCCAAAAAATCACAAATATACACAGTTATGGGAAAATGTATTCAGAGTACATAATCATACCCTATTATTTGTCTTTGACTGTGAAACTATTTAATCAAGAGACTTGTTAAATCAGAGATTATACAAGTTAACATAACATTCATGCTTTGAAATTTCTTCAAGAAAGAAAAGCTACCTTTGAAGCCGAAATGAAATAAAATAATTGTCTTTTATGTATCAAATCCATCTTATTTAATGATCGATACATGTGTTTCATATTTTACATGTGAATGACCCACAAAAAGCCATAAAACTTATGTAAGCAGAGTAAAAGGAAATTAAAAGTAGAGAAAGAATATTCATAGAATGAATTCATATACATAGAAACAAGCACACAGTCACACACACACACGCACACATGCGTGCACGTGCTGAACATGAAAATGCCAAAACGAAGGAGAATTCATTTATTTAAGTTTAAATAATAGAGAAGCCAATTTAATTTGGCAGAGGCTTCAGTGGATGTTACTGTGGCTATGCTGTAAAATACTTTTCTTTTTCAGAGTAAGTGGGTATATATATTTGTGGGTAGTGTTGCCTTTTACTTAAGAATTGGTTCCAGTATATTTCAGTATTTGTTTTAGAAAGGTTTGTTTTGAATCTTTGTTTCTAACAGGTTAAGGATTATTTCCCAGACAAATAATTCCTGGTTTAATGATTCCTGGTTTCCTGAGTGTCCATAAACATTGCCAAATTCTCACTTTACTTTGTGATCTAACATAATCAATGTTAACTGTCCATCTGGATGTCTTAGATTACTTTTGATTTGCTTGATTTATTTCTGGTTTGCTTGATCTATTTTGATCAAGTTAACCAGATAGCTGCCAATAGCCATTTTTAATATGTGTCACAGTGCCACAGATGTGTTGGGGCAGCAACTGCTGGTTTCCCCATGTCCTGTTTAGTACTTTCCTTTGTTGCATATAGACAAATAAAATAGAAGCCAAGAACATCTGGAAACCATCAGTAAATAACAGTTTGGAAATTTCTGCTTCATTTGGACTTGTCATACTTCAGAAAAGACTATTCATAATATAATTAAATTTACATTTTAATTTCTTCTGGAAAGTTCATCTACTTGATAATCTCTTAAACCATTTATTTTTAATTTTCATTGTCATCATCCCAATTTAGCAATAACTGCACTTAACCCTCTCTACCTCCTCAAATGTACACATCTGGTCTCCAGTTATAATAGGTTTCTTCCTAAAACTTAGAATGGAGAATCTTATTCCCTACATTATAAGCCTCTAAAGTCTTCCAATGGTGTATTGAAAAAATATTCAAGCTCATTAGTTATAAATTCAAAATTCACCATATGCTGGAAACTGTTTGTTCTTACCTCTATCTCATCTTTTCACAATATATAGTGCAGTCATATTTTTCTATTTCACCATTAGTGCTTTTCCTTTGCTTCCTTCATTCCTTCCATCCTCCTCCTCCTCCTCTTCCTCTTCCTCCTTCTTATTATTATTGTTTTAATTTTTATTGATGGAGTATTCAACTTTGAAATGCCACCTCTGCCACTCCCTGCTCCATTACAATAAATTGCTACTTCCGTGGGCTTCTGTAAGCACGTGTTTATACTCTTATAATGCATTTGTTTTAATTCTTGTCTTATAGATGATTTCACGTCACTTTCTTCTGCTAGATTGTGAGTTTCTTGAGCAGAGGGTCCACATTTCATTCACCATGGTATCTCACAGCACATATAATAATGGCCTTTTTACTAACACAATAAAAGTTAGTAAAGGGGAAAAAGAATGAATGCATAGATGACTCAGTGTCACCTTGCCAT